>NC_000003.12:176205574-177455574 GCF_000001405.40 Homo sapiens | reverse complement strand
TATTATTTGAATTTATTTAATGATTTTTTTTTTTTTTTTTTGAGACAGAGTCTCACTCTGTCACCCAGGCTTGAGTGCAGTGTTGTGATCTTGGCTCACTGCAACCTCTGCCTCCTGGGTTCAAGCGATTCTCCTGCCTCAGCCTCCAGCCTCCTGGGTTCAAGTGATTCTCCTGCCTCAGCCTCCTGAGTGGCTGGGATTACAGGCACACGCCACCACACCTGGCTAATTTTTGTTTTTTTTTTTTAGTCCAGATGGTGCTTCACCACATTGGTCAGGCTGGTCTCAAACTCCTGACCTCAATTGATCCGCCCACCTCAGCCTCCCAAAGTACTGGGATTATAGGTGTGAGCCACCACACCTGGCCTATTTTATGATTATTTTATATTTATGGCAAGAAATATTCCTTTTTCAACCCTTTATATTTGATGATATGAAGACTTTTTATTCATATTTATAAAATGTGTTAATTTAAAGATAATTAAATTTAAAGATAATTATCTCAATTTCCTGAAATGCCAATATACTGTGTAATTTCAATCAATTAATGACATAGGTGGGTTTCCCTGGAGGCAGGCACTGAGACAGAGCTGAGGGTCAGGAAGTTCATTAAGAATCAACACCCATGAAGGGAAGAAAGAGGAAGGAAGATGGCTGCAGTGCAAGCCGGACAAAATATCCGGTAGAATTTAGGGAGCACTGGAACAAGTATTACCCATCAAACTCAAAACTCTATTCCATCAAACTGTCCCACAGTGGGCCCCGTGGCCAGGCCTTTTCACCCATGGCTCATCTGGTCCACAGATGCTGGCTCCCTTAGGAAGGGCGATACCTCAGTCACAGCAACTCTCCTGCTGGGACAGAGCCTGAAGATGCTGACAGCTGGCAGTGGGGCTGCCTCCGCTCCCCGCAGCTGAACTCAAAGTCCTTCCTTGAAAGGCTATCTGGGCAGCATGTGTACATGTCCCCCACAGTTGATCAACCAAATGTCTTTTTTCAAATCATTCTTTGAATCTCAGTTTCCTCATCTGTAAGTGGGGTTGATCTGGATTTGTAGATCTCAATCGGTATTTCAAAAAAGATACACTTTGTCCTCCAGAAACACTGGATTATGGCTTCTCTTTCTACATATAATTTTTAACCTTTTAAAACTGTAACTGCCAGCTGCAGTGGCTCATGCCTGTAATCCCAGCACTTTGGGAGGCCAAGGCGGGCAAATCACGAGGTCAAGAGATCAAGAACATCCTGGCCAATATGGTGAAACCCCGTCTCTACTAAAAATACAAAAATTAGCCAGGCGTGGTGGTGCACGCCAATAGTCCCAGCTACTCTGGAGGCTGAGGCAGGAGAATTGCTTGAACCCAGGAGGCGGAGGTTGCAGTAAGCCAAGATCGTGCCACTGCACTCCAGCCTGGGTGACAGAGTGAGACTCCATCTCAAAAAAAAAAAAAACAAACTATAACATATCGGCCAGGCAATCCCAGCACTTTGGGAGACCAAGGCGGGTGTATCACTTGAGCCCAGGAGTTCAAGACCAGCCTAGCCAACATGGTGAAAACTCATCTCTACTAAAAATACAAAAATTAGCCAGGCGTGGTGACGCACACCTGTATGTCAGCTACTCAGGAGGCTGAGGCAGGAGAATCACTTGAACCCAGGAGGCTGGAGGCTGAGACAGGATAATCGCTTGAACCCAGGAGGCAGAGGTTGCAGTGAGCCAAGATCACACTACTACACTCCAGCCTGGGCAACAGAGCAAGACTCTGTCTCAAAATAAATAAATAAATACACGCTGTGCACATGTACCCTAGAACTTAAAGTATCATAATAATAAAAGAAAGAAGGAAAGAAAGAAAGAGAGAGAGAAAGAGAAAGAGAGAGAGAGAGGAAGAGAGGAAGGAAGGAAGGAAGGAAGGAAGGAAGGAAGGAAGGAAGGAAGGAAGGGAGAGAGAAAATTTTGGTTAAATAGGAAAAATAAATTCAAGAAATCTATTGCGCACAAAAAAAGAAAATAAATAAATAAATAAAACTATAACATATCAGTTATACATCAAATGTACTACATACCAAATTCTAAGACATTGGAGACAAGCAACACATTACTCTAGCACCTCATTAATCAACTGATAAAATAAGTGGGTGCTGTACAAATAACATGCAATTTTTAACCAGTTTGACAGGTTTCAAACCCAATTGAAAACTCCTGAAAACCATTCTCTCTCATCTACTGCTTTCATGCTGTGAATCTCGGAAAAAAGAACCATGATAGAGACTTTGAGTGCACAAAGCCACAGGCTCCCGCCATCTTAACGAGAAGACAAGGTATAAATGTTAAGAAAGATTAATAGCAGGAAAACAGAGCCAATGGAGGCGTGCTAATTATAACTCCCTTATGGCTTCAGAAAAGGGATGAAGGGTTTTACAGATGAGGAGCTTGAAACTGGAAAAAGCTGAGTAACCTGCCCAAAGTTAACATATGCTAAGTGTTAAAATTCAGATTCTATACCAGTTCTCTTGCTTGCCGGCACCCATACACTATACTACCCCCAGACTCCAACATGTCCACTGTCGGTTGCACAATGCCAGATGGTTTCAACTTTTAGACTCTCCAGATATTTATAAGTGATAGTTGTGTGGACTACACAGTTCAAGTGGCACAGTATTGATGCTCTGAGGAATTTTAAATTTTTTGTCTGAGTTTTTGGGGGTGATGGTGGTGATGTTCTTTTGTTGTTCTTAATGTCTGGGTTTAGGTGTGGGCCTCTGATTGTGGAGGAATCATATTTCTGCATAAAGTATATTCATTCAAAGGAACTCCTTTCTCTATCCAATTGCTTAATAATATGTCTTGAATAATAGCATTACCTCAGGACTGAAAATGACATCACCCCAGGCTTACCAGGCTCTTCTGAGTCAGGAATGAAGGTCTGAGAACTAGGAGTGAGGAGAACATGTTTCCACTAGAAAGCCACTGCAGTGGCTCTGCATTCAAACTAACTTGATCAGTGCCACACTTCTGTTTGCTACTACTGCGCTGAGAATTTCAAGGCAAAATCACAGTATGTTTATAGAGAGAAAAAAGAGGAAGGAAGGAAGGAAGGAAGGAAGGAAGGAAGGAAGGGAGGGAGGGAGGGAGGGAGGGGAAAGAAAGGGAGGGAGGAAAGGAAGGAGGGAGTGAAGGAGGGAGAGGAAAGGAAAGAAAGAAAAGGAAAGTGAGAGAAAAGATAAAGTCCTATTCAAGATTTCAGAGTGAAAGGGAAAATCCCTAGGATCACAGCCAGTTGTCATGGGAGAAATTTTTCTTCCTGATCTATTTTTGGCAGTCAGTTCAACTTCATGCATCATTGTTTTACTTATGGCATGTACAGTAGCCAGAGAGAAACCCATAATATCTTTTCTGTCTGGTGGAAATCTTATATTCCTATGCACAGTGACAAATGGCTTGATTACAACATTTTTTTTTCCTCCGGGCATCACAGTGTTTTAAATATCTCTAAATCTGTGGAACACATTTAAAAAGAATAGGGCTCTTACAACATACCAAACACAGTAACCATGGTACAAATTAGCGCAGAGCATCAAACAGTTGGGGAAGAATCATTTTTACAGAGGCTGTCAATGAATACAAAGCCGGGGAGTATGAGGAATGTGAACAAACAAAAGATATCCAGGCTGGAGAAGCATCCATTTTGAGGAATTCTTTTCCTCGAAGAAAGAATAAGAAGAATAATGTTCAAATATTTAAGTAACAGCAGAAAATTAGATTTAATCATGGGAAAAATAATTACAAATGGCTTAAGGCAGCTTAAGATTTTCACCACTTTATCCTTTATTTTCATCTTAACCTCCGGGAAAAGGCCATGTTTTGTGGCGGTAGCGTTTCAATCACACCCATTCACTGCTTCAGTTGTTTTTATCCTTTAGTGGAGATTTTTCAAAAACATGAACTCTTCACAGGAAAATATCTATCTGCGACATTAGAAACTGACTCACGTTTCCTAGTTTTCATGAAACAATGACATTTTTTTCCCTTTGATGCTCTCATCTAACTCCACAGGAAATTTTACTACCGAGCCGCTTTCATCTCTCCTGGTTTGAAGATAAATGATCCTTGGTCTCCTTTAGACCTGCATAAATCACAAAGCAATCTACTAAGAGATGCCTGTGGCAAGCAGCTTCAACTAGAATCAAAAGGACAGTCAGAAATATCCATACTGCTTACACAAGGAGTAACCGAGGCAGAGTAATCCAAACACTGCATCCCCTTTTCTTATACATACAAAGCCTGGCACACCGGGGCTGTTGAGAAACATGAATTAGCCCATCTCTGACATAAAGCCTCGGCAAAATAAGCGTCTGCTACACGTAACTCAAAGTTCTCTGCCCTTCCTCAGAAGAACGTGGCTTACTGGAAGCCAAATTCTTACAAGGAGTACATCAAAGAAGAAATCTATTTCCTTGGGTTTTTAAAATTATTATTTTGTTTCTCATTACACAGACAGCATTAACGGAACACCAAGGAAGAGAAAAAAGAGTTACCACCCATAATCCTGCCATCCGATGAATATTTCTTGTTTTGTTTTGTTTTGTTTTTGTTTTGTTTTGTTTTTTGAGATGGAGTTTTGCTCTGTCACCCAGGCTGGAATGCAATGGTGTGATCTTGGCTCACTGCAACCTCCGCCTCCCAGGTTCAAGCAATTCTCCTGCCTCAGCCTCCCGAGAAGCTGGGATTACAGGCACGCACCACCATTCCTGGCTAATTTTTGTATTTTTGGTAGAGATGGGGTTTCACCGTGTTGGCCAGGCTGGTCTCAAACTCCTGACCTCGGGTGATCCATCTGCCTCGGCCTCCCAAAGTGCTGGCATTACAGGCGTGAGCCACCATGCCTGACCCCAGTGAACATTTCTATTTGCCTGTAAGCATCCGTTGTTTTTCCAAAAATAAAATTGCACCAGGTGATTGTATCAATATGTATTTAACTTGCATCCTGTTGGGCCATGAGACTTTAAAAGATGGTACAGGCCAGGCGCAGTGGCTCACACCTGTAATCTCGGCACTTTGGGAGGCCAAGGCAGGAGGATCGCTTGAAACCAGGAGTTTGAGACCAAGCAACATAGCGAAACCCCATCTCTACAAAAAATACAAAAATTAGCCTGGCTTGGTGGCACATGTCTGTGGCCCCAGCTACATGGGAGGTTGAGACTGGACGATCATTTGAGCCCAGGAGGTCAGGGCTGCACTGAGCCATGATGGTGCCACTGCACTCCAACCTCAGTGACAGAGTGCAACCCTTACTTCAAAATAAATCAATAAATAGCCCAGGCTCTGCAGTCAAACTGGGTCTGAATACAAGTTCTGCCATTATTGGTCTAGGAAACTGAGGCTGGTTATTCTCTGTCTCTGGGCCTCCAATTTTATCTGTATATAAAAATGAGAATGATGCTAGCACTTCCTTCAAAGGGTTATTGTGAGAAGTAAATGAGACAGTGCATGAAAAATCCTTAGTGTCACACTTGGCCCATCATAACCACTCAATAGATGTTGACTGTTTTATTATTTATAATAAATTCATCTTTAGCTAATACCATTATGCAAGAAGATAAAAGGAAACCCTTCCATTTCCTGAACAGGGGTGAGACCTGACCTGCAATTTTGCTCATAGTTATGCAATTTCCCCACCCATCTCTTTTCTTTGCAGACACAGGGTTCATAGCCACAGCAGGTGACGGTGCAGGGCCCTGAGCTCTGATCTTGCGTAACAGAAATAGAGTCTGCTCTTGACCTGGTCACCCAGAACCACAGCATTGAGAAAGAAAACTTAGACATCCAGCTATGTCCAACTGCCACATTGAGTCAAAAGGAAACTGAGGCCTTGAGAAAGGAGATTTGCCTGAGGAAAGGGCTCAACCACAGTCTCCCAACCCATTTGCCTTTGTTCATTGCTTGGGTGCCACTGCAAGTCTGGCCCTGTTTACAGCACATTGCAGCTTTCTACAGGAATTCATCCCATTAACTTCACTTCTCAGCCCTGAAGCCTTCCTCGGTCTCCTTGCTCCTGTGCTTCTGTGGTGAGGTCACCTTTTCTGGAAATCCCTGTGATTTCTTTCCACAAGCCCTCAGCTATGCATGTGGCAATGAGGTCAGCTGAAACTAATGATGACGTGTTACGTAGAAATAAGTAAAATCTTAGATTGAGCTCAGACAAAACCACATTAAAATCTCAAATGTCATTTTCTTACACTTCAAAAATAAAATGTCAGGACCATAAGGCTCTTCTCTATTCTCTTCTCCTTTGTCTTTCAGTTGCTTTTTGTATCTGAGTGTATTTAATTGTGCATTTCTTTCCTCTGGCACTAGAAGGACCCAAATTTTTCTAATAGATCATTTCGCGGTAGTTACAATCTGACCTAAAACAGGAAATACTCAGTAGTTCACAGTAAGGAAATCTATTCTCAAGAAGAAACTCGTAACCTATCAAGGGGTTTTATTGAAGCATGAATAAGCATTTGAATTTCAGTTTATCTACAAATCTATCACTACTGTTAACCAAAACAAAACAAGTTTTCAGTAAAAATTGTCACCTGAAGTAATCTTTATAAAAGCTTGAAAAATGGACTGGCCTCAGCCCAGTTGACCAGCTTTACTCCATAGGTGTTTGTAGCTTTGCTTGTACACGTAGTGTGTTAAAGTAATACGCTTTAGGCTCTGTCCATTTTTGACAGAAGGACCCCAAACTATGTGAATATAAATTTTTTTAGTAGTTTAAAGAAAACTAGCTTCAGAAGTTCTCAATATCCTGCATCCACTAACTCAAATTATCTTAGTTGGGTGTTGCCAAGTAGAAAGAAATGAATAAAAATGATGCACAATTAACCCAGCTTTACTATAAAAATGCCTCAAAAACGGCACAGTTCTCTTGAATAGTTCTCTTGAAGAGGCTCACGGTACACTACAGCTCAATCTGAAGCGCATTTCCACAAGTATCAAATTAGTGTTCATTAAGGTAATAAGATGTTTACTGGGTTGACTTTTGTTCTTTTTATAACAGTGTTGGGTTTGTAGGAAAATCTTATTTCTCATACTCACTCTTAGGAAGACTCATTCCTTTTTTTCCTCTCCACGTGCCCCATATTTTTTATTATGCAGACTCATCTACCTATTACCATTCTCAACTCATAGCCAGGGGAAAGAAGCTCTGCCCTGCACATTATACATAAAATCAATACATATTTACCACACAACCACTGTGTACCCAATAGAATACAAGTTGCTATGAAAATGGAAAATACCTGTACTTGACTCTGGGACTTACCATCTACATATTTCCTTGTGACCCAGGTGAGTACAGCCCGAGTGATGAGCTCAGTGCAAAGCAGGGGAGGAGGCCTGCCTAAGAACAACAGTGGGCTCTTTGCCAGGCTTTTCTGCCTTTCCGGGAGCTGGAGCAGGTCAGGGCAGGTCCTCACTTTGAGGAGCCAGATTCCAAGTCTTTTACATGAGCACCTCCTGATAGTGGCTACCGTTCACTGCCCTCTTGCTTTGGGCCAAGCTGAGACATTCAATTTTTGCCACAATCTTATCATGTAGGTATTATGATTCCCATTTTACAGATGTGGAAACTGTAGCACAGATGGGTTACATTGTTAAAGGTTAAATAGCTTTAAAAAGTGGCAAACTCAGAATCTGAACTCAGGACTGACTCCAATACCAAACTTCTCAATCAGATTCTAGTCACCTGCTTTGCCGGTGTCCTTACTTGAACATCCAACCTCATCCAGGCCTGCAAAATCCTTCCCATCCATTAACAACAGACTTAATATAAAGAAACAGAAAGCAAAAGCTTTAAGCCAGAATGTAAACCTTAGTTATAGCCATCAACAACTTCTCTTTTACTATTATTATTGCACTAAGCTATACAACATGAAATGTTGTTGCCCAGAGTTGTACTAAAGATATATTGACTAAATATAAAACTAGCCCATTAACTTTTAAGAATTTTCTTCTCCAAATTCTGTACAGAATGTGCAAATTAATTAAGCCCTAGTGCTATAAACTTGAGAAAATCAGTCTTAACCAGCTGAGGAGCCACTATGTCATCTGGTAGTCAGAAATGACCAAATAATTAAGCATATTTCTGATATAAAAAAAGCACAGAAACATTTTATTATAAAATAACAGTACTTTTATCCAAATGACCGAATAAAGGTTGCTGCCTGATTCTCAATATTTTTAAACTGTGTATTAGGTCTGGAATTGATATTAGGTTTCCCAAGTCCGTCAGTTCCTCCACTACTGACTTAGCTGGTGATCTAATGTCAGGGAAAACACTTGTTTGTCTGATTTTTAAATGGATTATTCCTAGAAGATAATAATAATAGCAATAATGCTATTGCTATTATTTGGTCACAAAGAGGATGATTTTGTTGTCCAACAAACCTAGGTTTATACGTGAGCTGTATGATGTAGTAGCAAATGTTTTAACTTCTCCAAACCTCACCTGTAAAATGGGGGTAATAAGGACTCTTCAGAGAGTCTTTGCAAAACCCATTTAGGGTAGTGCACATGGTACATCATCCAGCCCACAGTGAAGGCTATTCAATAAAGGGTAGCTAATATTATACAGTGTTTATGGAAAAGAGAAAAAACGGTAGTAGGGGTTTTAAAGTTCGGGTTCCTTAGAAGGACAATGATTGACTTGGGATTCTCATCTTTGATTTTTTTTTCAGAGGCACTCGCATTCAGTATTTCATCCATCATAACCCCATGCCCGTGTTGTAGGCCATTCACACATATGGTTCCGGCTCTGGTACGCCAATGGGGATGGATGGCTCAATAGGAATTGCCGTGTTTTTATGTTTTAAGTGCTATTTATCCCTGAGGCTTTCAGCATGTCGCTCTATTTCAAAAACAAGTGGTTCACGTGTCTTGAAAACGATGTGCTGAGGATCACTGTCAGAGATTCCGTTTATTCACAAAAAGGTCATTAACTTGGAGAGAACCTTATTTTTACTCCAGGCTGGTGTGAATAAAGTCTGGCTGCTTAATGGTGCTTACTGCCAAGCTGTCCTGAGGTCAGCGATCCTTTCACAGTTCATTCATGAGACTGACGGACATTATTGTGATATGTTGCATAAGAAAACCCTCTCAGTTCCCTAAATACATTATATTAATGTAGTGCCATAGGACATGGAAACCGAAACACTGAGGAAAAAAAATGTTTTGTTATTCCTTCAGGAAAGACTTGTGAGTTGGCTTTTTGGTCTCTCGATTGCTATTATCAAGGCCCCTTCCTGCTTTACAGTCCAGAGTCTGCCCAAGCTAATTGCTGCACTGAATAACAACTCACTGAGGAACTCGCCAGCCTGGGCAATAAGGAGTCGTGGCTTCTCTACCCTGGGCTGTGCCACTGCTCATTGTGTGACCTATACAAGCTACCTAAGCACTCTCAGACTCTATTTTCCTATCCAAAAAACAACAACAATGTCATCTTTAAGATACTATACCCCAGCTCTACAGCCCTATAATTCTCCTTCTATCCTTTTCATAAATACCTCTTTGTTATGTATTTTGTTTCTCTAGTGATGACTAGTATAGAATAAATAATTGCTACCTAGAAGATGTAATTAAGTTTATATATTATTTTCTACAACTAATATGCAATGGATTTTAATTTTATTCATAATTACTAACTTCAGGCTTAAAAAAATCTGTGTACTAAGTGGGAATATTGCACCATTTTTATAGCCTCTTCTTCTCATGTCAATAAAATAACATAATAAAACCCCACCCACACAGATGATAAGCCTCCCTCTATCACCAGGAAGCATAATTAGCAAATTAAAGCATTGGACTCACATTTATACTTATAATCCCAAGGTTTTGTTTTATTCAAGTAAAGCCTGTGGCCTAAATCACTGTGATTATAATATGGTACTAAGTAAATAAAAGTCTGTCTGCCTTTCACAATTATGTTTTAATTTCCCATTTTACATTTTCCAACATGCAAACTAGGTTTTGTTTACATTTTGATCTGATTTACTAAAGAACTTTCTCCCATAGAATCTTCTGAAAATAGAAGTGCAAGCATACATATAACACATGGATTTTTGCCCCCTATAAACATTAGCTTGTGTCTAGTCTTTGCTGGTAGCACACACATAGAAATACCAGTGTAGCCAGGCACAGTGGTTCACGCCCATAATCCCATCACTTTGGGAGGCTGAGGTAGGCGGGTCACGAGGTCAGGAGATGGAGACCATCCTGGCCAACATGGTGAAACCCCGTCTCTACCAAAAATACAAAAATTAGCTGGGTGTGGTGGCAGGTGCCGGTAATCCCAGCTACTCAGGAGGCTGAGGCAGGAGAATCACTTGAACCCGGGAGGCAGAGGTTGCAGTGAGCCGAGATCACGCCACTGCACTCCAGC
This sequence comes from Homo sapiens, assembly GCF_000001405.40. Classification (NCBI taxonomy): domain Eukaryota; kingdom Metazoa; phylum Chordata; class Mammalia; order Primates; family Hominidae; genus Homo; species Homo sapiens. The sequence goes on along the minus strand of NC_000003.12, from coordinate 177,445,147 downwards.
CTGGCGACAGAGCGAGACTCCATCTAAATAAAAAAAAGAAAGAAAGAAATACCAGTGTTTTCAATTGGGAGAATTTTTAAACTTTGTCTACTATCTTCAGAAAACATTCTTTGAAAGAAAGGTTATTGTGTTTAGTCTGGTTTCTATACATGTCTCTGGAACAGCAGGATATAAGAACCCATTTTGGCAGCAGATCTCCAGAAAACACTGGCAATTCTGCAATGAGGGGAGGTACAACTTCCTAATGAAAGTGTTTCCTCAAATCTAAAGGTCATCTGAACACTTTCATACATACACAATACAATGTATGTATTGCGGTTGAATAGACACAACAAAGGAGGCAGACTGAAGTTCAAATCCTACCTCTGCCACTTACTAGTTGTGTGACATTCAGCAAATCACTTATCTAATCTTTCCAAGTCTCCATTTTTTTTTCTTTTTTTTTTGAGACAGAGTCTTGCTGTGTCTCCCAGGCTAGAGTGCAATGGCACGATCTCAACTCACTGCAACCTCCGCCTCCCAGGTTCAAGTGATTCTCCTGTTTCAGCCTCCTGAGTAGCTGGGACTACAGGTGTGTGCCACCACGCCTGGCTAATTTTTGTATTTTTGGTAGAGATGGGGCTTCACCATGTTAGTCAGGCTGGTCTCAAACTCCTGACCTCAGGTGATCCGCCTGCCTCGGCCTCCCAAAGTGCTGGGATTACAGGTGTGAGCCACCGGGCCCTGCCACAAGTCTCCATTTCTTCATTTGTAATATGAGTGAAATATTGCCTACTTCATAAGATTCATACAAAAATTAAATAAGATAATGTACATAACATGTTGGTACATAATAATCACTAAGAAATGATGTTAAACCTGTAATCCCAGCACTTTGGGAGGCCAAGGCAGGCGGATCATGAGGTCAGGAGATCGAGACCATCCTGGCTAACACGGTGAAACCCCATCTCTACTAAAAATACAAAAAAAAATTAGCAGGGTGTGGTGGTGGGTGCCTGTAGTCCCAGCTACTCGGGAGGCTGAGGCAGGAGAATGGCGTGAACCCAGGAGGCGGAGCTTGCAGTGAGCCGAGATTGTGCCACTGCACTCCAGCTTGGGTGACAGAGTGAGACTCCGTCTCAAAAAAAGAAAGAAAGAACGAAAGAAGGAAAGAAAGGAAGGAAGGAAGGAAGGAAGGAAGGAAGGAAGGAAGGAAAGAAAGAAAGAAAAAGAAAGAAAGAAATGATGGCAGTTATTTCTATTATTATTTTAGTATAATTATCACTGAATCAGAAAGAATGTGACCCTGGGGGTGTGTGCACACCATGATTTTGGCCATGACCTTCAGTCAGCAACATTAGTTTCTCTCAGAGGAGGTTCTACTGTGCCCCGGATAAGGGAATTGGAGCTCAGTGACACGTAGAAAACTGACAGCATTGAAGATCTCTAAAGGATACTCAAAACATTCTTGCCAGCCCTGCCTGAGGCTGCATTACTGCCTACCAGGTTTGTTTCTGCTCTCAGGCACTTATTACATTTCTCTGTTTTCATGCCAGCCTTCCTAGCTTACTTTGTGTTCCTTCTGCATTAGTCATCATAACGCCCCAGTTCAGTGACAGATAAGGTGGATAAGTCCCATTTGGTCCCTGCCCCTACAATTGGAAGAAGACAGGAATTAGGAGATGGACTGAAGCAGAGGTTAAGTGTTAAACACAGCAAGCCCACCCCACAGACACACAATTAGGTGACTCTAAAACCAACTTAATTGGTTAGTGACCAGTAGTAGTTTTCATGAAATAGAATAGAAAATATCAATATAAACCCCATACAGTAAGCAGTTTATTTCATTAAAAACTTTTATTGGCCAGGTGCGGAGGCTCATGCCTATAATCCCAGCACTTTGGGATGCTGAGGCGGGTGGATCACGAGGTCAGGAGATCGAGACCATCCTGGCTAACACAGTGAAACCCTGTCTCCACTAAAAATACAAAAACAAAATTAGCTGGGTGTGGTGGTGGGCGCCTGTAGTCCCAGCTACACGGGAGGCTGAGGCAGGAGAATGGCCTGAATCCGGGAGGCGGAGCTTGCAGTGAGCCAAGATCTCACCACGGCACTACAGCCTGGGTGAAAGAGTGAGACTCCATCTCAAAAAGAAAAAAACTTTTCAGTTGTGTGTGTCTGTATGAATATTTGTTTGTGTTGGTGGGTGGATGTGTGTGCATTTTGCAATATAAAATATATTTCTTTTGTTCTCATGTGGACTCGAAGGTCTCTAAGGTCTCTTTTAACTAGAAAAATTTAATAAATCTCCAAACTCTGTAGAACTGGGATTCAAAATGGCAGTAGTTGCCAATGTTCTGGTTTTATGGGGTTGGTCCATATTTTTTTTCCCAATAGAAAATAAATTAGGATTTTCCTTCATCAGTAAATAAAAATGTTAAAAGAATAAAACTAGAATCTACACTCAATCACCCAGGAAGATGAGAGGTCTGCTGGGACTGAGATTACAGAGAGAAATGAACACAGAGATCAGAGCTTGAAGCCAGCTGTGGAGCCCAGGGCCAGTGGCCCGCTTCTGCACACAGCATCCATCCATGGGAACTGAGTCAACTCATAAGGATCTAAAGAGAGCGGGGACATTGCCGGGGAGGAGGAGATGGGGGTTCCTCTCCCAGCATACACACACGCATGGCTCCCACACTCACATAAATGCACATCGAGAAGCCAGAAGATGTTGCAAGATGTGTCTGTGCGTCTCTCAAGCTTCTACAGGCTAATGAAAGCATGTTAGAGACAGAGAACAGGCCTGAGTTTCAAGCCTTCTGAAGTCTGTTTTTCACTCTGTCTCTCTTTGGCACAGAATAAGTCATTTCATTCTCCCCTCTATCCAGACAGTGAGTTAATTTACACTGACAACTATAACCAAGTTGATGAACACACCAAACATTGGTCAGTGCAGATTCTCCCTATTTGAAAACTGAAATAGGAAACTTTTATAGTTAGAAAGTGCTTTGCAAACATAAACTCAGAAAAAGAGGAACTAATCGGAGGATCTTACCTTTCGGTTCTCTAAGCGGTCACAGCCTAATGCTGCCAAATGGCTCCAGATGCTCATGTTGAGGTCCAGGCTCTCTCTCCATCTTCAGTCTCCTCCACTCACCAGGCTCCTATTAACACATTTTCTGCTCTTCAGATAGTGAAATGTGGACAGCTAGGTTTAAGCCACCAGATTCCATCGTGCTACACCGAGACCACAGCCAATCCACTTTGGCCTTCCTCACAAGTCTCCAAATCATGACCATATATGTATAAAACGCCCAGTCTCTTCCTTTGCTGCTAAAGATTGTTAGTCTCCATCATTAAGGAACTTTCTATCTCAGCCTCCAGAGGGGTACCATCACACATAGTTCTGAGGATACCTCACCATGTATGAACACAAAGCCAAGAAGGGGATCTCATCTTCTTTTTATCCTAATTGGTCTTGTGCCATAGGTTGGTACTAAGGCAACTATTTGCTTTTAGTTTAGTTGTTATTCTAGGTTATTTTCCATATAAATAATATATTAATCATTTGAACATGTGCCCTAGGAGAGTTTTGCAACTGGAACAATTCTTGAATCAAAGAAATAAATACTATAAACAAAGCATAGTTTTTCAAGTAGCTTTCCAAGGCTTGTTGCAATTAATCACAGGCTTAAGAATGCTACTCCATTATCATTCTATCAAATGCAAGCCACATGGGCTTTGTGGCCATCATCTCAAATAAATACATCTCACTCTCCTTTGTAAGTCTTCAGTATAGACAAAGGCCTCTGCTTCAGGAATTTTGATTAGCAATATGTTAATCATAATTTCCAAATAAAAAGTCTAGACACCGTTTCAAGATTAAATTTGGTCTGGTCTGATTTTGTGAATTCTTATAAAATGTCTTATCCAATCAAATTTTAGCAATCATTCTGCATTTTGATGTTAAAATAAAATTAAATTAAAATTTTAACGAAAATAATTCTGACCCTCTGAAACAATTTCAAACTTATTTTAAATTCCCCAAGTGCATTCAGTAGCAAGTAGAAATAGTCACCGTTTAGCCACCCCATTACAGTCCATCACCTCAGCATTGCCCCTAATGTGGCAAGATTTTAAAAGTATAATATTCTTCACCTTTACAGCTAAAACAACAGCACATTCACACACATCATTGTATCGAATGTGGGCTAGCATGCACACATGTGTCCCCATTAATGTATCAATTCTTCAGCCTGTGACTCATTTTTTGGTGACACATGTTTTTATTGTATTATTGACCTGAGTCATTCAGTTACTATATATCAAATACTGGACTTCTCTGTTAATTCACTGATTTGTGGAAACAATGGATCAGAATATTTGAAGCTGAGGCTGTCTCAGAAAAAGAGACATATGGTCCACGAAAGAAGCAGGCATGCCTCTGCAGGAGTGAAGGCACAACAGAAGGCATGCCCCGGGCACCAGGTCCCGAGCATCAGGGAAGGCCCAGCGCAGCTGTCAATTAAAGGAGGGAGATTCCAGTGATCCTCGCCACCATCATTACATTTGTTGAGTTCTTCTGCATGCAAGTATCATGCCAAGTATTTTCTGTGCACAATCTCATTCAACGCTCATACAAGCCCTTTGACACAGAAGCATTTACTAACCCTGTAACAGAGATGAGGAAATGGGCTAGGAGAGGCCACTTAGAACTGTTAGAATCTTGACCCAAACCCAAGTCCGTCTGACTCCAGAGACAGTGCTCTGGGTTTTCAACCTGTTCCCAGACAAAACATAATCCCCACTAGACCTTCAGGAAGCTTTGTACCTTCTGAGTGGTGTTCCAGCCGATACCCCGGCATCAGTCTTTACAACACTTTCACCTGTCCCAGAATGAAGCATGTCTTGTGGGTATGAAAACTAGGAAAATATCTGCAAGGGGATGGGCAATCCAGAGGCATCTCTTCATTTTTCTCCCGTAAATAATTCTCATAACTAATGCAATTTAGCCTCCCAGACTCCTCATACTTTCCCTCCAACGTATTCTTTTCTGATTATTTATTATTATCATAATTAACATTTTTAGACATGTCACTGTGCAAAATATGGAGGAAGACAGACTCCCCCACCCTTTTGGCTTATGATCCAAATATTTAGATTATAAACACAATGTTTTTGGCAGGTTAACTCTGTATTAAGAAATAGAGCATTTGCAGGAAATGTCAGATGCTTATTTTACGATCAGTGTAAGGAGTAATTTACCCCACACAAAGATTTGGACTTGGCAAGCAAGCCCCTGTCCACCTACCCACATGTGATGAAGGCAGGAACAGTTTTTCTTCCTCACAACAATTGTCAGGCAATGGACATTTTTAACCCTCAGTAAAAAGCAGTAGCAAGGAGGAGCAGGGTTGGTGGAGCAGGGTTGGAGCAGGGCTGGCCATCATGGCAGTTGGGCAGAGACTAGAAGTAGATAGAAGTCTTTGCTTGCCACTGCTTAGAGTAATGGATAGATCGAGGCCAGTTCTTTTGTGCTCAATGACTTTTAAGAAACACAAGAAAAGTGACATAATTAGTCAACTTATTCCTCTTTCAAAATGTGCATAATAAGGCTGGCAGTACAGCAAAGAGATCAACAGTTCACTCCAGCACACTTGCTTCAAAACTTTCTGCCCATGTGGCATTTCTCCTTCAGAGGCATGGTCTAAAGGCCTAGACATTTAATGTTTCCCACTTAAGAAATTGTGCCAATTTCATGTGACATGATATGGAAGATTGTAAGATAGAAGAAAACACTGAACACCTGACAAATTTTTTAGCTAATAGTACTCACCCAGCAGAAATATGGATCTCGTGAAGGTAAAGCAAGTACATCTCTGGGGTGACACTGCATAACAATCAGAAATTTCCACTGGCAGGAGACTATGCACTTTCACAAGCCAGAAAGCTGGAAGGTTTTATTAATTATCTCCAAGCAGGCATGAGTGTGAAGCTGAAATGAACTGTGGAGCAAAGGAGAATTTTCATCCAATTCCTTCATTCTATAGTTAAGTGGGAGAGCATGTGTACTGTTCACAGTCATGCGGTTGGCAAGTAGCAGAGTTGGGACATGAATGCAAACTGTTGTGGTCATTTCATCCAGAGTTCTTACTAAAATGCCATGCTGTTCATGCTTTTTTAACCCATAACACAAAAATATGCAGGAAATGAACATGCAACTCTGGGGCAATTCCCAGATTCGGAGTCATCTGAGCATCCTCCCGACATCGGTGGGTTCAGAGATGAAAACCGCCAAATCCCAAGATGTCTCAACAGAAGGCCTGGCAGGGCTTACATTCTGCCTGCAGGTAAAGCATCCTGGCCGGGATCCAATTCGATTGGTCATTTTGTATCTTACTAGCAGTTAAATATTTTTAGTATCTCCCCTGATTTTTGGGAGAACCTGAAGGTACCAGAGCATCCTGAATTTATACACAGCATCCACTCCAATTGTATGTGTAGGAATCAACATTCCTAGCTTGTTAAGGGCAAATTATTCAGGAAATATGGAGAAAATGTTAACATTACTCTGAAGAAAGAAACAGAGCCACCCCCTTATAGCTGCCTTAATTTTTTTTTTTTTTTGCCATAGCTATACATTCTCGTCACCCAAGCACACGAAATCTGGCAAAGGTAGCCCTTTTAATGTTTGCTTTATGATCTCAAGTAACTATCAAAACCACTATTGGAAACCATTAAAAGGGCATGTTCTTTCCATCCCGTACAGCACGCCATTCTGGCACCTTGTTTACTGCACTAACTGGAGGTATAAAAGAACAGACCACTGGCTTATTCCACACCTGATATAGAATTCCATTATTGTAGACCAGTTATTCAATTGAAAAAAAATCATCTAATCTGCCAGCCTATTGATGAAATCATGAACTCCTGCTGCTCTGTAATAAATATTGCATGTGTCAATTGGATTATAAGAGAGCCTGGAACTTTGCCCCTTGGCATCTGGCATAGCCCATCAGACTTAAGTTTCCCTATCTCACTTTGCTGTAGCAAAACTGTAGTGTTGAAACCTAAGGGCTGAAAGTTTTTAATTAGCCTTTAAGAATACACCCACAATACTGGCAAATGCCTCTCGTAGCAGGGGCCTTTAGAGATGATGTCACATTTTGCGTGGTGAAAAATTGGTCTCTGCTGTGACAGTTAGATAATTTTTTTAATGGATATTACATAAGTTTAGCAATTTATGACTTTTATCATGTCTTAAGCTTTGAACACAAAGATCGCTTTTTCTTATTGCTTGGGGTTTCATTGCTATTTTTTAATAACATGTTATTAGTGATTTTTAGTTGATGAATAAATGTAATGTCTTCTTGGTATAATGTGTGAGTGAGCTGGAAATGACCTGTCCCTTCTGATCAGCCACCATGTGGCCTTGGAAGAGGTTGGATGACCCTGCTCAAGGCGGAAACATGTAACTTCCCTAAAAGATAGCCTAGGTTTTTATACCAGAGCATTCTCTGATACTAAAGTTATAAATGTTTCTCACTCATTTCAATCAGCAAATTCTATTTCGAAACTTACTCCATTTGTGAGTTTGCCTGCTAAAAGATATAATGACACTTCAGATTCTTAATCTGTCTTCTATTTAAATCAGTAGCATTGTATCTTTTTTTCCATATAACTATCAAAGCAATCCTTAAGAGACTGTTCCAGGAAAAGACTATCTAAAATTCATTTTAGAAAGGCTAAATGTTGGATCTCAATGCTCCCTGTATGATTTGGGAATTTGGGGCATCATTGCTAACTGTCTGAGCAGAACACTGCACAACTTATGTGGGTTATTTTCTAGCTGAATATTGGCCTAACTTCACCAAGCAATTCAGTTCTACAGACCCGATTCAGACCCAAAGAGTAACCTAAATAGATTCCCTAAGTAAGAAAAAAGAAGAAAAAGAAAGCAAGAAAACCTGGTCAGTTTAACATCTCTTAAAGGAAATGTTAATGTTCTCTAGTAAAAGAAGATCTATAATGTGTTAAAGAAAATTTTTAAAAAGTTGAGTGATGTCAATGCAAAGCAATGGGGGTGTGGCATATTGGCAGGAGAGCTCAATTAAGAGTCCAGTGGTCTGGTCTCAGCCCTTCCATTAACTAGCTCCGGATGCTGGGCAATTACTTCCCTTTCTGAGGCTCAATTTTCTCATCTGTAAAATGATGGAGCTGGCCTTGGATCCCTAAGGTCCTATTCAGTGCCAACACATTTGAGGCTGTGAGTCTATAAAAGATTTGAGATGGCTAAAATAGGAGGAGGAGGCAGATGGTATATTGGGCTCAAGAGCTGTGACCAGGAAGAGCTCTGACTACTTCTTAAGAGTGATATGAACCAAGAAGTAGAAAAAGAAATGCAACTTTGTATTTATAATGGAAGATACATGGTACTATACTTTTGTCAAATCCATAGAATAAATACCAAAGGTGAACCCTAATGTAAACTATAAACTTTGATTAATAATGTGTTATCTATTTTCTTTTTCTTTTACTTTTTCTTTTTTTTTTGAGTTGGAGTCTCATCCTATTGCCCAGGCTGGAGTGCAGTGGTGCGATCTCAGCTCACTGCAACCTCCACCTCCCAGGCTCAAGCAACTCTCCTGCTTCAGCCTCTTGAGTAGCTAGGATGCCACCATGCCCAGCTAATATTAGTATTTTTAGTTGAGACGGGATTTTGCTATGTTAGACATGCTGGTCTCGAACTCCTGAAGATATTTTCTTTTCTTTTCTTTTCTTTTTTTTTTTTTTTTTTTTTGAGACAGAGTCTCGCTCTGTCGCCCAGGCTGGAGTGCAGTGGTGCCATCCTGGCTCACTGCAACCTTACAACCTCCGCCCCCAGGTTCAAGCGATTCTCCTGCGTCAGCCTCCCAAGTAGCTGGGATTACAGGAACGCACTACCACGCCCAGCTAATTTTTGTATTTTTAGTAGAGACAGAGTTTCCCCATGTTGGCCAAGTGTTGGCCAAGCTGGTCTGGAACTCCTGACCTCAAGTGATCCACCTATGTTGGCCTCCCAAAGTGTTGGGATTACAGGCATGAGCCACTGCACCTGGCCACTATTCCTTTTATACAACATATCAATAAGATTCTGGGGAGGGGGCAGGAAAGTTATGATAAAGGTATGATACGAGATGTTATCTTAAAGATATTAAAGATGCATTAATATATTAATAAAAATAATAACAAAAGAGTAAAACTAATAATAAGACTAAATTAAGCTTCCAACCTTAGATAGCTTCTTGTTGAGATTCACTCAACAAATTTGATTTCTGGAAGTCTAGGGACCCAGGTAAGTGCAAGAAAAGGTGTTTCTTTTAGTCATCATTTAAGCAATCAGTAAGCAGTAGGCTCTCAGCCCTTCAGAGTCATGAGCAAGACAAACATAAAGCCTCCTCTCATGAAGCTTACAGTTCAGTCTAGTGGGCAATAAGGACATTTTATAGTTTGCATTTATGGAAGTATTCTATGTGCCGGGCTCTGTGTGAATTTTTCTGGAGTATTTTTTATTTAGTTCTTGCTACAACTCTACAGGTATATACTTTCATTACTTTATTTTATATGTAGGGAAAGTGAGACACAGAAAACTGAAACAAATTACCCAACATCACAAAGCAAATAAGAGACACAGCCAAGACTCAAATGTGTGCCATATGATCCCGGAGCCTCTTGGCTGCTTCTTTGACACTAATAAGTCTTTAATAATAATTAGTAAAAATTAAAATAATAAGCACATGGCCAGGTGCAGTGGCTCACGTCTGTGATCCCAGCACTTTGGGAGGCAGAGGCAGGTGGATCACCTGAGGTCAGGAGTTCCAGATCAGCCTGGCCAACATGACGAAACCCAGTCTTTACTAAAAATACAAAAAATTAGCCGGGCTTGATGGGGGGCGCCTGTAGTCCCCACTACTCAGGAGGCTAAGCCAGGAGAATGGCGTGAACCCGGGAGGCGGAGATTGCAGTGAGCCGAGATCGCATGACTGCACTATAGCCTAGGTGACAGAGCGAGACTGTGTCTCAGGTAATAATAATAATAATAATAATAATAATAAGCACGGCAGAGGGAAGTCACCTGGCCCAGAGAGTAAGGGAAGGCCTCCTTGAGGAAGGGACCGGAAGAGGAGCAGAAGTTAAGCTGGCACAAAAGGGTGAAAAGCCCGAGGTGAGAAAGCTGCTCTAGGTTATTAGCAAATAATTACATTTTAATTTATTCACAAAAGCCATTGTACTGTTACCACACACATATGCCTAAAACAGCATTAAGTAAAGGTCCTCATATCCATTATCACGTACATATGCAAAAAATAGCTTTAAGTGCACAGTTTTTAAAAATTATTTTAGAAATTGCAATGGAGTACAAAATTATCTTTTTATGTAAATCCAAGATTAGACGATTATTTCTATCTAGGCTGTGCTACAAAGATATTCTCCCAGAATCATTTCTGGATGGCAGTTCCAGAAACCTGGAGATTCTGGTAATTAGACCTTTGCTTCCAAATGACAGGAGTTGGGGAGCCAGGGAGATGGAGTTTTTGAGGTGCCCAGTTCAGTATAGCGAGAATCCGAGTCCTCCTACAAGTGAACAACAAGAAACCACCACCTGCCTCTAATCTCCTCCTCAACCACTAGCTGGGTGCTCGCTAAGGGAGGGCAGGTAGGATTCTCAGTCCTGGGTTAAGGAGGAGTCCTAGAAATCAGGATGGAGACATTCTTGGTCACAGTGGAGCAAAGGAAGCAGGTGAGGTGGTTGGCCTGGGCCACTGCTCACGAGGGGAGCAGCCTGCCGCTGGCTATGACTGATGGGAAGCATGGATGTGCCTGGGCACACGTGGCTGTGCTGAGCCTGAATCAGATAAGCCTGGGTGTTTTTCTGTGTGAAAGGACAAAAATGGTACTCGACTTGTGTCAGGGCTAATATTTAAAACTACATCTAGAACCAGTTCAAACACACATTTTACAATTCTGAGTGCAGGACTGTTTTTATGCATTGAGCTCTTTCTTCCAGAAACTATCCTCCTATTCCTCAAAGAGAGGGAAAAGGTCATGTCCATAATTCTAGCCTTAGGTTTCTTTTTTTTTTTTTGAGACAGAGTCTCACTCTATCACCAGGCTGAAGTGCAGTGGCACCATCTCTGTTCACTATAACTTCCACCTTCTGGGTTCAAGTGATTCTCCTGCCTCAGCCTCCCGAGCAGCTGGGATTACAGGTGTGCACCACCACACCCAGCTAATTTTTGTATTTTTAGTAGAGACGGGATTTCACCATGTTGGCCAGGATGGTCTTGATCTCTTGACCTCATGATCTGCCCGCCTCAGCCTCCCAAAGTGCTGAGATTACAGGCGTGAGCCACCGCGCTCAGTCTAGGTTTCTTTTTTAAAAGTTTAAATGACTGTCTTAGCCCAAGCATTCCTAGAACACTTTGGAAGTTATTCGTAAGTCGTGACTTCCATTTGCAAGGATGAGTCTAGCAGGGACACATATAGCCTCAAGTAACAACACTACAATACCCAAGGACTCTACCCACACTTTCCACTGACCTACCCTAGAGAAATAATTTGAGGTTGGAATACCTACCTGGGGGTGGAAGGGACAGGATCTTCTATCTATTGAAGCCTGCTTTGAAACATATACTATTGAACCCTCACATCCGCCCCATCTCTCAGAGCCCCCATTTTACAAAAAAATAACACCATGGCTCAGCGGGCCTCCATCTTGACATGATTCCCTGTTGCTAAGTAATTTTAATACGTGTGCATTAAAGCAGGCTGAGAGCATCAAGGAATTTCACCAGCTCTTTCATGTGCTCAGCACAAATTGGTAGATGCTTCTAACGAAGTTAACGGGAGCAATGCAGATGCCTATACGGGAGCCCACCCTCCCTGGGGCAGCACAGGCTGCTGACTATATTGTGAAATATTTGAGTATACCAAGGCCTCTGGGAGACCCCATAAGTCCAACTTTCAAGGTACAGATGTTCCTCTACTTACTATGGGGTTCCATCCTGATAAACCCATCCTAAGTCGAAAATATTGTGAAGTTGAACCATTGTGAGCCTGGGACTGTCTGTAGTAACATTTGTGTCTCCTTCACCACTGAGCAATCAGACTTGAAATTAGGAGGAGTGGCCAGGTGTGGTGGCTCAGGCCTGTAATCCCTGCACTTTGGGAGGCCGAAGCAGGTGGATTGCCTGAACTCAGGAGTTCAAGACCAGCCTGGGCAACATGGTGAAACCCAGTCTCTACTAAAATACAAAAATTAGCCAGGCATGATAGTGCATGCCCATAGTCCCAGCTACCCGGGAGGCTGAGGCATGAGAATTGCTTGAACCTGGGAGGCGAAAGTTGCAGTGAGCAAAGATTGTACCACTGCACTCCAGTCTGGGCAACAGAGCAAGACTCTGTCTCACAAAAAAAAAAAAAAAAAAAAAGACATTAGGAGGAGTGAAAGGTGGTGGTGCCTAGATGTGACAGGATAGCCAAGGAAGTTAGTGAAGAGGCATCGGGGGCACATGGCAAGGGTGAAGAGGATAGATCCAGATGGGACTGAGATTACCCTTCGGCAATGAGGCAAGTTGGGGAGAAGGTTGATGGAGTAAAGATGGGAAAACATCTGTGAATGCAGGGCTCTGCCTCTCCCAAAGGAAACTGCAGAGCAGATGATAATTGACCTGTTAATTAATAATGAGAAAATTTACTTATTTGTTTCACTTCCCAAAGATAAATAAATCAATAAATGGCCCAACAAACCCTAAGGAGCTGAACTTGGCCTCATGTTCCCCTTTGTCCCTAGATCCAGCCTTTTATATCCTTTTTCACCAACTTTAGTATTTCAGTTATTAAAATCTAACACAAATAAACCTAGCTCATGAAAACTAAAAGTTTAAGCAGCAATGAATCTTAATTTGGACTACTTTTTTAAGGGTATTTATATGCGACATTTGCCTTATTACAACGTTTTATTTCTTTCCAGTGAAGAAAGCAGCTTTTTTTTTCCTTTAAGAAGAAATTCACACTCATTCCGAAGGCTGTGCCTATTTCTTATCTCCTTGAGCCTGAGTGCAGTGCAAACAATAGAAATCAGCCTGAGAACACGTGACTCCCTCTTCAATGGGGTCATAAATATGTTACAAGTAAATGCTGAAATAATGACTTTCTTTGGACGTCTTTTTTAATTAGAGCTGAAAGAGTTTAGAAAAAATAGTAACCACCTGGCAAGCCAGCTCCTCTTTGAAAGCTGAATTAAAATCAAATGAGAGAAATAATTAGGACAGCTGGAAATAATAAAAACAATAGATACCAGGCATGTCTTTGACAAAACACAACAAACCAGAGAGACATTACAATGCAAAATCTTAATTGTGTCATGGCTCACTAAGTCTCTCTCTTCCCCCCCGCCGCTTCAGTCCTTGATCACAATGGAGGGGGTGGTGGGGAACCACTGTATTACAAGATGTAAAGCCAAAAAGCAGTAACACTCTTATAACCTGAATGAGCATGACAATAAACAGAGGTAGTTGTTGCTGTGCGTAAATAGATACAATGCCACAATTTGACTGAATTATTGTTTCTCCTTTTTTGTTTCTTGTATAGGGTGCTAATTCTTACTTCTTGCAAACTGTGGATTAATACCTATCTTTGGATGTATGTGTCAAGTCTTAAATTTGGCTTTTCAAATATGAGGTTTATCTGGATTCTGTTGTCCATATTCAGAATTACTCCTGAGTAATTGCTGGCCTGAAAAAAAAAAAAAAAAAAAAAAAAACACACAAAAAAACGCACCCGAGATGAATTATGCCACTCCTCCAGAATGCAGATGCTTCTTTAGTCACTGCTGTTCTAAATAACATCTTTTTTTTTTTCTATTTTACAGGGTAGGAAAAGGCTATATGCCAAAGTGCTAACAGTGGTTTGCTTTGGGAAATGGGGTTACTGGTGATTTTTCATTGTGCTTATGGTTTTTTTCTGCATTTACTAAATTCCTCATCATTTAAAGCCAAACATAGTTTCATGTAAATTCTTCAATCCTATAAATGCATTTAAGAGGGGGGAAATGGCCCAGAAACATATGAATGACATTTAGCAATGGGAATGGAACACAGAGGAACGACGTTCACCGACTTTGCAACTACATTAAAGTGCAAATCGCTTGCCCTGTAACTCAACTGGAAGGTAGGCAAAGGTCCCAGAGTAAATCAGGACCCTTACTGACAGCATGGAGTGGAGCAGATAGCTCAGTGTGGATCTGGAAATCAGGTTATCTAGGTATTCAGTGAATGACATCCTACATGGTGGTGTGAAAGCCACTTAATCTCCTCAGTCTCCTTGCCATCAGACTATCTTCCTTTCCACAGGCAAAGCTTCCGTTTAAAGTTAATGGAAACTGAGAGAATTGGGACACTCTGCCTTTACTTTTTCTCTCTGTCAAACAAAGATAAAGGTTTTATTCAAACTTTTTTATCTGAAGAGGAGCACCACCTGAATGAAATGTGGTCATGATCAGAAATCTTAAGAATTAGGAAATTTCCAGACACTCACATAAATGATACAGTGCCCTGAAGAATGAGGGGGGAAATGATTCTGTACAAAAACACAGCTATATAAGCACTCTTCCTTGAAATAAAAAGGGTTTCCACATATATGCATTTATATAAGTAGTGTTAACCGAAGATTAAAAAGTAAAAGAAATTTTAAATTAAAGATTTCACTTCATCAAAATGATTCCGGTTTTTACATCTCAGGACATTGGCAAATGCAATTTCTTTACATTTGAATGGTTATGGATAGTTCAACTTTTTTTCTGGAGGTTTAGTTTGGATCTGACCCCTGTTTTTAAAAGTCTTGCTCCAGCATGTTTAATAATTGGGTTTAATCTCCCCATATCCATCCAATTTGAAAGGCATAAGAAGAAAGATTACTAATTTTTTGCCCAATCCTGCAATTAACTAACAAAAATTAATTAGTATTCTTAAATAAGTTATTAAATATCTATGAACCACATAGTGGTACTCAACACATATTTGTCTAATGAATGAATGATCAAATACGGCTCAGTTTTTTTCATCTTGTCACTAGATGACTTACTCTAACCTTCTATGACCTATGTGTCCCTCCTTATAAACTACAGCAACAGTTCCCACACACAAGTCAGCCTACAAGCATCAGCCCGTGATGAAATTTTTAACAGTTTGCATGGAGTGAGAGGAAGTAAATAAGGACAATATAGTTGATTTGTCATAAGGCTAAATCTATTTAATTTAGAGAACTATTCTGTAGTCTGTATGTCCTTTGCATTTCTTTGGAAATACTTTTTTTGTTGTTTTATGAAATGATAAAAAAAGATAGTAATTGTGAAGGGCTTAAGATATTTTACTTGGCAAAATATAAAATCCACAACCTATGTCAGTCCCTGATTTTTTCTAATTCTATTACTCCAAGAGCTCTCAAGGTCTGGGAACTACTGACTTAGAGAATGTGCATTACTTTAGGTACAAGAAAAAAGGAGATTTCTCTTTTCCCCACCCCCAGATTTGTATCCCCTAGAATTGAGACAGACTGTCTATTGTCTATTAGCTCCTCTGCATTGAGCTTCAAACTTTTCCATCCCCCACCCTTGTCCTCCTAAATGCAAAGAGGTAGCCAGATAACCACTTTCATTCTACATACTCACCATGTATTATTGGGTGAAATAATTTCCCAAATGCAATTTTATTGACTGTCTCTCTTGCAGTTCCTTCTAGAAAACTGCCATGTAACCAGTTTTAGGATGGACATATAAGCAAAAGCCAGCCAATTTGCTTTCTAAACACTGACCAGTAAGATCCTCTTTCTTCAAATCTGAGCAAACAGGACATAAAGATAGGCTGTAGTGGGTACTGAGCCCAAAGGCTATGATGCAAAGCTGGGGCCTATAGTGTCCTGCAAGACGGGCAAGCAGGGAGAGTAGGTCAAGAAAGGCACCAGAGAGAACTTAAAGAAACAAACTCCACAGAGACAGTGAAAATAGCCTCATTTCTGATTTCTAGTTCCCAGTTCCAGTTGGATTCTTTGAGTTTACTTAACCCCATCCTCCACCAACTGCCTTTCTGAACTTGAGCTAGTGGATTTCTATTCCTTGTCATTTAAAAAAAAAATGTCCTTTGGGAGGCCCAGGCAGGCAGATCACAAGGTCAGGAGATCGAGACCATCC
This sequence comes from Homo sapiens, assembly GCF_000001405.40. Classification (NCBI taxonomy): domain Eukaryota; kingdom Metazoa; phylum Chordata; class Mammalia; order Primates; family Hominidae; genus Homo; species Homo sapiens. Next base: position 177,428,937 of record NC_000003.12, on the reverse strand, counting down.
TGGCTAACACGGTGAAACCTCATCTCTACTAAAAATACAAAACATTAGCCAGGCGTCGTGGGAGGCGCCTGTAGTCCCAGCTACTCAGGAGGCTGAGGCAGGAGAATGGCATGAACCCGGGAGGCAGAGTTTGCAGTGAGCGAGATCACACCACTGCACTCCAGCCTGGGCGACAAAAAAAAAATTGTCTCAGCCAGGCATGGTGGCCCATGCCTGTAATCCCAGTACTTTGGGAGGCCGAGGCAGGCAGATCACCTGACGTCAGGAGTTCAAGACCAGCCTGGCCAACATAGTGAAACCCCGTCTCTACTAAAAATACAAAAATTAGCTGGGCGTGGTGGGCAGGCGCCTGTAGTCCCAGCTACTCAAGAGGCTGAGGCAGGAGAATCGCTTGAACCCAGGAGGCAAAGGTTGCAGTGAGCCGAGATCGCACCACTGCACTCCAGCCTGAGCGACAGAGTGAGACTCCGTAAAAAAAAAAATTGTCTCAAATTGAAAACATGGACTAACATTCGTGTATTTGAAGAAAAAGAGATTTAACACTGTTTTTTATCTAAGATTGTTTTTACTAGACAATTTCTCTTATTTCTGCAATACCAAAAATATGCAACCATCAATCAGATTTCTTTCTTATATTCCCTTTAAACATTGTGAAAAAATGTTTTTCAGGCATAAGGAAAAGCCCAGCTCTCAGCCCGTCTCTTCATCCTGCCCCTGCCCATCCCCACCGTCACCATAGTGTAGGTTTGATCTTGTGTCCATCCCCAGCCCAGCCCCCTGCACAGATTGCATAATCTGCTTGCTAAGGCATAGCTCAGAACTTCAGAGTCCCAAAGAGAGCACATCAGTGACCCCACTGGGTAGAAGCCCCTGTCATTGTCATTTTCCCATTGAGATACAATCCAGAGAAGTGAAGGGATGATTTAATATCCCACAGGGAACAAGCAAGGGAAATCGCATTTTATTTAACCTTCAACCAGCCTAAAAGGTAAAATATTATCCTAAAAGGTAAAATGTACAAACACACTCAACCTCACAAGGCTTGCCTATGCTTTACCAAAGATCACACATCCAGTAAGGGCTGAGGCCTGACTTTGAGTGAAACTTATTAAACTCTAAAGTCTATACTCATTTAATAATACATCCTTCTGCCTCCAAGTTTTTCGTGGTCAAACCACATTTAAACCCAGATCACATGACTCCTGATGACTAAACAAGGGTTCTCTCCAGTCATTATTCTGGTGTTCTCCAGGAACAGCTCAAAGAAAAAGGTGTGGAGATGTAGCATTGGGTAGAAGATGAAAAGGAAGGCAGCTGAGAGCCACCTTGTTACTTCAGCCCTCTCTCCTCTTTTTCTTTAACATTTCATCAAACAAGGGCATGATTTATAAGCCATCTCCAGGTTGTGGCCCTGAGTCACTGTCCCTACCCAGTCCAACCCTGGGGGAGGCAGTCTCTAAGATACCCACCAATGACCCCCACCTGCAGGATTCATACCCTCGTGTTATACGCTCCCTCGCTGTACCAGGGTTGGTCTGGATAACCAACCCCATATAACAGCACTTCTGACAGTGGGTTAGTAAAAGTGTGCAACTTCCGACTTGGGTATTCTTTCTTTCTGTTTCTGTCTTGAATCACTCACTCTGGGGAAAGCCAGCTGTCATATCATGAAGACGCTTAGGCCACTTCAGAGAGGCACACACGGTGAGTGAGGAACTAAAGTCTCCAGCCAACAGCAAGCAAGGAACTAAAACCTGTCAGCAACCATGTGAGTGAGTTAGAAAACGATCATTCCCCAGCTGAGTGTTCATGTGAGACTGCAGCCCTGTCAAACAGCTTCACTGCAACCTCATGGAGACCTTAAGCCAGAACAACCCAGCTAAAATACTCCCAGGCCCCTGAGCCACAGAAAAAGATATCTGTGGCCTTAAGCTGCTAAGTTTGGATGTATTTTGTTACATAAAAATGGACAACAAATTCAAGTCCTGGGAAGTTCCTCCAAATACTAAACATTTCTCCTGCCTAGGCTTTCTCAGGTTATTCCTGTTGAAGTAAGTAGAGTTATTTTCCTTTGTCTCCATAAACAAATCATTGGTGTTAATCCACTGACTCCCCTCCCTGACTGGGGAATAAGCTCTGTAGCTGCTTCACAAATATTTCATTTGAAATATGCATATGGTTCTAGATGATAAAATCTTCAGAAAGCCACTACTGTCTGCTTCCTTTGCTTTGTCATTTTTATAGTCCCTTTAGTTTTCTGAATCTTTCCCTCACAATAAGTCGGTCAATAGAAACCACAGAATTTTAAGGAAGAGTTTGACTCCGCTCCTGGGCAGAATATTTAAATCATAGGTTGTTGTTTGTTTTCAGGTCAACCAGTACAATTATGCAACATAAATTCTTTTAAAGCATCTGGGACTTCAGTTCAATTTAAGATCCTGTGGGTTTTATTACCAGAATGAATGATTATAAAATACATGCATGCAAATGAAGAGATAAAAAAATTAAAGGGCATATGAAATTTAATGGATGCTACTTGTAATTCCATGCCAAATTGTTGCAAAAGACAGTGGCTAGGCCACCATGTGAAAATGTGGTTTATGGTATTTATAACTTGAGAATGCGATTTTAATAGTCTATTGCCATGGATATATATTATAAAACAGAGTAGAGAATTAAGTTTCTGGTATTAACATGTGGGGGAGGGGGAAGTTTTTACCTAAGTCTGTCATTGGTTTTATTGCCAAAATAGCTTGTTTTGACTAAGGTGATTCACTCCAACAGCACACCACAGTAAAAACTTTGTGAAAAATGGAGATTCTTTATTTTTGAGTGTTTTTATTCTAAGAGCTCATTTGGGACTAATCTAATTCAGTCAATATTTATTAACTGCCAAAAATGTGAAAGCTAATACATTCGAGGATCTGGGGGCTGGGAGTGGAGGGAGTTAAAATTGAAGCTAACAATCTCTACTCTTGAGAGAATCCCAATCTAGGGAAAGCGGTGGGCAGATGTGTGTGTAAAGAATCTGAACGTGGGTTGAGTAAATTATTGGAGGAGTCAAATAACAGGCTCCCACCTCTGGATTGCTCTCCTCTAATCCAGCATCCACACGGCTGCCGAGTTTTACCCAAAAGAAAGAATCCAAGTGTGTTGTCTTTCTCCATAAAGTTCTCCATTGCTTATAAAATACAGTCCAGACTCCTTAGCACCAGCTCTTCAACATTTGGCCTAAAACTACTTTTTCCTATTCAGATAACACTCTAAAGATGAATGCTTAAAGAAAAAGTTTGTTGGGAGGCCGAGGCGGATGGATCACCTGAGGTTGGGAGTTGGAGACCAGCCTGACCAACATGGAGAAACCCTGTCTCTACTAAAAATACAAAATTAGACAGGCGTGGTGGTGCATGCCTGTAATCCCAGCTACTCGGGAGGCTGAGGCAGGAGAACTGCTTGAACCCGGGAGGTGGAGGTTGCGGTGAGCCAAGATCGTGCCATTGCACTCCAGCCTGGGCAACAAGACCGAAACTCTGTCTCAAAAAAAAAAAGAAAGAAAAAACTTGACTCAACTTGAAAAGACTAAGGATTCCAGTACAGTTCTTCAAATAATATATGAACGTCCACTGTTCCTACAGGACTCATCTCTTTCTAATTTTTGCTTCCAACCAGGACAAACCCCTAAAGAAGAAGGAAGTCATGAGGCAACCAAGAAGTTGCTGGGACATTTTCTTGCAGGGACTGGTACAAAGGAAGGAAATAAAAGGGTGTGTTATTATGAAAGAAATTAACTAATATTAGCATCTCCTTTTCCTAACCCTTCCCATTACAGTCCCAGACCCCCAAAGAGGAGAGTGTCGTGCTTCTAAATATCTCAGGTCTTTGTATACTTCACCCAGAAAGAGAAATTTCTCTGGAATCGCCCGTGAATAGAGAAGGGTTGGTGAGATTTGGAGATAGAGAAAACTGTCTTATTCATTAGGCTGAAACAGAGAGATCAAGCATAGTGGAGACAAAAGTTGAGGAGCTTTAGGATGGGAAGGCTTTTGTTTGGATTTGAGTTTTCTTAGTGGATGGAAAGATCCCCCATGATAATAGACACAGCTTCCTCTTCCATGCTTCACTCCCAATACCACAGGATTCCTGTAGAAGGGGACACTGACAGCACAACAGGTGGTGAGGTCCACAGCAGTCAACAGGAAGCAAATGTCTGCCTGAACTCCCAGTGTCACCAGGCAACCAGCCTCAACACCAGCACCAAGTAGAAAGTGCAGAGTAATGACAGGAGGCAGCACCATGGCCTGGAAACGGGCATCTCCATTGTGCCCTGTGAGTACCAAACAAACCCGATTTCTTATATAATCCCCAAAAAAACGACTAATCAGAGATTGAGCTTTCTACCAGTCACATTCATGTGGGCTCAGAGCAAGTTATATTTGATTTAGAGAGACAAAGGAATGCACCCTCGATCATATTCTAAAACCTTTACTAAACATAGTTCAGAAGCTGTTTCCAGATAAGAATGCTCAACCCACTGGGTTTCTAGACTCCTAGAGACCCTTTCACATGCTAAAGCCCATATGCATGGGTCTATAGAGAGCATTCCATTATAGTTTATGGAAAAAAAATTATCCCCATTCCTTCTTCCTTATTTCTCTTTTAAAGGCACTCTACAGGGGTTTGCAGACTCCAGACCACAGGCTAAATCCGGCCTGCTGACTGTTTTTGTACAGCCTGTGAGCTAAGAGTGGTTTTCACATTTTAAATGGCTGAAAGATCATAAGAATATTTTGTGACACGTGAAAATTGCATGAAATTCAAATGTCCAGTGTCCCTAAATAAGGTTCTATTGGCACACCCATGACTATTTGTTCATGTGTTATCTATCCTTGCTTTCACTACAACGGCAGAGTCAAGTAGTTGTGACAGAGACCATCCAGCCCTTTACAGAAAGAGTTTGCTGTATCCGTGCAAAGAAAGAGATGATTTCCAAGACTTAAGAAGGAGGGTCGCGTTCTGTATTAGTAAACCCAGTGTCCAACTGAGAGGCAGGAAGCAGATTGTAGGCCTAGTCTAGAGCCTTCTCCTTCACCCTGTGCCAAGTGGGGAGGGAGCAACAGTCCCCAGATTTTCCTTACTGAAGAGCTTCTGTCTTCCAGGTAAAGACCTAGAAATGAGTAGACAACAGAACAGAAGGGGAAAGATATGCAAGGAAACCAGAGAGGGACTTGCCCATCCCCAAACCTGCAGCCCTACCCTCTTCACAGTAACAACAAACCAAGGACCCCAGCCTCAGAGGGGAGGAGGCCAGCCAGCCAGACTGGCAAGGGAGGCCACAGCTGCCAGCCCCTTAAAGCCCGCCTCTCTCCTCACCACGGAGGTGTGGAGATGAAGAAGGAGGACAGTTTCAGAAGGACAAAATGACATCTTAACTGAAAAACAGAAGAGGATGGCAGCGGGGAGGGCAGCCTCCTCCCCAGGCTTCAGAGAGTGCTTTTCAGAACCTAAATAAGATGGGAGAGAAGAGTTCTAATGGAACATGCCCTCCGAGCTGAGCAAACTGGAGCCTGCCACTGTTCCTCCTTAACTCCATTTCACTGAGACGGCAGCTACTGTAAACATCTGGGGCAGGGGGAGAAGGAAAATGATTTGGCAATTAAAATGTACACCTCAAGAAACTGTTTCAAAACATGTTTTAAGCCTGGCCTTATAACTGAAAATATTAGAAATTGATGTGAATTCACACTAATGTCACCTTCCATGCGCCTCTCCTGGCCATCTTTTGTTTTAAATTGAATTAGGCGAGCTGCTGAGTCAGAACAACACCTAAATACTTTTTCTACCCCTTTCCTTCTACCAACATTTATTAAGCACTTATTATTTGCACGGCGCTGTGCCAAGTATAAGCAGGGAAAAAACAAAATGAATAATCCCAGCCCCAGAGAGTTGCAGTTCCCTAGGAGAGATATAAAGTATGATTTAAAATCACAAATATTTAATACTGCATAGAAACGATATGTGCATGTGTGCATCTGAGGTGTAACGCTGTAGAGATATTGGAGTTGTGAAAAGGGAAACGCTGAGCCTGGAAAACTCAAACATGAGCCTTCCCCTCAGCTATCAGTATGCTCTGGTAGAAGGTTTCAGAGCCAGTTGCCTAAGTCAAGGCTTTTCAAAGCCTGGCGGAGGAGCACCCCCATCAGAATAACCTGGGATGTTTGCTAACCGTCAACAAATCAGTCCTTCCAAATCTGAATCTCCAAGACAGGACCCACGGTTCTGCCCAATTCACAAACTCCACAGGTGGCTCCTAAGACACTTTCAAGTTTGAGACAGAGCGCTGGATGACGGGCTCTGAAACTTTCCTGTTCATTGTAATCACCTGGACCCTAAGCCAATTCAATCAGAATATCTGGGGTGAGACTCACGCATCAGTAGTTTGTGACACTCTCCAGGTGATCCCAATGTGCTACCAAGTTGAGAACCACAGTGCTAATATCATTGCCCCATAACTTTACACAAAGAATAGTAGGCTCCATTTCAAGAGGAAACAAAAAAAAGTCATACTTTTGTTTTTCATTTATCTAAGTAGATATCATCATTTAACTTTGAGTAACCCATTTTTTCCTTCTGTTTAATACAACCTCTGAGGTCTTGGGCTTTATAATCTGAACTTGGTCCACTCATGTAGCAGTCACTGCAAGTGACTGCCCATGTGGACATGTGTGCGTGTGTAGCCATGTGCCCATGTGGATGCATGTACATGCATGTGTGTGTCATGCACCATGTGAAGAGCTAGAGGAGAAGAGATGAAAAATACAGGCCTACAAGGTCCATAGGAAAGAAACAATGTGAAAGGTGCTAACATTCAGAGTACTGGGGCTTTGGGGACACAGAAGTGTCTAACCAGCCAGGAAGTGGAGGTGACAGTGGTAGTCTGGGAGGGAAGGTCATTGCAAAGGCCTCTTAGAGAAGGAGATGCTCATGCTGAGTATTGAAGAATGAATAGAAGTGAGCTTCACAGAGAAGGGATAGCCAGCAAGGTGGACATCAATTGCGAAGACATAGTCGTATCCAAGTTGGGAATATCTGGAGTATAATGTGGCTGTGAAGTGTCTCTGGCCTATAGAAAGCACATAGCCATGCTACCAGTCTCTTCAGGGTCAAGAAAAGCTATTATTCTGGCCTAGTGATTCTCAGTCCCAGCACAGATTAGAATCATGTGAGATATTTTAAATACTAACAAAGTCCAGGCCTCACCCCCAGAGATTTGGATTTAATGAGACTTGAGCATCTCTATTTTTAACAAGCTCCCATGTGATTGGAGGGGGCGGGTCTCAGAGTCACATTTGGAGTCTCAGTAAACAGATAGCTGGCCTTGGCCACTGGCAACATGGATTCTCCTGGTTGGGCTGGAGCAAGCTGGGGCTGGAGTTTGCAGGTTGCCTGCCCCATTCCTCTTCTTCCTTCCTGCGTAGGCATGTGGCCACTTTATTGCCTTCAGAGGGAAGAAACTCAGGCTGCAGAGTTTTCAGGTTGGCTGTTCACCTGGTACAAAGGTAGTTGAGTGATCTCTGGCCACTCCCAGGTGCTCAAGCTGCTGCTCCAGCATCCCTGCATTCCTGCCTTGCTGTGAGCATTTCTCCAAGCACAAGCATACCCTCGTGGGGAGAGCAGGGGGTCAGGATTATTGGTAGTAGAGGGAAGCCTTGTGGTACACACCCTAGATGTATCCCCAAGGAATACATGTCAGTACTTGTCAAAAGCCTAGATTCATGAAATTTATCATAGTACGTAATAGAATTTCTCCCATTAAACGCAGTGAAATGAACTAAAACATTGTAATTAGATGCATAATGAAAATAACAGAATATGTAAGAAGAAATCAAAATAGTGAATTTGCATGGCAGGGCTTCTGGGCAGTCAGCTAAGTGTACACCCCAGCTAAGTGTCTCCCAGGCCACTGCAGCCAGACAGCATGTGATTCAAATCTGTGCTGGAGCAGAAGAACAAATTGCTCCACGTCATAAATCTTCTGGGTCATCTGCAAATAGTGGAAACCAGGAATGTTAAATCAGTGAATGCCAAGGGTGCATTCATATATCAAAATAAACATTTGTATGGACAACACAAGTCCAAGTGGGAGAAATGTAGTTGCTTTTATGCGTAAAAGGGATAGATAAGAATCTATCTACTGGATCTTTGAAACAATATTTCTATAGTCCCTCCCATATTTCCAAGTCAGCTGTAGGTATAATAAACAGATTTTTCTGAGTCAAAATCAGGACATGTGATTGGAGACAATTTTTTTTCTGAGTTGTAAATGTATTTATAAAGAAGTATTGCCTTGGGCTCTTAGAAGGACAAAAAAAGCAATGCTGAGAGACGTGCTAAGGCTGGGACAAGTGCCATGTAGCAGAAGAAGGCGGGAGGTTCCCTTCACACAACAGCAGATGAGGTTGCATCTGAGCACGTTTCCCACCCTGGGGAGCCCTGGGAAGTCCATCGCTGTCCTACAGACTGTCCAGGTGGCCATCAGAGAATGTGTCTGGAGTGGCAGGGCAGCAAAAGTCCAAGACAAGTCACAACGAAGAGGCAGACAGTGACCTCCTCTGAGGACAATGAGGCAGTTGCACAAACATCTAAGTGATTAGAATATGCCCCAGGAAGGTGGGGGAGGAAGACTAAAAAGATCTGAGGGGGAATTTTAACGTGAATGTGACTGAATTATAAACCTGAACTTGCAGAGAAAATTCTGAACTGGATTGAGTTTACTTGGAAATGACTAAAATCAAAACTTTCTGCCAAGTCAGAAATTACATTTACTATAAGAAAATAAAGATTACAGTTTTGCATATCTGAGTGTGAGATTGAAAAGGACAAAGCCAGGCCATAGGCTTTCCTTTATTCTCTCCTCCTCCAGTGGGCAGGGTCCCTTCCTTCATGGAGGCCAGGGTGGGAACAGTGGCCACTCCCTCAGACCCCCTTCCCAAGCTACTGCCGTGGGAGGTGGCCAAGCTGAGGCCATTAGCAGAGGCAGGTGTATCCAATCATTTCTTCATTCACTTCTTCAAATACTATTTTTGGCCGGGCGTGGTGGCTCACACCTGTAATCCCAGCACTTTGGGAGGCCGAGGCCGGCGGATCACAAGGTCAGGAGATAGAGACCATCCTGGCTAACACGATGAAACCCCATCTCTACTAAAAATACAAAAAATTAGCTGGGCGTGGTGGCGGGTGCCTGTAGTCCCAGCTACTCGGGAGGCTGAGGCAGGAGAATGGTGTGAACCCGGGAGGCGGAGCTTGCAGTGAGCCGACATCGTGCCACTGCACTCCAGCCTGGGCAACAGAGCGAGACTCCGTCTCAAAAAAACAAAACGAAACAAAACAAAACAAAAAAACAAATACTATTTCTTTGTTTTCTATTCCCTAAAGCCTTGGAATTCTGGATCAGGAAGTCAAGGGGAAGTTTGGTTAGCCACGAACAGTAACACCAGACTCTCATCTATATGAACAGCCCCCTTTAAAAACCTTCCTTAACAAGAGTTTTTTGTTGTTGCTGTTTTTTGTTTTTTGTTTTTTTAATTAGAATACTCAGGATTGGTATTGGTTCCAGAAAATGAGCACACACACCCACCCCTGCACGGGGAGTAAAGGATAAACTTGATGAGATTTTCTTCTGGCAGGCAACTAGATATTATGTTTCAAAAAGTCTTTAAAATGCACATACCCTTTTAACCAAAAATTCCAATTCTAGGAATCTGCTTCAGGAAATAATTTAAAGATCAATGTAGAGCAGTGGTTAAGAGCCAGTCCTTGACATCAACAGAATCTGGGTTCAGGTCCTGATGCCACTGATTAGCTCAATGAAATTTTGAACGAATTACAGAATGTGAACTTCACTGCCCTGGTATGTGAAATAGGGGTAACACTCATACCTATCTCACAAGGCTGTCATGAGGTTACAATGAGCTCAAACATGTAAATGCTCAGCACTATGCCCAGCAAGGTATGAGAGTCTGATAAATATCACTGCTGTTCCTGATCCATATTATTGTCTATACATAAAAATGATAGTACAAGGATGGTCATTACATCAGTGTTGGCAAAAAGGACAGGTGAAAATGCAACCAAAATATCTAGTAAGTGATTCATTTAACAAATTATGACATTCATAGAATAACCATTAGGCCATCCTTTAAAATGATGTTATGGAAATGTACCTATTGCAATAAAAAATGTATTGTTAAATGAAAGATGCAGGTTTTCAAATTAAATGCATGGCATGATTTGCTTTTTGTTAATACATGCATATAGATGCATAGAAAAATATATGGAAAAATAGATGCTAAGACATTAAGATGGTTGTCTCTGGGTGAGACTACACTTTTTTTAAATTCTACTATCTTTGGCTTTTTGTTATTGAATTTGTATTTCATTTGTAATAAGCAAAAAAAAAAAGTCTTTTCATGGAAATGTGACAATTAAAGTATAAAGGTTTCTTGGGAAGTCACAGGTAAATTTTATCCGGTATTATCAAAAATAAAGATTGTCGCTTCCAGAAGAATTCCAATTCTGTAAGAAGAGGAGAAAAGGGAACAGAAAATCACTGTTAGAAACCCCCCCGGGGTAATCACCACCACGGGCAAGCTCCACCAATGGATGCTGAAATTCACGGGTGAAAGTTTGAAGAGCAAGAGAATGTGTGCACAGTCTCAAGGTATCTCTCCCAAGGCAGTTATTAATTATTAAGGGGAAAACAGTAACTTTGCAGTGGAGAGTCTGGCAGTCAGCAGCTTAATTTAGTGGTCAAGGTTAACATCACCAGCAGGGAAACACATCAACATCACGAGCCCCTGATATAACACAGAGAACTTTAATCTCGCCACAAGAAAACAAACTCAAATTGACAGACAGTCTCCAAAATACCTGACCAGGATTCTTCAAGAGTATCAAGGACATGAAAGACAACAAAAGACCAAGGAATCATCACAGCTAGGAAGTAACTAAGGAGACAGGACAACTAAGTATAACGTTGGGATCCTGGACTGACTCCTAGAACGACTAAAGAACACTTACAGAGAAACTGGGAAAATCCAAATAAAGTCAGTGGTTTGGTAAGAATAGTATTGTCCTAATATTAATTTCTTAGTTTCCATACTTGTTATATGGCTACTAAGATATTAATGTGAGGGGGAAGCTGGATTAAAGGAATATGGGAACTGTATTATTTTTGCAATTTTTCTATAAATTTAAATTTATTTCAAAATGGAAAGTTTAAAATATAAACAAGACTGGACAAGCCTAGGTACTTTGGGTTGGGCATTATTGGGGAAGTCTCAAAAAGGGCCCAGGCAGGAAAAGTCACAGTCCTCTGTCTCCTCACATTTGATAGACAATGTTATTTTTACAACTTGTTAGGTTAAAATTAGATTCACACAAACATCGGGGAAGGCAGCATCTCAGTTTTCAGCACAAACCACAGAGAACATTCACAGATATTGTCAAAACTCAATGTTTCTCTTTTGAATTGTCACTCTTCATAATTTCCCCATTCCAGTTCATTGGTTCAGTTCTTTTTTAATCTCAAAGTATCTCGTCTTTTTATGTCATACCTGTAAGTCAACAATAAATTAAAAGATCAGTGATCTTTGAGTTTTAAATATCCCAAAAGGTGTTTTTATTATTACCCATTTCTTTTGTTTGCTCTTTCAAAATCAGATATGAAATGTTTGTGTTGGCCAAGCGCAGTGGCTCACACCTGTAATCCCAGCACTTTGGGAGGCCAAGGTGGGCGGATCACCTGAGGTTAGAAGTTTGAGACCAGCCTGCCCAACATGGTGAAACCTTGTCCCTATCAAAATACAAAAATTAGCTGGTCATGGTGGCAGGCACCTGTAATCCCAGCTACTTGGGGGGCTGAGGCAGGAGAATCGCTTGAACCCGGGAGGCGGAGATTGTGGTGAGCCGAGACCGCTCCATTACACTCCAACTTGGGCAACAGGAGTGAAACTCTGTCTCAAAAAAAAAAAAAAATGTTTGTTCCTTAGTGCCTACTAAATTGGTATGGGATACAGAAAGGCTAGTAGACCTCACGCCTCCTAAGAGAACAGATGTTTAATCTCTTATTCCAAGCCTCCTGGTAATTAAAACAAGTAGCAACTACAAACACAACAAAACTTATTGGAGTTTACTATGTATTTACTTACATTATCCCATTCCTTCCCACAACAATGTTTTCAGTGGATATTATACCATCTTCATTTTACAGTTGACAAAACTGAGGCTTAAGGGAATGAATTATTTTTAAGGCCATAGAATAAGCGGCAGAAGCAGATAAGTCCCAGATGCCAGACACTCCACGATTTATTGAGTATCTCCACACTTGTGAATATTCATTGATGAATACCACTGGAATTAGAGGTCTGCCTAGAAACTTCTGGAAATCTAAAACCATGGGTTGAGGAAAGGATATCTATGGCATGAGAGAGCCTGCTGGGAAGGGGTCACCCTTTCTACCTTGTATAGGGCAACTAAAACTATGTAGATCTGATGACAACAGGGGAAACAAAAACTGTACCATGCGAATCAATTCAAGGACAGACAGGAGCTTGCTAGTCTAGGATTTCTCCTCAGCTATACAGGGATTCCTTTTACATTTTAATATGCAAAATTTCAGTTGACTTAAGATGAAGACTTGATTTGTTAATCACGATAATTCCACATGTGGAGACTTTTACCTTAGAGGGAGTACCACTTTTTTTGAGGGTACTCTCTTCCCTTCCATAAAACATCCTACATACATCTGCCAGATTAATCTCCTTAAAGTTATAATCAATTTATTCATCAGCTGAAAAACCTTAAATGGCTCCACCTGCCTTTGAAATATTATTCTCAATAGTCTGGCTCCAACTTTTCTTTCCAATAAAATGTTATTATCAGTTAGGATATTTTTGTAGCAACTAACAGAAATCACAAATTAAACTGCCCTAAACAAAAGGAAAATTATTTTCTCATTTAACCAGGAGGACAGAAATAGAGTAAGATTTGAGGTTGCAGTTTGTTCTGGTTCCATGTCCCTAAGAGTCTCAGAATCTCAGCCTGCCCCCTTCAATCTCTCTCTCTTTCTGTGTGTGTGTGTGTGTGTGTGTGTGTGTGTGTGTGTGTGTGTGTCTATCCATCTATCTCTCTTTGTCAAGCATTCTATACTCCAGCAAAATGAAAACACAAAACTGCTGATCCCACTCTTTTCCATGGGAAACACACTTGCCACCATTGCTACCCATTCTCCAAGGCCCACATCTTCCACATATCTGTTATGATTGCAACTAAAGCCTCATTATAGTAAGCGGATCAGAATTGTTCCTTGACTCTACTGAGCCAGGGTGGCCACCCTAGCACCACATTTTGGGGGTTCCCATGCTGATGGACAAGTGGCTGAGAAAGGCAACTGCAAGTGCTGAGGAGAAGATATGAGCTCTTCCGCCATCATCATTCATTCATGTATTGAGTCATGACCCAACATATTTGAGGATCTTCCAGTTGCCAGGTTATCTGCCCCTGAAGAGCTAACAGTCAGGGAGATGGACACATAAATAAACAACTGCCACATACTAAGATCAACATTATGATAGAAATAAGCACAGAGTGAGGACACATAGAGAGGAAGTGACAAACTCTGCCCAGAGACTCAGAGAAGGCTCAGAAAGAGGTAACCCTGGATCCATGAAGGATGTCAGTATCAAAAAATATATATATATGTATTCCAACCCATAAGCTATTCCCAAACATGTAAAGTAAATGCAAATACCATCAGAGATGTAAGTAGTTCCATTTTAAATATAGGAATTGTTGGGAAATGACAGGTTAGGACTTTTCAACTAAATATGGGGATAAAATAATTGCATAAAGACAATCCAATCATTATTTTATTGACAATAACAGCTTCTTTCCTGAGGCCCTTCTCTGTCTCTCCAGTTCCCTGTTGTTTGTGGGTAAATATCCACTTGCTATTTTACAGTATTCCTGCTTAATTGGCAACCAGCTGCCTCTAAGAAATAAGATATTATGTTCAAGTATAACTATTGTTTTCCACTCCCATCTTATACCTGAGACAAAGACTGAGAACAGGAAACACGTTGTTAACATAGACAGCATCTTTACAAAATAAAACAAGCAATGTGACATCAAGTTAGTGCTGAGAATTCTCTCTTCAGATGTCAGCTCAAGGTAGGCAAAGACTATGCAATCATGATTTGGTGAGTTTTATTGCATTTCCCAAAGCAACAGGGCCAGTCCTAGTCATACTTCGGTGATGGCTTTTAAATTAAAGAATTAGCTGCTCCCTGAATTGCCTGTCTTGAGGGTGTTTTTACTAGAAACTTGTGTGGCCCTTGGAACATTTGAGATTCTTCAATAGAGAATTCCCCTAATCTGGGAGCTGGGTCTCTGGGCAGTTGGATGCTCTCTCCCTGCCCAGTATGATGTTGGCCACAAGCGCCAGGGAGTAGGAGCATGCTGGGAGAGTGCCCTGCACACATACTTGGATACACGCATGAGTAAGACCACCATGACCGCTAAAGGAAGAAAAACAAAAACATCAAGCCATCACTAATTAAAGGGCAATTAAAGGGCAGCCCTAAGAAATAGGGAAATCCTGAAAGCAAACAAATGAATCTTGAAATTCCAGGCACCTCAGTCAATGGAGTGCAAGAGATTTGCTGGCGGGGGTAAGATTGGGGATGGAGTGCTATTGAGCGTTGCTTGCTAGGTCAACGCTGCTTCTCAAAGTCACTATCACTGACATTCATGTTAACAAATAAAACAATACAGCCATGCTCTATACCAACATTTCAGCCAACAACAGACCACATATATGGCAAGGCGCCTATAAGATTATAACAGAACTGAAGAATCCCTATCTCCTATTGTTATAACATCATAGCACAATGTATTAGTCACGTGTTTTTAGTGATGCTGGTGTTAAGTAAACTGAGCACACTGCCGGTTATATAAAGGTATAGCACATACAGTTATGTACAGTACATAATGCTTGATAATAATAATAAATGACTATGCTACTGGTTTATATATTTATTCTACTATAGTTTTATGATGATTTTAGAGTATATTCCTTCTACTTATTAGAAAAAGAAAAGTTGGCCGGGCTTAGTAATGCGTCATCCTTAAGTGATGCATTACTAGGCTCCCCCTCCCCTTCCCCCTCCCCTCCCCCTCCCCCTCTTCCCACGGTCTCCCTCTCCCTCTCCCCACGGTCTCCCTCTCCCTCTCTTTCCACGGTCTCCCTCTGATGCCGAGCCGAAGCTGGACTGTACTGCTGCCATCTCTGCTCACTGCAACCTCCCTGCCTGATTCTCCTGCCTCAGCCTGCCGAGTGCCTGCGATTGCAGGCGTGCGCCGCCACACCTGACTGGTTTTCGTATTTTTTTGGTGGAGACGGGGTTTCGCTGTGTTGGCCGGGCTGGTCTCCAGCTCCTAACCGCGAGTGATCTGCCAGCCTCGGCCTCCTGAAGTGCCGGGATTGCAGATGGAGTCTCATTCACTCAGTGCTCAATGTTGCCCAGGCTGGAGTGCAGTGGCGTGATCTCGGCTCGCTACAACCTCCACCTCCCAGCTGCCTGCCTTGGCCTCCCAAAGTGCCGAGATTGCAGCCTCTGCCCAGCCGCCACCCCGTCTGGGAAGTGAGGAGCGTCTCTGCCTGGCCGCCCATCATCTGGGATGTGAGGAGCCCCTCTGCCCAGCTGCCCAGTCTGGGAAGTGAGGAGGGCCTCTTCCCGGCCGCCATCCCTTCTAGGAAGTGAGGAGCATCTCTGCCCGGCCGCCCATCATCTGAGATGTGGGGAGCACCTCTGCCCTGCCGCCCCATCTGGGATGTGAGGAGCGCCTCTGCCCTGCCGCGACCCCGTCTGGGAGGTGAGGAGCGCCTCTGCCCTGCCGCGACCCCGTCTGGGAGGTGAGGAGCGCCTCTGCCCTGCCGCCCCATCTGGGAAGTGAGGAGCATCTCCACCCGGCAGCCACCCAGTCCGGGAGGTGGGGGGCAGCCCCCGCCCGGCCAGCGGCCCCATCCGGGAGGGAGGTGGGGGGCAGCCCCCGCCCGGCCAGCCGCCCCGTCCGGGAGGTGGGGGGCGCCTCTGCCCGGCCGCCCCTTCTGGGAAGTGGGGGGCCCCTCTGCCTGGCCACCACCCCATCTGGGAGGTGTACCCAGCAGCTCATTGGGAACGGGCCATGATGACGATGGCGTTTTGTCGAGTAGAAAGGGGGGAAATGTGAGGAGAAGATGGAGAAATCAGATTGTTGCTGTGTCTGTGTGGAGAGAAGTGGGCATAGGAGACTCCATTTTGTTCTGTACTAAGAAAAATTCTTCTGCCTTGGGATGCTGTTGATCTATGACCTTGCACCCAACCCGATGCTCTCTGAAACATGTGCTGTGTTCACTCAGGGTTAAATGGATTAAGGGCGGTGCAAGATGTGCTTTGTTAAACAGATGCTTGAAGGCAGCATGCTCCTTAAGAGTCATCACCACTCCCTAATCTCAAGTACCCAGGGACACAAACACTGTGGAAGGCCCCAGGGTCCTCTGCCTAGGAAAACCAGAGACCTTTGTTCACTTGTTTATCTGCTGATCTTCCCTCCACTATTGTCCTATGACCCTGCCAAATCCCCCTCTGGGAGAAACACCCAAGAATGATCAATTAAAAAAAAAAAAAGTGATGCATTACTGTAGCTAATTCCTTCATCCAGAAAACATCAAGATTGTGATACAGGCATAAAAACAGTCTTACAGATATAGTAGAGTAAGGCCCAAAGAAATTCAATGACCTTCTTTTAGTTCCAAAGAACTTAATCATATAAGAAACTGCACAGTAACATATCAGAATGAAGGTGGAAATTTCTCTACAGGCAGCTCTGGTCCAAAGCATTTTTCTGAACTTGAAAGAGGGTAACAAGAAGTGCTTACTAGGAGTTCTCTTCAAGTCATCATAAAAATCATGACAAATTTTATCATTTTGTAACTCAAGATAATTCAATAATGTTCAATTCTATCTTCTTTTTTTTTTTTTTTTTGAGACAGAGTTTCATTCTGTCGCCCAAGCTGGAGTGCAATGGTGCGATCTCAGCTCACTGCAACCTCTACCTCCCAGGTTCAAGCGATTCTCCTGCCTCAGCCTCCCAAGTAGCTGGAATTACAGGTGCCCGCCACCACACCTGGCTAATTTTGTATTTTCAGTAGAGACGGGGTTTCACCATGTTGGCCAGGCTGGTTTTGAACTCCTGACTTCAGGTGATCCACCTATCTCGGCCTCCCAAAGTGCTGGGATTACAGGCATGAGCCACTGCACCCGACCAATTCTGTCTTTTTATAGATGAGGAAGGCAAGGCCTGAGGGAATACAATGACCTCCTTGAAGTAACACAACTAACAAAGTAAATGAAAAAGCTAAAACTTAGGCTCAATTCCTCTGACTCTAACTGCAAACTATTTCCAACGCAAAAAAATTGTAACAATGATGATGAGTAAAAACCAGAAAAAATAAAACTTCTGCTTTTTTCAAAGATAGGGAACATTCTTGCAAACATCTACACTTTCAAGGAAAATCAGCCTTGGATTTATTGCCTTGAATTTATCTCCATTCCTAAGCTTTCATTGTCCTTGGTGAGTACAATTTGTCTGCTACCTGCTATGTGAAGTTATGCTTCTTTCAGTAAATACAATGCGGGCCTATAGTCCTAGCTTTCCAGGAATTGTTCCGTATTCAACACATCTATACCTTTCTTGGTTTTACAAATTCACTAGATATATTAAAAAATATCTTTCTGCTCCTCAGAAAATCTCTCTGAGGTTGCAGTTTGGTGCACTGAAAGCACTATGAGGAGAGAGCTGGAATATACGCCAACTGGGAAACAGCACGTGTACCTCCCTCTCCAACACCCCTGCTGCTGCAGCTCAATATTTGCTCTTGGTTTTGGCCCGTTTTCATTTCCTGCCACCTGCTTCCGGGCCTCTGCATCCAGGAGAACCTGCCCCTGGTTGAACACAGGAGGCTGTCACCCATCATTCTTCCATTATCACTAGCAGGTGCCTTATTTCCTCTCAGCCAGCTTCCTGATCTCTCCCTCCCTGCTATGGACTTCCAGCCACCACATCTCTGTCATTGCTCCTCCTTAGCTGTCCTGGGTGAGAGGGTTGATCAGGCTCCTAGAGAAGAGCTTCACGTAGGTGTAGGAATATTTGGAGTAGGTCATTATTTTTTTAATTGAGTCACCACACTGTTGTTTTGCCCAGTAAGTGCATGTTTATAAAGCTACTAACACCCACTAGCATCAGGACTTTAAGCAATAATAATATTTTTGCAGGTTCTGTTTTTTAAATAAATGTTAATTCAAAAAATTAAAAAGGCATTATCATGTTATTTAAACTTAGCTTGATTTTTTAAATTTAATATTTGTCCTTCCTTTTCTTATTTCTCCTCAGTTGGATGAAAATTTTGTCACAGACCTGCATTGGAGAACAAGTGCCTTAGAGTCTAGAGTTCAAATACCTTCGAGAACCAGGACATTGCAAATCGCTGGATCTGCATGCAGGGCAGGGAACAAGGGCCCTACAGGAAAGTGAGGCATTGGCCTTAGGTGCAAAATTTTAGGGGATACCAAAAACTTGGTGATCAAGATAAATAACATTTCAATAAAACAAAATTAATGTAAAAATCTATGTATTTTTAACAAAATATCAATTTTTTTTTTTTTTTTTGAGACGGAGTCTCCCTCTGTTCCCAGGCTGGAGTGCAGTGGTGCGATCTCAGCTCACTGCAAGCTCCGCCTCCTGGGTTCACGCCATCCTCCTGCCTCAATCTCCTGAGTAGCTGGGACTACAGGTGCCCCGCCAACACGCCCGGCTAATTTTTTGTATTTTTAGTAGAGACAGGGTTTCACCATGTTAGCCAGGATGGTCTTGATCTCCTGACCTCGTGATCCGCCCGTCTCGGCCTCCCAAAGTGCTGGGATTACAGGCATAAGCCACCGTTCCCAGCCAAAATATCAATTTTTTAAATACAGACAGGATCAATAGCATACTGATTTTTCCTTTATGTCACAACTCCACTGTGGCTCTGCCTATATTGACTGCATGAACGCAAGCCTTGGTGAGAACAGTGGAAATTAGAGAGCACGTGTCCTGAAAGGTTTCACATTTATTACAAAATACTGTGATGCTGTGCTGACTGAACTCTGAGGCCACATATGCAACCTCTAGCCCTAAGGGGGTCTACCAGTATGTGAATATCAAGAATCTCAAAAGAAGCCTTACACTCCATGCGCCTCTCAGGAATGTAGGTGGGTCAAGGTAGATTAGCCAGAGTTTCCTTTACAAAAGGAGTTAGAACACATCATGCGGAATGAAGGGAACTGAAAAACTCAGGTTTGGAGGAAAATGGGGCTATCCCTTCAATGCCTGCTGTGGATGCCAAATAGAAAACCTGTCCGTTCTAGGGGGATAAGAGGTCAAGCTCAATTAAGGGATCCTGTCTGGATATCAGCAAGAAGCATCAATGACTTATGGGGGCATTCTGATAATCTTCCTACCACTGAAAGAAGAGAGAGGGCAAACAAAAAAGGAGCAATATGTCGCTCAGAAGGCACTTTGATGGTAAAGCCACTGTTTGTAGTCTAACTGCAGTGGCTTATATTTATTGAGCACTCTCAGTGCTGAGCACTTTATATACATCACCTCAGCTGGGCATGGTGGCCCACACCTATAATCCCAGCACTTTGGGAGGCCAAGGCGGGAGGATCGCTTGAGCCCAGGAGTTCAAGACCAGCCTGGGCAACATAGGAAGAATTAAAAAAAAGAAAATAATAAAAAGCATTACCTCATGTCATGTTGATAACATGTCTATGTGGTATGTATTATCCTTTTTTCATGATAAAGAAACTGAAGGTAATAATAGCAGAGCTGGGACTTGAACTCAGGTAGTCCGATTCCAGAGCCTGCAGGTTTAACTACTCACTATACTGCCTCTTAGGAGTTAAGACAGGTAGAAAGCACTTGCCCAAAATAATACTGATGGAAAGGTGCCTGGAGAATTTGCAGTCTGTCAATTCTCCCAGACATTTCAAATTTAAGCTTTGGATCAAGCAAGAGCACGAGCAAGCTGTACAGCCATCAGCTTGACACTGAAGGACAGTATAATCTAACACTGAAGGACAAAAGGAATCTAACACAAAGATGCTGTTGAAGGCATCATCCTCTACGTTGACACAGTGTCCACCTTACCCAAACCCATGGGGAAACATTTATTGTTGCTGAGTGTCAAGAAAAGCTGTATCCCTAAATAGTTGCTTTGTTTGTAAATGTGAATGTAGTGAATTCTATACCTGTTTGGTTTCCATCTTTGTTACGGCTGCTAGGAATTTTTAAGCCAAATTAATATCCTACATCTAAAAACTCTGCAGGGCCATATGTCTGCAATATGTGTTTTGGTATACTATGCTCACTTCTTGCTTTATTAGTTTCCTACCCATATCCTTCTTTGGTCCTGATTTCTACAGCTATGTATTTTCTCCTTTCCTTCATTTATTATACTGTCACTAATGTCTTATAGAATCAGGTGCCAAGTGAATGAATGAACAATATTCAAACAATAAGTTGCCTTTTTATGAATTGGAGGAGACATGTGACACCCATTCCAGTCTCTGAATCTCAATCAGAGAAAAGCCCAGACTCAATCAACAAGGCAGTGTTTATGGGAACCCTGTGATTAAAAGGTGGTAGCAACAGAGCAACTAGCAAAACTGCAATATGGTCAGAAAGGGTGAATGATGACCTCCTGTTAGCAAAGAGAGGAACTATAATGACCACCCCCAGAGATTACTTGAACCATGCTGGGGGCCCTGCCAATGAGAGAAGAACTTTGGAGCACTGAGTTTCCATTGATGATGCCAGTAAAAGTTTGAATCTGAGACTTCTATTAGCATGACCCACACATTCTTGAATCCATCCTTCCAGAGTGCAACATCCTATAAGACATGATCATATACACATAAAAGCAGCCTATGTTTTTGCATTGGTTTGCCCCACTGATATGCAGTGTGTCGCTCCAAATCATAATTAAGCTTTTAGGTACAAAGTTTATCCTATGTCTACAAGTTATTAAGTGATTTCACTTTCAAGGGCCCCCTTAATGTTCCCAAAGCTACCCCTGTTCAAGTCATTCAACTTTTTTATTGATTCAGTAACACAGACATAGCACAGCCAGGTTGATTGGTCTGTTCCAAGTGGTCAGCAGAGGAAAGGGATGCACATGAAAAAGGTAAATTTGGATCAGGGGAATCTTATGAGAAGAGGTCTGGTCAGAGCCTGACTCAGGTTGTGGAAGCAAATCCACTCTAAATTCTGTGCTCAGGGGTCCCCCATTTGGATACTGATTGACAGGCTGATGTGCACTTCACCCCATGCCTAGACAGTGATCTGGAGCTCAAAGATACATGGTCACTCCAACACTCCTTCTAAATGATGATACCTGCCATGGAAAATTTCCTATGCTACATTGGAAATATCCATAAAAGACCTTCATGTTTCTGAATCAATCAACCAACAAACATTTAAGCATCAACATCCATGAGTTCATTATTGTGTTAAGTTTGTGGGTGAAACACCCTCCCCACCCCACACACAAACTAAGACATGATTGATGCCCTCAAATAACTCACTATTTAGTTGAGAATATAAGCTTATTACAAATTACAGCATCCTTATAATCAAAGCATTTCGTATTAGCAATAAAAGTTCAAAGAAGGAATAGGACACTGAGAGTGGGGTTTGTTAGAGTAGAGATAGAACTTGAGTTGAACCTGAAGAGTAGGTAAAACGTAATTATGAGCAGAAAATGGCAGCACTTATTCCATTTTGGGGAGAAGAGGAGGTAAATTGTAGACTCAGCTAGCCATAGTAGTTTTGAGCTAATACCAGAGTTCTCACATCTCTCTGGTTGACTTAAGAGACAGTGTCAGATACTCCAGGGAAGGAAGAACAATCCTTCAAAGACCACATAACTTAAACAGTTTTGCAGAATCAATTTCAGGTTTTACTTTCCTTGTTTACCCAGTTGGACTTCATTTGATTCTTTTCCCTTCCAGGTGGGTCTTACTTTCCCAGTTATATTTTGAGCTATAATAATGAAAACACATTTATTGGAGTTGGTTTAAAAAAATGTTCAAAATATGTTTGCTACATCTTTTTTAATGGAATGTATTATCCTTCCAGATAGCTGTGCTGCAAGTACTGATTATGACTCGCTGTACTGGGATGAGGGTACATCTTCCAATTATAAAATTAATGTAACGTAGCTCCATTTCCCCAAGTCTACTTCTGGCTACCTGGGAGACCTTCATTTGTCTTGGAGATGGTGATGGAATTACCTAAGGAATGGGGGGATACAGCTTATCCTTGGGTATGGGGGCAGGAAGATAATTGATTCAAAGCAAGTAGACAGTCTCAAAGCAGCCAGTGATGTTCCTGAAGCCACTAGAACTAGATGGAGCCTACATTCTCCTGTCAAGCTAAGGGCTTTAGAAACACCAGGGAGAGGGAAGCAGCACATTTCGTTTCTTTGTAATAAATCTCCCATCTTATTGTCTAAGACAGTTTGCTCTCCTGAGGACACAGGGCCTGCTTCCTAGCCTTTTCCAATCGAGCTCTTCCTTGCCTACCACCCATTTCCATTAAAATGGTTTACTGGGATTCGAAAGAGGCAAGCTGCCACATCAAGCTTTTTATTTTCTCTGAACTCCCTCCCTCCCCTCCAATCTCATTTAGACCTTTTTCCTTTTCTCTCCCTTCCCCACCTTCCCATCCTTGTCTTCTTCAGTCATCCATTATTACCCATGGGATCTCTTTCTATAGGTCTTCAGAGAGAAACGATTCCTGGATTAGATTTTGAAGCAAAGCATTAGGAGACTTTAACTCAATCTCAATTACTATTTGACACTATGCTTTATGAGTGAAAAATGCAATAAAATAGTGATTTCTAAATTTAACTAGCATTGTGTAATGCAATTATTTATTACAGAAGGCTATTGTTTATCTATCGCCTGAGCTGTTGGTTAGCGTGAAAAAGACAGTGTACAGGAAGCCCTAGAGATCGATCATTATCTAAAGTGGTTAATCAAATATCTAGTTTGTTTCCATGATTTTTCCTCCAATAACCATGTGACCTATCACACAATGTACCAGTGGACTATAATTCAAATCCTTATATCAAAACTAGAACACAACCTAGCAGGAAATGCAAAGAGGTGACTTTTTCATTCTATTGTTGGAAATGCTAAAAAAGACAATTAAGGCAGAGTGAACTATATTTTTCTCCCGCTCACCCATCCTCACTTTGCTCCCTCCCCTAATAACCATAAGCTGAAACCACTTAAGGATTACAATTATCTGTCATCATTATTGCCCGTATTATGACTAGGCTGCTACCCATTGCAAATGACACTTCTGAAAATGAAAGATGCTCTTCTGAGAGATTTTTGTGTGTTTGTTTTTAGCTTTATAGGCTCCTTCAGGCACAATGGGGGAGGATGTTGGGGGGAGATGGAAATTCAGTCAGGAAAACAATTAACTAGCACAGCTTCACTGCACAGTAACATCAAATCATACAGCAATTAGAACTCTGCAAAACCCCTGGTTTGGTTTCATGCACATTTAAGGATGAAAACTGATACGTACACTGAGCTGATGCTAGACTGCAAATGAAAAAATCAAAGAGGTAAATATTGTAAAATTTCATTCTCTGCCTAATCACATCTCTGGAATGGTGATTTGAGCTAAGAGTATTTTCCGTCTGTGCACAAGGAAATTCACCTCTCTCCTCTAGCCTTAGAAAATTGCTAGAGAACTGTCCACCATTCCTTTTCTTCTACATTGAATATAAAACATTAATTCTTGCCAAAAAATAGATTGTACTTGTTGAAAATAAAGGGGTTAATTAACCCATTGTCCCCACAGATTACCAAAGCCTTGATTGTTAAATCCAGAAAATAAATAATTGTAGCTTCAAAAAAAAAAAAGCAAGATGAAGATGCTTTTAAAAGTGGGAAAGATCCACCAATTCTTGTATTGTTGAGCTTTACCATGCAAAAGAAATTTACCTTTATCTTATAAACATGCCAGTATACATTACATGACCTGCAAAATATTCATTTTCTCTTAACTTTTTTTTTTTTTTGTAATTGAGTGCTTTTCTCTTGGATAGTTTTTGGTATAATAGAATAGGACTCAATTTGTAAGACTGAATGCATTCCCCAGTACAAAGCAATCCACAAAGACTCATTTTTTCCTGCCTGCCTCTAAAGGTTTTTCTATCATTTGACCATGGGTTTAAAAAAGAAACAAAGTGTAAGACATCTGCTTCCCTTATTTTCTAAAATAAATTCTTTATTTTGCAATAATTATAGATTTACAGAAAAGCTGCAAAGGTAGCACAGAAAGTTCTCATATACCCCCTCATCCAGTTTTCCCATTTTTTTATACCTTACATTACTATAGTACAGTTGTCAAAACTAAGAAATTGGCTGGGAGTGGCGGCTCATGCCTGTAATCCCAGCACTTTGGGATGCCAAGGCAGGTGTATCACCCGAGGTCAGGAGCTCGAGACCAGCCTGTCCAACATGGAGAAACCCCATCTCTATTAAAAATACAAAAAAATTAGCCATGTGTGGTGGCGGGTGCCTGTAATCCCAGCTATTCAGGAGGCTGAGGCAGGAGAATCACTTGAACTCAGGAGGCGGAGGTTGCAGTGAACTGAGATCGCGCCACTGCACTCCATCCTGGGTGACAGAGCCAGACTCCGTGTCAAAAAAAGAGAAAAAAGAAAAAAAAAAAAAACTAAGAAACTGACATTGATAGATTCCCATTAACTACACTCCAGACTTTATTTGGATTCCACTAGTCTTTACATAATGATCCTCTTTCTATTCCAGGATCCAACCTATGGACATGCCATTGAGTTCCATGTGTCCCCTGGTCTGTGGCAGTTTCTCAGCCTTTCCTTGTTTGTCATGACTTTTACTGTCTTGAGTACTGGTAAGGTGTTCTGTAGAATGTCCTCCAATCTGCAACTGGCTGTTGTTTTTCTTATGAATAGAATAGGGTTATGGGTATTTAGAAAGAGTCACAGAGGGAAGTGCCCTTCTCATCACTTTTTTTTTTCTTTTTTGAGACAGAGTCTTGCTCTGTCACCAGGCTGGAGTGCAGCAGCACAACCTCAACTCACTGCAACCTCTGCCTCCTGGGTTCAAGCAATGCTTCTGCCTCAGCCTCCCCAGTAGCTAGAATTACAGGCATGCACCACCACACCCAGCTAATTTTTTGTATTTTTAGTAGAGACGGGGTTTCACCATGTTGGCCAGGATGGTCTCCATTTCTTCACCTCGTGATCCTCCCACCTCAGCCTCCCAAAGTGCTGGGATTACAGGCATGTGCTACCACGCCCAGCCCTCATCACTTCTTATCAAGAGGTATGTAATATCCATATGATGTCACTGGTGACATTAATCTTCATCTTTGGTTAAAGTAGTGTTTGCCAAGTTTCTTACTGTAAGTTTACTATTTTTCCCTTTCTTTTATTTATTCTTTGGAAGAGAGTCACTCAGTCTAGCCCACATTTAAGAGGGGTGAGGGTCAAGACCATCCTGGAAAAGAAAGTATTTATACATATTCTTTGGAAGGGTGAATATCTAGGAATCATACTGTGAGAAAGACTTGTCTCTTCTTCCCAGTTTATTTACTCAATCAGTTGCTTCCCTTAATTTTAAAATAAGACAGATCATTAAAATGATGAACATCTTACCTATACAAAGCAATAAGAAAATATATTAGGGGTTTTAATTTTCAATTAAAGAAATATTTTTGTTTCTAAAGCCTTTTCAATAAACTGAGTTATATTCATTAAAATATGCCAAGGGGAAATGTACACATGAGGTCATACACCCATTTGCCCCCCCACACCAAGGCTTAGTGTGAATTACACAAACTAGGCTTATTTATCCCAAGCAGTTTATGAAGACAAGGAGCCGTCTGAATTTCTGGCTGAAGCATTTTGGTTCCCTAACAAATATTCCAATCACCTTTCAACCTTACCCAGCCGAATAATTATCTCAACAGAAAACTGAGGAAGTAGGTATTCAAGCCCTCATTGGAAGGCCCCATTTGGCATGCTGTGACACTCTGAAAACAGCATGTGGGCCATCGTCTGTGGCAATGACCTTCATTTCAATGACTCTCTGTCTTCCACTATTCATTAATTCACCACTCTTACCTTCAACAGATATTTATAAAACACCTACTGTATACCAAATGCTGTGCTTGGCTTTGGACCACAGAATGGAAGAAAAGATCATAGTAACAAATAAGGCCTTTAGAGAATAGCAGGTTCCATGTGAGACACTTGGATGGGCGCAAAGGGGGCACAAAGAAACAAGCGCTCACTCTATCTGAGAGGGGAAAGAACGAACGGCTGGATAAAGATGCTTCCTAAACTGTGTCTCAAAAGCTATTTCTTTCAAATAGCTGGAAGAAATGATACTACCCTGAATGCATCCAAACTCATCAAACAGGAAGAGATCATTTGAATGTTCCCAACACAAAGAAATGATCAATATTTGAGGTGATAAATGCTAATTACCCTGCTTTCATCATTACACATATTGTATACATGTATCAAAATACTACACCATACCTCAGAAATATGCAGAATTATTATGTCAATTAAAATGTAACAATGAAATTAAACTTTAACTTTTTTAAAAAACAGCTATTTACCAGGCATAATGCTCGAGTGGATAAAGGTAAAGAATGTGAGTAGAGAATGATCCGCAGAACAAATGAGAACCCTGAGCAAAGTCAATCAGAACTGAGAGTTGATGACATGAGATCACACACCTTCTGTGGTCAGATGATTAGGGACCAACTATTTCTAAGGGAACCCTTGGAAGAGTCATGTCCCCTGGAAGTGTCCCTGATTTGCTCGTTCCTTTTGGTGGTTTGTAGAAGAACAGAATAAAACAGAGTAATTTACCAGATTATGCATGAAAAATACTTTGAAATTATTTATTCTATGAATGTGCTAAAAGATTAGAGCTGAAATCTCGCCCAATGTAGAAGAGAAGGCAACAGAATAAAAAAACATATTTAACCAACAGGTATCAATCTTCTGTCATCTCCAAGCATTGTGCTAGGTACCCTACAAAAATTCTCTCATTTTCTGAGAGAATGCTTACTATTTTCACTATTTTATAGATGAGGAAACTCAGTCTTAAAGGTCAACATAGCAGGTTACACAGCTGGTAAAGCAGGAAAAGCAGGATCTGAATCCAGTTCTATCTTATTCAAAGACTCTTCCCATAATAGCATTCTGTCTTTCTATGGATGATGAATTTAAAAGAATAACAGTATATACTATGTTCTTAAATAACAACAAAAGTTCTTCATATAGCCTGGACTGGTGTCACCAAGCTGAGAGACCCATGATACGTACAAGGCCATTGCAGTACATGGCAACTCCAAGTATCTTTGACTGTTTATGGGTGATAGAATTTAGGGGGAAAATAATGTGAAGCTCTGGAGCTCTAAGATTAAGTCTGGACAGAGTCACTACACTTTAGCTCACCTCTGAGTCAAACACCTAATATCCCAGGGGTAGTGATACAGAAAAGAAGAGCCAGGGACATAACTTGCAAAGAAAAAATTCAGTGAGAATGAGAGGTGGAGGCCATGCTGCAACAGGCTGAGCGTCAAACAGTGCGAGAATCAAGACTAAAATTTTTATCAGATAACAAGTCAAGGTAAATAAGATTTAGGCTCAGACCCCAGAAAGCAAGGCTGGTAGGAACAAGGGAAGAACTGCCCCCCAAACCACAGATAACCTGAGGGGCTAACAGAGCCTGCTCCCTTTTTTTGAGTGTCAGTGCCTTATATAAAAACAGAAATCCAACAGCAACATTAGCTACTCTGAAACAAAGAATTAAGAGATAAAAAAACAAGTAAGTCAAAGAAGAACTATAAATATTCATATGTGGCCAGGTGGTGTGGCCGGCAGTGGCTCACACCTGTAATCCCAGCACTTTGGGAGGCCAAGGAGGGTGGATCGCCTAAGGTTGGGAGTTTGAGACTAGCCTGATCAACAGGAGAAACCTGGTCTCTACTAAAAATACAAAATTAGCCGGGCTTGGATGCACATGCCTGTATTCCCAGCTACTCAGGAGGCTGAGGCAGGAGAATCGCTTGAATCCGGGAGGCGGAGGTTTCGGCGAGCCGAGATCGCACCATTGCACTCCAGCCTGGGCAACAAGAGCAAAACTCCATCTCAAAAAAAAAAAAAAAAAAAAAAAAAGTCATATGTGTGGCCAGGCATGGTGGTTCGTGCCTGTTATCCCAGCACTTTGGGAGGCCAAAGTGGGCGGATCACCTGAGGTCACAAGTTTGAGACCAGCCTGGCCAACATGGAGAAACCCCGTCTCTACTAAAAACATGAAAATTAGCTGGGTGTGGTGGTGGATGCCTGTAATCCCAGCTACTTGGGAGGCTGAGGAAAGATAATCTCTTGAACCTGGAAGGCAGAGGTTGCAGTGAGCTGAGATCACTCCATTGCACTCCAGCGTGGGTGACGAGAGTGAAATTCTGTCTCAAGAAATAATAATAGTAATAATAATAAATATTCATATGTGAATATAAATAACATTTTTAATGTGAAAAAGAAATTTTTAAGTAAAGATAGCTACTACAAGAACATGCTTTCTTTTCCTGCCTTAGTTTGTAACCAACTGAGAGCTCAACCCTGGAGTCAGTGAGAAAATGAACATTATCACTGATAAAGCAGGTATTAGAGATTATAGCTTCAGCAATACTCTTAAGTTATTAAGTCAGCAATGGCCGTGGACCTGCTAATACTGTACTTCAAAAGTTGACTTTCTTGATTACAGGCAGTACTCAACTTCCAGGCCTTTACCTTGGGGGAAGAGGTGTGCCCTATAAAATGTAAGGATCAGAGGATATGTGCTATTTTCAGGAAGGGGGCAGATTCGAGAAGGGTTAAAGGGTCTGTTTCTGTTCCCAAAGTCACCACTCAGGTAAGTGGGTGGTCCAGTGAGAGTCCAGGGGTGTCACTAGAGCAGAGGTCCCCCAACATGGAAAATATGAAGACTAGAATATAAATGTTTTTACAATACTAAGCACATCACCAAGGCATAATCTATTTTAAAAAAAGAAATACGTGTCTAGATAAAAAATGTAAATGTCTACCTGTGAAGAAAAAATATATATACAGTTGATTCTCATTATTCACATTAGTCATGTGTGAACACTGAATTGGTGATATTGAACCATTGCTCCCAGGAAAATAGAGGGCTGGGTTCCTGCAAGCCTCAGATCCCAACTTTTTTTTTTTTTTTTTTTTGAGACGGAGTCTCACTCTGTCGCCTAGGCTGGAGTGCAGTGGTGCAATCTTGGCTCACTGCAAGCTCTGCCTCCTGGGTTCACTCCATTCTCCTGCCTCAGCCTCCCGAGTAGCTGGGACTACAGGCGCCCACCACCACACCTGACTAATTTTTTGTATTTTTAATAGAGACGGGGTTTCACCGTGTTAGCCAGGATGATCTCGATCTCCTGACCTCGTGATCGGCCCACCTCGGCCTCCCAAAGTGCTGGGATTACAAGTGTGAGCCACCATACCCGGCCGGATCCCAACATTTTAATCAACCAATTGATACTTAACTTTGTTTTATGTGTGCTTCTGTCTAAAGACACCTTATTTATTACATGTTGTTGATTCACTAACATTTAACTAATGACCAACAGCACAATAATGCATGCCTGAATGAAGCTTATCTAACACAAGGCTCATCACAGCCTTCTCGAGCTTGGGAACACAAGACATCGCTTCAGCACTATGCTTAGGGGCTATTTGAAACAATGAAAGCACCAACAAAAAGCACAAACGTGGAAAATGTGGCACTAAACAGACGAGGAAAAAAAGCCCCATGTTTCCCATATGACAGATTAAACAGGAAGGTAAAGCAACCTTGTTCTGCTTCATCTGGGAACACGCATGTCAAGCAACACACATTTTTTACAGCTCTGTGCATGTCCACACATAACCAAAAAGTGCAACAAATATTGATATAGAGTTAGAAATAAATTTTGGTGAGTAAATTCGCAAATACAGAATTCATAAATAATGAGGATCAACTGCACACACACAAATATACATAAATATTTCAAAGGCAAATGATAAAATAAGAAAAATTCCTTCACATAAGTCAGATAAAAGATTAATTCATTATGACGTAAGAAGATATTGTAATTGAAAAGAAAAGACGAATATCCCATGCTATGGGTTAGATACGGTTTGTTTGGCCCCGCCAAGTCTTATGTTGAAATGTGATCCCCAGTGTTGGAGGTGGGGCCTCATGGGAAATGCTTGGGTCACAGGAACAGATCCCTCATGAACGTCCTGGTGCTGTCCTCACGGAAATGAACTCTCACTCTCTTAGTTCCATCCAGAACTGGTTTGTAAAAAGAGCCTGACACCTCCCTCCCCTCTCTCCTGCTTCTGCTCTCCCCTGTGACCTCTGCACACTCTAGCTCCCCTTTCCCTTCGGCCATGAGTGGAAGCAGCCTGAGGCCCTTGCCAGAAGCAAATACTGGTGCCATGCTTTTTGTACAGCCCGCAGAACCTGAGCCAAATAAACCTCTTTTCTTTATGAATTACCCAGCCTCGGGTATTCCTTTATAGCAACACAAACAAAGACATCCCAGTAGAAAAAAAAAAAAAAAAGGCCAAAGGACTTATTCATGCAATTCATGCTTAAAGAAATACACATGCTTTCCAGAGAAAGAAAACTCTTTGCAACTTGTAAATGACACAACCTCCCTTTCTTCATATAAGCTCGTGCACTGAGGGTAGGAGCATAGCCAGGTATGACTATTCCAGAAAGCTATATGGCAAAGCTTTAGAAAAAATCATCTCATTTAACCAGTAATTCCAATTTTAATAGTAATCCTAAGGACATAATTTAGGGATATGTGCAAAGATATACAATATGTCCATTGATATTCTTTTGCATTTTTTTATAATAGTGAAGGGAGATGTAGGGAAACCTTGTATTTCTAAAAACAAAATAATTTGGGAGGCCAAGGCAGGCAGATCACCTGAGGTCAGGAGAAGTTCAAGATCAGCCTGGCCAACATGGTGCAACTTCGCCTCTACTAAAAATACAAAAATTAGCCAGACGCGGTGGTGCGTGCCTGTAGCCCCAGCTACTTGGGAGGCTAAGACAGGAGAATCACTTGAATCCGGGAGGTGGAGGTTGCAGTGAGCCAAGACCATGCCACTGCACTCTAGCCTGGGTGACAGAGAGAGACTCCGTCTCAAAAAATAAATAAATACATGCATACATACACTAGTTAAATAAATTACGATGTATTCCCAGAAATGAAATACCATACCTTTAAAATGATGTTAAATTATGCCTTGATATGATACAATATGCATACTTTTCTGTATGTAATTTAATTAATTTAAAAATACATATTATCATGGAGAATTGTTCACAATATCTTTATAAGTGGAAAAAAGTATAAAACAATATTCGTGGCATCAGCCCATTGTTGTGGGTCCACAAATATATTCACCAAAATGTTAAAAGTTACTGTCTTTTAGGGGAAGAAATACTGGCATTTCTTAAAAACTCTTGTCTTTATTTTCTAATTATTTCTACAATTACCATGTATAGCTTTCAAAACAAAAAACATTTCAACAAGAATGTCATATATCTGCAATGATCTTAACACTCTTGATTTTAAAAGAAAAGCTGATCCTTTCCTCAGTGCTTGCAAGATACGTAAGCAATTTTTACTGTCTCAAAGAATCAGTTGAGCTAAATAGATTAATTGGTTTGATAAGGAAAATGACCTTTTATGACTGGTTTATGAGAAATCGTGGCTCTCTTTGTATTTGCCTTTCCTGCCTTCAGACATATGCCCTGTTCCCTTTGATTTTAGCTGTGGAATCTCAGGCTGTAGGCTGAGCTTCACACACATGGGATAACACGTGTGTATGATTACATGATAAGTGGGATTTTCCTGCTCTATGTGCAGAGCGTAATACAATCTAGCAGTTCATTGTGCTATGGGGCTTTTGTCATTTTGCAGTGTGCTGTTGGCAGCTCTTCACTACAAGGTTTTCGGTTTTGAAGGTGGGGTAATAAAAGATGTAGTCTTCTGCTCTCACCATATGGAGCTATTCTACAGAGTGTATGCCCTGCCATTTCACTAACTATTAATAAAGCCATGCTGCATTTTCCTCCATGCTGTTAGAGCCTCTTTAAAAGAGGGTGTCAGGCCGGGCGCGGTGGCTCACACCTGTAATCCCAGGATTTTGGGAGGCCAAGGCGAGCAGATCACGAGGTCAGGAGTTCGAGACCAGCCTGACCACATGGTGAAACCCCGTTTCTACTAAAAATACAAGAATTAGCTGGGTGTGGTGGTGCGCGCCTGTAGTTCCAGCTACTCAGGAGGCTGAGGCAGGAGAATCGCTTGAACCCGGGAGGCAGAGGTTGCAGTGAGCCGAGATTGTGTCATTGCACTCTAACCTGGGTGACAGAGCGAGACTCCATCTCAAAAAATAATAATAAAATAAATAAAAGATGGTGTCTAGGTTTTTATGCAAGTATTCTGAGTTCCAAAGCTTCTCCTGTGCATCAACCTTGCTGGGCATAATCTATACCTTAATTTTAAAATCTAGAGTAATCTATTTTTTATGTCAGTGTAATTAGCCCTCCATATCCACTGGTTTTGTGTCCACAGATTTAACCAACTATAGATGGAAAATACTTGAAAAAAATAAAAAATAAGAATATAACAAAAAATACATACTTTAGAAACAATACAGTATAACAATTACTTGCATAGCATTTACATTGTATTAGATATTATACCTAACCTAGAGATTATTTAATGTCTGTGAGAGTGTGAGCATAGGTTATATCAAATACTACATCATTTTATGTAAACATTCTCGGAGTTTAGTATGGTTTGGGGGGGCTCTGAAACCAATCCTCCCCCATACTAAGGGACAACTGTATATCCTTTTAGGATATGGCTTCAGATGATCTATATAACAATGGATAATGCTTCATCAACAAAAATTTATTGAGCAGGTCTTGTGATCACTACATACTGTGAGCTAGGCATTAGGGACAGCCTTGTCATCTTTGCCCTGGAGGAACATCTTATTCAAAGGGGAGCTCACGATCTTCCTGGGTTAGTGTCTTCTCCATGCAGGCACTCTATCTTCCATGTTTACCTTCCAGGCTGCATATTTCTTTCTGTTGAGACACTGAGAACTTACCTCTGAGTTTTCAGGGTTAAGGTTTATCAGAATAAATACACTCAGATCTGCCTGGCTGTCACATGCAAGTAGCACTTGGGCATTTTTCTAGACTCTCTTGAGTCCAAACTCTCACGCTCTAAGGACATTTCAGACCCTGGGTGTGCTCTCCTCCTCAAGATGCCTAAAAACGTGCTGGATGCTGAGTGTATTCATTATCACCACACAGAAAGAGGCTGAGAAATTTTCTCTCCAACCAAATACTAGCAGGTGGCGTGTATACCCAGATCTGGAAGAGTTAGTATTTTTATAATTCATTTGGTGGCTGGGAGATGGCTACAATGTGATATGTTGTTGAAAAAAAATGTATAACAGGGCGCAGTGACTCACGCCTGTAATCCCAACACTTTGGGAGCCCGAGGCAGGCGGATCACCTGAGGTCAGGAGTTCAAGACCAGCCTGGCCAATATAGTGAAACCCTGTATCTACTGAAAATACAAAAAAATTAGCCTGGCGTGGTGGCGCACACCTGTAATCCCAGCTACTCAGGAGGCTGAGGCAAGAGAATTCCTTGAACCCGGGAGATGGAGGTTGCAGTGAGTCGAGATTGCGCCACTGCACTCCAGCCTGGATGACAGAGCAAGACTCTGTCTCAATAAAAAGGAAGGAAGGAAGGAAGGAAGGGAGGGAAGGAGGGAGGGAAGGAAAGAAGTGGGGAGGGGAATGAGGGGAGGGGAGGGAGGGAGGGAGGGAAATGTATAGAGAAGGAGCAGTATTGAAAAAGAAAAAAAGCCCAGCGTGAGCGACGCAGAAGACGGGTGATTTCTGCATTTCCATCTGAGGTACCGGGTTCATCTCACTAGGGAGTACCAGACAGTGGGCGCAGGCCAGTGGGTGCGCGCACCGTGCGCGAGCCGAAGCAGGGCGAGGCATTGCCTCACCTGGGAAGCGCAAGGGGTCAGGGAGTTCCCTTTCCGAGTCAAAGAAAGGGGTGAGGGACGCACCTGGAAAATCGGGTCACTCCCACCCGAATATTGCGCTTTTCAGACCGGCTTAAAAAACAGCGCACCACGAGACTATATGCCACACCTGGCTCGGAGGGTCCTACACCCACGGAGTCTCGCTGATTGCTAGCACAGCAGTCTGAGATCAAACTGCAAGGCGGCAGCGAGGCTGGAGGAGGGGCGCCCGCCATTGCCCAGGCTTGCTTAGGTAAACAAAGCAGCCAGGAAGCTCCAACTGGGTGGAGCCCACCACAGCTCAAGGAGGCCTGCCTGCCTCTGTAGGCTCCACCTCTGGGGGCAGGGCACAGACAAACAAAAAGACAGCAGTAACCTCTGCAGACTTAAATGTCCCTGTCTGACAGCTTTGAAGAGAGCAGTGGTTCTCCCAGCACGCAGCTGGAGATCTGAGAACGGGCAGACTGCCTCAAGTGGGTCCCTGACACCTGACCCCCGAGCAGCCTAACTGGGAGGCACCCCCCAGCAGGGGCACTCTGACACCTCACACGGCAGGGTATTCCAACAGACCTGCAGCTGAGGGTCCTGTCTGTTAGAAGGAAAACTAACAAACAGAAAGGACATCCACACCGAAAACCCATCTGTACATCACCATCATCAAAGACCAAAAGTAGATAAAACCACAAAGATGGGGAAAAAACAGAACAGAAAAACTGGAAACTCTAAAATACAGAGCGCCTCTCCTCCTCCAAAGGAACGCAGTTCCTCACCAGCAACGGAACAAAGCTGGATGGAGAATGACTTTGACGAGCTGAGAGAAGAAGGCTTCAGACGATCAAATTACTCTGAGCTACGGGAGGACATTCAAACCAAAGGCAAAGAAGTTGAAAACTTTGAAAAAAATTTAGAAGAATGTATAACTAGAATAACCAATACAGAGAAGTGCTTAAAGGAGCTGATGGAGCTGAAAACCAAGGCTCGAGAACTACGTGAAGAATGCAGAAGCCTCAGGAGCCGATGCGATCAACTGGAAGAAAGGGTATCAGCAATGGAAGATGAAATGAATGAAATGAAGCGAGAAGGGAAGTTTAGAGAAAAAGAATAAAAAGAAATGAGCAAAGCCTCCAAGAAATATGGGACTATGTGAAAAAGACCAAATCTACGTCTGATTGGTGTACCTGAAAGTGATGCGGAGAATGGAACCAAGTTGGAAAACACTCTGCAGGATATTATCCAGGAGAACTTCCCCAATCTAGCAAGGCAGGCCAACGTTCAGATTCCGGAAATACAGAGAACGCCACAAAGATACTCCTCGAGAAGAGCAACTCCAAGACACATAATTGTCAGATTCACCAAAGTTGAAATGAAGGAAAAAATGTTAAGGGCAGCCAGAGAGAAAGGTCGGGTTACCCTCAAAGGGAAGCCCATCAGACTAACAGCGGATCTCTCGGCAGAAACCCTACAAGCCAGAAGAGAGTGGGGGCCAATATTCAACATTCTTAAAGAAAAGAATTTTCAACCCAGAATTTCATATCCACCCAAAATAAGCTTCGTAAGTGAAGGAGAAATCAAATACTTTACAGACAAGCAAATGCTGAGAGATTTTGTCACCACCAGGCCTGCCCTAAAAGAGCTCCTGAAGGAAGCGCTAAACATGGAAAGGAACAACCGGTACCAGCCGCTGCAAAATCATGCCAAAATGTAAAGACCATCGAGACTAGGAAGAAACTGCATCAACTAACGAGCAAAATCACCAGCTAACATCATAATGACAGGATCAAATTCACACATAACAATATTAACTTTAAGTGTAAATGGACTAAATGCTCCAGTTAAAAGACACAGACTGGCAAATTGGATAAAGAGTCAAGACCCATCAGTGTGCTGTATTCAGGAAACCCATCTCACGTACAGAGACACACATAGGCTCAAAATAAAAGGATGGAGGAAGATCTACCAAGCAAATGGAAAACAAAAAAAGGCAGGGGTTGCAATCCTAGTCTCTGATAAAACAGACTTTAAACCAACAAAGATCAAAAGAGACAAAGAAGGCCATTACATAATGGTAAAGGGATCAATTCAACAAGAGGAGCTAACTATCCTAAATATATATGCACCCAATACAGGAGCACCCAGATTCATAAAGCAAGTCCTGAGTGACCTACAAAGAGACTTAGACTCCCACACATTAATAATGGGAGACTTTAACACCCCACTGTCAACATTAGACAGATCAACGAGACAGAAAGTCAACAAGGATACCCAGGAATTGAACTCAGCTCTGCACCAAGTGGACCTAATAGACATCTACAGAACTCTCCACCCCAAATCAACAGAATATACATTTTTTTCAGCACCACACCACACCTATTCCAAAATTGACCACATAGTTGGAAGTAAAGCTCTCCTCAGCAAATGTAAAAGAACAGAAATTATAACAAACTATCTCTCAGACCACAGTGCAATCAAACTAGAACTCAGGATTAAGAATCTCACTCAAAGCCGCTCAACTACATGGAAACTGAACAACCTGCTCCTGAATGACTACTGGGTACATAACGAAATGAAGGCAGAAATAAAGATGTTCTTTGAAACCAACGAGAACAAAGACACAACATACCAGAATCTCTGGGACGCATTCAAAGCAGTGTGTAGAGGGAAATTTATAGCACTAAATGCCCACAAGAGAAAGCAGGAAAGATCCAAAATTGACACCCTAACATCACAATTAAAAGAACTAGAGAAGCAAGAGCAAACACATTCAAAAGCTAGCAGAAGGCAAGAAATAACTAAAATCAGAGCAGAACTGATGGAAATAGAGACACAAAAAACCCTTCAAAAAATCAATGAATCCAGGAGCTGGTTTTTTGAAAGGATCAACAAAATTGATAGACCGCTAGCAAGACTAATAAAGAAAAAAAGAGAGAAGAATCAAATAGACACAATAAAAAATGATAAAGGGGATATCACCACCAATCCCACAGAAATACAAACTACCATCAGAGAATACTACAAACACCTCTACGCAAATAAACTAGAAAATCTAGAAGAAATGGATACATTCCTCGACACATACACTCTCCCAAGACTAAACCAGGAAGAAGTTGAATCTCTGAATAGACCAATAACAGGAGCTGAAATTGTGGCAATAATCAATAGTTTACCAACCAAAAAGAGTCCAGGACCAGATGGATTCACAGCCGAATTCTACCAGAGGTACAAGGAGGAACTGGTACCATTCCTTCTGAAACTATTCCAATCAATAGAAAAAGAGGGAATCCTCCCTAACTCATTTTATGAGGCCAGCATCATTCTGATACCAAAGCCGGGCAGAGACACAACCAAAAAAGAGAATTTTAGACCAATATCCTTGATGAACATTGATGCAAAAATCCTCAATAAAATACTGGCAAACCGAATCCAGCAGCACATCAAAAAGCTTATCCACCATGATCAAGTGGGCTTCATCCCTGGGATGCAAGGCTGGTTCAATATACGCAAATCAATAAATGTAATCCAGCATATAAACAGAGCCAAAGACAAAAACCACATGATTATCTCAATAGATGCAGAAAAAGCCTTTGACAAAATTCAACAACCCTTCATGCTAAAAACTCTCAATAAATTAGGTATTGATGGGACGTATTTCAAAATAATAAGAGCTATGTATGACAAACCCACAGCCAATATCATACTGAATGGGCAAAAACTGGAAGCATTCCCTTTGAAAACTGGCACAAGACAGGGATGCCCTCTCTCACCACTCCTATTCAACATAGTGTTGGAAGTTCTGGCCAGGGCAATTAGGCAGGAGAAGGAAATAA
Source organism: Homo sapiens (assembly GCF_000001405.40). Classification (NCBI taxonomy): domain Eukaryota; kingdom Metazoa; phylum Chordata; class Mammalia; order Primates; family Hominidae; genus Homo; species Homo sapiens. Next base: position 177,390,760 of record NC_000003.12, on the reverse strand, counting down.
AGGGCATTCAATTAGGAAAAGAGGAAGTCAAATTGTCCCTGTTTGCAGACGACATGATTGTATATCTAGAAAACCCCATCGTCTCAGCCCAAAATCTCCTTAAGCTGATAAGCAACTTCAGCAAAGTCTCAGGATACAAAATCAACGTACAAAAATCACAAGCATTCTTATACACCAACAACATACAAACAGAGAGCCAAATCATGAGTGAACTCCCATTCACAATTGCTTCAAAGAGAATAAAATACCTAGGAATCCAACTTACAAGGGATGTGAAGGACCTCTTCAAGGAGAACTACAAACCACTGCTCAAGGAAATAAAAGAGGATACAAACAAATGGAAGAACATTCCATGCTCATGGGTAGGAAGAATCAATATCGTGAAAATGGCCATACTGCCCAAGGTAATTTACAGATTCAATGCCATCCCCATCAAGCTACCAATGACTTTCTTCACAGAATTGGAAAAAACTACTTTAAAGTTCATATGGAACCAAAAAAGAGCCCGCATCGCCAAGTCAATCCTAAGCCAAAAGAACAAAGCTGGAGGCATCACACTACCTGACTTCAAACTATACTACAAGGCTACAGTAACCAAAACAGCATGGTACTGGTACCAAAACAGAGATATAGATCAATGGAACAGAACAGAGCCCTCAGAAATAACGCCACATATCTACAACTATCTGATCTTTGACAAACCTGAGAAAAACAAGCAATGGGGAAAGGATTCCCTATTTAATAAATGGTGCTGGGAAAACTGGCTAGCCATATGTAGAAAGCTGAAACTGGATCCCTTCCTTACACCTTATACAAAAATCAATTCAAGATGGATTAAAGATTTAAACATTAGACCTGAAACCATAAAAACCCTAGAAGATAACCTAGGCATTACCATTCAGGACATAGGCATGGGCAAGGACTTTATGTCCAAAACACCAAAAGCAATGGCAACAAAAGCCAAAATTGACAAATGGGATCTAATTCAACTAAAGAGCTTCTGCACAGCAAAAGAAACTACCATCAGAGTGAACAGGCAACCTACAAAATGGGAGAAAATTTTCGCAACCTACTCATCTGACAAAGGGCTAATATCCAGAATCTACAATGAACTCAAACAAATTTACAAGAAAAAAACAAACAACCCCATCAAAAAGTGGGCAAAGGACATGAACAGACACTTCTCAAAAGAAGACATTTATGCAGCCAAAAAACACATGAAAAAATGCTCATCATCACTGGCCATCAGAGAAATGCAAATCAAAACCACTATGAGATATCATCTCACACCATTTAGAATGGCAATCATTAAAAAGTCAGGAAACAACAGGTGCTGGAGAGGATGTGGAGAAATAGGAACACTTTTACACTGTTGGTGGGACTGTAAACTAGTTCAACCATTGTGGAAGTCAGTGTGGCGATTCCTCAGGGATCTAGAACTAGAAATACCATTTGACCCAGCCATCCCATTACTGGGTATATACCCAAATGACTATAAATCATGCTGCTATAAAGACACATGCACACGTATGTTTATTGCGGCATTATTCACAATAGCAAAGACTTGGAACCAACCCAAATGTCCAACAATGATAGACTGGATTAAGAAAATGTGGCACATATACGCCATGGAATACTATGCAGCCATAAAAAATGATGAGTTCACGTCCTTTGTAGGGACATGGATGAAATTGGAAATCATCATTCTCAGTAAACTATCGCAAGAACAAAAAACCAAACACCGCATATTCTCACTCATAGGTGGGAATTTAACAATGAGATCACATGGACACAGGAAGGGGAATATCACACTCTGGGGTCTGTGGTGGGGTGGGGGCAGGGGGGAGGGATAGCATTGGGAGATATACCTAATGCTAGATGACGAGTTAGTGGGTGCAGCGCACCAGCATGGCACATGTATACATATGTAACTAACCTGCACAATGTGCACATGTACCCTAAAACTTAAAGTATAATAAAAAAAAAAAAAGAAAAAGAAAAAAAAAGAAACGCAAAGAATCAAATAGATAATGACAGAGTAAGATGCTGGCATCCTTACATATGGAACTCAGTGTTAACTCGGTGGAATAAACAGCTTCAGAGACAGGCAGACTAAATTTTATTTCCTGTTCCACTACTTACTAGCTCAGTGATATTGGGCTTGCTACTTAATACCTCTGGGCAGCTTTATAAATGAAGGGGCCAGTGAAATAATACCAAGCTAAGTAGATTATAGTAAGGTTAAATTAGATAATATACATGAAGTGTGCAGGAGCTCAGTTAGTCATACCTCTTAAAATTTTGAGCAACTTTAAAGGAGAAGAACTTTCTGCTTTACCTAGAACTGCTGGTATACAGTAATTCATGTACTGAGTAAGCTTCATGAACTGCTACTAAGAGCCAGGCTGACATAATCACTGGCGTATATGATGGATGAGGGACAAGGAGCCAGCCTTTGATGGCATGGAATTCATAGTCTCACAGTCTAGCAGAAAGGGACAAGCAGATTAACTAATAAATATGGTCCATGGGATTAGTCTATGATAGATGTACTACAGACAGAAATTTACAACAGAGGTTGATTAATGTCTGATTGATGTGTTCAGGTAGGACTTCAAAGAGAAGTTAAAGTATGAGCTGCTTCTTAAAGCATGAATAAGAGTTCCCAGACGAGGCAGAAAGTGAGTGTCTCTAAATTATTTCATCATGAACAACTGATGGGAGCCCCTACTTTAACAAAATGCTGTGCACATGGTAGATACTCAATGAATATTGAGTATGAATACCAATATGCTCGCCACATAGACAACATAAAGGTACATAGACAACATAAGGGTACACAGGTGAGGCCAGGCACAGTGGCTCACACATGTAATCCCAGTGCTTTGTGAGGCTGAGGTGTGAGGATTGCTTGAGACCAGGAGTTCAAGGCTGTAGTGAGCTATGCTCATGCCACTGCACTCCAATCTGGACAACAGAGCAAGACTCTGTCTATAAAAAAAGAAAGAGGTAGATAAGTAGTGGGTACTAGTTTCACAAATCTCAACTACTGGTGTGCAAAAAAAAAAATCTTTTTTTCCCCAAAAAAACCCATCTTTGTGTCTTTGTCAAGCCCCTATTTTTTGAGGCAGGAAATTTGATCTACTCACTTCCAGCTCATCACATCCAATTAATGCATTCATTTTCTTCCTCAGTCAATTAGGATTTCTGTATTCTACCTCTTCCCCAACGCTTTGCAAGGATCCTCTTTCTTACCTGTAAAATGGGGCCGATTATACCCACATTGGTGTTTTAAAGATGTTTGTAAATCTCCTACTACCAGGAACAGAGTATGCACTCCATAGATGAGAACAGATGCTATTGCCCTTCTTCGCCTTGATGTAAGTCAAGGATACTCCTAGCACCCTCTAGTACCATTTTTTAAAAGTCACCTTTTTGGCCGGGCACGGTGGCTTACACCTGTAACCCCAGCACTTTGGGAGGCTGAGGCAGGTGGATCACGAGGCCAAGAGATTGAGACCATCCTGGCCAACCAACATGGTAAAACCCCATCTCTACTAAAAACACAAAAATTAGCTGGGCATGGTGGCGCACGCCTGTAGTCCCATCTACTCGGGAGGCTGAGGCAGGAGAATCACCTGAACCCGGGAGGCAGAGGTTGCAGGGAGCCGAGATTGCGCCACTGCACTCCAGCCTGGGTGACAGAGTGAGACTCCGTCTAAAAAAAAAAAAAAAAAAAAGTCACCTTTTTATGCAAGGAAAACAAGTTGTAATGGGCTATAGAATGGCATATAGAAAGTACAGTTTTCCTCCTACCCCGATAACTGGATGTCCAAACCCTACAATTGCACTACATTTTCTCAGCCAGAGTTTCATTTACTATGCTGCTTGGAAAAGAGCTAAGCTACAGTCAACTTAAGTAAAAGTCTGTCTTTTAAAGTACACCCTAATGAAACAAATTTGCTTAACACTTCTCTGAATAATTATGAACTTTAAGTCAATAGAATTTCAACCTCAGAGATTTTATCTAATTATTTTATTTCATCCATTCAATATTTTTACAGAATACCGTGTAGTCGTGAAAGCTTTTGAAATTTCCTAATGAGTTACTTAAACTTTCTGGACTCAAGAAGTCCAATATTAACAGAAATAAATTAGTACAAGGTCATTGGCTGTAATTTTGGCCAAAGCCCCAAGATGATGGTATTAGAATAACCTTAAAATCTGGCAAAACAGTAGCATTCATAGATAACCCTAAGCTATATTAACAAACAGCTAAGTAAACTATTTGTTTACATCATAAAGGCTAAGGGAGTGAGGTTCATATAACTATTTTGCAAGTTTCACAGTCTTCAAGCAGCCCCACTATAAGATACTTAGTGTGTAACTAGGTGGCACAAGACCTAAATAGAGCCAATTAAATAATAACGATGATGGATGAAACTGTTGAGAAACAGAAAATGAGCCACAGCTGACAAATCCAGGAAACTCTTCTGCATTCACATTTTATGCAGTCACATGATGGTAAAGAGATGACTGTGGGGAATGACCAAAATAATATTAGATCTTTGGGATTTTCTCCAGGTGCCACAGAACTAAGGATCCACAGGCTCCAGGCATGAGAAATCTCAGGTTACATAAGTCTTTGTAGATTCATTGAGATTATGTTGAAACCAAACTTAAGGATGAGATCTTCCTTCATTTGCATGAGCTGTCCTGCCTCACTCTTCCTTGCTCAGATTTCTTTTTCTATGACTCAGAACTAAAAGGGAGGAAAAAATAAGGCCAGTGCCTAGCTCAGGAGCTGTGCCTGCTGAAGACCTAGTCCTTCCTGCCATTTCAACCCAACACCATAACAATAGGATCCTTTTACACTGGGCACAGTTCCTTGAGCCCTTCTCATGTGTTCTCATGCATTCAAGGGAGAACAAACACTAAGTTCTACATAAACCAACTTACTGAAGTCTAGTAACTTGAGTCCTTAGGAAACCATACAATATCTTTTGCAACCGCCATGTGTTTTCAAGGATGTGCAGTAAGAAACAGCTAGTTCTTTTTTTCTCTTTCTCCTAGACTTATGAAGAGGAAGAATTTTAAAACAGAAAATAAGGGTGAAAGGTAAGGTCTACTCTATGACCCCTTTACATATAACACCCTTTAACTATGAGAAGTAAAAGTACCTGCCTTCATTTGCTCTTGCCTTTAAACTTATTACCAGGTTACCTGAAAAATTACTTCTGGATAAAATAACCATTTTGACGTGGAATTTGAGTTACAATTATGTCATTCATGAACACATATACACACTCGAACATAATCTCTTCTGTGGTAACAAGCTGTGAAAAAAGTGAGAAGGCTAAAATCTCAACCTAAATATGAATCATTTTAGCACTACAATTATTTGCAAGCACTGAACATGTAATACCCAGATACTCCTGTAATTAAAAGGTGATTCTGAAAAAGTCATTGGTACCATACATATCTGTTATTCTGTATTCCAAGTATTAAATTTTTTATTCAATGTTGACTTAATGTTATTACTTTCTAAATCTCTACACCTGCCTCCTATTGATTTAAGGGAATCATTTGCTGTAATTCAGACCCAAAGCACCCTGAAACCAAAAAGAAGTGCTGATTGATGTCAGACTGAAGCCAATTCTTGGATGTTGTACTTTAAAACAGTTTCAGAATCTAATCTAACTTTTTTCTGACCTAAAGAAATAGCAAGGAATAATGAGAATTTTTTAAGGAAAATACTGTACAGCATTCTCATAAATATTTGTATCTTCTCAATATCAAGAGTATGAATTTTGGCTATAAGATATTCAAATTCAAGCAAACATTAGCATGACAGAAAGAAATTACTTCAGACATTTCCACATTACGCTGCAAAAATTGTTTGTTAAATTAGATGGGTGAAAGTTGAAAATAATTTTTTTCGTTGAAACAAGATTTTAAAATGTCACTTCGTCCCCTCGGGCATCCCTTCAGAAGTTAATTTATTCTATAATGTTGCTGAACTATTCGACATTTTAAAAGTATTAGCTAATGGCACTATATCTATCATTGAAATAGTATAGTAGCTACACAGTATTATCCAATCTCATGACATAACTAGGCATAGAAAGTTCCACTGCAGATAGGACAAAATAGACTACAAATAATACCGAAAATCATCTTTATTTCTAGGAGGCATGGTGGGTGACATTCTTTTTTGGACTTTCGCATTTTTATTTTCTCATAATGACAACTTGGCTGAGTATTAAAATGTTGGCTCCTCCAGGCATGGTGGTGCACACCTGTAGTCCTAGCTATTCAGGAAGCTAAGGTGGGAGGATCACCTGAGCATGGAATTTGAGGCTTCAGAGAGCCAAGATTGTGACACTGCACTTCAGCCTAGGTAACAGTGAGACCTTATCTCAAAACAAAACAAATTAAAAAAAAAATGTTGACTAACTGTACCCCCTCAAATCCCAAAGATATTATTCTATTGAGTTTTTTTATTATTTTTTACCACTGACCTATTGGAAATCCAAGGCAGTTTGCATTTTAATCCTTTGTAGGCAAAATATTGTTATTGTGGTTGTTTAGTGGGGCAGGGATGAGAGCTAGATGAAGGTTAGGATGCCTATAGGAAACTGTTTAAGAATGTATCTACGTGTTAGTGTTGCAATATTCAAATGGGCAAACTCAGGTCTTTCTTCAGCTGAGAAATGTGTTACTTGCATTATATCTTTAACTTTTTTTTTGAGACAGAGTCTCGCTCTGTCGCTCAGGCTGGAGTGCAGTGGTATGATCTTGGCTCACTGCAGCCTCCGCCTCCCAGGGTCAGCAATTCTCCTGCCTCAGCATCCCGAGTAGCTGGGATTACAGGCACCCATCACCACACCTGGTTAATTTTTTTTTTATTTTTAGTAGAGACGGGGTTTCACCATGTTGGCCAGGCTGGTCTCGAACTCCTGACCTCAGGTGATCCACCCGCCTCGGCCTCCCAAAGTGCTGGCATTACAGGCATGAGCCACAGCTCCCGGCCTATCTTTAATTATTTTATGTCTATTTCATCGAACAGATTTGTAGCATAGTTAGAATTCATTTCATGGACATTTTTGTGGTAGTGCAGGAAGTCAATTTTGAGCAGGGCAAAGACAAATACGGGAAAATACATTACGAGTCTCCTGCAAAACATTAAAAGATACAGAGGGCACTACTAACAAAAGGATAGAGAAGAAGTAGATGGGAGAAATATGTAAGAAGTAAAATCTGAAACTACCTAACTTAGTGATTAATTAGATATGAGGGAATAGGAAAAATTAGAGTAAATGCTCACATAATGTATGGGTAACAGTGTCACTGACACCATCATTAATTATGATTAGACACATAGGGGAAGGAACAAGTTGAGGTGTCTGTGTGTTCTAGCTATCTAGTGTTGCGTGACGAACCACCCCAAAACTCAAGGTTTTAAAATAGCAATCACATTTATCTTACCAATTAGCAATTTGGGCCGAGCTCAGTGGGGAAATCTCACCTCGACTCCATGTGGTATCAATCAGGGCAGCTTGACCTGAAGCTGGATGCTCCAGTTCCAAGACAGCTCACTCGCACACAGCTGGCAAGTTGGTGCTGGCCGCCTGCTGGGACCTCTGCCAGGCTGTCTGCTCCAACACCTATATGTGGGTTCTCCATGTGGCTCTCTGACTTTTTCACAGCATGGTGTCCGGGGTCCAAAAGCAAACATCCCAAAACACAGCAAATGGAAGCCATCAGCTTCTCGAGGCTTGAACCTGACACCATATTACTTGCACTATATTCTACTGATCAAGCAGTCATAAAGCCCAGGCTCAAAACGAGAGACATAGACCCCACTTCTCAATAGGAGGCATTTCATATAGTTTTGCAGCCATGTTTTGAAACCTCCATACTGTAGGACATCTTAAGTCCCACTGTGGGACAGATAAGTTCAATAAATAATTTCATTTACAAATCTTAAAGGAACCTTTAGGAAAGAGGTCAAAAAACATATTCCAACTTGGGAAATATAGACAGAGGGACATTTACTGTAATTTTAATGAAGTTTAACTTTCATGCCCCTTACTTCCAAGATGAGGACTTGTACTTAATTTTATATATTTTTCTTACAGAGAAGCTCCAAAATTTTATAAGCTTCAGACTCCATAAAATTTTATGTACCCCTGGGTAAAATTTAAATAAGAGTAGATGAGATTTTCTGAGGAGACTGTATAGAATGAAAAGAGCAGTGGTGTAAGAATGGAAACCTGCAAATGTCAATATATTCACACCATGAGGAGAGAAAGAGGAAAGGGATTAGGAAGGAGATATTTAGAATATAATCAGAGAGTTAGGAGGATATCAGGAAAGAATTTTGTCAAACATACCAGGCAGTAGAAAGTTTCAGAAAGAAGTGGTTGGTAAATAGTCTCAAAATAAAGCATGAAGTTTGAAAAAAAAACTAAAAAAGAATCCTGTTCAGTCAGCATCATGAAGATTCATTAGCAACCTTGTCAAAGCAACAGAAGCTATTTTTCGGCATGTTGAGAATAAATGTTAATTTTAAAAAAATGGAGCTAGCAAGAGATTTGGCTGGCAAACATTAGAAATAGATGCAGGTGTAAGCGGTTGGGAACTAGAAAAATACATCTTTCAGAGGCTGTTTTCAGCAAAAATACAAGGGATACAAAAATATATAAAATATATATTTAAAATACATATAAATATATTATATAATATTTATATTTACATAATATATTTATATGCATTTTATATTTTATATATAATATATAAATATATTTTTATATATTTATATATTTATATTTATATTTTTTTATATATTATGTATTTTGTATACTTTGTATTTTTGCTGAAAGCAGGCTCTGAAAGATGTATTTTTCTAGTTCCCAACCTCTTACACCTGCATCTATTTCTAATGTTATATTATATACAGTTATATAGACTATTATTATATATAATATAATAATTATATAGAATATTATTATATAATATAATAATTATATAGAATATTATTATATAATATAATAATTATATAGAGTATTATTATAAATAATATAATAATTATGTAGACTACTATATATAATATAATTATTATATTATATATTATATTACTGTATTATATATTAATTATATTATATATTATTATATTAATATATTATATGTTAAAATACATTTTTAAAATATATTATAAATATTTTATATAATAAATATCTATAATAAATAATTATAAATAATATATATTTAAAATAATAAATATAAAATATAAATAAAAAATACAAAGTATACAAAAATATAATTGTAACTATTAAAGAAGTTAAAGCAATATCTTCAAGTATTTCCACAATGAAATGCCAATCTCAGATGGCTTCATGCAAAAATTCTCCCAATTTTTCAAGAAAAAAATCATCTGTCTTACACAATTTCTTCTAGGAAATATGCCACCAAATCATTTTACACAATCAGCATAAAACTGATACCAAAGTCATGCAGACATTAGAAAAGGGGTAAATTTTGGCCTTTTTAGTTCATAAATAAAGATGCAAAAATTTTAAACAAATTACTAGCAAAGCCAATTGGAATAGTATAGATAAAAAATAACATCCCATAATCAAGTTGCAATTATCTCAGGAATGCAGGGATGGTTTAATATCAGAAAAATCTATAATGTGGTTCAATGCATTAACAGATTAAAAAAGAAAACCATTGCTGGGCACAGTGACTCACGCCTGTAATCCCAGCACTTTGGGAAGCCGAGGTGGATGGATTACCTGAGGTCAGGCGTTCGAGACCAGCCTGGCCAACATGACGAAACCCCATCACTACTAAAAATACAAAAATTAGCCAGGTAAGGTGGCAGGCACCTGTAATTCCAGCTACTCAGAAGGATGAGGCAGGAGAATCACTTGAACCTGGGAGGCAAAGGTTGCAGTGAGCCGAGATCATGCCACTGCATTCCAGCCTGAGCGACAAGGGTGAAACTACATCTCAAAAAAAAAAAAGAAAAGAAAACCATATGACCATTTTAATAAATGCAGGAATAGAATTTGATAAAATTCAACATAATACAAACTCATAGTAAGAGAACAGAAGTGATCTTCTTAGGCATAGTACCTATTATCAGAAAATGTTGGTAGTATCCTCTTTAAAGTCAGGAATGAAACATTATCATTACTTCTCATCAACGTTATACTGAAGGCTCCATTTATACCAAACACCTAAGTACCCCCTCTTCTCCCAGTTTCTGTGCTAATCTCACCTCTCAGTCTGCTTTGCTAACTTGGTCTCTACCTGACAGTCACAGAGCATCTAGTTCCTCCAATCTTCCTCTCAATCTGAGCTGTACAATTGAACCAGTCTTGAAATTTATGGATGTTTAGCCAGACACAGTGACTCACATTTGTAATCCCAGTACTTTGGGAGGCAGAGGCGGGAGGACCAGTTGAGCCCAGGAGTTCAAGACCAGCCTGGGCAACATAGAGAGACCTTATCTCTACAAAAAAATAAATAAAATTAGCTGGACACAGTGGTGCATGCCTGTAGTCCCAGCTACTCAGGAAGCTAAGGCAGGAGGATCCCTTGAGCCCTGGAGGCTGAGGCTGCTGTGAGCCAAGATTGTGCCACTGCACTCCAGCCTGGGTGAGAGAAAGAGACCCTGCTTCCAAAAAAAAAAAAAAGAAAAGAAATTTATGAATTATTGAGTTCCACCTTTAGAAACTCCTATTTGATTGGTCTGGGCATACATAGCATGGGCATCTGAATTTTCTGTATCTCCTCAGGTAATTCTAATGTATAGCTCAGGTTGAGAACCACTAGATTACAGTTAAAAAAAAAAAAAAAGGAAGGAGAGAGGAGAAAAGGAAAGGGAAAGAAGAGTAGAGCAGTAAGTGATTCTCAAACATGGCCGCACATTAAAATCACCTATGACCTTTATACAACCCTGATGCCCAGATTCCCTTCTATATTGATTCTGAAATCAGAATCTGTGGAGGTATGATCCTGGCATAGTATATTTTAAAAGATTCCACATAGCTTTCTTATATGCTGTCAAGATTGACAACAACTGCTTCCTTTTTTTTTTTTTTTTTTTTTTTTTTTTGAGACAGAGTCTTACTCTGTTGCCCAGGCTGGAGTGCAATGGCGCAATCTCGGCTCACTGCAACCTCCACCTCCTGGGTTCAAACGATTCTCCTGCTTCAGCCTCCTGAGTAGCTGGGACTACAAGTGCACACCACCACGCCCAGATAATTTTTGTATTTTTAGTAGAGACGGTGTTTCACCACATTGGCCAGGCTGGTCTCAAATTCCTGACCTCAAGTGATCCACCCACCTCAGCCTCCCAAAGTGCTGGGATTACAGGAGTAAGCCACTGTGCCTGACTGGCACAAACACTTTAAATCCAACTGTCAACTCTGCGTCTTCTTTTGTAAGTCGCCTGGCTGCCCAAAGGCCCAAGGCTTCTCCTCCCTCACACCTGTGCCCATATATTCACTTCTGTCCACTAGGCAGCAGACTCCACAAGGGTGAGGGTTGTGACTTTCCTGTGTGTTATATATGAGAGCCGAAGCAAAGTTTCTCAAATCTCCCTTAGCTAGAAATAAGATTGTTTCCACATTACTGGCATATTCTGCAAACACAAATGAAGATTAATGGCTAAAAAGAGGAGAGGTACAGGAGCAAGAACCCAGGGAAGTGTTGATATTACCGATTTTAAAAGATGTGTGGGGGGTAAGTGGGAAACAGCACAAGACAGGGAGGAGTCAGCCTATAGTGAAATATGCACTAGAAATAGACCAGCCCTCTCCCCTTCAGAAGCACAAAACACATGGCAAGAACGGAGTCTGCCTCCACTCCCATCAAGCTCTGCACTACATTTCCCAGAAGTGACTTTTTCCACCCTTTCTTTCCCCTCTTTTCCATCAGTATTAAAGCCGGGCGCAATGGCTCACACCTGTAATCCCAGCACTTTGAGAGGCAGAGGTGGGTGGATCACTTGGGGTCAGGAGTTCGAGACCATCCTGGCCAACCAACACGATGAAACCCCATCTCTACTAAAAATACAAAAATTAGCCAGGCATGGTGGCGGGCACCTGTAATCCCAGCTACTCAGGATGCTGAGGCACGAGAATCACTTGAACCCGGGAGGCAGAGGTTGCAGTGAGCCGAGATCTTGCCATTGCACTATAGCCTGGGCAACAAGAGCGAAATTCTGTCTCAAAAGAAAAACAAAAAATAAAAAATAAATAAAGGGGTGAAAAGGGACTCCCCTAACCCTCACTGCCACAGTGGTGAGAAAAGAAATCTTCTCACACCCCTAGAATCCACATAGTAAGAAGGGACTTTCCTGCCTACGTGACAAGATGGGAATCCCCTGTCACAGAAGCATCTAGAAAGTAAGGGATGTCCGTCCGTAAATAGAGTATGCACCTCCCAGCCAAGGAAACCGATCTTCCTTGAAGAACAGCTCTATCTACACGTTTCATACACTGTCTCATTGAATCTGCTTTATCATTCCCATTTTACAGACGAGGAATCTGAACTTGTCCATGGTCACAGAACCAGTGAGTGGTAGAATCCAGTTGTCAGTCAATACATGTCAGAATAGTTCCAAAATCACTGTTTCTTCCATTGTAAAATGCACTAAGTTGTCCTCGTGGTCAACTTATTTTAGTTTTTTGTTTGTTTTTTCCTTTTTTTTCTATAGGTGGGGCAAGAGGCAAAGAAGATGTTTTATGTTTTTTGTTTTTGAGACGGTGTCTCACTCTGTCTCCCAGGCTGGAGTGCAGTGGAGCAATCTCTGCTCACTATAACCTCCGCCTCCCAGGCTCAAGGGATTCTTCTTCCTCCACCTCCCTAGTAGCTGGGATTACAATCACTCACCGCCACACCTGGCTAATTTTTGTATTTTTAGTAGAGACGGGGTTTCACCATGTTGGCCAGGCTGGTTTTGAACTCCTGACCTCAAATGATCCACCCGCCTCGGCCTCCCAAAGTGCTGGGATTACAAGCATGAGCCACTGCACCAGGCCAAGAAGATAGTTTTAAAGGGAGAAGTCAAACAAGATGGTAAAGGCTAAAAAATTGTTCTCAAAATGTTTCCAAAATATCCCTTATCATCTTGAGACGGAAGGCAACTCATTGTTGATCTCATGTTAAAGCAACACAGAATAACACCATAAACTTTTTCCATCTACCGTTATCAAGATCAAGGAACCTGGGATTTGTCTTTGTAAATATTATTGACAAACTCCAGGCCAGCGGGGGAAACCCCTATATAGCCCTAGGGAACACACTTAGCCCAGCCTATGTTCCCCAGCATTCTCGGGTAAAACCCAGCTTTCCCCAGGCAAAAGGTGAAGGTGCATAGGAAGTCCAACCCTGTTTGGGAGACTGCCAGACAGAGCCGCCTTCTCAGACCCACTCACCTGGAGCTAAGGTGCCAACACGGGCGTCACTTGAAAATAAGCAGAAAAGCTCTGCAAGTCCCGGCACGGCCACACCACCTCTGCAGTTGCTTCCATTGGAATCACTCCCTGACTCGCTGCTATGCCAGTTTATTTTGTTGCTTATATTCATTAGATGAAAATGATTTAATTAGGCGATTACGTTCGGGCTTGTTTGGTGTGCAGTATCACTCCTGCATTTTTTGGTTGTGTCCACGTATTTAAACCTCAGGGGAAAGGAGAATATTTTTATTCCCATGGCACCTGTCCTTTAGGACAAATTAAATATTGTTTTCTCTTGCTGCCTACCTCATGATCTCACTGCTTTGGGGCTGCATAATGAGAAAGAAACCATTTCAGTAATTGCCATATTGTGAAGAGCTGTAGGGAACGTTATAGCTACTGTATCATAGTACTGAAGTTTTCGTTTATAGGAATAAAAATAGTGATAGAGGAGAGTCCACAAATGCATTGTTTTTCAAGGCTGGCTCAGTCTTTGACTATCTGTGCCCCCTTGATAAAAAATGGCCAAAGATATGCAGACATAGTCTAACTCCTCTTTTCTCATCTGTGCACGTTCAGGAGAAGCAACCATGAACATGAAACAAAAGGGGAAAAACACAGAATGTTTCAGTGCCGTGCATGCAACTGATGCTCAAAGAAAAAAAAGAAAAATACTTGGCCGGGCGTAGTGGTTCATGCCTGTAATTCCAGCCCTTTGGGGGGCCGAGGTGGGTAGAACACTTAAAGGTCAGGAGTTTGAGACCAGCCTGGGCAACATGGTGAAACACCGTCTCTACTAAAAATACAAAAATTAGCTGGGCGTGGTGGCGTACGCCTGTAGTCCCAGCCACTCAGGAGGCTGAGGCAGGAGAATCGCCTGAACCTGGGAGGTGGAGGTTGCAGTGAGCTGAGATTGTGCCAGTGCACTTCAGCCTGGGTGACAGAGCAAGACTCCATCTCAAAAAAAAAAAAAAAATACGGCTGGGTGTGATGGCTCACGCCTGTAATCCCAGCACTTTGGGAGGCTGAGGCGGGTGGATCACAAGGTCAGGAGATTGAGACCATCCTGTGATTGGTGAAACCTCGTCTCTACTAAAAATCCAAAAAAAAAAAAAATTAGCCAGGCGTGGTGGCGGGCGCCTGTAGTCCCAGCTACTCGGGAGGCTGAGGCAGAAGAATGGCATGAACCCGGGAGGCGGAGCTTGCAGTCAGCCGAGAATGCGCCACTGCACTCCAGCCTGGGCGACAGAGCGAGACTCCGTCTCAAAAAAAAAAAAAAAAAAAAAAAAAAAACAAACCTGCTGATTTGATTTTTAATATGATTTACATTCTAGGTCTTTTCAAATGCCCTCAACATTAAAGACTAATGCTTCTGAACAAAAGCAAGTTCTCTCGTTCCCCAGGAGTCCCCTCTGTACTTTCCAATCCCCTCCCCCTCCAAATCACTCATACAACCCTTCCATAATTTTTCTCAGGCTCAATCCTATACATAAAGTACCATCTTTCTGATTAGGATCTCACATTTTATCATTTAGTAGCTCCTGAAATCTTTGCTCCTCCTAGGAATGCCTTTTAATCTGTCTCCCATACCCACACACACTAGGATGTGATTCCTATCATTCCTCTTCTCGAAACATCTCACAAAATTAATGTACTTATTTGCCTATAGGTAACAAAGACTTTATTTCGTATGTCTGCTCCTTGTTCAACTGCTTTCCCCCATAATGATACAGCAGTGAATATAGTAAGAAAACAGGAATCCATCTGCTGTGTTGGAGACAATCTCTATACCCAGTTTGCTCCTTGTCTGCAGTGATACTTATGATGGCATTTAAGAGAGCCTAGGGAGAAAACCAGACTGGAAACTTGCTATTTCAGTTATCACAAGCAAGAACAGGGCATCCTGCTTGCCTGTCTGTCCTCATTGGTGTCACAGGCATAGGTTACACTCGTCCATGCCCATAAGAAAATATCAGAAAATGACTGAACCATGATCGCTTTTTAAAATTGTGATTCACATATCATACTCATCACATCATTCAAGCCTCTTTGTGGCCGGACGCGGTGGCTCACTCCTGTAATCCCAGCACTTTGGGGGGTTGAGGCAGGAGGATCACCTGAGGACAGGAGTTCGAGACCAGCCTGGCCAACATGGTGAAACTCTGTCTCTACTTAAAATACAAAAATTAGCCGAGCGTGGTGGCACATGCCTGTAATCCCAGCCACTCAGGAGGCTGAGGCAGGAGAATCGCTTGAACCTGGGAGGTGGAGGTTGCAGTGAGCCAAGATCGCGCCATTGCACTCCAGCCTGGGGGATAAGAGCTAGACTTCGTCTCAAAAACAAAGCCTCTTTGCCCATGGCAGCAAGGCTCTGGGGTTTTTACTTTGTTGTTGCCGTTGTTGTTGTATTACCTTGAGTGTTTATAAAAACATCTCAGGTATTTCTGAGTAAACCAGCTGCTTCTGCTCCACTCGTGAATTTTGCAGTTTACTGGGTTCTAGCTCCATGTCAAATGGTAGCTATATAAACAATCTCCTCTACACATGTCCTTTACATGCACAGGAGAGGGCCTGCCTGGTACAGCCTGCCATCCATCCATCAATCCATCCATTCAGAATATTTTTATTAATGGCTTGCAATGCATTGTTCTGGGCATTGAGGATATTACCCTAAACAAGGCAGACAGGAACCCCATACTATGAAAATTACCCTGTAAGATAGAAGCCTCTTTCCTGACCTCTAGATGAAGTCCCAGAGGAAGCCTGCCTCTGTCCTTTTGTAGACTTTCTATAGTTATAACAGGCTTAGCTGGGGCGGCATCCTGCTCTGCTGTTAGTTTTCTGTTCCCCACTGCAGCACGGGTGAATCAGAGCAAGTAATAATCATTGGTTTGTACAGTGCCCATTTCTAGATTTTATTTCATAAACCTATGCCCAGTTCACATCTAGTAATAGAACGTGCTCAGACACTGTGACTGCTGTGCCAGTCAAAGCCAAGAGACATTCCTAATTCAACTGGATAATATTTTAATGTGTAAAACTTGTGGCTTTTTTTAGACAAGAAACATATTAAAAGAATGCCTAATTCTATCCAGTTCAAAGATTATAAGAGTTGGATGCAAAGATCTACAATTTAAGGTTCAGATCTTAAGATTTGTGATCTTACAATTTACGTATCTTAAGAGCCAAAAAAATGAAAAATCCAGTCCAGCATGGCTGCTTCCTGAGCCCTTGCCTTAACTTGGTACAATTAGATATTGCAGATTGCATATCTAAAAGCCAGTTAAGTAGCAGACTTCCCTGACAGACAAAACTAGGAAAAGCTTCAGTCGAACCTAGTGGACATCGGATCACCCCAAATGGAGGCCATTTACCCAGCAACTATGAAAAGAAGCCTGCCAGAACATTTTAGTTCTACACGACACTCTACTAATACCCAGGCCATCTTCTCCAGGCATTAAGTGCCTTCAACAAGCCAAGAAGGCAACTCCCATAATCAAGTAGAAAGGTGATGCAAACTAAGTATTTTGTGTCCCTCCAAAATTCATATGTTGAGGCCTAAATCTCCAATGTGATGATATTTTAAAGGTGGGGCCTTAGGTAGGTAATTAGATTATGAATGGGATTGGTGACTTTATAAGAGACATTAGAGAAATGATCTCTTTCTCCACCAAGTGAGGGTACAATGAAAACACTGTCGTCTGTAAACCAGGAAGACGACCTTTGCCAAGACCCTTACTATGCTGGTGCCATGATCTTAGATTTCCAGCTCCAGAACTGTGAGAAAAGTTTCTGTTATTTAACACACCCAGTCTATGGCAATTTGTTATAGCAGCTGGAACTGACTAAGACTGAGGGCAATCCTCAAAATTCATCAGGGTAATACATTTGCTTCATAATAGATAAGCATCTTTTTAAAAAAATTTTTTTGACATTTTTATAGAGACACGGTCTCACTGTGTTGACCAGGCTGGTCTCAAACTCCTGGCCTCAAGCAATCCTCCCATCTCGGCCTCCCAAAGTGCTGGGATTACAGGCATGTGCTATCATGACCAGCCAGATAAGCATCCTTTAATTCCCATAAATTTTGGAAATTGAGTTGATAAATGCTTAATAAAAAAAAAAACCTGTAATCTTTATAATTTTGTTATTAAGGGATATGTGAATATTTGGAATTTAAAAAGTCACATGAGACTTTGGCCTCTTCATGTAACAGTTCAGCCCTGTAATTCCACCTTAAAATATATGATTGAGTTATTGATTTAGAGTTTAGATTTACACAATTTTAATGATATAATATTGGAAGATTTAAGAGATTTTAGTGTTCCCATAGCTGAATTTGATTTGTTAGATTTACAACAGTTATTTAAATACTTAGAAAAGGTCTGTTAGCTAAAGCAAGCAACTAAAGTCTATAAAAGGAAAATCAAGCACATTTAAATCATAAATGAAATTTAAAGTGTTCCAGGCTGTTTATTTAAGTTTGTGAAAAGGACCAAATATTAGTCAAAGGCTGCTTTAAAAATGATTGTTAAAATTTGCTCGATTTATAAACAGAAAAATAAGATTTATAAACTGAACTTAAAAGCTTAAAAAGAACTACATGTGTGGATTTGTAACATTAATTAATTGATTATTAATTTTTAAAGCGAAAAAACTCAGTAATCTTTTCTGCACACAAAAACTGCCTTGAAGGATAATTTTTAAGCCATATTTAACAACCTTCTTGGGAACTCAGTGAGTGAATGAGGAAAAAGAATTACGCTCACGAAGAAAAGGTAGATAAAATATATTTTTAAAAATATGGCCCAGAGTTAAAACTAAATAGTATGCTTTCACTTACCCTCTCCTACCTTCCAGTAAATGCAGGAGAAATGCTACAAGATAATGTGGATGAAGCAAAAGATCAGAATTATTCAACAATTTTTATTATTGAGTACCTACTCTATGTTTTACACTATGGGAAAATGCAAGAATATGTGGCATTTATAATCTAGTGAGGCAGGTAAGACTCACAAATCTGAAACAGAGAACAGAATGATTCAGTTCAATAAACACTTATTGAGAGCCAGCCTTGCAACAGATATAGTGACTGGCTCCAGGGAGGGGGAGGCGGCTGGGCTCAAAAACAAACAATAAGCTTTATAATTAAGTGCTAAATTGCGTGTTGCAGAAGTCAAGTGAGAAGCATTCAAAGAGAGATAACAAAGTCTATTGGAACAGCTGAGATTTATGGATGAGGTAAGAATTGATCTGGGCTTTGAAGGATGGAAAGGACTTCAATAGGCAAAGGGGGTGGGGCTGGAAGAGAGGGGCACTATGAATCTAGTGTGCAAGGGAAGCAACAAAAGAAACCAGCAGAAATGCTACACATTGAATGACAGTGGAATTAGATCATGGAGCAATTTCTAAATTACACAAAACTAAAATTAAAGCTAGTTACTAGACTAAGCTACTAAACAATAATAAAAGCAATAATAATTACTACCAAACATTGAGAGGAGGTGGCATAAAATAAGATAAATCCTCATATGCCATAGCAATGAGTCAATAGGTACTATTTAAATTTGATTAATCATAAAAAAATTATGAGCATATATTACTAAACCTTTTGTGATAAACACCAAAGGAAAGATAAAGCTAAAATAGGTTGTCTCTGGGGCTGGAACTAAGGATGAGGAGGGTGGGGGACCAGAGAATCTTGTTATAAACTTTTCTGCACAATTTGAGTTGATACCACATGATTGTATCACTTTGATCCAAATATGAATATTCAAAACAAATAAACTCAGTTATTAGGCCATGTTTGTTTGACCCAGAGGTAGATTTACTACTAAGCTAATAAAGCCTAAGCCCTGATTCCTTCCAAGACCTACATCTAATTTTGTATGTATGTACTTTCTAATTTTTTTTTTAAAAAGGCCTTCCCACAGTCATATAAGCACCAGGCCCTGGATGACCCTGGTTTGAACTACAGTCTTTTTCATTTCTCACAGTTCTTTAATGCCTTTCTTCCTTGACATTTCCTAGAAAGAACCTAGTCTCTCTACTTTTTATGTTACTTTTAATCAAGGCATATGGTCTTAGTTATGCTAATAAATAATCTTGCTTCAAAATAAAATCTCTACTTGATTCAGTAAACAATATCGAGGCACGTAGTTTTGTTGTTGTTGTTGTCCATGAAAAGAGTATATTCTTTTATTGTTTTTTGTCCATACATGTTAAGTTTCAACTTTCAATAATAAAATTCAATAAATTTGATTCCTTCATCATAAAAACTTGCTTTACACATTATTTACATGTTGCCAAAGTCCATGCAAAACATCACAAGGATTTGATTGACTCCATGCATGATGCCATCACACAGAAGGAGGAGGGAGCTAATCCAGTAACATACATTCAAAGATTAAATTATAGATACGTACAGTGTATTTAGCACTGTTCATTAATATTATAACACCTTCCTCTCAAAGACAGGCATTCTTAAGCGTTAATCACAATATA
Organism: Homo sapiens; assembly: GCF_000001405.40. NCBI lineage: Eukaryota > Metazoa > Chordata > Mammalia > Primates > Hominidae > Homo > Homo sapiens. The sequence continues at coordinate 177,370,784 of NC_000003.12, read as the reverse complement.
CCAGAATTTGCACTTAGATTTTTAAACAAAGAAATGAACAAGGGGGAGTGGTGATCTAAAAAAACGTCCCCTTGACAGAGTTTGAATTGAAGTTGGGAGAGCCTGGAAGCACAGGGACCAGTTGGCAACTGTTGCAGTAACTGCTTGGTGAGATATAAAGGCTTGGATCAGCTGGTAATAGAAGTAATGAAGAAAATGAGACAGATGCAGGGGCTATTTTAGAAAGGAATTGACCAGGTCGGGTTACCAGCTAAAGACCTGCCCTACAAATAGTTAGGATACTTCCAAGTTACACTTTGGGATAGAGCTTGATTTTTCACTCATTTTTTGGCAAATGTCTCACAGGCTTCAACTGAAAAGTTGACCAGTAAAGCCAATTTGAATGAATGCAGCCTGCCAGTCCCTCTGTAATTCTAGTCAAATATTTATGGATGGAATTCTACCAGTGACTTTCTTTTAATAACAAAATCATGAATTGTCTAGCCCTGGATATGTATTCATATTCTTGTACACAATCTTAGGAGCATGTGCTGATGAGACAGGCTAATAAATGGATTCAATTAAAACAGCTGACAATCTTTTGGACCAAGGGAGTTCTCACTTGGACAGTTTATATAGCTGCCTATATTCTTACTGCGGCAGATTCTTAACAAATCCACGTCCTAGAAGAAGAGGCACATCACAAAACTGTTCTGCAATAGTAAAGCTACGTGGCAAACAAAAACAAATCCCAAGCTAAAGAATTTGGGGGAGAACATCTAATATTTTGTATTGGTCTTGTGACTTGTATTTCTTAATATCTCTACAATGTATTTTGAGTAGTGTGTCTACATCATGAGGATTCTGAATACATAAACTGTAGGTCTTTGAATTTCTCTGTGGAAATAAGAAATTTAAAATCATGTTTGTATGCAGCCAACCCAGCACAGCTGACCTGAAAAGTGAAGCCACTTAATAATGCACCTGGGTTGTTTCCTGATTGATTGATGATTGATTGACTGTCATGCATATGGAGAAATTAGCAGCCAGGCTTGAAACTTGGTAGGAACTGCTCTCCTTTATCTTTCATCCTCTGTCATGGGTTGGTTTTTTTGTTTTTTTGTTTTGGGGGTTTGTTTGGTGGGTTTTGTTTTTGTTTTTGTTTTGTTTTTTTTTTTGAGTCGGAGTCTCACTCTGTCGCCCAGGCTGGAGTGCAGTGGCGCAATCTCGGCTCACTGCAAGCTCTGCCTCCTGGGTTCATGCCATTCTCCCACCTCAGCCTCCCGAGTAGCTGGGACTACAGGCGCCCGCCACCATGCCTGGCTAATTTTTTGTATTTTTAGTAGAGATGGGGTTTCACCATGTTAGCCAGGACGGTCTCGATCTCCTGACTCGTGATCCACCCGCCTCAGCCTACCAAAGTGCTGGGATTACAGGCGTGAGCCACCGAGCCTGGCCCACGGTGGGTTGTTTTTGTTGTTGTTGTTGTCGTTGTTTGTCTTACAAATGGAGCCTAGGCGGGGCACGGTGGCTCACGCCTGTAATCTCAGCACTTTGGGAGGCTGAGGTGAACAGATCACGAGGTCAGGAGTTCAAGACTAGCCTGGCCAACATGGTGAAACCCCGTCTCTACTAAAAATACAAAAAAATTAGCTGGGCCTGGTGGTGGGCGCCTGTAATCCCAGCTACTTGGGAGGCTGAGGCAGGAGAATTGCTTGAACTCAGGAGGTGGAGGGTGCAGTGAGCCAAGATTGTGCCACTGCACTCTAGCCTGGGCAACAACAGCAAGACTCTGTCTCAAAAAAAAAAAAAAAAAAAAAAAGTGGAGCCTAATGCTCTACCCTTTTGTTTTTAAAAAAATAACTTTGATTGCATCAATAAATACTAAAATTATACTCACTAATCATAATGCCTACTAAGTGCAGAAGTTGAGTTAAGAAGTGGAAATACCGGGCACAGTGGCTCACGCCCGTAATCCCAACACTTTGGGAGGCCAAGGCTGGTGGATCATCTGAGGTCAGAAGTTCTGGACCAGCCTGGCCAACATGGGGAAACCCTATCTCTACTAAAAATACAAAAATTAGCTGGGCCTGGTGGCAGGAACCTGTAATCCCAGCTACTCAGAGAGGCCAAGGCAGGTGAATCACTTGAACCCGGGAGGCGGAGGTTGCAGTGAGCCGAGATAGCACCATCGCACTCCAGCCTGGGGGACAAGAGTGAGACTTTGTCTCAAAACAAACAAACAAACAAACAGACAAACAAAAAGAAGTGGAAATACAGGCCAGGCGCGGTAGCTCATGCCTGTAATTCCAGCACTTTGGGAGGCTGAGGTGGGCAGATCGCCTGAGATCAGGAGTTCCAGACTAGCCTGGCCAACATGGTGAAACTCCATCTCTATTAAAATTACAAAAAAATTAACCGGGTGTGGTGGTGCATGCCTATAGCCTAGCTACTCAGGAGGCTGAGAAGGCAGAATCACATAAACCCGGAAGGCGGAGGCTGCAGTGAGCAGAGATCATGCCACTTCACTCCAGCCTGGGCAACAGAGTGAGACTCCATCTAAAAAAAAAAAAAAAAAGTGGAAATACAGAGCTAAATATGTGAAGTGCCCCTGCAATAGCTCGAAAACTAGTGAGCAAATTAAACAGAAAACCACCCTGTGAGTGCGATGATGGAGACATATTCGTTTCCACATTCTATTCTCTCATCCTCATGTAAAAGGAAGTGGGGGAGACTTTCAATGCATCATAAATTTTACTCCCCTCTAGATTGCAACCTTTCTGACATTTTCTCCCACTTTCCACTATTATTTGTCCTTGTTCTCTTCACAGCTGAAAGCTCTCCCTCTCTGCTGGCTCCTTGCCATCATCCGCATTATTAGTATGCTGACGCAGTGCCCGTCTTCATATATACCTATATATGCCTCCAACACAATGCAATCTTTATTAAAAGGTTGTGTTGGCCAGGCACGGTGGCTCACTCCTGTAATCCTAGCACTCTGGGAGGCTGAGGCAGGCGGATCACCTGGAGTCGGGAGTTCAAGACCAACCTGACCAACATGGAGATACCCCATCTCTACTAAAAATACAAAAAAATTAGCTGGGCGTGGTGGTGAATGCCTGTAACCCCAGCTACTTGGGAGGCTGAGGCAGGAGAATCGCTTGAACCCGGGAGGTGGAGGTTGCAGTGAGCCGAGATCGCGCCACTGCACTCCAGCCTGGGCAACAAGAGTGAAACTCTGTCTCAAAAAACAAACAAACAAACATAAATAAATAAATAAATGGTTGTCTCCAATAACTGCCTCCTTGGCCACACCACCCACTTTCTTCTCACCCACTGTAGTTTCCCACCTGCTACTTCTCTCCAGAAACTGCTCTTGCCAAGACAGCTACTCATCCCCTTAGGCCAGAACCAACGGTTTATTTCTGTGATCTGTTAGCTGTTTTCACACTGTTGAATTCTCTTACTACCCTTAACATCCTTGCAAAAAATAAAAAAAAAAAGCAAACAAACAAACAAAAAATTCCTGGTTTTCTGTCTTCTTCTCTGGCTATTTCTTCCCAATCTCTTTTGCTGATGATCCTTTTAAGTATTAGTTTAATATGATCCCTGGGTTTTGTTTTCTGTCTCTCTTCTCTTTGTATACAGCCTCCAGTGATCTCATCCTCTCCAATCACCATCTAAGAGAATACATTTGATTTAAAATTATTTTAAGTGTCCTAGACTGAATTTCTCAGGTACACCCTAAAATGGAGCCCAAATCCCTAAGGTGACTCCAGAATGAAACTTTTTTTTTTTTTTTTTTGAGACAGAGTCTCGCTCTGTCATCCAGGCTGGAGTGCAATGGCGCGATCTTGGCTCACCGCAACCTCCGCCTCCCAGGTTCAAGCGATTCTCCCGCCTCAGCCTCCCAAGTAGCTGGGATGACAGGCGCCTGCCACCATGCCCGGCTAATTTGGTATTTTTAGTAGAGATGGGGCTTCTCCATGTTGGTCAGGCTGGTCTCGAACTCCTGACCTTGGGTGATTCACCCACCTCAGCCTCCCAAAGTGCTGGGATTACAGGCCTGAGCCACTGCCCCCAGCCGGAACTGACTGCTTAAAGCCCTCAGTATTCTCATTGGTGAGAACAGATTAAATAGCCAGGAGCACGGAAGACCGGCTTACCCTCCAGAGGCTGCTTTAGCTCATATTGGAAATTCTTGCAAAGCCCCAGAACTACAAAGAAGAAAATACAAGTAAAGAACAAAAGGGCGGGCCGGGCCCAGTGGCTCACGCCTGTAATCCCTGCACTTTGGGAGGCCGAGGTAGGCGGATCATGAGGTCCGGAGATGGAGACCCTCCTGGCTAACGCGATGAAACCCCGTCTCTACTAAAAATACAAAAAGTTAGCCAGGTGTGGTGGCGGGCACCTGTAGTCCCAGCTACTCAGGACGCTGAGGCAGGAGAATGGCGTGAACCCTGGAGGCTGAGCTTGCAGTGAGCCGAGATTGCGCCACTGCACTCCAGCCTGGGTGACAGAGCAAGACTCCGTCTCAAAAGAAAAAAAAAAAGAAAAAAGAAAAAGAAAAACAAAAGGGCACGCTGGATTACCAGCTATCTCCTTTAGAAATTCGTGGCTTAGGCTGGGTGCCGTGGCTCACGCCTGTAATCCCAGCACTTTGGGAGGCCAAGGCATGCAGATCACGAGGTCAGGAGATCAAGACCATCCTGGCTAACACGGTGAAACCCCGTCTGTACTAACAATACAAAAATTAGCCGGGCGTGATGGCGCATGCCTGTAGTCCCAGCTACTCTGGAGGCTGAGGTAGAATTGCTTGAACCCGGGAGGCGGAGGTTGCAGTGAGCCGAGATCATACCACTGCACTCCAGCCTAGGTGACAGAGCGAGACTCTGTCTCAAAAAAAAAAAAAAAGTTTGTGGCTTCCTTTGAACTATTTTCTTTTGTTTATTTGTTTGTTTGTTTATTGTGAGACGGAGTCTCACTCTGTTGCCCAGGCTGGGGTGCAGTGGCACAATCTCAGCTCACTGCAACCTCCACCTCCCGGGTTCAAGTGATTCTCCTGCCTCAGCCTCCCACGTAGCTGGGACTACAGGCGTGCACCACCACCCCTGACTAATTTTTTTGTATTTTTAGTAGAGACAGGGTTTCACCATGTTGGCCAGGCTTATCTCAAACTCCTGACCTCATGTGATCTGCCCACCTTGGCCTCCCAAAGTGCTAGGATTACAGGTGTGAGACACCACGCCCAGCCCGCTTTGAACTATCTTCTTCCAAACAACAACAACCTGAGAAGGTGGTTTGTGCAATGGGGAATGAAGGGTGAGGAGAGACAGCTGACCATACCTAGGAAGGAATAGGAGTAGTTCTTCAACTCAGTCTATGGTAGAGGGAAAGGGTGGGGTGAAGAGGAGCACAACCATGTCCAGGTTATTCTCACTGAAATTATCTCAGTGGAAAAGGAAGAACCAAGCTAATGACATCCTGAGCCAAACGGTAACTATGAGAAAGGCCAGTGCTGTAAATGCTAGTCTAGCCACCAACCACCAGCAGCCCCACGAGGAGCCAGAGGCTCCCGGGAAAGATCCCCTTCGCAGTTCCTAAGCTCCCATAGAATGGGCCACAAAATACATCTGGGCCGACAATTCAAACATAATGTGTTATTAGTACAATCACTGGCTACATTGACCTCCACTTCTTTCCTGTTTACTGCAAGAACCCAGAACTGACTTTTTTCTAGGACAGCCGTCTTCAAACTGTGGATGCATGAAGACTTTCCAAGGGATACACAGAAAAGTCCACTTTTAAGGGAATCAATTTCCTCAACTTATATGTGTAACTGTCTGAGAAAGAGCTTAACATCAAGGTGACCTCTTTATCTCCTGCCTTCTACTTTACTGAAGAAATGCATACCTTGGACACACTCCAAATCTTACTGTGGTGCATGGCCCCAACCATGAGCACCAGCAAAGGAAGAATTAGGTCTCAGAATCAGTGTGGAGATGGCCAGGCATGATGGCTCATGGGGCAGGCAGATCGCTTGAGTCCAGGAGTTCGTGACCAGCCTGGGCAACATGGCAAAATCCTGTCTCTACAAAAGATATAAAGATTAGCCTGCTGCAGTGGCATATAGCTGTAGTCCCAGCTACTTGGGAGGTTGAGGTGGAGGATGACTTGAGCCAGGGTGCAGTAAGCCAGGATGGCGCCACGGCACTCCAGCCTGGGTGACAGAGCAAGACACTGCCTCAAAAAAAAATCAATGTAGAGGAAGAATCATTCCAATGACTTAAAATAAGTACTTTTGCTCATCAGATGGCTTCTTATTCTTTGCTCTCCACAAGACTGAAATAGAGTTTCATCACAACTGATTTCTGGCAAGCCATGAGATCTTTGACAAATGATTCAGAAGGAGTTTGGAGAATCTGGGGATAATATTGCTATTAAAAAAACTACTTACATCACCTATATATGTTATCAAGTTTCTTGAGTATGTCTGTGCACGTGCACGCACATATGTGAACAACAAATTAGAAACAGAATTGATGCTGAACTTGTCAGTCTAGTAATAGATAATATTAGTCAACCATAGCTACATAAGCTAATTGGAAGAAAAGCCATATTCTCCTGATTAATATATATATTATCAATAAAAGTTAACACTTTGGCCGGGCGCAGTGGCTCACACCTATAATCCCAGCACTTTGGGAGGCTGAGGCGGGCGGATCACTTGAGGTCAGGAGTTCAACACCAGCTTGGCCAACATGGTAAAACCCTGTCTCTACTAAAAATACAAAAATTAGCTGGGCATGCTGGCGCATGCCTGTAATCCCAGCTACTCAGGAGGCTGATGCAGGAGAATCACTTGAACCCAGGAGGCAGCAGGAGAATCACTTGAACCCGGGAGGTGGAGGTTGCAGTGAGCTGAGATCACGCCACTACACTCCAGCCTGGGCAACAGAGCAAGATTCTGTCTCAAAAAAAAAATCTTTTACTCTTAGAGCCATATAATCACACATAATTTTTTAATTAAAATTTATATTTATTTTGTTGATGAGATATAAATATGGCTACATCAATTCGAGGAGAAAAAAATGATATAAAACCTGCCAGTGTTAAAGAAGAGCTTGCTCATGAATTTTTTAAGTGAACGATGATGGGTATCCGATTGCTGTGGTATTTGGATCCTATTGGATACATTTTTTAAAGTGATGTTATGTTAAAATGTCAACTTTTTGCAATATACTAGATATTATTTCCTTTGCAACAACTTCCACTTAGGATGCCAAACTGTAGCTATCATTTTTAAAAAGAGCCCGGAATACATTGTTTTTCAAGATTCTTTTAGGGGGTACATGCACAAAACAGTGTGATGCTGACAACTAATATGGAATAGCAGTCCCCTAACCTTTTCATAAGGAAGTATCCCTTCTTGAACATTTTAAAAATAAAAGCAGTCATAGTTTTACTTTCTATACCTATTAACCAAGAAAAATCAAGTAACAAAAAAACAAACTAGTAGGTATTCAGTAACACTTAAAATTATTAAATGAATTGTTATATTCATCAAAATAGCATCTAAAGATTTTAACCCATATAGATGTGAAGTATATGATCCACTTATCTAGAGAATATCTAGGACACCCAGTGATTCACAGCAACTCTGTACTACACTACAGCCTCCAGTCTCGGAACCACACTGGATGGGTTCCGTTGACCTTTGCAGAGTGGTCTTTCCCTGTGGGGAGGCTAGAAAAATACTGAAGCAGCTCATTTCAAGTGGATATCCTGCTAAGGTATACACAGATTCAAATGCTTTCTGCAGTCAAGCAAGTAGCTTAAATGAGGGAACCTGCCTATGGGTGAGAAAAGAGGGAGAGGCTGGAATTGTAGGCAACAGAAGGCTGTGTGCCGGGTTTCAAAGGGGCAGCTGCTATCCAGCCCCACCCAATTGTTGACAAGGCTTCTGTTGCCTGCAGCTTTTTACTTTTCAGGAAAAGCTGGATTTTCCTGTGAATCCTCTGGATTTTTAATCCAACTTTTCTAAAAACAACTGTTCAGGCTAACCTAAATACAAATGGGAGCTAAATCCACGTTCAATGTCTGCACCAGTGCAACTGGAAGTGTGGTCCCAGGTTCAACAACTGTTTCTTGCATTCCACAATGAGATGTGCATAGCAACTGAGAATAACACTTAGAAATAGCCATAACAGTTTGACAGGGTAATTTTGTCATGTAATTTTCTGAATCTAATAATAAAAAATTGGCTTGTATCTTATACATCTGTTTTATTTCCCTAATTTTTTAGAAACAAAAATATCAGTGGGCAGTAGATTAAAAATCTTGCCCATGACAGTTTAAGAAGCATTGCTGTGGTCTTCATCAAAGCAAGCGGACCACTGGAGGATGCTGTATTTGATAACTGAATCTCCGTGTCTAGAATCGTCACATGGACCGCCTGAAAGAGACAAGCCTATGAATCAAAATGCAACCAGTTCTTTCCAGCTGACAAATATTTGGCAGTAAAGAACCAGAGGAACGGGGGAAATAATGTCACTCCCGGAGGACCGCTCCTAGCCCATCAGATTACCAGGGTTCCTCCAGGGCCAGCTGTGGGAGGAATAGCCTGATGCCACGGTCACCTGGAGTTCCTTCTCCCTCCCACAGCACAGGAGGACCAGCCCCTTAGAGGCCCTCACTGAAGGGCAGAGGGCATGCTCTCAGGCGGTCATTTCTGTGTCTACCTGTTCCAACACACTGAGCTTGTCCAGGGCAGAGACTCCTGCTCCTCCATCCCCCCAACATGGCTCTTCTTCACTGAATTCTCTCCTCCTCTGCCAAATATAAGGTTCCTTGCTAGGCAAAGAACCTTGTCAGCCTCTAGTTAGGGGTGCTGAACTTTGGCAACTGGTAGCCTGCCTCCTACTTATCAGGTTCTATCCAAGCTGATCCTCCAGACTTTGTCCTCCCCTGCTTAGGCAGAAACTCTAGGGTAGGAAGTCCGTTGCCCGCTGCCGAAGCTCAGCACCCAAAGCAAGGTGGCCCACGTCCTTCCCTAGCACGGATCCCTATAGTAGGCAGTTGTGTCTGGGAGAGGCTAAGGCAAAGACGAGAGGGTCAGCTGGGCTAAAAACCGGAAGTGCTTAGAGACTGAAGAGTTTCTTCATCTTGAGAACCAAAAAGACAGACTGTCAGGTCTGCATGCTCCTCTCTGAGCTGAGGGAAACCCCCTAGGTAAATAGCTCCCAGTTGGAGGCGAGTGCCCCGACCCTTCCCCACTTCAGCAGCTTCAGCCTCCAGACTCAACACATGCTGGGCCATCTTGGAGGTCTGGTGTTCCAGGCCTCCCCAGCTGCCTGCACCTCCGAAAGGGGAAATGGGGGTGGGGTGGGAGGGCCAGGCCTGGGGAAGTGATTTTAGAAGTGCAAGTCTGGTGGGAGAGTTTTTCCGTCAGACCATCTGGAGGGAAGTAGTCATAATCTACTACAAGTTCTCCCGAAATGATCAAGTACACATAGGGAAATTGTTACATTGTTGAAAAACATGTCTGCTTCGCTTCCTCCTGGGGAGCTCTAAAGACTTTTATCAGAGATGGACTCCCTGCTTGAGGTACAGAGAGATTAAGATGAGGCCAAAGAACAGCTCTCTCCCCTTGTAATTCTCCAGGTAGCCAGTTTTCAGCTGGCTGCCATTTTTTGCAATTTAAGATGCTAAGAGAATTTAAATGAGATCAGCCCTGTGTGTGTAAAGAAGGAAACAGTCTGTATGGCCAAACAGAAAAGGTACCATGTTGTATGAGTTACTGCCTTTCACGTTAACTGGTGTGTGTGTGTGTGTGTGTGTGTGTGTGTAGAACAAAAGTACAGTTGTCTATACAATTAGTTATTTAAGCTATTTCAAGTACCATTACAGCAAGGGGGAAGGGAGGGAACATCTAAACTACATAAAATTATTTTTAAAAATTCGTTCTAGAAAAAAGGAAATGCCAGAGTAGTAAGATAAGGAGTCTTAATTAGCAACAAATTCATCTATTTCCTTCCTCCAAAACCGAGACAGTCTTCTAAGGCAATTTGCTTGGAGAGCAGTTTTGCGCCATAAATCTGGGACATGTTTTTCATGTGTGTTTGCCCTGTGTGAGGCTTAAGAAAAACACAGCAACCAAACCATCCAGTTCAGCCCTGGAGGGAAAGACCTAGAAGACCTAATCACCCGTGATGGCGATTACATAACAGAGAATCGCGCGCGCGCGCGCGCACACACACACACACACACACACACACACACACACACTCCAAGAGTCTCAAAAAAAAAAAAAAGAAAATCAGCCTTTGGCTTCCTGTCACAGAAGATATCTCCTTTTTTTTTTTTTCCTTTGTGAGGATCACTAAGAATGCTTCTTAAAGACCAAGTGGATGTCTTTGGTAGAAATAGAGGTCACTTAAGGATGATTTATAAGTGCACCCGAAGGCAAAATGAAGCATGTATCGATATCTAAAGTGCATCTGCATTTAGTGAAGCAAAAGCTCATAGTCTGTTTCTAATTTGTGCCTTGCAGATGCCCTCCCCACTAGGGAAAGGCCTGGCTCTGAGCAGCCGCCCCTCCCCGAGGCCGCCAAGCTCCCAGTTCAGGCCCTTTCTTGGGCAGCCGGAGTGCTCCTCTCTTAGATAATGCCAGGTACTCTGGAAAGTAGCCGTGTAATAATACACAAACCCCTGATGATGTCAGCGTGTTATTGACTTTCCAAGTCTGAATGACTGAGCAGAGGAGCGGGGGTGGGGCGCAATCCATCCGGCAGCGCGGAGACCGGCCAAGCGAAAATGGGCTCGCCAGCCTGGCGGGGGAGGGGCGGCTCGCAACAGCGGCGGCTGCTTCGAGCTCCGGCTCTGCCGCCGCGGCGTCGGGGTCGCTGCCGCCCAGCCCAGGCGGGGCTCGGGTTCCCGCTCCTCTGATGTTTACGTTTGGTCAAAAACTCCTCAGACAGAAATAACTAATGCCTCCCCCCGGAAGCTTTTACCACGTGGCAGAGTGGGGTCACAAAGGGGGGAGCAGTGGCACGAAGGGGATGGGGAGGAAGACCTCCCTGTTCCCTCCCCCACCCTGCAGGGGCCTTCCTCTTAGGCTGCAGAGCCGAGGGTCGCTCTCCGTGGTGGAGTTCCCTCTGCAGAAGACCCCTGGAAAATTGCACTTCAGCAGTGGTGACATTTTATAGGCCATGATTTGCTGCATTTATGGCTCTGGCAGTGCAGGTGCGGAGTCGTAGGCTCCCGTTCTCACCCTGCAAATTGCTCACAGTGCAATCTGTCATCTTCAAGGCTAGGTGTGAACCGGGCAGGGTTGCCCTTAAAACGGAATTGCAGTTAAAGGCCGGGATCTGGAAGGAAGCGCTCTACCCCGGGGCGTGGCCTTTCCCACCGGCTCTGGACCTTTCCTTCAAGCCCCGCCATGCGCGCCCACCGACTTGGCTGTCGCAGCCTGGGGGCACTGGGCGCCCTGGGCTCTGCCTGCCTGCAGAGCTCTCATTCTTTCCGTTCCAGGCCTGTGGAATCCTCCAGTGAACAAGGCCTCATGCTGGCCTCTGCCCCACCCCACTGCGAGGAGCCGCTCCTCCTCCGAGGCCTATGGTTTTTCTCCCCGCGGAGTGGGCTTGGTGGGAGCACCGCGTGGCGCAAACAGCACGGGGGGACTTTGGAATCGCCTGGACTTGAGCCCTGCCCCACCACGTGTTCGCTGTGTGAATGTGGACAGGGTGGTTACCCTCTCTACAGCCCGCGTCTTAAAATGGGAGTAGTAACAACCCCCTCAACAGTTGTTCTGAGGATTAAGTGAAATTCAGATTTCATAGGAGACCTTTTTCAATAGTCAAGTCTCTCGCCTTTATGAGTCAAGTTCCACTGGGGCCAGAGGCCCTGTGGTTGTTTCTGAAAACAAGGTCAGCAGAAGTGCTAGACCCATTGTTTCCTCAACTCAGCCCTTCCCCCTACACTCCTGGCAAAGTGGAGCCCGCAGCCTCTTCCGACCCACTTCCACCTTCACCCACACCCACAGGCTTACAGGGCAGAGCTGTTTTGTTGACGGGGCGGGGGTGGGGGTGGGGACGTGGAAACTGTACCTCTGACCTAAGCTGGACCATTCACGGCCCTTCTCAAATTTCCCTCCCCCACCTTGCCACAGGGGATTGGTCCCAGCGGGAAGAGCTGACATATTTGAATCCAATCAAAAGCCTTCTTGGGAAATTTTGAAACTGGAAGTGAAAAAGTCAGTTTCTCCCCAGGGCTAAAACTGCAAGATATTATAACATACATGACCATGTTTCCCATGGTCAGGAGAGGAGAGGCAAGGCCAATCTGAAGGCAGAAACAGAGATAAAGATCGAGCAGAAAACAAAGATAGAGCCTCAGCCACAGCCAGACAGGCTGGGAGAGAGCGCTGAGGCCAACAGGAGTCTAATGTTATTGGCAGCATCGGTTCCTGTGTCCCTGGTACAGCCCTGCCTGCCCCCGATTCCTTGCGACAGCCCATTATTTTTTGCCACAAATTCTTATTGTTTAACCTAGTTTGTGTTTTTGTTGCTTCTAATCCAAAAATCCCATGGCATTTACTAGTTTAACTTACACAGTATGTCAGTTGAGTTCAAGAGCTCCCCAGCCCCATTATAACCCCCCGAGAAGTCTTCTATCCTCCGCAGCATATGTCAGTGCCCCATAACAAGGTGCTCAATAAATGCTCTTCAGATTGCACTGAGCAAGTTGTGAGTGGACGGGAAGTGCCCTGGTGGCTGTTGAAACTGGAGGCTTCAACTGGTTAATTTAAAGGGGAAGCATCGCCAATTGCCACAGACTTCTAGAAGCCCATTTATTGTACCCTAGTGGTAATTAGGGCTTATTCAAGTGAATAGAAAGAGAAAAGAGAAGAAACTTTATCCCCTCTAAATTGCATTTAATAAAAATCTTGGAGAAAATGAGTGAATTGTCAGGCTTAATAATTTCCCCTGGGTCTTTGTTGGAGGGAGGCTGAGGAAATGTACAGTATTCTACATTTATAGGACAGCAGATCTGCATTTTAACAGAGTAAAATGCAGTCGTGGCTTACCCTCCTTTTTTCCCCCTTCATTTGTTTCCAAAGGGTTTTTTTCCAGCTCATGAGTCACTTCCAGTCAGATTCAAAGACAAAAGCCGGCTAATTGTGTGTCCATGAGTCAGGGTCCCACCCTGCCTTATCTGAACACCCTTTCTAGCTCTGAGAAGACAGAGCAATTTTCAGCCTATAAGGCATTGAGTGGAACCTGTTACACACCGCTTCTGGGTCAGGCTCTTTAGGGAGCAGTCCAGGCCCTTCCATTTCCTTCTGGCATCTGGCAGCTGATAGCACCTTGGGGTGTTTCCTTGCCAGTGTTATTTTCAGTCAGGAACTGTGCAGTCTACCCTGTTCCTAAGGCACCCTGTTGAGCCCAGAGAGATAAAGGTGAATTTAAAAGGAGGTCTAAACCCTCTAGCAATTTATCATATAATGAAGGAGAAAGGCAGAAAAGAATCACTGTTAGACAAGCTTTGAGGGTTATGGAAGAGTAAGTGCTAAGACTAATGATTTCTCAGTCTGCACCCCTTGCTGTCTCTCAGCAGCATTTTATCTGGTTGACTTTCCAACTACTTGAAACATTTTATTTCCAGACCTCCCTGATGTTACTTTGTTTTCCAAGCAGTGTCTATTTCCCACCCCCACTTTTTCTCTTATCCTTATGCCTTACATTCTCCCTCTTTCTAGATATCTCACTTCCAGATAATGGTACCACATCCAGCTGGCTGCTCATGCCCCAGAGACAATTCCTGATTTTTTTTTTTTTCTTTTTGAGACAGAATCTCGCTCAGTTGCCCAGGCTGGAGTGCAGTGGCATGATCTTGGTTCAATGTAGCCTCCGCCTCCTGGGTTCAAGGATTCTAATGCCTCAGCCTCCTCAGTAGCTGGGATTACAGGCGTCCACCACCACATCCAGCTCATTTTTGTATTTTTAGTAAAGATGGGGTGTCACCAGGTTGGCTAGGCTAGTCTCAAACTCTTGACCTCAGGTGATCTGCCCACCTCGGCCTCCCAAAGTGCTGGGATTACAGGCTTGAGCCACCATGCCCAGCCCTGATTTTTTCTTTTCTGTCATTCACTACACCCAATCCATCAGCTGGTTTCCCTCCAAAATTGTCTGTATGCATGCCCTTCTCCATCTATACTGCCACCATGCAACAAAGACATCTGCATCTCTCCTCTGCTCAGGGGCAGTAACCTCTGCCAAAATCCCACTACACTGAGAGCACTACTCAAACTCCTTGTCTAGGCCTCCTATGCCTTAGGTCATTTCCTCCTTTTATTCATTCCCTCCACCTTCTCCTAGCTCAGGCCACCCCTGCCACATGAGACCCTTTTCTTTCACCACTTTACTTCTTCCTATCTTAAGGCCTCTGCTCTTAGAGTTGGTTCCCTCTGCCTGGAAGACTCTCTGGCCCTTCCTAAGCTGGCTCCTCTATATCTGTCTTCTCTATATCTGTCTTAGATCGTTCAGGCTGCTATAACAAAAAATACCATTGATACAATTTGGATGTTTGTCTCCTCCAACTCTCATGTTGAATTGTAATCCACCAGTGTTGGAGGCGGGGCCTGATGGGAGGTGTTTGGGGCCGATCACTCATGAATTTCTTGGTGCTATTCTCACAATAATAAGTTCTCATGAGACCTGGTTGTTTAAAAGTGTGTGGCACCTCCCTGCACTCTCTCTTGCTCCTGCTCTCACCATGTGACGTGCCTGCTCCCCTTCACCTTCCTCCATGATTGTAGGCTTCCTGAGGCCTCCCCAGAAGCAGATGCCAGCACCACATATCCTGTACTGTCTCAAAACGATGCCCCAATTAAACCTCTTTTCTATATAATTTACCCAGCCTCAGGTATTTCTTTATAGCAATGCAAAAACAGCCTGACACAACCATAGACAGGGTGGCTTAAATAACACATTTATTTCTCACAGTTCTAGAGGCTAGGAAGTCCAAGGTCACAGGGCTGGCAAATTCAGTTCCCGGTGAGAACCTTCTTCTTGGTTTGCAGGTGAACACCTTCTTGCTATATCCTCACGTAGTAGAGAGAGAAATCATCTTTCTCATGTCTCTTATTTATTTATTTTTGAGACGGAGTCTCACTCTATTGCCCAGGATGGAGCGCAATGCAGTGATCTCGGCTCGCTACAACCTCCACCTCCAGGATTCAAGTGATTCTCCTGCCTCAGCCTCCTGAGTAGCTGGGATTACAGGCACCTGCCACCACACCTGGCTAATTTTTGTATTTTTAGTAGAGATGGGGTTCACCATGTTGGCCAGGCTGGTCTCAAACTCCTGACCTCGTGATCCACCCATCTCAGCCTTACAAAGTGCTGGGATTACAGGCATAGGCATGAGCCAACACACCAGGCCTCATGTCTCTTCTTTTTTTTTTTGAAACGGAGTCTTGCTGTGTCACCAGGTTGGAGTGCAGTGGCGTGATCTCAGCTCACTGCAACCTCTACCTCCCGGGTTCAAGCGATTCTCCTGCCTCAGCCTCCAAGTAGCTGGGTCTACAGGCACCGCCACCACGCCCAGCTAATTTTTGTATTTTTAGTGGAGACGGGGTTTCACCGTGTTAGCCAGACTGGTCTCGATCTCTTGACCTCATGATCTGCCCACCTCGGCCTCCCAAAGTGCTGAGATTACAGGCATGAGCCACCACACCCGGCCATGTCTGTTCTTATAAAGGCACTAATCCTATTCATGAGACTGCCACCCTCATGATCTGATCACCTCCCAAAGACCCCACCTCCAAATACCATCACGTTGGGGATTAGGGCTTCAACACAGGAATCTGGCGGGGACACAAACGTTCATTCCATGGCAGTATCCTTCAGGTTTCAGTTCAGTGATCAACCCCCTAGAGAGGTCTTCCATGACCACTACATGTTACATTCTATCACACCACTCAGTTTATGGCCAGCACACACTCACCATGATCTGTAGTAATCAGTTATTTTATTTATTTATTTCTGTCTTCTCTGTCTTCCCATTGGAACATAATCTCCAGGAACGCAGATATCGTATCAGGCTTGCTCCTTGTTCATTAATGAGTTCATTGACTAGAGTCTATTTCATAATAGGTACACAGTAAGTCCTTTTTGATTAATCAGTGCAGATAGTAGCGAAAGGTCAGTACAGATATGCCTAAGTTAACTCCTCAAGAAAAAGTGGAAGTTCACCAGGTGAATGAGGAGAAACGCATCTCAGAAAGGCACAAAGGTGTGTGTTCAGGGAAGTCTCTCTTGACCCCCCTGTCCCTCCAGCTACTGCCTCATTACTCTGCTCCCTCTGTAGCTAAGCAATGCTCTGAAGGGTTATCTAGGCTCACTGTGTTCATTCCTCTTCTCCCTTTTTCTTCTACTTGTTGCCAATCAGGCATTTTCCCCCAACCACTCGGCCAAAACTGCTCTTCTTAAGGTTAATAATAACCTCTGGCTAGGCACAGTGGGTCACACCTGCAATCCCAGCACTTTGGGAGGCCAAGGTAGGTGGATCACTTGAGGTCAGGAGTTCGAGACCAGCCTGGCCAATATGGTGAAACCCCATCTGTATTACAGATACAAAAATTAGCCGGGCATGATGGTGCACACCTGTAATCCTAGCTACTGGGGAGGCTGAGACAGGAGAATCACTTCAACCCAGGAGGCAGAGGTTGCAGTGAGCCAAGATCAAGCCACTGCACTTCAGCCTGGGCAACACAGCAAGACCCCATCTCAAAAAATAAATAAATAAATAAATAACCTCCATACTGCTAAGTCCAGTGGTCAGTTTTTAGGGTGATCCTAGTTAACTTCTCTGCAGCATCTGATACAGCTAATTACAGGTTCCTTCCGGAAACACTTTCTTCACTTGGTATCTGGGTTGCTACTCTATTGATCTTTCTCCTCCTTCACTGACTGCACCTTCTCAATCTCCTTGCTAATTCCTTTGCTATACCCATCTTCCGTCATCTGAATATTGGAACACTCCACATTCAAACCCTACAGCTGTAATGTTAAAATAGATCCCTAACCTGACTGCCTCTTACACCTCCACTGCTGTTACCCTGGTCTAAACCATAATCTTCTCTCCTGGTTATTGCAACAGCTTCCCAACTGATCTTCCCACCTCTACCCTTCAGTGTGTCCACAACACAGCAGCCAAGGGGTCCTTTGAGAACAGAAGATGGGCCATGTTACTCTGCTGCACAAAACCGTCCAGTTGCTGTTTGATGGAGTCAAAGCCAAAGTTCTGACGGTGGCATTCAAGGTCCTACTATATCGGGTCCCGCTGCCCAGCGTCCACCCGCTCCCAATCGCCTTCCATCCACTTGCTTTCTCACTGCATTTCAGCACACAGCCTTTTTGCTGTTTCTTAAACACAGTAGTTGCTTCCTGTCTCAAGACCTTCCAGATATGCATTGCTTCTGCTTGGAAAGCTGTTCCTCAAAATGTGTGTATGGCTTGCTCCCTTTATCAGCTCGCTGTTGTTACAATAATGCTACATAAGTGAAACATCCCCTCACCTTCTCAGAGAGGGCTGTCTATATAAAATGCAGCCCCCTATTCCCACTCCCAGCATAACTAAAGCTCCCTATCTCACTTGGGTTTTCTTATAGTTCTCATCACTTTCTAATATGCTATATAATGTTCATCATTCATTTTCCCCTACATCGTAGCCTCCATTTTATTTACTGACATATCCCCAGCTCTTAAAAACAGTGCCCGATATTCCTTACTTGGCATGCATTAATTATTTGCTGAATAAATATCAAATCTCAGAATGACAGTTTACAGCCCAGAGCCTAGAATTTTGCTATGGAAGAGTGGGCAATAATTACAGCAGAGATGGAACTAAAGAAATAAGAGGCCATAGTTTTCCAAAGACCTTGTATGTTATGGATACTAAGGTGTTTGGGTTTTACCCTACAGGGAATGGAAAAGCAATGAATCTTTTAAGCAGTGAACTGTCATGATGGTGAATGTGCCTAAAATGGCTCTGGAAACATCGTGGAATAGAATAGGGTACAGCCTGGTGGCTCAGAGCCCATGTGGCTGGCTGTGGGCAGTTGGACTGATGAGCAGGAAGCTTTATTTGAGTCTCTGAATTCAAGCTGTGTGAGCAGTTGCTAACTTTGCTCATTGGCCTACCTGACAAGGGCTCCCAGAGTGTGCCAGAAAGAAAATATGAAACTCCGACGTTGGGAAGGAAGCCCTCTTAGCCAGACTTCTTTCAACTGAGCCTCAGACTACTGGTATCGCCTGAGTGTGTATTGTTAAGAATAACAATCACTTACCCTTATATAGCCCAAAAGAGCTTAAAAAGGATTTTCCCAATCATTTCATCTAAGACTCAGAGATCCAAAGTACTCTAGCCAGTATGTTTAAGTATCTAGCCACTTCACTGGTTAAGAAAGGAAAGAACACTTATGTCCTGAAATATACTAGAACAATTTCTGGTGAATTGCTACGAATATAGTTAAAATACACTGGGGCCTACTTTTATGCTTCTAACAAACACTGTGTTGGACCTTAAATTTTCAGAGATCAAAGGTTAGTGTTATGTTCAACCTGTTCCCCTGAGTTCTTTACAATCCATCAAAAGACTCTGCTCTCCCCAGTTTAGTCACTTAAGTAGGTGAACAGGGACACACATAAAGGCACTAACAGGTAAAGTAGGTGCTTTCCCCAGTTATTTCTACATACAGTAAGAGATTATACTTTACTTCCCCCAACCACTGAGAAAGCATTCAGGCTTATAAGTATATTTATAGGGCTACCAGGAGTTCCCCGTTAGTCCCCCGAACCTTTTACATACCCCTGAAAAGGTTTGTTTCTACATAAATAGTCTTTAATGCACGCCCATGCCCTTCTTTCTTGGCAGAAACCCAACTTGGTCATGCCTGTATTTGAATGTTACAGCCCAAGCAATTCATTTTATATAGATACACAGACTTTCATATCTGTAAGAGGCTTTAGATATTACCTAATGTGTCTAACCTGTTCATTTTTCTTATAAGAAAACTAAGGCTCAACAAGCAAAGGGCAGGAACAGGGAAAGAAAACTGATGCCTACGAAGCTACTGCCCTGATCCAGGCCTGGGGCAGGCAGAGCTCCATACATGACTGCCTTTGTTCCTCCCTGGGGCAAAAAATCCTTGGCGTAGATATATTAGTCAGGGTTTTGTACAGAAACAGAACCTATAGGATATACATACAAGATTTACTTTAAGAAATTGTCTCACACAATTATGGAGGCTTGGCAAGTCCACAATCTACAGGGTGGCCATTAGGCTGGGGACCCAGGAAAGCACTAATATTGCAGATCAAGTCCAAAGGCCAGCTGCTATCAGAATTCCTTCCTGCTTGGGGAGAGCTATTCAGGCCATCAACTGATTGAATGAGGCTCACCCACATTATAGAGAGCAATCTGCTTTACTTGAAATCCACCAATTTAAATGTTAATCTCATCCAAAAACACCCTCACAGAAACATCCAGAATAATGTCTGACCAAATCTGATCACCACTGACCAAGTTGAGACACAAAATTTATCATCACAGTAGATAATATAATTTTGCAAATGTAATTTTAAAACTGGACCTCAGAAAGTCTGAATGACTTAGCCAAGGCCACCGGATGATTAGATGAGACTAGAACTCAGAAGTTTTAAGTCCCTGAAGATCCTCTTTCTACTAAATTATGTTTTGTTCGCAAATGAAAATAACATTTTTGAGTACTTAATATCCTAACATTTGCCAGGCTCTGTGTTAAGTATATATAAGTTCCCATTTAATAGAGCACCATCATATAGAAAAATAAATGGAATCTTAGAAACGTTGAATAACAAGCCCAAAGTAGCAAACAAGGGATGTAATTTGAATCTAGGTCTATGTCGTTCTAATACTTCCTGCCATCTGGCAGTTTTTAATGATATATTTCCTGTTACTTTTTTTTCTTTTTTCTTTTCTTTTTTTTTTTTTTTTTTGAGACAGGGTCTCACTCTGTTGCCCAGACTAGAGTGCAGTGGCATAATCATGGCTCACTGCAGCTTCGACCTCCCAGGCTCAAAGGATCCTCCCATCTCAGCCTTCCAAGTAGCTGGGACCACAGACGCGAACCACCATGCCCGGCCTACCACTCATCTTTCTCTAAGTTAGGCAGGATGTAATTTCTTTCCAATTGTTTTTTTCAATGACCTAGAGTCTTCCTCAACTAAGAACATTCCTTCAGTTCAAAGTGAGTTTCAAATATCAGATGTGCATACAAGATGAGGAAACTGATTGTAAAGAAATATATACACTCTTCCACGTCAATATGAGTATTGTCTCAAATAAAAAAGCTACCCCAGGCAACAATACACTCATTCCATTACTCAAAACTTTTCTATGGCTCCTCTCTTGAAATTGCCTTCAGGGTCTATATCCTTTGCTTTTCAGAAGTAGTTTTAATGTTAGCAAATGTTCGTTCTTTGATTTCATTTTTGGGAAACAGCCCAAAATCATCTGGTGCCAAATGTGGTAAAGGAGGCACATGATCAAGCTAATACAGATTAGATTGAGTTTTAAAATGAGGTGTGACTATGAAAGAAGGAGTTATTTTCTTTCTGTAGCTGGAAAAGTGGCTTCAAAGATAAACCAGTCTCATTTTGAGCAATAATAACAAAGTTGGAATAAATGTTTAAGTTGGAGAGGTTGCTTTTCAAGTGACTACACAGAACAGATGATAATCTGGTTTATCCTATTACTTTACGTTCACTTGAAATGTTAAAGTTGTTTTAAAAATAACATTTTTAGAAATGTTTTGGAATGAGATTCTTGTACATACTCTCGCTGGTTGGCTTTGGCCAGATGAAGACCTAGACAACAATGTGAGGGTTTACAATATCTTCGCAGTTGTAATTCAGAGAAAATGATTGAGAATTTTCCCTTTTTTTTTTCTTTTTTGAATCCTAATAATGCAAAGAGCTAATCAGACAAAGGTTTTTTCTTGGAAGTTAAGTATCCTCTACTTTTTCGCTAAGCACAAACAAAGGACATGGAGAACAGATCTCTCCCCAAAAAGAAATTAGAAAACTGCTGGTCTTTGAAAGTTTATAAAAGAGTGTCTTCCTGCTCCACAGCTGCCTTTCTTAATGTCCCCTCATAATACCCCTGTAATCCATACATGGAAATCCCCTTGGATTCCACACATAATTAACACTTGGCAGAAATAAGCAGTGCGAGCCTGAGGCTCTCTTCAATTACATTTAAGAAATTCAGATTTCCATGGGAGTGTTAGGGGAGGGAGAATTTAGACCCCACCACTCTCACAATATTCCCAGTTGCATGAATTTATAAAAATGTCTTCAGCCAGTCCAAAGGTCTTTATTGAGCATCTGCTATGTGCAGGGCATTGTGTATGTGTTGAGGGAGACACAAAGTGATGTCAGACAAAATTCCAACTCTTGTACCTTTCACCGAGGTCACTCCAGGTTCTAAATTTGTGAAAAGGGGAAGAAATGACTGACAAGTTGGAAGGGACAAAAAAGGCTTAACAGAGAGGTGGGAGATGAGCTGTACTGAAGCATGGTTAAGACACAGAGGGCTAAAGTTGGGGGAGGGCATCTTAGGCCAGAAGAATAACAAGACACCAGTGGTGGAAATGGAAAACATGTAGTGAAGATAGCACATGGAGCCTGAACGGGGAAGTCTTACAAGACAGGGTAAGGACAGAACTTTGGGAAGCTGCAGAAGCCTGTTTGATATTCAGCATACATTTAGGGAGCTGACTGCTTAGTTTTAAGCACTGTTTTGGCTGACCATGGGAATTTAAGGAGTCCGTTTTTTTTTTTTATTGTATGTATTTAAGGTATATTGCATGATGTTTTGATATACTTAAATAGTGAAATGGGTACTATAGTTAAGAAAATTAACAAATCCACTCTCGTGTAATTTCCCTTTTGTTGTTGTTGTTGTTTGTTTTGTTTTGTTGTTTTGAGACGGAGTCTCACTCAGCCGCCCAGGCTGGAGTGCAGTGGCATAGATCTCAGCTCACTGCAACCTCTGCCTCCTCGGTTCAAGCGATTCTCCTGCCTCAGCGTCCCAGTAGCTGGGACTACAGGTGCCTGCCACCACGCCTGGCTAATTTTTGTATTTTTAGTAGAGACGGTGTTTCACCATGTTGGCCAAGCTGGTCTTGAACTCCTGACCTCAAATGATCCACCCACTTCAGCCTCCCAAAGTTCTGGGATTACAGGCATGAGCGCCACGCCTGGCATTGTTCTTGTTGTTGTTACAAGGGCACCAAAAATCTACTCCCTTAGCAAATTTCCAGTACACAGTGCAATAGTATTACTATAGTCCTCCTGTTGTACCTTAAATGTCTAGACTCACTCATCCTATGTAACTGCAACTTTGTACCCTTTGACTCTACATCTCCCCATTTCCTGCCTCCTCCCTTGCCCTCTTTCCCCCAGCCCACCCTGGCAACCACTATTTTCTCCTTTATGTCATTGACTTTTTTTTTTAAGATTCCACATACAAGTGAGATGTGTATTTTTCCTTCTCTTTCTGGCTTATTTCACTTAGTATAATGTCCTCTAGGCTCATCCATGTTGCCTTTTGATTGGTCAGTTTTCTCACTGAAGACAAGTTCATCAGTTGAGAGTATGGATGGGGGAGTAAGTGTGGTGGCTGTCTAATTTGATTTTGAGTGGACAATTGTGTATAGTATACAATCCAAATGATGAGGAAGGACAAAGAGACAAATCTCTCTTCTGCCCCTGTCCACCAGCTACCTACATCCCCTTCCTGAGAACAACCAAGACTCCACCATCAAGAAGGTCTCTTCAAGCAAAGTGCCTAGGATGCACAATTTAAGGAGGCAGGTCTCAGGTGCTAACCCTCTGCTGGCATGACCCTGAGAGTGAAGGCCTCCTTAAATTCTGCTCCACCCCCCACCTCCCTCAACTCTGTAGTACTGGCACTGTTAAAGAGGTAACCCTGGAACCGTGCCTGGATCACACAGAGGCTCAAAAAGTGTTTTTTGGTCCTGTTTGCCTCATAGGTATCTTTTGAGATGTACATAAGAAAAAAAATAGATGCATGTGCTGGTGCAGTGCTATATAAACATGAGCTGATGCTAAATCACTATTGTAGTTATTCATTGCATTGCTGTTATTAGCAAAGATAATGTGTGTGTATACAATAGATATTATGGTTGTTCGAAGAATTTAACTGAAATAATGTATATCGCCATGTTGAAAGTAGCCCTTTAGGATTGATTTTTTTCCTAAATACGAAGTATAAACTTTGTTAAAGTTAAACAAACAAACAAAAGACAATGACCTCTGAGTGGAAGACTGACATGAAGAAAGCACTGAGTTAACTGAGAAGAATCCAAAGAATCATTGACGTACCTAGGCTTTCATCCTAGTCTGTCAGCTGAATTTTTACCCAGAATAGCAACTAAGAAAGTACTTAAACCTACTCTTGTCTTAATCTTCACAGAATTTTACTTTTTCACACATGGCTGTCATATCTTTATTCTGCTTCTTTGTAATATTAAAAATATTTTGCAGGAGCACTTTACCCAACACCTGTTACTGCCTTAGGTCAACAACTGGACTTACCTTAGGTCAGTTCCTCCTAGGATACCTGGAGCCTGGCCATTTCTGGGCATGTCCCCTTGTGAGCTGTGTGCAAGGAGCCCCAGAGTCCTAGAATCCTATGGGTGTAGACTGGTTTCCTTAGACCCAGCCCCACAAAAGAGAACATGAAACTAGAGAAATAAGCAGGTAGATCCCAGACCATGCCTACTCTGCTCAATAAATAGCAAAATAAAATAATAATAATAATAATAATAATAATAATGATTTATTTGAACATTGTAGATTTACTACCTCTTCTTTGCCAGTGTTTCATGAAATTTCCAGAGTAGAATACATGGCTTAAATAATATATTTCCTCCTCATTTATCAGACTTCTTGCACTCAGCATTGTTAATTATATTGTGGAGGGTGAGAAGCATGAAGCGTGGCGATATATTATGATCCAAATACCACACTAAATAAACATCTGGAAATGGATCATTTATAACACAACTGTTATAGGTTAGTGAGTGTATTTTAGGGTAAGCCGGGGAATACATATATAGCTTACAAAAAAATACGCTTAAAATCATAAACAAATGACCTACTTGTAGTTTTGTCCTCGTTTTCAGTAATAAGCCCTTTTCATGTGAATCCACAGTTGTCACTTACAAAGAAATGCTCTAAAGCTGAACTCTTTTATAATAGCATTATAATTTTAGACTGACTCCTGAGCTCCAAACCACTTAGAAACTTTTTACCAGCTCTGAAATAGATAGCAGGGTAATACTCATTTAATTCCTTTGCACAGTAATCTGATGGCTGAATATGCTTCAGAGATTCTTTTAGGGCTAGCAGGGGAATGAAATCAATCATAGTGCATAAATTACAAGAAAAGTGCTGTTGGTGTCAATTACCTAAGCTCTATGAATGTAAGTCTTCTAATTTCCTGTTAAATCAGTAATGTTACCAATCTTACTCTATTATTTTAAATAGGACTGTAACTGCAGTTGCTAGGAGTTGAATGAGGGCAGACAAATGTGAATAGTTAATGAGTCTCAGCAACTAATAGCAAGTTGAAGGTGTCAATAACAGGGATATTATAACATGACTCTCAAAGCTCCACCCTGGTGTCTACAAAAGAAGGTTTAATTCTTTCTTTTTTTTTTTTTTTTAATTTGTGCCCCTATACCCTCCCTAAATCAATGTAGTACACAGCAAATGCCAGGTGAATGTAGGTGTTCCTATTGCCATAGTGAGTTCCTACCTTCCCCCAAAGATAATGGCCCTGAGTTGGTACAGGAAGTCTTGGCTGCACTTTCCCTAGTAATCTACCCACCCCCACTGCTAGCGGCTGCATTTCACTGACTCATAGTTTCCAAGTATGATCAGCATGCTAACAGGAAAGATACAGTCACTGGGCAAAGCAGCAGCCCTGGAGCGCTGGCCAAGGCCTATCCAATAACTGCCACCATTGATGGCAAAAAGGAAATAAGGAACACAACAACAATGACACAAAAACCTAGAGTACAGGAACGTTTTAAGAATCAAACCCCTGCTGTTTGTCGTTTCTTCAGCACACCCAGTGCTTCCCAGTACACAACAAACTGGATGGGGGAGTGGGGTTTTATTTACCATTTGGCTATCAGTTCACGTCCTATTCTCTAAAAATAATAAAATTGGTCGATGGCGTTTCACACTGAATAATATTACAGGAATCAAACTGGCTGGGAGCCAAAGTTACGCTGAGGTTTGGCTAGGCCTGGATTTGTGTCCGAGGGTATCAAATACTGTATGATCAGGTTAGGTTTTGCAGTGCGTTGCAGACTTCCTCCTGTTAGGAAACATTCTCACAAACGGCACACAGACTACCCTATTCAGCCAGTACTTAAACAGGAAACCATTCCACCCTTCTGCTTTCCTTGGTAAAGCCTTATCTTTGAGTCAAAGAAATGTAACTTTCTAAATCGCCTCCATTCTTTTTTAGTTTGCATTCTTTTGTTTGTCAGCATTTTGCAAATTTGCAGGTATCTACAGTTCCCTAACCCCATTCTCAAGTGCCCTATTATCCCCAATTTCACTCTCAGAATACTTCATGAAAAAGAAGAATCCTATGACAAAGGATAACTATTATTAAGTCAATTGTCAACCCATCAGATGAACCAAATAGCTAAATTCTAAATAGATTTAAATAACCGGTGAAGAGCTCAAGCAAAGTCAGGTCTTAAAGTTATATTTAGTCACTTGGTCAGTTCTCTAACTGCCTAATAGGCATTCTCAGAAGAGAAGTTTGCTTTAGCACTATGAGATTTAAATGTAAAACAGAATAAATAAATAGATACATGGAATAGAACAGAATAGAATGGGAAGAAAGCAGCCCACGTCAACTCTAATACAACTTGTCACTATGGGAACATTTGTTAGAACTGAAGAAGATTAAGGCCAAGGAAACTGGCAGATCTCCCAGTACAGATTTCCTAGGCTAAGAAAAGGCCACAGCGGCCGGGCGCGGTGGCTCATGCCTGTAATCCCAGCACTTTGGGAGGCCAAGGCAGGCGGATCACGAGGTCAGGAGATCGAGACCATCCTGGCTAACACGGTGAAACCCCATCTCTACTAAAAATACAAAAAATTAGCTGGGCGTGCTTGTGGCCGTCTGTAGTCCCAGCTACTTGGGAGGCTGAGGCAGGAGAATGGCGTGAACCCGGGAGGCGGAGTTTGCAGTGAGCCGAGATAGCACCACTGCAATCCAGCCAGGGCGACAGAGCAAGACTCTGTCTCAAAAAAAAAAAAAAAAAAAAGAAAGAAAAGAAAAGAAAGAAAGAAAAGAAAAGAGAAAAGAAAAGGCCACAGCGATCCTATATGTGGCCCCAGTCTGTCTTGAATCATGAGTAAGGACACTGTCGTAAATTAAGCTGAAATATTTAGAATTATGACACTCATTTGACTGTATGAGGATTAGAGGGAAACTTAGAGGAACAAACTCAATTTGCACATATGGAATCTGAATCACAGTGAGATCCAGGGGCTGTAGAAGTCGCAGAACTTATTAATAATGGACTAGAGTCAGGATCCCCTAGTCCGCAACCTCTGGAATGTTCCACTGCCAGTCTAGCCATATCTGGTTTACCTTACAGATTATAAGGTACTTAAATGCTGATTAGTTATCTATTTTCAACCTCTGTGACTGTAAATGAGATTAGAAAGTTTGTATGATGGGAAATTCAATGGCGCATCATGTGATACTGAGAGAAGAAATGTGCTTATGATAAAATCCTTTCCGACACAAATAACTCTGCAAAGGTATTGAAGAGCGCTGGGTCTGTACACATTGTGATGTTATTATTAGCCAAGACTCTAGCTATGTTTATATATCCAGTCAGGTGCAAGGGAAAAAAAAAACCCCTCTAAATTCCTCAAGAAAGATTTACGTAGTGCATAGTCTTTCACTCAGAAATTGAATTATTTCTTGTTTTAATACAAAACTGTCGATTTTTATGAAATCATTTCAGAAACATGCCTTATCAGGGAATGTTGTAAGATTTTCCAACATCAAAAAAAATGCTCTGGTAGAATCATCATGGGCATTTTGAGTGGAAAAAAAAAAACTTCACAAACTCAAAAGCACTGTACTTAACGATCAGGAATTATTGTTGTTGTCACTGCTATTATCCTCTTTTTCCAGAAGGATCCTATGAAAGTTATTCAAAAATTTTGGGTGGAATGAACAGGTCTCAGATCACAGTAGCCTAGTTCAAAGTCTGAAGGTTGTGTGAGCTGTTGCTTGAATTTAAAAAGAGAGGAAAGGGAAAGGGTGAGGTGGACAGGAGGAGAGCCTGGTTACTGTGAACTGCTTTACTGCTAGAAACTCAGTCACCTTTGCCCAGGCACAGCTTGTCCTGTTGTGGGCCTTCCCCACCATCAGCCAGAAATATGAAGATACATCTGTAAAGAATGATGACCTTTACTAGCCAATATTTATCATGTGCTTACCACATCCCAAATCCCGGGCTGCGCACTCTGTATAGGGTACCAACTTTTTCCTTCCAGCAACTCTTACAGGCAGTCCTATTACTATCCCCATCTTATAGATGGAGCGTCTGAGGCTTAGAGAGGTGAGGTAACTTGCCCAGGGCACATGGATAGCAGATTTAAAGGTAATGCCCAGGTGGTCCAATCTGCTTACTAAACAGTCTCCTAGAGACTAGTGGAAGTCAAAGGATATGGCCTTGAAAAAGTAGTGATTTGGGTTGTTGTTTTCTCAGTGTAAGGAAAGGTGATTAGATTATGTAACCATCTGCTTCATTGATGGGACTTGCAGTTTGAAAGTTTAATTCTATTATTTAGTATAATACTAGCTGCTGAAACAAATCTCCAAACCCCAATGAATACAATACAAGCTTATTTTTCGGCGGGGCACGGTGGCTCACACCTGTAATCCCAGCATTTTGGGAGGTCGAAGCGGGTGGATCACGGGGTCAGGAGCTCGAGACCAGCCTGGCCAAGATAGTGAAACCCCATCTCTACTAAAAATACAAAAATTAGCCAGGCATGGTGGCACGCACCTGTAGTCCCAGCTACTCAGGAGGCTGAGGCAGGAGAATCACTTGAACCCGGAGGCAAAGGTTGTGGTGAGGTGAGATTGCGCCACTGCACTCCAGCCTGGGCAACAGAGTGAGGCTCCATCTCAAAACAAACAAACAAAAAAGTTTATTTCTCACTCATATCACACTCCTGTGTAGATCAGCAACTCTGCTCTTCACAGTCATTCAGTAACCCAGGGTCCTTCCGTCTTATAGCTCTGCCTTCCTCTAGATCCATGGAGTCCTCTGAGTTCAGAGGTTGGACAGGAAAAGAGAGTGAGAAAGGCACATGGGGGTTTTAAAGGCAAGGCCTGTTCATATTCCACTGGCCCAGTTTCAGTTACATGATCACACCCAACTACTGGGAAATGCAATCTAGCTGTGGCCTCAAAAGCAGCAGAGAACATGGACACCGGGGAGAATTTGCAGCCTTTGTCTCAGAAAGCAATATCTTCATTGAACCCTTTATTTAATTCCTTATTTCTCTGCTGCCCAGCAATTATTTTTTCAAATGGTTTTAAGGAATAGCATCTACAGAAGATTTCTTGGAGTATGTACAATTCACTTATTTCCAAATAGTCCAGTGTGTATGTGGGCCCATTGTTTTGCTCCCACGCTCAATATCCTGGGAACGCCTTTTCTGATTTGCATTCGTTGTTTGTGCCTTTGACTTGCACTGAGGAATATGAGACACAGCCATATGAAATTCACTGTGATCTCTACTAAAAGGATTTTATCAAGGAAGAAACCTCTCGGGTTTTAGTATGAGTAAAAACTATGTTTCTCTTGAATTGCGTTTTTTTAAATCTCACAAACATTCTGAATCTTATAATAGATCACATTTTTCCCTTTGCTGAGGCCACTAAGAAACTCTGAGCCAAATTTTACATTCTTCTCCAAACACAGAACAAAAGCTTTATAATATTTATTTCTGTGTATCAGTTTTACCTATCTGTATTATTTTTCTATCAAAAACAAAACAATTTTGCCCTCACCCTAATTGTTTCTAATGTTATTTTATATTTTTGTATTTTGTATAGAAAGAGAGAACCTCAAAAACCATTGAGGTACAAGATGGATAAAAATAAATAATCTCACAGTGGTTACTAGAGGTGGGACAGGGTGGGGGAGGGGTAGCCGAAGGTTGGTTAAGGAAT
Source organism: Homo sapiens (assembly GCF_000001405.40). Taxonomy (NCBI): domain Eukaryota; kingdom Metazoa; phylum Chordata; class Mammalia; order Primates; family Hominidae; genus Homo; species Homo sapiens. Next base: position 177,341,441 of record NC_000003.12, on the reverse strand, counting down.
GCAAAAGTATAGTTAGATAGGAGGAATAAGTTCTAGTGTTCATACAGCACTAGAGAGTGACTATAGCTAACAACAACTCATGGCATATTTTCAGGCCAGGCATAGTGGCTCATGCCTGTAATCCCAACACTTCGGGAGGCCAAGGCGGGTGGATCACGAGGTCAGGAGTTTGAGACCAGCCTGTCCAGCATGGCAAAACCCCGTCTCTACTAAAAATATAAAAATTAGCCGGGCATGATGGCACGTGCCTGTAGTTTCAGCTACTTAGGAGGCTGAGGCAGGAAAATCGCTTGAACCTGGGAAGCGGAGGTTGTAGTGAGCCGAAATTGTGCCATTGCACTTCAGCCTGGGCAACAGAGTGAGACTCCTTCTCAAAAAAAAAAAAAAAAAAAAATTGCATATTTTCAAATAGCTAGAAGATCAGATTTTTAATGTTCCCAACACAAAGAAATGATAAATGTTTGAGGTAATGGTTATGCTAATTACCCTGATTTGATTATTATACATTGTATCCATGTATCCAAATATCACACGGTACCCCATAAATATGTGTCAGTTAAAAATAATAATGAAAGCAAAAAATAAAAATTAGTTAATTAATTAACACAAAATAAATAAATAATCTCATCATGCACTGTGGGGTAGCACACATGAATTTGATCGTATTTGTAATTTGGAATCTATGCCAAATGCCATCTCAGTTATGAGGGTTATTCAGAAAGACAAACAGGATAGATACTCCCCAGCTGTCATGCCGCCTTAGTGCACAGGAAACCCTGTGAGCAGCTGACCCTCCAAGCTGATCTCAGCCCATTGGTATTCTTGGTGGTCCTGTCCCAGTATCTTAAAGGTGAAAAGTGCTGGGTGTAACATGTGTCACAAAACAGCTCTCTGAGTTAAGGTCTTTGCTTAATGAGGAGCTGTGAATACAGAGGACCTGTGGGAATACTTTAGGAATTAACCATGTGCTCATATGGTAGATCTACTACAGCTAACTAGCTGAGTGACCTTGAGCAAGGTACTTAACCTCTCTGGGCCTCTCATGTCCTTATACCTAAAATAAAGACATTGGGCCATTGGGCTAGATAATCTCTAAAACCTCTTCCAGCACAATAAATCTCTTCCAGCACAATAAATCTGTGATACATTCTTTATACAAATTAAAATATAGTTTTTAAAAGTTCCCCCAGGTCTTTTAGAAATAAATAGGCCGGGCGCAGGGGCTCACGCCTGTAATCCCAGCACTTTGAGAGGCTGAGGAGGGCAGATCACGAGATCAGGAGATCGACACCATCCTGGCTAACACAGTGAAACCCTGTCTCTACTAAAAATACAAAAAATTAGCTGGGCATGGTGGCATGTGCCTGTAGTCCCAGCTGTTCAGGAGGCTGAGGCAGGAGAATCGCTTGAACACAGGAGGCAGAGGTTGCCGTGAACTGAGATCGCACCACTGCACTCCAGCCTGGGCAACAGAGCGAGACTCTGTCCCAAAAAAATAAAATAAAATAAAATAAAATAAAATAAAATAAAATAAAATAAAATAAAATAAAATAAGACTATGAGCCAGGAGCAGTGGCTCACGCCTGTAATCCCAGCACTTTGGGAGGCCGAGGCAGGTGGATCACCTGAGGTCGGGAGTTCAGGACCAGCCTGACCAACATGGAGAAACCCCGTCTCTACTAAAAATACAAAATTAGTCAGGCATGGTGGCGCATGTCTGTAATCCTAGCTACTTGGGAGGCTGAGGCAGGAGAATCGCTTGAACCCAGAAAGTGGAGGTTGCAGTGAGTCGAGATCACTCCATTGCACTCCAGCCTGGGCAACAAGAGGAAAACTCCGTAACAAAGAAAGAAAGAGAGAGAGAGAGAAGGAAGGAAGGAAAGGAAGGGAGGAAGGAAGGAAGGAAGGAAGGAAGGAAGGAAGGAAGGAAGGAAGGAAGGAAGGGAGAGAGGAAGAAAGGAAAGAAAAGAAAGAAAGAAAGAGAAAGAAAAAGAAAGAAAGAAAGAAAGAAAGAAAGAAAGAGAAAGAAAGAGAAGAAAGAAAAAAGAGAAATGACTATGTCTAGAGAAAAAGATCTAGTGGGCAAACTATAAGTGAGTAAATCAGGCTAGTAGCAAACATATTCAGGAACCACCATGATAAAATGTGGCTGCTTATCTTTCCTGTTTGAACAGGAGGTCACAGTTTTGCTATATAGAGTTGAAAGGTTGTATAGACAGGATGTGTTAATTTGAGTTAGAATTCATCTGGGGCACCTGGACAGTTAATCCATCTCTGGGCTTCAGGAATCCAATACTACCCTAAGAACACTGTTGTAGAATGTATACGGCATGCTGGACATGGAAATCGGCTTGCTCCATTGGTGGTGGGGCATAGAGAGGTTCATGTCAGCCCAGCACATCCCCAGGAACTATACCAGTTTCCTTATTGCCCAAGCCAATATCTACAATGCAAAGCATCTTTCAACTGTAATTTAGGAGGACTATGAGCTGGCCACCTGAGTTTTTGCTTGCAGTTCAGGAACTATTGCTAAAAATGCATTTTATGGTGAAACAAGGGATTAGCTAATCTTTCAGGCTAACAGAGGACCAGCTACAAATGTTTCCTGTGTGTATTGTGAAACTCTGAGATAACAGAGAAGTTCCTTATTGCCCTCTGAATTTCCCTTCCCCCAGGACCTCCACTGGTCACACAAGCCATTATCTGAGACAAGCTGACCAGAGCGTGATGCTATAACTTTTTTTGTTCATACTTCCAAATTAAATCTGGTTAGAAAAATAAATGGCTAGAAAGTATTTAAATCTTGTCTTGAATCTTGGAGGAATTTACTTATTTTTCTTCATCTGTTGGCTACCCTTCTTTAAAAAAAAAATTATTATTATTTTTTTTGAAACGGAGTTTTGCTCTTGTTGCCCAGGTTGGAATGCAATGGTGCGATCTCAGCTCAACGCGACCTCTGCCTCCCGGGTTCAAGCGATTCTCCTGCCTCAGCCTCCCGAGTAGCTGGGACCACAGGTGCCCGCCACTACACCCAGATAATTTTATATTTTTAGTCTCAAACTCCTGACCTCAGGTGATCTGCCCACCTTGGCCTCCCAAAGTGCTGGGATTACAGGCGTGAGCCATTGCGCCCGGCCAGTTTTATTTTTTATTAACAAACTCATTCTCTGGATATTCTGGAGACAAAAGCAAAACACCCAAGAAAATGGGCACTTAGGCAATAAGAACTCAGACCCCTGTGGTTTGCTACAAATGTACTCACTAACAGAGCACATGCTGCCACCCTTAAGTTTCACACATGCTGCCAAGACCAAAGGTCCACTTTGATGACTAAATGGTAACACTATTTTCTTTGAATCATAGTATATGCATTTAATATTCTCTTGGGCCTTACTTAAAAGAGTAATATTTTTTCTTTTTTTTTTTAGGGTAAAGATATGGGAATTTCCCAACCACATTGTTCCACTTCATATCTTCTTCTTTCTCTTCTCATTTTATTTTCACTGCAGACCAGAGTGAAGACAAATGTGTATTACTTGGTAGCTTATGAACAGCAAGGAAAAACTGACTGGCAACCGCCATGGAAAGGTGTGAAACCGTAACCACGAGGACTCTCACATTTACATGTTACTGACTAGCGAATGTCTAGGCCTAAAACATCTGCCCTCTTATAGCTGTTTTATTATTATGTAAACATGGCTACAAGATTTCTGACATAAAATAGTAGATGACTCAGTGTCTTCAAATGATTAATTGCTGGTTTTTTTGCCTGACCTCTTTCTTCATTTCTTCAATAATAAATCTATTGTCATGCATTGAATTACGGAAGACTGAAGCTCCCAAATGCTGGGCCTGAAAATGCACTCACTCTCTCCAACAGCATGCGGGTGTTTCTCATTAGTTTCATAAGTGCCAAGAAAATTTCAAAATGATACCAAACAAGAATATTTTAAATTTTATCACATTACCAGCTAAGAAATCTGTAAGCACATTGTTAATTCACTTATATTCATCGCACAGCAAAACAAATATGGCATTTCAAAACTGAGAAAGTTAAAGCCTCCTATAAGAAGTCTATAGCCACCGTTTCTTGAGTCCTGTCTTCATATCTCATTCCTCCCAGAGCACATCTCTCACCAAGGTTCCTGTTAGATTCCATTCTGGTTTGTGTCTTTGTGGAGGCATGTCTGTCCGTAGCCAAGACACAGAGGGCTAGACTGGTTGTAACACAAATCAGAAATTTCTGCCTTGCAGCTGCCTGGGGAAGTAACAGTTAATTGAGCGTGGGAGCTGTGTGTAGACCCTCAAGACTAACAGTTAAGAGGCAAGGTTTCAGTAAAAATGTTTAGAAGCTGCATACCACACAGCTGGAAATGAAGGGCAGAGCTGTTTTCTGGGGAATTTGAATTATGTGTACATCCAATCGAGAACAATAAATGAATTTGTGTCCAGCAATAATAATCCCTCAGTTATAGATAGACATACCATTTATGCAGCACTTCCCATGAATTCTGTCTCACTGAGCCTCACAACAGTTCTGTGCATACAAGGCTGTTAATTGCAAGCCATTTTATTTATTTATTTATTTATTTTGAGAAGGAGTTTAGCTCTGTCGCCCAGGCTGGAGTGCAGTGGTGTGATCTCAGCTCACTGCAACCTCCGCCTCCCAGGTTCAAGCAATTCTCCTGCCTCAGCCTCCAGCGTACCTAGGATTACAGGCATGTGCCACCATGCCTGCAATTTTTGTATTTTTAGTAGAGATGGGGTTTCACCATGTTGGCCAGGCTAGTCTTGAACTTCTGACCTCAGGTGATCCACCCGCCTCGGCCTCCCAAAGTGCCAGGATTACAGGCATGAGCCTCCATGCCCGGCCATCATGTCATTTTAGAGATAAGAACTCCAAGGCTGCAGGAGATGAAATAGTTGGTTCCCTTTTGAACTAGATGTGAGTGGCAAGCTGGGGATCACATTCAGGTTTTCTGAGGGTACTTTTTACTAAGCAGGATGCCTCTGTCCTCAAATCCAGGTTAAGGAATTCACCCCCTTAACCGGCTTTCCATTTGACAAAGTGAGAGTCCTATTAATCTAATACTGAACTTCTGTTAGTCCATTTCCATTGTACTGAAACACAAAAGACAAATTCCCATCATTAAGAAAGTTGTAACAAGGGGGATATTTATGTCTCTCTCCCCGTCCTGCTTTGTATTCTCTTTTTATTTTTTTCATTGCTTTTGTAATTCAGATTGTATTAGAAATTAGAGGAAGGTTGAAACTAGGTATATGGTGACCAAGGTGTGGAAGATGGAATTCATCCTCTTTTCTCCAGGTTTTTTGAGTGGAAGTTCTGACAATAGGGACAGTTGTGTCACTGTGTTCTATGCAGTGTCATTTTATTTTCCTGAAAACATTTGTCCTTGCTACAAGTAGATTAGAGGTTAGAATGCAGGATTGGCAGGCAGGATTTGTGGTTTCTATTTTTAGCCCTGCCACAATTTTATTGCACAAGGGTGAGTCCTAAGCAGTGTGGTTTATTGGAGAGAGAACTCGATTGGAACTGGCTCTCCTGTGAATGAATGATACTGAGCACCATAGCTGAGCATCAGCCGAGAGGAAGGGTCCAGACTAGTGTGAGCCCCTCCATCACCAAATACAAGCGTTCCTATAACTAATGTATGTGATTCACTACTCTGCAGGAGGACCTGCAGAACAATCCCATTGGGCCTCTTTTCACAACTTTCTACAGTGGGAACAGAAGCCACTCTTTTAAAAGGATTCAGCCAAAGGAAGAAGGACCTTCAGTTGTTGAGGTTGTTTTGATTTGTTTTGTTTTTGAGGCAGAGTATCACTCTGTCATCCAGGCTGGAGGGCAATGGAGCAATCTTGGCTCACTGCAACCTCCACCTCCCGGGCTCAATTGATTCTCATGCCTCAGCCACCCAAGTAGCTGGGATTATAGATGAGTGCCACCACGCTAGGCTAATTTTTGTATTTTTAGTAGAGACGAGGTTTCACCATGTTGGTCAGGCTAGCCTCAAACTCCTGAACTCAAGTGATCTGCCCGCCACAGCCTCCCAAAGTATTGGGATTACAGGCGCGAGCCACTGCACCTGGCCAACCTTGAGTATTTCATTCTGAATATGTTTCAGGGTCTGTGCACAGACCTACAGGTCTCCACTTAATGAGAATGAGAGAGAGAGACAGGGAGAGAAGTAGGTCAAAAGAACAGTACGTTATTTGAAGATGTAGGGATGGAGTGGGGGTAATATGTTTTTGGATGATCACTGGTGTTTCCTTGACTTCAGATAACATGATTCAGACTGGGCCAAAGAGTTTAGAAAGCAAAGGGGAGAGAAAAATTATCGTGTACACTCTAACTCCAAAAGAGACCTGTAGTAGCCTTCTGAGCTTAAAGGAATGAATTGAACCAAATATGTTCAAAAGACATTGGATCAGCCTTGCACTGTTCCCAGATAGCATAGACCCAAGACCTCTCCGTTCTGTTCAGCATACCTGAAGACACCTACGCTCAGGTCTAATCCAATCTAGGACCTAGCAGTACCTCAGCCTGGAGAGACAAATAACTTTGGCCCTGGATTCTGAGTCTCAGCATCTACGGCTTTACTTTCCTAGCCCCGAGCCATCTTTATTAGATAATTGTGCTTTTGCCTTCTTCTCCATTAATGAAGCCCCATGTAACCTAACCTAGTCCCTCTAGAAATACATACAATAAACTTGACTTAATTCATTTATTCCATCATTTATCCACTCAAGATATATGTATGCATGCTTATTATGTGCCAAACACTGTGCTATGCCTGTGGACAGAGTGGCAGCAACAAAAGCCAATAAGACAAAACTGCATGATCTTTGCTTGATGGGAGACAGGGCCAAAAAAAAAATTACACATATAGGATATATAATTACAACCCGAGGGAAGTGCTGGGAAGGAAAAGGCAGGCTGCCATATGAGCATTGAAGCCCCAGGCAGGTGGTGGAGGACGTGACATCTGAAGATAAATACCCTGAATGCCAACCACCTGCCATCCTGGGCTTCTGGACGTGGCCCACCCTCAGTGTCCCCATTCCCTCCCACTCCTAAGAAGTTCCTCCTAGAACATCCGCTGGGCCACCTCCCTGGAAAATGCTGACCCTGTCTTCATTACAGCCCGCCCTAGCTCCCTCAAACCACAGTGACCTCATCTGAACTCAATTATGAAATTCTGACACTTAGACTTTAGCAACTGGCCCTACCACAAGAAAAAGTTTTCATTCTTTTCTCAAGATAAATTTTAAAGCAAAACTAAACCCAAGTTGGTGGGAGCAGAACAGATCTGTCTGAGAACAAGGGGAGCACCCTGAGGCAGCACAGGGCTGATGCTTGGTGGCTTCTCTTCTCCTCTCTGCCCTTTGAGATGGAATGTGGGGCAGGCAGAAAGCACTACTCTCCAGGTCAGGAGACCTGCACCCTGGCTTGTCCACTAAACTTGTCAGCTGTATCCATCTCTACGGGTCCCTGAGGAGGTTTGATTTGCTTAGGTTTGAGGTGAGTGTGTCTGCTGCACACATTTACTGGTCCTTTTTAAAAGCTGAAAATTTAACAATTTGTTTTTAGGCTGTATCAAAATGTCACTTCTCTGTCAAAATGACTACGTCTCAATGCCTTGTCCACTTTGTGTATGATTGGTGACAGCCCAGCACCCTGTCACTCTAAGCCATCACTCTGGTTCTTGGGTAACAAGCTGAGTAACCCAATAAGAAAGGATCAGGGCTAAATATAGAAGGACATAGTTGTAGAAAGGGAGAGAGTCTGAGACTTTGTGTTTAGCTGTGAATACATTTTTTCTTGATTTTTCTTGTTGGTATTAATGACATTCTATTCCATTGAAATTAATATTTAATGAACAATAATAATGGGCCAGGCACTTGGCTAGGATCTGGGAATAAAATGATAAATAAGATTGCCCAAGCCTCAAACAGCTTAGAACCACCCAGAGAAAATACAATTAAGTATATAATTACAATAGGGTATATTCAATCTCAAAGGTAGAATCCCTAAGGGGCCTCCATCCCAGATATGGGAAATAGAGAAGGGCTTATCTTAGAAGAAGGGATCTCAGTTAAGGCTGCTGCTATCTACTTACTTTTTCTTTTTAATGGCAGTTGAATGGCATGAAGTTGATGGCTCATAATTTATTCAAACATTCTTCAGTTGTGAAAAATTTAGACTTTTGTGCTCAGGCTCTCTCGCTCTCTTTTTTGATTGTAAATAATACTGTCATTAGACAGCCCTAGCAGGTCATTTGTCACTCTAGTGGGCCTCATTGTTACTTATCAAATGAGTTGGGCTGATGTAGTTTAACAGAACTCATTCATCTCTAAACCTTTATGAAATGCAACCTTACGTAGATGACTTCACTTTCCAGATTGTAAACAGGCAAAAAAACACATCTGTGGACCACTTCCTTCTGACACACAGCCTGTAATTTTTATATATTTCTTCCTTCCAATAATCGGTGTATATGGAGACTGAATTAATTGTAGTTTTCATTTAAATAAAGCATAATTATAATAGTAAATCTCCACATGGTTTCATGAAAGAAAATCATATAATGCATTCTAAGATCAAATATAAATTATTTGGAATTAGCTGCATTTTTAAAAGTATCTATGCCATTGTTCCTTGAGTAGAAATGGTTTGGTTATTATCTGTGGTTTGTATTATCTCTGTTTTTTCTCCACTGGGACATATAGTAATTGAAAGTTGAGTGCAGACTTTACAATTATGTTTTCGAATTGATCAAATCATCTTAGAGTTGCTGTGTAAAGCTTAATTAATGCTTTTTAAATGCTTTAAGATCTTATTAAAGGCATCGAAAGAAAGTTTTATTCTGAATTCTGAAATATTAGACTTCCACATTATATCTATAAAGAATATGAGGTTTCTTTTATGTCAAAATCTGCTAAAGCAAAGTAGAGAAGGAAAGAATTGAGGAAATGATATTCTCCAAAATAAAACATAAATGATGACATTTCCACTCTGCTCTTTTGTGCAATGCATTGCCTAGGAGAATCATTTCAAACTTCAAAGCTCTTGTAATTTACATCTTAGAATTTATGATGCCTAGATTCATTGTGTGCCACACTTACCAAAAGATGACCTCCAATATTCAATCAGAGAAGTTTCCTGTGCAATTTACTCTATGCCTGTGAGCAAAAAAAAAAAAAAAAAAAAACTAAAATATGCTATTCCTGGCTGGGTGCAGTGGCTCAGGCCTATAATCCCAGCATTTTGAGAAGCTGAGGTGGGTAGATCACCTGAGGTCAGGAGTTCAAGACCAGCCTGGCCAACATGGTGAAACCCCATCTCTACTAAAAAATACAAAAAATAAATTAGCCGGGCATAGTGGTGCATGCCTGTAGTCCCAGCTACTCAGGAGGCTGAGACAGGAGAATTGCTGGAACCCAGGAGGCGGAGGTTGCAGTGAGCCGAGATCATGCCAATGCACTCCAGCCTGGGTGACAGAGTGAGACCCCATCTCAAAAAAAAAAAAAAAAAGATTCATTTTTAATCCCAGCACTTTGGGAGGCCTAGGTGGGCAGGTTGCCTGAGGTCAGGAGTTTGAGACCAGCCTAGACAACATGGTGAAACCTCATCTCTACTAAAAATACAAAAATTAGCTGGGCCTGGTGGCGGGCACCTATAATCCCAGCTACTTTACAGGCTGAGTCAGGAGAATTGCCTGAACCTGGGAGGAGGAGGTTACAGTGAGCTGAGATTGCACCACTGCACTCCAGCCTTGGTGACAGAGTGAGTTGTTTTGAGTAGTGGGTATGTGGGTGTATACAATTGCCAAAGTTCTCAAAATGAACCCTTAAGGTCAGTGCATTGTATGTAAATTAAATCATAATTAAATATTTTAAAAGTCTTATGTGTTCTTTTTTAGTTTTTTAAAGAAGGGGTCTCACTGTGTTGTCCAGGCAGCGGCATGATCCTAGCTCACTGCAGCCTCAAACTCCTGGGCTCAAGCAATCCTCCCACTTCAGCTTCCCAAGTAGCTGGAACTCCAGGCATGCACCACTGCACCCGGCAAATTCTAATTACATTGCTTTTCTAGAATTTATATTTAAAAGGTAATCTTAGAATCCCCATCTTCATTTTGCAGATTTTTTTAATATGCTTCTTAAAATTTGCATTATTTTTGTAAATTACACCACAACATGTGTTACATTATGGGTGAAATGATATCAGATTCTCTTCAAAAATTAGAGAAATTTGGCTTGCTGTATTTGTTTTGTGAATTAGTTCACATGGCAGCAGCGTGCTCTCTCCTTCATAAGCATTCACACAAACTACAGGGATGTCAACAGGACATCTGTTTTGTTTTTGTCCTTGGTGGCGGTAAAGCTTTGTGCTGACCCATTCACACACTCTCACCTGGCCTCCAATAACCCAGCACACATATCTGTGAGACAGTTGGTGAGAGTTAGGGATTTAATCTGTGGCGACTGGAGCTGAAGTACTCTCACTAAGTGTATTTGACGATATGGAAATGAGAACCCTGACCTTGGCCTCGTTAGCACTCTCTTCCAAACAGCTAAGTGAATCAGCCATTGGCACGTACCAGTAATAAACTGAAAACATATGGAGTTGAGAGTGACATTAAGGGGCACAATCGGTCATTCTTTTCCCTTTAAGCCCTTGGTGATATGATGCAAATTCTCAAGCTTTCTAATACCCAGAATCACACTCCCATCACCATTGCTGTCCTGCTTTCTTCTTCTGCACCCACAAATATACAAGTAGGACGTATGACTTTTACTCCACAAACAAGAATGTATGAAAAATGTCACAATACTTCATTTTGGTTGAAAATCAAAATACAGCTGGGTGCGGTGGCTCACGCCTGTAATCCCAGCACTTTGGGAGGCCGAGGCAGGTGGATCACCCGAGGTCGGGAGTTCAAGACCAGCCTGACCAACATGGTGAAACCCCATCTCTACTAAAAATACAAAAATTAGCCGGGCACGGTGGCGGGTTCCTGTAATCCCGGTTATCCAGGAGGCTGAGGTGGGAGAGTCACTTGAAGCAGGGAGGTGGAGGTTTCAGTGAGCCAAGATCATACCACTGAACTCCAGCCTGGGTGACAGAGTGAGGCCCTGTCTCAAAAAAAAAAAAAGAAAAGAAAATCAAAATACACTTGATTATAAGTCCTCATCTTACTGGGCCTTCCAATGTTGTGCAAAAGCCCCTGGGAACTTACCCAGAGCACCTCATTTGGACCTAGCCTCTTGTCCTCAATTCATAGCGATCACCACCTGTGTACTCATGTCCAAACTCCTGCGATCCCTTAAGGTCAGACAGCTCTGTTTATTCCTGCCAAGCCTGGCACAGAAATCTTTGCCAGGGCTGAAGGATTCCAAATCTAATATTCAGCCTCTTACCACATAGTTATTCCTCTCCAAGCTCCTCCCCAACATGCTTCAAGAGTGCTGGGCATGGGTCTTTACTTGAAGAACACGCTGAAGGCCAACATTCTTTCTTCATCTTAAAGAGTCTCTCCATTCTCTCCTGTTTCTGCTTCTATCCTTCTTCCTAAGCATTCTTGGATTAGGATTTGCAGCGTTCTTTCTTCCAAAGCAAATCTTGGGTTAGCATTTGGAGAGGGGAAAAAGGAGAAAAATAAAACAAGAAAATATAAATTAATATCTCAATTATGCAAACATAGGCACACATTGTAAGAATATCACCAATATCTTGTTTTTTATTTTATTGTATTTTATTTTATTTTATTTTATTTATTTATTTTGAGACGGAGTCTTGCTCTGTCACTAGGCTGGAGTGCAATGGTGCAATCTCTGCTCATGCAACCTCTGCCTCCCAGGTTCAAGCGATTTTCCTGCCTCAACCTCCCGAGTAGCTGATATTGCAGGTGACCGCTACCATGCCCGACTAATTTTTGTATTTTTAGTAGAGACATGGTTTTGCCATGTTGGCCAGGCTGGTCTCGAACTCCTGACATCATGATCTGCCCATCTGGGCCTCCCAAAGTGCTAGGATTACAGGTGTGAGCCACCACGGCTGGCCAATATCACCAATATCAATGTATCAATCAAGATAGCTGGTTTTGGTTTGAAACTCTATTACTGATCAGCTGTGAGAACTTAGACAAGTTACCTAAATACAGAGAGCCTCGCTTTCCTCATCTGCACAATGAGGCTAAGCATTAGCCCAACTATTTTACAAGTCTAGTTTGAGGACGAAAGTAAACAGCAATAACCCTGTACCATTTATAGAGTTTGTTTTCCATTTATTTAATTCATATACTTTTCCATATAATCTGAGGATGTGACAGCATTTTATAATTAGCAAAAAAAAAGGGCACAAAAGTTATATAACATTGTGTTTTTTAAATAAAGATCCAGCAATCATATCTGGATTTTTTTAAAGTCTCTTCCATCCCCGCCCCCATCTACCACATTACATATTGCATATTCCCACTTTCTATTAATTGTGAAGAACATTATTTTAATTATTTTCCCATTGTCTCTAAGATCCAAGCCCAGCCTTCTATATGATGGTCCTATATTCTGGCAACTAGTAATTTAAGCTTTTTTCTCTACATCAGTTTAAAGGGACTACCAGAAGACACCTTTATCATCTTGTCTCAAGGCTATGTCGAGTCTCATGTCATAATCCAGTGTGCAGGAACCTTGGTTCCACTAGAGATCAAACTGGTCGACTGCATGGGGGACATCATGATGTCTGGATCTAAGGAACAGTAGGTAGCATGTATATCAGGTGCCTAGTTAAGATACAAGAGGCTGGGCGCATTGCCTCACAGCTGTAATCCCAGCACTTTGGGAGGCCAAGGCAGGCAGATAACCTGAGGTCCGGAGTTCGAGACCATCCTGACCTACATGGAGAAACCCCGTCTCTACTAAAAATACAAAGTTAACCGAGTATGGTGGCGCATGCCTGTAATCCCAGCTACTCAGGAGGCTGAAGCAGGAGAATCACTTGAACCCGGGAGGCGGAGGTTGCAGTGAGCCAAGATCGCCATTGCACTCCAGCCTGGGCAACAAGAGTGACACTCCATCTCAAAAAAAAAAGAAAAAAAAGATACAAGCTTGTCGGAAGGTAGAAATATTAACCCCATGAAATCCAGAAGCCAGCTACCTGAGTGAAGTTTCTAGAGATCTAACATTCTGGATCATATTAAGATATTCCCCACAAAGTGGAAGACAAGTTGGTACCTTGCACCAACTATAACAAAGAAAGATTTTCAGTGTTAGCCTCTATTTTGGAGGCAAGATACAGCACATTTGAGTGTGCTGCTCTGACCAATTTAGCATAATATTAATACAACCAGCTTTGAGTGGTGACCAACTGAGAGCTAGTCCGGAATGTAGACTGTAGACGCATCCAGCACCAGCACGTGCAAGGCAAGGGCCATGTGGCCCAGCAGATCCAGTAGCACCTGATGTTTCTATAGTAAACAGGGATGCTGTGTGGAGCCTATGGCAAACCTTAAGAGGATAACCATGTGCATATTCCTAGCGTTTGAAGTAAAGATGTGGCCTCTTTTCTAGATAACTGTTTTCCTTTTAAGAAACTTCTCCTGTCTTGCTATTGAGCTTTTGTTTGTTTCTTTCTTTGTTGGTTTGGGTTTTTTTGAGACAGAGCCTCGCTCTGTCGCCCAGGCTGGTGTGCAGTGGCGTGACCTTGGCTCACTGCAACCTCTGCCTCCCAGGTCCAAGCAATTGTCCTGCCTCAGCCTTCCGAGTAGCTGGGATTACAGGCGTGCGCCATCACATCCGGCTAATTTTTGTATTTTTGGAAGAGACAGGGTTTCACCATGTTGGCCAGGCTGGTCTTGAACTCCTGGCTTCAAGTGATCCACCCCCTCCAGGCCTCCCAAAGTGCTGGGATTATAGGCGTTAGCTACCACATCTGGCCACTATTGAGCTTTATAGAGACTGAACACCTGGCCATGTCACCTGAGCTGCCCACAATTGACTAGGTGTTATCTGATTCATTAGGCCACACAATTAAGCATGCATGGCAATACTTCATCACCAAGTGGAAATGGTACACACCAAACCAGACTCCAGCAGATTCTGAAGCAACAATGTAGTCACGTGTACTGAAGGCTCGGGCTCCTATGGCACATTCTTCTGCAGCATTGCCATCTTTCCTTCATCCAGTGTTAGGTTTTTATGGTGATCTCCCTGTGAACAAATTGCTGAAGAAGAATCTGGTTTATAGATTTCTTTTTTTCCAGTACACTGGCAAGCTAGGAATAGAGCATTATAGCCACGATAAGAAGTGTGCTAAAACAAACAAACACACTAAGAAAGAGAAATCCTGACCGAACGCAGTGGCTCATGCCTGTAATCCCAGCACTTTGGGAGGCTGAGCTGGATGATCACCTGACGTTGGGAGTTCAAGACCAGCTTGGCCAACATGGTGAAACTCTGTCTCTACCAAAAAAAAAAAAAAAAAAAAGAAAAGAAAAGAAAAAAGAAAGAAAAAGAAAAAGAAAAGAGAAATCCTTTCAGTGGAAAGACTTTAAGCAACATTATCTCCTTGTCCGCTTTGGATTGAGAGATGGCCTGAGATACGGATGGACGTTTACTGCTTCGTGTATAATGGCTAATGGTTTGGCTGAACAATCAGGAATTTAGAAAGAAAGGATTAGAATATTGTCTGCAAAGCAGTATGTGGACGGACCTCTTAATTGTCAGAGCATGAGGGTATTTAAGTGTTGTGCGAACGCTCACAAAGGCATCTGCTACAGAGCTCTCAATAATCAGGTAGGAAGGATGGCTTATTCAATGGATGTCTGTCAGCTTATTTCTCCAAACAGGTACTTGCTCAATAGATTCATATACAAAAGACCATGCCAGCAAGGACGAAGGCTGCATATGGGCTCAGCACCATAGACTTCCCATTGGTGATCTGCTCACCACCACCATTAAGTGCTTAAGCTGACAGTAGCAGAGGCCAACACACGTTTCTATTATACCACCATTTGGTAGGGAAGGGGGACAATCCAGGCACCAGCGGCACTGAACCACTTCCATCATGAGGAGCTCTAGTTGTCTTCCCCAGAATAGACACTTAATCTGGATATTGATTTGTTTTATTTGGTTGCAATATTTCTGCCAACACACTATCCATGGACTTATGGATTGCCTTATCCACCTTCATGGTATCCCACGCAACATTGTTCAGGCTAAGGAACTCATTAAAAAAGAAAAGAAAAAAGTATAGCAATGGGCTCATGCCCATGGAACTCACTGGTCTTATCACTAACTCTTAGAAAGATCTGGCCTCGGTTGGGTGTGGTGGCTTACGCCTGTAATCCCAGCACTTTGGGAGGCCAAGGCAGGTGGATCACCTGAGGTCAGGAGTTCGAGACCAGGCTGGCCAACATGGTGAGACCCCGTCACTACTAAAAATACAAAAAATTAGCCAGGCATGGTGGTGCATGCCTGTAATCCCAGCTACATGGGAGGCTAAGGCAGGAGAATCACTTGAACCCACAAGGTGGAGGTTGCAGCGAGCCGAGACAGCTTCCACTACACTCCAGCCTGAGTGACAGAGTGAGACTCTGTCTCAAAAAAAAAAAAAAAAAAAAAGGATCTGGCCTCAGAGAAAAGGTAGAATGGTCTCCTAACGACTCAGTTGAGAGAACATCTGTGGGGTGAAATCACTATCCTACGAGATGCAGTATATGCACTTAAAACTGTGACCAATACGTGGTGCTTCTTTCCCCATAGCCAGAATCTATGGTTCTGGAAATAAAGAGGTAAAAATGACAATAGTTGCTCTCACTGTTCCTCCCAATAACCCACTTATAGAATTTTTGCTTCCTATTCCCATAGCTTTGTGTTCCACTTGTTAGAGAGCTTGGTTCCTAAAGGAAGAATGATTCTAGCAGGGAAACAACAATTGTTCTATTGAATTGGAAGTTGAGATTACCATCTGGCAATTTCAGTTCCTTGTGTCACTGAACGAACAGACAAAGGAAGAGGTTACTGCACTGGTTGGGGTGATTGCTTCTGTTTAGCTGTATTGGCTGCTGCACAGTGTGGCCGGGGCATACTAGATCTGGAGCTGAAGGGACTCTCTAAGGCATCTCTGTCATTTTTTATGCCTGATAAAGACAGGGCTTTGGGCTGGATGCAGTGGGACACGCCTGCAATCCCAGCACTTTGGGAGGCCGAGGTGGGTGAATCATTTGGGGTCAGGAGTTTGAGACCAGCCTGGCCAACCTGGTGAAACCCTGCCTCTACTAAAAATACAAAAATTAGCCAGGCGTGGTGATGTGCGCTTGTAATCCCAAGTACTCAGGAGGCTGAGGCAGGAGAATGGCTTGAACCCGGGAGGCGGAGTTTGCAGTGAGCTGAGATTGCGCCACTGTTCTCCAGCCTGGTGACAGAGTGAGCCCCCATCTCAAAAATAAAAATAAATAAAAAAAAATAAAGGTGGGGGGCTGAAAAAACCTCAGACCCTTCCGGGTCACTTCACTAGATAAAGAATACTGACCAGCTGGCGGAAGGCAAGGGAAATGTAGAATAGGTAGTAGAAAAAGGAATTTATAAATATTAACTGTGGCTTTGTGACCAGTTCCAGAAATAAAGTAGTGGATACGAATACTTTTGTCTTCATTTGTTTCTCTTCTTTTTTTCCTCCTAACTTTCAAATATTTTATATAAACACTGTTGGTGATAATTAACTTTATAATATATAAAGAGTATATAAATGTATATACACTATATATATATATATATTCTCTTATGAATAAAAACAATAATTAACATCACCCAGAGATGAATGTGAAGAGTGTTAAGAGATTTGTAACTCCATTTTAGGGGTAGAAGTTGAAAGCATGTTTTCAAAGGGAAGTTACAACTTGCTACCAGAAGCATGAAGTTACTATTGCTGCAGTAGAGAAGTTTTCAAATGGGTAGAGGATGATATGTGGATGCTTGGTACCCAACGGGAGGATCTGTGATGCTTATTCACCTACCGCCTCTCAGCCCCAGATGCAGCTTCTACACAGTGCTCTGTGATGCTGGGGTTAGGGATATGAGAACCATATTTCTTTTCTTTTTATAGACAGTCTTGCTCTGTCGCCCAAGCTGGTGCTCTTGGCTCACTGCAACCTCCACCTCCCGAGCTCAAGCGATTCTCCTGCCTCAGCCTCCCGAGTAGCTGGGACTACAGGTGCGTGCCACCACGCCTGGCTAATTTTTGTATTTTTTAGTAGAAATGGGGTTTCACCATGTTGGCCAGGCTAGCCTCGAACTCCTGATCTCAGGTGATCCGCCTGCCTCGGCCTCCTAAAGTGCTGGGATTACAAGTGTGAGCCACCATGCCTGGCCGCGAACCACATTTCTAAGACTCTTTTTACCAACTTTCGCCAGTTAAATTCTGCCAGTGAGAGGCATTGAGGGAACTATGAAAGGGAGAAGGGGAGAGGAGATACTTTTCCTGCCTTTGGCCATCGTCAGCATCTCTCCAGCACAGACACAGCAAAGCCTCTAGCATCTTTTGGCACCCCGAGGATGGCCAGGCCAAATCCCCTCTGGGTCTGGACATCAGCTGCACAGTGGCCTCCTAGAAGCCCACACAGTTTCTAGCATAGCCATGAGGCACCTCTGCAGAGGCTTCAGCCAGCTGGGCAGGTGCTCTCAGTGACTGGGCACAGCTGTGTGACACCCTCTTAGCAGCCTCAATAACAACTAAGCCACGGCCTCTCCCCAAACCCCAGTCTGAGGCAGTGGCTCCTCATAGCTGTAGGGATGGTAGCTACTTATGATTTTCATAATCTCTTGGTTAGTTCGCTATCCTTTTTTTTTTTCAGGCTAGTAATTCCTTGTATTTACCCGCCTCTGTTTAAAACATCCAGTATGGTTTCTCTTTTCCTAACTGGATCTCAACAGATACCAGCATATATTTTTTATGTTGATAATAAAAAATTTAAAATACACACAGAGTCCAAATAAAAATATTTAATATTTGTGAACATCTTTTATTAGTTTGAGTTTTTAAAAAATTAAACCTCCTCCAGAATTCAACCTCCTTCTGTTGCTGGACAGTGTGAGACCTCAGTTTCCCTTGGGATCACGTCGCCATGTTAGTCTTCCTGGTGGCATTTTGCCCAGCTTCTAGTCTTTTTCCCACAAATACAAAAACAGGCTATATAGCCCCTTCTAGAGTACTGAGGGCAAAGACTAAAAGCGTTATTCGATGTGAATATAGGGAAGTCAAAACAATGACTTTTCAAAAATTGCAGCCTCAGTGTGTATCCATTACACAGAATGCGTCTACTTCTCAGTTCATATGGCATAAAAACACAGGGGTTCACTGCCTGTCTTTGGGGATGGGGTCACGTGGGCCAATAGCGGGACTGACACGTGAACTTCCTAGTCCTGCCAAATGTCATGAGGAGAGTGGCGATTTAAGCAGACATGCATGCCAGTGCAACACGGAAGAAACTTCTTAAGGCACTGGCTCCTAAGAGAAGCATTCTTCCCCGGGAATGTGCCGACATGTACGGGCTTCCTAGAAGTTCTATACAGTTGGGGCAGTTTCAAAATGAGACAATGAGCAGAAAAATCGCAGCGCATCCCCCCTTTGCCTTCCATTTTATTTCTGCGGCCCCCACCCTCCAACGGAGGGAAGCTTTGTAAGCTGAAATGAAAAAAGGCATCTACAATAAAATGAGGGATCCCACTGCCACTGGTATTGAAATTCCTACTGTGGCTAACGAGCAATAGCAAACATTTAAAAATATGCTTCACTATCCCTTATTCAGTTCATCCGCAGGAGAGGAGATGTTTCCATTGCACTTGGGAGAACAGGGACTTGGGTTTCATGTCTGCAGATGGGCTACAGGCACATACAAGATAATGTGCTCTTGCCGGGTGCAGTGGCTCACGCCTGTAATTCCAGCACTTTGGGAGGCTGAGACGGGCGGATCACGAGGTCAGAAGATCGAGATCATCCTGGCTAACACGGTGAAACCCCGTCTCGACTAAAAATACAAAAAATTAGCCTGGCGTGGTGGCGGGCGCCTGTAGTCCCAGCTACTTGGGAGGCTGAGGCAGGAGAATGGCGTGAACCCGGGAGGCAGAGCTTGCAGTGAGCCCAGATCGCGTCACTGCACTCCAGCCTGGGTGACAGAGCGAGACTCCGTCTCAAAAAAAAAAAAAAAAAGATAATGTGCTCTTTCACACTGCTGTGAGAGACCTCCCCACAGCATATTCCCAATGGGTTATAATTTTAAAAGAGGCTCTTTGATTTAAAAAAAAAAAGGCCTCCTCTAGTTTGCAGTGAGCCGAGTTCGCAGTCGCTGCACTCCAACCTGGGAGACAGAGCCAGACTCCATCTCAAGAAAAAAAAGACTTCCTCTAACTTGAGTCGTGTTATCAATCATACCAGCTTTAGTAATTGTCAAGCCACAGAAGGAAGAATGGAGAGGAAAAAATAATCCAGCAATTTTAAAATATTTTGAAGTGCAAAAAAGGGAGATCATGGCCTCGTCTTACATGGAACATGCTATTTACTATAAGAAAAGCCATTTTGTCCATTGCCCTACCGATGAGGTAGGAGGGGGAAAGTATTTTTTGCATGTGAAAACAGCACAGGAATATTAAGAAAGTTGTGTTGTTTCTTACTCCTGAGAAAGTCTTTCAGAGTCTTTTCTGCCAGTCTTTCTAGAAGTACTTTATCAAATAGATTCTCTTCTTTTTGCCCCAAATCATAGAAGCAGAATAAAATGCTCCACTGAGAATACTGAGAATGGAGATTTAAGATGTGAGAGGACTAGAAGAAGTATCGAAACCCAGAAGAAATGTCACCTCTCCCAGGAAGCATTAGCTTCTTCCTTTGTGCTTCCGCGTTCACATCTGTTGTAGTTATTTGCTTGGACTCTATCTCTTTGCTGGAGGGCAGGAAACATGTCTTCTTCAGCTTGGTGTTTTCCCAGCATTAGCCAGGACCTAGCACAAGGAGGGTTCAATAAATGTTTAGCAAGTAATGATTGAACAAAGAAAGGCAGGCTTTGAAACCAGATCTTAAACTAACCTCAGTAATGAACCTGCCTGGATAGTCAGGATAAAGTTGTTGGCAGAGGTTTAAAACATTCTTAAAGCGCATTACCCAAAGCATCAGGATTTTAGCAATAAGATAAGGAATGATCTCGAATCTAGAGGCCCAGGTCAAAAACAGAATGAGGGAAAGGGAAGATAGTGGGAAAGGCTGCCCACTGATTTTATGTGTCCCATAACCCTAGAGACCATGCTTCTGAAAGCCATCTCACAACTCCCTTTGAGCATTAGGATGTCAACTGCCAAGATAAACCCAAGTGCATGATAAAGCACACACACACAGATTTGCATAAAATTTAATGTCTTTCCTGTCAAGGAGTCAGCCTTCTGGCAATGAGAACTATTTCTTAAATTATCTACTCGCAAAGAAAAAAACAAATCTCCAGACAGGAAGCAGTGAGAAAAAAATGGTGAACTGTTGAAGTCCTGAAACAACAACCAGTTCAAAATGATTAACTCTTTGTGATCTAGAAAGAAAGAAATGCACCTTTATGTTTCTGGATAGGATGACGGCTCTCGCAGTCAGACTGCAGAGAGGGTTCTTGCAGTGTTCCCCTCAGAGTCTCTTGATACTAACCAGCTCTGGAAATCAAGATCCCGGTGACTACCTGGAGAATGAAGGGCTGCCTGCACATTTAACATCCCTCCAAATTGTGCTCCTCA
Organism: Homo sapiens; assembly: GCF_000001405.40. Lineage (NCBI taxonomy): Eukaryota > Metazoa > Chordata > Mammalia > Primates > Hominidae > Homo > Homo sapiens. Next base: position 177,320,657 of record NC_000003.12, on the reverse strand, counting down.
TTCTTGGGATGGGCATCTGCTCTGATTCTGATGGTATTTTTGCCAGTTTCCCCCTAAGGAACTAGAGCTTTATGCCTATCTCAAAAAAGGTGATGAAGGCCTTCTGAGATGGTAACCAGGTAGCCTAACATCAAAGTACCACCCTCTTTGGATTCCCTACTCTTTAATCCTGTTGCCTTTAGCTATTAAAATAATGCACAGAAAAAAAGCAAGAGAATTAGCTTACTTATGGACTGTAAATGTTTTTAAAAGCCTATATAAAATGTGGCTGGGCACGGTGGCTCACGCCTGTAATCCCAGCACTTTGGGAGGCCGAGGCAGGTAGATCACAAGGTCAGGAGATCGAGACCATCCTGGCTAACACGGTGAAACCTCATCTCTACTAAAAATACAAAAAAATTAGCCAGGCGAGGTGGCGGGTGCCTGTAGTCCCAGCTACTTGGGAGGCTGAGGCAGGAGAATGGCGTGAACCCAGGAGGCGGAGCTTGCAGTGAGCCGAGATTGCGCCACTGCACTCCAGCCTGGGCGACAGAGCAAGACTCAGTCTCAAAAAAAAAAAAAAAAAAGCCTATATAAAATGTGATCAATCAAATCTAATGCTACAGATTAAAATGATACACAATTAGGAAACATTATAATGGCTGGATCCGACTCTAACACCTGAAATCACTTATCAATACTGAGATCACTAAAAGTAGGATAACCAAATTTTATGTGCCTTGTCATGTGGTACAAAATCAACGATACAGAACCATGCATGGAATAGTCTTGAACTTTAATCTAATCAGGCCTCTAGGTCTAACCGCCAAGTAATAGGAAATGCAGGGGAGAAGGGATGCATTTATAACCACAAAGATGCAATCAACCAACTCTTGAATATAGGAGATGCACCGAGTGACCCCATTTCTTCAACAAAGCATGAAAAAAATGAAAAGAGAGAGCTGTTGTTGATTAAGAGACTGCTTTAAACCAACAATTCACACACAAAAAAAGAAACAATATTTGAGCCAATTGGAGAAAATTGAACTTAGGTCATTAATCGTGACCCTATGAGATTATTTTTATTTTTATTTTTATTTTTTTTTTGAGACAGAGTCTCACTGTCGCCCAGGTTGGAGTGCAGTGGTGCGACCTCGGCTCACTGTAGGCTCCGCCCCCGAGGGTTCACCCCATTCTCCTGCCTCAGCCTCCAGAGTACCTGGGACTACAGCTACTTGATCTCCTGACCTCACGATCTCCTGACCTCGTGATCTGCCCGCCTCGGCCTCCCAAAGTGCTGGAATTACAGGCGCGAGCCACCGCGCCCGGCCAAGATGATTATTAATTGGCACTTTTGCTACATGTGATAATGGCATTGTGTGCTTGTGCTTAAAAAGTTAGGATTTTGGCAGGGTGCAGTGGCTCACGCTTGTAATCGCAGCACTTTGGGAGGCCCAGGTGGGCGGATCACCTGAGGTCAGGAGTTCGAGACCAGCCTGGCCAACATGGTGAAACCCCATCTCTACTAAAAATACAAAAATTAGCTGGGCATGATGGTGCGCACCTGTAATCCGAGCTACTCAGGAAATTGAGGCAGGAGAATCACTTGAACCCGGGAAGCGGAGGTTGCAGTGAGCCAAGATCGCGCCGCTACACTCCAGCCTGGGTGACAGAAAGACTCTGCCTAAAATAATAAATTAATTAATTAAAAGTTCTGATTTTAGGGGTAAAATGGTAGATTTCTAGGATTTGCTTTAAAATACTCAACCAAAAAGGGAAGAGGGAGAGAACAGATGAAACAAGAGTAGTGATAATTACTGAATTTGGGCGTAGGTTACATAGGATTCACTATGTCATTCTCTAGACTCTGGAGTATGTTTGAAATTTCTATAAGTAAAACAAACTATAATTAACACCAGAACCAAATAAGGGGATTTCCAGAAATGCAAAAATGATTTGACATCAAAAATATTTTACCATGACAAAAAGTTAAAGGAGAAAAGCCATTTGATCACCTTAACAGGTGTTGAAAAGGTCTTTGAAAAAGTCAATATATAGTCCTAATTTAAATAACCAAAAAAAGGAAAAACTACAGAGGATTTGCTAAATATATTAGGGTACCTATACCTGATAAAACTATGCATTTATTTAAAATGATGTTGTGGAAGAATGACTAGTAACATGAAAATACATTCATGAATGTACTAAGAGAAAAAATTTTTACCCAAAAGAGAAACGTATGACTTAATAGAATATTAATATATCTACAAAAATGTTAAGAGTGGTTATGGACCGGGTGCGGTGGCTCACGCCTGTAATCCCAGCACTTTGGGAGGCCGAGGCAAGCGGATCATGAGGTCAGGAGATCCAGACCATCCTGGCTAACACGGTGAAACCCCGTCTCTACTAAAAATACAAAAAATTAGCCGGGCGTGATGGCAGGCGCCTGTAGTTCCAGCTACTCAGGAGGCTGAGGCAGGCGAATGGCATGAACCTGGGAGGTGGAGCTTGCAGTGAGCCAAGATCGCACCACCGCACTCCAGCCTGGGCAATAGAGCGAGACTCTGTCTCAAAAAAAAAAAAAAAAAAGAGTGGTTAGATGTGGGTTTGGGTTTGGGTTTGCTTGTGACTTTCATTTTCTTTTTTGTACTTAGCTATGTTTTCCAAAATGTCTATGGCGAGCCTATGTTATCTTTTTAATCAAGGGAAAGCATACAATGTTATTTTAATTTTGAAATTTCAGACTCTTGTGGTCATTTCTGCAGTTATGAATACACCAATGAACTCTCATCTTACCAACATTTTTTTTTTATTTTGCCCAGAAGTCTATCCATCCCAAGAGACTTGTCAAATGCCTTGTTGGAATTAAAATCCATAGTGTTTGTAGTATTCCCAATGTAATATCATAATTGTAATAAAAATCAGAGGCCCTGTTAAAAAATAGTGTTCATATTTGCTATGGTTTTAAATATCCCCTTCAAAACTCACGTGAAAATTTAATTGCCACCGTAACAGTGTTGGGAAGTGGCGCCTTTAAGAAATGATTAGGTCATAAGGGTATGCCTTATAAGTGAATTAATGAATGCCACTATCACAGGAGTGGATTAGTTATCATGGGAGTGGGCCCCTGAGAAAAGGATGAGTTTGGCCCCATATCCCTTCTCCATGATGAGAGCCTGCTCACCATGTGATGTTTTCCACTATGGGATAAAGCAGCAAGAAAGACCTCACTAGCTGTCAGCACCATGCTCTTGGACTTCCCAGTCTCTAGAACCATGAGCCAAATAATGTTTTCTCTATAAATTACTCGGTCTGTGGCATTCTGTTATAGCAGCAGAAAAGGGACTAAGACAGTATTCAATGTCTGGAACCACTCTGCAGTAATTAAATCATATCGATTGTATTTTAAAATAATTTCTATTTTACAACTGCATCCATATGGCACAAGGTCTGAGAAAATACAAAAATAGAATCAGTTTTCATATGGCAGGGGTTCAGGAACTTGTTTTATTATTATTTTATTTTAATTTATTTTTTTGAGACAGACTCTCTCTCTGTCTCCCAGGCTAGAGTGCAGTAGTGCGTGTCAGCTCACTGCAACCTCCACCTCCCGGGTTCAAGTGATTCTCCTAACTCAGCCTTCCGAGGAGCTTGAACTACAGAAACAGGCCACTATGCCTGGCTAATTTTTGTATTTTTAGTAGAGACAGGGTTTCACCATATTGACCAAGCTGGTCTCGAACTCCTGACCTCGTGATCCACCTACCTTGGCCTCCCAAAGTGCTGGGATTACAGGTGTGAGCCACTGTACCCGGGCTTTTTTTTTTTTAATTATTGAGACAGAGTCTCACTTGGTCACCCAGGCTGCAGTGCAGTGATGCAATCATAGGTCACTGCAGCCTTGACCTACTGAACTCAAATGATCCTCCCACCTCAGCCTCCTGAGTAGCTGGAACTACAGGTGTGCAACACCATGCATGGCCTATTTATTTTTATTATTTTAGAGACAAAGTCTCCCTGTGTTGCCCAGGCTGGTCTTGAACTCCTGGACTCAAGTGATCCTCTCACGTCAGCCTCCCAAAGTGCTTAGATAACAGGCATAGATAACAGGCATGAGCCACCACACCCAGACTTATTTTTTATTTTTTAATGATATTATAAAGAACCAGAAACTATATAGTACATTTTAGAATAACTTTTATCCAAAGTGAATTAAATTATTAAAATTTCAGTAAAAGGGGTAGTTTCAGTTCTCAAAAAAAGGTAGTACTTCATGAGATAATGACTTTGCTGTGAGTATATAAGAGATAAACCCATATTTTTTAACTAAAGAATAAGTGAATTACTAGAAAATAGAATTAAGTTTTCTTGTGAATTGTGTTGCTAAAAATCTAATTGCATGGACCATGCACTGATAGTTTAGAAGTACTGAGAAGCCCCCCAGCAAAAAAAAAAAAAAAAGTCAATTAAGAAGAAATCAACATCCTCCTAAGTTGTATGTTTTCCAAAATGCAGTCATTGAGCCTGACACTGTAGTTCCATTTGTAAATAAGATCGAGCTTCTCTCTATAAGTGGATTTGGTTTATTTTCAGTCTAATTATTAAATTTGAATGGTAGATATAAACTTGCTTACAAAAGGGCATTTCCTACGTTAAAGTTTTACAATTAATCTTTAAAAATAAGCTCCAGAGGCCGGGCGTGGTGGCTCACGCCTGTAATCCCAGCACTTTGGGAAGTCAAGGTGGGCAGATCACCTGAGGTCAGGAGTTTGAAACCAGCCTGGACAATATGGTGAAACCCCATCTCTACTAAAAGTACAAAAAATTAGCCAGGTGTGGTGGCACACATCTGTAATCCCAGCTACTCAGGAGGCTGAGGCAGGAGAATCGCTTGAACCCGGGAGGCAGAGGTTGCAGTGAGCCAAGATTGCACCACTGCACTCCAGCCTGGGCAACAGAGCAAGACTACACTGTCTCAAAAATAAGATAAAATAAAATAAATAAAAATAAAAATAAGTTCCGGAGATACTATTGAGCTGAAGGAACAATATATCGGCTCTGTCCTCATTCAGTAACTAAAATCCCCCAATTATCACAAAGATTATTGTGATTTTGGGGGAACTTGGTCTGATGAAGGTCAGTTGCACTGCATGCTAAGTGAGATGTAGGAATATTATTTAGCACTGACTATCAACCTTTCTGCTATATTTAGTTTTTTGTATCCCTAAAAATATAAAATGGTCTTAAACATGATCATTTTCCACATGACCAGGGCAGACTTGATGTAAGATGATCCTTGGCTCTTGTGGCCTGGGAATATATGGTACTATGTTCTGGATTTTTCTTCTAATAATAGAAATACACTGACCCAAGTTCTCATGTAATCTAAATTAAACACATTTAATTTCTGCATAAATTGTTGAACTGTTATTTTAATGAATACATCTTACCCTACATTTTCTCATCTTTTTGACCCAAGTTTCAAACCACTGACTGAAGAAACATATAATACTGAAAGTGAGAATTTATAATACCAAAAGTTTCAACTTGAGCAAAGTTTTGACTAATATCATAAGACTTATATTAACAATAGTATCATTTATCATTTAATTCCAATGACTTCAAGAGCTACATGATATATCAAAGACTTTAACAAACTGCCATTTTTTAGTAGTCTTATAAAATGTTTGTTGTATGTTACATTGGTGTGCAAACATGCAGTTTTAGAAACTGGGAGAAAAGGCCGGGCGTGGTGGCTTACGCCTGTAATCCCAGCACTTTGGGAGGCCGAGACGGACGGATCACGAGGTCAGGAGATTGAAACCATCCTGGCTAACACGGTGAAACCCCGTCTCTACTAAAAATACAAAAAATTAGCCGGGTGTGGTGGCGGGTGCCTGTAGTCCCAGCTACTTGGGAGGCTGAGGCAGGAGAATGGCGTGAACCTGGGAGGCGGAGCTTGCAGTGAGCCGAGATTGCACCACTGCACTCCAGCCTGGAGCGAGACTCCCTCTCAAAAAAAAGAAAAAGAAAAGAAACTGGGAGAAAAGGCCAGGTGCGGTGGCTCATGCCTATAATCCCAGCACTTTGGGAGACCGAGGCAGCAGATCACCTGAGGTTAGGAGTTAGAGACCAGCCTGGCCAACAGGGAGAAACCCCGTCTCTGCTAAAAATACAAAAATTAGCCGTGCGCGGTGGCTCATGCCTGTAATCCCAGCTACTCAGGAGGCCGAGGCAGGAGAATCGCTTGAACCCAGGAGATGGAGGTTGCAGTGAGCTGAGATCGTGCCACTGCACTCCAGCCTGGGTAACAGAGCAAGAATCTGTCTCAAAAAAAAAAAAAGAAAAGAAAAGAAAAGAAAAGAAAGAAAGAAAGAGAAAGAAAGAAAGAAAGGGAAAGAAAGAAAGAAAGAAAGAAAGAAAGAAAGAAAGAAAGAAAGAAAGAAAGAAAGAAAGAAAGAAAGAAAGGGAAAAGAAAAGAAACTGGGAGAAAAGCAGAAAAGCAGAACATTAGCCTACTCTTTATTATAACAATTTTTTGCTTTGAGACGGAGTCTGGCTCTGTCGCCCAGGCTGGAGTGCAGTGGCACAATCTTGGCTCACTGCAACCTCCGCTTCCTGGGTTCAAGCGATTCTCCTGCCTCAGCCTCCCGAGTAGCTGAGGTTACAGGCACGCGCCTCCACGCCCGGCTAATTTTTCTATTTTTAATAGAGACGGGGTTTCACCACGTTGGCTAGGATGGTCTCAATCTCCTGACCTCGTGATCCGCCCGCCTCAGCCTCCCAAAGTGCTGGGATTACAGGCAGGAGCCACTGCGCCCGGCTATTGTAACAATTTTAAGGCAAAGTTCTAGATGCTAGTTTGTATCATACGATAGGATATTATAAAAGCATTAGTCTTTAGGGTTGACATTTTTGTGTTTTTGTTTCTTGCCAATCTAAAATTTATTAGGGGAGATGAAAGTGGATACACACACACACACACACACACACACACACACACAGCAGCAGCAAGTAGAGCCCAGTGGTAACAGTAATAAATTCTTTCACAGCAGAAGTAATTGTTTCCATTACCAAGTTATTCACATTTAATTTATTTGTGAAATTTGAGGTAAATGGTTCTCTTCAGGCCGGGAGCGGTGGCTCGCGCCTGTAATCGCAGCGCTGTGGGAGGCCAAGGCAGGCAAATCACCTGAGGTCAGGAGTTTGAGACGATCCTGGCCAACACGGTGAAACCTTATCTCTACTAAAAATACAAAAATTAGCCAGGCAGGCAGGGCACAGTGGCTCACGCCAGTAATCCCAGCACTTTGGGAGGCCAAGGCAGGCGGATCACCAGAGGTCAGGAGTTTGAGACCAGCCTGGCCAACATGGAGAAACCCCGTCTCTACTAAAAATACAAAAATTAGCCAGGTGTGGTGGCGGGCACCCGTAGTCCCAGCGACTCAGAAGGCGGAGGCAAGAGAATCGCTTGAACCCGGGAGGCAGAGGTTGCAGTGAGCTGAGATCGCACCACAGCACTCCAGCCTGGGAACAGAACGAGACTCCGTCAAAAAAAATTAAAAAAAAAAAAAAATTAGCCAGGCATGGTGGCGGACGCCTATAATCCCAGCTCTCCAGGAGGCTGAGGCAGGAGAATCACTTGAACACGGAGGGTGGAGGTTGCAATGAGCCAAGATCGCCCCATTTCACTCCAGCTTGGGCGAAAGAAAGAAACTCCGTGAGAAAAAAAAAAAAAAAAAAAAAAGTTCTCCTCAATTAAGCACTATCCTGGAAGATTTTTTTTCCAGAATCTATAGTGATAGCCATCCCCTCTCTCCTAAACTCCAGATCCATATTTCTACCTGCTTCCTGATCATTTCCATCTAAATTATCCACAGGCCATGTACAAACTTGGAACTCATCCACCCAACTCACCTCTTCCCCATGGACTCCTAATCTCAGAAAATCGCATTGCCATCGACGTAGCCCTGTGGGCGTGAGGGTAGGAAACTTCGTCTCACTGCCCATGCTTAGTTAGACACCAAGTCCCACAGAGCCTATGAAACATCCCTCAAGTTTATATAATCTATTATGTTACCAATGGGTTTATCCTATTCAGGTCATCCTTTCCTCTAAAGAATAGTATTTTGAAAGATGCTGAACAGAGCTCTGTTTCTGGCCCAGATGAAATAACAGTAACTGAATTTATTGTTCTTCATGAAACAACTAAAAAACTGAACAAACCTATGAAAGAATGTTCACAAAACCTTGGTCATCAGGCAACAAAGGACAATGATCCCTGAGAGATGGAAAACAAATAAGGTGCGCTCTGTGGTTTCCCCAGCTTTGTACCTAAGGAAAGCTTCCCAGCTTGGCACAGGGAGGGAAAAGCCAAGTGGAGCCCGACAGTCTCCCTGAGTTGAGGAGACAAAATGGTGAGTGTGAGAAATTCAAAGCAACCAGAATTCACTAGGGCAAATTGTCAGAAAGAAAAGAGCTGGAGCTCTGGAAATCTTCAGAGGGTAACCCTTGATGCTCAGCTGAGTACTGACCACCACATGCAAGTGAGAAAATTACCTGAGGCCAGGTTAAAAATAAATAAATAAACAACTCAAAATATTAATGAGTACAATTCCATAATCCTATATAGAGCTGAAAAACTCACCTGTGCCCACTAACCAGATTGGTAAACTTCATAATTCATACAACATCAGTTAAAATACTATGGCAAGAAAGGGTTTGCCACAGTAATGGGGAAAAGCTAGTCCCAGGTTAAACATTGCTTTGCTCCTGGCTCAGCAAGTTTTAAAGCCATACCCAAAATAATCTAAATTTATGAGCAATTTAGGCATAACTTGGAACAAAGCTAAATATTTATAGGAATATAAAATTATCCAACAATTAGATAGAAGACCACCTGGGAATACAGGTTCTATAGGCTTAAAAAAAATCAACAAGGTAAAAAATCACATCTGGCATCCAACCAAAAGTTCTAAGGAAAGAAAAGAAGCAGGAAAGGATGACCCATGATAAATACAAAAATCAATCAATCAAAATTGACCCAATATTCACATAGATGATAGATTTAGTAGATAAGGCCGGGCATGGTGGCTCATGCCTGTAATCCCAGCACTTTGGGAGGCTGAGGCAGGTGGATCATGAGGTCAGAAGATCCAGATGATCCTGGCTAACACTGTGAAACCTCATCTCTACTAAAAACACAAAAAATCAGCTGGGCATGGTGGCATGCACCTGTAGTCCCAGCTACTCAGGAGGCTGAGGCAGGAGAATCACTTGAACCCGGGAGGCAGAGGTTGCAGTGAGCCAAGATGGTGCCACTGCACTCCAGTCTGGGCGAGAGACCAAGATTCCATCTCAAAAAAAATATATAGATAGATAGATAGATATAAATGAGATTTTTAAAAAAGAAAGGAGAAAAAATAGTGAAACCAAAGTTGGTTCCTTTAAAAAAATCAATAAAATTGATAAACATCTAGAAAAATTGATCAGGAAATAGAGAAGAAAGAAATTACCATATCAGGAATGAGGTTAAAATGAATATTTGAACAATTTTATGCTAATAAATTTGACAATTTAAATGAACTGGACAAATGCCTTGAAAGACACCAACTATCACAGCTTACTTAAGAGAAAATAACTTGAATATTCCATTATCTCATAAACAAATTAAATTTGTAGTTAAAGACCTTCCAAACAAGAAAACTCCAGTCCCAGATGGCGTCATGAGTGAAGTTTACCAAACACTTAAGAAAGAAATAATAATTCAACACAAAGTCTCTACAAAAATTGAAAAGGAGGAAATGCTTCTCAACTTCTTCTATGAGGCCAGAATTACTCCATTATCAATATTAGAAAATAATATTACAAGAAAAGAAAATTACAGACAAAACTCCTTCATAAGCAAAATTAAAAAAAAAAATTTAACCAATTGAAACCAAAAATATATGAGAAAGATAATACCTCATGACCAAGTGGAGTTTATCTCAGGAATGCAAGGCTGGTTTAACACTTGAAAATCAATCAATGTAATTCAGCATACTAACTAACAAATAAGCAAAAAGATCATCTCAATAAATGTAGAAAGATCATTTGACAAAATCCAATGTGTGGGCCGGGCGCGGTGGCTCACGCCTGTAATCCCAGCACTTTGGGAGGCCGAGGCGGGTGGATCATGAGGTCAGGAGATCGAGACCATCCTGGCTAACAAGGTGAAACCCCGTCTCTACTAAAAATACAAAAAATTAGCCGGGTGCGGTAGCGGGCGCCTGTAGTCCCAGCTACTCGGGAGGCTGAGGCAGGAGAGGCGTGAACCCGGGAAGCGGAGCTTGCAGTGAGCCGAGATTGCGCCACTGCAGTCCGCAGTCCGGCCTGGGCGACAGAGCGAGACTCCATCTCAAAAAAAAAAAAAAAAAAATCCAATGTGTGTGCTGGTTAGAATGTAAAATTGTACAAACACCTTTAAAAGTAATTCAACAGATTCATAAAATGTTCCACATATATGTACCATTGACTTAGCCATTCCATTCCTAGGTATATCCAAAAATAAAAATTAAAAACACATGTTCATACAAATAAAAAATAAAAACATATGTTTTGCATATGGATTTATTTTTTATTTTTTGAGACGGAGTCTCACTCTGTCACCCAGGATGGAGTGCAGTGGCATGATCACGGCTCACTGCAAGCTCGGCCTCCCGGGTTCCCGCCATTCTCCCTGCCTTAGCCTCCTGAGTAGCTGGGACTACAGGCACCCGCCACCACACCCGGCTAATTTTTTGTATTTTTAGTAGAGATGGGGTTTCACTGTGTTTGTCAGGATGGTCTCAATCTCCTGACCTCATGATCCACCCACCTTGGCCTCCCAAAGTGCTAGGATTACAGGCGTGAGCCACTGCGCCCGGCCCAGCATATGGATTCTTATAACAACTTTATTTGTAATAGCCAAAAACTGGAATCAATCCAAATGTCCATCAATACATGAATGGGTAAACAAAGTGAAGTGCATCCATATAACAAAATACTACTCAGCAATAAGAAGGAATGAATTGTTGACACATGCAACAACATAGGTGAATCTTAAAATAATTATGCTGACTGAAATGAGCCAAATCAAAAAGAAAGCGTAGTTACTATATAATTTCATTTATATAAAATTCTAGAAAATGCAATCTAATCTCTAGTGACAAGGGGCAGATAAGTTGTTGCCTGGGGTGGGAGAAGGAGGAGGCATCACAAAATAACATAAGGAAACCTTTTGGGGGGTGATAGATGTATTCATTTTCTTAATATTGGTGATGATTGTTACTTGGGTACATACATATGCAAACCTTATCAAGATGTGCACTCTAAATATGTGCAATTTGTTGTATGTCAATTATACCTCAGTAAAGCGGATTTTGGGGTGGGAGAAAAAGGCTTCTAACTCATCTCCATGACTCCAGTATCTTGAATTGCCCAGGTGTCAAACTTGTAAGTGATTAGGTAATCTTGGATGTTCAACCCAGTTGAGCCTTCAGATGACTCCAGCCCCATTCACTGTCTGATTACGACTCTAGGAGAGACCTCAGGGGATATCCACCCAGCTAAGCCAAATCAGCCCAAAGAACCATTATGACCCACTAAGTTTTCTTTTTAGCCACTAAGTTTTGGAGAAATGCGTCACACAGCAATACATCACCAGAACAGTGGGTTTTAAGGTTTTATTTTTTTTCTCAATCAAACCTTTTCTATATACAGAACCTTATTGTTAAGTTGAATATAATAAACAGATAAAAGTAAAACTGCTGGCTGGGTGCAGTGGCTCACACCTGTAATCCCAGCACTTTGGGAGGCCAAGGTGGGCAGATCACCTGAGGCCAGGAGTTCAAGACCAGCCTGGCCAACATGGTGAAACTCTGTCTCCACTAAAAATACAAAACATTAGCTGGGCATGGTGGTGGATGCCTGTAATCCCAGCTACTCAGGAGGCTGAGGCAGGAGAATCGCTTGAACCTGGGAGGCGGAGGCTGCAGTGAGCTGAGTTCACATCCATTGCAATCCAGCCTCGGTCATAAAGCAAAACTCCGTCTCAAAAAATAAAAAATAAAAATAAAAAAAGTAAAACTGCTTTGGCTAAAATGGGAGTGGAAGAACCTAGATTTTTACTTGGCCAGGCTTCCCTGAGTGGTTCCTGAGCCAAGAGTGGCTCTCGGAGAACCTTTGTGTGACCCACCCCCACCCCAGAATTTCTCCTTTCTCAGATGGGAATTGAGGACATAAAGATTAAGTGTCACACACAAGTTATCGATCTGTGATGAAACTCTAGGTGTCTTTATTCAGAATTAACTTCACCATGCTATTGAGAATAGAAAAATGTTGTAAGCATATGTAAAATATCAGTTGTTGAATCAGAATAAGAGTGAAGTAAAAAAAGTCAGAAAAGCACACTGTGTCTATCTTGACAAATTTAACCACAAATCAACTTTTTTACCCAAGATTAAAGGAAATATTGGGTATTTGATCGGATATTTCCACTAAGATACGTTAGCACTGGTATTCCTTAATATATATTGGCCATTTTTTGTGTTCGTGATACATGAAAACAACCCGGGAAATAGGCTGAATTTGAAATAAAAATAATTTATTAGTTTTAGTGAATAAAAACACCACACCCTGCATATACTGCCAAATGGAAATATCTAATTCTTCTCAAGAGGCCTCTTTCACCCTTTTTTTCTTTTTTTGTGCTAATGGTGCAAAAACAGTGCAGTAAATTCTGTGTAATGGCCTTTCATATAGTATATTGAAATCAAATGCTCAATTTTCAATCTCTACCCGAGATTTGAAATGATTATGCTGATAAGTAGTAAAGAAAATAGATCTAGAAGAGACACACTTCCAACTAATATGATAAATTTATTTCAAAATAACATGAGTCCTAAAAACAAACACAGCCAAAATATACCTTAGAACTTCGCTATAAATCTCAGTGGACGGTTCGCTGAACTACAGCAGTAGGAATAATGTTTCTATGGTAAAAACTTAAGTCTTGCCTAATGCTGAGTTGAGAAGACCATTTCATTAACACAGGTATGACTTAGGATGGCAGCAGAGCCAAACCTGTGTACACTGAAACTGCCATTTTCTACATGTAAATGTAATCTTACATTCTGTACCAGCACTCCATCTCAAGCTGATATTTACAACTGTTTGCTCCCCGACTTGGTATCTCAGTACTCCATTTCTGCAGCTGTAATTGAGTTTCAAAGTTACACAGCAATAATTATTTTATAAAATTTTTATTACAGTAGGCTAAATGAATGCAAAAGCAGAATAATCAATTTATAAACTAAAATTAAAATTATAGACACTATATAAATGGTTTCTTTTTAAAACTCTTCAATTAAGCACTGCTTCTACCAGACCAAGAATATTTTAAAAGCATGAATGAAGTGGAATGCAAAATCAATGATATCAATGAGTGTATTTTACTTTTGTATTTTACTCTTCTTTTTTTTGAGACGAGGTCTTGCTCTGTCCCCCAGGCTGGAGTGCAGTGGTGTGATCTCAGCTCACTACAACCTCCATCTCCCAGGTTTAAGCAATTCTCCTGCCTCAGCCTCCCAAGTAGCTGGGATTACAGGTGCATGCCACCACGCCCGGCTAATTTTTGTATTTTTAGTAGAGACGAGGTTTCACCATGTTGGCAAGGCTGGTCTCGAACTCCTGACCTTGTAATCCACCTGCCTTGGCCTCCCAAAGTGCTGGAATTACAGATGTGAGCCACCACGCCCAGCCTTATTTTAATTCTTAGCATGTATGAGGGTATGTCACCTAGACCCATGTGTCAATTGCTTTTTTAAAATATGCATATTTAAAATGGAAGGATTACAAAATTCAGTAATGCTATATAGACTGAATAAAAATTTAGTTTTTGTTTTCAAAATAAAACTCATAAGCAAATAAATCATTTTGTTTGAATGCTTCAGTTTTAAGTAGTATTATAAACAAATTTCACTACTGAATCTTGTGGTCCAAGCTTCCATATTTCTTCTCTTTCAGGTCAGTAGAGAAAATATTTTTCATGCCTATGTTTTGAAAAGAATCGTAATCAAAATTAAAAACAACAGTGCAAATCTCTTGAAATCCAAAATGAATCATAAAAATATTAAAGTATGATTAATACTATTAACTCTTTTGTAATGCAAGAATTACTTGGGCACTTAGCCAACATGTACAACAACATACAGTTATATGAGAAACTTAGTCATCTGTCTTTAGGTGCATAAATGTCTAAACCTATTAATTCTCAAGGGAGATGAGAGATGAATACAGAATAAGCTAAAAACATTTTTCAAACTAGGCACAATCCCTCTCTCTATTAGACTAGGGACAGGGAAAATGTAAATGCTTGGGAAAACTTGTAACTTAATCAGAAAGCTACGCCCCTCACCTTGTTAAACCCCCTTCCTAAGAACTTCTCTGCCGGGCACAGTGGCTCACGCCTGTAATCCCAACACTTTGGGAGGCCAAAGTGGGTGGATCACGAGGCCAACATGGTGAAACTCTGTCTCTACTAAAAATACAAAAATTAGCCAGGCGCGGCGGCAGGCACCTGTAATCTCAGCTACTCGGGAGGCTGAGGCAGGAGAATTGCTTGAATCTGGGAGGTGAAGGTTGCAGTGAGTCGAGATTGCACCGCTGCACTCCAGCCTGGTGACAGAGCAAGACTCTTGTCTCAAAAAAAAAAAAAAAAAGAACTTCTCATCTAACCATCTTTATGATGATCTTCTACAAGGAAAGATTTAGTAATAACAATCATAATAAAATAATGACAACACCTTATATTGAATATTACTTTGCTATTTACAAAGTCCTTTCATTTAATTATTTAATTTGACGCTTACAATAGCTCTATGAAGTAGTCATGGTAGATACTCATTTTGCAACTGAGAAGTCACTTCTTTGAAGGAATATATATATATACACACACACACACACACACATATATATATCTCTTCAATAGTTTCAGCTATATATACTACAGCTGGGGCTAGGATTTAAGGTTATCTGATGCTCAGTCCAGTTCTCTTTCCCTGTATAATACAGTTTCCTTGAGATGGTGCTTCCTGAATTTTTTTAAAGTTGTTTTAACTTAAATGCAAGTCAAATTCTTCAGTTTCCTCTCATACGATTCCTATTTCTGGGTTAAGACTTCTGAAAACATGAAAGGAAATGAAACGTGAGCAAAACATAGATTTAAGAACTCCTAGGCATGGATCCACCAAAGACAACTCAACAAGAAAAAGGGTGTGACCTAATGCTGTGTTTCCAAAAGCAATGATTAGGGAAAGGAAGACAACAATCTGAGAGGAGCAAGAGAGAGCTGGTTTAACTCAGCTATTAACCCTCAGTTCAGCTCCCCCAAAGTCATATTAGCTTCTTAAAATAAACAGAAGAAAAAGTACTGAGATTCAAACCCTTGGCCAAGGGAAAACCACATTGAATACAGTGGGAATCAAGTCAAGAAGTCTTCCACATCATAACAGAGTCAAGTCTGAACAGAATTGACCAAGCAGGAAAAAAATGAAAATAAATGTAATGGAAGCTCTGAAAACATACTATAGGAAAAGAAACAAGGAAAGAAGAGAGAGAGAAAGAGGGAGGGAGGGAGGGAGGGAGGAAAAAGGGAATGACAGAAAAGACCTTGAAGAAAAATCAACTTAAAGATCAGAAGGAGGCCGGATGCGGTGGCTCACGCCTATAATCCCAGCACTTTGGGAGGCCGAGGTGGGTGGATCATCTGAGGTCAGGAGTTCGAGACTAGCTTGGCCAATATGGTGAAACCCCTTCTCTACTAAAAATACAAAAATTAGCCGGGCGTGGTGGCAGGCGCCTGTAATCCCAGCTACTCAGGAGGCTGAGGCAGGAGAATCGCTTGAACCCAGGAGGTGAAGGTTGCAGTGAGCCGAGATTGTGCCATTGCACTCCAGCCTGGGGGACAACAGCAAAACTTCGTCTCAAAAAAAAAAAAAAAAAAAAAAAAGATCCCAAGGAAATTATTAAAATTTGCTTCATGCCATAACATACATTAATGAGACTATTAATTCAATAAAGTGTGAGCTCAAAGAGAAGATGATAAAACCACAGAATGAGATTAAAAAGATGTGACTGAAACTATATCATCATAGGACTAATCAGTAAGCTAGAACATGGCAAGGAAGAATAGATACCACTGAATATAAAATCATAAAGCATAAAATATGAATTCAAGTAGAATAAAAATAATGCTAATAAATTAAGGAAAAATAAAGGATCAAAATTCCAACTAATAATCGTTGGCTTCTCTGTGCTAGAGAAACTACAAATGCACCAGAAGCTGTGGTGAAAGATACAATAGTAGAAAAATTTCCACACTCTCACCCCAAGTGAAGGAAAAAAATCTGGATATGCAAATCGGTTCCAAGAAAATTGTATATAGAATGCTCAATATAGAAACTACCTTAGTTAGTAACCACTGAACATCAAGTACAAAGAAAGAATTCTTTAGATGTCCAGGAAAGCACATCGCCCACTGTAATGGTTAATTTTATGTGTCAACTTGACTGGGCCATGAGGTGCCCAAACATCTGCTCAAACATTATTCTGGGTGTGTCTGTCAAAATGTTTCTGGGTGAGATTCACATTTCAATTTATAGACCGAGTAAAGCAGATTGCACTCCCCAATGTAAATAATCAACTGAAGACATGACTAGAACAAAAAGGCTGAAGAAAAGAGAATTCTTTCTGCCTGGTTACAAGAGCTTTTCTAGCCTTGCGACTTGGTCTAAAACAATGGTTCTTCCTGGGTGTCAAGCATGCTAGCATTTAGACCGAACTATTAGAACCATCAGTTCTCTTGGTTCTCGGGACTCCAGATTCAGACTCAGACTGGCTCTCCTGGGACTCCAGCTTGCTGCCTCCAGGTCTTGAGATTTCTCAGCTTTCATAGTTGCATAAGCCAATTCCTTATAATAAATTACACACAGAGGCACACACATGCACATCCTATTGGTTCTGTTTCTCTGGAGAACCCTGACTAGCACATATATACAAAGGTGAAAAAAAATCAGACTGGCTTCCCAGGTATTCCTAGTAACATACAATGGCAGAAACTAGAGACACATTCACAAATTCTAATGAAAAGAAACGGTGGCCAGGCACGGTGGCTCACGCCTGTAATCACAGCACTTTGGGAGGCTGAGGAGGGTGGATCACCTAAGGTCAGGAGCTCGGGAACAGCCTGGTCAACGTGGTGAAACCCCGTTTCTACTAAAAATACAAAAATTAGCCGGGTGTGGTGGTGCGCCTGTAATCCCAGCTACTCAAGAGGCTGAGGTGGGAGAATTACTTGAACCTGGGAGGCGGAGGCTGCAGTGAGCCAAGATCGCACCACTGCACTCCAGCCTGGGCAACAAAGCAAGACCCCGTCTCAAAAAAATAATAATAATAATAAATAAGAAAAGAAACTGTGACTCCGGAGCACAGATTCAGTCATGGCATCTTTCTAGTATAAAGACCATAACAGATAGTTTTAAACATAAAAGAACTAGGAATATCACTGAAGTGCCCTTCTTGAAAAAATATGTGACAATGAAATCTAAACAAATAAAAGGTGAATCAAAGTAAAGATCAGAGAAGCTATGGTACAAAGACTGGTGGGGAACAACACTTCCACTTAAACCAAGAAGTTATACTAAAACAATGAAAACTATGATTACAGAAAGTAAACACTGTAAATCTGGATAACTTGAAAATAATATAACTAACAGCCAGTGAAGACGGGCAAAGAGAAGATGGAAGAGTATTAATGTTCACACTTTATACTACCTAAAATTGAGGGGAAAATATTTTTATTTTTAAAATTATTTATTTTATTTTATTTTATTTTATTTTTTTGAGACACAGTCTCACTTTGTCACCCAGGCTGGAGTGCAGTGGCACTATCTCGGCTCACTGCAACCTCCGCCTCCCAGGTTCAAGCAATTCTCCTGCCTCAGCCTCCTGAGTGGCTGGGATTACAGGCATGCACCACCACACCTGGCTAATTTTTGTATTTTTAGTAGAAATGGGGTTTCGCCATGTTGGCCAGGCTGGTCTTGAACTCCTGACTTCAGGTGATCCGCCCGCCTCGACTTCCCAAAGTGCTGAGATTATAGGGGTGAGCCACCACGCCCAGCTGGAAAATACTTTTAAATGTTCTTCACAACCTCTTTTATAACTTTAGAGGGATAATTTAGGAAATATTTCTTGGGGAGGAGAAACATTTTTTTTTGAAGTCCAACAATTCCTCCAGTTATGTTTCATTTTATTTTTCTTCTACTGAATTCAACAGTTTTTATTGAGAAACAGTACTTAGGCCATGATGACATTTTTATACAATATCACTATTTGAGTGCATGCATAGAAAGAGGCAAGTCCCTTCGGTGTTAACTGTGGCAGTGTCTAGGTGGTGGTATTTTAGGTGATTCACATTTACTTTTCATTTTTACTTTCCTAAATAGTTTGAATTTTTTTTTTTTTTTTTTTTTTTTGAGACGGAGTCTCGCTCTGTTGCCCAGGCTGGAGTGCAGTGGCATGATCTTGGCTCACTGCAACCTCCGCCTCCTGGTTTCAAGCGATTCTCCTGCCGCAGCCTCCCGAGTAGCTGGGACTACAGGCACACACCGCCACGCCCAGCTGATTTTTTGTATTTTAGTAGAGACAGGGTTTCACCATTGTTGCCCAGGCTGGTCTCGAACTCCTGAGCTCAGGCAATCCACCCGCCTCAGCCTCCCAAAGTTCTAGGATTACAGGCGTGAGCCACCGTGCCTGGCCAGTTTGAATTATTTTTTAAAACATTTAAGCGGTTTAAAAAAAAAAATGCTAGACACTAAAATGCAAATTACCTAATATATACCTAACCGTTCTTTGTTTTTCTAAAATAAATTTTCAATTTCTAAAAATATCAAGTTGCCCCCTAGCTATCTAATTGCTATCAAATATTTGATGCAGTGCTTACAAAAAAAATGATGCAAAATTATTTCATGCACCTTTGCCTGTACTCTCTCTCAATGGAAGAGAGCTAGAGAATCTTAGGAAGGAAGAAAGGAAAAAAATTGGCTGGGCACGTTGGCTCATGCCTATAATCCCAGCACTTTGGGAGGCCAAGGCAGGTGGATCACCTGAGGTCAGGAGTTCGAGACCAGCCTGACCAGTATGGTGAAACCCCGTATCTACTAACAATACAAAAATTAGCCAGGCATGGTGGTGTGTGCCTGTAGTCCCAGCTACTCAGGAGGCTGAGGCAGGAGAATCACTTGAACCCGGGAGGCAGAGGTTGCGGTGAGCCGAGATCATGCCACTGCACTCCAGCCTGGGTGACAAGAGTGAGACTCCGTCTCAACAAAAAAAAAGGAAAAAAAGTAAGCCTTTTACTTTCTCCCACTTGAAACATACATGACTGCAGTCCATTTTACCTCCAGAGTAAATAAGTAAAAATGACCCAGACATTATCTTAATGAGGCAGAATTCATATAAGTGTGGGCCATGGTAGCAGGTTTGAATACTGACTCTCATTTCTAGGTCTGAATAGAAACCTCGGTTTAAATACTGACCCTTTGAAATCTAGGCTTGAATATTGACTCTCATTTCCTGGCTGTGTGACCTTGGCAAGTTCTTCTTTCTGATTCCCAGGGCATATGGCCACAGAACATGGTACATGATGGCAAGAATTAAACAGACAACATGTGTAAATAAATTGGTACGTATTAGGTCTTTGGTAAATGGTAGCTATTATTATTTTCAAAATAATTATTTCATTAAATTGAAAGAAGGGACTTGGAAAGACAATCAAATTAGAAAACATTCTGGAAACCTCTCCAAAGGCAACTTTTCCCACTTCCACGGCATCTATTACCTTTTTCGTGTCTACGGCAGGAGTGTGAGGGCCCTTTCCAGGGGAGCTGAGAATGGACAGTTTCAACAATGAAAAGTGGTAGTAGAGTCTCTTTCCTTCTCGGTACTATGTAGACCAACACAAAGCCTGGCTCTTTCTGGACTCAAGTAGAAAGGAGGTCTCTGCTCATGATTTCATGGTATCAGCTTTGTAGCATGCATCTGGATTAATTTTTATGAGCCCTTAGAGTATATCATTTACCAAGTTGTACGTGCAAGCAGGTTGCCTGACTTCCCAGAAACTAGGTTCACGAGATAGTGCTGAGCCTTTCCGGGTGAATGAATGACCAGAATGCAAGACCCTCCTAGCCCTTCACTGAACCGTGGCTCTCGAGGGTGTAGTTCTGCATGTATCACTGGGCTGCAGAAATGCTTTCCAGTCCAGCTCACAGCGCTATGCACACAGCTCCTCCTTCTCCATCTGAGGAGGGCATTTATAGGGCACACACAGCTGTCCAAAGAGGAACAACTCCTTCAGCAGCGCACTTTAGGCTTGGCTTTTGTGAGAGAAGAATAAACATGAGCTTTGTGGAAGTTAAAGATAAGAAAATACTGCGTCCTGGCTACAGGTCCAAGTCCAATCTCTTACACTCACAGAGCCCATCCTTTGAGTCATCAGCACAGAGCTTACCAGTCCTTACCAGTAAGGGCATTCTCTCAAGAATCTCAGGCTCTAATTCTAATCCTGAGTTAGGCTAGACAGCACACTTGCCACCCCCCACTTTGGTGTCAGGAGCTGATGTGCCAAATGTATATCAGGTCCTTAATTGCTGGGATGATTTTTTCACATTCACTTTTGGATCTTTTTTATCTTTTTCTTTTTTTTTTGAGACAGAGTCTCGCTCTGTCTCTCAGGCTGGAGTGCAGTGGCATAATCTTGGCTCACTGCAACCTCTGCCTCCCAGGTTCAAGCAGTTCTCTGCCTCAGCCTCCCGAGTAGCTGGGATCACAGGCACCCACCACCACGCCTGGCTAATTTTTTGTATTTTTAGTAGAGACGGGGGTTTCACCATCTTGGCCAGGCTGGTCTTGAACTCCTGATCTCAAGTGATCCACCCTCCTTGGCCTCCCAAAGTGCTGGGATTACAGGCGTGAGCCACCGCACCCAGCCTGGATCTTTATCTTCTATTATTTTGAGAGGATGGAAAAGCAACGTACAAATGCACTTTATAGCACTCTATCAGGCACTCTGAAAAAAAATGTGAACTCTCAGGCCAGGCGCAGTGGCTCACGTCTGTAATCCCAGCACTTTGGGAGGCCTAGAGGGGCAGTTCACTTGAGCCCAGGAGTTTGAGACCAGCCTGGGCAGCATAGCAAGACCCCATCTCTATAAAAAAGAAAAAAGTTTTCTAAATAAAAATTATAAAGTAACTTAAGAGTATAGTTTGATTGTTTGTAAGCCAGGTGTGGTGGTTCACACTTGTAATCCCAGCACTTTGGGAGGCCGAGGCAGCTGGAGCACCTGAAGTCAGGAGTTCAAGACCAGCCAGGCCAATATGGTGAAACCCCATCTCTACTAAAAATACAAAAATTAGCCGAGTGTGGTGGCGCACACCTGTAATTCCAGCTACTTGGGAGGCTGAGGCAGGAGAATCACTTGAATCTAGGAGGCAGAGACTGCAGTGAGCCAAGATCTTGCCACTGCACTCCAGCCTAGGTGACAAAGTGAGACTCATTCTCAAAAAATAAATAAATAGGCAGGGCATGGTGGCTCACACCTGTAATCCCAGCACTTTGGGAGGCCGAGGCGAGCGGATCACCTGAGGTCAGGAGTTCGAGACCAGCCTGACCAACATGGAGAAACCCCATCTCTACTAAAAATACAAAATTAGCCAGACGTGGTAGCTCATGCCTGTAATCCCAGCTACTCGGGAGGTGAGGCAGGACAATCACTTGAACCCAGGAGGCAGAGGTTGCAGTGAGCCAAGATCACACCATTGCACTCTGGCCTGGGCAACAAGAGCGAAACTCCATCTCAAAAAATAAATAAATAATAAATAAAAATTTAAAAATAAAAAATAATAATTGGATTGTTTGTAAAACAAAGAAAGGATAAATGCTTGATGTGATGATACCCCATTTAACTGATATGATTATTATGAATTGTATACCTGTATCAAAATATCTCATGTATCTCATAAATATATACACCTACTATGCACCCACAAAAATTTTAAAACACAAAATAAAATGAACCAAGGACTTTAGCAGATGCATCACTAAAGAAGATTTAGGCTCTATCACCTGCCACCACTGCCCGGGCCCAAGTGGTTCACTGAGCTGTGAAGACAGATTCCAGACGCTGGGAACTCACGCCTCCAATCCCAGACGCTGTGTCCAGCAGAGGCTCCATGGTTCTGGCCTACAGTGGCAGCCTGGACACCTCCTGCATCTTTGTGTGGCTGAAGGAACAAGGCAATGACATCATTGCCTACCTGGGCAACATCGGCCAGAAGGAAGACTTCAAGGAAGCCAGGCACTGAAGCCCGGGGCCAAAAAGGTGTTCACTGAGGATGTCAGCAGAGAGTTTGTGGAGGAGTTCATCTGGCTGGCCATCCAGTCCAGTACACTGTATGAGGACCACCTCCTGGGCAGCTCTCTCCCCAGGCCCTGCATCGCCCACAAACAAGTAGAAATCACCCAGCAGGAGGGGGCCAAGTGTGTGTCCCATGGCACCACGGGAAAGGGCAATGATCAGGCCCGGTTCAGCTCACCTGCTACTCGCTGGCCCCCCCAGATAAAGGTCATTGCTCCCTGGTGCATGTTCGAGTTCTACAATCGGATCAAGTGCCTCAACGATCTGATGGAATATGCAAAGCCACACGGGATTCCCATCCCAGTCACTCCCAAGAACCCGTGGAGCATGGATGAGAACCTCATGCACATCAGCTATGAGGCTGGAATCCTGGAGAGCCCCAAGAACCAAGCGCCTCCAGGTTGCTGCACGAAGACCCAGGACCCAGCCAAAGCCCCAACACCCCTGACATTCTCAAGATCGAGTTCACAAAAGGGGTCCCAGTGAAGGTGACCAACATCAAGGATGGCACCATCCACCAGACCTCCTTGGAGCTCTTCGTGTACCTGAACGAAGTCGCGGGCAAGCACCGTGTTGGCTCTATTGACATCATGGATAACCGCTTCATTGGAATGAGGTCCCGAGGTATCTACGAGACCCCAGCAGACACCATCCTTTACCACGCTCATTTAGACATTGAGGCCTTCACCATGGACCAGTAAGTGTGCAAAATCAAACAAGGCCTGGACTTGAAATTGGCTGAGCTGGTGTACACCGGTTTCTGGCACAGCCCTGAATGTGAACGTGTCCGCCACTGCATCACCAAGTCCCAGGAATGAGTGGAAGGGAAAGTGCAGGTGTCTGTCCTCAAGGGCCAGGTGTACATCCTCCGCTAGGACTCCCCACTGTCTCTCTACAATGAGGAGCTGGTGAACATGAATGTGCAGGACCATTAGGAGCCAATCGATGCCACCGGGTTCATCAACATCAATTCCCTCAGGCTGAAGGAATATCACCGTGTCCAGAACAAGGTCACTGCCAAATAGACCCCTGTACAATGAGGAGCTGGGGCCTCCTCACTTTGCAGAGCCCCCAAGTACGGGCACTAATTGTTGTAATAATTTCTAATTGCTACTTGTTCTCCCTGGCTGGTAGCGTAGTAAGGCTGCCAGGCTCCAGCCTTGTTCCCTGGTCCCCCATGAAGCCTGCAAAAGTGGTCAGCGAAGGGAAGGGTTGGGGGCAGCTGCAGTGGGGAGCTATAAAATGACAATTTTAAAAATATACATTTAAAAAGGAAGAAGATTTACAGGAAAATAAGCATATGAAAGATGCTCCACATCATATGTCATCAGGGAAATACAAATTAAAACAACAATGAGATACGCACTTATTACAATGAACAAAACCTGGAAGGCTGAAAACACCAAATACTGCCAAGGATGTGGAGCAAGAGGACTCTCATTCACTGCTGGTGGAAATGCAAATTGGTACAGCCACTTTGGAAGACAGTTTGCAGTTTCCAACAAAACTAAACATATTCTTACCATACACTCCAGCTGTCATGCTCTTTGGTAGTTACCCAAATGAACTGAAAATTTATGTCCACACAAGAACTTGGCTCACTGCAACCTCTGCCTCCCAGGTTCAAGCGATTCTCCTGCCTCAGACTCCCAAGTAGCATCACCATCTTGGCCAGGCTGGTCTCGAACTCCTGACCTATGGTGATCTGCCTGCCTTGGCCTCCCAAAGTGCTGGGATTACAGGTGTGAGCCACTAAGCCCTGCCAAGATGTCTTTCAGTAGGTGAATAGATAAACAAACTCTGGTACATCTAGACAATGGAACATTAAGTAGCTCTAACCAGAAATGAGCTATCAAGCATGAGAAGATATGGAGGAAACTTAAATGCATATTACTAAGTGAAAAACACCATCTGAAAAGGCTATGTATTGTATGATTCCAACTATATGACATTCTGAGAAAGGCAAAACTATGGAGACAATAAAAAGGTTAGTGGTTGTCAGGTCTTGGGGATTAGGGGGAGGATAAACAGGCATAGCACAGAGAATTTTTAGGGCAGTGAAAATAATCTGTATAATTCAATAATGTTCAATAATTCAAGGCATGTCATGCATTTCTCCAATCCCATAGAATGTACAACACCCTCATATGCAACTGTGAACTTTGGGTAACAACAGTGTGTCAATGCAGGTCCGTCGACGGGAACTACTGTTCCACTATGGTAGGGGATGTTGATAATGGACGAGGCTATGCATGTGTATGGGAAGGGAGTATATGGAAAATCTCTGTACCTTTCTCTCAATTTTGCTGTGAGCTTAAAAATGCTCTGGCCGGGCGTGGTGGCTCACACCTGTAATCCCAGCACTTTGGGAGGCCGAGGCTGATGGATAAACTGAGGTAGGGAGTTTGAGACCAGCCTGACCAACACAGAGAAACCCTGTCTCTACTAAAAGTACAAAATTAGCCAAGCGTGGTGGTGCATGCCTGTAATCCCAGCTACTCAGGAGGCTGAGGCAGGGGAATCGCTTGAACCCGGGAGGCAGAGGTTGCAGTGAGCTAAGATCGTGCCATTGCACACCAGCCTGGGCAACAAGAGCAAAACTCCATCTCAGAAAAAAAAAAAAAAGTAAAAGGACATGATTAGAGAAAATTGAAACAGCCCAAGTCACCAAATTCCTAAAGAAGTGATATCTGGTTCTATAGTTGCCTATCAGTGTGTTAATGTGTAGGTGTGGAGGCCTGGCTACACCCAACACCTACCTGGGAACCAAACAATTCCTACCAACTAATTCCTCCTTTTAATTCCTAGAGTTGTTGCTTTTCTTTCCCACACCTTTATTTACTCTCCCTCCCTCCTGGAGGAGGAGTTGAGACATCTGCAGATACACCTTCCTGGGAAGGTAACCGGCTAGGTCGTGGGAGTTTGAAGTCCAGCCCAAGCCCTCATCCTTATCTCATTGTCAATTGTCTTATAAGGAAATAGTCCAGGCACAACAATGTCTCCTCTTCCTCCAGGTCATGAGTTATTTCCTTATAGACCTTTTCTAACCAGTCTTACCCTTAAAAAAGGAGCTGAAGAACAAACCTGTGCCATTCTTGATGTGAGATGGGGAAGATTTGGAGGTACTGACCTGTGGAGTTTCCATTAATATGTAGCCGTGCACAGTGGCTCACGCCTGTAATGCCAGTACTTTGGGAGGCCGAGGTGAGTGGATCACCTGAGGTCAGGAGTTCGAGACCAGCCTGGCCAACATGGTGAAACCCCGTCTCTACTAAACACAAAAAATTAGCCGGGCATGGTGGCTCATGCCTGTAATCCCAGCTACTTTGGAGGCTGAGGCAGGAAAATCACTTGAACCCCAGAGGTGGAGGTTGCAGTGAGCTGAGATTGAGCCATTGTACTCCAGCCTGGGTGACAGAGTGAGACCCCATCTCAAAGAAAGAAAAAACAAAGTAATTACTCTCCTCATATAGTTGAGCATAAATTCAGCTAGCATGGACTTGGGGTTCTGCTGACAGGCCTCCATAATATATGCACAATATGTCCATCCAGAATGCATAAATATGGAGTGCATACCTATAGAATTACCTGCCTAACACGTCTTTTCTAAGAATGTATTTCTTCCCCACCCCGACTCTCACAACTCCCACTCAGGTACATTTTTACCACAGGAGTCACTTTACACATACCTTAGGGCCCTGTTCCCCGGTCATTGTTCATTCACCCACAGGTTAGCACTGGACTTAAGCTGGGCCACAGT
The DNA here is from genome assembly GCF_000001405.40 of Homo sapiens. Lineage (NCBI taxonomy): Eukaryota > Metazoa > Chordata > Mammalia > Primates > Hominidae > Homo > Homo sapiens. Next base: position 177,294,426 of record NC_000003.12, on the reverse strand, counting down.
CCTGCTTTGTGGCTCATAGCCTAGGGATGACGAGCAAGCTGAACTAATCTCTCTTCACTGGCTCCACATTTATTAATAGATATGAACTCACATGCTCCTGGCAAGCATGTCCTCCACTAAGAGAAGAAAGCCACTCTGAAATGAGAGAGTGAAGCCAACATTCAGAGGGGAACATGAGATGAGAAGAATCCTGACAACCTTCTAGTGTCTGGCTTTCAGCATTCAGAACCCAGCTGCATCTCTGCTCTTCCTGTGTCTTGATTATTCAATTATTCCTAGAATTCTATTTAAAAAACAAAAAACAGATCAAAAGAAAATACTGGAATCGGTTGGGTGCCATGGCTCGTGCCTGTAATCCCAGCACTTTGGGAGGCCAAGGCGGGCAGATCACCTGAGGTCAGTAGTTCCAGACCAGCCTGACCAACATGGAGAAACCCCATCTCTAGTAAAAATACAAAATTAGCTGGACGTGGTGGCAGGCGCCTGTAATCCCAGGTACTAGGGAGGCTGAGGCAGGAGAATCGCTTGAATCCGGGAGGCGGAGGTTGCAGTGAGCCAAGATAGCGCCATTGCACTCCAGCCTGGGCAACAAGAGCGAAACTCCGTCTCAAAGAGAAAAAAAAAAGAAAATACTAGAATCCTTCCAATCAGTTGCCCTTCTTACATAAGGTAGTTTATGTTGGGTTTCTAACATCTACAACAAAAAGTTCCTAAAAATTATAGAATGTGACGCTCTTCAGTGCTCAGATTGTGTACTAATGAGACATCACCTGATTCCTGGGAGAAGGAAGTGAGATAATGAACGCAGGATTGCTTTGTCACCTATACAACATGATTCATCGACGATCCTTCTGAAGCCCTTACATTCAACTGACTGAAAATAAAAATTTCTGCTTAAAGACCAAAGGGTTTGCCATGCTTTATAATTTTCTTACTTTTTCATACTTTCTGTAATATCACTTTTTTTGAAATCTTGAGAGTTACCCAGTCTCCTTTAGATTAATAGAAACTTGACTACAGAATCAATGCATGTTATATAGGCACAAGAATACCATTTGTAGAATAGCCTACTGTGGCACTTTCCCACCCCTAATGCCTGGACTCTGAGGGATCTGTGAAGTGGGCAAGACATTCTAGGGTTATTTTTAGCATTTTAAAATCTCTAGCTGGCCGCAGTGGCTCACGCCTGTAATCCTGGCACTTTGGGAGGCCGAGGTGGGTGGATCACAAGGTCAGTAGTTCAAGACCAGCCTGGCTGACATGGTGAAACCCCGTCTCTACTAAAAATACAAAAAATTAGCTGGCCGTGGTGGCAGTCACCTGTAATCCCAGCTACTCGGGAGGCTGAGACAGAGAACTGCTTGAACCCTGGAGGTGGAGGTTGCAGTGAGCCGAGATCGCGCCATTGCACTCCAGCCTGGGCGACAAAGCAAGACTCCATCTCAAAAACAAACAAACAAACAAAAAAACTCTAACGACAATTGTACTTGCACCATATATCTATTTACACAAGTTAACCGTAACATCATATTTCTTTGCTTTGTGCTAAAATTAGATCAATTCAGTCTTCCAGCTGACTAGCTCATGTTGCCCAAGTTCTAATTGGCTGTTGATGATACCCCTGGCATTGCTCTGGTGAAACTTGTGGATCAGACTGTTATCAGGTGGTAATATCCAAACAATACCCATAGTAGAATTGACCTGCAGGGAAGCACAGGGGTGAACAGCTGAAATTAAGGAACCTGTGGCAGTGAATATTGCCTATCCATTGCTATGTTTACATATCTCTGTGAATGAGATAAATATGTTTCTATTTGCTAGGAAAAGATGTTCAAAACATGAGAAAAAAGGGGAGAACAGGCTGGGTACAGTGGCTCATGCCTGTAATCCCAGCACTTTGGGAGGCCGAGGGGGGCCAGATCACGAGGTCAGGAATTCGAGACCAACCTGGCCAACATGGTGAAACCCCGTCTCTATTAAAAATACAAAAATTAACCAGGCGTGGTGGCATGCGCCTGTAATCCTAGCTACTGGGGAGGCTGAGGCAGGAAAATTGCTTGAACCCAGGAGGTGGAGGTTGCAGTGAGCCGAGACCACACCACTGCATTCCAGTCTGGGCGACAGAGCAAGACTTCATCTCAAAAACAATAAGAAAGGTTGTGGGGGAATACAACAAAAGGGGCCTTGGGTGAGGAATGGTAACTTCTGGTCTATGATACTATCTAGGATGGTGGCTCCCTTGGTGTGTTCCCTAGAATACTAATTCTGGGGTATTACAATTGAGTTACAAAAAGAAGAGTTATATGTTTTTTAAAGGGATACACTCACTATGCTTGGGCAACACTGAGCCAGACAAATTTGTTTGTTTTGTTGTATGATTTCTTAGAGCCTTTAACACCTTTGTACTTTGCGAATCTCCAAGAGGAAGTTAAAGTGTCTCCCAGACTTATCTGACCATAGAACCCTTCTTGTTTGCAGCATTTAATGAGAGTATTCCATGAAATAGACTTTGGGAAAAGCTGATCTAAAAAATGCTCATTGAGTGCTTCCTATTTTTAGGACCTGGCTCACATAGACATTGTCAAACAGAGGTGGCTCTGTCAGTTGGCAGAGTCACTTCACCTACCACCTAAAGAGCTCTTCCACCTCCCATCAAACCGCCTTCATTTCCGTCATTAAAATGTCATGTCGGCCAGGTGTGGTGGCTCATGCCTGTAATCCCAGCGCTTTGGTAGGCCGAGGAGAGTGGATCACCTGAGGTCAGGAGTTCGAGACCAGCCTGGCCAACATGATGAAACCCCGTCTCTACTAAAAATACAAAACTTAGCCAGGCATGGTGGTGTGCCTATAATCCCAGCTACTCGGGAGGCTGAGGTAGGAGAATTGCTTGAACCCGTGAGGCAGAGGCTGCAGTGAGCTGAGATTACACCATTGCACTCCAGCCTAGCCAACAGAGCGAGACACCATCTCAGAAAAAAATAAATAAATAAATAATAAATAAATAAAGTGCCACATCTTTGGTTTTTTGCTAATACTTTTGCTAATCTAGTGCCCAATATAGGTACTTCTCAGAAGGTGAGTCCAATTTCCTCAATCATTTCCTGGGGGAAAAAATACCTCTAATAGCAGAGCAGGGTGAATTAATAACCCTGAGTGAACTAAGTCTGTAGCAGCCAAATACTCAACATTTCCAAGTCTCCAGTTGGATTCCAACATTCTACACCATAATATATCCGTTTTCTTTAATATACACTGTTTTGTTTGTTGTTGTTGTTGTTTGTTTGTTTGTTGTTGTTGTTGTTTTGAGATGGAGTCTCACTCTGTCACCCAGGCTGGAGTGCAGTGGTGTGATCTTGGCTCACTGCAACCTCCACCTCCTGCCTCAGCCTCCCAAGTAGCTGGGATTACAGGCACCCACCACCTCGCCTGGCTAATTTTTATATTTTTATATAAAACATGGTTTCACCATGTTGGCCTGGCTGGTCTCGAACTCCTGACCTCAGGTGATCCATCCGCCTTGGCCTCCCAAAGTGCTGAGATTACAGGCGTGAGCCATGGCACCTGGCCAATATACACTGTTTTAAATGATTTGGCAGCAAATAGGGTAGGTACTGTGATAATATGCACCAAGTCATAGCCCGTGGCTGTAGGTAACCCTGTGACACATTGTCCGGCTGGCTGAGAGACAGGCCTTGGGGAGGGGGCATGGGTGAGACCTCAAGGAGGAAGTCAGAGTCCCCGTGAGAAGGGGTGGTTGGTGAGTACCAAGGCATTAGTACAAAGCGGGAAGATGGCCAGGTGCGGTGGCTTATGCCTGTAATCCCACCACTTTGAGAGGCCGAGCTGGATGGATCACTAGGTCAGGAGTTCAAGACCAGCCTGGCCAAGATGGTGAAACCCCGTCTCTACTAAAAATACAGAATTTAGCCAGGCATGGTAGCAGGCACCTGTAATCCCAGCTACTCGGGATGCTGAGGCAGAAAATTGCTTGAACCCGGGAGGTAGAGGTTGCAGTGAGCCGAGATTGCACCACTGCACTTCACTCAGCCTGGGCGACAGAGCAAGACTCCGTCTCAAAAAGAAAAAAAAAAAAAAAAGCTGGAAGATGCGTCTGTAATTGTGTGCAGCCTCGTTCAAGTGGAAAGTGGCACTGCCACAGCCAGTACTTGAAGCAGTGGCCGGTCCTTCCTCAGCAGGCTCTATTTCCCTTTCCTCCTTCCAATAAGGAAAGCCGCTCCGTGCCCACAGTAACCTTTTTCAATGCTTCCTCTTTCCTTTTCTACTGCTTAACCTCATTTTTGTTATCCCCTCCACCCATTTTCTTTATTTTCTCTTCTACTCTCCTCCAATCCACGTAAGATTTACCATTGTCTAGGGGTGGGGGGATGGGCAGATAAGGGTGACCAGGATCAAAGATTTGCCATCTTTTTGTGATGAAGGAAACAATTTCAGTTCCTTTAATTTCATGCCATAAGATCTAAACGGCTATGAACACAGTGGTGAAGGGCAGGGGGAATAACATTCGGCCACCTTTTCTTCCACTCTGTAATTACTGGTATTGATGTCAGTGTTGGAAGTAGCTTTTGACATTGTCAAGTTCTAGTGGTTTTCAAGCTTTTGAAATTGAGGAACACTGTCAAATCAACTTATTTAGTTTTTTGTTTGCTTTTTTTTTCTTTGAGACAGAGTCTCACTGGGTGGAGTGCAGTGGCACAGTCCTGGCAAATCTTGGCTCACTGCAACCTCTGCCTCCCGGGTTCAAGCGATTCTCCTGCCTCAGCCTCCCAAGTAGCTGGGATTACAGGCTCATGCCACCATATCCAGCTAATTTTTGTATTTTTAGTAGAGACGGGGTTTCACCATATTGGCCAGGCTGGTCTCGAAATCCTGACCTCATGATCTGCCCTTCTCAGCCTCCCAAAGTGCTGGGATTACAGGCGTGAGCCATTGCGCCTGGCCTAAAATCAACTTATTTGTAACAAAGAAAAATAGCATTTTTTTTGTGTGTGTATACATGTAACCATTATATTAAATATTCAGGACCCATGAAACACAGCAGAAAAAATCTTCATCTATGTCTCCCTTCTGTCCCTGCATGCCCATTCTCTGAGGCTGCTATGTGTCTTTGGATGGAATTTAGTGCCAGCCTTTTCTGGTTCCTTTTAGATCTAAAGAAGAAAAAAGGACGGCTGGCCGCGGTAGCTCACGCCTGTAATCCCAGCACTTTAGGAGGCCAAGGTAGGCGGATCACCTGAGGTCAGGAGTTCGAGACCAACCTGACCAACATGGAGACACCCCTATCTACTAAAAATATAAAAATCAGCTGGGTGTGGTGGCGTGCGCATGTAATCCCAGCTACTTGGGAGGCTAAGGCAGGAGAATCGCTTGCACCCGGGATGCAGAGGTTGTGGTGAGCTAAGATCGTGCCATTGCACTCCAGCCTGGGTAACAAGAGCGAAACTCCATCTCAAAAAAAAAAGAAAAAGAAAAGAGGAAAGTCCTTTGCCCACTGTATTCCCTCAGTTTCAGTTCAGTTATTAATCCAATGAGTCCATTGGAATGAAAACTCTCAGCTCCTTTCAAAATTTATGCTTCTCTGCTCCCCAGTTAGCACTGCCTCAGGCTAAGCTCCAGCAATGAGAAAGGGAAAGGAGCTTTGGGTTGCTTTATTCTTATTCTCTATTATTTTATTATTATTTTTTGATACAGGGCCTTGCTCTGTCACCCAGTCCAGAGTGCAGTGGTGTGACTTTAGCTCACTGCAACCTCTGCCTCCCAAACTCAAGCCAACTTCCCACCTCAGCATCCTACAGGCTACGCCACCACACCCAGGTAAGTTTTGCATTTTTTGTAAAGATGGGGTTTTGCCATGTTGCCCAGGCTGGTCTCAAACTCCTGGGCTCAAGCCATCCACCCACCTCGGCCTCCCAAAGTGCTGGGATTACTAGCATGAGCCACTGCACCTGGCCTAGAGTGTGTCTTTGGTACATGCCAGAAACTGTCTCCTCCTGGTTTACAAACTGATGTCCCCAATAAACCTCTCCTTTCTACTATTTAGCCATCAGGATGGTCTTTTGGAAGATAACTCTTTCTCTCATGGGTTCTTGGGAGACTCTCACTTCTATGACTTTCCTTTCGTAAGTGGATGCCTTCAAGATGGGTGACTGAGTCTTCCATCAGTCCCTACCTCCGACTTTTCTCAAACTCCTGACCTTTTTTTTTTTTGAGACAGAGTTTCACTCTTGTCGCCCAGGCTGGAGTGCTGTGGCACAATCTCACATCACCGCAACCTCCGCCTCCCGGGTTCAAGTGATTCTCTAGCCTTGCCTCCTGAGTAGCTGGGATTACAGGCATGTGCCACCACACCCAGCTAATTTTGTATTTTTAGTAGAGACAAGGTCTCATCATGTTGGCCAAGCTGGTCTCGAACTCCTGACCTCAGGTGATCCACCTGCCTCAGCCTCCCAAAGTGCTAGGATTTTTTTTTTTGAGATGGAGTTTCGCTCTTGTTGCCTAGGCTGGAGTGCAATGGCGCGATCTCAGCTCACCGCAACCTCTGCCTCCCAGGTTCAAGCGATTCTCCTGACTCAGCCTCCCAAGTAGCTGGGATTACAAGCATGTGCCACCACGCCTGGCTAATTTTGTATTTTTAGTAGAGACGGGGTTTCTACATGTTGGTCAGGCTGGTCTTGAACTCCCGACCTCAGGTGATCCGCCCACCTTGGCCTCCCAAAGTGCTGGGATTACAGGCATGAGCCACCGCGCCCAGCCATTAGTGCTGGGATTACAGGTGTGAGCCAACATGCCCGGCTCCTCCAGCCTTTCTCTACTGAGGTCTCCTTGCTCTCCTAGGTAGCTCTCTGAAGTAGAATCTAAGGCAACCCCCCAGGCTAGCTCTTTCTCTTTCTTAGTTTGTATCTGGTCCACAGAAACATGCCCCTTTGGCCTTTCATACAAAGGCAGTACAGTTACTTCCTCAATTACAGTCCTCCAGGCCACGTCTACAGCCTCCTGCTCCAGATCTCTTAAGCCGGAGTCAGTCAGATACTGGTCCACTCATTCCCCTCACATGCGCAGGGGACACAAATCAAGTACTATAAGTGGTCAGGAGAAGCCCTTTTCACTGGTCATAGGGTAAGAAAAAGCACCCCCTTTTCCCTGCTTCAAGGGTAAAGGGTACTAACAGCACACTGACAACGCTCTGTAAAGATGTAAAAATCTTCCCATTTCCAACTCCAGTCTCGTTTTATTCCAAAGTGGGCGACGATTGCAAAACTAATTTTCAGGCCAGGCACGGTGGCTCACGCCTGTAATCCCAGCACTTTGGGAGGCCGAGGCGGGCAGATCACCTGAGGTCAGGAGTTTGAGACCAGTCTGGCCAACATAGTGAATCCCTATCTCTACTAAAAAAACACAAAAATTAGCTAGCTGGGCGTGGTGCCACATGCCTGTAACCCGAACTACTCAGGAGACTGACACACAAGAATCATTTGAATTCGGGAGGCAGAGTTTGCAGTGAATGGAGTGTGCCACTGCACTCCAGCCTGGGTGATAGAGCAAGACTTTGTCTCAAAAAAAATAAATAAATAAAAAATAAGTAGTTTTCAACATCTTTGTACTGGTTCTGCCTAATAGGTTTCTCCTACAATATGTTTTGAGTTCATATTTGTAACATTTGAACTAAGATAATATTTAGATGAACTCTAAATATTTAGGAATTTGAAAATATTGAAAATCGAAAATAAGAGTTAAAAATGATTGTTGCCAGGCAGGGTGGCTCACGCCTATAATCCCAGCATTTTGGGAAGCTGAGACAGGAGGATCACTTAAGACCAGGAGTTTGGGACCAGCCTGGGCAACAAAACATGACCCTGTTTCTACAAAAAAGAAATTTTAAATTAGCTGGGCATGGTGGCACAAGCCTGTAGTCCCAGCTACTCTGGAGACTGAGGCAGGAGGACTCCTTGAGCCCAGAAATTTGAGGTTACAGTGAGCTGATCACATCACTGCCCTGTAGCATGGGGGACAGAGAGAAACCCTATCAAAAAAAAAAAAAAAAAGATTGCTGTGGTCAAAGGTCAGCCTCCACCTCTATGAAATCAGTCAGGCATGTGCAGAATCTTTGAAATACCTGCATGGAGTCATCCCTGTTGACAAACACTACTAACCTTGTTCAGGCTGTTGCTATTTGAGATGAGTAACCTGAGGCCTAGATGAGTTCAGAGATTTACAGAGGATCACATAGTGATAGGCAGCAAAATAATGACCAAATCACGGTGCCTGGATGCCTATTCCTGTAAATTTATTGCCACTTGTGGCCAGATCCCATGACTCTTAGAGAGATGTATGTACATCCCGGGCAGGCCCTGTGGCTCTACAGTAAGAAACCTGACTTCAAATCCTGGCTCCTTCATGTAACCCTTGAGTGATCCTGGGCAAATCTCTTATCTTCTCTAAGTCTTGATTTTCTGTCTGTAAAATGACATTGATACTGGTATAAAGAACAAAATGGGTAATTTATAGGAAAGTACTTTTAAAACTGCTAGGCATTAGGTGAATGCTGTAGTTGTCATTATGATTACGGTATTGGGGGTGGAGATAACCATAGTTTGTTCAGGATAACCTTAGTCTTAGAATGATTATGAGACTTATTATAAGATCGCTAATTTATAATGGCGTTTAGTCATAAGAAATACATAATCTAGGCTGGGCACGGTGACTCACACCTGTAATCCCAGCAATTTGGGAGGCCAAGACAGGTGGATCACCTGAGGTCGGGAGTTTGAGACCAGTCTGATCAACATGGTGAAACCCCGTTTCTACTAAAAATACAAAAATTAGCCGGGCATGGTAGCTGATGCCTGTAATCCCAGCTACTCAGGAGACTGAGGCAGGAGAATCACTTGAACCCAGGAGGCAGAGGTTGTGGTGAGTCGAGATCGCACCACTGTACTCCAGCCTGGTTGACAGAGCAAAACTCTGTCTCAAAAAAAAAAAAAAAAAAAAAACCAGAAATACATAATCTAAATAAGTTCCAAAAGTTAGTTTTCCATATAACCTTTATGCAACTGTAAGTCTATACAACCTTGCCTATTAAAAAAGAATTTTAGGCAGGGTGTGGTGGTTCACGCCCGTAATCCCAACACTTTGGGAGGCCGAGGAGGGCAGATCACAAGGTCAGGAGTTTGAGACTAGCCTGGCCAATATGGTGAAACCCTGTCTCTACTAAAAATACAAAAAAATTAGCCTGGCGTGGTGGCACATGCCTGTAATCCCAGCTACTCGGGAGGCTGAGGCAGGAGAATCGCTTGAACCCAGGAGGTAGAGGTTGCAGTGAGCTGAGACTGTGCCACAGCACTCCAGCCTGGGCGACAGAACGAGACTCTGTCTCAAAAATTAAATAAATAAATAAATAATTTTAAAGAGAGTAGAAAGCATGTGTTACACTAATGTTATAATGTTAAAGAACAGTAAAGGAAATACACATTTTGTGCATATTCAAAAGCTGAGTAAAACAGCTAGATAAATAAACAAATTGAGATTACAAGACATCATGAAAGAAGGCACAGATGTCACCACCGGCCTGGGCAAAACAGTATCCAAAGCAAGAAGACATTTGCCCGCCACCAGGCTGTGGAAGAGGACACAGTCTTTCTCTGAGGAATCTCTGTAACAGGCCACAAGGCACCCACTTCAAAGTCACATGGTGCCTGAAAGTCTTTCTGACAGGCAGAGGAAAAATGCACACCAGGTGGCTCCCCCAACAGGAGTTCCTGGAACTAATCAATGTCAAAGGCACGGAGAAAGTCAGGGCAGGTCAAGGAGCGTCTTACTGAGGCTCAGAGGGGAGGCCGCTGGCAGAGGCTTCTTCCCCGAGCAGGAAACCACGCCCTTTATCCCTGCTTGATGTCTTTGGATTGCAAAATATATGCAATGCTCTTGTCTGACCTAAGAGCCCTTCAGAAAGAGGGAAGGGTGGGAGGGAGGAGGAGCACTCAACGGGGGAAAAACTTTAATCTTCTTTGTTACCATTTTCTGAGAGAAGTGAGGGAGATCAAAGGCAAGGGTTTCACTTAGACTGGAAAGCTGTAGTTACCATCCACTTTCAGCCTTCTGTAGGGGAGTACATGGCCAATCTTAAATTTGTTTTTATTTATTTAAGTAAAAGCGAGAGGAGCAAGTTTGGAATTAACCATGAGCACTGACCTAAATGATCCGCATATGGGAGATGAATGCCTTCTGCAGCATGGTGCAATATTATACAGGTAAACCAAAGGGTATGGTGACTAACAGGCAGCCCAGATTCCTTTATCTCTGCTGCTTAAAGCTACTTCATCTTGCATATTTTCTCAACATAAATCATATATGTATATGCTAAATCATTTGTGTTGGCTACTACAATGTGAAAAGAACATGTTCAAAGGAGGCACAATGATTTTTATTTTTTACTTAAAAAGTCTTTTCCTAACTGGGCGCGGTGGCTCACGCCTGTAATCCCAGCACTTTGGGAGGTTGAGGCGGGCGGATCACTTGAGGTCAGGAGTTTGAGACCAGCCTGGCCAACATGGTGAAACTCCGTCTTTACCAAAAATACAAAAATTAGCTGGGCGTGGTGATGCGCGTCAGTAATCCCAGCTACTCAGGAGGCTGAGGCAGGAAAATCGCTTGAACCCGGGAGGCGGAGGTTGCAGTGAGCCAAGATTGCGCCACTGCACTCCAGCCTAAGCAACAGAGCAAGACTCCCTCTCAAAAAAAAAAAAAAAAAAAAAAAAAAGCCGGTGCAGTGGCTAACACCTGTAATCCCAGCACTTTGGGAGACCAAGGTGGGTGGATCACCTGAGGTCAGGAGTTCGAGACTAGCCTAACCAATATATCGAAACCCCGTCTCTACTAAAAATGCAAAATTAGCCAGGCGTGGTGGCAGGCGCCTGTAATCCCAGCTACTTGGGAGGATGAGGCAGGAGAATCACTTAAATCCGGGAGGCGGAGGTTGCAGTGAGCCGAGATCGCGCCACTGCACTCCAGCCTGGGCAACAAGAGTGAGACTCGGTCTCAAAAAAAAAAAAGGCTTTTCCTTCAGTACTATGTTAGGGAGGCTCTGAGGACCATCTCTCTACTAGTCTACTAGTCTAGTTGTCCACAAGTCTAGTCATTCTACTCTGAAAGGCTAAACTGGGCTTAGCCCAGGTACCTTGCAGTTCATTCAGTGCATTTGGGAGAGTCCTGAGCATCCAGGCAGGACATGATGAGTGCAATTGAATGAGAATGGGGAGAGCAACGAACATTCTGGAAAGTTGCCTTGAGATCAAATCAGTGTTCAGTCAGCATCCATTTGCCAAGCTGGGGGTGAACTCTGGATATCCTCTGGATTCATCAGACTTCACTGAGCCATTATCTTCCCTCTGTGACTATAAGCCCCTCCACTGGAGATGTGTGCTCCCCCAGGGAAGGAACCTGGCTCCTGGAACATAGTACTGGCTCAATAGACATTGAACTGCTTGATCATCAAATCCTAAATGTATCTTTTGTCTAACTATTTTCCCTTAACTGACTTCTTATCTCCCCCAGGGACTACTGCTATGTAGTCAGGAATGAGTGAATGAATGAATACATGGATATGTTAATAAACATATTATTTATTGTCTGATTATACATAAAAGCATTTGTATAGTTTGTGAATGTAATAGTGTTTTCTTCCTAATGTTGTTTGCTTGAATATGGTGCCGTTATTCATTATCATAAATGTATCTTTACATTTTTAAGACTTCGTGCTATTTACAAAATGCTTTCACATACATTATCTTATTTAATCTTCACAGCAGTGCTGCAAAGTAGATATTATTGTCTCCCAGTTTAGATAAGATAGGTGATTTGTCCAAAGTACGCAATAAGCACAGAGCTGGACTTGAACCCAAGTTTTGCCACACAGGCCTATAGCAGTCCTTTTCCCTAGATTGAAAGGTGAGTAAGCAGGCAAAGGTTATATTCATTTGTAAACAGATGCTTATTTCTAAAGATATAGCATAACATGCACTGCCTACATAGGGGAAGTGCCATCTCTCAACTCCTGGCAGGCTCTCCCACCAGGCACCTGGCTTGTTGCTGGCTACACCTGCTTTTGAATGCACAGCTGGTCTTATGCCAAGTCACTCAACAGAACTTACATTTGGCTATAGATACTTGATACCAAAACAACCAGTGAACAGGAAGAAAATTCAGGCAATTAACCAGTTATTATTTTGTCTACACAATGACAAACAACCTTTGGGGTTGATTTTGTGTCTTTAAGTTAAGCTGCTATATTCATGGAAATACCACAATTATTTCTTCTCCACTTGAATGTCAGCCCACAACAAGGAAGCCAGCAGGCTTGAACAGCAGGAGTCAATATTTAAAACTAGGTCTCAAAATGTAGCCTGCGTCCTAAGGTTCCTCTTGGTGCTCTTTTTCTGTGCTAATGATCTCTGTTGTTGGCATTGCTGCTGAAGACACACTTAGTATCCTAGAGCTGTAAAGACCTTTAAAATCATTTAGAGCAGTAGTTTTCTAAATTCAAAAAAATGGTACTGACATAGAAGCCCAATCAACAAAGCAAATCTAAGCGGATTTGCTTTGGCTGAAGAGGAGATTGTGATAAGCCTGAGGGAGCCTGCTATAGTTTGGATGTTTGTCCCCTCCAATGATCATTTTGAAATCTTATCCCCAATTTTGGACGTGGGGCCTAATGGGAGGTGTTTAGGTCATGGGGGTAGATCTCTCATTAATAGATTGATGCCCTTTCTTGGGTGGAGTGGGGGATAAATGGTGTGTTCTTATTCTGTGTTCCTGTGAGAGCTGGTTGTTAAAAAGAACCTGGCACCTCCCCCACTCTCATTTCCTCTCTCGCCATGTGACCTCTGCACACACTGTTTCCCCTTAGCCTTTGGTCACGAGTAGCAGCAGTCTGAGGCCCTCACCAGAAGCAGATACTGGCACCATGCTTCTTATATAGTCTGCAGAACTGTGAGCCAAATAAACCTCTTTTCTTTACCTATTACCCAGTCTCAGTTATTCCTTTCTTTGTAATTTTTATTTTTTTGGAGATGGAATCTCACTCCGTTGCCCAGGCTGGAGTGCAGTGGTGCGATCTTGGCTCACTGAAACCTCCGCCTCCTGGGTTCAAGCAATTCTCCTGCCTCAGCCTCCCAAGGAGCTGGGATTACAGGCTCATGCCACCACACCCAGCTAATTTTTGTATTTTTAGTAGAGACAGGGTTTCACCATGTTGGCCAGGCTGGGGTCAAACTCCTGACCTCAGGTGATCCGCCCACCTCAGCCTCCCAAAGTGCTGGAATTACAGGCATGAGCCACCATATCCAGCCAGTTATTCTTCTATAGCAACACAAACAGACTAAGACAGGCTCTCCCCTTCAGAATGGTCCTGGAGACACCCACCAGGGCCCTAAAAGTAGATTAACCCCATCATTTTACAGATAAGGAAACAGAGGCCCAGAGAGCAAAATGACTAAGATAAAGAACTTAGAAATCCACAAACGTGGTTTGCTGCTCTTTGAATTTCTGTTCCTTATCTCAGCTTAACTTTAATTTCCCTTCTCCTCTTACATCCTGTCCTAAGTTTTAAGTACATCTGCTCTCTTTTTTTTGTTGTTTTGTTTTGTTTTGTTTTTGTTGAGACAGAGTTTTGCTCTTTTTGCACAGGCTGGAGTGCAATGGTGCGATCTTGGCTCACCGCAACCTCTGTCTCCCGGGTTCAAGCGATTCTTCTGCCTCAGCCTACCGAGTAGCTGGGATTACAGGCATGTGCCACCATGCCCGGCTAATTTTATATTTTTAGTAGAGATGGGGTTTCACCATTTTGGTCAGGTTGGTCTCGAACTCCAGACCTCAGGTAATCTGCCCGCCTCGGTCTCCCAAAGTGCTGGGATTACAGGCATGAGCCACCACACTCGGCAGTACATCTGCTCTGGGCATACAGAACCACCCCAGCAGTAACGTGACCACCACTGCTTAGAGAACATCATATTTCCCAAATGTCCCTGGTCAAAAAAGTGCACAGGAACCCTTGTTAAAGATGCTGATCCTTTTTTTTTTTTTTTGAGACGGAATTTTGCTCTTGTTGCCCAGGCTGGAGTGCAATGGCGCAATCTCAGCTCACTGCAACCTCTGCCTCTCGGGTTCAAGTGATTCTCCTGCCTCAGCCTCCCGAGTAGCTGGGATTACAGGCACCCGCTACCATGCCCAGCTAATTTTGTATTTTTAGTAGAGACAAGGTTTCTCCATGTTGGACAGGCTGGTCTCCAACTCCCAACCTCAGGTGATCCGCCCACCTAGGCCTCCCAAAGCGCTGAGATTACAGACGTGAGCCACCGCGCCCAGCCTAAAGGTGCTGATTCTTAGATTCCCTTCTTTGCAGTTCTGATTCAAATGGCTTGGGATGAAACCCAGGTAATGCTTTTGACCAGTGAAGTTTGGGAAACACTTGCTGGATGGAATGGGCTAACGATGTTCTTTTACAGGGAAAGTCAAGAGTATAACTAGGTGGACCATTCATCACCTGTAAAGCCAGAGATCTTCTTTCTTTTATTTTTATTTTATTTATTTATTTATTGGTTTTAAAGGTAGAGAAGATCTAAGTTTCCTCTCTTCATAATCCAGAAATGTCTGGTATAAAGGGGAAAAAAAAATTCCATTCCTTTTTCAGCCCACAAGTTTGTAAAGGTGTGTCACTCTGTAAAGTCGCGCTTGACTTGCTTCAGTAGGAATGTGGCTTTAAGATGTTGATCTCTGCTCTCTCACTGACCACCAGTTCCTGACCGTCCACTTCTGCTCAGGCACCCAAGCTACTTGCTCTTTTCTGAAAGGGTCTACTCCAAGTCCTTGATTCCTTCCCAAATTGTAAGTGTACTTTATCCAACACCCCATTCCTAGCCTCCCAACGCAGCCTGGACTCAAGGATCAGCTACATTCATAGTTCACTCACTTACCCACTCTAAACTTACCGTCGTGGCTTGTTTACCTGCCTCCCTGGAAGCATCCCAACCTTCTAGTCTGCTGGGATCAGCCTTTCCTTTGATATTTACATAAAACAGCTTGAGTTCCCTTCCCACTTACAAATGAGGTTTGCACCCACCCCTCCACCAACACACACACTTTGTTATAGGAAAGGTAAGTAATTAAATATTTATCTTTGAAAACACAAGGCTCATTTCCTTCCTAGAGACCATCTGGCTATAACCTGTCTCCTCACTGACCTTGACTCCAAGTCAACTTTGACTTGGTTTCTGGTTGCCTTTTTGCTTGTCGTGGAAAAATAGAACCACACTTTTCTTTGGAATAATGCTGTTGCTGGTGATGACAGCATCAAAAGATGGAGTCACAAAGAACACCAGGCCTCTCAACATCACCTCATCCGCTAGTTCCCTACATATTAGTAACACAAGACTACTTTATGAACAGACTGTACTGAAGATTGGAGGACAATTAGTGGGAATATATATCTATATGCTGAATTTGATTGTTTCCAGAGTACAAGGAAAGGGGATTATATATATATATATATATATATATATATATATACACACACACACATACATATATATATACATATATATACATATATATACATATATATACGTATATATATATACATATATATACATATATACGTATATATATATACATATATATACACATATATATATACATATATATATATACACCTATATATATATACATATATATATATATATATATTTTTTTTTTTTTTTGAGATGGAGTCTCACCCTGTCACCCAGGCTAGAGTGCAATGGCGCAACCTTCGCCTCCTGGGTTCAAGCAATTACCCTGCCCCAGTCTCTCAAGTAGCTGGGATTACAGGTGTGTGCCACCATGCCCAGCTTATTTTTTGTATTTTTAGTAGAGATGGGGTTTCACCATATGGGTCAGGCTGGTCTCGAACTCCTGACCTCAGGTGATCCACCTGCCTCGGCCTCCCAAAGTGCTGGGATTACAGGCATGAGCCACCATGCCTGGCCTCTAGTCCTGTGCTCTTTCTACTGGATTTTCATGTTATCTTCTTCCAAGTACTGTGAAATATTCCAAATACTCCAAGTTCTCCCAAGACAAGGCATATGGCCAGTTATCTTTCAGTATCTGATCTCCCCTTCCACAGACATAGAGTTTCCACTGAGGCCATGGCTTCCTAACTAAAGACCACTGCTTTATCTAGCCACACCTGCAGCCAGAGGTGGCCATGTGACTAAGTTCTAGCCATGAAATGTGAGAAGGTGATAGGTGCCCTTTTTGTCAGTTTTGCCCTTACAAAGATTGTGTATGCCTGACCCTTTACTTCCTTCCTGCTGGCTGAGATGGGCAGAACAAAAGTAGGCATCTTAAACCCAGAGATAGCCAGGCGTGGTGGCTAATGCCTATAATCCTAGCACTTTGGGAGGCCAAAGCGGGTGGATCACCTGAGGTCAGAAATTCGAGATCAGCCTGGCCAACATGGTGAAATCCCGTCTCTACTAAAAATACAAAAAAATTAGCCAGGTGTGGTGACGTGTGCCTGTAGTCCCAGCTACTCGAGAGGCTGAATACAAAATTAGCCGGACATGGTGGCGGGTGCCTGTAGTCCCAGCTACTCGGGAGGCTGAGGCAGGAGAATGGCTTGAACCCGGGAGGTGGAAGTTGCAGTGAGCCGAGATTGCTCCACTGCACTCCAGCCTGGGCAGCAGGAGAACTCTGGAACCCAGGAGGCAGCGGCTGCAGTGAGCCGAGATCATGCCACTGCCCTCCAGCCTGGGCGACAGAGCAAGACTCCATCTCAAAAAACGAAACAAAACAAAACAAAACAAAAACAGAGATGAACTACCTATTTCCGGACGTCTACGGAGAAAGAAACAAGCGTCTACATTTTTTTTTATTTTTTTGAGATGGAGTCTCGCTCTGATGCCCAGGCTGGAGTGCAGTGGAGCGATCTCAGCTCACTGCAACTTCCACCTCCCGGGTTCAAGCCATTCTCCTGCCTCAGCCTCCCGAGTAGCTGGGACTACAGGCATGTGCCACCACGCCTGGCTAATTTTTTTGTATTGTTAGTAGAGACCAGGTTTCACCATGTTAGCCAGGATGGTCTCGAGCTCCTGACCTCATGATCTGCCTGCCTCGGCCTCCCAAAGTGCTGGGATTACAGGCATGAGCCACCACGCCCGGCCTTTTTTTTTTTTTGAGACGGAGTTTCACTCTTGTTGCCCAGGATGGAGTGCAATGGCGTGATCTTGGCTCACTGCAACCTCTGCCTCCCGGGTTCAAGTGATTCTCCTGCCTCAGCCTCCCAAGTAGTTGGGATTACAGACGCCGACCACCACACCAGGTTAATTTTGTATTTTTAGTAGACACGGGGGTTTCACCATGTTGGCCAGGATGGTCTCGAACTCCTGACCTCAGGTGATCCGCCCGCCTCAGCCTCCCAAAGTGCTGGGATTACAGACATGAGCCACCGCACCTGGCCAAGCATCTACTTTTTTAAAGCCAATGTATTTTGGCACTCTCTGCTACAGACACTTAGGTGGAACCCAGTTAAATACAGTGACCATCCTCATGGATGCCAGGGTCCTTGCAGGAGACACAACCAGTAAGAGGCAGAGCTGGGGCTTGGACCCAGGGCTCTAACCACGGTGCTTTCTTCAACCTTTCTAAAGATTATGAAATCTGACATTATAGCCCATGTCTTTTTGTAGTTTTCTTGTTTAAAATAGCTACTAATTTTTCTTCTGTTAAGGTAACACTGTCCAGTGATCTGTCAACGTCTACCTCAGCAGCTGACTTAGCTTAGCCTGGGAGCTCAAGAGTACAAAACATTTTCTGGAAACAATGCTTTCTTTCTTTTTAATAGGTTCATCAGGTAATCTGCTGGCTTGAAACTTACAGGCAGAAAACTTATATCCAACAAGGATAAAAGAAGCTTTACAAATACATAGAGGAAATGGAGGGTCCAGGTCATGAAAGCTAGTCGCTATGGACTCAGTGAATGTACCTCCCTCCCTGGATCCTCTCTAATAATCCTAAGGTCCTCCTCCAGTGAATAAAAGTGAAACAATCTTATCATACCCAACAAAAACACAGGGAGGCAGGAATTTAATTTCAAGCCATCATTCTTCACCCTCACCAGGAAGAATAAATCTCCATTTGACAACCCTATACTAACTTCATCCAAAGAACAGATATTATTAACTCTATTTTCTGATTTGCTTAAATAACAAACAATAGTAAACTCATAGAACATTTGCTATATACCATACAACATTCTACATGATTTTCCCATATTAACTCAGAAGTTTGAGTTAAGGTAGGTATAATTATTTTTCTCATTTTACAGATAAGGAAACAAAAGCACAAATATATTTTACATACTTGTAAGTAGAGTAAATATATTTTGGTTAGCATAAAAAATGCCATCTTCTAGAGATTCTTTGTTGATGGTGTGCTGAATGATAGTTGTTGATGAAGCGTGTTCACTTATCAGTTTTCTCCCACCTAAAATTGTACTCCTCTGAAACTAACCTGCTTCTTTAGTGGGCAAAACTATCTGGGCCAGGCATGGTGGCTCAAGCCTGTAATCCCAGCACTTTGGGAGGCCGAGGCTGGTGGATCACCTGAGGTCAGGAGTTCGAGACCAGCCTGACCAACATGGAGAAACCCTGTCTCTACTACAAATACAAAATTAGCTGGGCATGGTAGCTCACGCCTGTAATCCCAGCTACTCGGGAGGCTGAGGCAGGAGAATCACTTGAATCCAGAATGCAGAGCTTGCAGTGAGCCAAGATCACGCCATTCCACTCCAGCCTGGGCAACAAGAGCAAAACTTCATCACAAAAAATAAAATAAATAATAATAATACAAAAAATTAGCCGGGCGTGGTGGCCAGCGCCTATAATTCCAGCTACTTGGGAGGCTGAGGCAGGAGAATCGCTTGAACCCAGGAGGCGGAGGTTCCAATGAGCCAAGATCGTGCCATTGCACTCTAGCCTGGGTGACAGAGCGAGACTCCATTTCCAAAACAAAACAAAACAAAACAAAAAAACAAAAAACTGAAGTACTAATATCAATCTTTGTTTTAGGAAAAATGAGTTTTAAATACTTATCTTTCAAAATATGTACTTAATGCAAATTATAGTTAACAAATAACCCAAAAAAAGGTTCATTGGATTTTAACCATTTTAGTTAGGAGAGAACTCTACTAATGGAATTTAGGTGTACTCTCTGTTTAAATAATTTCAAAGATTTTTATAACATTTTAGTGTCAAACGATTGTGTTGCATTGTCATATTGTTTTATGGTAGCTAAATCTACCATTGAAATGTTGGAATAGTTTTGCTTGTCAATTCAAGGTTAAAGAGCCTGTATAGCTTCTCTTTTTTAAGTAATATCATTTTTTGTCTATGCTATATGTGGCCAAGATTTATAATTTTCTCTATCCTCACTTTCTTCTACTTTGGGATAGCAAAGTGATTAAAAACAAAACAAAACAAAGATGTGGGTGGGGTGTGGGTGCTGTGGCTCACGCCTGTAATAGCAACACTTTGTGGGGCTGAGGCGCGTGGATCACCTGAGGTCAGGAGTTCAAGACCAACCTGGCCAACATGGTGAAACCCTGTCTCTACTAAAAATGCAAAAATTAGCAGGGCATGATGGCAGGTGCCTGTAACCCCAGCTACTCCGGAGGCTGAGGCGGGAAAATCACTTGCACCCAGGAGACGGAGGTTGCAGTGAGCTGACATCGCACCATTGCACTCCAGCCTGGGTGACAGAGTGAGACTCTGTCTCAAAACAAAACAAACAAACAAAAAGAAACAAAGATGTTAACTAAATTTCTTAGCAATCTCCCATGCCAGATAAAATGAAATATAAGTGGATGCCATTGGGTGGGACTTTTAGGAAATCTTTTTAAAAGAAGTATACTCTCAGCTAACAAATATTTTCCATTGCCCTTTCTCTTCTGTCTTTGAGCGTGGACATGATGGCAGAGGTGGTGCAGGGAGCTTGTGCTCATGAGGCAATAAACATACACTAAGGATGGCTGAGGGGAAGCAGAGAAGGAGCCTGGATTGGGAGCCACCATGCCAGCCCTGAAAGGCCTAGCTCCAGACATCACATAATAGGAAGAAAATATGTCTTAATTTTTTTTTTTTTTTTTTTGAGATGAAGTCTCGCTCTTGTCCCCCAGGCTGGAGTGCAATGGCGCGATCTCAGCTCACTGCAACCTCCGCCCCTTGGGTTCAAGCGATTCTCCTGCCTCAGCCTCCCGAGTAGCTGGAATTACAGGCGTGTGCTACCATGCCCGGCTAATTTTTGTATTTTTAGTAGAGATGGGGTTTTACCATGCTGGCTAGGCTGGGCTCGAACTCCTGACCTCAGGTGATCCGCCCGCCTCGGCCTTCCAAAGTGCTGGGATTACAGGCGTGAGCCACCGCGTCCAGCCTAAAAGTCTTAATTTCTTTAAAATTATGTTTTTCCTATCGCAAGGACAAAAAACCAAACACCGCATGTTCTCACTCATATGTGGAAATTGAACAATGAGAACACATGGACACAGGAAGGGGAACATCACACACCGGGGCCTGTCATGGAGTGGGGGAAGGGGGGAGGGATAGCATTAGGAGATATACCTAATGTAAATGATGAGTTAATGGGTGCAGCACACCAACATGGCACATGTATACATATGTAACAAACCTGCACGTTGTGCATATGTACCCTAGAACTTAAAGTATAATAAAAAATAAAAAATAAAAAAATAAAAACAAAAATAAATAAATAAAATTCTGTTTTTCTGCCTTCTCTTACAGCCAAATGAAATTTCTGAATTGTAAGTGATTAGATAAATAGCAGCAGAGGCTATAAAGGTTTTCAACATCTAGAAGCTTAAAAATTGGGATAGGTCTACAAAGCATGGTTAAACATTCTGTTCTACAGCCACTAGGTATTTTCAAACAGTATCTGAAATTAAATCATCTGTTGGCGAATCAGATCAATTATTCAAAAATAAGATTCAGTTACTAAGAAAGGAAAAGCACTAAATGCTACCATCCACTCACCATTTATTTCAATAAAATTAATTTGGACATAGAAAAGGAGACATGCACTGATTTTTTTCTTTGAAAATGGACAATAAGTACATAAAGTATTTTGATTCTTTTTTAATGACGAATTCTTGTGCTCAGACACATGTATATAGGTAGTATTGCTCACTCAGGTGAATGGGTTTTAACTTAACAAAGAAAGCAGTAGAAACTCCTGGGTTGGTAAAAGTTAAGTTCCTTGCAATATAGGACTGCAGTCCTCATTTTCTGGCTGGCTGTTGGCCAGGGTGTGCCCTCAAGTTCTTGAGATCACCCGCAGGTTCCAGCCATGCGCCCGCCTTCACTAACAACCTGGTAGTTGGCTTGTCTTCAAGCCAGCAGGAGAGTTCACTGATGCTTCACCTTCCTTTTTTTTTCTGAGACGGAGTGTCCCACTGTCACCCAGGCTGGAGTGCAGTGGCACGATCTCGGCTCACTGCAACCTCTGCCTCCTGGGTTAAACCGATTCTCCTGCCTCAGCCTCCCGAGTAGCTGGGATTACAGGTACACGCCACCACGCCCGGATAATTTTTGTATTTTTAGTAGAGACAGGGTTTCACCATGTTGGCTAGGCTGGTCTCCAACTCCTGGCCTCGGGTGATCCACCCACCTTGGCCTCCCAAAGTGCTGGGATTACAGGCATGAGCCACCACGCCCAGCCTGCCTTCTTTTAAAGAGCTCATTTGATTAAGCCAGGTCCTCCCAGGACCATCTCCCTTGTGATAAAGTAAAGGTGAACCAATTAGTAACCTCATCGTGGAGGTCTGTGGAATCACCAACGATGATTCCATCATAGTCACTGTTCGCACTCACACTCCAGAGAATGGGGTTTTACAGGGCACGTGTATCAGGGGACAGAATCCTAGAGACCATCTCAAAATCCTTCCTACCCCAACAACCTAGAGCATTTTGTTGCTTGAAATTATCATGATTATGTTAAATTCACAGCCCTGAAGAGGGTGGCAATGGCCAGATTCTTACCTAATTATCAGGAAGTGTCATTATCAGCACCGCAGTGTTGAGAGGTGACAGCGTGCTGGCAGTCCTCACAGCCCTCGCTCGCTCTCGGCGCCTCCTCTGCCTGGGCTCCCACTTTGGCGGCACTTGAGGAACACTTCAGCCCACCGCTGCATTGTGGGATCCCCTTTCTGGGCTGGCCAAGGCCGGAGCCTGCTCCCTCAGCTTGCAGGGAGGTATGGAGGGAGAGGCGCGAGCCTGAACCGGGGCTGCGCGCGGCGCTTGCGGGCCAGCTGGAGTTCCGGGTGGGCGGGGGCTTGGCGGGCCCGCACTCAGAGCAGCCGGCCGGCCCTGCCGGCCCGGGCAGTGAGGGGCTTAGCATCCGGGCCAGCGGCTGCGGAGGGTGTACTGGGTCCCCCAGCAGCGCCAGCCCACCGGCACTGTGCTTGATTTCTCACCGGGCCTTAGCTGCCTTCCCGCGGGGCAGGGCTCGGGACCTGCAGTCCGCCATGCCTGAGCCTCCCACCCCCTCTATGGGCTCCTGTGCGGCCCGAGCCTCCCCGACGAGCGCCACCCCCTGCTCCACAGCGCCCAGTCCCATCGACCACACAAGGGCTGAGGAGTGTGGGCCCACGGCACCGGGACTGGCAGGCAGCTCCACCTGCAGCCCCGGTGCAGGATCCACTGGGTGAAGCCAGCTGGGCTCCTGAGTCTGGTGGGGACGTGGAGAACCTTTATGTCTTGCTCAGGGATTGTGAATGCACCAATCGGCACTCTGTATCTAGCTCAAGGTTTGTGAACACACCAATCGGCACCCTGTGTCTAGCTCAGGGTTTGTGAATGCACTAATCGACACTCCATATCTAACTACTCTGGTGGGGTCTTGGAGAACCTTTATGTCTAGCTCAGGGATTGTAAATACACCAATCAGCACTCTGTATCTAGCTCAAGGTTTGTAAACACACCAATCAGCACCCTGTGTCTAGCTCAGGGTTTGTGAATGCACCAATCGACACTGTATCTAGCTGCTCTGGTGGGGCCTTGGAGAACCTTTGTGTCCATACTCTGTATCTAACTGATCTGATGGGGAGGTGGAGAACCTTTGTCTCTAGCTCAGTGATTGTAAAGGCACCAATCAGCGCCCTGTCAAAACAGACCACTGGGCTCTACCAATCAGCAGGACATGGGTGGGGCCAGATAAGAGAATAAAAGCAGGCTGCCCGAGCCAGAAGTAGCAACTTGCTCAGGTCCCCTTCCACATTGTGGAAGCTTTGTTCTTTCGCTCCTTGTAATAAATCTTGCTACTGCTCACTTTTTGGGTCCACGCTGCTTTTATGAGCTGTAACGCCCACCGTAAAGGTCTGCAGCTTCACTTCTGAAGCCACCGAGACCACAAGCCCACCGGGAGGAACGAACAACTCCAGACGCGCCGCCTTAAGAGTTGTAACACTCACTGCGAAGGTCTGCAGCTTCACTCCTGAGCCAGAGAGACCACAAACCGGGCGGGAACACCAGAAGGAAAAAACTCCGAACACATCCGAACATCAGAAGGAACAAACTCCAAACACGCCACCTTAAGAGCGGTAACACTCACCGCGAGAGTCCGCAGCTTCATTCTTGAAGTCAGTGAGACCAAGAACCCACCAATTTCGGACACACTGTCACCACTGTTTTGAAGTTAGATATTCAACACTTGAGGATGGCAATTCCTTCAAACTAGAATAAAAACAGATGCACTGTTGCTGTTCCATCCTTCTATATATACATGTCATAAGCAATGCACTTTCAGACCTCTGCCCTTGGGACTGGCACCCAGGAATTTTCTCATCAGGCCAGTTCTGCTGCATGGTCTGGAACTGGCAGCAATGGTGGCAACTCTCTCATTAGGGTAGTGCTTTGGTATGGCTCTCGACTTTATTGAGACTTAGCCATTTACTCCAGCCTTCTCAATGATCCCTTCAACTACCTAACATCTTTTATTCAATTTATTTCAGCTACAATTAGCCAGGGTGAACTCTGTTATTTGAAAACGAGGTATGAGGCGCGGTGGCTCACGCCTGTAATCCCAGCACCTTGGGAGGCCGAGGCGGGCAGATCACGAGGTCAGGAAATCAAGATCATTCTGGCTAACACAGTGAAACCCCATCTCCACCAAAAATACAAAAAATTAGCCAGGCGTGGTGGCGGGCGCCTGTAGTCCCAGCTACTGGGGAGGGTGAGGCAGGAGAATGGCGTGAACCCGGGAGGCGGAGCTTGCAGTGAGCCGAGATCGCGCCACTGCACTCCAGCCTGGGCGACAGAGCAAGACTCCGTCTCAAAAAAAAAAAAAAAAAAAAAAAAGAAAACAAGAGCCTTGAGCAATATAGTAGTTAATAGCAGATGTGGTGATGGGCAACAGACCTTTCAAGAAATGCTTATGTGATGTGGTCAGGCTAAAAGGCAGCGAGGATCCAGACCACGGCAGCAAGGGAGAGTGAGTTACCTAAATGATCACTTGGCCGTGTGGAATGAGGAGCCTATCAAAGACAAGCGTTTCAGGGACCAAATAATCATAGTTATACAAGAGACAAGAATAAGAAGGCATGTGGAAGATTAAGCTGGACGCTTCTAACTGTTACGAGAACAAAAAGACAGTGGGATGGTTAATGTGATATGTCATTGGCTAGGCTACAGTTCCAAAATACGTGGTCAAATGCTAGTCTAGATGTTGCTGTGATGGGTTTTTTTGTTTTTGTTTTTGTTTTTTGTTTTTGAGACGGAGTTTCACTCTGTCTTGCCCAGGCTGGAGTGCAGTGGCACCATCTCAGCTCACTGCAACATCTGCCTCCCAGGTTCCAGCAATTCTCCTGCCTAAGCCTCCCAAGTAGCTGGGATTACAGGCACCTGCCACCACGCCCAGCTAAATTTTTGTATTTTTAGTAGAGACGGGGTTTTGCCATGTTGGCCAGGCTGGTATTGAACTCCTGACCTCAGGTGATCCGCCCGCCTCGGCCTCCCAAAGTGCTGGGATTACAGGCATGAGCCACCACACCCGGCCTGTGATGGTATTTTGTAGGATGAAATTAACATTTAGATTGCTAAGCCTGTAAACCCAGTAGTTTGGGAGGCCGACGTGGGTGGATCACCTAAGGTCAGGAGTTCAAGACCAGCCTGACCAACATGATGAAACCCTGTCTCTACCAAAAATACAAAAATTAGCTGGGCATGGTGGCAGGGACCTGTAATCCCAGCTACTCGGGAGGCTGAAGCAGGAGAATTGCTTGAACCTGGGAGACAGAGGTTGCAGTGAGCCAAGATCGTGCCATTGCACTCCAGCCTGGGTGACAAAGTGAAACTCCATCTCAAAAAAAAAATAAGAGAGAGAGATACCTGTGATCAGGTGACTGAGAAGAAAAACATTCCAGTTTAATTTACTGTTGACTCCATAGCACATGGCAATACTAAGAAGCACCCTACAGGAACCTCTGTGTTGTAGAAGTATTTTTCTTTTTCTTTCTTATCTTTCTTTCTTTCTTTTTTTTTTTTTTTTTGAGACTTTTTTTTTTTTTTTTTAGAATCTTGCTCTGTCTCCCAGGCTGGAGTGCAGTGGTGCAATCTTGGCTCACTGTAACCTCCACCTCCCAGGTTCAAGAGATTCTCTTGCCTCAGCCTCCCGAGTAGCTGGGACTACAGGCGCATGCCACCAAGCCCGGCCAATTTTTTGTATTTTTAGTAGAGATGGGGTGTCACCGCATTAGCCAGGATGATCTCGATCTCATGACCTCGTGATCCACCCACCTTGGCCTCCCAAAGTGCTGGGATTACAGGCGTGAGCCACGCACCCGTCTATAGAAGTATTTTTCTACATCCACATTATGTAGCAGCATTTCTTTGTCACTTTTTAATGTAGCTCAATAACCCCACTTGCAGAAGTGCACTGCCATAGCATGCCAGTCCCACTCAGGGGTGACCTGGTGGTCAGTGTAGAAAAATAAATATTCCCAATGGGCATAACTTAAAATAGTACATCTCACAATCCATTTATCTGGAAAGAAAGATGAGTTGCAGGTCAACATTAATTTGTAGCCAATAGCTAATAATGTCACTGGATAGTTAGGGACTTGGGAGTAATAAGATTGGAGGATTGGTGATAAAGAGAACTGGAGCAAAAACCCCTCAGCCTAAGTCTAGAGTTGAAGAATAGTTGTGTCCCATGTAAAGACCCATATAGATTGGCGTTGTGCGAAAGATTTTCAATAGATGGTTAGACAAGACCAATGAACAGATAAAAAAAAAATGTGGTATGTATACACCATGGAATACTATTCAGCCATAAAAAATAATAATAATAAAGTATTTTGTAACAATTTGAATGGAGCTGGAGGCCACTATTCTAAGTGAACTAGCTCAGGAATGGAAAACCAAATACCGTATGTTCTCACTTATAAGTTGGAGCTAAGCTATAGGTATGCAAAGACATACAGAGTGGTGTAATGGACTTTGGAGACTCAGAATGCAGAGGTTGGGAGGTGGGTGAGGGATAAAAGACTTCATATAGGGGCCGGGCATGGTGGCTCACACCTTTAATCGCAGTACTTTGGGAAGTTGAGGCAGGCGGATCACCTAAGGTCGGGAGTTCGAGACCAGCCTGACCAACATGGAGAAACCCCATCTCTACTAAGAATGCAAAATTAGCTGGGTGTCGTGTTTTGCGCCTGTAATCCCAGCTACTTGAGAGGCTGAGGCAGGAGAGTCACTTGAACTGGAGAGGTGGAGGTTGCGGTGAGCCGAGATCGTGCCATTGCACTCCAGCCTGGGCAACAAGAGCCAAACTCCGTCATGTGAGCCACCAAGCCCTGCTGAAATCAATATATTTTAGATATGCATTTGTCTACCTGGTCTACCAAGCTTCTCCCAGAAACACCATCTGTAGACTTACCAAGTGCTTTACTCACTGTCACTGTAATTACATAACATTGCTTCTGACCAGGGATCTTACTGAATAGCAAAATGATTAGGACAATGAGTTGAAGCATTTAGGATGCACTAAGATTTCTAACCAGAAGCAGTTGGCTTCATAAAACAGTGAAGTGACCTACTGAAGATTTAGTTTTGGTGCCTATTGGGAAATATCTTAGAAAGTTCAGACACCATCCTGTAGAATACAGTATATGCTCTAAAACAACCACCAATATGTGGTATTTTCTCTTCCACGGCCAAAACAAGTGAGCACTTCTTAGGCACTAAGAAGTGAAAATAGGAGTGACATTTCTCACTATTTCCTGAATGGCCCACTAATAAAATTTTTATTTCATATCCTTTGACACACAGTGTGGCCATAGAATAATTTTTTTTTTTTAATTTAGAGACAGAATCTTGCTCTGTCACCCAGGCTGGAGTACAGTGGCACAATCACAGCTCACCGTAACCTCGAACTCCTGAGCACAAGTGTTTGTCCCACCTCAGCCTCCCAGGTAGCTAGGATTACAGGTGCATGCCACCACACCTGGCATGACCTCAAATGATCATCCTGCCTCGGCCTCCCAAAGTGCTGGGATTACAGGCATGAGCCACTGCATCAGCCTGCTATTAAAAATTTCAAGGGTAAACCAGGACTGTACTAAACAGATGAGCCTTACAGTCACCTTAATAATATGATTTACTTACTACCATTTGCTCTTAAATTAGTGAGAATAGACTTACTTGTTTTTGTTTTTGTTTTTTGAGATGGACTCTTGCTGTGTCACCCAGGCTGGAGTGCAGTGGTGTGATCTCGGCTCACTGCAACCTCTGCCTCCTGGGTTCAAGTGATTCTCCTGCCTCAGCCTCCTGAGTAGTTGGGATTACAGACATCTGCCACCACGCCTGGCTAATTTTTGTATTTTTAGTAGAGACAGGGTTTCACCATGTTGGTCAGGCTGGTCTCGAACTCCTGACCTTGTTATCCACCCACCTCGGCCTCCCAAAGTGCTGGGATTACGGTGTGAGCCACCACGCCCAGCCGACTTGTTTGTTTGTTTTTGTTTTGTTTTTTGTTTTTTTTGAGACGGAGTCTCGCTCTGTCGCCCAGGCTCGAGTGCAGTGGCACGATCTCGGCTCACTGCAAGCTGTGCCTCCTGGGTTCACGCCATTCTCCTGCCTCAGCCTCCCGAGTATCTGGGACTACAGGCGCCCGCCACCTCTCCCAGCTAATTTTTTGTATTTTTAGTAGAGACGGGGTTACACCGTGTTAACCAGGATGGTCTTGATCTCCTGACCTCGAGATCCACCCACCTCGGCCTCCCAGAGTGCTGGGATTACAGGCGTGAGCCACTGCGCCAGGCCGACTTACTTGTTTTTAACTAAAAACCTTAACCAACATAACTTAGGATTTTTAGTATTACAAAATTATTTAACAATATAGGCTGAGTGCAGTGGCTCACACCTGTAATCTCAGCACTTTGGGAGGCCAAGATGGGAGGATTGCTTGGGGCCAGGAGTTTGAGACCAGCCTGGGCAACATAGCAGGACACTGCCTCTGTTAAAACTTTTAATGGCAAATTACTTTTGCACCAACCTGATATATAGATGGATCATGTTTGCTATGTTGTGCCTACAACACAGGAGGAAATGTTCTATTCTACATATTTATAAAGCAAATCCAGATTAATTTAAATTTATAGAATCTATTATATCAATAATAGTTGACTTAATGTAGCCATATGCTTGTTGCCTAAAGAATCATGACTTACACTGATGTTATGTGTTGTTAATGAAGCCTACAAAATGGAAACAAAGTATCTCATAATGTTTTTACAAAGGGATTCACTGACTTATATATGAGTTGAGGTTGTTAAATAAAATAATAGGCCAGACAGGGTGCCTCATGCCTGTAATCCCAGCACTTTGAAAGGCTGAGACAGGAGGATCATTTGAGCTCAGGAGTTCAAGACCAGCCTAGGCAACATAGTGAGACCCCATCTCTAAAAAAAAAATTTTCTGGCCAGGCGCAGTGGCTCACACCTGTAATCCCAGCACTTTGGGAGGCCAAGGCAGGCAGATCACGAGGTCAGGAGATCAAGACCATTCTGGCTAACACGGTGAAACCCCGTCTCTACTAAACATACAAAAAAAAAAAAATTAGCCAGGTGTGGTGGCGGTCGCCTGTAGTCCCAGCTACTGTGAGGCTGAGGCAGGAGAATGGCGTGAACCCAGGAGGTGGAGTTTGCAGTGAGCCGAGATCCCTGCACTCCAGCCTGGGTGACAGAGCAGGACTCGGTCTCAAAAAAAAAAAAATTTTTCTTTTTTTAATTAGCCGGGGGTGGTGGTACACACCTGTGGCCCCAGCTACTTGGGAGGCTGAGGTGAGAGGATTGCTTATGCCTGGGAAGTTGAGGCTGCAATGAGCCACTGCACTCTAGCCTGGGTGACAAAGTGAGACTGTGTCTTAAAAATATATACACACGGCCAGGCATGGTGGCTCACGCCTGTAATCCCAGCACTTTGGGAGGCTGAGGTGGGTGGATCACGAGGTCAAGAGATCCTGGCCAACATGATGAAACACCGTCTCTATTAAAAAAAAAATACAAAAATTAGCTGGGCGTGGTGGTGTGCGCCTGTAGTCCCAGCTACTTGGGAGGCTGAGGCAGGAAAATCGCTTGAACCCGGGAGGCGGAGGTTACAGTGAGCCGAGATTGTGCCACTGCACTCCGGCCTGGTGACAGAGTGAGACTCCATCTCAAGAAAAAAAAAATATATATATATATATATGTGTGTGTATATATATATATATGTGTATATATATATATAATGTGTGTGTATATATATATAATGTGTGTGTACATATATATGTGTATATATATATGTATATATATGTGTATATATATGTATATATATATACACACACATATACATATGTATTACTAGGACAAAATTTATACTTTAAGAAATCTATAAGTTGTTGTGTATTAAAATTGTCATAATCTAATTTCTGTGCTGTAAATATAAATCATTTTGTGATATATATAGCTATATGTGTATTGTTCTATGCTATAAATATAAGCATCTGTCCTATAATACTATTAATGTCAGAAATCCAAGAAGAATTAAAGATCAGTTTCATTTATCATTCCAATGTCTTCATTGAAACCACATTATTGAAGACTTACTGGCACTTTACTTCCTCATTCAGCAATTCATATGGGCACTGTGCTAGTAGCTGATATTGTAATGAGCAAAACAGACATGATCCTTTGGACATAACTGTGAGTCTAGTAGTCTCAGAAAAGACATGCATTAATTAAACTATAATGTAAATAAATATAACTACAAACTGTAATGAGTTCCCTGAGAAACATGCTACATGCTCTGGGATCTGGATTATGTAGGGAGTCAGGGAAGAGCTTCTTGAGGATGTGGTATTAGAACTGAGACCTGAAAATGGCTAAGCAATAACTAAGTGTTAGAATGTATGAAAGAGGCTGCTCTAAACATAGAGGAAAGCATGACTAAGCAATAACTGTTAGAATGTATAAAAGAGGCTGCTCTAGACATAGAGGAAAGCATGTAAAAAGCCTGTGAAGCAAAACCGGGCATACGTTTTAGTTCACGGCACTGAAAGGAGACTGTGTGGCCGCAGATGAGAGCAAGGGAGAGGGGGACAAGTGGGGGCTCTCGAGGCAGCTACCACCGCCACGAGCCATGCAGAGGCCTTGCCCAGCTCCTCTCTCCAGTCCTGGGGGATTGGACAGGTCAGTAACAACTTTAAACACGATACCAAGAAGAGAAATTAGGTTCGGAGATGATAGCCAGTGCAGGAATTCCAACAGAAATAGTAAAAGCAAGGAGAGATGGAGAGGGAAACCCAAGCCAAAGTCTTTGTGCTACAGCCAAAAACTAGGAGTCCAGACACCAAAAACAGCAAAACCAAAGACGCACATGAAGTTTAGATCAAGGTGTCAGACCAAACACATATACCTTTCTATTCTTTCTCTCCCAAATCCCTTTAGCCTACCAAAAAAAAAAAAAAAGAGTTTACATTTTCCCTTGGCCTGGCGCAGTGGCTCACGTCTGTAATCCCAGCACTTTGGGAGGCCAAGGCAGGTGGATTGCTTGAGCCCAGGAGTTCAAGACCAGCCTGGGCCACATAGCAAAACCCTGTCTCTACAAAATATACAAAAAGTAGCCAGGCATGGTGGCAAGTGCCTGTAGTCCCAGCTACTGGAGAGGCTGAAGTGGGAGGATCACCTGAGTCCAGGGAGGTCGAGGCTGCAGTGAGCCATGATTTCGTGATTACACTCCAGCCAAATTAATAGAGTGAAACCTTGTCTCAAAAAAAAAAAAGAGAGAGAGAGAAAGAAAAAGAAAGAGATAGAAAGAAAGAAAAGAAAAGAAAAGAAAAAAAATTTCTCTTATAAAGGGTAATCTTGTAAGGGTAATTGTGCTTAAAAAAAAACAAAAATGTACCATCATCTGACCAGAAATTTGAGGAAGAAACAAAGTGATGTGAAATTAAAGGGAAATAGCCAATAACTAAAAACAAAACAAAACAAAAAACCCACCCAGTCTACAGCAGAAACAGAAGAGTATTTCAGTGAATTTGTATTTTACAAGCAAAAATTGTTTATAATTTGCACTAAGGTATTTATTTTCCCTGCGCTCTTTTGTACATTTAAAATGTTGTACATTCTGCATGTATTACATTGGGAATAGTTTCAGGAGGCCCAGCTGGGGCTGCTAGGGGGTTAGTACACCTGGAAAAACAACCCTGGGCAATTGATCTCCAATTCTCCTCTTCGGAGAGTAAGCATTCAGGAATGTGCTGGGGTGGTCACGAGTTAGTTTGCATCTGGTGACCATTAGAAATGTAACCAAAGGATCCAGGACAGTTGAAAGTGATCAAGAAGCAGTAAAGCCTCTGAGAGAATGGCAAGAAGAGCTCTTAAGGACCCTCAAAATTTCTATCGGTCAGGAGCGGTGGCTCATGTCTGTAATCCCAGCACTTTGGTAGGCCAAGGAGAGGGGATCACCTGAGGTCAGGAGTTCAAGACCAGCCTGGCCAACATGGTGAAACCCTGTCTCTACTAAAAATACAAAAATTAGCCGGGCATGGTGGCACGACACCTGTAGTCCCAGGCTGAGGCAGGAGAATCGCTTGAACCCGGGAGGCGGAGGTTGCAGTGAGCCGAGATCGCGCCATTGCATTCTAGCTTGGGGGACAAGGACGAGACTTAATCTCAAAAAAAAAAAAAAAAAAAAAAGAGTTCTATCCATCAACAGGTGGTACCACCAGCAGCAAGACACCTCTGTGGGAGAGGGCAGCCAGGTGAGTGTCCCCTCCAACAGGGAGATTGCTGCTGTGCCTTTTGCTCCACATAGATGTCTGGATGTAGCAACTTATATCTTTTCTATTTCCATTCAAGGTATTTGTGTTATTTACCTGGCACACTTCACTGTCTTCCAACTAACACAATCATCTTTATGAAAACTTCACAATTACCTATTTTTAAAAACAAATGAATAGGCCGGGCGTGGTGGCTCATGCCTGTAATCCCAACACTTTGGGAGGCTGAGGTGGGCAGATCACTTGAGGTCAGGGGTTTGAGACTAGTATGGACAACAAGGCGAAACCCCGTCTCTACTAAAAATACAAAAATTTGCTAGGTGCGGTGACACATGCCTGTAATCCCAGCTACTTAGGAGGCTGAGGCAGGAGAATTGCTTGAACCCAGAGGTGGAGGTGGCGGTAAGCCAAGATTGCACCACTGCACTCCAGCCGGGGCAACAGAGCGAGACTATGTCTCAAAAATAAATAAATAAATATCCTTGAAGAGTTCTTGGGAATAAGGCCACATGCCATAAGCATCCAGCACAACTGATTTTTCCTCAACATTGGAACAGACTGATATTTCTTTGATTAAACACCTGATGAAATGCTTAGCTTATGTTTAGAAGCCATGCTATAGAAACAAATCTTTATCTTTAGTCATTATTGTCACACTAAATGTGGAGAATGCTTTTACTACAAGAGGCACATGCTCATTCTGGGACAAAGCTCACTGAGTTGATTGACAGGCAAAATCATCTGCCATATTTTAAAACTTGTTTTTTTTTATTTTTACCCTATAATCTAATTGAATTCTGGAAAATCAAATAAGAGTATACCTCCACTGTAAAAATAAGAGACATAGGCCAGGTGTGGTGGCTCAACCCTGTAATCCTAGCACTTTGGGAGTCCAAGGCAGGTGGATCACTTGAGGTCAGGAGTTTGAGACCAGCCTGGCCAACAAGGTGAAACCCCATCTCTACTAAAAAAGTATAAAAATTAGCTGGGCATGGTGGTGTGTGCCTGTAGTCCCAGCTACTCAGGAGGCAAGGCAGAAGAATCACTTGAACCTGGGAGGTGGAGGTTGCAGTGAGCCGGGATCACACCACTGCACTCCGGCCTGGGCGACAGAGCAAGACTCCATCCTGCCCAAGAAAGAACCATTCCAGGTATGCTCTAAGCTCAGAGGCAACAAAAATGAAAAGTAGAGGAGCTTTAACATAATTGTCAGAGTAATTCATTAAATTGTGAGTTTTCGATAAGCCATGTGAGTCAGAGTTTTTCCTACTACAATTAGTAAAGGGCAGCTACTGCTGCTTTCTCCCTCAGTTCCCAAAGTGAACAAGCTGCCTGGAGTCTAAGTGTAATGAGTGTTGAGCTAGAGAAAGAAGGGGACTGAAGTGACTCCAGACCTCCACAGTGAGGAAAGGAAGAGAAGGAAAAAGGAGAGCAGATAAATCAGGCACTCATCTCTAGGATAAAACTTTGAGATACTAGGCCAGGTGCTGTGGTTCACACTTGTAATCCTAGTACTTTGGGAGGCCAAGGCAGAAGCTCAGGAGTTCGAGACCAGCATGGGCAACATAGCAATACCTCATCTCACTAAAAACAAAGATTTTAAAAATTAGCTGGGTATGGTGGCACACAGCTGTAGTCCCAAATACTCTGGAGGCTGAGGTGAGAGGATCACTTGAGCCCAGGAGATCGAGACTACAGTGAACTATGATCGCACCACTGCACTCCAGCCTGAAGTGGAGTGCAAGAGAGAGACCCTGTCTCAAAAAACAAACAAATAAACAACAAGCAAAAACCACTATGGTTTCTAGCTTTCTCTTTGAAATACTTGTTAAAGGTGAAGGCTGTCACCATATCATGAGGACACTCAGTTAGCTATGTAGAGTAATCCCTGTGGAGAAGAACTAAGTCCTTTCACCAATAATGGGCCCCATTTTGCCAGCCATGTGAGTTGAGCGACTCAGAAGCAATTTTTCCAGCCGCAATAAAGCCTTCAGATGACTACAATCTTTTTTTTTTTTTTTGAAACAAAGGAGTCTCGCTCTGTGGCCCAGGCTGGAGTGCAGAGGCGCGATCTCAGCTCACTGCAAGCTCCGCCTCCCAGGTTCACGCCATTCTCCGGCCTCAGCCTCTTGAGTAGCTGGGACTACAGGTGCCCACCACCACGCCCGGCTAATTTTTTTGTATTTTTTTAGTAGAGACGGGGTTTCACCATGATGGCCAGGATGGTCTTGATCTCCTGACCTCGTGATCCACCTGCCTCGGCCTCCCAAAGTGTTGGGATTACAAGCGTGAGCCACCACGCCCAGCCGATGACTGCAATCTTGACTGAAATCTCATGATAGGCCCCAAGGTACAAATGCTCAGTTAAGCCACTTGCAATTTCCCAACCCCATAGAAACTGTGATTTTTTAAAAAATGTCTATTGTGGCTGGGCACAGTGGCTCAGGCCTGTAATCCCAGCAGTTTGGGAGGCTGAGGCAGGAGGATTGCTTAAGCCCAGGAGTTTGAGACCAGACTGGGAAAGGTGGCAAGACCCCATCTCTACAAAAAATTGTTAAAATTAGCCAGGCAGAGTGGCAGGCACCTGTACTCCCAGCTACTCAGGAAGCTGAAGCGTGAGGATCCCTTGAGCCTAGGAGTTCAAGGCCGCAGTGAGCTGTGATTGTACCAATGCACTCCATCCTGGGCAACAAAGCAAGACTCCATCTCCAAAAAAAAAAAAAAGTCTATTGTTTTCAGCCACTAAGTTTTGATCTAATTTGTTATCCAGCAGTAGATAACTAATACACATTTTGAAGCTTACACTTTATTTTAGGGAAATAACCTTAAGTATTATGGGCAGCTAGCTAAATAATCCTCTAAGGCTGTTGTCTTTATGTCTGGCACTGGAACTTGAAGTCTGCAGGAAAGCCATTGGAAAAAAAATACTGGGGTGTGGGGAGTAAAGACTAATTGGAACTCACAATTACAATCTAGATGAACTAGAAGTTAGACCAGTCACTCTGCACCTCCAAAGTTAATGAAGAGTTTTCTGCAAAAGAAGTTGGCACCCGGGCCAGGCATGGTGGCTCACAACTGTAATCCAGGCACTTTGGGAGGCTGAGGAGGGTGGATCACTTGAGGTCGGGAGTTCGAGACCAGCCTAACCAACATGGAGAAACCCTGTCTCTATTAGAAATACAAAATTAGCCGGGCATGGCGGCACATACCTGTAATCCCAGCAACTCGGGAAGCTGAGGCAGGAGAATTGCTTTAACCTGGGAGGTGGAGGTTGTGGTGAGCCGAGATCGCGCCATTGCACTCCAGCCTGGGCAAAAAGAGTTCATCACAAAAAAAAAAAAAAAAGTGGCACCCTTTGTCAGGGACCTAAACACATAGTTGACCAAGAGTCAGAGAAACTGAAAAGAGGACCAGGGGTAAAGGAAGTAGGGCATTGAATGCCTGTCTGTTGGCCCAGTCCAACAAGGTAAGCCAGCAGATAAGTGACAACATGTATGAGCTGCAACTACACCTGGTGTCTTTGCATGACCTCCTGAAAATAAAAGCAGTATGGCTGCTGCTTAACTTCTCCCTTCCAAACCTCACTCCAAATATCTCTTATGTTCCACATAACCAGAAACACAAAAGGAAGGAATTTCTGGAAAACAATTCCACCTAGCCAAGTTGACACATTACAAAGCCATTATATATAATACAAGGAAGAACATAAGAAGAAGAAAAGGCCAAGGCAGGTGAATCACTGGAGGTCAGGAGTTCAAGAGCGGCCTGGCCAACAGGGTGAAACCCCGTCTCTACTAAAAACACAAAACCTAGGCGAAAGTAGTGGTGCACGCCTATAATCCCAGCTACTAGGGAGGCTGAGGCAAGAGAATTGCTTGAAACCAGGAGGCGGAGGTTGCAGCAAGCCAAGATCACACCATTGTGCTCCAGCCTGGGCAACAAAGTGAGTGAGACTCCGTCTCAAAAAATAAATAAAGAATAAAGGATGATTGTGAGAAGTTGAAGATGAATATGGCAAACATTAAAACAAACTTTACAAAAGAAAAAAAAGACAATAAGCCAGCAGAGAATATTAAATGGAAAACTAAAATATCCTTAATTAATTCACAAGGAGAAAAAGAGGAAAAAAGGAATTAAAAACCAATGGTATAAATAGAAAACAAGAAGGAAGTTGGTATTTTTTAAATAAAATGTATCTTATCAATACTTTTATAAAAAGTATTGATAAACATTTGTAAAAAGTATTGATTACAATTACTTACATAAATGTTTCAGTATATCAAGCAGAGAGATTAAAAGTAAAAAATTGGAACGTGATAAATATGCAAATACTAAACATACAAAAATGAGAATGGCTATTTTTATGTTACACGAAGTAAATTTCAGACAGAAATATTATCAGAGATAAAGAAATAAATTTCAAGGCAGAGGCAAGTGGATCATCTGAGGTTAGGAGTTTGAGACCAGCCTGACTAACGTGGTAAAACCCCGTCTCTACTAAATACAAAAAAAAAAAAAGTATCAGGGCATGGTGGTGACTGCCTATAGTCGCAGCTACTCGGGAGGCTGAGGCAGGAGAATCGCTTGAACCTGGCGGAGGTTGCAGTGAGCTGAGATCATGCCATTGCACTCCAGCCTGAGCAACAAGAGTGAAACTCTGTCAAGAAAGAAAGGAAGGGAGAGAGGGAGGGAGGAAATTTCATAATGACATAGAGTTAATTCATATACATAAAGAAGACATAAAATTAAATGTGTATGCATCTCATAAATCCACAATTATAGTCAGTGTCAACACTTCCAGCTCACTTGTGATGCAACAAGTAGGAAGTAAGTAATGATAAAGGGTAAGTATATAGTAAAGACAGAGAAGACTTGAACAACAGAATTAATCACCGTGACAAAGTTGAACATTATACCCAACAACTGTAGAACAGGCATTCTTTATAAGGGCTTCTGGTTTGTTCACCACAAAAGAGCCTATACTGGGTCACAAGACACATCTCAATAAATGTTAAAAGGAATGAAATCACACAAAGTATGTTCTCTGACCACAATGGAATTAAACTATAAAATAACAACAAAAAACATATGTGGAATATTC
Organism: Homo sapiens; assembly: GCF_000001405.40. Classification (NCBI taxonomy): domain Eukaryota; kingdom Metazoa; phylum Chordata; class Mammalia; order Primates; family Hominidae; genus Homo; species Homo sapiens. Next base: position 177,256,952 of record NC_000003.12, on the reverse strand, counting down.
CCAAATATTTGCAAATTAAATAACATACTTCCAGATAATTTAGGAGTCAAATAAGAAATTGCAAGGGAAAATCGAGAGGTATTTAAACTGAATTATAATAAAAGCGTAGTATATAAAACTGTTTAGGATGTAGCTAAATCAGTGAGTAGGAGCCAGGTGCGGTAGCTCACGCCTGTAATCCCACAACTTTGGGAGGTTGAAGTGGGAGGATCGTTTAAGGCCCAGAGTTTGAGACCAGCCTGGGTAACCCCATCTCTACAAAAAACCAAAAATAAATAAATAAAATAAAGTAAAATGAATGACAAAGGAGAAATATACAGCTTTAAGTATATTAAAAAGTGAGGCTTTAGAACAATAATCCAATATTCCACCTTATGAAGCTAAAAAAAGAAGACGAAATGAAACTTAAAAGAGAGAAAATAAGTCAAGCGCAGTAGCTCATGCCTGTAATCCCAGTACTTTAGGAGGCTAACGGGGGAGGATTACTTGAGGCCAGGAGTTCGAGACCAACCTAGGCAACATACAAGACCCTGTCTCTAAAAAAAAAAAAAAAGGGAAAATTAGCCAGCCATGGTGGCACATCCCTGTAGTCCTAGCTACTCAGTAGGCCGAGGCATGAGGACACTTAAGCCCAGGAGGTCAAAGCGGCAGTGAGCTATGATTGTGCCACTGCACTCAAGCCTGGGTGATAGGGCAAGATACCACCTCTGAAAAAAAAGAGAGAGAGAGGCCAGGTGCAGTGGCTGACACCTGTAATCCCAGCACTTTGGGAGGCCAAGGCAGGCGGATCACCTGAGGTCAGGAGTTCAAGACCAGCCTGACCAACATGGAGAAACCCTGTTTCTACTAAAAATATAAAATTAGCCAGGCGTGGTGGCACATGCCTGTAATCCCAGCTACTCAGGAGGCTGAGGCAGGAGAATCACTTGAACCCGGGAGGCAGAGGTTGTGGTGAGCTGAGATCACGCCATTGCACTCCAGCCTGGGCACCAAGAGGGAAACTCCGCCTCAAAAAATAAAGATAAGAACAGATATCAATGAACTAGAAAACAGAAAAATATTTTTTTAAAATCCACAAAACCAAAAGCTGGAATTTAAAGAAATCAGTAAAAGTAATGAACTCGCCGGGCACGGTGGCTCATGCCTGTAATCCCAGCACTTTGGGAGGCCGAGGCAGGTGGATCACAAGGTCAGGAGTTCAAGACCAGCCTGGCCAAGATGGTGAAACCCCGTCTCTACTAAAAATACAAAAAAATTAGCCGGGCGTGGTGGTGGGCACCTGTGATCCCAGCCACTCGGGAGGCTGAGGCAGAGAATTGCTTGAACCCGGGAGGCAGAGGTTGCAGTGAGCCAAGATCACACCACTGCACTCCAGCCTGGGTGACAGAGCAAGACTCATCTTAAACAAACAAACAAAAAAAGTAATGAACTCATGAATGGACTAGAGAGAGAGGGGAGGAGAGGGAAGAGAGGAGACAGGTTTTGACATTGGAAATGAAAGATTGGACATTACTACAAATCCTACAGACATTTAAAGGATAATAACAGAATACTGCGAGAATCAGTATGCCTACAAATTTGACAACCTAGAGGAAATGGAAAAATTCCTTGAAGAAAACAAACTGCCAAAACCGATACAGGAAGATAGAAAAAAGCTGAATACACCTTTTATCTATTAAAGAAATTTAATTTGTAACACAAAACCTTCCCACAAACAGAACTCTGAGTCCAAATGACGTTACTGGTGAATTCTATCAAACACTTAAGGAAGAAATAATGCTAATCTTACACAAATCTCATCTTATAAACATTACTCTTATTCAATCCTCCCACTCATTTTATAAGCATTACCATGATACCAAAACCTGATAAACATGATAAAATATTACTCAAAAAGAAAACAATATTCCTTATGAATATAAACACAAAACCTATAGCTAAGAAGTACATTTCAAAATTGCAAAGAAATACAAGTGACATTTATACAATGAATACAATATTTAAAAATTGAAAATCAGGTTGTAGAACATAGGAGGAAAACTATGATCCTATCAATAGATGTAAAATAAGAACTGACAAAATTCAATACCTATTCATGATTTCAAAATAATAATTCAGTAAACTGGGAAGAGAAGGTAACTTCATAAATTTGATGAGAACATTTGTAAAAGCCCTCAGGTAACATATTAAACTTAATGATAAAAGATGTATTGTTCTCTCCAGGTTTGTAAAGAAGGCTAAGATGACAATTCTGAAATTTCTAGTCAACAGTGTACTGGGGGTTCTAGCTTGGTAATAAAATAAGGCGAAGAAAATAAAAAAGCATATGGATTGAAAAGGAGTAGGTAAAACTGCCTATTTGCAGATGACACAATCAGGTATTTAGGAAATCTGAAGGAATTTTTTTTTAATTAATAGAACTCATAAGTTAATTTGGCAAAGTAGCAAAATACAGGTTGATATACTAAATTCATATGTATTTATACATACTAGCAACAAGTAATTAGAAAATAAAAAGTAAATAAAACCATTTCAAATGGCACCAAAACACATAAAATACTTAAAAGTGTCGGCCGGGCCTGGTGGTTCATGCCTGTAATCCCAGCACTTTGGGAGGCCGAGGCGGGTGGATCATGAGGTCAGGAGATCGAGACCATCCTGGCTAACACGGTGAAACCCCATCTCTACAAAAAATACAAAAAATTAGCCAGGTGTGGTGGCGGGTGCCTGTAGTCCCAGCTACTCGGGAGACTGAGGCAAGAGAATGACGTGAACATGGGAGGTGGAGCTTGCAGTGAGCCGAGATTGTGCCCCTGCACTCCAGCTTGGGCGACAGAGCGAGACTCCGTCTCAAAAAAAAAAAAAAAAAGAAAGAAAGAAAACCTAAAAGTATTTGTAAGACCTATATACTGAAAACTATAAAACATTGCTGAAAGGGGATTAGAGAAATCCTAAATAAACGGAGAGGTACACCATGTTCATGACTTGCAAGATTAAATATTGATATGATGTTAATTCTCCCCAAAGTTACTTATAGATTTAGAGCAATCTCAATCAAAACCTGAGAAGATGTTTTTGCATAAATTGACAAGCTGATTTTTAAATTTATACTAAAATGCTAAAGACCAAGTATCGCCAGAAAATAGTCATTTTCAAAAACAAAAAAATTAGAGGACTAATACCACCTGATTTCAAGATCTACTACAAAGCAAAAGTAGCTGGGTGTGGTGGCTCACACCTGTAATCCCAGCACTTTGGGAGGCTGAGGTGGGCAGATCAGTTGAGGTCAGGAGCTCGAGACCAGCCTGACCAACGTGGTGAAACCCCATCTCTACTAAAAACAAAAAATTAGCTGGGCATGGTGGTATGCGCCTGTAATTCCAGCTACTTGAGAGGCTGAGGCAGGAGAATCACTTGAACCCAGGAGGCAGAGGTTGCAGTGAGCAGAGATCACATTACGCCCTGCATTCCAGCCTGGGTGACAAAAAGCAAAACTCCGTCTCAAACAAAAACAAACAAACAAAAAGACTACAAAGCAAAAGTCTAATATTGGTGTAAAGATGGGCATATGGGATTAATGAATCAAAATGAGAAGTCCAGAAATAGGCCCACAAATATATAGTCAGTTCATTTTTTTACAAAGGTGCTAAAGTAATTCAAAAGAGAAAGGTCAGTTTGTCTTTTCAACAAAATTGCTGAAAGAACTGAATATCCACATCTCCAAACAACTGCGGAAAAAGAACCTTGAATATTTTCTCACATAATACACAAAAAGCACTAACCAGCTGGGCAAGGTGGCTCATACCTGTAATCCTAGCACTTTGAGAGGCCAAGGCGGGTGGATCACGAGGTCAGGAGATCCAGACCATCTTGGCTAACACAGTGAAACCCCATCTCTACTAAAAATATAAAAAATTAGCCAAGCGTGGTGGTGGGCACCTGTAGTCCCAGCTACTTAGGAGGCTGAGGCAGGAGAATGGCGTGAACCCGGAGGCAGAGCTTGCAGTGAGCCGAGATCAGGCCACTGCACTCCAGCCTGGGCAAAGAGCGAGACTCTGTCAAAAAAAAAAAAAAAAAGCACTAACCATTAAAAAATTATAAATTGTACTTCATCAAAATTGAATTTTTCTATTTTTTAGAAGGTACTACTTTTTCAAAAAACACAAAAACTAGCAAACAAAAACACTATAAAAGTGAAGCCACAGACAGGGAAAAACTATTTGCAACACAAATATAGGACTTGCAATCAGGATCTTTACAAATCAATAAAAAGAAGAGAAATAATTCAATTTGAGAATGGGCAAAATATTTGAACAGGCAAACAGGAAAATGTGTGAATGACCTCAAAGCACCTGGGCATATGTGTGACATCATTACATATTAGAGAAATGCATTTTTAAATCATAATGAAATACATGCCCACTAAAATGGTCAATTTTTTTTGTTTGTTTTGAGATGGAGTTTCGCTGTCTTTGCTCAGGCCAGAGTGCAATGGTGCTATCTCAGTTCACTGCAACTTCCACCTCCCAGGTTCAAGCAATTCTCCTGCCTTGGCTTCCCAAGTAGCTGGGATTACAGGCGTGCACCACTACACTGGCTAATTTTTGTATTTCTAGTAGAGACGGGGTTTCACCATGTTGGTCAGGCTGGTCTCAAACTCCCGACCTCAGGTGATCCACCTGCCTTGGCCTCCTGAAGTGCTGGGATTACAGGCGTGAGCCACCATGCCCAGCTGGTTCAATTTTTTTTTTAATTTTTTCCTTAACTGCCCCTTGTGGAGCAGGGCTAACCCATGGGCAATGTGCTCAGGGTAGCTAAAATGGCCAAAATTTAAAAGCCTAATAATAACAAGTGTTAATGTCCATCAACTGGTAAGGTGATCAGCAAATTGTGGTATATCCATATAATGAAATACTACTCAGAAATAAAAAGGAACAAACTAGCCTCCACCTGGGAGGTGGAGGTGCAGTGAGCCGAGATTGCATCATTGCACTCCAGCCTGGGCAACAAGAGCGAAACTCTGTCTCAAAAAAAAAAAAAAAAAAAGGAACAAGCTACTGCTATATGCAATAGCACGGATGATTCACACAGATAGTATGGTTGTATGGTTAGCAAAAAAGCAAGACGCAAAAGACTACATATGATATGATCTACTTATACAAAGTCCTAGAAAATGTAAAGCTAATCTGTAGTAATAAATGTTTGGAAGATGGAGGAGGATTGATTGCACCAAGGCACAAGGAAACTTTGGATTTGATAAAATGTCCTATATCTTGTTCAGAGTGGTAGTTATATGGGCATATACACGTGTCAAAATCCATCTAACTATGTACTTAAAATATGACTATTTTACTGTGTGCACATTATACCTCTATAAAGCTGATTTGTTTAAAATAAAACTCTCATGTTACAAGTGAAAAAAAATGTGTCTCTGAAATTCAATAGGTGGGATAAATATAGAATGGACTCAGTAGGAGATCAAATTAGTTAACTAAAATATCCAAAGTAATGTTTCTTAGCCAAAAAAGAATACTTGATTAGCAATATCAAGTATTACAGAACAGTTGAATACTTCAGATTATCAAAAAGATTCCATTAATATGGAACTCTAGAAAGGAGTTAATAGGAGCTCTAGAAAGAGGAAACAGAAATAAATAATAGGGAATTTTTTAGAAGAAAAGTACAATTTCCCAGAATTGAAGAAAGTCAGTGAGCTTCACACTCCAAGTACCACTGGCTGCAGATAAAGCAGAACAAATGAAATAACAAATTTTTTTTTTTATGAGATGGAGTCTTTTTCTGTCGCCCAGGCTGGAGTGCAGCGGCGCGATCTTGGCTCACTGCAATCTCCACCACCTGGGTTCAAATGATTCTCCTGCCTCAGCCTCCCAAGCAGCTGGAATTACAGGAGCGCACCACCCCACTCAGCTAATTTTTGTATTTTTAATAGAGACGGGGTTTCACCGTGTCGGCCAGGCTGGTCTCCAACTCCTGACCCCAGGTGATCGGCCTGCCTCGGCTTCCCAAAGTGCTGGGATTACAGGCGTGAGCCACAGCGCCCGCTGGAAAAAAAATTTTTTTAGCCAACAGAAATGCTGGTGAAATTTCAAGATCCTCAGGAAAACCAGAAAATTCTAGACACAGTCTACAAAGGAACAAGGATTTGACTGGAATCAGATTTTACATTGACAACATTGATTATCAGAAGATAAGCAATGTCTTCAGTATTTTGAGACCAAAAAAACACGATTTGAAGTCTAATTTTTTTTCTTTTCTTTTTTATTTTTAGAGATCGTCTTGCTGCTTTGCCCAGACTGGCCTCAAACTTCTGGGCTCAAGCGATCCCCTTACTCAGCCTACCGAGTAGCTGCGACTACAGGCATTCTCCACTGTACCTGACTGAAGTCTAAAATTTTGAATCAAGTCTAAGCAGCATTTACTTATGATGGCAGAATAAAGATATTTTCAGACATAGAAAATCTTTCCATCTCCACTTGGTTTACTGCCACCTGATCTCTCTGCTTCTGGTCTTGTCTCAGTGCATACTTTCTCCACTTTGCAGCTGGATGATCTTTTTGTCAGGCAAATTGCATCATTAACTCCTCAAGGAATTTATTTTCCACACTCAGCTCCAGTCAATCTTTTTTCCCACCAGCTACTTCTAGTTACACGTGAGCCCTTCCTCCTCCACCCTTTCTCTCAGGGTTATGGTCTCTGAGTCCCTAGAATGTACCATAGTCCATTCTGATTCCCTCTGCAAAAGATTCTCTTCTAGCTCATTCTTCATCTTCCTTCAGGTCTTAGTCTTGACGTTATTTTCACAGAAAAGTATTCCACGGACCCCCACTCCCATTCCCATCGCTCCATCAGATTAGGTTTGACTCCTTTGTTAGTGACCCTAATAGCACCTGTGCTTTTACTTATAATTAAAGTAATTGTATTATACAGCTATGATTTATATTATTTGTTTAATGTCTTTTTTCTTAATAGGCAGTAAGCTCTATAAATGTAGCCTCATTTAACCTCAGCTCTGTGGGTGAGAATGCTGTCTGTCTGTTCCCAATATCTAATTTCTTTTTCTATTTTTTCGTGTGTGTGTGTGTGTGTGTGTGTGTGTGTTTGACAAGTGCTCACTCTGTCACCTAGGCTGGAGTGCAATAGCACAATCATAGCTCCATGTGGCCTCAAGCTCCTGGGCTGAAACAATCCTCCAGCATCAGCCTCCTGAGCAGCTAGGACTACCGGCATGAGCCACCATGTTCAGCAAATTTCAAATTTTTTAAATAGAGGTGAGGTCTCCCTATGTTGCCCAGGACGGGCTTGAACTCCTGGGCTCAAGGGATCTTCCTGCCTTGTCCTCCCAAAGTGCTGGGATTATGGACGTGAGCCACTGTGCCCAGCCCAGCCTCAGCATCCGTTTTCCACTTCTCCAGTAACAGACTAGATTTTCCAGTCTCTCTTGGTTATGTGACTAAATACTGGCTAATGAGGTGTGAGCAGAAGCAACACGGACAACCTGTGGGTTGTGCTATTAAAGGAAGCAGGTTTGATCTTTACTTCTCCAATTTTCCTTCCTGCTGGCTAGTTAACCATTATAAACCTTACTAAAGTAGGCCGGGCACGGTGGCTCATGCCTGTAATCCCAGCACTTCGGGAGGCCGGGGCGGGTAGATTACCCAAGCTCAGGACTTTGAGATCAGCCTGACCAACATGGCAAAACCCCGTTTCTACTAAAAATACAAAAATCAGCCAGGTGTGGTGGCACGCGCCTGTAATCTCAGCTACTCGGGAGGCTGAGGCAGGAGAATCGCTTGAACCCAGGAGGTTGCAGTGAGCCGAGATCGTGCCACTGCACTCCAGCCTGGGTGACAGAGCAAGACTCTGCCAAAACAAACAAACAAACAAACAAACAAAAACTTACTAAGGTCAATGCCTTAAGGATGGATAATCAATAAGGCAGGAACAAGTATCTCTGACCGAAGGGCCACCTCATACCCATCCTAGAATAATATTCTTGAACTATTACATGAGTTTCAAAAAGAAAATATTCCAGATTATATGGCCAGAGCCCAGCCTCCCTCCCAAAAAATAGTACCCTTATCCCCAAAGAAAGAACTCTAGAATCATCTCTCATTTCACTGATGGTTCTTTATATGCTTTTTCCTTTCACTCATGGGTACTATAAATATTTATTATAGTCAATGATCTATTTATATAACCTTTCAATTTTTTATTATCCAGTTATCTGGATGCCCTCTATAAGACCTGCTGCTTCCATGTTATCAATCTTAAATTATAATGGGAAAAGAAGATATACCCGCAAAATGCCTTCTTACACTTGGAGTCCTAAAGGTGTCTTTTCCAAGGAAAGATGGGCCATCCATGCTGAAACAAGCAAAATACAAGTCAGTATGGAAAATTTCTTATTGTATCTTGAGTTTCAAGGGGGATTGGTAAGGACAACTTCACACATACTTTCAGTGGCCAGTTGCATAAATGTAAGTATGTACGGACCATTGCACTGGCCTCTTAACTCATCTACCTGTTTCCACTATGTACCCCTGAAATCTGAATGCCAGAAAGATCTTTCTAAAATGCAAAGGATCACGTCGCTTAAATTCTTCTTCTTTTTTGTGGGGGGGGTGGGGGGGGGGCGTGTGGGGCGGGCAGGGACGGAGTTTCGCTCTTGCTGCCCAGGCTGGAGTGCAATGGTGCCATCTTGGCTCACCACAACCTTCGCCTCCTGGGTTCAAGCAATTCTCCTGCCTCAGCCTCCCGAGTAGCTGAGATTACAGGCTCCCGCCACCACGCCCAGCTGATTTTTGTATTTTTGGTGGAGACGGGATTTTGCCATGTTGGCCAGGCTGGTCTTGAACTTCCGACCTCAGGTGATCAGCTCGCCTTGGCCTCCCAAAGTGCTGGGATTATAGGTGTGAGCCACTGTGCCTGGCCTTTTTTTTTTTTTTTTTGAGACAGAATCTCGCTCTGTTGCCCAGGCTGGAGTTCAGTGGCGCGATCTTGGCTCACCACAATCTCCGCCTCCCGGGTTCAAGCGATTCTTTTGCCTCAGCCTCCCGAGTAGCTGGGACTACAGGCACGCGCCACCACACCAAGCTAATTTTTTTTTTTTTTGAGACAGAGTCTCGCTCTGTTGCCCAGGCTGGAGTGCAGTGGCACGATCTCCGCTCACTGCAAGCTCCGCCTCCCGGGTTCACGCCATTCTCCTGCCTCAGCCTCCCAAGTAGCTGGGACTATAGGCGCCCATCACCACGCCCGGCTAATTTTTTTGTATTTTTAGTAGAGACGGGGTTTCACCGTGTTAGCCAGGATGGTCTCGATATCCTGACCTCGTGATCTGCCCGCCTCGGCCTCACAAAGTGCTAGGATTACAGGCGTAAGCCACCGCGCATGGCTAATTTTTGTATTTTAAGTAGAGACGGGGTTTCGCTATGTATTTTAAGTAGAGACGGGGTTTCGCTATGTTGGCCAGCTGGTCTCCAACTCCTGACCTCGTGATCTGCCCGCCTGGGCCTCCCAAAGTGCTGGGATTACAGGCGTGAGCCACTGCGCCTGGCCCCTCCCACTTAAAATCTTTCATTGGATTTCCACCGCTCTTGGAAAAACACCAAAGTCCTCACTGTGACCTGAGAACCCCCTTGGGACCCTAATCTTCCTATGCCTCCCTCTCCTGTGCTCACTGACTGCCTCTCACATTTGTCTTTCTTCAATTCCTTCCAAACTACTATCTTCTTCCTTTTGAAGAACCTTTACAAAGGTTATTTCTTTTGCTTGAAATAGTCTTCCCTTCTCATGCCTCCCTCAACTTATTTAACTCCTACTCAAATGTCACATTTTTAGGGAAGTAAGCCTCTTCAGACTTATTTGCATTCCCCATCATGCAAATTTATATGATTACACTTTTTCACAGAACTTTTACAGTCGTAATTTTCTGTGCATTTGTAAGCATATTTGATTCAAGTATGGCCACAAGGCTCATGACAGGATGGACAACGTCTATTTTGCTCACAATTGTCTCTTATGGCTTATGAGGGGATTTAATAAATATTGGTTGAATAAAATGAATAAATGAATGAATGAAATATAATTTGTAAGGTAAGGATAAAAGGCTTGTTCTTAGAGCCTGGAATTCTCTTCATTGTTTAAGTCTGATGACATAACATGAATTGGGAAATGTATTAAGAATTTCCGGAATTTTTTTTTTTTGAGACGGTGTTTCACTCTTGTTGCCCAGGCTGGAGTGCAGTGGCGCGATCTCAGCTCATGGCAACCTCCGCCTCCCGGGTTCAAGCAATTCTCCTGCCTCAGCCTCCCAAGTAGCTGGGATTACAGGTGCCCGACAACACGCCCAGCTATTTTTTTGTATTTTTAGTAGAGATGAAGTTTCACTATGTTGGCCAGGCTGGTCTCAAACTCCTGACCTCAGGCGATCTACAGTCTCGGCCTCCCAAAATGCTAGGATTACAGGCGTGAGCAACCGCGCCCGGCCGATTTCTGGAATTTGATTGTTGAGCCTGAAATGTATGTTTATAAGGCTCCATTTCTCTTTCTTTCTTTCTTCCTTTTTTCCTTTCTTTCTCTCGTTCTCTCCTTCTTTCTTTCTTTCTTTCTTTCTGTCTTTCTTTTTTGACATGGTGTCTTGCTCTGTCGCCCAGGCTGGAGGGCAGTGGCACAATCTCGGCTCACTGCAACCTCTGCCTCTCGGGTTCAAGCCATCCTCCTGCCTCAGCCTCCCAAGTAGCTGGGATTACAGGCATGCACCACTACTCCCAGCTAATTTTTGTATTTTTAGTAGAGACGGGGCTTCACCATATTGCCCAGGCTGGTCTCGAACTCCTGACCTCAAGTAATCTGCCCACCTTGGCCTCCCATAGTGCTGAGATTGCAAGTGTGAGCCAACGTGCCTGGCCATCAGGCTCCATTTCTATTTGTAACTGCCAACTAGAAACAATATGAAAGAGCAGTGGCTCTATAAAAATGTTAGCCAAACCCGTACTTGTGTATATGATATCCCGGAGTGCAAACTCAAGCGTGGCAAAAGAGAGGGAGAGGCTTACATGAGGACAGATAGCATGGTATGGTGGTTACGAGCTCAGTCTTTGGAACCCAACTCTCTGGTTTTGAAACTCTGCCCCATTGTTTATGAGCTATTATTCTTAGGCAGTTTCCTGTTTTCTCTGTGCCTCAGTTTTCCCGACTACAATATGGAGCTAAACGGTGCCTCATAGGCTTATGAGAATTCAACCATTTCACATTAGTAAAATGCTTTGAAGATTTCCTGCAAGAGGACAAGCGCTACATAAGTGTTAAATAAATAATACACACTTCATGGGAGTTGCTGTTCCCGGAGAGGTAAAAATATATTAGTAGTCACAATAGTCAAGTACTGCATATATAAATGCCACTTCAGAGGGTATAGGTCAGGTCTACTCCCTTCTCACCATCCTCAATCCATTGTCTTGGGTTAAGGAATTGTGTCACCAAGACTTTCTTGTTACATACAGATGTTTTCCGGGAGCTATAAACAGGGAGCTATTACCACAGCTTTAGCAAGGTCTAAGTGTAAGGTCTAGGATGATTCATTTCAATATACAGAAGTCAGAAAGAAGTAGTTCATTTAGGGCCAGGCCCGGTGGCTCACGCCTGTAATCCCAGTAATTTGGGAGGCCAAGGCAGGCGGTTCACAAGGTCAGGAGTTCGAGACCAGCCTGGCCAACATGGTGAAACACCATCTCTACTAAAAATACAAAAAAATTAGCCAGGTGTAGTGGCACATGCCTGTGATCCCAGCTACTTGGGAGGCTGAGGCAGGAGAATCGCTTGAACCCAGGAAGCGGAGGTTGTGGTGAGCGGAGATTGTGCCATTGCACTCCAGCCTGGGCGACAAAGCACGACTCTGTCTCAAAAAAAAAATTATAATAATACATAAGAAGTAGTTCATTTAATCTAACAAATATTTACTGAGAATTTCTGAGATTGGCTAGCTGCTTCCCATTTGCCATGTTCTTGCCCTCCTGGGCACACTGCTGGCTTGCATAGCCCATGTGCCTTGAATCTAGGAAGGGACCATAGAGAGCTCTCTCTCCAGTGCGTTGTGAGCAGGGCGATGGGAGGCACTTGTGGGCCATGGCAGTTGACAGGTGTGCTTTCTACATCCACTCTCTTTTGTCCCTTATCTGAGGCTGTGCTGGAGGGCTCTGACTTCCTGGGTATTGCAAAGACTTCGGAAAGAAGGTCTCTTAAGTGACTGCACAGAGCAGAGCTTCCACCTCCCCTAATTCCAATCTGAGGTTTCTCTGTTATCTGAGTTTAAATTGGAGCCTAGGAGTCATTTTAATGGGGCTTCATCACCAAGCAGCTCGATGAGTGGTATTACTACGTATTTAAAACTAGCTTTGGGCTGGACATGGTGGCTTATGCCTGTAATCCCACCACTTTGGGAGGCTAAGGCAGGTAGATTGCTTGAGCACTCATGGCAAAACCTCATCTGTACAAAAAATAAAAAAAAATTAGCTGGCGTAGTGATGTATGCCTGTTGTCCTAGCTGCTTGAGAGGCTAGGTGGAAGAATCACCTGAGCCCGAGAGGCCGAGGCTGCAGTGAGCTATGATTGTGCCACTGCACTCCAGCCTGGACAACAGAGTGAGACCCTGTCTCAAAAGAAACAAAAGACTGGGCATGGTGGCTCACGCCTGTAATCCCAGCACTTTGGGAGGCCAAGGCAGGAGGATCACTTGAGGTCAGGAGTTCGAGACCAGCCTAGCCAACATGGTGAACCCTGTCTCTACTAAAAGTACAAAAATTAGCCGGGCACGGTGATGGGCACCTGTAATCGCAGCTGCTGTGGAGGCTGAGGCAGGAGAATCACTTTAACCCAGGAGGACTGAACCTAGACAGAGCTGGGATTACAGGCACGTGCCACCAAACCCAGCTAATTTTTGTATTTTTAGTAAAGACGGGGTTCACCATGTTGGCTAGGCTGGTCTCAAACTCCTGACCTCAAGTGATCCTCCTGCCTTGGCCTCCCAAAGTGCTGGGATTACAGGCGTGAGCCACCATGCCTGGCTGACTCACTATATTTCAAGGGTCCTTTTCTCAAAGACATACCAAAAAAAAAAAAACCACACAATTACTACCACACCACTTCTTCCACACCCCTAGGATTCCAGGAGAAAGGAACAAAGCTGGCATGGTTTCTGTCTGCTCCATTCACTTGAGAAGGAAGGTCTCTGCACTTTGGGGGAATTACGGTAGTTTCCCCTCACGAAAGGGGAAGAACTTTTGGTCTATGACTTTTTAACTTCATGACAGTTTTCTCTTTCCCTGTGGAAAGAGAATTAAATCCTATCTCTTCCACTCCAACCCCTCAAATAGTAAATTGAGGCTATCAAGACAATTCCAATTCTAGGTTTCGGTTTCTTTTTGCTATAAGGGCTTAAATTGGAGCCCTCGAGTATACTTTCTTTGCTGAGAAGTATTATGAATGATTTCATATCTAACACTAGCTTTGTTATTGAGGCTATAGATAAATGACTCTCAGCAACAGCAACCTTTGGCACCTCTGTTCTGGAATATCACGTTTTAAGTAAAGTACAACCTAGAAAACAACTCAGCACCTTAAGAGCCTTCTAAAATGGCTTGATTTTATTGTATTACTAATTCTGGGCCAAAGAGTTTATTGCATCAGATGATACAAATTAGAATGAGAGTGCAGAAGAGAATACTGTGTAAGAATAATCATCCATTACAGGGCTGATATTTGATAGAAAGTGTTAATTCATTTACATTGTTAAGTATCCACTGAAAATGCAGATATTATCATGGTAGTATGATCTCTGAATCAAGGGCTCAGATTTTTGTTAGAATCTCATGATTAAACATGTCTTAATTGATAAATTGAAATAATAAAGCTTGTTTCACTTAAGGTAATATGTTTTCTGGTCTCAAATCCTTGTTGTCTCCTTTTGTCCTTTAAGCATTAATAGGTATAATCTGGCCGGGCGTGGTGGCTCATGCCTGTAATCCCAGCACTCTGGGAGGCCAAGGCCGGTGGATCATGAGGTCAAGAAATTGAGACCATCCTGGCCAACATGGTGAAACCCCGTCTCTACTAAAAATACAAAAATTAGCCGGGCATGGTGGCACGCACCTGTAGTCCCAGATACTCGGGAGGCTGAGGCAGGAGAATCACTTGAACCCAGGAGGGCAGAGGTTGCGGTGAGCCAAGATCACGCCACTGCACTCCAGCCTGGCGACAGAGTGAGACTCTGTCTCAAAAAAAAAAAAAAAGATATAATCTTCAATTTATGATAGCCATAAAGAAAATTAAATTCCATTACTATTTATTTTTAAAATTAGGCATAGATTCTAAGTTTCCACTCTGAATCACTGACTTTAGTCTTTTTCCATGGAGTTGTAAAGATTAATAAGGGGCCGGGCGTGGTGGCTCAGGCCTGTAATCCCAATACTTTAGGAGGCTGAGGCGGGTGGATCACTTGAGGCCAAGAGTTTGAGACCAGCCTGGCCAACATGGCGAAACCCTGTCTCCACTGAAAATAAAAAATTAGCCAGGCAATGGTGGTGCACACCTGTAATCCCAGCTACTTGGGAGGCTGAGGCAGGAGAATCACTTGAAACCCGGGAGGTGGAAGTTGCAGTGAGCCGAGATCACACCATTGCACTCCAGCCTGGGCTACAGAATGAGACTCCATCTCAAAAAAGAAAAAAAAAAAAGGCTAATAAGGAACTGAAGAGAGTTAGGAATATCTTATCTGCACTTATTTAAGAATATAAAATGAAAATACTACATATGCTTTCTAAGCCTAGCTCCACTGAACTGACACTCGAAAGCAGAGATCTTAGATAAACCTTGTGTTCTAAATTAGTATTGGTTGACTGGCTGTACCTTTGAATCAGTGTATTATATGTCACTTTCCAAAAAACAGCTGCATTTTAATAAGCCTTTTATGTTAGTATGTTCCCCATAGAGAGTTAGACCTGCCAATTGTGTGTGCATTTTTCTAACATCTATAAGACTATCTGAAATAAAATCATAGATTTTAGGAACTGCAAGTTACTTTGAACTTTTCAATTGTAATCTAGGCAGCTTATTTGCCATTTGTCCTGTGGCATCTGCTTGAACAACAAGAAACATTTCAATCAGACTTTGAAAAAGAATAAAATGTAATTTTTAAAACCAACACTTTATTAAATTGGACGACAGGTAAATCAACAAGTAGCAGAAAGACTATTTTATTATCTTGGTTTTAATTGCTTCTTAAAAATGGTTCAAGAGTTTGTATTTATTTATTTATTTTTTGGGGACAGTCTTGCTCTGTTGCCCAGGCTGGAGTGCCGTGGCAGCATCTCGGCTCACTGCAGCCCCTGCCTCCCAGGTTCAAGCGATTCTCCTGCCTCAGCCTCCTGATTAGCTGGGATTACAGCATGCCCCACGATGCCCTGCTAATTTTTTTGTATTTTTAGTAGAGAGGGGGTTTCACCACGTTGGCCAGGCTGGTCTTAAACTCCTGATCTCAGGTGATCCGCCCGCCTCAGCCTCCCAAAGTGCTGGGATTACAGGCAAGAGTTTGGGGTTTTTGAGATGGAGTTTCACTCTTGTTGCCTGGGCTGGAGTGCAATGGCGCACTCTCCGCTCACTGCAACCTCTGCCTCTTGGGTTCAAGCGATTCTCCTGCCTCAGCCTCCCAAGTAGCAGGGATTACAATCATGCGCCACCATGCCCGGCTAATTTTTTTGTATTTTTAATAGAGAGAGGGTTTCACCATGTTGGCCAGGCTAGTCTGAACTCCTGACCTCAGGTGATCCATCCGCCTTGGCCTCCCAAAGTGCTGGGATTACAGGCGTGAGCCACCGCTCCTGGCCAAGAGTTTTGTTTTTAATTAATGTATTGTTTTTGAATGTTTTTCCTGTACTTTTTTTTTTTTTTTTAGACTGAGTCTCTCTCTGTCACCCAGGCTGGAGTGCAGTGGCGCGATCTTGGCTCACTGCAACCTCTGCCTCCCGGGTTCAAGCAATTCTCCTGCCTCAGCCTCTTGAGTAGCTGAGATTACAGGCATGCACCACCACGCCCAGCTAACTTTTGTATTTTCATTTTAGTAAAGAAGGGTTTTCATCATGTTGGTCAGGCTGATCTTGAACTCCTGACCTTGTGATCCACCCGCCTCAGCCTCCCAAAGTGCTGGGATTACAGGCATGAGCACGGTTTTTCCTGTACTATTAAACACAACCTTCCTGGACCGCAGGGAAGACTATAGGGGATTTAGGCGAATGGAGAAGGGAGCATAAAAGATGAATGAGCTCCAGCAGGAGAGGCCTTGGTGCAACCGGGGTTAGTGGGTCCCCACCTGAAATGCATTTGGAAGCACTCAGTGAGTTTTTGAAAATGCAGAGTCTCAAGTGCTACTGAGGAGATTTAGATTCAAAAGTTGTAAGTCATGACCCAGGAACATATATGAAATTTCTCTGGTAATTCTGATGATCATCTGACCTGTTGCACCTCCATTTTAGTTCAGTTCTTCCACTCTACAGGGCAAATGACCGGAAATGGCTTTCACAAAATTAATTAGTAATCAGAATTGAGGTTGGAATCCAAGTATCCATATGCCGTGGATTCCCTTATCCATGTTCCTTCAACATGACCATACTCGAGGGAGAGAGGAATGAAGGGTCCACGGGCTGAACACTAAGAAACAGAGGACCTGATGCGGGCGGTGGCTCACGCCTGCAATCCCAGCACTTTGAGAAGCTGAGGGAAGTGGATCACGAGGTCAAGAGATCGATACCATCTTGGCCAACATGGTGAAACCCCGTCTCTACTAAAAATACAAAAATTAGCCGGGCGTGGCGGCGGGCGCCTGTAGTCCCAGCTACTCAGGAGGCTGAGGCAGGAGAATGGCTTGAACCTGGGAGGCAGAGATTTCAGTGAGCCAAGATTGTGCCACTGCACTCCAGCCTGGGCGACAGAGCGAGACCCCGTCTCAAAATAAATAAATAAATAAATAATTTAAAAAATAAGAAATACAGAGGACCTACTTACATGCCTTTACCTTGAATAGTCCTGATAGCCTATTCTGAAGAATCTGACTCAGCAATTCCACTGGGGTATTTATGGTAGTGAAAATTGGAAACAACTTAATTGACCAACAATAGGATATTGAATATATAAATTATAGTACATAGTTATGATACAAAGGAAAAATATGTAGCCTTTAAGAATGATGATACAGATGTACACTTTTAGCATGAAAATATAGTCACATTACATATACACACAGAGAAAAAATTTCTGAAGTATATACATCAAAATATTGACAGTGGGTTTCTCTGGGTAATTGAGATCATAGGAATTTTTTCAAAAGTTTTCTAATCATATTTCACATATTTTCACAACAAATAATCAACTCATACACACAACACATTCACATATAAAACCAGAGGTTTTTTTGGTTTTGGCAATTTGTTACAGTTCATTGATTCTTTGTTGAACCAAATACCAACCCAAACAAGAATAAAGATGATGAGAAGGTTACATGCTTTACATGCTTTTCTGTGAGCTCTTGAGGGTTTCATAAAGCTGAAATAAAATTATGCACCATGTCTATATTTGAATTGACGGTGTATTTGTTGAATGTCTGTGCTTATGTGAAGACTCTTCCTAGCATATAAATGTGAATATCATAATACATGTTCATTTTTCTTTCCCTTAGGGATTTGATTAGTGGTTTCAGAGGACATGGTACAAAGGGATACAATAATAAAAAGGTATAACAGTTTTTTGTAAGAGGAAAGGAGTGAGATTCTGTAATTGACCCAATATTAGATCTACAGCTCTACCAAAGATCTTGCTGTCTACTGTGCTTATTAATAATTTAGCTATAGTGGTACACAAAGGAAGTGGTTTGTAATTACTGAGAAAATATTGAAACCTCCATTGAAGATAAGGTTATACGGTCTAGCAATAAAAATGTGTGCCTGTGCAATATATTACTATATTTTCCAATTTGACTGCAGCCCTAGTAAGTCAAAGGTGGTTATTTCTTCTATGAGACAGGGTTGTGATGGAAAGAACATTTGCTCATTTTATGATTCTAATCTTGTCTCTGCTACTGACTAGTTCTGTGATCTTGGGTAACAGCAACATGTAAAGTTCAGGGTTCAAAACAAATCTGGCTCTCTCTATAGAAAGTGCTCCATTTAGATATGTGTATATCTATACGAGTTTAAGTACATACGTATATATGCAATATTTAGCCCCAAACTAAATATACAAAGTTCTTATTATATTCATATACTGGCCGGGCATGGTGGCTCACGCCTGTAATCCCAGCACTTTGGGAGGCCGAGGCAAGTGGATGACCTGAGGTCAGGAGTTCGAGACCAGCCTGGCCAACAGGGCGAAAGCCCATCTCCACTAAAAATACAAAAATTAGCTGGGTGTGGTAGCGGGCACCTGTAATCCCAGCTACTTGGGAGGCTGAGGCAAGAGACTTGCTTGAACCCAGGGGGTGGAGGTTGCAGTGAGCCGAGATCACACCACGGCACTCCAGCCTGGGTGACAGAGCGAGACTCCGTCTCAAATATATATATATATACACACATACTAAGAATTTCAGAGGCCATGATCTAGATGTCATTTTTTAAAGGCTATCTAAAAATAGAATATCTTTCATTAAGTCAGAGCCCTGGAATACTAAAAGTTAAAACATTAAAAATATAGGAATGGGCCAGGCGCAGTGGCTCATGCCTGTAATCCCAGAACTTTGAGAGGCCGAGACAGGCAGATCACCTGAGTTCAGGAGTTCGAGACCAGCATGGCCAACATGGTGAAACCCCGTCTCTACTAAAAATACAAAAGCCAGATGGGCGTGGTGGTGCATGCCTGTAATCCCAGCCACTTGGGAGGCTGAGGCAGGAGAATCGCTTGAACCTGGGAGCAGAGGTTGCAGTGAGCTGAGATCCTGCCACTGCACTCC
Organism: Homo sapiens; assembly: GCF_000001405.40. Classification (NCBI taxonomy): domain Eukaryota; kingdom Metazoa; phylum Chordata; class Mammalia; order Primates; family Hominidae; genus Homo; species Homo sapiens. The sequence continues at coordinate 177,237,943 of NC_000003.12, read as the reverse complement.
AGCCTGGACAACAGAGCAAGACTCCACCTCAAAAAAAAAAAAAAAAAAATATATATATATATATATATATATATAGAGAGAGAGAGAGAGAGAGAGAGAGAGAGAGAGGAATGACAGCACAAGGTGCTTTTTATAATACCTGCTTCTTACTGCCTTAGAACTATTTTGCTAGTTTTCTAATGGTGAGGATACCATGCTGAAGCATGAGGTGAATTACTAGGCTGGGACTGTGATGCGGTAACATTGGCTTTATGTTTTTGGAGTATAGTTCTATCTACCCCTAACACACCTGGGTGTATTCTAGTCCCGTGGTTGCAATAGTGATAATAACTAGCACTTGTTTAGTGCTTATTGCTTGTCAAGCCCCGTGGTAAATATTTCACATGCATCACCTCATGTACTCTTAATTGTATTGATTAGGAAATGAAGCACTGAGAGGTTAATTGACTTGCCTAAATTTACTCAGCCAGTAAGAGGCAGAGCCAAGATTCAAATGTAGAGCATCTGACTCCAAAGCCACACCCTTAACCACTCCCTGCACAGCCTTCTCTGTGAGATCCCTGCCAAGTTCCATGAGGAGACAGGCCAGGTCTCTCGTACTCACGTCTTATTCACAGAGCCTGGTTCTGGGTTTATGCACAATTAACATCGCTAAATAATGGATAAATGATATTGGTATTTCTCAGATCAGTTGCAAGATACTTTGCTAATGACTTGTTTCAAATGATAAAGGATTAAAGTTTGTAAACTGTCGACCAAAAAATAAAATAGCAGAATCAAGGTTGACTGGGAAATAGTGTCATACTTTACTCATTTGCCTTCTGATATGGTAACAAACAAGCAAAATATGTTGGTGGCTTAGCACAAAAGAGTTTATTTCTCACTTACACCAAGTCATCTGAGCAGGTCAGCAGGTCACCTGCCCTCCTTACAGTGTCTTGATACACAGGCGCCATTGTCCCAAGGCAAGAGTTCAGAAAAGAAACTGTAAGATCAGGTGGGGCTCCACTCCTCAGCCTGAAATGATATGTCAATGATGCACTGTTTCCTCTCAGAAGTTACTGGCCAGAATTAGTCACAACTAACTAAGCATGGGATCTGAGAAGTGCAGTCTTCCATGTGCCCTAGGATGAGAGGAGAACTAGACATGGGTAAGCCCTAATGGTGGCTTCTACAGAAAGAGAGAAATGGATATTTCGTAGGTGCTGGGATTATTCATAACATTAGAAAGGCCTATTGAAGTGTGTCACACATTGACCAGTGTTGCCTTCAGTGTAGGAGACAAAGAGAGAGGAGAGGGAGGGATAATTTAAAATGTGCAGGGAAAGCTGGGTGCAGTGGCTCACGCCTGGAATCCCAGCACTTCAGGAGGCCAAGATGGGTAGATCGCTTGAGGTCAGGAGTTCAAGACCAGCTTGGCCAACATGGTGAAACCCCATCTCGACTAAAAATACAAAAATTAGCCAGGCATTAGTGGCGTGTGCTTGTAATTCCAGCTATTTGGAAGGCTGAGTCAGGAGAATCGCTTGAACCCAGGAGGTAGAGGTTACAGTGAGCCGAGATCATGCCACTGCACTCCAGCCTGAACGACAGAGTGAGACTCTGTCTCAAAAAAGGAAAAAAAAAAAGAATTGCAGGGAAAAGTTGTTACCATACCACCTTTCTGCTCATGAGCTGGAGAATTTGTAGTTTGTCATACACACATACAGAATGAAGAAAATTACCTCATCATGTACAAACAAAACATTTTAGATGGGGTAAAGAGCCAAATATAAAAAGAAACCTATAAAGGTATTTTCTAACACAGAGAAAAGCATGATTATTAACCTTAGGCTAGGGAAGCCCATCTTAAGCAACACAAAGTATAAAACCTATAGGGAAAAAAAGAGTGATTTTTTTTTTTTTTTGAGATGGAGTCTCACTCTGTTGCCCAGGCTGGATGCAGTGGCGCCATCTTGGCTCACTGCAAGCTCCACCTCCCGGGTTCAAGTAATTCTCCCGCCTCAGCCTCCACAGTAGCTGGGATTACAGGTGCAGGCCACCATGCCCAGCTAATTTTTCTATTTTTAGTAGAGACAGGGTTTCACCATGTTGGTCAGGCTGGTCTTGAACTCCTGACCTCATGATCCGCCTGCCTCGGCCTCCGCAAGTGCTGGGATTACAGGCGTGAGCCACTGTGCCTGGCCTAAAAGAGTGATTTTTTCACTATATGAATATTAAAGCTTCTCTTTGACAGAAGACACCACGAAGTTGAAAGACAATTGATATACTGGGAGAATATATTTACAACTTGTTCAACACAAAAAAGAATTAATGTTCACAATACATAAGGAACCCTAAACATTAAAAAAGACCAAAAAAGGCAGGGCATGGTGGCTCACGCCTGTAATCCCAACATTTTGGGAGGTTGAGGCGGGCGGATCACTTGAGGTTGTGAGTTTGAGACCAGCCTGGCCAACATGGTGAAACCCCATCTCTACTAGAAATGCAAAAATTAGCCGGGCGTAGTTGTGGGTGCCTGTAATCCCAGCTATTTGGGAGGCTGAGGCAGGAGAATCGCTTGAATCCAGGAGGCAGAGGTTTCAGTGAGCCAAGATCGCGCCATTGCACTCCAGCCTGGGCGACAGTGCGAGACTCCATCTCAAAAAAAAAAAAAAAAAGAAAAGAAAAGAACAACAACAACAAAAAAACCCCAAAAATCAATGCTCTGCAGAGGAAATACCAAAGGCCAATTAGCTTACAAAGAGATTTTTTACCTCAGTAATAAGAAAAAAAAATTAAAACAGCGATGAGATAGATGGCAAAAATCAAAATGATTAATAGGAGTCTAAGAAACACTATACAGAATTATACCAGGCCCGGCATGGTGGCTCACACCTGTAATCCCAGCACTTTGGGAGGCCGAGGCAGGTGGATCACGAGGTCAGAAGTACGAGACCAGCCTGGCCAACATAGTGAAACCCAGTCTCTACTAAAAATACAAAAATTAGCCAGAGTGGTGGCGCACACCTATAGTCCCAGCTACTCGGGAGGCTGAGGCAGGGAGAATCGCTTGAACCCAGGAGGCGGAGGTTGCAGTGAGCCGAGATCGCGCCACTGTACTCCAGCCTGGGTGACAGAGCGGGACTCTTGTCTCAAAGAAAAAAAAAAAAATAGACCTTCCCTTACAGTGATGGTGAGAATATAGATGGCAGTGCCTCTTTCTGAGGGCTATTTGTCAGTGGTTCTTAAAATGCATATTCTCTTCAACCCAGCTCTAGCTTTTTATCTTACAGAAATTTGTATGTACACAAAAATGTACGGGCAGGATATTCATTGAAGCATCATTCATAGTAGGAAAAAATGAAAAACCAGCCTAAATGCTCAACAATAGTGGAGTGTGAACTAAATTATAGAGCATCTATGCCATAGACTCTTACACAAAGCAGTAAAAAAGAATGAGAGGAATGTAATTAAAATTTCAGGAAAAACAAAAACAAAACTCCGTGAGAAAAGGTGCGATGCTAATATTTTTAAATGTGCCATGATTTTGAGCATTTGGTAGATTGGAACAGGGAGAATTCATTGTATTCATTCTTTGACTATTACCAGTGTTGTCATATTGGAACAATAGAGCAGGAAATACATCACATTGTTTATCTCTGCAGTGAATAATATTTACATAGTCATGATAACTTAAGTGCTGTTTATTACTTTTCATCTTTTAGAATCAACCTATAGTCCAAACACAGTGGCTCATGCCTGTAATCTCAATACTTTGGGAGGCTGAGGCAGGCAGACCACTTGAGCTCAGGAGTTTGAGACCAGCCTGGGCAACACAGTGAGACCTCATCTCTACCAAAAATTTAAAAATAAAAATTAGTCTGGCATGATAGTGTGCGCCTGTAGTCCCAGCTACTCAGGAGGCCAAGGTGGAAGGATCGCTTGAGCCCAGGAGATTGAGGCTGCAGTGAGCCATGATTGCACCACTTCACTTTAGCCTGGGTGACAGAATGAGATCCTGTCTCAAAAAAAAAAAAAAAAAAAAGAAAAGAAAAAAAGACAAGAATCGACCTATAAAACATTAAATACTTAAGGTTTAAAAGATCCAAAATGTTGGCCGGGCACGGTGGCGGGCGCCTGTGATGCCAGCTACTCGGGAGGCTGAGGCAGGAGAATGGCGTGAACCCGGGAGGCGGAGCTTGCAGTGAGCCGAGATCACGCCACTGCACTGCAGTCTGGGCGACAGAGCAAGACCTCGTCTCAAAAAAAAGAAAAAATAAAAAAGATCCAAAATGTTACCAACAAAAATTGTTGGGGCTGGGCACGGTGACTCATGCCTGTAGTCCCAGCACTTTCACAGGCCGAGGCAGGCAGATCATCTGAGGTTGGGAGTTCGAGACCAGCCTGACCAACACAGCAAAACCCAGTCTCTACTAAAAATACAAAAATTAGCCAGGCGTAGTGGCGCGTGCCTGTAATCCCAGGTACTCGGGAGGTTTAAGCAGGAGAATCGCTTGAACTTGGGAGGCAGAAGTTGTGGTGAGCCAAGACTGCACCATTGCACTCCAGCCTGGGCAACAAGAGCGAAACTCCATCTCAAAAAAAAAAGAAAAAAAAAAAGAAGAAAAAAAGTGTTATCAACCATAACAATAATGCAGTAAAAGTAACACTGGCATAATGTAGTGGGCTAGGAAGCAAGATGGCTTTGTGTAAGGATGTGCCAGATATTGCTCACCAGGGAAGATACAGAAGGAGCAAATAAGTCAGAGTAGAACTCAGCTATCATTAATACATTTGTATGCCTTGACATTCTCCTTTATCTTTATTTGACATTGGAAGGAATAGTGCAGAAACTCAGAGGACATTAAGGTGTTTTTAGGGTTTAATTTTAATTTTTTTTTTTTTGAGATAGGGTCTCACTCTGTCAATAAGGCTGGAGTGCAGTGGTGCGGTCATTGCAACCCCCTCTAGGATTCAAGCAATTCTTCTGCCTCAGCCTCTTGAGTAGCTGGGATTACAGGTGCCTGCCACTACACCCAGCTAATTTTGTATTTTTAGTAGAGATGGAGTTTCACCATGTTGATCAGGCTGGTCTCGAACTCCTGACCTCAAGTGATCCACCCGCCTTGGTCTCCCAAAGTGCAGGGATTAGAGGCATAAGCCACCGTACCCAGCCTAAAGTGTTTTTAAATAGTAAATAGGTAGTTGGCTATCAGATCAAATGTTTTTTCTTTTATAATGCTACCACTTTTAGCTATGACTCAAGACAGTTGGCTTTTTGGTAAGGATAATAATATATTATAATTGGGGCTTAAGAGATAATTATATTAGATAATTAAATGCTCTTTAAATCATATTAGTGTAATGTTACTTTTCTGTTTTTCTCATTTGGTATTATATTAAATATTATAGAAATATCAAATGTGTTACTTTAATAGATATTGATCTGAATGGGGAAATTAAAGAGGGACACTGGATTCTTTACATGGATATACTTGGGAACATTTTAAAAATATCTTTTAATGATGATTCTACTCTACACACCTAAAATGTAAAATAGACAAGATTTTCCAGATAATTAGATTAAAAAATACATTCACAGGGATATCAAGATATTTAGGTCTTTGAGGGCTTTTTTTTTTTTTTTGAGACGGAGTCTCACTGTGTCACCTGGGCTGGAGTGCAGTGGTGTGATCTCGGCTCACTGCAACCTCCGCCTCCCAGGTTCAAGCAATTCTCCTGCCCAGCCTCCAAAGTAGCTAGGATTACAGGCACACACCACCACGCCTGGATAATTTTTGTATTTTTAGAAGAGACGGGGTTTCACCATGTTGGTCAGGATGGTCTCGATCTCTTGACCTCGTGATCCCCCCGCCTTGGCCTCCCAAAGTGCTGGGATTACAGGTGTGAGCTACCGAGCCTGGCCCTCTTTTTCTTAATAAGTAGAAATTTGACCGGGTGCTTCCTAGCATCCGGAGGCTGCTGGAGACTCTGCTGACTTCAAGGGCTGCCCATCACCAGTAACAAAGGAAAAAGCCAATGGTGGTTGCCATCTCTCTTCTGCCTTCCAAATCTCTCACCAGTATATCTGATTGGCAGAACTCAAGCTATGTCTGAAACTGTGCTGGCAAGGGAGTATGAGACATGTTCCCAGATTTCCAGCCCCTGCAAAACAGGGGAGATAGAAGACTGTAAAAAGTGCTAGATGCCAATAGACAATATCTGGCTCACTTGTGTATTAACAAATCAATAAGAGTAGCTCTGTTTGACTACAATAGAAACATTAAATATGTATAAAGAAGACTGATTATTGGTTAAAGAGAGTTGGAGAAAGGGGGAAGGAAGGGAGAGAAAGCTAAACCTATAGATGGAATAGATTAGATAGATATTTACTAGAGATCTATTATGACCCTAAAGCAGGAAAATTACAACATTAAAAGCAGTCCTTTAGGACAGTGAGAGAATAGATTTTGTGTTTGTGTGGTGTCGCAGTGGAAAAAAAGAGGAAGTAGAGATGAAGTAGAGAAATCTTTTAAGAGATAATTTTAGGAATCCACCAGTGAGAGGCTATGAAGATTAGAGTAAAAGTGGTAAAGCTGGGTGCGGTGGCTCACACCTGTAATCCCAACACTTTGGGAGGCTGAGGCAGGCATCAGGAGTTCAAGACCAGCCTGGCCAACATAGTGAAACCCTGTCTCTACTAAAAATGTAAAAATTAGCCAGGCGTGGTGGTGGGTGCCTGTAATCCCAGCTACTCGGGAGTCTGAGGCAGGAGAATTGTGTGAACCCGGGAGGCAGAGGTTGCAGTGAGCCAAGATCGAATCATTGCACTCTAGCCAGGGCGACAGAGTGAGACTCCATCTCAAAAAAAAAAAAGTCCTAAGAGTGGAGACCAATGGGCATACGTGAGAGATACGGCCCCTAGGTCCAGAAAAAGAAACTTGTCCCTAGAATATTCTAATGTCTATCAGTGGCCACATTCTCTGACTGATCTGTGGCTCCAACTTCAGTCTCCTGGGGAGCAGCAAGCCAGCTATGCAGAGCTGGCTCAATCACATCTCACGGCCTCTCCAATCAGCTCCATCAGCAAATAATCCTTTCCTGATAAAGAACCCAGGTCTGCTTCTGCATTTTTATCTCCTTTCCAACTTCTTTGGAGTAATTACACTAAGTATGGAAATGAGGTAAGGTGACCCGAGGAATTCATCAGGTTCCCCTCTTGCCCATTGTCTAAAGTAAAGCTACAAACTCCTTTGTCGCACTCCAACATTCTTACAACGAACTCCATTTTCTACTCCAGCCCCACTGGAACACGGCTTCGGTCATGCTGATCTTACCATTTCCTGCATTCACTCATTCATTCATTCACATGCTCTTCAATCAACAAGTATTTATTGAGGAGCTACTCTGCACCAGGCCCTGCTGAGGATTTAGAAGTTAAACGGCAAAACAATAACAAAAAATCCCTGCATTATGGAGCTTACCTTCTAGTATAGAGTGTGTTAGGAGGTAAGTGCAGGGCTTCAGTCTAGGAGTTTGAGATCGACCTGGGAAAATGGTGAGACCCTGTCTCTAAAAAAAAAAAAAAAAAAATTAGTGGGATATGATGGCACATGCTTAGAGTCCTACCTACTTGGGAGGCTGAGGTGGGAGGGTCGCTTGAGCCCAGGAGTTCAAGGTTACAGTGAGCTATGATTGTACCACTGCACTCCAACTTGAGTGACAGTGAGATCTTGTCTCTAAAAAAAAAAAAAAAGAAGGTAAGTGCAGGGAAGAAAAATGCTATAATGCCATCTTCATCTTCATGGAGTTATTTCTGTTTTTTTTATGTTTTTTTTTTTTTTGGTGGTGGTTGTTGTTGTTGTTAGCTTTCAAACCCAATCTTCTTCTCAACATTCACAGCATATTTTCTTTGTATTCTGTGCCTTGCGTAACCCCTTTGGCACAACAACCCATCCTGTTCAATGCCTCTAATTGTCTGTCATGTCTCTGTGTGCTATTTATAACACAACACTCCCCTCTTCCAAAAAGGATTGTATAGAATCAATGTGGTCACATGTAAACACAGGAGCTTGAGAATTTTTCTTGTAAATGTTCAGTGAGATCATATGACTTCTGTAGCAAGATGATAATGTTTTATAAGAATCCAATTGATGTATCTGAAGTCATAAAGTAAAACTTGGAAACAAAAAATAAAATGACTAATATTAGAAATTTAGGGTTAGGACAGGAGGCAGAGGTTGCAGTGAGCCGAGATCACACCACTGCACTCCAGCCTGGGCAACAGAGTAAGACTCTGTCTCAAAAAAAAAAAAAGAAAGAAAGAAATTGAGAGTTAGGAAAGTAAAGGGAGAGATAGGGTCAAAGCCGAATTGGGACAGATTTATAAAAGATGAAGAGTACTTTTTAACAAAACCATAGAGACAGAGAAAAAACGTAGATAGAGGTATTTTCCTGGAGTAGAATATTTTGAAAACAACATTGTGAGTGGAATACTTAAGAGAAAGAACATGAGAATGTAGACAGGGAAGAGGTGGAGCAACATCGGAAGGAAAGAATGTGTTAATACAGCTCTGTTTAAAATAGTGTCCTACGGGTCACTTGAGGTCAGGAGTTCGAGACCAGACTGGCCAGCACAGCGAAACCCCATCTCTACTAAAAATAGAAAAATTAGCCAGGCATGGTGGCATGCATCTGTAATCCCAGCTACTCAAGAGGCTGAGGCGTAAGATTCGCTTGAACCCGGGATGCAAAGTTTGCGGTGAGCTGAAATCAGGCCACTGCACTCCAGCCTGCATGACAGAGCAAGACTCTGTCTCAAGAAAAAAAAATAATAATAATAATAGTGAGAGGTGGCAGTGTGCTGGCAGCCCTCGCTCGCTCTCGGTGCCTCCTCGGCCTTGGCGCCCATTCTGGCTGCGCTTGAGGAGCCCTTCAGCCTGCCACTGCACTGTGGGAGCCCCTCTCTGGGCTGGCCGGGGCTGGAGCCGGCTCCCTCTGCTTGTGGGGAGGTGTGGAGGTAGAGGCGTGGGCAGGAACCTGGGCCAGCGTGAGTTCCGGGTGGGCGTGGGCTGGGTGGGCCCCGCACTCGGAGCGGCAGTGAGGGGCTTAGCACTGGGGCCAGCATCTGGGAGGAGGCGCCAGGTCCCCCAGCACTGCTGGCCCACCCGGGCCACACTCGAATTCTTGCCAGGCCTCAACCACCTCCCTGCGGTGGGCTCCCGAGAGGCCCAAGCCTCCCTAACAGGTGCTGCCCCCTGCTTGTGGCACTGGTCCCATCCACGGCCCAAGGGCTGAGGAGTGCGGGCCCACAGCACAGGATTGGCGGGCAGCTCCGCCTGCGGCCCCAGCACAGGATCCACTAGGGGAAGCCAGGTGGGCTCTTGAGTCCAGTGGGGACTTGGAGAACTTTTATGTGTAGTTGGAGGATTGTAAATGCACCAATCAGCACTCTGTGTCTAGCTTGGGGTTCATGGATGCACCAATCAGCACTCTGTATCTAGCTAATCTGGTGGGGACTTGGACAACTTTTGTGCCTAGCTGGAGGATTGTAAACGCACCAATCAGCACTCTGTGTCTAGCTCGGGGGGGGGGGGGGGGGGGGGGTGGTTCGTGGATGCACCAATCAGAACTCTGTGTCTAGCTCAGGAATTGTAAACTTGTAAACGCATCAATCAGCACTCTGTGTCTAGCTGAAGGTTGGTAAATGCACCAATCAGTGCTCTGTGTCTAGCTAATCTAGTGGGGATTTGGAGAACTTTTATGTCTAGCTTTGTAAATGCACCAATCAGCACTCTGTGTGTAGCTCAGGGATTGTAAATGCACCAATCAGCACCCTGTCAAAACGGACCAATCAACTCTCTGTAAAACGGACCAATCAGCTCTCTGTAAAATGGACCAATCAGCAGGATGTGGGTGGGGCCAGATAAGGGAATAAAAGCAGGCTGCCCAAGCCAGCAGCGGTTGCAGTGAGCTGAGATTGCACCATTGTGCTCCAATCTGGGCAACAAGAGCAAGACTCTGTCTCAAAAACAACAACAACAAAAAAAAGTGATGTGACTGGCAGCACCCTATGCCTTATTCCCAGTTTGAAAGTAGGTATAGTGCCTTTCTAACCACAGCAATCAGGTAAGATTGAAGGCAACAGTACAAAGGAAGAGTCAAGAAAGACATTATCCTAATATTGTAAATATACATTGCTAGAAGTAGGAGGAAGAAGAGCAACAACAAAGCAACTCTATTTTTAAAAGTCATTTAAAAAATTTGTTTTCCGGCCAGGTGTGCTGGCTCACACCTGTAATCCCAGCACTTTGGGATGCCAAGATGGGCAGATTGCTTGAGCCCAGGGCTTTGAGACCAGCATGGGCAACGTGGTGAAATGCCAGCTCTACAAAAAAATACAAAAATTACCCAGGAGTTGTGGTGTGAGCCTGTAGTCCCAGCTACTCAGGGTTGAGGCGGGAGAATCACCTGAATCCAGGAGTTCGAGGCTGCAGTGAGCCATGATTGCGCCACTGCACTCCAGCCTGGATAAGAGTGAGATCCTCTCTCAAACAAAAATAAAATAAATAAATAAATGGGGCTTCAGCCATCAGGGCATCTGTTGGAGGTTTCCCGGTGGCAAAAAGCAAAGCATCTGATTAATTAGTAACTTCTTTTTCTGACAATTTAATCTCTTACACAGTAGAAGAAACAACCGGGATAACTGCTACTTTGAATTTAAGTCTAGCCAGAAAAAGAGAAGCTAGTTGTAAAATGGATTTTGGGTCTGAGGAGAAAGTGTCCAGGTCACTTTAGATTTTGCGGTAGCCAATGATGTCAAATGTGCTTTTAGATACCAGGAAATTAGATTTTAAGAAGTCGAAGGGGAAGGGCGCAGTGGCTTATGCTGGTAATGCCAGTAATTTTGAGAGACTGAGGCAGGTGGGTCACCTGAGGTCAGGAGTTCGAGACCAGCCTGGCCAACATGGTGAAACCCCATCTCTACTAAAAATACAAAAATTAGCCCGGCACAGTGGTGCGCACCTGTAATCCCAGCTACTCGGGAGGCTGAGACAGGAGAATTGCTTTCACTCTGGAGGCGGAGGTTGCAGTGAGCCGAGATTGTGCCACTGCACTCCAGCCTGGGTGACAGAGCAAGACTCTAACTCAAAAAATAAATAAATAAAATAAGTTGAAGGGAAAAATAAGTCATTTGCAAAGGTCTAAAATTCTACAGGAAAGATTATTTTAAAAGCCTTTAAAAAGCGACATTTTCAACTCAACAAATATTTGTTGATCACTACTACCAGGGGCTGTAATTCTCACAAGGAATTTATCATCTGTGGAGGGAGGAAAATGAGATAAGCACTCAGGTACCCAGCTACCATTTATTGAACATCTACTGTGAAAAACAATATGATTCATAATTTATATAATATTTATAATATTTACAAATACTCTGCAAGGAAGATATTACCTTCAGTTAACAAACAAAGAGATTAAATGTTTAGACTAGTTATGTAAATTGCTCAAAGACTCACAGCTCATGAGGAAATCAGCTCCAGTCCCATTCTTCTTGGATTATTGAATCCACCTGGTAAGGCAAAAAGGGAACTTTGCTTTGTTCTGCTTCTCCCATATGTACTCAAGAACACCAAGAGTTCATTTGTATGTATTTGTCTCCTAAAATGGGCAACTGTTAACAGCTGACTGCAAAGGAATAAAATTGGTTTCATCTTTGAAATTGAGAATATCTGCTAAACTTTGTAGGAGAATCAATTAATTGAATGAAAGGCTTACCATCACCATCCCTTCTATATTTAAAATCTCCTGAACTGTCAGGAACTTCAGAAAATCGTCACTTAAAATACAACTGTTTAATGACAGGATGTGTAAAAAAATTGTATCTTACCATCCTAAGTTATATATTTTTAAAAATAGATCAACTCTTTAATGTTGAAAGTAACTTAGTTGTACAATGTGTTTAGAAGCTTAAAATGTTGGCTGGGCACGGTGGCTCACGCCTATAATACCAGCACTTTGGGAGGCCGAGGAGGGTGGATCACAAGGTCAGGATTTCAAGACCAGCCTGGCCAACATGGTGAAACCCTGTCTCTACTAAAAATACAAAAATAAGCCGGGCATGGTGGCGTGCGCCTGTAGTCCCAGCTACTCAGGAGGCTGAGGCAGGAGAATTGCTTGAACCCAGGAGGCGGAGTTTGTGGTGAGGCGAGATTGTGCCATTGCCCTTCAGCCTGGGCGACAAAGCGAGACTCCGTCTCAAAAAAAAAAAAAAGCTTAAACTGTTTTTTGGTTTTTGTTTTGTTTCATTTTTGAGACAGGGTCTTGCTGTCACCCAGGCTGGAGTGCAGTGGCTCAATTCTCCCACCTAAATAGCTGGAACTACAGACGCACGTCACCATGCCCATCTAATTTTTAAATTTTTGGTTGAGACAGGGGTCTCCCTAAGTTGCCCAGGCTGGTGTCAAACTCCTGGGCTCAAGCGATCCTCCAGCTTTGGCCTCCCAAAATGCTGAGCTTACAGACATGAGCCACTGTGCCTGACCTAGTAGTTTAAAATGTTAAGTAGATACAATTATTATATAAGAGTTTTTCTTGAAACATTTAATAAGTTACACAATAGATTAAAATGGTTATTTAAAACTAAATAAAACTGAAGACTTTATCAATTATATACTGATAAGTTTTGACATATACATATGAATACATATATATTCAATTTGAGTGAATATATGTTAAACATATATATTTATATATGTTAAACATATATTTATATATGTTAAACATATATATTTATATATGTTAAACATATATTTATATATGTTAAACATCTACTTTCTTCCCTATAGTAAATTCTTTTTTTTTTTTTTGAGACAGAGTCTTGCTCTGTCACCCAGGCTGGAGTGCAGTGGAACGATCTCGGCTCACTGCAACCTCCACCTCCTGGGTTCAAGCCATTCTCCTGGCTCAGCCTCCCGCGTAGCTGGGATTACAGGCATGCACCACCACGCCCAGCTAATTTTTGTATTTTTGGTAGAGACAGGGTTTCACCATGTTGGCCAGGCTGGTTTCGAACTCCTGACCTCGTGATCTGCCCGCCTCAGCCTCCCAAAGCGCTGGGATTACAGGCATGAGCCACCGTGCCCGGCCTGTTAGTTAATTCTTGACTGAATTATTGGAATATTAAATTTCAAATCCACATTTACCTATTTAAATTCAACTCATATGTTTTAGTTAAAAATAATAAAGCCAATGAGGTCACAAGATGGGAGTGGTCTAGGAATTAAGTCTTCAGAAGTTCACTGCCTCTGGTACTTGAGGCAGCAGCCCAGGAGGTAGTTTTAGTCAAAGAAGTTCATTGCACTGAAAGAACCACATAGTTAACCACACCCTATTTCCTGTATATTTCTGGATGGTGAAAATATCCAATAAACTGAACATGAAGATTATATTATAACAGCTTTTATTGTATACAACACTTGCTTTCCTGAAAGGTGTCCATGCTTTCCTTTCAGTGGCAAAAAACAAAAAACAAAACAAAACAAAAAACCAAACATGTTTAGAAGTAAATAATGATGAAATTTGGTCCATTCACATCTCTCCCTACACAGAAAATTTTGAGAAACTCATAACACATCTTTAATCAGTTATTTGCTTTGTACAGAGACACATGTATATAGAATTCTTCAAAATTCTCTTGTTACCTACAGGGCTGCCTTGCTGTTGGGGTGGACCCAGAATAAGTAGCATGATGAAGGTTGTAATGGGACTGGGATCTAGCCAGCTCCCTCTGGCCAAGACTTGACTTCTGGTCCAAGAGGAGGAAGGTGTACCTGGTTCTAATCAGTCCACACAGAATGGGCACAAAGGACCTGGCTGTGTTGCCTGAGGCTCTCTAGGGCCCTGCTCTCATAAATAAGAAGGACGAAGGAGGTAGCCTACAAAAAGACTTTCTTCTTATAGGTGTATGGGAATTAATGTATAAATGTAACCTCAGCTTGGCCCTTATGGGCTCTGTACCTTTTTTTTTTGAGACGGAGTCTCACTCTGTTGCCCAGGCTGGAGTGCAGTGGCATGATCTCAGCTCAACTGCAACCTCCGCCTCCTAGGTTCAAGCAATTCTCTGCCTCAGCCTCCCCAGTAGCTGGGATTACAGGCATGCACCACCACACCCAGCTATTTTTTTGTATTTTTAGGGTTTCATCATGTTGGTCAGGCTGGTCTCGAACTACTGACTGCAGGTGATCCACCCGCCTCGGCCTCCCAAAGTGCTGGGATTACAGGTTTGAGCTGCTGCGCCCAGCTTCTGTACATTCTTTTCTTTTCTTTTCTTTTTTTGAGATGGAGTTTTGCTCTTGTTGCCCAGGTTGGAACGCAATGGCATGATCTCGGCTCACTGCAACCTCCACCTCTCAGGTTCAAGCAATTCTCCTGCCTCAGCCTCCCAAGTAGCTGGGATTACAGGCATGCGCCACTACGCCTGGCTAATTTTGTATTTTTAGTAGAGAGGCGGTTTCTCCATGTTGGTCAGGCTGGTCTCGAACTCCCGACCTCGGGTGATCTACCCACCTCGGCCTCCCAAAATGCTGTGATTACAGGTGTGAGCCACCACGCCCAGCCCTTTCGTACATTCTGAACGCATAGATCTAAGACTACAGAGAGCAGGGCCATAGCATCTGTGTTTTGCTAAAGGGAGTGGGATGGAGTGTAATCAAGTACTAGCTATGCTTGCACACTTCTCGACCAGTGAGCACTGATATAATTCTTCTGGCCCTCAAAGAGCATAACCTTATTTGTCGATCAAAAATCTGGCCTCGGCCTGGCATGGTGGCTCACACCTGTAATCCTAGCAGTTTGGGAGGCCTGGGTGGGCAGATAACCTGAGGTCGGGGAAGTCGAGACCAGCCTGACCAACATGGAGAAAACCCATCTCTACTAAAAATACAAAATTAGCCGGGTGTGGTGGCACATGTCTGTAATCCCCACTACTTGGGAGGCTGAGACAGGAGAATTGCTTGAACCCGGGAGGTGGAGGTTGTGAGCTGAGATGGTGCCATTGCACTCCGGCCTGGGCAACAAGAGCAAACAAAGCTCCATCTCAAAAAAAAAAAAAAAAAAATCTGGCCTCAAATAGACCCCTGGCCAATAATATTTTATGGCTCTGATGGGAAAAATATTTAATAATTTGTACTCTTCACACCTCCTTATAATCCCTCTTGATCCTAATTACTGCCTGAACTAGAATCCCAGGGTGCGAAAAAGTGAAGGATCCTTTGAGATCAAGCCCATCAGCCTCTTGCCTTCTGCATGCCAGAACTGAGACCACTTTGTGCTTTCTTTCCCTCTTAATTCTTCCGATATGTTCACATTTTGCATCATTCACAACCTCCTGAGCAAGAAAATATGAGCAAGAAAATCTTGTTCACTGAAAATCTTGCTCTGCATAGCTCCCAGCCCAAACTAAAGAGTGTAAGAGAAAGAAAATAAGAAAACTACATGCTTCAAGAACTTAAAGCACTGTTGTCCTTCATTATATATTATTTGTACACCATACAAACCTTTTGTTTCATTAGTAAAAAAACTTCTTTGAGAGTAGGGGCTGTGTTTTTAAAATTATCTTTTAATATACGTGGAATGTAGTACAGTATCATGAATGCCCAGGAGTTTAATAAATTATTTGTTGGTGATGAGCAGGTCTATTCCCTGGCCTACCAGGAATATCCCACATAATCATCCCAGACAGATGAGAATCCATTCTTGCTTTTAAAGATCTCCAGGGAGTGAGAATCTAAACCTTCTTCCATAACTCATTTCAGTGTCTAATAAGCCTTAGTGTCTGCTGGAAGATTCTTCCCAAGAAGGTGGCATTTAGGAATGCTACCTAGTAAATGCTAGAAGGCACTGGAGCCAGTCGCTTGAATTACTACTAGGAACTACCCTGGGAGGAGGGAGAAGTGTGGGAGCCTAGGTGGGTGCTGATGGGGAAGGCAGTCAAATGAGGAAGAAAAAGGGCAGAGAGTAGGTTCCTTTCCTGCTCAGAGGAAGTGGCATCATACACACTTGGTAGTAGAGTTGTCCAGTGTTAATATGATTTGAGATGGGTAGTAGTCAGGAAGTCGTAGAGTTGGGAGAGCTCTATAATGGTGGAAGGCAAGTCTACCGTTGGCTCCCCAGCTTTTTATACCCTCTCTGAAGCAGTCTCCCTATGAAGATAAAATTGCTGTTACTATTCCCCATTATTATTCCATGGATGCCAGGGTTTTCTGTTAGTAGAAAAGGAATCCAAAGGCCAGAAGCAGTGGCTCACACCTGTAATCCCAGCACTTTGGGAGGCCAAGGTGGGTGGATCACCTGAGATCAGGAGTTCAAGATCAGCCTGGCCAACATGGTGAAACCCCATCTCTACTAAAAATACAAAAAAATTAGCCGGGAGTGGTGGTGGGCACCTGTAATCCCAGCTACTCAGGAGGTTGAGGCAGGAGAATCGCTTGAACCCGGGAGGCGGAGGTTGCAGTGAGCCAAGATCGTGCCATTGCACTCCAGCCTGGGCAAGAGCAAAACTCCGTCTCAAAAAAAAAAAAAGAGGAATCTGCATACCCTAGCTGTGCAAAAAGCGATCTGAATACTTCCTCTGTAAGGGTGCACGTGCAGGAGTGTGCACACACGAGCATGTACATGTGTGTCAAGAAGCTTGGCTGGCGTGCACCCCCACACCCAGCTAATTTTTGTTAGCCAGAATGACAGGACGTGAATGAAGGAAGGGTTAGTAGGAAACTTGCAACCTCTCTGGTCAAAGCAGACACAGACAAGGGATTCTGATTAGGGCTGAAAATCAGACCTGAGGCTCAAACAGAGGAACTACAAATTCAGGGAAAGTCTAGAAGAGGAAGGGGGAAGGCCAGGTGCAGGGAGAATAAGTGGGGAAGTACAGGCCAGAGAAAGTAGGACTGTTCAGTTATCTGCACTGGAAGAGGTGACACAGAGTTCTGCCTCCAGGAAAATAGGTTGGCAGGATCCAGTTCAGAGGTAGGCTTCAGCCCTCTGGTTAGGATATAGGACAGGGCTTCTGACCACCCTCTGTCCATGTCCTTCCTGAATGGAAGGGCAACAGGAATGCTGTGATCAGGGAATCTAGGCAGAAGGAAGGCAGGAAGGTGGCCCGGCCTCCCTACTAGGGGCTTAGGATGAAATGTAACTGGATGGAGTAAGTACTGCTGGATAGATTTGAGGAAATATTTAGATTGGGAACAACCAAAACAAGTTTCAAATCCTGTTAGGCCCTGATTGTTTGGAGGAGAGAAAACAGCCTGCAACAAGCTGGAAGCTTGCTTTGAGGTAACTGAGAGCAGGGGAGGATCGGGCACACAAGGCCAGCAGAAGGGATTGGTACCTCAGTGACGACCAAGAAATTAGTCACTTAGGAGAACTAGGTCATTTTGGGTGAAGAATGACCTGGTTCACCATACCTTAGTGTATCTTTCTCGAGGTCCCCACAGAGAAGGCATTTGATTGGAGAACTGTGGGAAGCAATGGATTTCAAAAACTAGGATAATACAACAAGCCCTAGTGATGTGAAGAACGTGGAGAGGAAGTGTAGGTGGAAGCGAGTGAGTCATAAACAGTGGTTCGTGAACCTTCTAAAGACTGTCAACCCCTTGGAATAGAACAAAGGCTGTGTACTGTTTCAACCCTTATTTCATATTAGCCCCCACAAGTCATTTTCTATAGCCCTGCAGGAACCTGATGTTATTTCGCCCAAATTGTAAACGATTTATTTTATGAATGCTGAATCACAAAACTATGGTTGAAGAAAACACTCTCCACATAAAAGAAATGAATCCCTAACCTGTATCCTACATTTTTATTTTTCTCCCTCCTGTGTGTATGTGTGTGTGTGTGTGTGTGTGTGTACTGTTGATTAGTATCTATTCCAGATATCAGCATTTTCTTTAAAACACAAGAGTTTTCTGTTTGTTTGTTTTTTTGAGAAGGAGTGTCACTCTGTTGCCCAGGCTGGAGTACAGTCGGCACGATTTCAGTTCACTGCAACCTCTGCCTCCCAGGCAATTCTCCGGCCTCAGCTTCCCATGTAGCTGGGATTACAGGCACCCACCACCATGCCAAGCTAATTTTTGTATTTTTAGCAGAGATGGGGTTTCACCATGTTGGCCAGGCTGCTCTCAAACTCCTGACCTCAGGTGATCTGCCTGCCTTGGCCTCCCAAAGTGCTGGGATTACAGGCATGAGCCACTATGCCCGGCAAAACACAAGTTTTGAGAAGCTTTTAGGTCAAAAACTTGAATTCAAATCCAAAGCTGGCCAGAGCCCTAAATACTATTCCTACTTTTCTTGGCAAATAAATTTTCAAATTTCTCTGGCATATTTCTGTGAAAAGTAATAAAATATGATTTATTAAACTTTTTGGTTATAGTGGACCTTTTGTTAACATTTGCTTATACGCTATTATGTGCCTCGTTTAGATCAAATGAAGCTCATTTGAGGTGTTTATCAAATGCAAGCCTGACCTCTCTCTGCCAATACAGTACTGGACTTTCCTTAACACTTCACTAGCTCAAATATTTCCTCTATAAATCCAGAATATAGGTATATATATTTTTAAGTCAAGACTATTCACTGTACAAAACAATGTTTTGACCAGGTACAGGGGCTCACACCTCTAATTCCAGCACTTTGGGAGGCCAAGGCAGGAAGATCACTTGAGCTCAGGAGTTTGAGACCAACCTTGGCAACATGGAGAAACTCTGCCTCTACAAAAAAAAAAAAAAAAAAAAAAATTCACCAGGCTTGGTGGCATGCACCTGTAGTCCCAGCTATTTGGGAGGCTGAGGTGGGAGGATCACCTGAGCCTGGGGAGGTAGAGGCTGCAGTGAGCCATGATTGCGCCTCTGCACTCCAGCCTGAGTGACACAGTGAGACTCTGTCTCAAGAAAAAAAAGACAAAAAAGAAAGAAAAGAAAACAATGTTTTACCACGTGTTAATTTAGGCTAAAGAAATTGCTAGGGTGCGGAGATGGATCTTACTTATTACTAATATTCTAATCTCACATTTTAAAAAATCATCAGGCCGGGCGCGGTGGCTCACGCCTGTAATCCCAGCACTTTGGGAGGCCGAGGCAGGCGGATCACGAGGTCAGGAGATCGAGACTATCCTGGCTAACACGGTGAAACCCCGTCTCTACTAAAAATACAATTAGCCGGGCTCAGGTGGCGGGCGCCTGTAGTCCCAGCTACTCGGGGGGCTGAGGCAGGAGAATGACGTGAACCCGGGAGGCGGAGCTTGCAGTGAGCCGAGATCACGCCCCTGCAGTCCGGCCCGGGTGAAAGAGGGAGACTCCGTCTCAAAAAAAAAAAATAAAATAAAAAAATAAAAAAATCATCATAGGCCGGGTGCAGTGGCTCACGCCTGTAATCCCAGCACTTTGAAAGGCCGAGGCAGGTGGATCACAAGGTCAAGAGATCAAGACCATCCTGGCCAACATGGTGAAACCCCGTCTCTACTAAAAATACAAAAATTAGCTGGGTGTGGTGGCGTGCGCCTGTAGCTCCAGCTACTTGGGAGGATGAGGCAGGAGAATCGCTTGAACCCGGGAGGCGGAGGCTGCAGTGAGCCGAGATTGCGCCACTGCACTCCAGCCTGGTGACAGAGTGAGACTCCGTCTCAAAATAAATAAATAAATAATAAAAATAAAATTAAAATAAAAAGAATTATAGTAAAAGGAACCCTAGGCCGGGCACAGTGGCTCACACCTGTAATCCAAACACTTTGGGAGGCCAAGGCCGGCGGATCGCTTGAGGTTAGGTGTTCGAGACCAGCCTGGCCAATATAGACAAACCCCGCCTCTACTAAAAATACAAAACTAGCTGGGCGTGGTGGTGCCCGCCTATAGTCCCAGCTACTCAGAAGGCTGAGGCAGGAGAATTGCTTGAACCTGGGAGGTGGAGGTCGCAGTGAGCCGAGATTTTGCAACTGCACTCCAGCCTGGGCAACAAAGCAAGAGCTTGTCCAAAAAAAAAAAAAAAAAAAAAAAAAAAAAAAAGGCCAGGCATGGTGGCTCAGGACTTTGGGAGGCCAAGGTGGGTGGATCACCTGAGGTCAGGAGTTCAAGACCAACCTGGCCAACATGGTGAAACCCCGTCTCTACTAAAATATAAAAACTAGCTGGGTGCGGTGGTGGGCACCTGTAATCCCAGCTACTTGGGAGGCTGAGGCAGGAGAATTGCTTGAACTCAGAAGACAGAGGTTGCAGTGAGCTGACACAATGCCACTGCACTCCAGCCTCAGTGATAGAGACTCTGTCTCAAAAGAAAAAAAAAAAGGAATCCTTCCATATTTAGGATGTGTTTTATAATCCTCTTTTTAAAGCACTTCTCAACGTTTCTACCAAGCTACACCCAATGGTAGAACTCATACCCCTGGCAAATAAATGCTCTGCTTTCAGCTTAAAAGCTCTTTAAAATATTATTTTTATCTTGGGCTGGGCCTGGTGGCTCCCACCTGTAATCCCAGCACTTTGGGAGGCCGAGGCGAGTGGATCACAAGGTCAGGAGTTTGAGACCAGCCTGGCCAATATGGTGAAACCCCTTCTCTAGTAAAAAAAAAAAAAAAATACAGCCGGGTGCAGTGGCTCACGCCTGTAATCCCAGCACTTTGGGAGGCTGAGGCAGGTGGATCACCTGAGGTCAGGAGTTCGAGACCAGCCTGACCAATATGGTGAAACCCCGTCTCTACTAAAAATACAAAAAATAGCTGGGCGTGGTGGCAGACACCTGTAGTCCCAGCTGCTGGGGAGGCTGAGACAGGAGAATTGCTTGAACCCGGGAGGCGGTGGTTGCAGTGAGCAGAGATTGTGCCACTGCACTCCAGCCTGGGCGACAGAGCAAGACTCTGTCTCAAAAAAAAAAAAAAAAAAAAAATTTCAAAAATTAGCTTGATGTGGTGGCGAGCACCTGTAGTCCCGGCTACTCGGGAGGCTAAGGCAGGAGAATCGCTTGAACCCAGGAGGCGGAGGTTGCAGTGAGCCAAGATTGTACCACTGCACTCCAGCCTGGGCGATAGAGCAAGACTGCGTCTCAAAAAAAAAAACCATATATATATATATATATATATATATATATATATATATAAAATTATTATCTTAAAACTCTATCTTTTTTTCCCTTTTGAGACAGGGTTTCTCTCTTTTGCCCAGGTAAGACTGCAGTGGCTCTATCACGGCTCACTGCAGCCTCGACCTCCTGGGCCCAAGCCATCCTGTCACCTCAGCCTCCCAAGTAGCTGGGACTACAGGCATCTACCACCATACTGGGCTAATTTTTGTGGGGTTTGTTTTGTTTTGTTTCTCACTCTGTCACCCAGATTGGAGTGCAGTGATGTGATCTGAGCTCATTGCAACCTCTGTTTCCCGGGTTCAAGTGATTCTCTAGCCTCAGCCTCCCGAGTAGCTGGGGCTACAGGCATGCGCCAACATGCCCGGCTAATTTTTGTATTTTTAGTAGAGACAGGGTTTCACCACGTTGGTCAGGCTGGTCTCGAACTCCTGACCTCGTGATCTACCCACCTCATTCTCCCAAAGTGCTGGAATTACAGGCGTGAGCCACCGGACCCGGCCTAATTTTTGTATTTTTTATAGAGATGGGGTTTCACCATGTTGCCCAGGCTGGTCTGGAAATCCTAGAGTCAAGGGATCTGCCCATCTCAACCTCCCAAAGTGCTAGGATTACAGGCATGAGCCACCCTGCCTGGCAAGGCATTGGAGGGTTTTTTTTGTTTGCTTGTTTGTTTTTTTCTGAGATGGATTCTTGCTCTTGTTGCCGAGTGCAGTGGTGTGATCTTGTCTCACCACAACCTCCACCTCGAGGGTTCAAGCAATTCTCCTGCCTAAGCCTCCCAAGTAGCTGGGAATACAGGTGCCCGCCACCATGCCTGGCTAATTTTTTTTTTTAATTTTAGTATAGACAGGGTTTCGCCATATTGGCCAGGCTGGTCTCGAACTCCTGAGCTCCGGTGATCCACCCACCTTGACATCCCAAAGTGCTGGGATTACAGACATGAGCCACCATGCCTGGCCAGCACTGGAGGTTTCTAAAAGTTGTTTTGTGCAAATGTTTTGGAGAAAAGCCAGCAAGTAGGTAGGAGAGTAGTTAGGAGGTTTTGGAGATGACAGATACTGTTCCTAGGTCTAATTTGCAAATATGCATATTTTAATCAATTCATAGAATTTAAAAAGATCTCTAAGATGAAATTCATGTCAAAGCTTCCAGGTATTTACTTACCTAGACTACTAAAAGTAGAAAATTATTTATAATTTACAACCTCCACAGAACATAATACTAAAATTTATTGTGGGACAACTCTCTTACTACCTTTTGAAGTCACATACCTTGTTCGACACAGGAGCCCTTATCAGGGAGCTCTCCCTGAGCTTCCCCAGGAAAGGGCCAGTGCAGTGAGCTCAGTGGGTGCTTCCCCAAGATGCCTTCAGGCCGGCTCTAGACAATTGTGAAACAGGTGAAATCGTTTCCACGCCTTTTCTGCCTGGCCAGTGGCCCACTTCAGGCCTCTAGGCCATGGGGACCAAAGCTTCCCCACTTGCAGCTTTTCTCAGCCCGTCTCCCCTCTTATTTTTTCTTCCCAAATATCATGTTCCTGTTGAAAACTCTTTTGTTGACTGAGCGCGGTGGCTCATGCCTGTAATCCCAGCACTTTGGGAGGCCGAGGCAGGCAGATCACCTGAGGTCAGGAGTTTGAGACCAGCCTGACCAACATGGAGAAACCCCGTCTCTACTAAAAATACAAAACTAGCCGGGCGTGGTGGCACATACCTGTAATCCCAGCTACTCGGGAGGCTGAGGCAGGAGAATCGCTTGAACCCGGGAGGCGGAGGTTGCAGTGAGCCGAGATCGCACTGTTGCACTCCAGCCTGGGCAACAAGAGTGAAACTCTGTGTCAAAAAAAAAAAAGAACACTCTTTTGTCCTTTGCCTTACACCAATAACCTTCCCCTGTATTCCATTACAAGTAGCCTGACACGTTAACTCACATTAAATGTATTGTAAAGTTCTTTTTTTTTTTTTTTTTGAGAGAGTTTTGCTCTTGTTGCCCAGGCTAGGGTGCAATGGTCAATATCGGCTCACAGCAACCTCTCCCTCCCGGGTTCAAGTGATTCTCCTGCCTCGGCCTCCCAAGTAGCTGGGATTATGGGATTACAGGCGTGCGCCACCATGCTGGGCTAATTTTTGTATTTTTAGTAGAGACGGGGTTTCTCCATGTTGGTCAGGCAGGTCTTGAACTCCTGACCTCAGGTGATCCACCCACCTCAGCCTCCCAAAGTGCTGGGATTATAGGCATGAGCCACTGCACCCAGCCTAAATGTATTGCAAAGTTCTAATAAGTATTTGGAAGTCATGGCTTTCTATCAATTCTTAGGTAAAGAAGTGTTTTATAAGTTCCCTCCCTTCCTCTCACCTCCTGGCCTTCAAGCCATTTCTTTTTGTTATTTAAGAATAGCTTTAGCGCTTAGTAGCTCAAATTTAAGGTAGGAAGAGAAGACTTTGGCCAGGCTGGTCTTGAACTCCTGACCTCAGGTGATCCGCCCGCCTGACCTCCCAAAGTACTGAGATTACAGAAGTGAGCCACCACGCCCGGTTTTACAACTGTGTATTCTTATTGCAAAGCCAGGCTCTGTAAAGATGGCATTTTATCTGAGAGTCAGGTTTACCAACAGGTAAAACTCTTCTTACTGAGGGCAAGCTCTTCCTGAAGACATTGAGATATTCCATTTTTGGCTACTAAGAGAGAAAGGTTGCTACTCCATTTTCCTGGAATACAGTAATGCTGGGTTTCATTGCTCTGCAATATTGTCTTGGGCATAAGTTCCCAAATGGAATGTGGCATGAAACATAATTCTTGCAGAGTTGCTCATGCATGCAGCTATGTGTGGCATAAAAATCCCCAGAGCAAACCTTCAGGTCGCCAAACAGTGTTAGTCCTAAAGTACCTCAGTGGAACATACCTGAAATTTCATGAAGCCTCACCACAGTCAGAACGTTATGCCCCTTTCCTCATCTGAATGCCTCTCTCATTGCTTGGGAGGCCCTACTTCAAGTTAAATGGCCAGCACTGCAAGGGAGGGCAGGATCAGACTCAGGTAAAATGGGGAGGTTGACAGATTATTTCTTCAGGTTAGAAAATCAGTAACTCGAACCCATAGGCCAAATCCAACTGAAGCCAGAGCTCCGAATAATTCATACGTTTTTAAATGGTTGGGGGAGGGGGAAGAGGGAGACAACAGAGAACGTGGCCTACAGAGCTTCAAATAGTTACCATCTGGCCCTTTACAGTAAAAGTTTGCTGGCGCCAGCTTCTGAGCCCTCACACCTCCCTTTCTCTGCCTTACTCCTCTTTAACCCTTCTTCATGCTCTCTAGAAAGGAGCCCGCCCCAGCCCTCAGCTCCTGGTTTATATACTCCATAATTAGAGTTAATCCTCCTACCCAAAGGCAAACCCATTGAATTGACTGCTTTTTCCCAACTAGAGAGAGGAGCCGCTGTTCTGGTTCTTCTCCTTTTCCCCTCCTCACTTTCCCCTGACTAAGGGGCCAGGGAACAGAGATGCCCTTCCCCAGCCACCCAGGCAGTGGGTATTCCAGTTCTCAGCGCCTAGGGGAAGGGGTTCCCATCAACCAGGGGCTTCTGGACACTCTTGTGTACCCTCTGCAAAAGCACTGGAGAGGTCTGCTCCTTGGGTTAACCCCTTTGGGTTATGACACCTATGGTCCTAAGAGAGGATTTATAAGAACTCTGGGCTCACCTTCGTGACCCATAATGCTCTCTGGATGCCAGCCCTTCAACAGTTTTCTTTCTCCCTTGCCAGGCTTGGATCTGTTTGTAGTATAGAGTGGTAGTTAAAGGCATGACCTCATCTACCTAGATAAAAATCCACCTCTGACATTTACTAGCTAAGGAACCTTGGTCGTTTAATCCATGTGTGTTGGGTTTCCTCATCTGTGGAAAGGAGATAATAGTAGTCCTTACTTCATGGCCTGGTGCAGTGGCTCACGCCTGTAATCCCTGCACTTTGGGAGGCTGAGGTGGGCGAGTCACCTGAGGTCGAGAGTTCGAGACCAGCCTGACCAACACGGAGAAACCCCTGTCTGTACTAAAAATATGAAATTAGCTGGGCGTGGTGGTGCATACCTGTAATCCCAGCTACTCGGGAGGCTGAGGCAGGAGAATTGCTTGCACCTGGGAGGCAGAGGTTGTGGTGAGCCGAGATCGCGTCATTGTACTCCAGCCTGGGCAACAAGAGCAAAACTCTGTCTCAAAAAAAAACAAAAAAACAAAAAAAAACAGTCCCTACTTCAGGCTGTGGTGAGGTTTACATGAGTTAATCTGCATGAAATTATTTTGAACAAGGCCTAACACATAGTAAGTACTCAAGACAGTGCTAGCTCTCACTATTGTTTGAGGGTTTGAGGTTAAGCTGTATCCTGGCTGGTCTTGGCCCAGCTCTCCATGTCCTTAGGCTGTTATATAGCTCAAGGGGAGGTGAGCTCTCAAACTGAGGCCAGGCCACCCAATAGGGTAGGCAAAACTGAAACAGGTGAAATGTTATGAGAGGCTTCCACTTCCCTTACTCTTTGTGTCTTCCTACAGAGAATAATGACTAAAAACACCTTGCTTTTGTATGGAGGTTATGATCTGCTTTCACAAACATTTAATTTGACACATGCAACAGCCCCGGTACATAGACGTCACATGGCAGGCAACTGCAAATGTTGACTGAGTGAGGGAAATGAACTGGGAGGCTGCCAATTTGCTGTATGGTTGGGTGTGGTGTACCCTCTGCTCTCTGTTCTGATTGGTTGCAAGGCATATAGAACTGGTCAATAAGTATTTTGACTATCCACTCTGGAAATTTGTTGTTAATGTGGGGCCAATTTTATCAGTAAGGAAACTGCGTTTCTCAGCCATTTGATGCCTGTCTGAGAACATACAACAGTGAAGGTAGAGCTGTGTCTAAAACCCAGTTTCTCTGGCCTATAATCTATCCCTGTGGCTGTTACACCTATTGCTAAATATGCATAAAATAAAGTTTGTTTTGTTCAGTGGCAATAATTAACTCAGTACTGGCACGCACTGTCTTCCTAGTTTGTTGCTCAATGAAGACTCACAATATTAGAAGGCTATCTATAAAGGGGAGTGTACTTGTTTTGTGTTGCTGTAACAGAACACCGGAAACTGGGTAATTTATAAAGAAAAGAGGTTAATTTAGCTCAGGATTCTGCAGGCTGGGAAATTCAAGAAGCATGGTGCCAGCATCTGCTGTTGAGGGCTTTCATGCTGCATCATAACGTGGAGAAAGGTCAAAGGGAAGTGGACACAGGGGAAGAAGTAAAACCCTGACGGACATCTTTCTCTATAAAAACCTGTTCTTTTATTAGTGAGAACTAATCCATTCCCCCAAGAACTAAACCAGTCTCGAGAGAGCAAAAACTCACTCACGGCCCAGAGAACAACACAGAGCCATTCATGAGGAATCCACCCCCAAGAGCCAAGCACCTCCCACTAGACACCACCTCCCAACGCAACCCATTGTGGATCAAATTTATAAACATCAGTTCTGGTGTGGACAAACCATATTCAAACCATAGCAAAGAGAAAGCTCTTATGCCCTAGGAGGAGCTTTCTGTAGTCTTTGCAGGTTCCCCCTTTCCTCAGAGAACAAGTGATTTACAAGATTATAGGAAGGACGTGAGTGAGTACAAGTGCTCAGCGACTTTCCCTCTCTTTTTGAAGGAGCCTTGCCTCAGGACACATACTTTCTCTTGTCCTCTGCCCCTTGATAAGCAGTTTCCCTGGGAGGGAAGGGCTGCCTATGGCTAGGTAGGACAAGTTTAGTGGGAGGGAACTACCAGAAAGTCCAGCTGGGCATGGTGGCTCATGTCTGTAATTCCAGCAGTTTAAGGGGCCGAGGTGGGGAGATCGTTTGAGCACAGGAGTTCGAGACCAGCCTGGGCAACATAGCAAGATCCCATCTCTACAAAAAAATACAAAAATTACATGAGTGTGATGGTGCATGCCTGTAGTCCCAGCTACTTGGGAGGCTGAAGTGGGAGAGTTGCTTGAGCCCAGAAGGCAGAGGTTGCAGTGAGCCGAGATCACGGCACTGAGTTCCATCCCGAGTTATAGAATGAGACCCTTTCTCAAAACCAAAAAAAAAAAAAGTCCATTTGGTTGCATATCCAAGCTTTGATCTTACAAAAAATTAAAAACAAAAGATCAAGCAATAAAATAAAAACATTTTACCAAATAGAGACACAATTTACCAAACTGTGTTCCACAGAAAGCAAACTTTGCATGATCTTGAAAGGTATGTCTTTTATTTTTTTTGAGACAGAGTCTCACTCTGTTGCCCAGGCTGGAGTGCAGTGGCGCGATTCAGCTCACTGCAACCTCCGCCTCCTGGGTTCAAGCTATTCTCATGTCTCAGCCTCCCGAGTAGCTGGGATCACAGGCGCCTGCCACCGTGCCCAGCTAAGTTTTGTATTTTTCAGTAGAGACGGGGTTTTGCCAGGTTGGTCAGGTTGGTCTCGAACTCCTGACCTCAGGTGATCCACCCACCTCGGCCTCTCAAAGTGCTGGGATTACAGGCATGAGCCACCGCGCCTGGCCAAAAGTTATGTCTTTAAGAAGTGTTCAATAGGCTGATAAGATTGTTTTTATTTTTTTATTTTTTTTGAGACGGAGTTTCACTCTTGTTGACCAGGCTGGAGTGCAATGGCGCGATCTCAGCTCACTGCAACCACCCCCTCCAGAGTTCAAGCGATTCTCCCGCCACAGCCTCATGGCTGATAAGATTTTTACAATGCAAGATTTTTCAGTATTTTATATGCTAAAAAGCAATGCAGACCTCTAGAAGGTGAATTTAACATTTATTAGCAGGATGTCGTGGTGCACAATCCCTGGGTGTTGTGGCCTGTAATCTCAGCTACACAGGAGGCTGAGGCAGGAGAATTGCTTGAACCCAGGAGGCGGAGGTTGCAGTGAGCCAATATCGCACCACTGCAGGCCAGCCTGGGTGACAAGAGGAAAACTTTGTCCCAAAAAACAACAACAACAAGGAAAATAAAAACGTCACATTTCCCAAACATCCTTAATGTTGGAACTCTTTACTTCCAGAAGCACAGACTACGTGCCCATTATGAGCGGAATACAGTTTGGGAAATGCTGACATAAGGAAATGATAGTTGTTATAATGGCTGTTACCTGACCAACAGATATTTGGGACAATCTCAGAAAGTGCATTTGGCTTACTTTCTAGTAGCTATAACAATATTGGGGGTGGGGTGGGGGTGGTTGGAACTACAGAGCCAGCCACAAACATGAGCAATATACAGTTAATTTCTATATGAATTGAAGCACCATCAGGAGGAAAACAATTCAAAGATTCAGGCTAAAACGGAGTACTATACAAATTGAGCTCAGTCATGTGTCTCAGCAATCTGGTAGGAGGGGTGCAAGTTCATATCATTTCCAAGTGGTGCAACCTGAATCTGTGGACTTGAATTGTAGCAAGACCATCCCATTTGAAGGCAGGACCTTAGTGTTCCCATTGGCTGGCATAAGGAGTGTTCAGCACATCTTAGCAGCTTTGAGAAAAACCGCCCTGATGTCTGCATCTCCAGCCAGAACCACTCAGGTCAATAAGCTACTCAGTCCACTGGAGAGGTGTCTGCTATAATCTGAATGTGTGTGGCCTCCCAAAATCCATATGTTGAAATACTAATCCCCAAGGTGACGATATTAAGACTTGGAGCTCTTTTGGGAGCTCTCATGAATGTGATTAGTGCCTTCATAAAAGAGGCACGAGGGAGTGTGTTTGCCCCTTTTATCATGTGAGGACACAGCAGAAAGGTGCCATCTATTAACCAGGAAGTAGGCCCTGACCAGACACCGAATCTGCCAGTGCCTTGATCTTTGACCTCACAGCCTCCAGAACTAGAAGAAATAAATTTCTGTTGTGTAGAAGTCACCTAGTTTATGTATTTTGTGATAGCACTCCCAACTGACTAAGACAGCAACTCAGCTCACCTGGGCCAGTAGAATTGTTTATTTAAGGCATTAGGTTTTTTTTAGCCTTAGGAGAGCATAAAGTCAAAGCGATAAAACAAATCAAACCCATCGTCTTATTGTATTTACTTATTCATTTGTTTATTTGTGAAACAGGGTCTCTCTGCAGCCAGGCTGGAGTGCAGTGGCGCAAACATGGCTCACTACAACCTCCACCTCCCAGCTCCGGCGAACCTCCCACCTCAGGCTCCCCGGTAGCTGGGACTACAGGCATGCACCACCACAGCCAGTTAATTTTAGTATTTTTTTGTAGAGATGGGATTTCGCCATGTTGCCCAGGCTGGTCTTGAACTCCTGGCCTCAAGTGATCTGCCCGCCTTGGCCTCTCAAAGTGCTAGGATTATAGGCGTGAGTCACTGTGTGTGGCCACTATTGTTTTCATTTATGTTTAGAAATACTTGTGCATATTTGTATTTGGTATTTTAACTATTTGTAATCTTTTACGTAATTCGACATTTTAGGATTTCTAACAAGTTATCCTTGTGAAACCAGTTTAAAACACCTAAGTGAAAACTGTAATTAATTCAGATTCATGATTTTAAGTGAAAATATATGAGAATTTTATTAAATCTGTAAACATTTTTGTAATGTTCAAGAGAACTTGATTCATATTTTATAATTTATCATATTTATAAGCATTACTTAACTACTTGTGATTCTTTGTTGAGCAACTGAAGTATTTTAAAAAGACTGAATACATTAAATGAATTAATGTAGTTTAATAATTCAAGGAAATTTAATTAACCAAATTGTAAACATTCTCTTAAAAAACAGAGTTAGATTTGTAACCTGAATTTCAAAGCTCAAAGGAAAAGTAGGTTTTCAAATTTGTAATAAATGAAATGGAATTACTATACATTGTCTTCTTTGCCCACAAAACCTGTCTTCAAGAATACCCTATACTGGCCGGGTGCAGTGGCTCACACCTGTAATCCCAGCACTTTGGGAGGCCGAGGTGGGTGGATCACCTGAGGTCAGGAGTTCAAGACCAGCCTGGCCAACATGGTGAAACCCTGTCTCTACCAAAAATACAAAAAAATTAGCCGGGGGTGATGGTGTGTGCCTATAGTCCCAGCTACTCAGGAGGCTGAGGCAGGAGAATCGCTTGAACCCAGAAGGTTGAAGTTGCAGTGATGCGAGATAATGCCACTGTACTCCAGCCTGGGCGACAGAGTGAGACTCCCCCCAACCCCAACCCGCCCACACACACAGAATATCCTATACCCGGGCCGGGCACAGTGGCTCACCCCTGTAATCCCAGCATGTTGGGAGGCTGAGGCGGGTGGATCACCTGAGGTCAGGAGTTTGAGACCAGCCTGGCCAACATGGTGAAATCTCTTCTCTACTAAAATACAAATATTAGCTGGGTGTGGTGGTGGGCATCTGTAATCTCAGCTACTCAGGAGGCTGAGGTAGGAGACTTGCTTGAACCCAGGGGTCGGAGGTTGCAGTGAGCCGAGATCATGCCACTGCACTCCATCCTGGGTGACAAGAGCGAAACTCCATCTCAAAAAAAAAAAAAAGAACACCCTATACCTAAATTGCCATGAGGCAGCACGGGTGGTGATGGTGGATGGTGAGAGGGGTAGGGAGTGAGTGAGACAAAGGTCTTCCTTTTGTAATCAGTAGATACACTAACAGTACCAAAGCATGCAACAGATGGAATCCAACAGATTGATCGTAATTACGCCTGCATTCAGCAAACATTTTTCTAGATTCTAGCCTAAAATATGTGGGTCACATAAATGTGATTAAGATGTGGTTCTTCTCCTCAAGCAGTTTCTCCTTTTTTCCACTTTGCATTTCTCTGCTCTTCTCATTCACTGAAGTACTTTTTAGCAAACACTTGAATTTTCCTGCCTTGATCTGCTTAGTTTTATTCATTGGAAAAGCAGATACTGCACTTGGCCTTGAGTTCAAATCCTTGTTTTGCCATTTGCAGCATGACCTTAGACAAACTATATGGTCTTATTACTTCAGTTTCTTCATAAATCAAATAGAGATAATAATATTATTTACCTGTTATGGACAACATGTTTGTGTTTCTCCAGAATTCATATATGGAAACACTAGCCCTAAATGGTATGGTATTAGGAGGTGGGGCCTTCAGAAGGTAATTAGGTCACAGCCTACATGATGGGATTAGTAATCTTGTAACAAGAGACAGGAGAGAGCTTGCTTCCTGTCTTACTGTTTTACACCACTTACACACAGCAAGAAGATGGTCAGCAGCACCCAGGAAGAGGCCCTCACCATAACTTGATCATGCTGGCACTTTGCTATCAGACTTCCCAAATTCCAGAACTGTAAGAAATAAGTGTTTTGTTTGTTTGTTTGTTTGAGACGGAGTTTTGCTCTTGTTGCCCAGGCTAGAGTGCAATGGCGCAATCTCGGCTCATTGGTTCTCCTGCCTCAGCCTCCCGAGTAGCTGGGATTACGGGCATGCGCCACCACACCCAGCTGATTTTCGTATTTTTAGTAGAGATGGGGTTTCGCCATGTTGGCCAGGCTGGTCTCAAACTCCTGACCTCAGGTGATCTGTCCGCCTCAGCCTCCCAAAGTGCTGGGATTACAGATGTAAGCCACCGCGCCCGGCCAAGTGTTTGTTGTTTAAGCCACCGAGTCTATGGTATTTTTGTTATAGCAGTCCAAATTGACTGAGGCATTACCTTTTCAGGTTGTTGAGAAAATCAGAGACAATTACATGTTAACATACCTTGAAAAGAGTTGATAACATGCTTAATAAATGGTAGCAATTAACATTATCTATGGTTTCCATCAATATCCTTATGGTTAGAAAAAGTCACCTAATGCTGACCCATGATTTCATATGTTTAGGCTTTTCACTACATCAAGAGCAGAAGAGCATTGGAAAGAAAACATTTGAGGTAGGAGACAATTGAGGTGACAGAGAACTCAATGCTTTTTTACTTATATTTACTCTCTAGGTGATTGCATCTAGGTCCATGATTTCAAATATCATTGCTTTACTATGAGTCTCAAAGTTATATCTCCAGTTCCAGTTGCACCTCTGAACATCAGATTTATATATCTGGCTACCTATTCAACATCATCATGAGGATGTATAATAGGCACACCAAATGCTAAAACAGAACTCTTGATAGTTCCCTCATAAACTAGGTCTTCTTCTAGCCGTTCCCATCTCAGTAAATGGCAACTCCATTCTTCTACTTGTTTGGTCTAAAATCTTGGAATAATTTTTTTGTTGTTTTTGTTTTTGAGATGGAGTTTCGCTCTTGTCACCCAGGCTGGAGTGCAATGGCGTGATCTCGGCTCACTGCAACTTCTGCCTCCCGGCTTCAGGTGATTCTCCTGCCTCAGCCTTCTGAGTAGCTGGGGTTACAAACGTGTGCCATGATGCCCAGCTAATTTTTTTGTATTATTAGTAGAGATGGGGTTTCACCATGTTGGCCAGGCTGGTCTCGAACTCCTGATCTCAGGTGATCACCTGCCTTAGCCTCCCAAAGTGCTGGGATTATTACTGGCATGAGCCACCTCGAACGGCCCCCACTTAAGCTTTTAAAAGTGTTGGGATTACAGGCGTGAGCCACCACACCTAGCCTCCGCTGGTCCTTTAAAATGGAAGGTGGTTCAAGTCACTTCTTTGCTCAAAGCCTCCTGGTGGCTTTCTTTTTTTTTTTTTTTTTGGGACGGAGTCTCGCTCTGTCACCCATGCTGGAGTGCAGTGGCACCATCTCGGCTCACTGCAAGCTCCGCCTCCCGGGTTCACGCCATTCTCCTGCCTCAGCCTCCCAAGTAGCTGGGACTACAGGCACCCGCCACCATGCCCGGCTAATTTTTTTTATTTTTAGTAGAGACAGGGTTTCACTGTGTTAGCCAGGATGGTCTCCATCTCCTGACCTCGTGATCCGCCTGTCTGGGCCTCTCAAAGTGCTGGGATTATAGGCGTGAGCCACCGCGCCCGGCGCCTCCTGGTGTCTTTCTATGACATGAGAAGAAAAAAGTCCTTCACATCTGGTCCCTGTCCCCGTCTCCTGCCACTCCTTTCTTACTTCATGCCAATTAACTGACATCATTTTTATTCTTAGAATATAGCATATTTGTTATATTATTCTTTTGTACATAATATTCCTTCTGCCCAGAACATTCCTTTTTCTGATAGTGGCATACTCACTCTGCTACTTCCTTTAGTTTTTTGCTCACATGTCATCTTAACTGAGCAGCCTTCTCTAAACCCCATATCTAAAATAATATATACTGGCTGGATGTGGTGGCTCATGCCTGTAATCCTAGCACTTTGGGAAGCTGAGGTGGGAGGGTCAGTGAGGCCAGGAGTTTAAGTTTACAATGAGCTATGATCATACTGAGAGGTGACAGTGTGCTGGCAGCCCTCGCAGCCCTCGCTCGCTCTCAGCGCCTCCTTGGCCTCCGCGCCCACTCTGGCCACGCTCGAGGACCCCTTTAGTCCGCTGCTGCACTGTGGGAGCCCCTCTCTGGGCTGGCTGAGGCCGGAGCCGGCTCCCTCTGCTTGCCGGGAGCTGTAGAGAGAGAGGGACGAGCGGGAACCGGGGCTGTCTGTGCACAGCGCTCGTGGACCAGCGTGAGTTCCAAGTGGGCGGGGCCACGGGCTAGCGTGAGTTCTGGGTGGGCATGGGCTTGGCGGCCCCGCACTCAGAGCCGTCCGCCGGCGCCACTGGCCTGGGCAGTGAGAGGTTTAGCACCCGGGCCAGCAGCTGCAGAGGGTGCGCCAGGACCCCAGCACTGCCGGCCCGCCATGCTTGAATTCTCACCGGCGCTCAGCCGCCTCCCTGTGGGGCAGGGCTCGAGACCTGCAGCCCGCCATGCCTGAGCCCCCTAGCAATGGGCTCCCGTGTGGCCCAAGCCTCCAAGACGGGTGCCGCCCCCTGCTCTGCGGCGCCCGGTCCCATCAACTGCCCAAAGGCTGAGAAGTGCAGGCACGCAGCGTGGGACTGGCAGGCAGCGCCACCCGCGGCCCCAGCACTGGATCCACTAGGTGAAGCCAGCTGGGCTCCTGAGTCAGATGGGGACTTGGAGAACTTTCATGTCTAGCTGGAGGATTGTAAATGCACCAATCAGCACTCTGTGTCTAGCTCGAGGTTTGTAAACACACCAATCAGCACCCTGTGTCTAGCTCAAGGTTTGTAAATGCACCAATCAGTGATCTATGTCTAGCTAATCTAGTGGGGACTTGGAGAACCTTTATGTCTAGCTAAGGGATTGTAAATACACCAATCAGCACTCTGTGTCTAGCTCAAGGTTTGTAAATGAACCAATTGGCACTCTGTATCTAGCTAATCTAGTGGGGACTTGGAGAACCTTTATGTCTAGCTAAAGGATTGTAAATATACCAATCAGCACTCTGTGTCTAGCTCAAGGTTTGTAAACACAGCAATCAGCACCCTGTGTCTAGCTCAAGGCTTGTAAATGCACCAATCAGTGCTCCATGTCTAGCTAATCTAGTGGGGACTTGGAGAACTTTTGTGTCTAGCTCAGGGATTGTAAACACACCAATCAGCACCCTGTCAAAACGGACCAATCAGCGCTCTGTAAAACAGACCAATCAGCTCTCTATAAAATGGACCAATCAGCAGGCTATGGGTGGGGCCAGATGAGGGAATAAAAGTAGGCTGCCGGAGCCAGCAGTGGCAACCTGTTTGGGTCCCCTTCCATACTGTGGAAGCTTTGTTCTTTAGCTCTTTGCAGTAAATCTTGCTGCTGCTCACTGTTTGGGTCTGCACTACCTTTATGAGCTGTAACACTCACCACGAAGGTCTGCAGCTTCACTTCTGAGGCCAAGGAGACCACGAACCCACCAGAAGGAAAAAACTCCAAACATGTCTGAACATCAGAAGGAACAAACTCTGGACACACCACCTTTAAGAACCGTAACACTCACCGTGAGGGTCCACGACTTCATTCTTGAAGTCAGCGGGACCAAGAACCCACCAATTTTGGACACAAATACCACTGCACTAGAGTCTGGGTGACAAAAAGACTCTGCCTAAAACACAATACAATAAAATAACATATATACCCATTATCCCACTTTATTTTATTTAAGCTTGGTTGTCTTTTACCTACCTTCCTAGAAGCTAGGTGTGGTCATAAGACCAAGCACTGGTTAATGGAATATTAGAGGAAGTGATAAATGCAACTGCCAGGATGTGTCCTGAAAGGAAAGGCCTAGCCCTCTATTTCTTCTGTTTTCTTTTCCAATGGCTGGAATTTGAAAATGATGGCAGGAGCAAGAAAAACCATTTTAGACCAGTGGATGGAAGATATATGTTGAGATAGAACAATCTAGGTCTTTGACATCTTACTCCAGAATGACAGTCACATAAGATAATACGCTTTCATCTTGTTTAAGCCATTTTTATATTCCTTTTTTTTTTTTTAACAGTGGTCAAACAATAGCCTAATACAGACATATTTTTTGAAAGTCTGTGTGTACTCCCAACCCTCACCCAACGTGGGATGTAAGCCCTGTGAAGAGTAGGGGCTGTTTTTGGTTTACTGAGACAGTGCCTGGCACACTAAACATTCAATAAACATTGAATGAATAGCAAAACCATCAATATAATACTAGGCCTTGAGTGCTTCCCTGAGAAAGTATGTGGCTGGTCAGTATAAGTAAGTGATTGTACAGCAACATGCTGTGTGTGTGGTTGGTTTTCTGTTTTGACTGAATCACAATCGCAGGATACAACCTGCTATTTTCATTATCTGAGAGGCATAAATACTTGTAAGATAGTTGTATGTTTCTTTTGCAATTTAAATGAAGACTCTCAAGTAAAGTTTATTGTTGTAATGAAATTGGGTCATAGAAGCATGGAAAACTGTGACAAGGTTCACACTGATGAGGAAAGGTCACAAGCAACACGCTATGCACTGAAGGAGAAAAGCAGCTTGTGTACTGACATCTTGAGATGTGTGGTTGGCATGTGCCTCATCTCGGAAGAACCACAAAGAATTGCACAAGGTAAGTCAAAATGAAACGGAAACATCACAGAGTATCAGCAAGACGCCTGGGGGTAAACGCTACAGACGTAAAGCCACTGAATTCCAGGGTGAGTAAAGAATATAAAATGAGTTATAGCACTAGGAGAATATTTTTGGTATCAAATGTCTTTTTTATACAATTAAGTTTGTTTTGAATACTTTATGTAGATGAGCTAATGTAAACAATTTAAAACATCATGATGATTTAAAAATATATATAGTAATGAGACCCTGTAGTCCTGGGATTGAAGCAGTTTCAATTTAAAATGTTCCATGTCTTTAGCGATGAAAGTTGCAAATGTGTAGGCTATCTTGCCATGCCACACTCCTCTCGGAAAAATATTACTGAAATAAAACAAGTCAGGATTTGTTTTTTTTTTTTTTTTTTTTTTGAGATGTAATCTCACTCTGTCACCCGCCCAGGCTGGAGTGCAATGGCAAGATCTCGGCTCACTGCAACCTCCCCCTCTCGGTTTCAAGCCATTCTTCTGCCTCAGCCTCCTGAGTAGCTAGGATTACAGGCATGTGCCACCACGCTCAGCTAATTTTTGAATTTTTAGTAGAGACGGGGTTTCACCATGTTGGTCAGGCTGGTCTCGAACTCCCGACCTCGTGATCCGCCCGCCTCGGCCTCCCAAAGTGCTGGGATTACAGGTGTGAGCCACTGCACCCGGCAAAACAAGTCAGGATTTGTTTAGCCATTTTACAATATATAGTAACTTCTGATAACAGTTACTGGTATGAGGTTTCTCTTCATTGAGTAATTAGCTAGAAAATTCAAGAGAGAACTTTTTTTTTTTGAGACGGAGTCTCACTCTGTCGCCTAGGCTGGAGTGCAGTGGCACTATCTCGGCTCACTGCAACCTCCGCCTCCAGGGTTCAAGCGATTCTCCTGCCTCAGCCTCCCAAGTAGCTGCGATTACAGGCACCCGCCACCACGCCCGACTAATATTTTGTATTTTTAGTACAGACGAGGTTTCACCATGTTGGCCAGGCTGGTCTTGAACTCCCGACCTCAAGTGATCTGCCCACCTCAGCCTCCCAAAATGCTAGGATTACAGGCGTGAACCACCACACCCAGCGGAGAACTTAATGTGTTCCTTTGCTTTACAATTTCTTAGTAATACAGTAATATCTCCTTTCTAGAAACACATTAACATTTAATTCAAAGTGTAATGGGAGTGTTAGATTAGGACAAAGTACTGAATATTAGTAACAATAGTTCCTTCTTTGTCCTTTCCTCACCCAGTGAGTCTAATCATTGCTTGTATTTTGGTGCAGCCCTGATCCTTTATGCTGGATATGTTGGGACAGCTAGAGGGCGAGGCGACAATACATATGACCTTTGAGTGATGGTTTATTTCTCTGAGTATTTAACATTGAAGCCACACTGTTGTTTCAGATAGTTTCCAGAATATAAAAATCAAAGGGATCAAAATATGATCTGATTTAAAACCCCCTTTGCTGGAAGAATCAAGGCCTTTCCACATTTGGGTGCCCCTATTTTTGTTTGTTTGTTTAAAAACACTCCAGGCTGCCGGGCACAGTGGCTCACGCCTGTAATCCCAACACTTTGGGAGGCTGAGGCAGGCAGATGACTTGAGGTCGGGAGTTTGAGACGAGCCTGACCAACATGGAGAAACCCCATCTCTACTAAAAATACAAAATTAGCCAGGCGTGGTGGTGCATGCCTGTAATCCCAACTACTCGGGAGGCTGAGACAGGAGAATCGCTTGAACCTGGGAGGCAGAGGTTGCAGTGAGCCGACATTCCGCCATTGCACTCTAGCCTGGGCGACAAGAGCGAAACTCCACCTAAAAAAAAAAAATGTACTCCTGCTCTCTCCTCTCTCTTCAATTAGTATGATCCAACAGTGGTGAGTAAAGTACATTTTACTGCAACGGATTTGTAAGTCCCCAGCCTCGATGATCTTCATATTTAAATGCAGTCATTTACGCACAGAAATGTCTTGTAAACTACAGGGATATAAACAAATGCATGGATTATTATCATTGTGAGGAGGCTCAACTAACACTGAACAACTTTAGGAGGCAGCTTGGTGTAGGGTATAAGAACTTCAGGCTGGAAGACCTGATCCTATGAACCTGAAGGAGGGTGTCTCCTCCCTTGTGGAATAAGGGATAGAAGTCATTTAGGGGAAGGAGAAGGGGTGGGGTGGGCAGCTTTGAATATGACGCTTTAAGAATGGTATGGTTGAGAAGTCCTCACTCACTGAAAGTGGGGTTTGATTTTACAGTCACTGCTGTATGGAGAGGACCCGCCCGTGGTGGCACAATATGAAACTTAAAAAATAATCTAAGCCAATAGATATGTTTCATTGAGTGGCTCCACCGAGATAGTTTACTTACTGAAGACAGGGTATGTTTAGTGATATCTACGTCATTTATCAACTCAAAAAAAAAAAAAGGAAGATACTATATACTCTTTTCAATTCTGAAATAAAGTCTTCTGAAAGGTGTTAGTTCTGAGGTAAACAAGCCTCAGCTTTAGAATCCTATTGAAATGCAAAACTTGCTTTGTGCGGTTTCCCTGTACACTCTGCATAGTGTTTTGGAAACCTGCAGTTATCTAAATTCCCATCGGGTGACATTGTTTAATCCAACATTCCCACTTTCATACATGAAAATAGCTCTAAGGACACACCACTAATATGCTTTGAACTCTCTGGTGGTTGGAAGGGAGTTTCCAATCCCACTCCCTTTCCTCTGATGGTTTTCCTGCTCCCTGCCCCACTAGGTCATTCAGGAAAGGCCTCTGGCAGCTCCCCCAAGCAAGGGCTCAGGGGGGAAAGAGACATTGACCTTGGCCAAGAAAGCACCTGTCTAATTACTGAACTTATTAGGCCACCAGGAGTCCAGACTGGTGCAAGTTACGAGTAGTGTGTGTGTGTGTGTGTGTGTGTGTGTGTGTGTGTGTGTGTCGCAAAACTTCAGGTTTCTGATATTGAGAGGAAATGATGGTTGCTTTAAAGTGATCACTACATCTATTTTCAAATATTCTGATGAAAGTAGGAAAACAGAACCCTTCACCTTTAAGAAAGCTGCAAACATTATTTTGCTTTGAAGGCAGTAATAAGCGAAATAACAAAAAGGTTTCAAGTCGTATCTTAATGTAAAAGGGTGGCTGCTTCTCCAGTCCTGAGCTTATACAAAGCTCTAAAAAGCACCCTACCCCATCTTTCTGAAAGTCTTAGAAAGATTACCACCCCATTTGCTTTAAAACCTGTGAGGTGCCTCCCTTCTTTAAAAACAACCCTCCCTCAACCATACTGCCACATTATCACTCATCTAAGTTATACTTTATAAACCGCCTTGCTGTGCTTCACACATGCAAAAAGTACACAAAGTGGATAAACTTCTACTGTGGATGCCACTGTGCAGGTATATATTTAGTAAACATTTAGTTACATTATTTTATTTTTGTGAAATAAGAACTGATCGAGCAAACCTTTCAAACAGACCCACCAGATGATAAATACCACCATATGCTTGATTCACAGTACATTTGGGCATAAATACTTCAATTACAGCTTTGTGTTTAGTATCAAAAACCTTTTCTTGTGTGCGTGTTTTCTCTCCAGATCCCGTGCTCTGGATCACATTTTGAAAGTCGCTTATTACAGATAAAGCACCTTTCCAGGTACGCTTCGGAGAACCATATGTATTTACGCACACAAAGGTGTTCACAGAGATTTTCACAAACAAATGTCCATATGATGCCGCGCCGCACTCCCCCACATGCCCGCCGCGTGTGCGCCCAGCCCCCAACGCCGCCGGGCCGCCCCCCGGACACGCGGGAGCCCGCGGCGTCCTTGGGGAAACTTCGCCGGCGGCTCCACCCCGGCCACCGCGCGGGCCTCCCCGCCCCCACCCGTCTCGGGCCCAGCGGCCCACACCCGAGCACACCCAGGCCGGCCCGCGGCGGTGGGGGCGGGGCGGGCGGCCCGGGGCCCCGAGGCGCCTTCGAGTGCCCGCGGGGCTCGCCTGATTTTTAAAAGAATGCGCCGCACAGCCCAGCCCCCAGTGCCGCCAGAGCGGGCCGGGAAGGAGAGGAGCGCGGCCGCTGGAGCCCCCCCGCCGCGCCGCCGCCGCCTCCCGGCGTCCGCGGCGCCCCTCCCCC
Organism: Homo sapiens; assembly: GCF_000001405.40. Classification (NCBI taxonomy): domain Eukaryota; kingdom Metazoa; phylum Chordata; class Mammalia; order Primates; family Hominidae; genus Homo; species Homo sapiens. The sequence continues at coordinate 177,197,666 of NC_000003.12, read as the reverse complement.
GCCGGCCCCTCCCCCGCGCGCCCGCCCGCCCGCTCGCCCGCCCGCCCGGCGCAGGCCGCTCGGGTTTGTTTTGCTGCGCGGCCGCCGCCGCCGCCGCCGCCGCGGGCCTCGCGAGCTCATTTGTGCCTGGCTGGTCCCCATTCCTCTCTCCCCAGTGTTGAGTGTCTGAGCCGTTGGCTGCTCCGAACCGTTTGGCTCTTTCCCTTAGTAACAGCTTTTACCTTCTGCCTCAATTCCTCTCCCCGCTCGCGCCCTTCCCCCGCGCGCCGCCTCCCCCCGCCGCCGGCCGCGTGCGCCCCCGCCCCTCCCCCCGCGGCGGGAGCACCTCCGCTCGCCACCTGGGGACCCGCGCCGCGCTCCCCGCCCCCGCCCGCCCGGCGCCCATCCCCCGCGCCCTCCGCTCGCTGGGGTTATAATTGCCTCTCACCCCCCGGAGGGGTTATTTTGGGGGTGGTTGGAGGCGGTGGCGGCGGCGGCGAGGAGGGGAATTTCCTTGTGCCTCCATTCCCGGGAGGGGGGAGCGGCGTTGGAGGCCACCGTTTCCAGGTAAGCGCTGGGGGCCGGACCCTGGAGTGGGGGCGGCCGGGGGCCTGGGCGGGGGGCGCGGGCCAGAGGCGGCCGGGGGCGCTGGGCCGCGGGGGGATGGGCGCGAGTGGAACATGCATTTTTCAACTTGGCCCTTGGGGGAACTGGGCTTGCGTGGGGGAAGGGAAGGCAGGGAGGGCACTTGGGGCGCCCCCATCCCCCCGTTTTCCTCTCTCAGGTTTCTTTGAAATGCTCACGTGCCTGCCCACCCCCCTACCCTTTCCCGGTCTCGGGGGATCCTCACCCTAATTATGTTGTCCCCGAAAATGTGCACCTCGGCCTTCTCCCCCTCTTCCTCCCTTCGTGCATTTACACCCCCTTTTTGTGCGTGTGTGTTTGGGGGGGGAGGCTTTCAGGAAAGGATTTGCAGCAAATTGAATCAAGGAGCCATCATGAGGCCGACTCCTTTATAGCCTATTTTTAGCAGAGGAGAAGGAGCTTTTCGGTGCATGCTATTTTGTGAAACCTCGGGCGGCAATGGAAATCTCCCCTCCCCGGGCGCGTCCCCGGCCCGGGCGCGGCGACCCCGGCCGGCGTGCTGGGGGCTGCGGGCGGCTGTTGGGGCCGCGCGTCCGGGGCGGGGGCGCCGGCCGGGGGAGGGGCGCGCGGCAGCCGGGCCTTGCTCCGGGACGTGTTTATTTGTAACTTAGTGCTTTTTATCGTCTTAAGGAGGTATTTGGTGGAGGCTCTTTGAAGTTGGGTTCAGGAGTGTAGAATTGGCAAAGTTATTGCCAGCTTCCTGGTAAGTTTTGGGTGGCACAGAGTCACGTTATTTTCTGACAGTGTAAAGGCCACGTTGTGAGGGTGGTTTCTCGGTAACTTCCTCTTTGCAACCGATTTAATTTTTTGAACAGAAGCAGACTTTTATTTAAGTGGAATATTAATCTTAAATGGCAGCTCGAGGGAAGCCATGCATGTGTTAACGTGTTCAGTATTTTTGGAAGTTCTTAATTTGCTGAAACAGGCATCACTTCGCAGTGGCAACCGGGATTAAATTTAGGTTGTGAAAATGGTGTATTTCATGTAAAATTTGGGTTGTGGCTTTTAAAAAATGCTCTCTTTGTTAGGTTATCTAAGTGTCTCTAAGATAATTTGGTGATTACAAATGAGAAATGTTGGAAACTAGTTAAAAATTAGGTGTTCTCAGTGTCTGGAGTTTACTTGAAATCTTGGACTGTGCAGGCACCAGGGGTGAAGAGTTTTAGTACCTATGTGATTTACAGTTGACTTAGGAAAGTTTACTATTCACTTTCTTGTTTTCCAAACAGGAACCGTATGCTGATCTAAACAAGCTTGTTAATAAAATGTGGGGGGTGAAAATGCCAGGTTATTTTTAGTTTGAATTTTAAGACTGAATGGTTGCTCTACCCCCCACCTCATATAATTAAGTGATCTTCCCCCTCCGTTTTTCCTAAAGGCTTCTTCACCAGTTTGGATAATAAGGCCCTCGTGGTGTGTTCATCTACTTACCTGAAATAACTTGGAATAAATAATTTCGATTACACGTTGAAGATACAATGAGTGACTGTTTGGGTTTTCCAGTGTGATTCATTTTCATTTTTGTTAAAATAAGACCCATGCTACATTGATGTATTTTAGTAATGCCGACTTCCTGGGATTGTATGTTCTCACCATTTTAATAGTTTATAGTCTGGGGAAGTAGGGCACCTTTGTCTCCCCGAAAACATGGTGTGGGTTGGGTGGTATCATGGGAGTTGATGGCAAGCTTCCCAAATAGTTGAGAGTTCTAGAAATAGTTAGCATTTACCTGTGGGGGAGGGGCTGCAGGAAGAAAGTATGCCTGAGAGCAGTTAGGCGTGTGATGTGTGATTAGGCTTCTTGCTCTTAAATCCAGGTTTTCTTGTTTGGAATATGATTTTTTTTTTCAACCCTATCCTGCACTGAGATGTATGTAATCGCAATCATTAAATTCATAAATAACTACTATTTTTTTTGACGTTTGAGTTGTTGGAATCCGACCTACAGGACAAAATACTAAACTGTATGGGGGACGAAAACTACGTGCCTGGGAAAAGTTTTTCTTATTGCTAAGGAACTTAATAAAGTGACATGTTAATGGCATAAAAATTGTTGCAAAGCTCACCGTCAGTTTATGACATTTTTCTTTTAACGTATACCAGCTTTGGGTATTAATGTGGGAGACACTGGTGGTAAATGGAGTGACCCCTTGCAGAGATGATATTTTTGCATTGGTTGCTTCAAAGAAGTGTTAAGCATTTTAATACGTATGTCTAAGAATCTTTTTGATATTTGTATTCTCGACACCTAATTAAAGGTTTTGCATGATTACCATGACACCAGTCTCCCGAAAGAATTAGAGGTAACTGCTTCCTGTGTTCTAGGAGCCTTTCAAGCTAACAGAAGGTAATATAAATATAAGGGGTACTGATAAAAGGAAATGTATTAATAGACCTTTTGAACATCAACTTGTTGATTAAATCTATCAGTGCAGTATATATACAACCTTGTCAGACGAGTAGCTGACAAAGGAATCTCCCTAGTACAACTTGTAGCAGTACTATTATAAAGAATTCCTGACTTGACACATTTTGATGAAGTTGGTTGAAATAATTTGTTGGGTTTGTTCAATTTTTGGTGTCATTTATATAAAAAGAATAAAGAAGAATGTGAATGGTAGGAAGTCAGGGGAGAGGCATGGCAGAAACATTGGTATTCACTAGAACTTGTATTTTTCTAGTGCATGTGAATTGGACTCATTTCACAAATAACATTTACAGTATAAGTCACTGAAATGCAAAAAAGGAAAGCAGCTAACACGAGACATTTATACTTTATGCTCAGACATTCTGGTAGTAGAGGAGGGCTAGGACCCTAGAGCTGTGTAGTAAAGAATTGTTGAGTATCGTTCAGTTTAGGTACCACGAAGGTGGTATCTCCTGCTCTGCCACCAATAGAAACTTGAAGTTAAAAAGAAAAGACTCTGAGAGCGCTGATGCTGGAGAGATTTGGCTGTTTACCCCTCTGGGATTGGATTCGGTAAGAGTGCAATTAATTGCCCTGTAACCATAGAGCCAGAGGAGAGGGACTAGGTGCTCCGGGCTATGCTCTAGGAGGTGTGAGGTGCTTTCTATGCTGTTTATACCCTAGGCTAATCCTATGAGGTAGATAGTGTTGGGCTTTTTTTGTGGATGATGAAACAGAGATGCAAAGAAGTTAATTCCCTTGTTCAAGGCCACAAAATTATTAAATGAACACTAGGATTCAAACCTGGGTCTGTCTTAGATGACTGAATCTGCGGAATTTTCCCAGCTGTTTTGTTAGTCTTGATCCGTGTAGATCATCCTTCCAAAAACTTGTGTTTCTAATCAAGTTTATGATCTATAGTTGAGCGTCTGTACTAAATGGGTCGAGTGATTACATGGGTAAATGAAATTGATAGAACTCATATCATTGTGCTGAATTCCCTAGCACCATTTAATAAGATGCAGTCTTGCTGGGTGCAGTGGCTCACGCCTGTAATCCAAGCACTTTGGAAGGCCAAGGCGGGCGGATCACGAGGTCAAGAGATTGAGACCATCTTGGCCAGCATGGTGAATCCCCGTCTCTACTAAAAATACACAAATTAGCTGGGCGTGGTGGCGGGTACCTGTAGTCCCAGCTACTCGGGAGGCTGAGGTGGGAGAATCGCTTGAACCCAGGAGGTGGAGGTTGCAGTGAGCCAAGATCGCGCCATTGCACTCCAGCCTGGGCGATAGAGGGAGACACCCTCTCAAAAACAAACAAACAAAAAATTTGTGTAAGAAAAATCATTGAAGTCTTTGTGTTGTAGCATAGTGGTTAAAGTGAGTTCAAACTCAGGCTCTATCCTTTACTAGCTGTGATGTTGGGGTAGTAGCTCCTCATACGTTTTATTTATTTTTTAAAATTTTATTTTATTTTATTTTTTTGAGACGGAGTTTCGCTCTGTTGCCCAGGCTGGAGTGCAGTGGCGCGATCTCGGCTCACTGCAACCTCCGCCTCCTGGGTTCAAGTGATTCTCCTGCCTCAGCCTCCCAAGTAGCTGGGATTACAGGTGCTTGCCACCACTCCCGGCTAATTTTTGTGTTTTTAGTAGAGATGGGGTTTCAGCATGTTGGCCAGGCTGGTCTCGAACTCCTGACCTCAGGTAACGTGCCTGCCTCGGCCTCCCAAAGGGCTGGGATTATAGGCATGAGCCACATTGCGCCTGGCCCTAATGTGTTTGTTTCTTCATCAGTGTAAGGGGACAGTCAACTTTCATAGAGTTAAGAAGATCCAGTTAGTGTGTGAGAGGTACTTAGAACAATGGTTGACATTCTAAGCATCCTGTAAGTGTAAGTTGCTCCTGATAGGTTTGATTTTTGAAGTTTGTTTCTTTGTATTACATTTTATTTGCTTGTTATTTATTTTAGTAGGGGCATAATGTCATAGGAAGGATTTGATAGCTCCATTTCCTAAGTAACCCATTTGAAGTAAACTTAGCTTGGTTTTTTTTACTCTTAAAAAGTTGTGGTTTAAGGCTTACATATACTATGAATAATTTACATGATTGGTGTAGGTACGGTGGTGGATCTTTTTTGCATGCCTTTGTTGCTATTCTGTCATCTGGGTTGGACTTCTTAAGCCTACTTGCACCATTTGAAACATTTTTCAACTTACTTTCTTTCTTTTTTTTTTTTTTTTGAGATAAAGTCTCACTTTGTTTGTTGCCCAGGTTGGAGTGCAGGTTGGAGTGCAATGGCGCGATCTCCTCTTACTGCAACCTCGCGCCTCCTGGGTTCAAGCGATTCTCCTGCCTCAGCCTCCTAGCTGGGATTATAGGCATGCGCCACCACGCCCAGCTAATTTTTGTATTTTTAGTAGAGACGGGGTTTCACCATGTGGTCTCCATCTCTTGACCTTGTGATCTGCCCGCTTTGGCCTCCCAAAGTGCTGGGATTACAGGCGTGAGCCACCGCGCCCAGCTTCAACTCTTTTTTTTTTTTTTTTGAGACAGAGTCTTGCTCTGTCACCCATGCTGGAGTGCAATGGTGCGATCTCGGCTCACTGCAACCTCTGCCTCCCGGGTTCAAGCGATTCCCCTACCTCAGCCTCCCAAGTAGCTGGGATTACAGGCGCCTGTCACTTGCCTGGCTAATTTCTTGTATCTTTAGTAGAGATGGGGTTTCACCATGTTGGTCAGGCTGGTCTCGAACTCCTGACCGCCCGTCTCGGCCTCCCAAAGTGCTGGGATTACAGGCATGAGCCACCGTGCCAGGCAAACTCTTTAAATACAAAGGGAACTCTTTCAAGGTTTGGGTCCAGCAGAACCTAGGGTCTGCCTTTTAGGCTGTAGTGATTACTTTGGGTAGGTGGTTTTATTTTATTTTTCCTGACCACTTTTTATCTGTGTATTCTTTTCCGTATTATCAGATGCTGTCTAGATAGTTGTCCTTAGAAGTTCAGTTCCTCTATGAGCCTTATCTTATGTTCACTTCCCATTTTTAACCATACTTAATTTAGCACTAGTGTTCACTTTGCTAATAGTCAAAAGTTCTATGTATCAGGACTATACAGGTGCTTTGACAAGTACTGTGACAGTCTGAGTGCTGATGCCTGAATTTAACAGTGAGAAAATTGAGGCTCAGGTAGTAGGGGACAGAGCAGGAATTTAGGCCCAGTTTGTGTGAATTCTAGGCCAGTGTTGTTACCTAGCAGTCTGTCTTCTCAATGAATGAATGGTTGTAGGTCTGGATTATTAAGTTTTTATTTGGTTGCCCTGAGCAACCTTTCTTATTCATTTTATCTTCTGTAACTACTGACAGTGTAATTTATTTAAAGTACTGGTTTCATCTTGTCAGTTCCCCTGCTGGAGAACCCATAATGGATTCTCTTTGCCAACTGGATTGAATTTGTATGCTTCAGTCTGGCTTTTAAGAAGGTTCCATTCTACCTATTCAGCTTTATTTCTCACTCTTAGTTGGGATTCTTGCCGGCCTCTCAAATACGGTAGTTTTTGCCATACTCACTACTTTGCTTTTGTGCATGCTGTTGTTCCCTTTGTCCTTCTTATAGCCTAGTTTCAGTCCCCCTTCTTCCATGAATCCTTTTCTGGCCATCCTGACTCAGGATATTTCTTCTCTGAGATTCCATTGCACTTAATGAAGATCACAAATCCCATAACTGTTTATTGTTTTGTTGCCCCAACTACGATGTTTCTTGAACGGATGGACCTTTTTCCTTCCAGCATTTGGCAGAGTTCTTAATACCATTTTCATGTTAAAATGGATTGTGAGGGCCTGTGTTAAAATGGGAGCAGTGACAGCCCTGTTCCACTGTAATGTGGCAGCATCTTCTTTTTGAGTTAGACCTTAAAGATTTAGGTGTGCTATAGTCACATTTAACTGTTCATTTAAATTTTAGTGCTGCCAGAGTTGCAAAGGAAGAAAAATTTGTTAGTTTCTTAGATGAAAATGGATGGTTTTGACTGGGTACGGTGGCCCACGCCTGTAATCTCTGCACTTTGGGAGGCCCAGGCAGGGGGATCACCTGAGGTCAGGAGTTTGAGACCAGCCTGGCTAACATGATAAAATGTTTAGCTCTACTAAAAATACAAAAAATTAGCTGGGAGTGGTGGCACACGCCTATAATCCTAGCTACTCAGGAGGCTGAGGCAGGAGAATAGCTTCAACCCGGGAGGCGGAGGCTGCAGTGAACTGAGATTGCGCCACTGCACTCCAGCCTGGTCAACAAGAGCATCAACTCCGTCACATACACAAAAAAAGAAAATGGATGGTTTTGCCCTTTTAATTCTGGAATAGTAGCCACAGTACTGGGGGAAAACCTAGTCTAGTTAGGAATTGTGTCACAGTAAGTTGACTTTATCTGGTTATATATGTGTCAGGTAGTTAGGTATAATGATGCTTAAGATTTTGGACTCTTTTTTTTTTTTTTTTTTTTTTTTTTTTTGAGATGGAGTTTCACTCTTGTTGCCCGGGCTGGAGTGCAATGGCACATGCTTGGCTCACTGAAACCTCCGTCTCCTGGGTTCAAGCGATTTTCCTGCTTCAGCCTCCCCAGTAGCTGGGATTACAGGTGTCCGCTTACACGCCCAGCTAGAACTTTATTTTCTTAATCTGTTAGGTTTTTTCTTCATTATTTCCTTAGTAGTGTACCTAAGTTAAGATAGTGTTTTTAGATCTCACTGTTTTACAGCATTCTGACTGCACTGGAGTTTCATTTGAGCCATTACTATTAATTTATTAACATTCAGTATAGGATATATGTATTATACAATGTAAGTGAGTTTTATCTACCAGAAGAATGTCTCTTAACCATCTCCCTTCAGTAAATTTTTATGGTAAGACTGTGCTGTATTAGTTCCAGCCAACCAGGGTAATTGACTATAAAGGCAACTAATTTGGTGTTACATCCTTCTTTTTTTTTTTTTTTTGAGATGGAGTCTTGCTCTGTCTCCCAGACTGGCTGGATGTGATCTCCGCTCACTGCAACCTCCGCCCCCTGGGTTCAAGCGATTCTCCTGCCTTAGCCTCCCAAGTAGCTGGGATTACAGGTGCTGGCCACCACGCCTGGCTAATTTTTTTGTAATTTTAGTAGAGATGGGGTTTCACCATGTTGGCTAGGCTGGTCTTGAACTCTTGACTTCAGGTGATCCACCCACCTTGGCCTCCCAAATTGCTGGGACTAACAGGCGTGTACCACCACGCCCAGCTAATTTTTGTATTTTTAGTAGAGATGGGATATCACCTTGTTGGCCAGGCTGGTCTTGAACCTCTGGGCCTTGTTATCTGCCCACCTCGGCTTCCCAGAGTGCTGGGATTATAGGCGTGAGCCACCACACCTGGCCTGAAATTGTTATTTCTTATTTTTATTTTGAGACAAAGACTCATTCTGTTGCCTAAGCTGGAGTGCAGTGGCATGATCTTGGCTCACTGCAATCTCCACCTCCTGGGTTCAAGCGATTCTACTGCCTCAGCCTCCTGAGTAGCTGGGACTACAGGAACGTGCCACCATGCCCGGCTAATTTTTTTGTATTTTTAGTAGAGATAGGGTTTCGTTATGTTGGCCAGGCTGGTCTTGAACCCCTGACCTCGTGATCCACCCGCCTCGGCCTCCCCAAGTGCTGGGATTACAGGCGTGAGCCACCGCACCCGCCCAAAATTTTTAATATTTATGTATAGAATGTAAGCTTTTCAGCATGATTTTGAATCAAACAAAATGAGTTAGATTGAAAGCTCTGCTTTCTGAGAGCTTAGATTTGTAACTCAGAATTAGTGTGGACTGTAAGGATCATGCTGAAAGGTTAATACATTTTGGTAAACATAGAGTACCCAGATTCAGGAGATTTATGTGAAATGAATAGGTTTGAGGGATGAGGGAGGAGGAATACCTGTTGAACATTTAAACTGTGAAGTTTGCCACCTATTTTCCCCTTTATTGAAGGTTTCAGGAGGTAGAATTTAAAAAAACAAAACTCTGGGCTGCAAGGGTCAGAGATGGTCATTACGGTATCTTAATAGAGTAATTTCTTTTTTTTGACGGAGGTTTGCTCTTGTTGCCCAGGCTGGAGTGCAATGGCGCAATTTTGGCTCACTGCACCCTCCACCTCCCAGGTTCAAGCAGTTCTCCTGCCTCAGCCTTCTGAGTAGCTGGGATTACAGGCATGTGCCACCACACCTACCTAATTTTGTATTTTTAGTAGAGATGGAGTTTCGCCATGTTGGCCAGGCTGGTTTGAACCTCTGACCTCAGGTGATCTGCCCACCTTGGCCTCCCAAAGTGCTGGTGGGATTACAGGTGTGAGCCACTGTGCCTGGACAGTAATTCTTTTTTATATGAAATTGTATTCTCTGGGCCGGGCACGGTGGCTGATGCCTGTAATCCCAGCACTTTGGGAGGCCGAGGTGGGTGGATCACGAGGTCAGGAGTTCGAGACCAGCCTGACCAACATGGTAAAACCCCGTCTCTACTAAAAATACAGAAATTAGCCGGGTGTGGTGGCATGTGCCTGTAATCCCAGCTACCTGTTAGCCTGAACCTGGGAGGTGGAGGTTGCCATGAGCTGAGATCGTGCCACTGTATTCCTGCCTGGGCAATAGAGCGAGACTCCATCTCAAAAAAAAAAAAAAAAAAAAAAAAGGAAATTGTACTCTGGACTCTCAAGCTTTTTTTTTTTTCTTTTTAAATGTTTAAAAATTTTAATTACCTTAAAATGGTGGATTTTTTTTTAACTTTTTAATAAACTAGGTGTCAGTCTATTTGATATCTTCGGTATTTTGTCTGAGATCGGATGTGGAATCAATAAGTGCTTTTTTTCCTGATAACCTTTTGTGTTTCTCTTTTCTTCTCATTGTGTCTTTTTCAGCACAGTGGAGAGCGGGACATTGTAAAGAGACATTCAGTGACTCAGTTTTTGAGTGGATGCTTTTGTTTTTTGTTCTTAGTTTGCATCTGCTTGAATGGGGTAGCATTTTAACATGGGTCTAATATTAAGCAAACAAGTATTTTTAAACCAATTCTTTGTAAAGCCATGGTTACATGAGTAAATCACTTAGCTTCTATAAATGTCTATTAAGATGATCAGATGAAATGTTACCTGAAGTTCTCTTATTTGTGCAAATACTTGAATGAGTATACTCGATACTTCAATTCCTTTATTAAGATCCTAGGATTCTTTTTTTTTTTTTTTTTTGAGATAGAGTCTCTGTTGTCCAGACTGGAGTGCAATAGCACAATCTTGGTTCACTGCAACCTCTGCCTCCCGGGTTCAAGCGATTCTCCCTGCCTCAGTCTCCCGAGCAGCTGGGATTGCAGGCGCCCGCCACCACACATGGCTAATTTTTGTATTTTTAGTAGAGATAGGGTTTTGCCATGTTGGCCAGGTTGGTCTCGAACTCCTGACTTTTTTTTTTTTTTGAGACAGAGTCTTGCTCTGTTGCCCAGGCTGGAGTACAGTGGCACGATCTCGGCTCATGGCACACTCCGCCTCCCGGGTTCATGCCATTCTCCTGCCTCAGCCTCCTGAGTAGCTGGGACTGCAGGGGCCCGCCACCACGCCCGGCTAATTTTTTTGTGTTTTTAGGAGAGACGGGGTTTCATCCTGTTAGCCGGGATGGTCTCGATCTCCTGACCTTGTGATCCGCCCGCCTCGGCCTCCCAAAGTGCTGGAATTACAGGCGTGAGCCACCACGCCTGGCCGAACTCCTGACTTTTAAGTGATCTGCCAGCCTCAGGCTCCCAAAGTGCTGGGATTACAGGTGTGAGACACCACGACTGGCCATGATTTCAATTTTATGAGTTTTGACGGGGATCTATATGGAAATTTTTTTTAGAGTATTTAAGTACTAAAAATCTACAGCCTTTCATAGAGTAATAGTCTGGAAAGTATGTGACATGAGCATAAGCAAACACCTTGCCAGATGGGGTATAGTAATAACATATTTTAGTGGTTACCTTCAACTGTGAATAGAACACAGTTTATGGGTTAGGGAGAGATGTTTTATTCTCTTCCTTTAATTTCAACAGGCTAATTGGGAAGAGTGTATACTAATGTTGCTACATTTCTGTTTAGTGGCTATCATATGTCATTAACTCACAGTATAAGGCAATTGACTCATCTACTTTGGGTTTCTGAAATAAGGTAATGAGAATAGATAATGAATTTATCTTTTCTTTTTCTGCAATTACCTTTTTATGGGGCAGAACTTATAAAAAATAAGGATTTTAGGATACGATTTGTAGCTGTAGCAGTGCTCTTTGGCACTCATTCATATAACAATGTAATATACATGCTTAAGATTTTTCCCCTAGTAAAATGATGGGTTTTCTTTAAATTACTGTTCTCTGTCCTCTTTAGTAACGGATATACATTTGTAAAATTACAGACTGGGGTTAGGAGTGCAGACTGTTATTGTATTGTGTTCTTGTGCAAAAAAACCCCAGGTGTATCATGGGAATACATCTTTGACCTTGGACTTCCTTGTGTCCTGCTGGCAGAGGTCACTAGTTTTGACACCTGGTGAGAGATGTGAAGTGTTCCTTTATTTACTTATATTTATTTATTTATTTATTTGAGGCAGGGTCTTGCTCTGTCACCTGGGCTGGAGTGCAGTGGTGTGAACATGGCTCACTTTACCCTCCAACTCCTGGGCTTAAGCAGTCCTCCTACCTCAGCCTCCTGAGTAGGTAGGACTACAGACGAGCAGCACCATGCCCAGCCAATTTTTTTATTTTTAATTTTTTGTAGAGAGAGGATCTCACTATGTTGCTCAGGCTGGTCTCGAATTCCTGGACTCAAGCAGTCCTCCTGCCTCCCAAAGTGTTGGGATTATTGGTGTGAGCTGCTGTGCCCAGCCAATGCTTCTTTTATATATTTATTTAGATTTGGTGTTTGATTTTTTTGTTAATAAGGGACCTTCTCAAAGATACTTTTAAATGAAAAGACAAAGGGTCAGAAAATACTGGTTTTTTTTTTTTGGAAACAGTCTCATTCTGTGACCCAGACTGGAGTGCAATGGCGTTGATCTTGGCTCACAGTGACCTCCGCTTCCTGGGTCCAAGTGATGCCCCTGCCTCAGGCTCCTGAGTAGCTGGGACAGGCTCATGCCACCATGCTTGGCTAATTTTTTTGTACTTAAGTAGAAATGGGGTTTCGCCATGTTGGCCAGGCTGGTCTTGAAATCCTGACCTCAAGTGATCCATCCTCCTCGGCCTCCCAAAGTGCTGGAATTACTGGCGTGAGCCACTGCCCCTGGCCGGTTGGCTGCTATTTTAACTTAAGGGGTAGAAGACTGGAAAGGAGGACACATGCAATACAGTGTGTATGAGTATGTGTGTATTTATATATGCTTGTTGTGTGTGCTTAGAGTGACTCTAGAAAGCTGTGGAAGAGACTGATAACAATGCTGTTGGGGTAGGTAGATTATGTAGTCAGATGTCAGAGAGACTTATTTTCATGTGTAACCTTTTGAACTGTTGATGTTCTTATTACCATTTTGAAAAAAAAATTGAAAAATCGAGGCATGTGGTTAAGCTTTTAAAAACTTTATTTCTTTGGATTTGGATAGGATGGTCAAAAGAAGGGGGAAAATGATGTTAATTTCTCCTGTGCTTTTCAGTCAGTTCTTAAAGAGCTGTAACTGTATATTTCTGTAAACACTTATTTTCATTTTTCAGACTTGTTGGCAGAATTAGAGTAGTGGTATGATTAACAAGTGTTGTTTCTGTTTCATGACTGGGTCCTTAGACCAGTGGTGAATCAGTGATGATTTTTTTTTTTTTTTGAGCCACAGTCTTGCTCTGTCTCATCCAGGCTGGAGTGCAGTGGTGCGATCGGCTTACTGCAGCCTCTGCCTCCAGGGTTCAAGTGATTCTCCTGTCTCAGCCTCCTGAGTAGCTGGGACTACAGGCATGTGCCACCATACCTGGCTAATTTTGTATTTTTAGTAGAGACGGGATTTCACCATGTTGGACAAGCTGGTCTTGAACTCCTGACCTAAGGTGATCCACTGGCCTCTGCCTCCCAAAGTGCTGAGATTACAGGCGTGAGCCACCGCACCTGGCCAACTGGTGAATTTTGAATCCTATCCAAGCTTGATACTTAGAAAATAATTTAGTGCAAACTTTAGGAGGTTTTGGTTGTCCAGAAGTACTACATTTTGTCTTATTTCAAAGGTATTGCTTTGCCAAGGGTTTGGACATTAGGTGAATATTGGGGTTCTCATAGTGGTTGACTTTAATAATTATAGTATTTGGCACAATGGGATTTGTGGAACTATGGCTTCTGATACTGCACCGATCCTGTCATGACTTACAAACTTAGATGTATGTGTTATTGATGTCAAGGTGACAGATATATTAGATTTTAATGCTATTTTTGGTTGCAGTTGGTGTCATTTGCAATTGTGTCACTTGCAGCTTTTTGTTGGCTATTTAGTTTACCAGTAAAGGGGCTTGCCTTCTAGTTGTGCTCATTTTCAACTTCAACTGGAGCAACCTCAGAGAAAGGGAGCACCTGTTTTGGTGCACAGAATTGTGCTGCACTGTGACTTTGACACTAGCCTTCCTTTGAGGGCACTGTCATGGCCCTCTTCTCAGCAGTAACAGGAGACTAGGTAGGAGAGTCTTTGTCTCATTTTTGGCAGTGAACTCTCAGTATGTTACTGTGGTGAAGAGCTGGTCTCGAGCTCCTGACTTCAGGTGATCCACCTTGCCTTGGCCTCCCGAAGTGCTGGGATTACAGGCGTGAGCCACCATGCCCGGCCGATTAGATGTTTCAAGAAAAAGAAGATTGTACCTTTCTTAAAAATAAAGTTTTTTGGTCGGGCGCAGTGGCTCATGCCTGTAATCCCAGCACTTTGGGAGGCTGAGGTGGGTGGATCACCTGAGGTCAGGAGTTTGAGGAAAAAATTCGCAAGGTGTAGTGGCGGGTGCCTGTAATCCCAGCTGCGGAGGCTGAGGCAGGAGAATCACTTGAACCCGGGAGGCGGAGGTTGCAGTGAGCCAAAATCGCACCACTGCACTCCAGCCTGGGTGAAGGAGTGAAACTCCGTCTCAAAAAAATTTTTGCTTTCCGGAGTGGAATCCCTACTTTTCTCCAGGCAACACTGCTCTGGTTGACAACTGACAACTGCTTTATCAGTCACTTCAAATATATATGTTAAATTTTACACAAACGTTAACATGGATTCTCACTAAAAATCCATATGGCACAACACAGGGTATGTATACATGCAGAAATAACTGAAGGGTTATCAGGAACTTATGCACACACATTTTCTGTACTCTTCATTTAAAAACATGCTTTTATAAACCTAAATGAATTTTATTACTTAATTTTATTCAGTGAATTTAGAAAATACTCGTTCAAAGGAGTATAGAATTGTACTTTTCTACTTTTATGGATTTAGAGTCAGTACTCAGAAACGTCGACGTTCTGAATGACAGAGCATGGATGAGTTACATTTATTGGTGCTAATGTCTTTAGGTTGTATTCTGAAGCTGTATGAGGATTCTGAAGTTATGGTGCCTCAATTTTGTAAGGCATACATAAGAAGTAAGATACAAATGATAAGGAATTTTGATTGCTCTTAAATGTAAATTTAAGAGTTTTGGAGGGAAAATCTGAACAGCTGTAGCTTAGGAACCCTGAATGCTTCTCATAAAGGACAGTACTTAGAAGAATGACCATTATATAAAGTTTCTTATATCCCATTAGAGAAGAAGTTTGGATAATTATATTGTTTTAAAAAAATTTACATGCCATAACATGTTGCCTGCATGAAGTTACACTATTTGATTGAAGATTAAGCATTAGGCTTCTTTCCGTGACAGTCTTAAATTAACATCCTTGCCAATGATGACCACTAGTCATGTGTTTCTAGCACAGGCCTCTCCTTGATTGAGAGTTATTTGTTGCCTCATCTCACTAGGCAGAGATCCTTCCTTGAAAACAGGTCTCTCTCACCCATCTTGACCCTCAGCATCTGGTACAGTGCCTGGCACTCTTTAGCCTTTCCATTGTTGAGTTGAATCCTATGAGGCTCTGACTGAGGTATACGTTTGCTAGTACAGTAGACTCTTGTTGCTTTTGTGAGTGATTCACATATACAAAACTGGAAAGGAGATACATCCAGTTTCACAAATTAATTGTCCTTAGAACTTACTGTGTTCCTGCTGTCAGAGTTTTCTTCTTTTTCTGAGACAGGATCTTACTCTGTCACCCAGGCTGGAGGGCAGTGGCACGGTCATGGCTCACTGCAGCCCTGAACTCCCCGGGCTCAGGTGGTCCTATCACCTCAGCCTCTTGAGTATCTGGGACTACTACGCCACCATTCCCGGCTAATTTTTGTGTTTTTTGGTAGAGATGGGGGTCTCACTATGTTGCCCAGGCTGGTCTTGAACTCCTGGGCTCAAGTGATCCACCTGCTGTAGCTTCCCAAACTGCTGGGATTACAATAGGCATGAGCCACTGGGACTGGCTGTGCTGTAAGAATTTTGAGGGTCTGCTTGATAACCTGGCACCCTGCTCTTTGGTTTTTGTCATCTGCAGAATCCTTTTGGCTTGAAAACAGTGTAGAACTTGCTAGGGGAAACAAGGAATATACTCAAAATGTGGGTAAAAGATTCAAAGACCTTGGCCTGACCGTAGCAGTTAAACCTGAATTGGGGTGTTATTTGGGCTTGCCCACTTCTTCCTGATATTTATGTATTCTGCAGTCTCTTTAGACCCTTCATCATGTGTGTGTTTTTTTTTTTTTTTCCTAACTTGAACCCTTACGTTTACCTGATACTGGCATATGATTCTTGCCTGGCTTTTTTTCTGATTCATGGTCTTGCATACCCAGTCCATACATCTACTGCTGCCCTTCTCTTTGACTGTGGTTTTCCCTCAGAGGTCAAAGGATGTGTATACTCTGTGTCCTTTGTCTCTTTAAACCAGTTGCACAAGTGATTCTGTGGCCCAGATTGGTTCTTCCGACCTCCTCCTCTCCTGATCTGCTAGCATGGAATCTATCACAATCTAGCATGGGGACATCTTGTATTTTCCCGTGTTTTCTACTGTTGAGTGTAGGCTGGCAGAGGCGTTCTTTTTTTTTTTTTTTAAGACGGAGTCTGGCTCTGTCACTCAGGCTGGAGTGTGGTGGCATGCTCTTGGCTTACTGTAACCTCCACCTCCCGGGTTCAGGTGATTCTCATGCCTCAGCCTCCTGAGTAGCTGGGATTATAGGCGTGTGCCACCACACCTGGCTAATTTTTGTATTACTAGTAGAGATGGGGTTTCAC
Source organism: Homo sapiens (assembly GCF_000001405.40). Classification (NCBI taxonomy): domain Eukaryota; kingdom Metazoa; phylum Chordata; class Mammalia; order Primates; family Hominidae; genus Homo; species Homo sapiens. The sequence goes on along the minus strand of NC_000003.12, from coordinate 177,181,298 downwards.
CGTGTTGGCCAGGCTGGTCTGGAACACCTGGCCTCAAGCGATCCACCCACCGTGGCCTCCCAGAGTGCTGAGATTACACCTGCGCCAGTTCAGATTTTCATTTAATGACAATGAGTTGCGACAAGACAGAGTTGGAGAATAGAGGAGGTTCAGAGTTGGAAGAAATGGGAGTAGGTGATGGCAACACCGAGTTGTCAGAGTGAGCTGAGGCAACATCCTCTACTTCTAGCTCACTGATGAAAATATCCAGGATAGCGGGTCTGGGGTCCAGTGCCATGGGTCACGCCTCTAATCCTAGTACTTGGTGGTAGGCCGAGGTGGGTGGATCACCTGAGGTCAGGAGTTCAAGACCAGCCTGACCAACATGGTGAAACCCCCGTCTTTACTAAAAATACAAAAAACTAGCAGGGCGTGGTGGCCTGTAATCGTAGCTACTCCAGAGGCTGAGGCAGGAGAATCCCTTGAACCCAGGAGGCAGAGGTTGCAGGGAGCTGAGATCATGTCATTGCACTCCAGCCTGGGTGACAAGAGCAAATCTCCGTCTCAAAAAAAAAAAAATTCCAGGGTAATCTGAGATCTTGGTATTTAGAGACATTTGGTTGGGATGAGGGGTCTTGGTAGATTTGATTCTGTTATCATTTGGAACCTTCCAAAGTAGAGGATGACGCATTTGTTTTTGAGCTACTTTCTAGAAACCAGAATTTACTGTCAGAGAATATAGGATTTTCGGTTTTAAAACTTTGAACTTAAAATGATTGCAACAGTATTTTAGTGATATTCTAAAAAATATTTAAAAATAAAAGTTTAAAAAAGTCGTCAGCAGATTAAAAAAACTCCAAGGAGAGTAATATTTAAATGAGTAACATTTTTGTTTTCCTCTGAATGTTGTTAAAACAGACAAGGTACTATTAAATGGGGGGGGGGGGAATGAACGTATTTATGGGCTTTTCCCTTTTTTACCCTTTGTTTACTTGTCTGTAGATTAAAGTAGGTACTTTAATCTTTTGTATCTCTGGGCTCTGTTTCTTGTAGTGGGTATGCTTTTTTTTTTTTTTTTTTTTTTGAGACGGAGTCTTGCTCCGTCACCAGGCTGGAGTGCAGTGACACGATCTCAGCTCACTGCAACCCACGCCTCCCGGATTCAGGCAATTCTCCTGCCCCAGCCTCCCAAGTAGCTGGGATTACAGGCACGTGCCACCATGCCTGGCTAATTTTTTGTATTTTAGTAGAGATAGGGTTTCACCATGTTGGCCAGGATGGTCTCGATCTCCTGACCTCATGATTGCCTGCCTTGGCCTCCCAAAGTGCTGGGATTACAGGCATGAGCGACTGCACCCAGCCTGTAGTGGGTATGTTTTTTAATTTGTTGCTTCTCTACTTGGTTTGTTCCCTTTTTTGTGTCAGATATGCTGGTGAATCTAGCTGCCTCATTTTATCTAGCCTCATTTGCCTTTCTTGCGTTTTCTTCCAGATGATTCATGTGTATTTTGCTAGTAGATATATCGGTTGGTTGGCTCCTTTGTTCTGACAAATCAACATAGAAGTGACTTGTTACAAGTGAGAACTGGTAATGACAGGAACCATAACAGCATGCTAATGGTCTTTGATAAATATGGTGAATGCACATGGTAGAATTTAAAGGTCTTGGTTTGAAGCCCTCCCAAGAGTAGTTGCAACTTTGAGGTTGGGTTTAGGAATAACTTCTGCAACCTTTAGCTTCACTCCTGGGAGAAACTTTGGATACATTTTACCTGCCTCTCTTGAGCTTCAGTTCCCATATTTGCAAAATGCCATGACTTATCTCTTAAGAATTTAGTTAGAATAAAACAGATACCGTAAGTTAAAAGAATACTTGGTTGTGCTCCAGCGTGTGTCTGTATCCGGAATAGGCTCATATGTAATTGGTAAATACGAGAATTATGTCAGTACAACAAGGAGATTGCTCTGGTTCATACGTGATTTTCCCCAGCATATTCATGTTTTGCATCAGGTAACAATAGTCGAGCTCAAAGTACACTAAGAGCTGAATGAAACAAGCCATGGTGGCCACTTGTGAATTCTTCCTGTTGGCCTAGTTTGGCCATGTTTTTAGTCTTTGAAGTTTTTGGAGGGGGTTGTTGTGCGATTCTCCCCCATCTCTTCACAGCCCCAAGTATCTTTTTTTTTTTTTTTTTTTTTTTTGAGACGTAGTTTCGCTCTTGTTGCCCAGGCTGGAGTGCAATGGCGTGATCTTGGCTCACTGCAATTGCCACCTCCCGGCTTCAAGCAATTCTCTTGCCTCCGCCTCCCGAGTAGGTGGGATTACAGGCACCCGCCACCACACCCGGCTAATTTTTGTATTTTTAGTAGAACGGGGTTTCACCGTGTTAGCCAGGATGGTCTCGATCTCCTGATCTCAGGTGATCCACCAGCCTCGGCCTCCCAAAGTGCTGGGGTTACAGGCGTGAACCACTGCGCCTGACTGATAATCAGGTTATAAAAGAAAAGAAACCACAGCAGTTCCATGGGTGAAGAATATTTATACCCTACCCAGTTTGATCCTGGAACCTTTTCCACAACTTGTCTTAAAATATGGTCCCATCTCCTTTATTTTTCCAATAGATCGCTGGATTCCTGTATAATTAGGGCTTCTCCATGTTGGTCAAGCTGGTCTCGAACTCCTGACCTCAGGTGATCCGCCTGCCTGGGCATCCCAAAGTGCTGGAATTACCTGCTTAGTGTGCTTCCTTCACCTGAAAGTTGTATCTTTATTAGGAACTTAATATTAAACATTTTTATTTGTATTTTTATTCACATTGCCTTTGTTAATATTTTGGTTACAAAGTGGCATAGGGATGGTCTTCCTTTTTTTTTCTCATAAAGTGCTTGTTACTTTTAGCATGTGACTGTGTAAAGTCAAGTTTTCCGGGAATGCTTATATTGTTTTATAGAGTGCACAGAAGAAACATTTATACTTATTTTTAAAATCTGGTACTATATTAGATGCCCAGTAAATGTCATTTTCTTCTCTTTCCCCTTCCTTTAAGGGTTTTTGATCACACTCAGTATAAAGTTCAAACATCTTAGCCTATGAGGGTCCCTCCTCCCCAAACTCTGCTGTGCGATCTGGCCCCTGGCCACCTCACAAACCTTATCTTGTTTCACCTTGTTCACCGTGCCCAGCCATTCCAGCTCCACACCCACTGAACAAGCTTATTCCTGTCTCAGCGTCTTAATTACTTTGTTCTTTGCCTCATACTCTGCCCTGAGATTGTTATATAGCTGATTCTTTTATGTCATTCCCTCTCAGTTCCAATGCCAACACCTCAGAGAGGTTACACTGAAATTACTGCCCACCCGCGGCAGTTTTCAGCCATCAGACCCTTATTCTCCACGTTGCAGTTTTGTCTCTCTGAAGTAACTTTGATCATTGTTTTTTTTTTTAAACGTCCCTCCAGAATTTAAACTGCATGAGAACAGGGAGGGGCTCTATTTTATGTGTCATTCTGTCTGCAGCTACCTAGAACAGGACCTAGCAGGTTCGTAATAAATAGTTGAGTGGATTGTTGTCTTAGGTATGTTTTCATGATTAGCTGGTAGTCTTAAATTGGTTCATCCTTATAATTAGAGTACTGGAAATAATTTATTAAAAGGTTAGCATTTAGGGGAGGGTCAGAAGAGGTTTTACTAAATGTTGAAATTTGGAAGCCCAGGGACATATGTGAGTGCCATACTTAAAGATGGCAATCGAGTCAAATAATAGAAAAAACGGGTAAATGGATAATTGATGGACCAATCTGAAAATGTGCTTTGTACTGATGATAATCATAAATGAGAAGTTAATGTTTTATTTTTATTTTTATTTTTTTTGAGATGGAGTCTTGCTCTGTCGCCTAGGCTGGAGTGCAGTGGCGCAATCTCGGTTCACTGCAACCTCTGCCTCCTGGGTTCGAGTGATTCTCCTTCTTCAGCCTCCTGAGTAGCTGGGATAACGGGCGCACGCCACCACACCCGGTTAATTTTTGTATTTTTAGTAGAGATGGGGTTTCACCGTGTTGGTCAGGCTGGTCTCGGACTCCTGACCTCGTGATCCGCCTGCTTTGGACTCCCAAAGTGCATGGGTCAGAACTCCTTTAGTTATATGATAGAAACTTCATGCAAACTTTTGGCTTAAGTTAAAAAGGGTATTCATTGGCATTGGCATATGGAATCCAAAAGTGGACTGATTGATTGGGAAGAGCATTGAGTCAGCTGGGATTTAGGAGCAACCGGAACCAGACCCATTTGGATGCTACCAGTAATCTCTGTCAACAGCCCTGCTATTTTCCTTTTTCAAAAAATTGAGATGGCTTCCCTTTGTTGCCCAAGCTGGAGTAAAGTGGTGCGATCACTGCCTCCTGCAGCCTTGACCTCCTGGGCTCAAGGAATCCTCCCACCTCAGCCTCGTCAGTAGCTGGGACTACAGACGTGCCCCACCATAGCCAGCTAATTTTTAAATTTCTTTTTTGAGACAGAGTTTTTCTTCTGCCCAGGCTGGAGTGCAGTGGCGCAATCTTGGCTCACTGCAACCTCTGCCTCCCGTGTTCAAGTGACTTTGCTGCCTCAGCCTCCTGAATAGGTGGGATTACAGGCATGCGCCATCACGCCTGGCTAATTTTTTGTGTTTTTAATAGAGATGAGGGTTTCTCCATGTTGGCCGGGCTGGTCTCGAACTCCTGACCTCAGGTGATTCACCTGCCTTGGCCTCCCAAAGTGCTGGGATTACAGGTGTGAGCCAGCTTGCCCAGCCATAATCAAACATTTAAATAATATTAGCATTTAAGAAAATTAACCAGTGGCTCACACATGTATTCCCAGTACTTTGGGAGGCCGAGGTGGGTGGATCATCTGAGGTCAGGAGTTCGAGACCAGCCTGGCCAACATGGTGAAATTCCGTCTCTATTAAAAATACAAAAATTAGCCAGGCATGGTGGCGCAAGCCTGTAATCGCAGCTACTCGGGAGGCTGAGGCAGGAGAATCGCTTGAGCCCAGGGGGCGGAGGTGTTGCAGTGAGCCGAGATCGCACCACTGCATTCCAGCCTGGGCGACAGAGCCAGACTCCATCTCAAAAACAAAAAACAAGAAAATTAACAAGTTACATATTCTGAACAACTTATTATTTTATTGATTTTTATTTATTTTACTTTTTAAATTTTCCCCCAGATATCAGTGCTGCAAATTTATTTATTTGTTTATTTTAATTAATTTTTTTTTTTTTTTAGAGACAGAGTCTCGCTCTGTTGCCCAGGCTGGAGTGCAGTGGCGCTATGTGGGCTCACTGCAAGCTCTGTCTCCTGGGTTCACCCGCCATTCTCCTGCCTCAGCCTCCTGAGTAGCTGGGACTACAGGCGCCCACCACCACGCCCGGCTAATTTTTGTATTTTTAGTAGAGATGGGGTTTCACCGTGTTAGTCAGGATGGTCTCGATCTCCTGACCTCGAGATCCGCACGCCTCGGCCTCCCAAAGTGCTAGGATTACAGGCATGAGCCACCGCGCCTGGCCTGAATAACTTATTATTTTAATGCTTCATTAGGTCACCAAAATAAGTAAATGGGTTGCCATGTAGAATAAGCCTTTTGTGACTTAAGATATTTGTTTCTGGATTTCAGTTGCTTCATCCTTAACACGTTATGTTGAATCTCTGAGAGGTTTTTTCTGGACCTAATGTTCTTTAACCCTATGATTGCATATATAATTTAAAAAATTAAGTGTGTTCACCCAAATTACAGGGAGTGTGTACAATACTGATCTCTGCCTGCACTGGTTTTTCTTAAAACATTTGCGTTTTCCAGGCACGTTCTCAATTTTGAATACATTAGTCTCAAAATATTTTTTAGATATCTGAAGAGGAAACTTCTATTTTATTCATTAAACTTGTGAGTTCAGGTGCATTTGTTACATTCTGTTTCATGGAAGAGAGAATTAAAATAATATCACCAAACACATTTTTGAGAATGATTTTTTTTCCTTTAATATCTTTATTTTCATGGTATGATTCCTGAATGTCAAAGCCAATTCTTCAGCAGCTAAGCTTTTATTTTGCTTTGTCTTGGAAATTGTGTACTAAAACTGTGTTTGTTAAGTAGTACAATACAATGTTATTCACATTTATAATCTTCTAAATACTAAAATAAGTTTCAGGAGCTGCTTATATTAAGTGCTAATTGAGAACCAGTGTACATTAAAATAATTTACCATAAAAAATAAGACATGAGAAGAAGGCAGGTGTCAGGGAATAAAGATGCCAAACAGTTTGGTCTTTTCTGGCAAACAGTTTTGTTTATGTCTAGCGTACAGTTTTTAAGTTGGTAAATGATGAGAAGGAGCTGGAAATTGGTAAGCAGGGCTCATATCATAAAGTGACTTCTTTGCTGTGCCTAAGGACATTCTTCTGACCGTAATAGGAACTAGTGAAGGATTTTAAACGGAACGGCAGGATTATGTTTCAACCTTGGATGTGTAGTGTGTGAAGGATGAGATGAGGATTTGGGAGGGAAGGGCCTTAGCTCTGGACAGGGGAGAAAGTTGAGCTGGTAGTAGTGTAATAGGTGTGAATGACACCAGTAATTCTTGGAGTATTGCAAACTAGTTCATGTTTCTGAATTCTGCAAAAAATGCAATTGGAGATTCATAAGAGAGTGGTATTGAAAAGAGCTAAGCATCCGGGTCTCCTTTCTGGCTTGCTACTGCTCCTCTTTTTCTGGGGAACAGGAGTATGAAGATTGGGAGTTTGTTGGGATGGGGAATTAATTTGCTTCTGAATAGCTAATGGACAAAAGCTAAAGCAGGAGGGTGTGTTATGGGAAGTTGCTATTGAGAATGAGGAATCCTTTGTCATCATCATAACCTTTTTTTTTTTTTTTTTTTTTTGAGATGGAGTCTCGCTCTGTCACCCAGGCCGGAGTGCAGTGGCACTATCTCAGCTCACTGCAAGCTCTGCCTCCTGGGTTCACGCCATTCTTCTGCCTCAGCCTCCCCAGTAGCTGGGACTACAGGTGCTTGCCACTCCGGCCGGCTAATTTTTTTGTATTTTTACTACAGACGGGGTTTCACTGGTTAGCCAGGATGGTCTCCATTTCCTGACCTCGTGATCCGCCTTGGCCTCCAAAAGTGCTGGGAGTACAGGCGTGAGCCACCGCACCCGGCCTGTCATCATAATAACCTTAACCAAGGGATAAATAAATTAGATGCTTATTTGAGAATAGTCACGTGAAAAATCGATTGGTATAAGTAGTTCATGAAGTTGCTAGTGGGTGTAATTTTTGAATTTCGGATTAGTCCCTTTTTCATATATTTTGACAACACTTCTAAAGATTTTACATTAATATAAAAGTCATTAGAATTTCTTTGATAACATTGGAGTGTTAATCTGGATTAAATGTATAACTGATTATAATTTAAAAATATTAACTTTTGAAATAATTTTAGATTTACAGAAAGTTGCAAAGTTAGTACAAAGTTCCAGTGTACCCTCACACTGCTTCCTCAGTATTACAGTCTTACCTAACCATGGTGTATTTATCAAACCTAAGAAATGAACATTGGTATAATACTAAACTATAGGTTTTATTTGGATTTCTCCGGTTTTTTCCACGAATGTCTTTTTTTCTGTTCCAATAGCCAATCCAGGTTCTCATGTTGCATTTAGTTTTCTCCTTAGTCTCCTCTGACCTGTGACAGTTTCTCAGTCTTTCCCCTTTTTCATGACCTGGACAATTTTGAAGAGTACTGGTTTGTCTGATATTTGTAATGATTAGACTGAGGTTATGGGTACAATACCATAGAGTTGATGTGCCTGTCTCATCACATCATATCAAACAGGGGACACTTATTGGTATATTTTAATCTTGGTGATGTTAATCTTGTCTCTTGGTTAAGGTAATGTGTGCCAAGTTCCTTCGCTCTGAAATTACTGTTTTTCGCTTCTCAACCTGCTCATTAGAAGTGAGTCTACTAATCTAGCCCTCATGCAAGGCAAAGGGATGTTAAGTTCTACGTACTAGAGGGAAAAGCATGGAAAATTTGTGGACATATGTTAAAATCACCACGGTAATTAAGAAATATGGTGTTTTGTTTTGTTTTGTTTTGTTTGAGATGGAGTTTTGCTCTTGTTTCCCAGGCTGGAGTGCAGTGGCACGATCTCGGCTCACTGCAGCCCCCGCCTCCCAGGTTCAAGCGATTCTCCTGCCTCAGACTGCGGAGTAGCTGGGATTACAGGCATGCATCACCACGCCCGGCTAATTTTGTATTTTTTGTTTGTTTGTGTTTAGTAGATACGAGGTTTCTCCTTGTTGTTCAGGCTGGTCTTGAACTCCTGACCTCAGGTGATCTGCCCTTCTTGGCCTCCCAAAGTGCTGGGATTACAGGCATGAGCCACCGCGCCTGGCCAAAGAAATATGTTAAAACCACTGTGGTAATTAAGAAATACTTTGGGGAGATGCTTTGAGGCTGTGCAGATAGCCATTTTTTTCCTTGAAAGTTTTGTCCAATAATTTTAGCATTCATCAGTGGATCTCATCTGGAGCAATACTTACTATGGCTTGGCTTGGCTTGGCTCGGCTTGGCTCTTCTCTTCCCTCTCCTCCCCTCCCCTCTCCCCTCCCCTCCCCTCCCTTCTCTCTCTCTCTCTTTCTCTCTCTCTCTCTTCTCTCTTTCTTGAGATGAGGGTCTTGCCTTGTCACTCAGGCAGGAGTGTAGTGGTACGATTATGGCTCACTAACCTTCCGATCCTGGGCTCATGCGATCCTCCTGCCTTGGCCTCCCAAAATGCTGGGATTAGAGGCATGAGCCACTGCATCTGGCCGATGACTGTGGTTTTCTAATGGTGTGATTTTTCTAGTTCCCTTATTCCTTTTTACATGCATTAATTGGGTTTTTTTTCTTTACAGGAGATTTGTTCCTTTTCTCCTGTATATTTACTTATTTATTCACTCATTCCATGACTTATGTCAGTGTGGACTTGTGGATATTTTTGTTCTTTGGGTTATAAGGGTTATAATTTTTTTTTTTTTTTTTTTGAGGTGGGAGTTTTGCTTTGTCTCCCGAGCTGGAGCGCAGTGGCGCAATCTTGGCTCACTGCAGCCTCTGCCTCCCGGGTTCAAGTGATTTTCCTGCTTCAGCCTCCCAAGTAGTTGGGATTACAGGTGCGTGCCACCATGCCCAGCTAATTTTTTGTATTTTTAGTAGAGACGGGGTTTCACCATGTTAGCCAGGATGGTCTCAATCTCCTGACCTATCCGCCTGCCTTGGCCTCCCAAAGTGCTGGGATTACAGGCGTGAGCCACCGCATCTGGCCATTCTTTGGGTTATAATTTAATGTTACCACTACTTGATTTGCTGCTACAGTTGTTCCACCTTTTGCCACTGGCACCTCTTTCAGGCTGGCCTCCTGTGCCCTTTCAACATGCTCTGTCCTTTGATTTTTTAAGCAGTTTCTTACTTTCTGACATAACAATTTGCTCCAAACTCTTCTGGTATTTTTCTTTTCTAGCCCTAGAGTCAGCCATTTCTCCAAAAAGCCCTGGATTTCTTTTTTCGGAATCACAGCAAACTTTTTTTTTTTTTTTTTTTTTTTTTGAGACGGAGTCTGGCTCTGTTGCCCAGGCTGGAGTGCAGTGGGGCGATCTTGGCTTACTGCAAGCTCCGCCTCCCGGGTTCACACCATTCTCCTGCCTCAGCCTCCCGAGTAGCTGGGACTACAGGCGCCCGCCACCACACCACACCTGGTTAATTTTTTTTTGTATTTTTAGTAGAGATGGGGTTTCACCGTGTTAGCCAGGATGGTCTCGATCTACTGATCTCGTGATCCACCTGCCTCGGCCTCCCAGAGTGCTAGGATTACAGGTGTGAGCCAGTGCGCCCGGCCAACAGCACACTTCTAATTCAGGAGGTAGTGTCTTCATATGGATTTTATGTGTGTATGTATGTATTTATTTATTGAGACAGAGTTTCACTCTTGTTGCTCAGGCTGTAGTGCAATGGTGCGATCTCAGCTCATTGCAACCTCTGCCTCCTGGGTCCAAGCAATTCTCCTGCCTCAGTCTCCCGAGTAGCTGGGATTACAGGCATGTGCCACCACACCTGGCTAATTTAGTATTTTGAGTAGAGATGGGGTTTCTCCATATTGGTCAGGTGTGTCTTAAACACCTGACCTCAGGTGATCCGCTCGCCTCGGCCTTCCAAAGTGCTGGGATTACAGGCGTGAGCCACCGCGCCTGGATTTTATAAGGTATCAGTATTGGCTTGAACGTGATTGTATAATAGTTTTTTCTTAAGGCTTTTGAACCACAGTTATTCACTCAGTGGGCTTCAAAAAGGTGTTTGCTACATGCCAGCATTGTTAGAACTGGGGATCCAGGGACAGGTAAGACATGATCATTGGCACGGTGGCTCATGCCTGCAATCCCAGCACTTTGGGAGGCTGAGGTGGGTGGATAGCTTGAGCTCAGGAGTTTGAGACCAGCTTGGGCAACATGGCGAGACCTCGTCTCAACAAAAAATACAAAAACTAGCTGGGCATGGTGGTGCATGCCTGTATTCCCAGGTACTTGGTGGGCAGAGGCAGGAAGATTGCTTGAGCTGGGGAAGTGGAGACTGCAGTGAGTGACACAGTGAGACCCTGTCCCAAAACAACAACAACAAAAACCATTGATCTCAAGGACTTTAGAATATAAATGTGAGAAAGACCTTTTTCTCCCCACCCGATTCTATCATTGAGTGCCTATTATGCTCCAGGCACTGTGCCACGTCAACAGGAAATAAGAGCCAGGTAAGCATAATACAGGCTGTTTTTAGGAGCACCTGGGAAGGGTTATTAACCCAGTGTTGGGCCAGGTGGAGTGTAGAGCAAATCTTGAAAGATTTGCTAGATATGGAGTTGTGGAGGGGTGGGGGAAGAAGGACATTCCAAAAAGAGGAATATTAGTGGAAAGACCGCCAGGGATAGTAATTTATGAGTTAGGTCTACAGGTAAGTGTTTTTGTGTGGGACGGTTGGTGTGGGAGTTGGAGGTAGTGATGACAGGATCCCAGGTCATGAGAGGCTTGTGGATAAGCCAAAGCTTTGGAAAGTTGAGGGACCTAGTGAAGGAATTTGAGTGGGGCTGCAGTGTAATCAGATAACCCTGGCAGCACCTTGGAGAATGCATTGGGATTCAGGAGGCTATTGTCATGATAGAGGTGAGAAGTGAAAGTCTTAACTAGGAACAGTGGAACAGTGGAATAGTGGTTCTCAGATTTGTGTGCATCAGAATCACCTGGAGGGCTTGTTAAAACACAGACTGCTCAACCCTGCCCCCCAATTTCTGATTCAGCAGGTCCTAGGCTAGGACCTGAGAATGTGCATTTTCAGCAGTTTCCCAGGTGATGCTGATACTGCTGATCAATAAGGAGTATTTTAGAGCCACTGGGTGGGATAAAGGGAGTGAATTAGGGGGAAGGATTTAAGTAAGTGGTCATTGTGGAACTCTTCATCTCCTGATCTTTTTGTTGGCAGTGCTCCTTAACTTTTGGTCTTCATCTCATTTACATCTTTTAGAGCTGCTGACTGTTTTGACCAGTGAAGAAAGAGTGAGGGATTAGTGTTTGGAAACAGTTATATGGGTATGGGTGCAGTTTGTCTTGTGTATTACCTTTGGAAAAGTTGTACCACTCCATTACTGGAAGTCTTTGTCATTTCTCTATTAAGCTTCAGTTATAACAGTGGTTTTGTAGTAGCATTGCCTGAATATACATGTAGTGCATAGTTTGCAAAATGTTCTAATATGGTAGCATTATTTTGAATAGTTTCTTATTCCATGTATCTGCCATGATCATGCTTTTCTTAGCTTTGACTCTTTAGTGTCTTCCTGGAACCCTTGTGATAGTAACTGAAATGTCAATCTGATTGTTTTTATAACTGTGAATCTTAACATAATGAAATAGTGCTTTTTAAAAAGAGAGATAATTGTAAAATTCAAAGATTTATCCACTTTTGTGGCTGCAAGGTGATTATAACTTATTTCTCCTTTAGGCTAATGATTACAAAAGGTATAAATTCTAGATTTAAAATCTAAAGAAATTGGTATCCATGGAATTTGGTCTTCACTAATGTTGGAACATATCGAAGTGATAAATTCCCACTTTATCGCTATTGATTAATGAACAACATTAAGAAAATGATAAAATGTAATTACTATTACCACCTTAACAACTGAGTTTTCATTTTTGTAAATATGTGGAGTTTTCATTTTTGTAAATATGTGGTCAAGCTTTAGGGATTCAAGAATCCTAAAATAATAAGAAAAAAAAAGTTAATCACTTAGTCTAAGATGACTGACTAGAGGGTAGTTGGATTGGTAAGGCAAAGACAGGGTAAGTCAACATTTGTTTCCCCCTCTCCAAATCTGTATTTTCCTATTATGGAAAACCATAAAATGGCTGAAGATTTCAATGAAGTGAATACTTTAAATAATTGTAAATCAAATAATGCAGCTTTTAGGCTTAATAAGTAAATGTAATTCAGAAATGATTGAATTTTTATTTTAATACAAATATTTTGTAAAGTATATGTTTATTATAGCATTAAATGTATACAAGTTTGTAGAGAGAGAAAAGTTCAGTATGTTCATTATGTTCACATCCTTTCATGAACACCAAGTGAAGCAGTAACAACTGATTGTGAAATACATTGTATTTGGAGCCTTTAGAAAACGGTTCATGGCCGGACGTGGTAGCTCACCCCTGTAATCCCAGCACTTTGGGAGGCCCAGGTGGGTGGATCACCTCAGGTCAGGAGTTCAAGACCAGCCTGGCTAATATGGTGAAACCCCGCCTCTACTAAAAATAAAAAAATTAGCTGGGTATGGTGTCGGGTGCCTGTAATCCCAGCTACTCAGAAGGCTGAGGCAGGAGAATCGCTTGAATGCGGGAGGCGGAGGTTGCAGTGAGCCGAGATTGCACCACTGCACTCCAATCTGGGCAACAAGAGTGAAACTTCGTCTCAAAAAAAAAAAAAAAGGTTTATTTCCGTGTTTTCTTCCATGTTGATTCTTTTTAACTTCAAGTAGTAATGTATTTCTTAGAATTTTGTGTACCTAAATGAACACTTTAATTAGAAGAGGATTCATAAGTTATTTTTAATTTACCTGTGACAGAATCCTAGTTTCTGTTATATAACATGGCCTAATGTATATTGTTTATATATTTATCTCATTACATGGAAGAATTTAGCTTAACTGAAAAGATGCTGAAAGTTTTTGGTTGTTTCCCATTTATTATTTGAAAGTCCAGAGTAGTAGTTATAAAACTTGTATTGGAGTTTTTGTCCTATAACAACACTTTTTTAAGATACTTATTTTTTTTGTTGTTTTTTTTGAAACAGTGTTTCGCTCTTGTTGCCCAGGCTGTAGTGCAATGGCATGATCTCGACTCACTGCAGCCTCCACCTCTCATGTTCAAGAGTCTCAGCCTCCCGAGTAGCTAGCTGGGATTACAGGCATATACCACTACGCCTGGCTAATTTTTGTATTTTTAGTAGAGATGGGGTTTTTCCATGTTAGTCAGGCTGGTCTCGAACTCCCAACCTTAGGTGATCCGCCTGCCTTGGCCTCCCAGAGTGCTGGGATTACAGGCATGAACCACTGCGCCCAGCCTAAGAGACTTAATTTTTAAAGAGCAGTTTTAGGTTCACAATAAAATTGAGAGAAAGACACAGAGGTTTTCCATACCCTCTGCCTCGTGTCCCCAGTTACCAACATCCTGCACCAGAGTGGTACGTTGGTTACAGTTGATGAACCTAAGTTGACATCATTATCACCCAAAGTCCATAGTTTACATTAGGGTTCACTCTTGGTGTTGTACGTTCTGCGTGTTCGACCAAATGTATAATGACATTTGCATCTTGCCTTATAATAGAGAGGATTTTCACTGCCCTAAACATTTTTTGTGCTTCACCTATTCATCCCTTCCCCCACTTCCTGGCAACCTTCTGGCTGCCTCCATAATTTTGCCTTTTCCAGAATGTCACATAACTGGAATCATGTAGTATGTAGCCTTTTTAGATTGACTTCTTTCATGTAGTAATATGTATTTAAGATTCCTCCATGTCCTTTCATGGTTTGATAGCTCATTTCTTTTTAGTGTAGAATAATAATCCATTGTCTGCATGTACCAAGTTTATCAACTTTGACCTACTGAAGGGCGTCTCCATTACTTCCAAGTTTTGGCAATTATGGATAAAGCTATTATAAACATCCACGTACCGGTTTTTGTGTGGACACAAGATTTAAACTTGTTGGGTAGATACCAAGGAAATGTTTGCTGGATCATATGGTAAGAGTATGTTTAGTTTTAGTAAGAAAGTGTTAAACTGTCTCCCAAAGTGGCGGTACCATTTTGTGATTGCACCAGCAATGAATGAGAGTCCTCTTGCTCCACATCTTCACCAGCATTTGGTGTTTTCAGTGTTCCAGGTTTTGACCATTCTAATAGGTGTGTAGTGATATTTCATTATTGTTTAAATTTGCAATCCCCTAATGGTGTATGTAGTAAGTCCATTCTCACACTGCTATAGAGAACAGCCCCAAACCAGGTAATTTATATAGAAAAGAGTTTTAGTTGACTCACAGTTCTGCATGGCTGGGGAGGCCTCAGGAAACTTACAATCATGGCAGAAGGGGAAGCAGGCACTTCTAACATGGCAGCAAGCAAGAGAGTGTGAAGGAAGAGAAGTAGGAAGAGCCCCATATAAAACCATCAGAGAACTCACTATTATCAGAACAGCATGGGGGAAGCTGCATGATCCATTCACCTCCCATGAGGCCCTTCCCTCAGCACCTGGGGATTAGAAGATGAGATTTGAATGGGAACACAAAGCCAAACCATATCAGTATATGATGTGGAACATCTTTTCACATGCATATTTACATACGTATGTGTTCTTTGAATAAGGTCTCTGTTTAATATTCTTGGCCTATTTTTAAAATAGGGTTGTATGTTTCCCTATTGGTGAGTTTTTAATGTATTTTTCCTTTATTGTATTTTATTTATCTCATTATCATTGTTATTGTTATTATTTTTAGAGATGGGAGTTTCACCATGTTGCCCAAGCTGGTCTCAAACTCCTGAGCTCAGCCAATCCACCTGCCTTGGCCTCCCAGAGTGCTGGGATTACAGGTGTGACCCACTGTGCCTGGCCTATGATCCATTTTTTTGGACAGGGTGTGGCTCTGTTGCCCAGGCTGGAGTGCAGTGAGGTTATCTTGGCTTCCTGCAACCTCCGCCTCCCAGGCTCAAGCAATCCTCCCACCTCAGCCTCCTGAGTAGGTGGGTCTACAGGGGCATACCACCATGTCCAGCTAATTTTTTGTGGAGATAACGCTTTTGCCATGTTGCCTAGGCTGGTCTTGAACTCCTGGCCTCAAGTGATCATCTTACTCAGCCTCCCAAAGTGGTGGGATTACAGGTGTGAGCCACTGAACCTGGCTCTGTGATCTATTTTGAGTTAGTTTTTGTGAAGAGTGTGAGGGCTGAGTCTAGACTGGTTTTTTGCATATGGATGTTTAGTTGTTCCAGCACTCTTTGTTGAATAGACTGTCTTTGCTCCATTGTATTGTCTTTGTTACTTTGTCAGAGATCAGTTTTCTATGTACAGATGTATTCTGGGCTATTTTGTTCCACTGATCTATTTGTTCTTTCACTAATACCATATTGTCTTGATAACTGTAGCTTTTTAGGAAGTCTTGAGGTCAAGTAGGGCAAATCCTTTCACTTTGTTCTCTCCTTCAAAAAAACTTCATATAAACTTAAGACTTAAGTTTGTTGATATCCACAAAATTTGCTGGGATTTTGATTGAGATTGTGTTGAATTTGTAGATCAAGTTGGGAAGAAATGACATCTTGACAGTATTGAGTCTTCTATCCAAGGAAATGGAGTATTTCTCCATTTATTTAGTTCTTTGATTTATTTCATCAGACTTTCTTCATATAGATCTTATCCATATTGTTAGATTTGTGCCTGAGTAATATAAATGGTTTTGTGTTTTTCACTTCAAATTGGGAAGCGATTGACTTTTGTATACTAACCTTGTATCCTGCAAGCTTACTGTAATTGCTTATTAGTTCCTGGAGTTTTTTTTGTCAGTTCTTTCAGATTTTCTGTGTAGACAATCATGTCATCTGTGAACAAAGATAGTTTTATTTCTTCCTTCCCATTCTTTACCTTTTCTTATTGTGTTAGCTAGAACCCATAACAAATTTTTAGATACGAGAAAGAAGGAAGGCATTAAGGTTAAGTAAAATGTAGTACTATCATACATTTCTTTGCCACGGTAAAAAAAAAAATTAAAACTTCAACAAACTCGAACATATGTTTAAAAATATTTTAAAGTAAATATACAATTTTTCCTACAATGCTGTAGAGTATTTGAAATTTTTAGGGATACCATAGTCTTGTAGTTCATAATCTCTATTCAGCCCAGCTCCAGAAGATGTGAAAAATGTCATTGAAATTTTGATAGAGATTTCATTGACTCTGCAGATAACTTTGGGTAGTATGGACATTTTAACAATATTCTTTCAGTTCGTGAACATGAGACATCTTTCCATTTATTTGTATAATCTTTTTCAATTTGTTTCTTCAAAAATTTAGAAGTAGGCTGGGCGCAGTGGCTCACGCCTGTAATCCCAGCACTTTGGAAGGCCGAGGCGGGTGGATCATGAGGTTAGGAGTTTGAGACCAGCGTGGCCAAGATGGGGAAACCCCATCTCTACTGAAAATACAAAAATTAGCCAGGTATGGTGGCAGGCGCTTGTAATCCCAGCTACTCGGGAGGCTAAGGCAGGAGAATCGCTTCAACCCGGGAGATGGAGGTTGTAGTGAGCCAACATTGCGCCATTGCACTCCAGCCTGGGCGACAGGCAAGACTCCACATTTCAAAAAAAAAAAAAAAATTGAAAATAGGGAGTGATGTGTAAATTAAGCCATTCCAAGTTTTAACAATTTAGGGGCCATTTGAAGGTCTTTGCAGGAGGGAATACTCGGATAGCAAACATTGTGGTAGTTGTAAACATGAACAGTTTTTAATGTCAAGTCAGGGAGTCCTAACCAAGCCACAATAATGAATTTTACTCAGCTCTGGAACAAGAATTTTGAAATGTTATGTTAGTTGTTTTACGGTATGTTGCTGAGCGTATGCGTGTGCACGGTTGGTGTTAAGAAGGGCGTATAATCTGCTGGGCTTTCTCTATTGTTGATTGTTGCTAATAATTCTCTGGTTGAAGAAAAATATTTCCTTTTCAGGAACGTATTGGGAATATATTTGAGGTGAGTAAAGGTATATATTCTTTTTTGTGCTTGGGCAGAAGTACTGAGTTTTTACTGTTTAATTGTAATAACATAAATCTAAACTATTGATACATTTTGCGTATTTATGTGTATATCTATGTGTATAGAAAGTGATACATATGAATTGAAGCTGATTACTGCTTCAGAAAAGATTTGTTGGCTAGGTAATATATTCACGTTGTTCAAAATTCATAAGTATTCTCTCCCCTACCCCTACCCCTACCAAGTTACTTTCCTAGAGCTAACCACTGTCATCAGTTTTCTTTGTATCCTTCCAGATATTTTATATATATAAAAGTAATTAAGTGTATACTTTACACCCTCTCCCCAGTATTGTTTTAAATACAAATATTAGGGTACTAGTCACTTTGATGTGTTTTGCTGTTTTTACCTTATATATTTTACATCTTCTCACATCTACACAAAGAGCTTTCTTTTTTTTTTTTCAGACGGAGTTTTTGCTCTTGTTGCCCAGGCTGGATGGTAATGGCATGATCTTGGCTCACTGCAGCTTGCACCTCCTGGTTTCATGTGATTCTTCTGCCTCAGCCTCCTGAGTAGCTGGGATTACAGGTGCCCGCCACCATGCCTGGCTAATTTTTTTGTATTTTGAGTAGAGACGGGGTTTCCTCATGTTGGCAGGGCTGGTCTCGAACTCCTGACCTCAAGTGATCTGCCCGCCTTGGCCTCCCAAAGTGCTGGGATTACAAGCGTGAGCCACCACGCCCGGCCTCTTTTTTTTCTTTTAAATGGCTGCAAGACATTTTACTGTATTGGTACTCCATAGTTTAACCGGTCCCTTCATTGATGGATATTCAGGTTGCCTCAGTCTGTGGCTGTGGCAATGTTGAGTGAATAACCTTGGTACATAGATCATTCCCTATGCATAAAAGGATATCTGTATGATAAATAAATAATTGGAATTGCTGGGTCAAAGGATACGTGCATTTGTAAATAATTAGGGTAGTGACTGCCAGACTGACTTCACAGAGGCTGTACCGGTTTACATTCCTGCTCTCAATGTGTCTCTGCCCATGTTCTTGCCAACATAGTGTTACCAAATGTTTTGCTCTTTGATAATCTGCTAGTGAAGATATTACTTTAGTGTCTTTCTGATTTCTTTTTTATTTTGAATAAGATCGAGCATCTTTTTGTATATTTAAGTCATTTCTTCTTAGCGGACTTTTATTTTGGGCACTTCCATTTTTTATTGTGCTGTAATTTACATAAGGCAAAGTATACACTTGTAGATGTATAACTCAGTAAACTTTCTTTTAGTTGAGGTATGATTTACTTTCAATAAAATGAACAGATGTTAAGTGTACTGTTTTGATGAGTTTTAACAGCTCATGTAAAACTGACCATGTAACCCACCCCAGTCAAGATTTAGAACATTTCCATCACTCAGAAAATTTCCTCAGGCCCCATTTTGTTTTTCCTTCTCTCCATCTTAGACAATCAGTTTTCTAATTTCTGTTACCATAAATTAGTTGTGCCTATGATTTTTTAAAATTAAAACATATTATCCACCCTTGTAACTACCAACAAAATTGAGACATGGAACATTTCATGCCTTCCGGCAGGCAGGCTCCCTTGTCCATTCTTCCAGTCAGTATCTTGCCCACCAAAGGTAACCACTGTATTGACCTGTGTTCACTAGAGACTGGTCATGTAAATCTGTGCTTCATCATTTATTGTATCAAGCAGTAGTTTCTTTTTCATTGATACACACGCATAAGTGTAATACTACTATCTATTTTACTCTTTGGACAGATATGTGGCGTTTTCAACATTGCGCTATTCTGAATAAAACTGCTGTGAACATTCTAAAGCACTTAACATCTTTTTGGTGTATTAGAAATGAAATTGATAATAGGATGTAGATATATGTTTAACTTTAGAAACTGCTATAACCATTCCTCAAAGTGATTGTGCCAGTCTGCTCTTTCACTAGCAGTGTTTGTAAGTTCTAGTTGCTCTGTGTTTTTGTCAACACTTAATATTTTTAGTTCTTTTTTAGTTTCAGCTATTTGAGTGGGAGTGTGTGGTGTCTCATTGTGGTTATAATTTGAATTTCCTTGGTGACAAATGATGTTGAGAATATTTTCATGTGCTTATTGTTGATATATGATTCTTAACTGGGTGATGGGTCTTAGATTTTTTTTTTTTTTTTGAGTCAGAGTCTCACTCTGTCACCCAAGCTGGAGTTCAGTGGCATGATCTTGGCTCACTGCAACCTCTACCTCCCTGGTTCAAGCGATCCTCCTGCATCAGCCTCCCGAGTAGCTGGGATTATAGGCATCCACCATCATGCCTGGCTAATTTTTATATTTTTTTGCAGAGATGGGGTTTCACCAAGTTGGCCAGGCTGGTCTCAAACTCCTGACCTCAGGTGATCCACCCGCTTCAGCCTCCCAAAGTGCTAGGATTACAGGCGTGAGCCACCGCGCCTGGCCAATTAGTGCCTTTTATGTAGGGTTTGACATTATTAGTGCTGAGTTCAGAATCTTTTACTTGCATTTGAGTCACTGAAAAGTGTAATTAACCTAACTGGCTCATAATGTAAATAAAAATGTGAGATATGTGTGGGAAATAACCTGTTTGCTGACTGCTTGTAGAAGTCTTTTTTTCAGTCAGGGTTTTGGGGAAAAGAGAACTTAAGGGGTAGCATGTAAACTAGCTAAAAGAAACACATGGGAAAGCAAGGAGTCAAGGACTGGCACAGGGGTTATCTAAGATGATAGGCAAAACAGTCAGAGAAACAGGAAAACAAATTAGACTATAACAAATGGAAAATTATGCTGTTAAGCATTTACCAAATTTCCAAAACGGAAACACAACAAACCTAGGTGTGTTTGTGTACATTTGTGTATCTAAGATTAACTGGCTTTGTTTTAGTACTTGATATAAATTTTTTTACATTTCTAGAGAATGTTTTAGATCTTTATTTTTTTTTTTTTTGAGACAGAGTTTCACTCTGTCACCCAGGCTCGAGTGCAGTGGCGTGTTCTCGGCTCACTACAACCTCCGTCCTCTGGGCTCAAGCAGTCCTCGCATCTCAGCCTCCCAAGGAGCTGGGACCTCAGGTATGCACTACCATGCTTGGCTAACTTTTGTATTTTTAGTAGCGATGTGGTGTCACCATGTTGGCCAGGCTGGTCTCGAACTCCTGACCTCAGGTGATCCACCCTCCTCAGTCTCCCAAAGTGTGTGGATTACAGGTGTGAACCACCACGCCTGGGCTAGAATGTTTTAGCTCTTTATAAACATGTTTTATGATTTAGGACTGAGTTTCAAATAATAAAAAATAATCGAGAGCTTGAAGAAAAAGAATTCATTGGGAAGTATCCCATCAAACCCAGTGCAAGTAATATATCCTGGAATTGGAAGCAGAATGGGAACTATGGACTCAGTGAAGATTGTTCTGGACATTATTTGATTCTTCTTTCTCGCTGCCAATTGGATACTTTTTTTTTTTTTTTTGAGACAGAGTCTCGCTCTGTCGCCCAGGCTGGAGTGCAGTGGCGCAATCTTGGCTCACTGCAAGCTCAGTCTCCCGGGTTCGCGCCATTCTCCTGCCTTGGCCTCCTGAATAGCTGGGACTACAGGCGCCTGTCACCACGCCCAGCTAATTTTTTGTATTTTTAGTAGAGATGGGGTTTCATCGTGGTAGCCAGGATGGCCTAGATCTCCTGACGTCATGATGCACTACCATGACGTCCTCCCAAAGTGCTGGGATTACAGGACTGAGCCACTGCGCCCTACCAGATACTTCTACTTACATGGTTTGCAAAGCAGCTAAACAAGGCCTCCAACAGCTCTTCAATTTACTTGTTATTTGAGCTTCTTGAGAAAGTACTATTATTTTGTTCCCTCTTGCTCCATTTTCCCCACTCTTTATTGGATTAAGTAATGTGCTCAGGGTTACATGCAAATCTAGCTGTCTAGCCTTGCTCTTCACCACTACTTTATATTAAGTTAAATTAAACTATGAGGTTAAATGCATTAATGTGGTGGTATTAACGACCTTGACCTATTAATATAGCTTAAAAAATTTTTAAACAAATAGACATCCTAAATTTTACTGCAAAAACGTAGCATCCTTATGAAGATGCAAAACTAGTGTCTTGAAACTCAGGGGCCAGCATCGCTTCACTTGGAAACAGTGGCCATCATTAGTCTTTACTAAGCCCTGTGCATCAGGTGGCAGCAGGGACATTACTTATTTAGGACTTTCGTAGGAGCTGGTACTTTGTAACACTTAACGCTGATTATAATTATTTACTTGGATGACTTTTTTCTTTTCCTACCTGATTTTTGCACACTGACATATCTTTAGTGCTTCAAAGGGGTGCTATAAATTTGGTGCTTATTTTAAGAAAGAAGAGAGAATGGATATAAAAACTCATGCTGCTGAAAATGTGATGAGAATTTTGTGTCTTGGTTTTTCAAGTAGTTATTTTGATCAAGCTTGTCATTTATATGTGTATAAATTATATATATTGACTTTTCTATAGTATTTCTTTTAAATAAATCATACAGTTCTCACAACAGCATTGAATGTACTTTATTTTAAAATAGAGGGCCCTTATTTTATAAAATGTATACTCCAGTTGTGGTATAAGTGGTAATTTCCTTACCATTTTTAAGGTAATCTTTTTAGCATTAGAGAATTGATATAATTTCAAGTAGCTACTTCTTTCAGTATTGGAAGTGAGCTATTTACTTTCCTCAGCAGCAGGAGAATCAGCCTCAGCTTTTTAAACCTATGGTAGAAACTGATTTCTCTCTTTTTTTTTTTACCCATTGAGAAAATCCAGCTGAGTTCCACATAAGTAAAAACTGTCTTTACCACTGCAGGAATTAAAAATAAAAAATTCTTCTTGTTCTTTTTACATTTTAGGAGAATTAAAACTTTTAATAGGGTATCTCTACATTGAGGCTCTTTGAATGCTAATAATTTTAGAGACCATATTGTATTTATTATAGCTTAGTTTTGGAGGTGGGAAAATACGTCCATTTAGTGGCCTTAGTAGTTTAATGTGGCCCGCAGGATGGATGTTTCTCTTCTTGATTTATATTGTTTATAGAAGAATGATATCTCTTTAATATTACTTGAGGGGCTGGGGAGGTTAGGTTAATTTCTTGGGTTTATATAGCCTTAGGGCTGTTAGTAGTGTCCAATTTTCTTTAATCTAGAGGTGCTCAAACAGAATCCCTAAAGCGCCACAGATGATTTTCTAATCATATCTATATGCAGGTCTGTCAGCTTCTTAGCTCTTCCTGGTTACTGCTGCTGAAATGTCTCCTGGGAGCAACACCATAGCAACAGGATTTTCAGGGTCTAATATATAATATGAAATTTAGGAGTATACCATAGGGATGAATGGCTCTTCTGTCAGTTGTAGTCTTGTTTTAAATTCCTATATTGGCCGGACGTGGTGGTTCACGCCGGTAATCCCAGCACATTGGGAGGCCGAGGCGGGCGGATCATGAGGTCAGGAGTTCGAGACCAGCCTGGCCAACATGGTGAAACTCCGTGTCTACTAAAAATACAAAAATTAGCTGGGCATAGTGGTTCGCACCTGTAATCCCAGCTACTGGGGAGGCTGAGGCAGGAGAATGGCTTGAACCCAGGAGGGTAGAGGTTGCAGTGAGCCAAGATTGTGCCACTGCACTCCAGCCTGGGCGACTGAGCAAGACTGTCTTAAAAAAAAAAAAAAAAAAGAAAAGAAACAAATCCTATATTTACAGTGGAATTTGCAGCAGGGTTTTTTTTGTTTTTGTTTTTGTTTTACTTTTTATTTTTTAGAAATAATGTTATAAAAACTATCCAGTTCTTCATGTAGATTGTTTTATTGAAAACTACCGTGGTGGGACCTTAAGATATATGAGATAGCCTCACAGTTTTCCAACCTACCTATGAGCAAACCTATTAGCCTTGGGGGTGGGGGGAAACAACTAAAATAAAACACTTAACGAGGATAGTATTTATGATCTTCAAACAAACTTCATTGAGCTGTACTTTACATATGATAAAATGCATTCATTTGAGGTGTATTTGAATAATATACAAATGTATATACCTGTGCAACTACCACAATTTAAGACGAAGATCACGTATAAAACTGGAAAAGTTCCCTTGTTCCCAATTGCAGTTAGTCCCCTTTGGCACGCCCATCCCAGGAAACGGCTAATTTGCTTTCTAACACTGCAGGTTAGTTTTGCTTCTTGAGAAATTTCATATGAATGGAATTCCATTCCATTTTGTGGTAGGGAGAATAAAGATCCCTCTAAGACATCCATACTCTAATTCCCAGAACCTGTGGGTATTTAACCTTCCATGGCAAAGGCATTTTACACATGTGATTAAGAGCCTTGATGCAGAGAGTGATGCCAAGGTAATCCTCATTTAAACCAGCAAGGTCACTTATAACCCAGAGTGTTCTGAATTGAGTACAAATGTGCTATTTCTTTATGTTAAATTCAGAATTTTATAGTATTATATACTAAATCATGCCAGCAAGTCTAATCTCATCATACAGATCCTTAAAATCTGTAGTGAGAGGGTGATAGGACTAATGACTGCTGAAGAATGGTCAGATGCACACATTTCTTGGCTTGGAAGATGGAGGACGAGGCCCTGAGCCAAGGGAATGCTGGTGCCTCCAGAGTCTAGAAAAGTCAAAAGAAACTAATCTGCTTTAGGAGCCTCCGGAGAGGAAATTTTTTTTTCTTTTTGTTTTTTGAGATAGAGTCTCATTCTGCTACTTAGGCTGGAGTACAGTGACACAATCACAGCTCACTCCAGCTTTGACCTCATGGGCTCAAGCAGTCCTCTTACCTCAGCCTCCCAAAGTGGGATTACAGGTGTGAGACACTGTGCCTGGCCCAGAGAGGAATGATTACACCTGTTTACACCTTCATTTTAGCCCAGTGAGACCTGTGTCAGACTTGTAACTTACAGAACTACAAATTAACAAATTTGTGTTGTTTTAAGCTACTACGTTTGTGGTAATTCATCATCTAGCAAGAGTAGAAAGTGATACATACACTGTGTATTTTGTGCTTGACTTGTCCCTCCTTGAATTGTCATTTTGTTGTGCGGATGTAGCACAATTTTTTGTCCATTCCCAGTTGATGGATATTTGTGTTGCTTCCAGCTTTGAGCTATATTCTAGTGTATAGTAGTATATAGAAACTAGTATCTCCTTGTGTTTTAGTTTTTACTTCTGAGGACATTCATACATCTTTTTGTGAACTGTTCAAATATTTTGCTCCTTTGAAAATTTGGGTCATATGTCCTCATGTAATTGTTGTGGCATTCTTTTTTATATTCCAGACACAAGTGTTTTGTCAGAATTTTATATATATATATATAAATGTATGTGTGTGTATATATATATAAGTGTGTGTGTGTGTGTGTGTGTGTGTGTGTATGTATATATATAATTTTTTTTTTTTGAGATGGAGTCTCACTCTGTCCCTAGGCTGCAATGGCGTGTTCTTGGCTCACTGCAACCTCTGCCTCCTGGGTTCAAGGGATTCTCCTGCCTCAGCCTCCCGAGTAGCTGGGATTACAGGCGCCCGCCACCACACCTGGATAATTTTTGTGTTTTCAGTAGAGACGGGGGTTTTGCCATGTTGGCCAGGCTGGTCTCAAACTCCTGATGTCAGATCCGCCCTTCTTGGCCTCCCAAAGTGCTTAGATTACAGGCGTGAGCCACCATGCCTGGCCTATATGTCTTGATTTTTCATTCCTTTCGTGCCTTTTTTTTTTTTTTTTTTTTTGGTAGAGTAGAAGTTTCACGTTTTCATGAATTCTAGGTTTTTTTTTTTTAATGGTTTCTGTTTTTTTTTGTTCTAAGAAAGTTTATCCTGTATTTCTATTTAGAAGTTTTAGAGTGTTAGCTTTTAGATTAAAAAATGGTTTACTTTTTTTATTTTGAGATGGAGTTTCACTCTTGTTGCCCAGGCTGGAGTGCAATGGTGCAGTCTCGGCTCACCACAACCTTCACCTCTCGGGTTCAAGTGATTCCTGTGCCTCAGCCTCCCGAGTAGCTGGGATTACAGGCATGTGCCACCACGCCTGGCTAATTCTGTAATTTTAGTAGAGATGGGGTTTCTCCATGTTGGTCAGGCTGGTCTCGAACTCCTGACCTCAGGGGATCCGCCCTCTTCCCGGAGTGCACGGATTACAGGCATGAGCCACTGCAGCCGACCAAAACTGATATAATTTTTGTGTATGGTATGAGGTAAAAGTTGAAGTTCATTTTTTTTTCTATGTGACTATTCAGTTGTTTTCGTACCATTTCTTGGAAAAAAGAAAAAAACTATCTTTCTCCTTTTGAAAGTCCTTAGTATCCTTTAAGATCAGCTTTCCTTATGTATTCACATTATTTATAGACAATGACTATTTATTTATTCTTTTAAATTCATACACCTTTTGTTTCCCAAATTAAATTTCTTTCATAGATACAGAACAACATAGATCAAAAAAATCTTGAGTCATTTTTGGTAACTCATGTCTTTCAAAGGAGTTTTATTTCTTAAAGAAATTATTAGCTTAATATTCTTTCAATTAATGTGGAGTCTGTGGCTATGTTTTTTTATTTTTCATAATTCACAATACAAATCTTGATCAGTTTAGTGAGAGGTATCAGTTTTATTGATTTGTTCAAAAGACAGTTTAGTTTCACTGCTTTTTCAGTGTTGTGTGTCTGTTTTCTGTTGCATTGATATTAGCGCTTTCTTTGTTTAATTTGCCCTTTTTCTAGCTTCTTAAACTTAGATCAGTGATCTCAAATTCGTTTTGTTTGTGAAATAGTGCCCTTAAGGTGTTGCTTTAGCTGCATTTTACTATTTTTGGTACGCTCTTCTCTTTTCATATACTTCAGAATGATTTTTAATTTTCATTGTGATTTCTTCTTTGAGCCTTTGTTTACTTTAGGAATATGTTTATCTGATTTCAAATATTTGGTAACTTTGTATGGGACTTTTCTTTGTAGCCAGAGAAAATACTCTGTGATTTAAATCTTTTAGATTTGCATCTGTTTTGTTCTCTGTGTGTGATCTCTTTTGTTAATGTTTTATTTGCACTTCAGTATTTTGTATTATTTTTATCGGATGTTTTCTGTAAATACGAGTCCAGTTTGTCAAGTGTTTAGATCTTCTGTGTTATTAATTTTTAGTTTTATTATTTACAGAGAGAAGGGTGTTAATCTCCAACTCTAAATATGATTTCTTTTTAAAAAGTTCTGTCGGCCGGGCGCGGTGGCTCATGCCTGTAATCTTAGCACTCCGGGAGGCTGAGGCGGGCAGATCATGAAGTTAGTAGTTTGAGACCAGCCTGGCCAACATGGCGAAACCCCGTTTCTACTAAAAAAACAAAAATTAGCTGGGCATGGTGGTGGGCGTCTGTAATCCCAGCTACTCGGGAAGCTGAGGCTGGAGAATCTCTTGAACCTGGGAGGTACAAGTTGCAGTGAGCTGAGATTGTACCATTGTACTCCAGTCTGGGCAACAAGAGCAAAACTCCTTCTTAAAAAAAAAAAAGTTTGTCAATTTCTAGATTACAGATTTCCAAATTAAGGTGTTAGGTACACACATTTAGAATTTTTATGTTATCTTGATGGATTAACCACTTTATCATTAAGAAATGTTCCTCTTAGTCCTTGCTCTAGAGTACCTTGTTTGATATTAATGTATTAATAATCAGATTATACTTAGAGCTTCCTTATGCTTAATTTTGTCATGAGATATATTTTCCATTTTTTATTTATCATCTGTTTTCATAGTTAACATGGGATTCTTTTAAACAGGATATAGTTGGATTTTTGTTTGTTTTTAAATTCAGGCTGATAATGGGATTTAGATAATTTGCATTTAACATAATTATTAATGTGGTTGAATTTATACCATATTTGTTTTTTGTCTTATCTGTTCTTTTTTTTTCTTGGCGCCTTGATTTAGTAATTATTAGCACTCTATATTATTTCTACTATTGTCTTATTAGCCATACCTCTTTAGTGGCTACCCTGCAGTTCACTTGTTCCATACTTTTTTTTTTTTTTTTTTTTGAGATGGAGTTTTGCTCTTGTTGCCCAGGCTGGAGTGCAGTGGCGCGATCTTGGCTCACTGCAACCTCCGCCTCCCGGGTTCAAGTGATTCTCCTGCCTCAACCTCCTGAGTAGCTGGGATTACAGGCGCGTGCCACCACGCCCAGCTAATTTTTTTAGTAGGGGTTTCATCATGTCTGCCAGGCTGGTCTCAAACTCCTGACGTCAGGTGATTCACCCGCCCCGGCCTCCCAAAGTGCTGGGATTACGGTCGTGAGCCACCGCGCCTGGCCTTTATTGCATACTTTTTACAGTCTATGTTCAAGTAAAATTATTGCATTTCACATATAGTGTTAGATTTTTTATAATAGCATACATCTATTTCTCCCTTTTATGTACTATTTTTGCTGTGCATTTTATATGCTGTAAACACTGGATATTATTTTTACTTTAAACAGTTAATTACTCATTTAGAGGAACTTTTGAAATGAAAAGTCTTATATGTGCATGCGTATTTACTAGTTTGGGCACTCCACATGCCTTTGGGAAGATCGAGGTTTTCCACTTGTATCTGCTGTTTTCTTTCTGCTGAATAACTTCCTTTAACACTTCTTCTAGTCAGGTCTCTTGGTGAGAAATTCTATCTACTTTTAGTTTGGTAGAGTCTTTGTTTCCCCCTTCATTTTCAAGGATATATTCACTGAGTATAGAATTATGTGTTAATCTTTTTACTTCAACACTTTATTTTATTTTATTTTATTTTTGAGACACTATTTCACTCTGTTGCCCAGGCTAGAGTGCAGTGGTGCAATTTTGGCTCACTGCAACCTCCACTTCCCGGGCGATTCTCGTGCCTCAGCCTTCCCAGTAGCTGGGATTACAGGTGCACGCCACCACGCCCAGCTAGTTTTTTTATTTTTAGTAGAGATGGAGTCTCACCATGTTCGTCAGGCTGTTCTCCAACTCCTGACCTCAAGTGATCCACAAACAGTGTGGTTCTGTTGGGTAGCACCAGCTTAATAGGAATGTGAGCCAGAATTGCGAAGATCTAAGCAGGCTTTTAGGAAAGGTGTGTGGAAAATGGAAAAAGAGCAAAGGGAGATAGAAGCAATAATAAGGTAATTAGGGATAATCAAGAACAAAGTAAATGGGCTATCAAATTCTGAGATGGCTCTAAGAATGATGGTTAGAGAAATCTATATAGAAAATAATATATAGAGATATATAGAACCTAGGACCAACATGACTTGAATAGTGAGGAAATACAGATGACAGCTTTCTGCAAAAAGCTAAGAAAAAGGGTAGGGCGGCCGGGCACCATGGCTCACGCTCACGCCTGTAATCCCAGCATTTTGGGAGGCCGAGGCGGGCAGATCACGAGGTCAGCAGTTCAAGACAAGCCTGGCCAAAATGGCGAAACCCCATCTCTACTAAAAATACAAAAATTAGCCGGGCGTGGTGGTGGGTGCCTGTAATCCCAGTTTAAACCCAGGAGGCGGACGTTGCAGTGAGCTGAGATCGCGCCATTGCACTCCAGCCTGGGCAACAATAGGAAGACTGTTGAAAAAAAAGGTGGGCCTTGAATTAGTCAAGTACTTGGCTCTGGGGAAATTAATGAGAAGATAGATCTGGGAGTGAAAAGTAAAAAGCATAATCTAAAGTGAATGTAGCAACTTAAAAGGTTCCGTGGACTGAAAAAGAAGGGTGACAGCTGGGAGCATCTTTGGAAGAAGTTTTCAACATAGCCAGGCTGAATAATCTAAACTTCTAATTTGCTATAATCATAGTTAATTTATTTCTCATTCACTCATACTGTTACCCATTTGAATCAACTTGGAACAAATTGTATTCAGTAGTAGTATTTAGGACAAAAGAGTACAGTTTCTTGCTCTTGTGCCCCAGGCTGGAGTGCGATGGCGCTATCTTGGCTCACTGCAACTTCCACCTCCCAGGTTCAAGTGATTCTCCTGCCTCAGCCTCCTGAGTAGCTGGGATTACGGGTGCCTGCCACCACGCCCGGCTGATTTTTGTATTTTTAGTAGAGACAGGGTTTCACCGTGGTGGCCAGGTTGGTCTCAAACTTCTGAACTCAGGTGATCTGCTGCCTTGGGCTGGGATTACAGGTGTGAGCCACCGTGCCCGTCTGGGAAAATTCTTTTTATCCTTGGGTGATGAAAAATTAGTCTGATATTTCACAGTGGCTGAGACAGAGCATATGCCTCAGGTGTTCTGGAGGACAGCTGATTTCACACTCAGCCTGTTTTTCATTTTATTGTGTAAACCAGTGGTCCCCAACCTTTTTGGCACCAGGGACCAGTTTTATGGAAGACAGTTTTTCCACGGACAGAGGGTAGGCGGGTGGTTTCATCAGGCATTAGTTAGATTCTCATAAGGAGCGTACAGTCTAAGTCCCTCAAATGTGCAGTTCACAATAGGGTTCACGCTCCTGTGAGAATCTAATGCTGTAGCTGATCTGATAGGAGATGGAACTCAGGTGGTAATGCTGGCCCCACTGCCGTGGACTGGTGCCCACAGCTGCAGCCGGGGGTTGGGGACCCCCATCATCAACTAAGAAAATCAAATGCAACTGTTTTTAATACTGCTTTTGATACACACTGGTAATGTTAAGCTATACTGAAACATAAATACTTGAAAAATACTTCATCAGGAGAGGTGGTTCAATGTGAAAAATGTGTGGCTCTCAGTCACAGATTTGGCTTTCTTCCCAGCTTTGCTTTTATATACCACTGTGGCCCTTCACAAGTGACTCAACTTTCTCTTCACCACAGCGGTGCTATCTATAAAATAAAGGAGTTGAACAGCATGTTTAAAGTGTCTGATTCTGTGATTCTATGTGTTTTTATTATTACTGGCTTTTCTGAGCTACCTCAGAAACAAGTATATTATGTATAGTTATAACCTTATTTGTAAGAAAGAATGTTTTAAGTTTTGAACAACTCACCTTCCAATACAGTGAGGTCCGATCTCAGATTCTCACATGTTCCAGTTTGTGTCTTACTTTTTAAATGAAGGTAAAATAAAAAGCTTTGTGACTGTTTCTCCTTATTAATACCTCACTCTATTACCTTCCAGGCTTACCTTAACTGGAATTATGTCAGCGTCCTTAGATAATTACTTTCTGTTAGAGCCTGCTCAGCTGCATGGCACCTAAACAGAGGCCTACACAGGACATATTTTTCCACACACAAGGTCATTTTGGGAGTTGAGGTTAGTCAGGTAGAGCTGGGAATACTACCAAGAAATGGTAAGAAACATTCTACAACATCAAACTATGTGACATGGAAAAACAGTACCTGAATCTGAGGACTTCAAAGAGACATCGTATTTTGTTTTGTTTTCCTAGGTAACTCAGTCTGTAGTTGCTGAAAGAGGAGGAAAGGATTAGACACTGGTCAGTTTTCAGTTTTAGTGACCTGATAGCTTTTGGTCTCTGGATTTGGCATGCATGAAGGCATCCATCCTGCTTGGAGCATTTCATAGTAGCTGCACATTCCTGTTGTCTGGCTTATTTTGCCGAGTTTTAAGGAATTGAGGACTCTGTACTCTGTTCAAATATCAACTTCTTTGACACCACACTGTTTGCTCCTCTGTTGTATTCTTGAATACCATTCCATATGTCTCTCTAAGGCCAGTTTGTTAATTTAAAAAAATCTTCCTTACTACCGGGCTTTTCAGTTTCTGGGGAAGACAATTAAGAAGGTGCATTTGGCTCTTGGTTGACAACATCTTGATTGTTCTGAAAACAACCCTTTTTGACACTAAATTCTAGTTTGATACTCTTGTTTGGAATCAGATAAGAGAAAAAACGGGACTTTGTGGTTTAAATATTGAATAAATTGTATAGTATGCTACATATGGCATGTTCTCAAAGTAGATAATCTGGGATAACAAATATATTAATACCCACTTTAAGATTTATTTAAATTGACGTTTCCTTAGTTATATTAGAATAATTTTAGAGCAGAGGTCAGCACACTGTTTATGTAAAGGATTAAGGGTTAGATAATAAATATTTTAGGCATGTACTGAAGTCTGCTGTTAGGAAGCAGCCATGGATAGTATGTAAATGAATAAGCACGGCTGTGTTCCAGTAATGTTTTATTTATGATACATTGAAGTTTGTATGATTTTCACAGTCGCGTTGTGTCCCCCTCCGGCCCCCCCAACCATTTAGAAATGTAAAAATTATTCTTAGCTTATGGGCCATACGAAAGCAGGTAGGATTTGGCCCACGGGCTGTCATTTGTCAACTCCTGTTTCAGAGCAATGGTGATGAGTTTTGTTTCAGTTGCTTGCTTGTACTATTGAAGTGATTAATTGTAGAATTAGTATAATACAAAATTAGTTAAAAAGCTTTAAAATCTAGGTGGCCTATTAGTAAATTAGCCATTTTAAACCCCAGTTTTCTTATATGTAAAATGAGAATAAGTATTATAAAATATATTCTTCATTATAAGCAACAGAACTTACCCTGGCTTCTGTAATTAGAGTAGGGAATATTGAATATTAGGTGGTTCACAGAGTCATTGGGGGAGTGCTAGAGATATAGATTTAAGTCCAAGCTTCTGGGAACATTGCCTGAAACCATGCTGCAGAACTAGATTTGAGAAAGCCAGGGATACTGAACACTAAATACTAGACACTCAGTTTGATTGCAGATGCTACTGTTGTTGCCTCTGGTGCTGTTCCATTGACAGGTACTCCGCATTGCAATCACCGGGAAATGGCTAGCATTGGCTGTTGCCATCATCAAAAGCCAAATATGTCTGCCGTCTTGGGACTGAGCAAGAAATGGAAGCTCTGCTCATTGCTTACTTCTAAAGCAAAGCAAAGTCTCCTGGAGTTTTTTCTTTTCTTTTCTTTTCTTTTTTTTTGAGGGAGTTTTGCTCTTCTTTGTCCAGGCTGGAGTGCAATGGCGTGATCTCGGCTCACCACAACCTCTGCCTCCTGGGTTCAAGTCATTCTCCTGCCTTAGCCTCCCGAGTAGCTGGGATCACAGGCACGCACCACCACAACCAGCTAATTTTGCATTTTTAGTAGAGGCAGGGTTTCTCCATGTTTGCCAGGCTGGTCTCAAACTCCTGACCTCAGGTGATCCACCCGGCCTCCCAAAGTGCAGGGATTACAGGCGTGAGCCATCGCACCCAGCCAATTTTTATTATTTTTATTTTTTTCTCGAGTCTTATTCTGTTGCTCAGGCTGGAGTGTGATCTCGGCTCACTGCAATCTCCCCCTCCTGGGTTCAAGTGATTCTCCTGCCTCAGCCTCCTGAGTAGGTTCAATTACAGGCATGCGGCACCATGCTCGGCTAATTTTTTGTATTTTTAGTAGAGATGGGGTTTCACCATATTGGTCAGGCTGGTCTCGAACTCCTGACCTCGTTATCCACCCACCTCAGCCT
This sequence comes from Homo sapiens, assembly GCF_000001405.40. Lineage (NCBI taxonomy): Eukaryota > Metazoa > Chordata > Mammalia > Primates > Hominidae > Homo > Homo sapiens. The sequence goes on along the minus strand of NC_000003.12, from coordinate 177,148,476 downwards.
CCCAAAGTGCTGGCATTACAGGCGTGAGCCACTGTGCCTGAGAGGTTTATTTTTGAGATCAAAGAGTATGCCATGTCTTTAGCCATAAGAGAAGCTGGGAATTTTAAATTCTAATTTCTAGTTTAGATAGTAAGTAGATTTCAGAACGTGGAAATATCCACAAATTAAAAAGTCTTTTCAAACTTGATAGATGTCCACAACAGTAAATACTTAACTGTCCCCTATCAGCATGTATACCTCCTTTTGTACTTAAACTTTCAACATCCTTAACTAGCTGTCATCTAAAAAATCTACAATTTATAAAAAGTTTGTGTTATATTCTAAATTGGTGAGTTGGTTATTTAGATCCTAAAATTGATTCTTCATTCAGAACAAAAAAATTATAAAATAACGGACTTGTTTCCATGGTAGCCAGAATAAGTAAGGTTGTTGACAAAAGCTAAGTGTCTGTTTCACAGAGATAACTTTCTTAATGGTGGAAAGATTCTGGGTGTTACCATATTGCTACCAGGTAGCTCTGTGTCCCCTGTGAAATGTGGTACTGTTTGGTGTGGAGGTGAGAGGAACTCAAGAGTTAATTGTTGCTTATAGTAGATCACATTATTCAAAAACAGTTGCTTCCCTTCTTTACTGGCTTCTCCCTACAGGACCTCCTATTTGTGGGAGGAGTACTTCCTTGTTCCTGTGGACATCAGGAATGGCCATGGAACTTGATTTGGCCACTGGAAGATGAGTAGAAGTGATTATTTGTCATGTCTAAGCTGAAGCCTTATTAGGAGCCATTGCATGAATGATTTTTGCTAATTTTCCTCAGCCCCAAGAAAAATGGGCCAGATAAAGACTATTTCTTTTGCTAGATTCCAGAATGAAGAAGATGCCTGTAGCCAACCTGTAGCTGACAACAAAAATGAGAAATACATTTTGCGCTGTCTGTTGAACCCAAGACCCTTTCAGAGTAAAACTAATTTAATAATCATAAGTACTTTCTTTCACTGTGTTGACATTTGCACTTTGGCTCAAAAGTGATGTTTTGGAAAACTTGCTGGTTAGGAAAAAATCAGTGCAGTTTCTTCAAACTATGTTCTGCAGCACCATCACCACATATTTATAGTAAACGAAGTTTTACTTGGTCGGGCATCGTGGCTCATCCCTGTAATCCCAGCACTTTGAGAGGCTGAGGCAGGAGAATTGCTTGAGCACAGGAGTTTGAGACCAGCCTGGGCAACATAGGGAGACCTCGTCTCTATAAAAAAACCAAAAATGTTAGCTGGGCATGGTGATGCGTGCCTGTAGTCCCAGCTACTTAGGAGGCTGAGCTGTGGTGATCCCTTGAGTCCAGGAGGTTGAGGCTGCAGTGAGCCAAAATCACGCCATTGCACTCCAGGCTGGGTGATAGAGTAAGACTACATCTCTTAAAAAAAAAAAAAAAGTCTTAGGAATCTCCTTGATGAAGCAGTAAAAAGTATTAATCTAAAAAAATCATGATCTGAATCTGAATCATTTTAATGGTCTTTGTGATGAAATGGGAAATGTTCATAAAATACTTGTGAATGCAAAAGTATGATGGTTTCAGAGGGAAAACTCTTGGGCATTATTTGAGTTATGAGCAGAACCAGCCTTCTTTAATTTTCGCTTGAAACAGTGACTCACTATGGTGATTCTGACATGAGCATTTTAGAGATATTTTCTCAAACAAAGTGAGCTTTTACTTTAAGGAAAACAACGGACGGTATTTGTTGCCAGTGATAAAATCTGAGATTTCACGTGATAGTTTGGGTTTTGGAAAATTATTAGATACTGTGAGCTTGATAGCTTCCTGTTATTTAGAATTTTTCTGATGATCTTGGTAAAAGTAGTAGTGAATACAACTTTTTTTTTTTTTTTTTTGAGATGGAGTCTCGCTCAGCTGCCCAGGCTGGAGTGCAGTGGCGTGATCTTGGCTTACCACAACCTCCGCCTCCTGGGTTCGAGACCAGCCTGGCCAACATGGTGAAACCCCCATCTCTACTAAAAATACAAAAAATTACCTGGGCATGGTGACGGATGCCTGTAGTCCCAGCTACTCGGGAGCCTGAGGCAGGAGAATCACTTGAACCCGGGAGGCAAAGGTTGCAGTGAGCCGAGATCACGCCATTGCACTCCAGCGTGGGCAACAAGAGCAAAACTCCCATCTCAAAACAAACAAAGCATATCATATGAAAGCCAGAAAACTGACTTAACCTGAGGCAGTATAGTGAAGATGTACTGCTGTACAAGCCAAATGAAAGCAAATTGCTTCTGAAATTCTGTTTGTAGAGATAGAGAAACCTTTGCCAGAATGATAGCTGCATATCAGGTACTGAACTAAGCAGATCACATATGAATACCAGCTCTTCCTTGTAGTCATTAAGATTAAAACACAGTCATCCTCTAAAAATATTTGTTTTCTGTATTAGCCAGACAGTTGTATTAAGTAGGTACCTGCTAGGAATTGCAATCCTTGCATCTTTCAGTTCTTTGACAATTCTTTCAGGAATGCAAATTACTTTTGTTTGGAGGGAGAGCTCCTGGGATCTCCATCAGACTTCCTGATAAAAACTACCCTGCAACTCCACCTGTCATGGCATCAGTATGGGAATTTTGTCTGTTGGAAAACTAAGACTGCCCTTTGCAACTATATGTTCAACACCTGGAGAAGATAACCAATAAATTGGGAGGGTTAATCTACTCTGATAAATGGACTTTTGACCAAAACTTTATTATTTGACCACTGTCATTCCTCTTTCTGACAAATGTGCCACATTGGTGCTATCTGGGTCTTTTAGAGATTTAAGAGTTAGCTTTTATAGTCCCAGAAAGGTCTGGGTGTTTCACTTTTCAAGTACATGGTTACCTTAGTAAGGGGCTGTTGATCTTTGTGGAAAGCCAAGAGGGAAATCACAGTACTTGTGATGTAATTATAGAGCTTTGTCTAAAGGATACCTTGCCTTACTGCCTTTATTCTAGAGGGTCTGCGAACTTTGAGAGGCTGTTATTTTTCTATCTTGGTGGCTTATGTCCCCCTTGTCAGGTCTCTGTATTCCATACATATTTGTTTACCCAGGTTAGGAGTTAGCAGACTTTTTCTATAGGGAGCCAGATATACAGTCACTGAAAAAAACAATGCAGTGCTGCCATTGTAGTGCTAAAGCAGCCATAAATAGTACATAAATGAGCTTTTCTGTTCAATTAAAACTTTATTTACTAAAACACAGTGGGTCAGATTTGCCTCCGGTTGTAGTTTTCATACCTCTGGTGTAGATCACATAGGATTATAGTGGAATGTCTTTATGTTACGGTTTTAGGGACTTTCCAAGGTTCCTGCAGACAAACCAGTTTGATAACCACTAGGTTCCTGTTCGTTAAGCTTGCCTGGTACCACTTGAAGTTATAATTAAACAGTCAACAAAATCAGCCTGTGCATTTGAGTTTTGGTTTTAAAGCTTTAGAGCAGGGGTTGGCAAACTGCAGTCTGCAGGCCAAATGTGGCCAGCCTGTTTTTTTGTGATCCACAAGTTAAAAATGTTTTCCATAATTTAAAATAATTGAATAAAGAAGATCAAAAAAGAATGATATTATTTTGTGACAAGTTAAAAATTACATGAAATTCAAATTTTCATGTGTAAAGTTTTATTGAAATACAGCCACATTGATTAATTTATGTGTAGGTTATGGCTGCTTTCTTTTTCTTTTTTTCTTTTTTTTTGGGACGGAGTCTCCCTCTGTCGCCCAGGCTGGAGTGCAGTGGTGCAATCTCGGCGCACTGCAAGCTCCGCCTCCTGGGTTCACGCCATTCTCCTGCCTCAGCCTCTGAGTAGCTGGAACTACAGGCACCCGCTACCACACCCAGCCAATTTTTTTTTTTCTAAAGTAGAGATGGGGTTTCACTGTGCTAGCCAGGATGGTCTCGATCTCCTGACCTCATGATCCACCCGCCTTGGCCTCCCAAAGTGCTGGGATTACAGGCGTGAGCCACCGCGCCCGGCCAGGTTATGGCTGCTTTCACTTCACAACTACACAGTTGAGTAGTTGCAACAGAGACCTTTGGCCTTGGAAGAATTACTATCTGGCCCTTTACAGAAAAACGTTTTCTAACCTTGGCTTAAGATGGAGAACGATTCTTTAATGTTGTACTTAGTAACTGCCTCTTTCTTTGTCAGTGCCATGAGTCAAAAATTTATGCTGTGAATATGTCACTTTGTGTTTTTTTTTGAGACGGAGTTTTGCTCTTGTTTCCCAGGCTGGAGTGCAGTGGTGTGATCTCAGCTCACTCCAACCTCCGCCTCCCGGGGTTCAAGCGATTTTCGTGCCCCAGCCTCCTGAGTAGCTGGGATTACAGGCATATAGCACCATGCCCAGCTAATTTTGTATTTTTAGTAGAGACGGGGTTTCTCCATGTTGGTCAGGCTGGTCTTAAACTCCCTACCTCAGGTGATCCGCCTGCCTCCCAAAGTGCTGGGATTACAGGCATGAGCCACCATGCCCGGCCTGAATATGTCACTTTCTTAACTCCAACACTGTTAGAAGCAGTCATCCCCACTCCACTGTCCTCGTATATCTGTGGCATGACCTTCATAGATTTCTACCAGTCTCACTTGTTCCCCAAAGCGTTGTTTTCTTTAGTCACTTCATTGCAGATGACCACAGTTGATAATTTAATTCTGTTAGAGCCTGAATGAACTATCAGAGACCCATCTTATATAATTAGCTGTACCCTCACTGAATTGAAACCTAAACAATTGGATAATATTCTCAGATTCCCATCACCTTGAAAGTTTGCTCATTTACCTACTTCACATGGTAGTTACAATAATTTAATGAGATAAATATAATCTAGTATTTTACTGAATTTTCACTTGCACAGGCACTGAGCCAGGTGCTTTTCACACATAACAAAAAGTTTAATTTCAAAGGTTAGCTGATAAATATTTTAAATTTAGGAATAAATATCCCCCTGCCCCATCATCACTTCACGTACTGTAAAAAACTTACAGCATTTACAAGTTTTAAAATCACATTAAAGTGGTTGACATAAATTAATATCTTTGCCTATAATATTCCTTCCCTTTTTTTTTTGACTTGTAGATACAGTTGATTTTTGTCATTCACTGTAGTTATGTTCTTTATAGTTGCCTTGAACACTGACTTAGCAAATACTGAGCATCGCTCCTACGGGAATATGCAGGGTTAGGTTCCTGTAGGCCTCGGTCATAACATTTTTGTCAGCTGATCAATAGTAACTGTGTGTTTCTGTTTAAAGATAACTTCCTAATATATATTGTTGATTGATTAATATTGCATTTAGAGTCAACAGCACTAAAACTCATATGAACAAAGCTTATTTCCCACACATATTTTCTCTGCAGCCTTTTTGTACTTAGCAATACTAGATAGCCCTAAGCATAGTGATCAAGTGCTATTTTAAATAGTGAAATGACCAACAGAAAGCACAAACATGCAAAAACGTGGCACTAAATAGACCACCCAAAGGACATTTGTTTGCCATATGATGGCTGAAACAAGGCAGAATGCTGTCTTTTTTTTGTCTTCAGGTGGGTAAGTGTACAATGGGCACCTCAAATTTTTCATCATTTTGTGCATGTCCACATATGATTGCAAAAGTGCTGCAAGTATTAATTTTGGTGCAAGCAGGCAAATTCATAAATGTGAAATCCATGAATTGGTGAGGATTGACTGTATTTCCCTTGATGCCACTAATTTATTATTGTAAATTTATTATTTTAAATTTTTATTTCACTTGCTTCTTAAATTTACTTATTTTAATCGTAAATAGACATAAAAATTTACTATATTAACTGTTAAAAAATGTATAGTTCAATAGTGTTAAGTAAATTCCTACTGAGGTAGGAGACGGGACTTGACTCCAGAGTTGGGGCTTGGACTTTGCACCAGGTGAAGACTAGCTGAAGCAGGGAAGAGATGAAAACACTTCTCCATAAAGACATGCCCACCAGTGTCATGTTAGTTTATCATTGCCATGGCAACACCTGAAAGTTTCTGTCCCTTTCCGTGACAACAACCTAGACGTTACCCCACTTCTAGAAATTTCTGCAGAACCTGTTCCTTAGTTTGCGTGTAATTAAGAGTAGGTGTAATTAAGAGTAGGTATAAATGTGACTACAGAACTGCTCCTGAGCTGGCCCTCTGGTCATACTGCTAATGGGGGAGCCCTGCTCTGCAAGGAGCAGTACTTCTGCTGCTGCTTCCACTAAAATTGCTGTCAAACACCACTGGTTCACCCTGAATTCTTTCCTGGGTGAAGCCAAGAAGCCTCCTGGGCTAAGCCTGAATTTTGTCTCTTGTCTACCCTGCACTACAATCAGTCTCCAGTATTCATCCTGCAAAACTGAAACTCTGTGCCCATTAAGCAACTTCTTCTCATTCCTCTCGCCTCTAGCCACTGGCAATCACTATTCTTATTTTCTGTCTTTATGAATTTGAGTATTATAGGTACCTTATGTAAGTGGAATCATGTAGTGTTTGTCTTTTTATGAACTACCTTAATATACTTAGCATAACGTCCTCACAGTCATCTATGTTGTAGCATGTGTCAGAATTTCCTTGCTTTTTAAGGTTAATGTTTCACTGTATATATAGACCATGTTTTGTTTATCTGTTGATGGACACTTTGGTTGCTCCCGACTTTCGGCTATTGTGAATAGTGCTGCTGTGAACACGGGTGTACAAGTATCTCTTTTGAGATCCTGCTTTGTTTTGGTCCACTAACAGTTTATCTTTTATATGCGATACATACACATTGTAAAAATGAGTGAACCAACCAGATGGAACAGATGTACACTGTAAAGTGATATGTTGAAAGTTCTTAGTTTGAGCTCATTCTATTCACCAAATACAGCTGTTGTTAAGACTTCGATATGTAACCTTGCAAATGTGTTTTTATGCACTTTCAGGTGCATATAAAAATATGTGAAAAATATTTAATACGATTTATATGTAGTTTAATAACACTTGAGATCATATGCATACTGTTCTGTTGATAACCTAATGCATTGTGAATATTATTCATGTAAATACAAATATATTTTGTTCTTAACTTCTACTTGGTATTCTGACTTACTTAACTTCTACCTGGTATTCTGACTTACCATAACTTTTTAGAAATCAAAATCAGTTTTTAAATTATTTAAAAGTAATGCATGCATGCAGCAGAATCTCCAAATAGGATAGAATGATACGAAGAAAACTAAGATCTTTTTCCCCCATCCCCAAGCTTTCTAGAGGCAGCCACTGTTAATAGTTGTTTATTTCTTGCTTGCTTTATTTTAAATGATAAATTATACTAAAGAGTCAGTATTAACTATGGGACATATTTCATTTGAAAGCTTTGAGAAAATTAGTGCATTTATTCTTCCTTACATTTTCTTTTTCCAGTTAAATATATTATTATTTTTACAAGATAAGGATTAGAGCAGGGGTGTCCAGTCATTTGGCTTCCCTGGGCCACAATGGAAGAAGAAGAATTGTCTTGGGCCATATATAATATACACTAATGATAGGTGATGAGCTAGAAAACAAAATCGCAAAAAAATCTCATAATGTTTTAAGAATGTTTATGCAGGTTGGACAAGCTAGGATTAGAGTTTGCAACTACGTGATTTTGAACCTCCTTTTTTCCTGTAGGATGATTTTTAAAATTGAAAAACAATTACTGTTATGACTATTATTTACTTATATTTATGAGGAAGGAAATAATACTGTCATTTAACTTGTTATTAAAGGAGAATCTCCCACTGTCAGTGACAAGGGTATACTGTTGTTTTCTTTTTCACTTGTTACTTCTGGTTCATACTCAGCTGCCACTGTTTCTTCCAGGTCGTGTTGTGTTTTCTTTGTTGTTTTGCCACTTTACCTTTTCAGTTTTTTCATATAAGTAAAATTTCAGTTCTTGAATGTCTGAAAATGCCTTTATTTTGACTCAGTGGCAAATCTGACTTGACAGCAGTGCTTTCAAGCTTTTTCATGTCGTAAATTGATAGAAAATGGTAATCTTTGTGTGGTGGATGAGACTGCTTGTAGCAAAGGCCTCTGGCTGCTCACCTGGTAACCTGTTGGTAGCATGCATTTGGGGAAGCTTTGGGTTATAGGAATATACGTTCAAGGTACTTTTTTCTTTTTTTGAGTTGGAGTCTCACTCCGTCACCCAGGCTGGAGTGCAGTGGCTCCATCTTGGCTCACTGCAACTTCCGCCTCCGGGTTCAAGCGATTCTTCTGCCTCAGCCTCCCGAGTGCCTGGGACTACAGGTGTGTGCCACCACGCCCAGCTAATTTTTGTATTTTTAATAGAGACGTGGTTTCATCATATTGGCCAGGCTGGTCTCGAACTCCTGACCTGGTGATCTGTCCACCTTGGCCTCCCAAAGTGCTGGGATTGCAGGCGTGAGCCACCGCACCTGGCTGTTTCAAGGTATTTTTCTTGTAGAACTTGGTGGACACTGCTATATTGTCTTCTAGCACCTGTTACTTCTGATTAGAAGATGAGTGTTAAGGTGATCCTGGTTTTGTTCTGGAAGCTTTCTTGGCATTCTGAAATTTTACTGGTGAGACTCCAGTTACTACAGGTATTTTTAATTTGTTTTTAATGTTACTCTGTTGAGTGTTTTCAGTTTGACAACTGAATCATTCTTCAGCTCTTGGAAAGTTTAACTTGCCCCTTCCATCTCTCTCTGTTCTCCACTTTTGCATGTCTTACGTTGTAAGTAAATGTTGGACTCTCTAGATTGTCAAATTTTCTTTTTCTTTTTTTTTTTAACTATATTTTTGGGTTTTTTTGCTTTACTTTCTGGGAAACGTTTATATTCTAGGCAAATGAATTTGGTGTTTAGTTATGTCCCATTTTATTACACAGTTGAGATTTTTATGCTTTAATTTTTTTTTTTCCCCCCGAGATGGAGTCTTGCTTTGTCACCCAGGCTGGAGTACAGTGGTGTGATCTCAGCTCACTGCAACCTCTACTTCCTGAGTTCAAGCGATTCTCCTGCCTCAGCCGCCCAAGTAGCTGCAGCTACAGGCGCGCGCCAGCACTCTCAGCTAATTTTTGTATTGTCTCTTTTTTCTTTTAGTAGAGACAGGGTTTCACCACGTTGGCCAGGCTGGTCTCGAACTTCTGACCTCAGCTGATCTGCCTGCCTCGGCCTCCCAAAGTGCTGGGATTGCAGGCATGAGCCACCACACCCGGCCAGTGCTTTACTAATTTTTAATAGCCATTGCTATTTGTTTTTTTCTTAAATGTGGCGTATTTTGTTTTTTAATCTTGCAGTGTGTTTTTTGAGTCCCTATGAGGATATTAATGAGAATTAAAATATGTTTGTCTGTTCGCTGATTTCTGTATGTTCCTCTTGCACCTTTTATACTATTAGGTTTTGGCAAATTTTTGGTGCATCTTGGTTAGTATTGTTAGTTAAAGTATGTTTCTGTTGCAGTATGTATATTGGTTCTTTTTCTATGAGGCTTCTCTCTTGAATAGTAGTTTTGGTGACAGGTTCTGTGAAATGGGGTCAGGTATGGACCAGCAGTACTCCTTCTAGGGAGTATGGGTGAGGAGTCAGCAGGCACATGGTACCCTGCTCTCTTGGGTTACTGTGGTGTCTTCAGTACTTCCAAGGAGCAGTGCTTTGGTATATTTCACTCAAATGGTGAGAGATCCCTTCCTCTTTCCCTCCTTTTTCTCCCTTTTTGCTTCCAGCCCCTTTTATTTCTCTTTCAGCATTAGAGGTCTAGTGTTGCCTTCATCTTTGTGCTGTACTGCTCTCTCCAACCTGGCTACTCTCACAGAAAGCCTTACCTGGCAACAATGCCCACTTTCCCCCTCTCCCTTTTTTTTTCTCCCAGACAGGGTCTTGCTCTGTCACCCAGGCTGGGAGTACAGTGATGTGATCATGGCTCACTCCAGCCTCAACCTCGAGGCTCAAGTGATCCTCTCACCTCAGCCTCCCAAGTAGCTGGGATCACAGGAGTGTGCCACCACCCCAACTAATTTTTACTTTTTATGGAGATGGAGTCATACCATGTTGCCCAGGCTGGCCTCACACTCCTGGGCTCAATCAGTTCTCCCACCTCGGCCTCTCAAAATGCCGAAATTGCAGGTGTTTGCCATTGCACCCAGCGAATGCCCACCTTTTATAGAGATTCCTTTTCTGGCTTTATCCTTACCTTTAAGCTGCCACCAATCAGCATCTCTGTTCACAGGGTCAGAGGATGGGGTCATCTGTCCAGAATGTGGGTAATGCAGTGCCCTGATGAAGTACCATCATTGTTTCCTTCTTGTAGTTGTGATTAGTATATAACTTGGAACTTCTCTAGTGTGGCCTTGAAAAGCCTTTCATGTCTTAAACGTGGGTTTTTTTGTCAGTCTGTTTTACTTTCAACCTGATCAAAATTCTTTAGAATTTATCATCATCCAGTGACATCTACTCGCTTTGCAACAGTGCTGTTGTTTCATTTTATCTTTGAGACAGGGTCTTGCTCTGTCATGCAGTTTGGAGTACAGTGGTATGATCACAGCTCACTGCAGCCCCAACCTCACAGGCTCAGTTGATCCTTCCACCTTAGCCTCCCTAGTAGCTAGGAGTACAGGTACCACCACCATTCATGGCTAATTTTTATTTTTTTCTGTAGAGTCGGGGTTTTGCCATGTTGCCCAGGCTGTTCTCAAACTCCTGGACTCAAGTAGTCCACCTGTCTCAGCCTCCCAAAGTGCTGGGATGACAGGCCTGAGCCGAGGACCCTGGCCTTTTATTTCATTTTAATTTAAATCTTTTCCCTTCATTTTGCGTGGGGCCTTGGGAAGGAGGAGCAGTAGATACATTTGTCTGCCTTGAACTGTAATTGGCTAATTTATGACTGTAAATGTTCCCAGACATGCCTCTCTTCTTAAAAAATGTTTGATTTTATTTTTAATTAATTAACTAATTCATGTATTTATTTTGAGACAGAGTCTCGAGTTCTGTTACCCAGTGGAGTGTGGTGGTATGAGCACAGCTCACTGCCTCAACCTCATGGGCTTAATCAGTTGATCTTCCTGCCTCAGCCTCCCGAGTAACCGGGACTACAGGCACACACCACCACGCCCTGACGATTTTTGTATTTTTTGTAAAGATGAGGTTTTGCCATGTTGCCCAGGCTGGTCTCGAATTCCTGGGCTCAAGCAATCCCCCGTCTTGGCCTCCCAAAGTGCTGGGATTACAGGCGCAAGCCACCATGCCATGCCGGGCCATGTCTTTCTCTAAGGTACATTACTTCTTTAGTATATAGTGCCTTAGAAGAATTAATCAGTCATCTTTCCCCCCCCATAACATTTTAATTTTAATGTATGCCATAATGCTTAAAGCTGTTTTCTGGGCTTATGGCCTGTTATAGAAGTAAGCATGCATAGTCATTGTCATATTGCTTGCCGTCACTTGCTGAGTGCTTTTTCTGTATATAAGGTTATACGTGTGAGTGAGGTCATCTTTTTTGAGAGACCGTATATATTGGAGGATATTTATCTAATCACTCATGACAACGGTCAGAAAACTCATAATATTGAGTAATTGTCTTTAGTGAAGCATAGTAAAGCAGGGAAACATTTTTGAAAATGATTTAGTAAAAGCCCTGGGGGAAGAGAGTAAAAGACAGGACCAGCCAGTTCATTTTTTCTTCTTCGCCGTATTATGGTTGTACACTGTAGTTTTAGGGCACACTTCAGCAGGGGAGAAATATGGTACTTATGCCCCAAATGCCTTTTCATGTGACGCCTTTTAAACCCTGTTTATCTATTTTTGATAATGTAGGACATTATGATAGATTTTTACTACTCCAATGTTTTAAACATCAGGATTTTGATTAAAAATTGAGAGGATGGCCAGGCGTGGTGGCTCATGCCCACGATCCCAGCACTTTGGGAGGCCTAGGCGGGTGGATCACTTGAGGTCAGGAGTTCAAGACCAGTCTGGCCAACGTGGTGAAACCCTGTCTCTACTAAAAGTACAGAAATTAGCTGGGTGTAGTGGCTGGCGCCTGCTTGCCACTTGGAGGCTACTTGGGAGGCTGAGGCAGGAGAATCACTTGAATCCGGGAGACGGAGGTTGCAGTGAGCCGAGATCCGTACTTTTGCACTCCAGCCTGGGCAATAAGAGGAAAAAAAAAATTGAGAGGTATGTCAGTGCATACAACAGACAGTGCTTTTGTCTATGGCTTTTGGACTTTTGGACTGTGATTCACAGGTACCTATCTCTGCCTTATACATGTGTGTATATAAAACTGAAATTAGTTTCATGAAGCAATATTTGCCTTTCATGTGATGCACTCGTATTAAATTCATTAAAAAAGGATATGGCTCACTAAATTTATTTTACGATCCACAAACTGATTGTGACCTGCAGTTTGAAAACCCCTGATTTTAGATACTGATCTATTGGAGTAAAGGGAAGATGGAGAGATTTGGATTCCAGTAGATCTTGGTTCGTCTGGCTTAACAGTTTTAGGTAATTTCCTCATTGGGAAGGAATAAAAAGCACTCTGGGGTTAATCCGAGAAGGCCAATTCCAGCCCTCTGGGATTAACCTCCAGAGTGCTTTTTATTTACATGGTTTAAAAAAAAAACAGCCTTCCACCAGAATGTAAATGCCAGTAGAGCAGGAATCTTGTCTTTGTTGGAAGATGTCAGTGATTTCATTACAGTTGCTTATTTTTGCAGCTGTAAGCTGGAAATAATATCTTGTTAGCTTGGTTGTGATCACTGGAAATATATACAAAGTGGGCCAGGTGCGGTGGCTCACGCCTGTAATACCAGCACTTTGGGAGGCCGAGGCGGGCGGATCACGAGGTCAGGAGATCGAGACCATCCTGGCTAACATGGTGAAACGCCGTCTCTACTAAAAATACAAAAATTAGCCAGGCGTGGTGGCGGGCGCCTGTAGTCCCAGCTACTCGGGAGGCTGAGGCAGGAGAATGGTGTGAACCCGGCTGGCGGAGCTTGCAGTGAGCCGAGATTGCACGACTGTACTCCAGCCTGGGCGACAGAGCAAGACTCCGTCTCTTAAAAAAAAAATACATACATATATATATATATATATATATATATATATATATATATATATATGTATACACACACACACACACACACACACACAGAGTGCGGCCTTGTGCGGTGGCTCACACCTGTAATCCCAGCACTTTTGGAGGCCGAGGTGGGTGGATTACCTGAGGTCAGGAGTTTGAAACCAGTCTGGCCAACGTGGCGAAACCCCATCTCTACTAAAAATACAAAAATTAGTCGGACGTGGTGGTGTGCACCTGTAACCCCAGCTACTCGGGAGGCTGAGGCAGGAGAATCTCTTGAACCTGGAGACAGAGGTTGCAGTGAGCAGAGATGGCATCATTGCACTCCAGCCTGAGTGACAGCACTGCACTCCAGCCTGAGTGACAGAGCAAGACGCCGTCTCAAAACACACACACACAGACACACACACAGACACACACACACACACACACAGCCTTGCAGTGCCAGGAGTGATACAGATATTTAATAATTGGAAGGCTTTTATTATCCATCATTATTTTTACTGTATACCCGTTAGTTTATTAAGTAGGCTCTGAGATTCAACTTTATTCTTGCTTTTAGAGAGACAACATGTTATTACTAGAGACGTATAGATATAACTGCCATACAGGGTGAGGTGGATGTTAGTAGAGTATGTAAGAGGTATTGTAACTTAGAGGAGGCAGTCAGGGTAGGGAAATTACAGATGTATTCCGTATTTAAAAATTTTAAGGAACAGAGTCTCTTAAATTACCACCAGCTAAATGGGGTATTTCTTTAAGGAAACATAAGGGGGAAAGACCGGAATTATCTTAAAGCTGCAAAGCCAAGTGTTTCAGGAAATTGTAGTACTGTTTTGCCTATAACTGATTGTTTTCACTTTCTGGCTTCATGGATAATTGGCATGTGTTATAGAATGTAACACATTCTTAGGGACTGAATTATCATGTATTCCCCTTAGTAGCAACAGTACTAGGCTTCCAAGTCTAGTGTTCTGCCATAATTCTGTTTTCTCTCTTTCTCTCTGCTCCCAATAGACCAGGCTTTCCTCTGATTTATGGTTCCTGCTTGTTGCTATGTGACTTGTGGTGACCTCTTTCATACTCTTGGTTCCTTGACTCCAGGTTTTTTGTTTGCAAGCAACAGAATCAGTCTAGTTATCTGAAGCAAAAAACGGGAAAGATGGGGAAGTTCATTGAATTAACAAAAACAGGAATAAAGAATCTAGGTTGTAGACATCACAGTGGGCTGACTTGGCAGTGGTTAAGAATCAGTTTGAATTATTTTCCTGTATAATTTCTCTCTCTTTACATTCACGTATCTAGGAGACTGTCTGATTTGCCTAGCTGGAGTTATGTTCCAGTCCTTTGCCCGGGGAAGAAAAGGGCACTGTGATTGAAAACCCCAAGACTGTGCAGAAGAAGCTGTGTAGTTTCTCTAAAGCAAAAGCGGAAGACTAAAAACAACAGACGTCCAATATATAGTGTTAACATGGAGTGTTACTTTTTTTTTTTTTTTTTTTGAGATAGGAGTCTCACTCTTTCGCCCAGGTTGGTGTGCAGTGGCGCGATCTTGGCTCACTGCAACCTCTGTTTCACCCTCCCGAGTGGCTGGGCTTACAGGTGTGTGCCACCATGCCCAGCTAATTTTTGTATTTTTAGCAGAGATGGGGTTTCACCATGTTGGCCAGGCTGGTCTCGAACTCCTGACCTCAAATGATCCATCTGCCTCCGCCTCTCAAAGTGTTGGCATTACAGGTGTGAGCCACCACACCTAGTGCATAGAGTGTTACTTCTGTGCATGTATGCGTATATTATTATGTAGAATAACATGTAGTGTTACTTCTGTGTGTCTGCATATGAGTGTATTATTATAGTCCAACTCCAGAGAGAAGATATGTATGACTGTTAATCATGCCTAGTATAGATTGTGTTTATTGGGCACACACCTGGTGTAAAAAGTGAGCAGAACTTTGATGCAATGTGCAATGAAAGCTCAGGATGTATATCTTGAAACTATGCCATATTGTCAGGGGGTGGTAAATACAGATAATGTCAATCCAAGGATTGTGGATTCGTTTATTTATTTTATTTATTTATTTTTTATTTTTTGAGACAGAGTTTTGCTCTTGTTGCCCAGGCTGGAGTGCAGTGGCGCAATCTTAGCTCACTGCAGCCTCTGCCTCCCAGGTTCAAGCTATTCTTGTGCCTCAGCCTCCTGAGTAGCTGGGATTACAGATGTGCGCCACCATGCCCGGCTAGTTTTTTGTATTTTTAGTAGAGATGGGGTTTGGCCATGCTGGCCAGGCTGGTCTCAAACTCCTGACAGGTAATCCTCCTGCCTTGGCTTCTGAAAGTGCTGGGATTCCAGGCGTGAGCCACCGCACCTGGCCGATTCATTTATTTTAAGTAGTGAAATTATATGATTGTATTTATCTCAGAGCATTCATTCTGGAGGGTAGTATATGTATTGTTGAGGTGAGGGTGAAGGGCGGTGTGAGCAGTTACAGGCATCAAGAACAGTAAGAAAGCTATTGGGTGGAAATCTGAATTCATAAGGCTCTCTGTGATCTGCCCCTGCCTGCCTCTGATTTAATTTCCTGCCATTTGTTTATTGCTTGCCACTCTGTAGCCACCCTTACTTTTGTGGGAATCAAACTTGTTCTTTCCTTAGAGCCTATCCCTGGTTGTCACTTTGTTGGATTCTTGTCATTTGTACCTCATTTCATGTTCCCCATCTCCTTTCCTGGCCATGTTCTCTAATCCCATTTTGTCTCTATGACTTTCCACTATCGTATCATTCGGTTTTATTTTTTTAACCACTGTTATTACAATCTGTTAACCTTTCTTTCCCCCCATCTCTGTTAACAGTGGCAGTTGGACAAGGTTTGATTGCTAAAGAAAAGTCACATGATCCAAAGTAACAGTGCTCATCAATCTGTGGTTTATTGCTGAAAAACGATACTTAAAGCAAGTGCTTTCAAGTTAGGTTGCACATCACAAGCAAAGGGTGCCTCCCATCAGTGGACCTGAAGGAGCTAAGTGTGAGGTTCAATTGTCCCCCTTCTGTAGGGCCATATGGATATCTTTCTTTCTTGGATCAGGATCACTGATGTGCGCAGAGAACACCTTGGAACCAGGGATCCCATAGTGGAATCTCAGTGGGGCTTATATTCCTGCTGGCCACATAGGCATATTTTTGCTACATAACCAGCCTTAATGGCAGAAACCTCAAGGGGCTCACGAAAACCAGGTGCAAACCATCAGTCTCACTGTTAACAGTAAACAATGCTGACAAGCCGGTACAGACAGGCCATAGCTCTTGGGATTCATGGTTTCAGAGCAACATTATTAATCAGTATGTTTGGTACTTTGACCAGGTATCAGTGCCATGCCATTACCTCTCTTATTTCAGGAATGTACACAGGACAGTTCCAGCCTTCTGGGGTTAACAATCAGAGTGCTTTGTGTTTCCTTTTTTTTTTTTTTTTTTAAACTTCCACTAGAATGTAAATGCCAGTAGAGCAGGAATCTTGTCTTTATTGGAAGATGTGATGAATTCGTTAATGTGTTTTAAGATTTGACAAAGGATATTCAGGGCCGGGTATGGTGGCTCACGCCTGTGATCCTAGCACTTTGGGAGACCAAGGAGAGTGGATCACTCGAGGCCAGGAGTTCAAGACCAGCCTGGCCAACATGGTGAAACCCTGTCTCTACTGAGAATACAAAAATTAGCCGGGCATGGTGGTACATGCCTGTAATTTGGGAGGCTGAGGCGGGAGAATCACTTGAACCTGAGAAGCGGAGCTTGCAGTGAGCCGAGATCACGCCACTGCACTCCAGCCTGGGCAACGGAGTGAGACTCTGTCTCAAAAAAAAAAAAAAAAAAGATATTCAGAATGACAATGTGTTTTTTTAATTTAGTTTTTTTTTGTTTTCTCAACTTTTAGGTGTGGGAATAAGTATCTTTGGAAGACCAGGCACTTTATGCAGTATTGAGCTCAGGAGGCAGTGAGTGTTAAGGAATGGGTGTAAAAGTGAGTGTGATTCTCTTTCCCATCTTGCTATTTCTTTATTTTTCCTGGACTCTCTCTTAAGGGTCTTTATGATTAGGCAAATAGCTTTTGACTTTTTTTGTGTGTGTTGCTATGTGTCTTTGAATGAAGAGTTAGGCATTCAGTATGTTCTCTTTGAAGTGTCTCCTACGCTTGACATGGATTCCCGATTTGCTGAAGAAGTTCTCAATATATTCTCTGAAACCTAGTTTCTGTTGCCATTGTGCTTGACATGGATTCCCGATTTGCTGAAGAAGTTCTCAATATATTCTCTGAAACCTAGTTTCTGTTGCCATTGTGCTACTGACTGCGTGATAAGCCTCAGTACGTTTTAAAATTTTTTATTTTAGAGACAGGGTCTTGCTATGTTGCCCAGACTGGTCTCTAACTCCCTTGTCTCAAACAATCCTCTTAACCTCAGCCTCCCAAGCAGCTGGGACTATAGGTGCAAGCCTCTGTGTCCGGCTCAGTAATTTAACCAATTTCACAGTACCTCTAAACCCCAAATATGGTGGCCTTTTCTTTCAAAACATTTCTAGATGGACCTTTTCTGAGGAGTTAACAATTGTTTTAGTCTGGGCTTTGATAATCTCTTTACAGGTCTGTTTTTGCCTCCCTTTCAGGTAATTATTTTTTTAACTTGTTAACTTGTTTTGAACACTTGAGCATTTTATATGGTTCAAAATTTAAAAAGTACAAAAGTGTATACAGCAAAAAACCTTTCCACATCTGTCCCCTAGCCACTTGGTTCACCTCTCTGGAGTGACGGGTATTATTAGTTTTTTATGTGTCCTTCCAGAGATGATGTTACTATATACAGAAAAGTACGTAATATGCTGTCTCCCAATGTATTTCCCAAAAACGTTGTAGAATATTATATGCACTGCTTTTATTGCCTAACTGTCTTTCCTGGTGATCATTCCCAAATCGATATCTGAAGAGTTTCTTGTTTTGTTTTTGTTGTTGTTGTTGTTTTTGACTGAATAATACTTTATTATAATTTTACCAGGCCCCTGTTGATGGAGAATTGGTTGTTTCTTTTTATAATGCAGCAATGAATAACATTGTATATAAGTTATTTTGCATGTGTGCAAACGTTTTGATGAATAAGTTCCCCACAGTAGAATTTCACGGTCAAAGGATATGTGCATTTTTATTGTATTTATTTATTCTTTTTCTTTCTTTCTTTTTTTTTTTTTTGAGATGGAGTCTCAGTCTGTCGCCCAGGCTGGAGTGCAGTGGCGTGATCTCGGCTCACTGCAACCTCCGCCTCCTGGGTTCAAGCGATTCTCCAGCCTCCATCTCCTGAGTAGCTTGGACTACAGGCGCACGCCACTACGCCCAGCTAATTGTTGTATTTTTAGTACAGACACGGGTTTGGCGTGTTGGCCAGGCTGGTCTTAAACTCCTGTCCTCAGGTGATCTGCCTGCCTCGGCCTCCCAAAGTGCTGGGATTACAGGCGTGAGCCACTGCACCCTGCTGGATATGTGCATTTTTAAATTTCACTGCCAGGTTGTCTTCATGGAGGTTGTAGTTATTGATATTTCTACCACCAGTGTGTGTTATAACACTATAGAGTGTTATAAAACTTCTTATCTTTGCCAAACTGGTGGATAAAGAACGGTATCTTGTACTTTTTTTTTAAGATATGCTTTTCATTATGATATGCAGAATACATTAAAAGGTACAGACTACAGATGGTGAAGTTCACAAATTGGACAAACCTGTGTAACCACTATACCAGTCATTACTCTATCCCCAGCCTCTGGAAAGGTAACCATTATCCTGACTTAAAGTATCTATTCATTATTCTTGTGTTTCATATAAACATACAGTGTGTGCTCTTGTTTATGGCTTGTTTTTCTCAGCATTATAAGAGATTTATTTTACTGAGATTCATCCAAATCGTATCAGAAGTTCTCAGTGAAATCTTAATTTGCATTTCTCTTGCAAGGAGGTTGAGCACTTTTTAATGTTTTAAGCTTTAAAATTTTTATTTTCTGTAAGCTGTTTACATTCTGTATCCTTGAGTAGGGAATCATTTTCTTCTGGATCTCGTTACATGTAAAGGAAGCTGATTGTCTCAGATATGAGTTGTAATTGTTTTCTTCATCTAGTCCTGCTTTTGATTTTGCATATGATAGTTCTTGCCATAAAGGATTTTTAAAAAAAGTATAATACAATTTTTTGTGGCCATTTACCTTTTTTCTCAATTACTTGTTTTTTTCCTGTGGGCCTACTGTCTTTTGAGCATCCCATAGCCCTTAGATTACACTTTAATGTCATCAAAGATTAAAGTGCAAAAACCACCTCTAAAAATGACCGTGCTGAACATGAAATTTGAATCACGTGTAAGTGGAGTTATAGAAGAAATAGCTGATGGGGAGAGTGTTGCGAGAATCTGCAGCTGGAGAAACTTAGTGAAGGTGAATTTATGGACATAAATGAGGAAAGTGGCTGTGATGAAAAAGACGATGGCCTCATAGGAAGTGTCACTGGCCAAAAACTTCACAATAAAGGAACTCTATCAGAGATATTTCATGACATTCAACATTCAAGGATAAAATGTTAGAAGCTTTAGAGAGTTGTGTGAAAATGCCCCAAGAAATTTCCCCAAGAAATAGAAAAGATATTTGCTCTGTGTCATAAGTGGCCAAGTTTGGTGGCTCAGGCTGGGCACGGTGGCTCACGCCTGTAATCCCAGCACTTTCGGAGGACGACGGGGGCAGATTGCTTGAGCTCAGGAGTTCTCAATCAGCCTGGGCAACATGGCAAAACCCCATCTCTACTAAAAATACAAAAATTAACCAGGCGTGGTGGGATGCATCTGTTGTCCTAGCTACTTGGGGGACTGAGGTGAGATGATCGCGTGAGCTTGAGAGATCCAGGCTGCAGGGAGCTGTGTTTGTGCCACTGCACTCCAGCCTGGATGACAGAGAAAGACCCTGTCTCCAAAAAAGCAGAAAAGATGCTTGCTCTCTGTGTCATAAGTTATATGAGAACAAAAGTTGCTATTCAAAGTTCTCAATAAGCCATTTACCAAGAAATAAAACAGTTCACATCGGTTCTAATGTTTTAAATTACAGTGTACTAAAAGAATGATTTTTTTTTTGTCTTTTTTTCCTGAGACGGAGTCTTGTTCTGTCACCCAGGCTGAAGTGCAGTGGTGTGATCTTGGCTTACTGCAGCCTCCACCTCCTGGGTCTAGGTGATTCTCCTGCCTCAGCCTCCCGAGTAGCCAGGACTATAGGTGTGCACCACCACGCCCAACTAATTTTTGCATTTTAGTAGAGATGGGGGTTTCACCATGTTGGCCAGGCTGGTCTCGAACTCCTGACCTCAAGTGATCTGCTTGCTTCGGACTCCCAAAGTGCTGGGATTACAGGCGTGAGCCACTGCGCCCGGCCCGTTTTACAATGTTTTGATTATACGTTGATAACTGATAGTAAATGTTTTTAATATCTTGACCAAGTTTTTAAAGTAATGGAACAATTCACACTGATTAAGATCACCTTGTTCAGTTTCAAATCTTGGTGATTTTTACATTCCCACACTACCATCCAAAATGTGAACTGCCGGTATATGTTTAAACAAAAAACCTCCCAAACTCCTTAAAGTGACTCAATAGTGTTTCAGACAGTGAATTCTTCCTTGTCTCTTCTAACTTTCAGGTCCATTGAAGATTAAATAGAACTGCATGTTTGATACCCTTTTCTTGTACTTAGGACTTGATCTGCAGCTGTTATAGATCTCAGGTCTTCCCTAAATTGCCAGATGTTGATACTAGTAGTCTAATGAGCTGTGTGAAGAATAGTATACAAGATAGCAAGTAACAACAATGATTGCAATCCAAAGTGTTTCTTGAGCACCTGCTATACCAGATACTGTGTTTTTAGGTTTTGGAGATAAATAACATTAGGTCCCCTGTGTTCTTTTTTTCTTCACACTCTATAAAGGGCAGACAGATGAAAGGATAGTAGAAGGAGTTATATCGTAGAAGAATTTTTAATGATACTGAGAATTACAGATAATTTTAAACACTTTTAAGATGTTGCAATTCTGTGCTGTTTTATATGATGTTAGAGATACCATAAAAGAAATGACTCAAGGGACTTGGGAACTAGATATACAAGTTGAGCTTCTGTATGTAGGTCAGGTGGCAGTATGTTGAGATACATAGAATAACACAAAGGGTTTTTTAATGTAATAATACATTATGGAAAGAATTATACTTGGGCAGCAGGTTCCACATTGATTATAATCTGTGGCAGATTACTCTTTAAAACAATCAAACTTTTGTATTGTTGAACGCATTTTATGAGAAGAGAACTGTAGGTTAGTTCACCAACTGAATGTTGTTTTTGCTGAAACTGGGTTTTGCTAAAACTGCCATTCTAATGCTCTTATTCCTTAAGCCTAAACTTAGATGGTTAAATATTACAACCGTACATTATGTACAGTCACTTGAAAAGGATTTGATTTGGGCATTTCTCTGTAAAAGCTTGACTTGTGCCCTTTTTTTTTTTTTGGCTGAAAATGGGGGATGAAATCAAGGATATATTGATTTTAATTATTTGCTAAAGACATATTTATTGAATATTTATGGAGAGCCAGTGCCAAGAATTCTGAGGGATATGAAAATGCTTGTTAGTAGGCTACCATGGAACTTAGTTTAGTAGGTGAGAAAGTCTTGAATGTGAATAGCTGAACAAGTAATACAAGTTGGCAGTATTTTATGGGTGTTACAAGTGATGACTTAGGTTCAAAGGAATAAGCAGTTATTTCTAGCTGGAGGAATCAGAAGGCTTCATGGATGTAGGACTTGAAAGGCATCTTATGGACATATTAGTAGAAGATGTACTAATTGGAGCAAACAACACTGGGAAAGTCCTGATGATTTAAAGCTTCTCTGATGTATCTTAATTTTATTACATAACCGATGTTTAACAAATGATTGGATTATTAATATTACCATTTTTTGGTCTTAAAAAGAATATTGTTGTGTTAGATGATTCAGCATAGTATTGTAGTTCTCAAAGTGTGATCCTTGGCAGCATCAACATCTCCTGCTAACTTGTTGGAAATGCAGATTCTTGGCTGAATCCCATATCTAGCCGTTGAGTCAGAAAGTGGTGTGGGATTCAGCACCCTGTGCTTTAACAGGTCTTATTTTGACAGAGCCACTTCTACTTAATGACTACCTTTTTAAAAATGCGGTAACTGATGCTCACTTTGGCAGCACATATGTTAAAATTGGAATGATACAAAGATTAGCATGTCCCCTGCACAAGGATGACACACAGTTTTACAAAGTGTTTCATATTTTTTATTACGCACTGCATGCCTGTATCAAAATGTCTTGTGTACTTCATAAATATATACACCTACTGTGTACTCCAAAAAATTAAAAACAAAAGAAATGTGGTATCTGTATCAACTGTATTGGCTAATAATGATTAATAGCCCATTCCATAATTTGATTAAAAGTCATTCCTTAGCTTACTATTTGAAATATAAAATCTTTGTCAGTTTGGAGGGTAATTTTTTTACTTGGAAATTTGAAAACTTGGAAATTGAATAAATAAATGAGCTATTTTAATTGTCTTAGTGAATCATAAAGAAAATTGCCAGCACTTCTCCATGGCACGTCAAGTATACTGGCTGTTTTATTGCCTCCTAGAATTTAAAAATGAGTTATTGTAGTCGTTGGTTATATATATATTCATATATGAAACATGTCCTGATGTATATTTTTCATTCTTGTGAAATAAAAAAGACACTTGTCAGTTTTATACTAAATGTTTTTTAAAATCCTGTTAATTCATTATTTCTAATTAAATGCTAATAATTGAGGAACGGCCAGACTGTTTTCCAAAGGACTGCAGCATTTTGCATTTCCACCAGCAGTGAATGAGGGTTTCAGTTTCTCATCTTTCTCATATCCTTGTCAACCCTTATCACTGTTTTTTTGTTGATTGCCATCCTAATGGCACCTCATTGTGATTTTGTTCTGCATTTCTCCTGATAGCTGGTGATGTTGAGCGTATTTTCATATGCTTATTGGCCGTTTGTATTTTACTCTTTGGGGTATCTGTTCAGATTTCAAAATTGGCTTGTCTTTTATTGAGTTGTAGTATTTCATATATTCTGGATGCAAATGTTATGATTCATATCTGTGATATGATTTACACAACTTTTGTCCTGTTCTGTGGGTTTTCACTTTCTTGATGTTGTCTTTTGAAATGAAAATGTTTTACATTTCTATGATCTCAGTTTATTGTTTTTTTCTTTTGTTTCTTGTACTCTTGGTGGCATATCTATGAAACCATTGCCTAATCCAAGGTCATAAAGATTGACCTGTATGTTTTCTTCTAAGTGTTTCAGAGTTTTAGCTCTTAGTTCTATAACCCAGTTTGTGATAATTTTTTATATGGTGTGAAGTAGGGTTCTAAATTCATTTCTTTTGCATTTAGCTGTTCAGTTGTCGTAACACCATTTGTCAGCCTCAGTTACAGTGACAGATTTTTATGAATTTTTATCTAGACTTTCTAGATCTTACTAGCAGTTGAGATTTTGAGTTTTACTATTCTCATTGCATTGTCAATTAAGAGAATAAACTTATTAAGTATTGAAGAAAAAGATGCCGTGAGTTAAGCACTGTGTTCCCTTTTAGGAGTCTTTAAGGAGAAACTGGAATAGGTTTTTGAAATTGATAGGTCACACATTTTTTAAATGAGAATGAGAGAATGGGAGAAAGGCCTTCCAGTAGCTGAAGATTTTCATTTAAAGCTGAGGAGTTTGTTTATTTAGCCCTATAGCACGTAAGAAATAGTTAATAGTTAGACATATTTGAATCATAGAGAAGAATGATTTTTCAAATAATTACTAATAGAACTGTCTAATAACTTGGTAAAGTAGTGCCAATTATTGGAGGAGCTCAAGTGAGGTTGAATGATGGGTCATTAAAAGTACAGAAATGATTTCTGCATTGAAAACAAAGGTTGTTGACAGAGTTCTGGGATTTCTAGTTAGTCATGTGACTATGCTAGGATTTCCATTTTCTTTCACATTTGTGAAGGTTTTCTGCTTGGGATCCATCCTTCCCCAGACTTCTGTCAAGTTATTGGAAGGAAAGTGAGGGAAAACAGGAGGTATTGTCTTGCAGGATTAAATGATAGAAATACTCCAGTTTTTGATTAGCTAATGTTATTATGCCTTACCCTGAAAATTGGTCTCATCGCTTGATCTAGTTCTTTCTGGCTTCTTTAGTTCTTTGTTCTTTAAGTAACAGTGAAGAGTGAGAATGAGAGACACTAGCAACAGTGACTGTTGAGATGAGAACTAAACATTAAAGTATCCTCTAACATCAAATTTGTGCATTGTTGTGGTTTGTAGATTGTGAATTGAAGAAAGCTGCATGAATTGTAGGAAAATGTAAATCGTGATAGTGTAAATGGAATTTCTTTGTCATCCTTTCATGAAAATAAAATTTACTGATTCAGGGAATTATGTTCTTATTTTGTAAATGATCCACTTGAGTAGATTGTTCAAAATGTACTCAGGAGAAAATGTACTAGTGCGTATTTGTACTTTTTGATGGGTATGTTTGAATCATATGTTTTAAGGTTTGGAAAAATCTGATTATATAATCTGATTGAGGCAAATGAATGAATTCAGTCACCTGGTTTTCAGTCAGAATATTTTGAGAATCTTTTAGCTATAATGCTCTGAAACTTCAAAGTAAAATATTAAAGCAGAATTGGAAGCATGAGAAAATTAGGTATCTTTTTTCTTTGAAGTGAGATTTTTGGAATAATCTTTTAAATAGGAAAACCTTTTTGAGCTTAGCCTCTTCCATGTTTAAAATATTTATCTTGTTTGCCCAATTGTAGGGGTTTTCTCTGTTAAAGATTTGAGCATAGTCTGAATCTCTTTGGTTGGAAATAATTGGCTCCAAATGAAAGCTTCTTATCAGTGATGTTGGTGTAGGTATGCTCAATGAGTGATGTAAATCAATTAATATGAAGATGTTATATAACTTTTTAAGGCTTGAATTTTAAACTTTTGTTAATGTATGTACTTTATGATTAGGAAGGTAAATACTGTTTTTAGTATGATATGAGTTCTCTCTTGAAGTTACTGTACATTTTTAAAAAAACTATTACAATATACTAATCAAGATTTTCTTTTTGTCTGTTTTTGAATGGACCACTTAAAGATTGCTGCTGTTCACAGGTTTCTCTGCAGATTTCTTATAGGAGTTAGCAAAAGACTTCTATTTCCCCTCCTCTCAATTAAAAGATACAAGACACATGTGTGCGACACAAGACAAAATGTGGGGAGAATATTGCTCATGATGTTTGGTTTTCTGTGGCTGACTTTTTTCATAATGTTTAACAGTTCTATTACTTGAATTTAGAGAGGGATTCATTGTGCTAAAAAGTACCTCCACATTCAACTGTAATAAGCCACATTATTAAAACACTGTTGGAGTTGGAAGATAAAGATACTGTTGATGCTCATTGTTTGGTATTTGTGGATGAGCCTGAAACGACTAATATTTAATCATGAGTCTTTTCTGCACTTATGTGATCTTCTGTGCTTTGATTTGCAGCTATCTCCACTGTTTAAAGAACCTGTTGCTCTTTGCAACTGCCTTATTTAGCCCTATCTGCTAGAAGCCATTGATCCAAGAACTCTGCTTTTCCTCACACTCGACTTTAATAACATTATGAAAGCTAGCCCAGTAAAACTGAATTTCCAACAATGTGGCTTCAGTTGTTGGTGGACTTGCAGTATTTTAGGTCAGATATCTTTCTTCAAGTGCACAAGAGGTATAGAGTAAAATTTGACATCTGTGTTAGAGGCAGATCTCATGATAATGTTAAGGGATTTCGGTCATTACTTTGCAATTTTCAGGGTACATGCTGAACTTCTTGATGCTCTTCTCTTAGTTCTATTACATCACCTCTTCTATGACCCCAATCAGGCGTGACATTCTTAACTGAATTCCTAGATGCTTTGACACAGGCTTACAGTGTTTTTTTTTTTTTTTATCTGTCTTATATAAGTTATGTATTAGAGGAGGAGGGAATATTTTAATTGTTAGGTACTCTATAGTACCTAACAATGTATTCCATTTAGTAAACACAGTCTTAAGTAATAAGTAAATTTGACAGTAATGCTCAGAAGCAGCATTTTGGTGAATTAATCAACATTGTAGAAATTATTGATTAATGTACTTTTAATTAATAGAATAAAACGTTGCTTATTAATACTTTAGATTTCAACACTTCATGGTTTCACCTTCACATCAGTTAATTGGAATGCTGGGATCATCCTAAATGTATTTATTTGTAGGATTGGGATGAGGGTTGCTCTTGCATTGTGATTCTTTCAATCCCATTCTCTCTAGGACTTCTAGTAATTCTAGGTTTCCAGTAATTAATGGCTCTTTTTATTAGTTGGAAGTTTCATGGATTTTTTTTTTTAAATCTTTAGCTAAGAACATTCTAAACCACTTGCAGTATCTAAACGTGTCAGACATGAAGGTAGCCTTAATGGAAACAGGCTTGCCTTCTGTAAACCTCACAAGGAACAGCCTCGATGGGATTGTGAGTTTCATTTCCCATGTGCCAAAAAGAGGCGGAGCTCAGAGCCAATGATGAAAGATGTTACTTAATCCTTTTAGACTACAAAATTTATGTTAATTACCAGATAAGACCTTTTCCCTCAGGGAGTTTAGTATTTAAAGAGAACGTTAATGCATGTAATTTATAATCTGCATGAATTTAGTCTGGCTAAAAAAATTGCACATTGTTTGGAAGGGAGGCTAATGTTTGAAAGAAAGATGCGTGTGAAGTCAAATTGGGACTTATTTCTAGAGGAGATAGGCTATGGATAGGCTATGGAAGGGAAGAAAAAGATTGACATCCAGCAAGATTTCTCAATGGACTTTATTTTTAAATTTTTATTATGACAAATTTGAAAATAATAAAAGAATAATGAATTACCGTATCCTGTTAGCTTCAACAGTTATCTGCATATGTTGAATTTAGTTGTCACATTTCTTGAGACTTTAATCTGGCATAGTTCCTCAGCCATTCTGTCTTTTATGACATCGATAGTTTTAAAGAACATTCCTCAGTTTATGTTTGTTTCCTGAGGACAAGATTTGGATTATGTTTAACTGTGATTTTATAGGAATGAAAATGTTAGAATTCTATGACAAGCCGTAGGTTATAATGGAACTAATTCTGGACCAAGAATCAGGAGTCCTGAGTCCTGGCTCTTAGAAAGGAATTGTAGTATGCAGTATTTAAAGAATGTAGACTTTGGATTAGTGACACAGCTTTAAATCTCAGCTCTTTTGTGTAGCTGTATAATAATTGTATAAATTTAAGCAAATTGGTTAACATTTTAGGGCCATGTATAAAATATGACCAGTAAATTCCTGTCTTTTCAAGTTGTTAGGAGTAAATGAGACAACATGAAGTACAAAGATGCTACACTATGTGATAGTGATTAAAATACTGTAAATTTGAGCTGGTCCGAAGGTAGTGAGTTAACTCAATTGATTATGTAGTCAGTAACAGATCGAACTTGTTCTATTCTGTTGCCCCCCTTTTCACTATTGCACTCGACTAGTCTAAAAATAAAAAAAGTAAATTTGGGAAAGAGGAAAATCAGTGAGTTAAAGCTGCGAAAAGGAAGTTTGAGTGGAAAAGATTGCACGTGACCTTTGATTTTAAGGATGGATTGACTTTGGATAAAATATCTAGGTGTAGAGTATCCACTGGAAAATCTTAAGTGTAAGGGAACGTAGTCAGATTAGTGTGGGAAATAATGTTAGAGTGAGGAAGTTAGAAGACTCTTGGGAATTAGAGTTTGAAGGTCTGGGTTGTAGTCCAGCCTTTGCCATTAGCTGGTTGTATGATTTGGGGTAAGTTATTTAACCTGTCTAGACCTTGTTCTCTAACACTATAAAATGACTGGTATGTTATCAGCATTCTTTAGAAACATCCTGGTAAGACAGAGTAGTAAGAGAAAGCTTTCATCAGGAAGGAGGTCATCTGCATCTTGAAAGGTAGACAGCCTCTAGATAGGAGAAGAGGAAAAGGGAAAGCCATTAGAACAGGAATGCCGAATTAAAGAAGGCATAACTGGAGGTAAAGACCTATACTATCACAGGGAGGAGTGCATGTTGGAAAGTAATGAGAAGTTAAGGTTATCAATTCTGTGCTCCAGAAGTAGGCTCTATATAGTTATGTTTGCTGTTTAGAGATGATGCAGTTGGAAAATGGCCCTCTTATTTAAATAAAGGTTGGTGAGACACCTGCTGGAGTATAACTAGATTCACCTTACGCAGTATTTTTAGATGAGCGAGTCCCCAAGGGCTTTCTGTTAGCAAAAAGGAGGATATCCCAACTCTTTCTCCCTGAAATTTGAAGTAACTAATACCAAGGGCAGTGGTTGCATTACAATAAAATGACCATGTAGAAAATGGGTGAGGTTGGTATAGAGCACTAATTCAATACACAGGACCAAGGATTCTTTGGAATGTTTCTTCGTGTCGTGTGGTTGATTCTGGAGCTTCTAGCCACGCAAGTATGCCAGTTGATCATGGAGGAACATTAAATGGTCACAGAAGTATAATCTAAAATAATCTGCAAAATTGGTAATTGGTGTTGTTGCCTAGACTGGGATCTGGACCAGCAGTGTATCACAATGTAGTGAATGGTCACTGTTTGTTCAGCAAATTTCAACAATTTCTGTTGCGGGACAGTTAAGAAACAAAGACAGTATATGAATAACCATTCTATGTAGGTTTCTCTGCCTCAGGATTCAAAACACCCCTTCCCCTAACCATTCATGTCTATTTACTTATCTAAACAAAATCAAAAGAAGCCCTAATTATATAGGAATCCAGCCATCGATTGGAAAAATAAAAGAGATGGGACCATATTTTATGACAAGTTGTGGAAAAGGTTCCAGGATCAAATTGGGTAGGGTGTAAATATTCTTCACCCGTGGAACTGCTGTGGTTTCTTTTCTTTTAAAACCTGATTATCAGCCAGGTGCGGTGGCTCACGCCTGTAATCCCAGCACTTTGGGAGGCTGAGGTGGGTGGATCACCTGAGGTCAGGAGTTTGGAGACCAGCCCGGCCAACATGGTGAAACCCCATCTCTACTAAAAATACAAATAGTAGCCGGGTGTGGTGGCAGGTGCCTGTAATCCCAGCTACCCGTGATGCTGAGGCAGGAGAAGTGCTTGAACGTAGGAGGCGGAGGTTACAGTGAACCGAGATCATGCCACTGCACTCCAGCCTGGGGTACAAGAGTGAAACTCCGTCTCAAAAACAAAAAACAAAAAAAACCTGATTATCCAGGTTTTTCTTTGTTTTTATGAGCTTATACTTTCTATAGGTCCCATTTTTCTTGAGTTATTATGTGGAGTTGCTGTCTGGTTTGCAGGCAATATGCCTGAATGGTTACAATGCTAAATCGTATCTCTTGATTTTATAAAAGTTCAGTTTGAGAAACTGACAAAATACGACACTTGCCATATATTATAATGTATTCATTTTGTCTCTACTCCCCCATTAAAATACAAACTTCAGGGTGGTTTCTTGACTGTTGTTCTTAGCATCTGAAATGAAGCATGGCAAATAGTACACATTCAGTAACTAGTTATTAAATGAATGAAGAACTATGATATTTGACAGCATTACATGCAACTAAGCCTCATAAAGAAGGGAATTCACAAATGGATTCTCTTTAAAGTCTTCCTAATGTCTGTCTTTTTATTTCCTTTCTTCTTCCTTCCGTTGTGGGCTTTGTTTTGATCAGTGAAAGGGTGAGTATAAGAAGCTGCATTTTAAGTTTTCAGGAATCTAGTCATGCCTTTGGATAAAAATACCGTGGTCACACTTTTAGCTTTGATGAGAAAAGGGCCTCATTAGGTCATTTTGAGTCATTAGGCTCAATGTTAAAGCTACTCAGCGATGAGGGCATGAAAGACGTATAGTTGTTTGTTCACAGTGCTTGTCCTTAAATAGGCTCTTAAATGAGTTAATGAATGAATGAATGTTCAAGAACTCTTTAGAGACTTTGAAAAGATCGAGTGATTTTGAAATAACAGACTCTGGGATCTGGAACTTCTATATTCGCATGGAATAGAACTAGTTTCTTAGAATGTGGGTAGTCATTGCTTGAGCTTTCTACTAATATGTCCTGAGTCTCTGGCTGAGAAGAGTGGATAAAATGGTAGGTGAGGTAAAGAAAGAAAGTCACAATTCGTATACTACCTATAAAAGATTTATAAATGGCCATTGGCCCTAGATTCCTGGTTTCTGATTTCTTACTACCTACGATAGACTCCTGGTTTCTGATTTCTTACTACCTTGCATAGTATAAAAATAGCAAATTGAGGGGGTCAGAATGTTCAGTGGTTATTGGTTGACATTCACCTTTTTTCCTTCCCATTGAACCCATTCTGCTCTTTAATACTGCTTCTTTGCCCTTGGAAAGAAATCGCCAGTTTTACTTTATATTTCTCCCAATCAGTGGCATAGAAGTAGAGTTTATTAAAGCTCTAAGTAAGATTTGTTGAATTCTTTCAAATTAGAAGATTAGTCACTGTACTAGTGGAATTTGAAGTCAAGACTGAATCAAAGTGTTAACATTTTCATTACTGCACTAGAAAAGATGCATATTAATAGAATTTATAGAGCACATTAGATTTCCCTGTGTAGCAAACAATCTGGGAGACCCGAGAGCTTATGCTGCCTATAAGGAACTACGCTGAATGGGAAACTGGTATTTTCTATGACTGTTTTAACATTATTTTGATGTCATATCTAAAAGGGAAATTTTAGACTGTGCAGATAATTCAGCAATCTGCATGACTTTCAATACCAAAATAAAGGTACTATTTTAAAATACTGTGTAATTATGGAGCAGGCTTTAATGGAAGCCTTATTAAATTTACCCATTATTTGCTGTTGCTGAAAATATCTTTCCCAGGAATTCAGTGTTGCTATTCTAGGCAATAGTTTCATTGCTTCGCAGCTACTATTTGGAAGACAGGGAACAGGAATAATAATACTAGACTGATGTTTGTTTAAATAGTGGAGATTTGATTAATCCAGTACCCACTATAGATTATTGGTTGTGATGTTAGTTAAAAATGGGCATCATTTCTTCAAAGCCATAATCTTGACCCACTCCTGCAAATTCTTTTTTCTCCCTTCTCATTTATATTCAGTATTTATTCTAGAATCGTTACCCCATTTTCGGAATGCCAATAGCAGTGTGTTTAGAAACCGGGTCATGTTGTTTTTATAAGATAAACTGCATAATGTTCCTAAGCACAGAAAATAAAGCATTCTGGACTTTCAGACTGGGTGGATTGACAGTTTATTTCAGCAAATCTTGTACTTCTGGTAAAGGACAGTTCAGTGTTTCCCATCATATAGAAAATCTAGGAAAAATAGCAACAGCTACCATTTATTAAGTGCTTTTTATTTCCCAGGTACTATTACGTGCTTGATAATGCATTATCTCATTTAGTTAACATAACTTTCCTCTGAGAGAAGATACCATTACAATCTTGTTTTACTGATGAGAAAACTGAGGTTTAGAGAGGTTAAATAACCAGCTTGTTGTTTGATTCTCAGTGGAAGGTAGAGTAACAGTATTATTGTAGTTCTTATTCTATCCCATATGTTCTCGGCATTCAAGTTACAAAGCTGGATAAGGCATCTTTCAAGATACATACCTTCTAGTGAAGGGAGACAGGCATGTAAAATGGATATCCACAATGGTTAGTAGGATGTGAGTGATCTAAAATTTAGCCAGAGGATACAGCATTTCCAAAGTC
The DNA here is from genome assembly GCF_000001405.40 of Homo sapiens. Taxonomy (NCBI): domain Eukaryota; kingdom Metazoa; phylum Chordata; class Mammalia; order Primates; family Hominidae; genus Homo; species Homo sapiens. The sequence goes on along the minus strand of NC_000003.12, from coordinate 177,116,462 downwards.
TGCTAATGTAAGAGGAGTTTGGGAAACTAAAAACATACACATGTCAAGTTGCATCCTAGAAATAGAAGGTCATGGTGCTTAGTGCTTACTTACAGGAAATGAGGGAGGAGAAGGAGCCATATCTCTAGTTTGGGTGACAAGTTGGGTGAAAGTGGCGCCATCCACCAAGGTAGGAAATACGAGAAGAGGAACAAGTTTGGGGTGGGAGATGAATTAAATTTATACATAGAAAATTTGCAATGCATTGTGTGACATGGGTTGGGGGGAGAATGATGATGTCTAGTTGGTTTCAAGTAAGTAAAATACCATTTTAAACAAATTGTGAGACAGGAAGGTACTGTTTTTCAAAATTCCATTGCCCTTAGTGTGATGAATTCCATCAGGTTTATTGCCTGGGTTGGAAAATGGCTACTGCTGCAGGAGGCATCATATTTAAGCAGGAAGAAGTGCTGCACCTGTTCTTTATTTTCATTAAAGCAAAAGCTTCCCCTGGCCTCCTCATTCCTTCCCTAGCGGACTTCTGAGGCCTTACCAGCCAGAACTGATCAATATGGCTGCCTCTGGCTGCAAGAAAGGTTAGGAAAGCAAGTATTTATCTGGGCCTGTTGCTGCTTTGAAGAAAATTAGAATTATGTTAGCAAGGAGGCTGAAGGCATCTGAAGAGTTGTTAAATGAATAGTTAATTAAGCAGTGCCTCAACAAAGAAACCCATTACTACTTCTTGCTTCAAAACTAAAAAAATCAAAAGCTTAAATTTTAGATATCCAATGATGTTCAATTATAAATTTTGGGATGCATTAAAAACAATTTGGGCTGTAGACCTCAAAGTTGCGGGGAAAGAGTGGAATGAGGCGTACGGATAGTGTGATTGAAGGGGGGTCAGTAGGCAGCATAGAGAGATTTGGGGAAGAATTGACCAAATTTTGCGGTTGTGGTGGACAAAGGAGGCAGAGCAAAGGGGTGTGACCCTCAGGCTTTTGGGTTGGGTAGTGAATAGCAGTAAGCAGCACAATATGACTATGATAATGACTAGTGTTTTTGTGCCTTCCAAGACTTTTTGGTAAACTTCCAAAAGGAGAAAAATGATGTATTTTAAAATTTCAGTCTCTCTTATAAATACTGATTATGTTATTAAGTAAATTTGACCTGACTCCATCAGGTGAAGTTCCTGATTTTTAAAAGTATCATCAGTTTTTTTAACAGTTACATCCATATAGTATTGCAGGAAGTAGTTAGTTGTATGAAATACTATAGGTCAAAAGTAATTGGAAGCTGGGTCAGGTAGATGGTTAAAAAGTGTACTTACTGGTTGATGGCATTACACTGTACTCTGGTGGGGGCCCAAGATCCTTACTGTATGGAGTCCATCCTGCCCATGGCACTGTGGCAGTAAGACAATATGGATGTAGACCGCCTCACTCCTCCTTACAGTGATACTTTAATTAAAAATCATTATTATTATTATTATTATTTTTTTCCCCAAAGTGACAAGGTCTTACTCTGTTGCCCAAGCTGGAGTGTAGAGCTGTCATCATGGCTCACTGCAACCTCAAACTCCTGGGCTCAAGGGGTCCTCCTGCCTCAGCCTCCCAAGTAGCTGGGACTACAAGTGCATGCCACCCTGCCCAGCTAATTTTTAACATTTTTTTTATAGAGATGGGGTCTTGCTGTGTTGCCCAGACTTGTCTCGAACTCCTGGGCTTAAGCGATCTTCCCATCTCAGCGTCCCAAACCACTGGGATTAGAGGTGTGAGCTACCGTATCTGGCCAAACTTTTTTTTTTTTCTTTTTAATTTTAAAAAAGTGACATACGACATTATGTTTTTGTCATGTGCAACACAAATCTTTTGAAATACATATATTGGCTGGGTGTGGTGGCTCATGCCGTAATCCCAGCACTTCAGGAGGCCAAGGCAGGAGGATCTCTTGAGCCCAGGAGTTCAAGACTAGCCTGGACAACAGTGTGAGGGCCCGTCTCTACAAAAAGTTAAAAATTAGCTGGTCTTGCTGGGCAGCTACTTGGGAGGCTGAGTCAAGAGGATCTTTTGAACTTGGGGTTGGGGAGGTGGAGGTCAAGGCTGCAGTGAGCTATGATAACACTGCTGTACTCTAGCCTGGGCAACAAAGCAAGACCCTATCATATATATATCATATATCATATATATGTATCCATATATATGATGTGTGTATATATATATGATTATATATATGAGATGTATATATATATGATGTGTATGTATATATATGATGTATGTATACATATAGAGAGAGGAATGGTTGAATCTAGTGAATTAATAAATGCATTACCCCATAGTTACCATTTTGTGGTAAGAGCACATAACATCTACTCTACATTTTTCAAGAATATGCCATTTTTAACTTTAGTCAAATTGCTGTATAATTGATCTCTTGAAGTTTATTCTTTTTGTCTAACTGTAATTATGTATCCTTTGACCAACATTTACCCAGTAGTGGGATTGCTGGATCATATGGTGGTTATTTCTGTTTTAAATTTTTTTTTAGAAACCTTCATATTATTTTCAGTAATGGCCACCAACAGTGTGTTAAGGATTCTCTTTTCTCCATATTCTCAGCAGCACTTGTTGTCTTTTGTCTTTTTGATAATGTTCATACTGACTGGGGTGAGATAATATTTCATTGTGGTTTTGATTTTCCTGATGATTAGTGATGTCGAACATTCTTTCATAAACCCGTTGATATTTGCATGTCTTTTGAGAAATGTCTATTCAGGTCTTTTGCCATTTATTTATTTTTATTTAATTTTTAAATTGTTTATAGAGATGGGGTCTCCATATGTTGCCCAGGCTAGTCACAAACTCCTGGCCTAAAGCGATTCTCCAGCCTTCACCTTCTAAAATGTTAAGATTACAGGCATGAGCCACTGTGCCTGGCCATTTTGCCGATTTTAAATATTAGGTTATTTGATTTTTTGTTATTGAGTTGTCTTAAGTTCTTTTAGATATTATTTGTCAGATACATAATTTGCAAATATTTTCTCCTGTAGGTTATTGTTTTTCTCTGTTTATTGCTTTCTTTGCTGTGCAGAAGGTTTTGGTTTTATGTAATCCCATTTGTCTATTTTTGCTTTCGTTGCTTGTACTTTTTGAGGTCCTATCCAAAGAAAATCCTTGCCCAGATTGCTGTCAGGAAGTGTTCCTCTTGAGTTTTCTTTTAGTAATTTTCTAGTTTTGAGTCTTATGCTTAAGTCTTTAATCCATTTTTTTTGTTTAATTTTTGTATATGGTGAAAGATAAGGGTCTACTTTCATTTTTCTACATGTGAATATTCATTCTGTTTCCCCAAAACCATTTATTGAAGACACTGTTCTCTCCCCACTGTGTGTTCTTGGCACCTTTGTCAAAAATTAGTTGACTGTAAATGTGTAGATTTACTTTTGGGTTCTCTCTATTCTATTCCGTGTGTGTGTGTGTGTGTGTTTTGAGACAGTCTTGCTTCATCGGAGTGCAGTGCCACGATCTCTGCTCACAGCAACCTCTGCCTCCCTCCGCCTTTCAGATTCAAGCGATTCTCCTGCCTCAGCCTCCCGAGTAGCTGCGACTCCAGGCACATGGTACCACGCCCGACTAATTTTTGTATTTTTAGTAGAGACGGGGTTTCACCATGTTGGCCAGGCTGGTTTCGAACTCCTGACTTCGTGATCCGCCCGCCTCAGCCTCCCAAAGTGTTGGGATTACAGGTGTGAGCCACCGCACCCAGCAGGTCTTTGAGGGCTTTCACAAAAAAGTGTTCTCATACTTTTCTTTTTCTTGAAAAGTAGAAATTTGGCCGGGCACCTAATTACTTGTTTTTAAAACGGACAATATTATGTACTGTACAAAATAGTCAGATTTAAATGATACTGAGTGTGCCAGCAATGTAGAGTTTAATACTCATTTTATCACCTCTGATAAGAATGTTTAACCATTTCCGATCTCAATCTGTATGCATAAAACAAAGGGGATTGAATGAGACAGCTTTTCTTTAACTGTCCTATGATCAAAACAAGTTTTCCATGCTATTTAAATGATACTTTAGGCCGGGGGCCGTGGCTCGTGCCTGTAATCCCAGCACTTTTGGAGGCTGAGGTGGGTGGATCACCTGGGGTTAGGAGTTCTAGACCAGCCTGGCCAACGTGTCAAAACCCCACCTCTACTAAAAATACAAAAATTAGCTGAGCGTAGTGGCAGACGCCTGTAATCCCAGCTACTTGGGAAGCTGAGGTGGGAGAATTGCTTGAACCCGGGAGACGCAGGTTTTAGTGAGCCGAGGTGGTGCCACTGTACTTCAGCCTCGGCAACAGAGTCAGAGCCCCTCACAAAAAAAAAAAAAAAAAATATATATATATATATATATATATATATATATATTTGATTTTATATCTTTGTTGTCTTATTTCTTAGAAGGCAGGAGATATTTTCTTCTTCGTTTCAGGGCCTAGTTCTTATTTTTTAAAAGGCTTCAAAGGATCTTAGCAGTCAATCCAATAAACCCAGTCATTGCTTGTTGGTGGTGAGTCTTAAGAGGCTTAAGTTGTAGGCCTAAGACCACTGGCACCCTACAGGCAGAGTTGGGATGAGGACCCAGGTGCATTGTAAAAGGTTCCCTAAACCGTTTCTCTTTCTGTGAATAAATGACCTTGGTTTAATGTTTAGCTCTGACTCATCTGAAATCTAAAGTGAAATGTCAATATTAACAGCCACCATATAGGGTATGGCAAAGAGATTCCTGACACGTGAACTGCACCTGGTTTGGGAAGGTGTGATGCATTCTTAAAACAGCATATCCTTCGTGGATTGGGTGCCCTGGAAGATATGTCCAGGAGATGCTTATAAGATGATAGTGGGCCTGGCGCAGTGGCTGAAGCCTGTAATCTCAGCAGTTAGGGTGGCCTAGATGGGCAAATAACTTGAGGTCAGGAGTTCAAGACCAGCCTGGCCAGCATGGTGAAACCCAGGCTCAACCGATCCTCCCAGCTATTTTGTCTCTACTAAAAATACCCAAATTAGCCTGGCATGGTGGCATGCACCTGTAGTCCCAGCTACTCGGGAGGCTGAGGCAGGTGAATCGCTTGAACCCAGGAGGCAGAGGTTGCAGTGAGCCGAGATAGCGCCACTGCACTCCAGTCTGGGCAACAGAGAAAGGCTCTGTCTTTAAAAAAAAAAAAAAAAAATCAATCATAGTGGTTTCTCAGTGGAACTCAGGTGTGTCTAACCCAGGGTAACTTTTGTATCGTTTGTGGATTCTTTGCCCTTTGCATACCTACCTGAATAATGATATGGTGATGGTGATGATAGTAGGGAGAGGTGCAAAGACAATAGCTCCTGGATTGCATGTCCTCCTGTTGTGTGCCTGGCGTGATACTGCCCTGCTAGCCTGTCCTGTCCTGTAGCTTTCTCTGTAAACACATGCCAGGTGTGGCCTACTTAGGTTTTGTGAATTTGTCTAGTTGAGTCTGAGTTGTTAGAGCAGTTCCTTTCAACTGTTGATTTGCTTGACGTGAGATCAAGGGGGTGAAAATCATACACAACACATTTTTTTCCTCTTTGTTTGAAAGATATTTTCCTCTTCTGGACCCTATCTAGAAGAAGTATTCCTTAGACAATTTCCGGCTTCTTTTCTCTCATGAAGAGGAGGTAAGATTTTTGTTCTCACACTTATCTGCTTCCCAAAATATCCCCCCCGTTCTCATTAAGTTCTGACCACTCCTTCCTCTCATCTCATTTAATTCTTATTCATATCTAGAATTGTGTTTTAGGTACAATAGTAGGCATAAGTCACAGACATACTGTCATTTATTCCTGTGCATTTACAATAGAAGGTATTGAAAAAATTCAGCTTAGTGTCTTCATAGTTCTAGCTTTATGCATTTTCACAGACATTTATCCTTTGCCTCCTCTTTGTCTTCTGCTGAAGAATAGTGAACACAGTAGGGAAAAAAAAACCACAAAACCAAGACCAGGTGTTCTTAAGCAAAGAAGTTCTGGTTTGTGTTTTGTTATTTTTCCCTAGTCAGGTATTTTAAATTCGTAATGGTGGGTGTATAGCCCTAGATACATTGTAAGCTTTGCTGGATATTTACAAATTGTTGCCTAAACTGTAGAAGGGCTTAAGTCATTAGACATTCTATTTTAGTGACATTTTTCTGTTTTTCTGTATCATGTGTCTTGGAAAAACTTTGAAGTTCTTTGATGTTAATTTTGTAAGAATGTGTGTCTGAAAATATTTTGACTGAATAGACTCTGGGTTACAGTTAAGAATTTCTTTGATTTGGCACATCTTCTCTTTAGCATTTCATAGCTTTTATCATGGCCTGCATATACAACATGTCAATTATAATGCCTGATAGGTCTCCTAGGAGTTGTAGCTTCACAATATATAGGAGGCATCAGGCACAAATCGATACTGCAGAGAAAAAATTAGAGTAACTAAAACATAAATGACGTATTTTGTGAATAAGGAAGTGTTCTAGGTATGCCTTCCAGTAGTAAGCGGACAACACCAAGATATAAGGCACGTCTTCATACATCATTGTCTGTACACAGAACATCGAGCATACAGGAAGCTTCCTGAGTATCTTGCTGTCTCTCAATTGAAATACAAACCAACTCTGGCTCTGACCATCCTACTTTAATATTGCAACCCAGGGGTTCCTCTTTCACCTCTCTTCCCCCCAACTTCTGAATCCCTTTACCCTGCTTGGACTTTTTCTTTTTTCATAGCATTTATGATTGTAACATTACTTATTAATCAAAATTCTGCTGGAATTTAAACTGTGAGAGAGCAGGGATCTGTGTTTTATTTACTGATGTATTTTAGTAAGTTTTGTCCCCAGTGGGTGAATTAATAGTAACTCGATGTAAAGGGCTAACTTTTAATGTTAACAATCTCTAGTAGAAAGGTTAATTACAATTTGTTTTTTCTTCCTTCTTCCTTTCTTTCCCCACCTCTTCTTTCTTCCCATAGTTCTGTTGTCTACTGCAGGACAAATCTTACAATCATCCCAAAATACAAAAACAAAACAACCTTCTGTTTAGTCTTGGAGGTAAACATAGGCTTTAAATTACATTTCTTCCTATTCTCTTAAAGGGGACTTGCTTGATAGTTTGTATTTTCTTGAGTAACTAATGCATTTCTAATGGAGAGAGTTCATTTAGTGTGCAGGTTCTTTGTTTCTGATTGAATGTTTGGTTGCTTTCATATTCAGTTTATGTTCAATTAAAAAATTGGGAAAAGGTATGAAATTGACAATTTTAAATGTAATTTTGTTTATATATTAACTTGTTTTTAAAAATTAATTACAAATATACAATTTACTTGTTTTTTCCCCATATTTATCTGTGAATTAGATTATGATTTAGGATTGTTAGAAAATGTGAAAAGAAAACATGTTTGACAATAACATTTTCATCTCTATTATAGAAGTGATTTTTGGTATCCAGATATCCTTATCCCATCAAAAAGCTAAAATGCAAGCTCATTTTCTGTTAATTTTTAAGATGGGCATAACATTTCTTCTCATCGCTGCTTGGTGAACATTAGCTAGTATTGCCACAACTTATGGCCAGTGTTTTCTGTTTCTTCCTTCCTTCTATTTGCTCTGGCAAAGAGGACGCATTTCCAGGACCAGTCTCAGCTAGCCCAGTGTCTTTATTGTCTGTTTCTTTGTTGTTTGCATTAATAAAAATACCATTAGTATTTTTTAAACTCATGGAAATTCATAATTCAAACAATTTTTTTGCTTAGGGAGTTGATTCTTTTTGTTCTTTTAATACTATACTATTTTTAACCTTTTTGCTCCCTTTTAAACTATACATGCAGTTATAATTAACTGATATTAGTATTACTTCTGTGCGAAAATGCCTTTAGGCATTCAATAGGATTATAAATCCTAGTTTATTTTCTTTACAATAAGCCAAACACTATGTTCATACTTGTTATCAAGCTGTCTAATACACTATATAGATGAAGACACTGAGGGCTTGCTTACAGTTGTATGGATATGATGTGAAAGAGCTGAGTTTTTAAACAGAACAGAAAGCCTTATTCTTTCCATTCTTACCCCCACTGTCTTTTAAGTTTCTAAAGATGGCAGAGGAATGTTGAAGTTTAATACTTATAATTTTCTTAATGAACTTCATTATTATATATAGGGCCACATAAGATACTATGTTTGAATTCCTTAGAAAATTTCCTTTTCATAGAATGGTTATATATTTTTAGTAGGCAGTGTTTAAATAGTAAGTGTTTTTGCTTGGTCTGTTAATTTATTTGATTTAAAAAAATGTTTACCTCATTTAACCTAAAAGCTTCTTTGCTTTATCCTGGATCTGTAGAAATTTGGATGGTTCTGGGAATTGCTTCAGAGTCAACAAACTATGACCTGTGGACCATATCTGGTGTGTTATCTTTTTTTTTTTTGAATAAAGTTTTATTAGAAAGAGTAATGCCCATTCATTTTTTAATGTATTGTCTGTGGCTACTTTGCTGTATAATAGCAGAGTTGAGTAGTAGTGACAGAGACCAAATGGCCTGCAAAATAAAAAAATATCTGCTAACTGGCCATAGTTTGCCTTAGACCATTGCGTGCCAATGACTGAGAAGTAAGATGGAGTAGTTGTATTCAGATAATCTCAGTTGGTGTTTTATTATCGTAACTTGGGTGCTGGGCACAGAGAGGAGTTTTCTGTATTGAAATATATATAATATATGAGATCTTAAGAAAGGTAGTTTCGTTTCATGATCCCCGGATGGTGTATCTATGTGTGTGTGAACCAGAAGTGGCTCCTTGAATGGGTCAGGCAGATAACACAGCTTGTGTTTGCTGGTTCGAATGTATCATTTTAAGTTTGGTGAACAAGTTAAATTGAAAGCATTTTGGCAAACCAACACCGGATGAGAACTTGGCATTCTCCAGAATTAAGAATATTCCACTAAAAAAACCCCCATACAACCTTGATTTCATAAATGAATGTATTTCTGGCAGCTATTTTGATTGGAATGTGGTAGTTAAATGAAATATTTGTTTTAATTTACTGAAGGAAAAGCATTTGCTGATACTGTCTAGATTATGCCAACTTTCAAAATATGAAATTAAAGAAACCAATTTGAAAACTTTTTTTCACGTGAATCTGTAAGGAAATGTTTTCTGTAAGGACACATAAGAGCGACTCTTTGAGTTCATCAGTAGTGGATAAATAGAAACATAACATTTCAGAATTCTGAACCTAATATCTAGTTTAATGTAAGTGTGTATATTTTTTGTGTGTCCAAAGCACTTCAGAATGACAGTTTTCAGTTTAGTAATTATCCGCTGACATATTCTTAATTTTTTTTTTAAAGAGGCCTATTGCATTCTATTACAAAGTAAAAATTGAAGCTGTTTAGTTGTGAAGAGTGTTTGAAGAACTGCTTCATTTAGAAGGTGTTCATTATCACTGTGAGGTTATGCTAGTCAGGATGACTACTGTGGGCATATTCCAAATCTGTTGTAATTAAAAAGTTTTATAAATGATAATTTTTTTTTTTAGTAGTAATGCTGTTGTGTTAATTCACTAAAAGACATAATGTACCTGGATTCAATAGCCTTAGTAGCACACAGGACGGCAGAATCTGAATGGGCAGTTTGTGTCCTGCACAGAGGTACACAGCCAAGGGAAAAGTGGGCACTGAAATCCAGGCCAAGCTGTTTCCCTGTTAGCGGACTGTCTTCACAGAGGAAGGAGCTTCCTTTATAACAATTTATTTCTGTTATTTAATATGCATTATGTCTTATTACTATGCTAGGCACTGATTAGCACTTTTTATTCCACTCTCCTAACTTATTTTACAGATGAAAAAGCGAAGGCACTGAGAGAGGTTATCTAGTTACTAAGAGTCAGAGCCAGGGAGTCCAAACCCACCTGTGTGGCTCCACAATTCCAGGCTCTTAACCTCCGATACCACGTGGCTTCCTTTTTGTAATTTATTTTGCTAGAGTCTAATTTGCACAAAGGTACTGCAGAAGCTAGTGCTGGCGCTGATAATACACTTGAGTGCTAAGTTAGAAAGGGATGGGGCGCACGTAGAACAAACTTCAGCTCATTTGCCTAAGTGCCCACTAGAACTTCCTTGATGAATCACATATCCAGATTTTGTTTGAACATTGTCATTGATTTGCGCGATGGTTTCCCTTTATATTGAATAGGAAAAAAATACCTTTCTATAACTTCTGCCTACTACTTAAAATTTTGTCACACATAGCTGAGGCTCATTTGGGCTTTATGTGTTTTTTATGCATTTTCTTCTTTTTTTTGTTATTATGTTTTGAAGTCTTTTTAGGCCCCTTTCTGTTTATGGTGTCTTCATTATCATTGTCCTTACTTTTCTGTTCATTTTTGGGAGACAGATTGAGTTTATCTTTTGTTTGTCATCATTAATCTTAAAATTAGATTAATAAACCACTTAATTTAGTCCGATGTAGTATTAACATATTTCTCCCTCTAGTTCTGAACACCTCTCACTTTGCAATTTAGTATTTGAAAGAAGCGACTCTCCTGCCTTAGGTTAATAATTAGACCTGACTAGTAAAATTCTCCATCCTGTCCCTTCCCTTCCCACCCCCACCCAGTGGTTCTCAGTCCCCATTGGAATCACACACATGCACACACACACCCACACACTGACACGGGGTGGGTGGGGAGGATTTTAAATGCAAGTGATGTAGATCCTACCCTAGACCAATTACATCTGAGTGAGGGGCTCACCACGTCATAGTTAGGTTCTAATCTGGGGCATTTCTGTAGGACAGAGCTAATCAAAGACAGTCTTCTTGGCAGAGCCATTCTCATTTCTATTGGAAATGTGTTCAACTGAATGATTTGTGTGTTGTAGCCTAATTAGCTATTCAGATTCTTAATACCTTGAATCAGATATTCAAACCTTAGGAAGAGTGAGAAATCTATTAAGATGTAGGAATGTCAGTTTTCTTTTCTAACTTAAGTGCCAGTGTACCCACCTGTGTGGTCTTAGGCAACAAAGCTTGATATCCCCCCTTCATATTATTTCTTAGATCTTCGTTGCTGTTTCTACTGGTCCACCCCTCCTTCGGCCCCCCACACTTGTTTCTTTCTTCCAAACTGCTTTTTTAACAAAGGGTTTAGCAGCTATCAAACTTTATGTAAACAAGAAAACAGTGTCATATCTGTCGTATTTCAAAGGCACTGTAAGTTACACCATTAATTTAATAACATTTTGGGGAAAACAGTTATAGTTACACATTAATGCTCTACTCACTTTAAAGAAAAAATAACTTAAAATCATAGATACATTTTTATATTAGTTTTCAAGTATCCGTAAATTTGGAGTGTAAGCTTTTTCTCATGTTCAAAATCCCTATCACTGAAGGTTTGTGAACCGGAAGCTTTTGATGCATAGGCGTTAGTGCCTAAGTAATACACTTGACTTATGTTAGCATTAGAAACTGTTCAAACCAACCTTTAATTTTAAGAACTCTGTGGGTCATTGTAAGAGAGTTTGTGCTGTTGTCTTTAATTGCATTGCTTACCCTGTGACAGAAAAATTTAGAAATACTTGAGAGTTTTTTGTTTTATTCTTGCACAATAGTTTATTTTTGTATAATCTTAACATAAAATTCAATGACATGTGATGTTACCAGTGAAACTAATTCAACTAAGGTAGTAATTAGGTGATTAGACACCAGTGCATGTTTAAATTGTTTTCTTTTTATGTGAGTATGTGGTCTTGAGAATAGCTTATTTTTAAAAATTGGTGTCAGATAACTTTTGAATCATTTTTCCCCTAATCGCTTAAGTAACAATGGGAAATGAAAACATAGGCAGTAATTGCAAAGCTGTGCGTGATCTGACAGTGAGTCTGATCTCAGAGTCACTTAAGATATCCCTGCTGTTATAGCTCCTTCTGCTTTTCACCTGCCTTACCTTCTGGCTGTCTAGAATATTATCTGTATGTGTAATTCCATGGGAAATGAGGATCGGGTGAGGACAGTGGAGGATGTAATGCTTAGAGGCTTTGACGTATGCGTAGTATGTTGTTGGAGATAACATACTAACATTCCTTTTTGTAAAACGGATTAAGAAGATTCAGTTGAAACTCTGATTTACAAATATGTATATATTTAATTGTTCCATTAGGAGGTAATACTGTTTTTGTTTCTTTCTTAATTGTGCTTTCAATCATGTGCTAAGCAATTTAATTTGAACTTTTTCTGTGACTTTTCCTGGGAGTTAATTTAATAAAAATCTTTCTAAGCAGGGTCAATTCTGGTAGAATTCTTATATATTTCTCTCTCTCTCTTTTTTTTTTTTTTGGAGACCGAGTCTCGCTCTGTCACCCAGGCTGGAATGCAGTGATGTGATCTCAGCTCACTGCAACCTCTGCCTCCTGGGTTCAAGTGATTCTCCTGCCTCAGCCTCCCGAGTAGCTGGGATTACAGGCATCTGCCACCATACCTGGCTAATTTTTGTATTTTCATTAGAGATGAGGTTTCTCCATGTTTGCCAGGCTGGTCTTAACCTTCTGACCTCAAGTGATCTCCCTGCCTTGGCCTTCCAAAGTGCTGGGATTATATTTTTCTCTTAATTCATGGGGTGACTTTCCCAAATTCTGTACATTAAAACAAAATAATTTTATTTTTTAAGGATACCAGATATACTTCCTTGAACTTGTTACTGACCACTAGGTTCTAGATTAGAGTGTGTTGCTACCTTAAATAATAAGTTTTTATTGTGTTTGTACCTTTGTCTAGGAAAAGGGCCCATAATGTCCATTAGCTTTTCAAAGTTATCTATAAATTAAATAAATTTACTTCTAGAGACTGCAATGTAGTATTTTTGAAGAACAGTCAAAATATATCATTTGCTTTTCTTTAGAATTTTTCCATGTTAAAAAAACTTCCTAATTGTGTGTAGGTGGCAGATCTTAGAAGATGTCTGCTAAGTCAACAGTGTCTTTCTATGCTGTAAGCCTTATCTAAAATTAATACTTCGTTTACTTTAGATAAAATGCTCTGAAATACATTTTTGGAAGCAAAGCTTTTTGTTTGGAGACAAAACACAAACCTTACAGCCATTTATTTTATTACAAGAAGTAAATATATTTAGTTTATGTAGTACACAAAGGAGGTGATAGTTTTTACACTAATAATGTGATTGATCATGTACTTCTTGAGTTTCTTGTTAATGATGGAAGATCCACCTTTATTGGTCACCTTCTGGAAGTGGTGTTAAAGTTACTGGTATATAACCAGGTTCTCTCAAGCATTTTCAAAGTAACAATCCACTGGTGAGTTTTTCCTTCCCAGTGTGATTTATTTGTTCAGTAATTCAGTGTCTACTGCATTTTATTTTCAAATATGTTTATATCTATTTCTCTATATCTAGACACTAACATTTTATCAGCATATATATCTTAAGAATCATGTATGTTCAAGGCATTATTCTTAGTTCTGTTAGGGAACAGCAAGATGATTAAATCAGTCCTGGGTCTCTAGAAATTTGATCAGAGAGGTATGATAGAAGAATAAGGCACTATGCGGTTGTGGAAAGGGAGATATGTTAAGCTGGGGCTCATTTCTCTCTCTGGATGGTGGGGTGGATAATTAATGGAGGAAGCTGATTGGGCCTGATCTTTGGAGGAGGGATAGGAAGATTTGTGAGCAGAACCGTAGTCAGAAGGACATTTCTGGTAAGGAATGAGGAATGTCAGGGCAGCCAAAGAGTGCAGATAACACTGCACACAGTGATCTGCTGTGGTGAGAGTAGAGAATGTTGAGTAAAAGTAGAAATGCAGATAGACGGGACACACATGTTTTGGACTTGAATTCCTTTAATACAAATAGTTTCAATAGTTTCAATATACATTGTCAGACTATCTTAAATGCACCTTAAGTTTTGTAATTCCTTTGTAAAGTATATCACTATATCTTTTAAAATTCAGATGTTTATTTTAATTACGTGGTGTGCTTTATAAATGCATTGCATGATGGCTAGGACATAGGTAAATGAGTTGACTAGGAAAACATCTAAGAAATAAAAAAATATGGTCCTGCGTATGTTTCTAGAAATTTTCCAGATTAATTTGCAGGTGCAGTTGGTATACCATTTTTCACATATTTATTCACCCTTCAAATCCTAGAATCAAATACTTTTTAACCATGTCATCAACTATTAAATCACTATTGTGGTCTTTCTCCTTAACGACTTGTAGTATTAATAGGAAAAGTTAAATGAATGAATGAAGACAAAGGTAGAGAAAAGGTAATTAGTGAAAACTGAGATTAGATACATCTATGAGGGTGATGAGAGACTCACTGATGACCGAAAAGTTAGAAAAAGAAACTGGAAGAATGATCTGATTTAGCATTCTATAAAGGTAGATGTATGTAAGTTTGTGTGTTATATGTGTACCATATCTTATTAGTTTCTATGTTCATTTATTTATGTTCATTTCAAAGTAAAAAAAAAAATTCTAATGGTTAATACAGGGGTTCAAATTTGTACCCTCATTTGGTTCTAGTATAAGAGAGTCATGTAGAACATATTGTACATAATGCTATTTGGAGGAAAAAGTGGAGGTTCCGCAAAGCACCGGTGATACATTCATTCATTCGTTCTGTTTCCTGGAATTGCTATTATTTCAGCTTAGTATTGTAAGTTTATTTGTCTTAGTCCATTTTCTGTTGTTATAACAGAATACCATAGACTGGGTAATTTATGAATAAAATAAATTGATTTCTTATAGTTCCAGAGGCTAGAAAGTCCAGGCTTGAGGGGCCGCCTGTGGGAAGGGCCTTCTTACTGCTTTATAACATGTTGGAGGGCATCACATGGCAAGAAGGCAAGAGCGAGTCAGCTCAGGTCCCTTTTGCTCTTCTTATAAAGTGGCCAGTCCCATCATGGGGGCTACACCCTGATGACTTTATCTTAATACTAATTCCTCTCAAAGGCCCCACCTCCAAATGTCATCAACATATGAATTTGGGGATTAAGTCTCCAACACATGAAATTTGAGGGACACAATTAAAACACAGCATGTATTCACTTGTGTTTAATTACATAGATTTGTAGATTTTATTACCCAGTTTTAACCAAGCCTCACCAAAACAGGCTCATGACTTAATCTTGCAAAAAAAAAAAATTGCATCTAAAACCAAAATAGTTAAGAAACAAGCCAATGGCGGAGCCAGTACTTAAACTACAAGAGTGAACTCTTCACTTGCTATGATCTAATCATTTAACAAATGTCTGAAAAAAAAATAGCGATTGTCATGGCTGGGCATGGTGGCTCACGCCTGTAATCCCAGCAGTTTGGGAGGCTGAGGCGGGCAGATCACCCGAGGTTGGGAGTTCGGGACCAGCCTGACCAACATGGAGAGACCCCCGTCTCTACTAAAAAATACAGAATTAGCCAGGTGTAGTGGCGCGTGCCGGTAGTCCCAGTTACTCGGGAGGCTGAGGCAGGAGAATCACTTGAGCCTGGGAGGTGGAGGTTGTGGTGAGCTGAGGTCGCGCCATTGCACTCCAGCCTGGGCAACAGCGAGACTCCGTCTCAAAGAAAAAAAAAACCAAAGAAAAAGAAAATAGCAGAGCCAATACTTAAACTACAAGAACGAACTCTTCACTTGCTATTATCTAATCATTTTATAGATGTCTGAAAAAAATTAGGGATTATCAAGAAAGATGTTTGAAATGTAGATTATTTGGCCCAGCACAGTGGCTCACCCCTGTAATCCCAGCACTTTGGGAGTTGGAGACGTGTGGATCACTTGAGGTCAGGAGTTCGAGACCAGTCTGGCCAACATAGTGAAACCCCGTCTCTACTAAAAATACCAAAATTGGCCAGGCGTGGTGGCTTGTACCTGTAGTGCCAGCTACTCAGGAGGCTGAGACCAGGAGAACCACTTGAACTCAGGAGGTGGAGGTTGCAGTGAGCTGAGATTGTGCCATGGCACTTCAGCCTGGGTGACAGAGTGAGACTCCGTCTCAAAAAAAAAAAAAGTACATTATTCACTGTTGGTGTTGATGAGCTTTGCTCTACAATTAAGTTGTACCTTTAGATACTAGTTAATGATGTAAAACTATCATTAAGACATTAAGAATGTAGAATGTTATGAACAAAAATATTATAGCACTGTAAATAAATAATTTATCTATCTTTTACTTATGTTGGGAGTTTTTCTTGTTTGTTTGAGACAGAGTCTCTATCACACAGACTGAAATGCAGTGGCATGGCCATCTCAGCTCACTGCAACCTCTGCCTCCCAGGCTCAAGTGACCCTCGTGCCCCAGGCTCCCGAGTAGCTAGGACCACAGCCATGCGCCACCATGCCTGGCTGATTTTTTGTATATTTGGTAGTGATGGGATTTCACCATGCTGCCCAGGCTGGTCTCGAACTCCTGAGCTCAAGCGGCCCGCCTCGGCTTCCCGAAGTGCTGGGATTACAGGCATGAGTCTCTGTGCCTGACTTCTTGTATGTGTTTTAAAATACACATTATTTAGTAGTACATGTTAATTATTTATAAATAAATTGAATGCATGTATGCCAAAAAGTTTTGTGACAAAAATGCTCCATTGATTTTTAGATAACAAGTAGCCCTATATAACTTTAGCTCAAAAAGTGACAAAAACTTTATACTGAAATAATTGACATTCATAACAAATGACCTTGAGGTAAACAGAGCCTAGTGGTATCTAGTCATGATGTGTAAAGAACATTTCCTCAGTCTGTGCTAGAAAGGACCTACCGAGTAGCTCATAAGTGCCTCTAGGCAACAAACCTTGGGGGCTCACGCCCACGCCCTGTTTTGAAGCACCAGGGATTGGTGGGATAGTGTATGTGGCATAATCATCATTTACTTAGTTATCTTCTTACTTCACCTAATTGGTGTAGGAGCTAAACCTCCCATATATAGTAGTAAACTCCTTTCTGTGGTGTCAGCTTGATTTTACTCTTTAGAAAACTGTACTCCGTGGTGGAAACTGTACTGGTCAGTGTTCCAACTAAGAGTCTCCTCTGACATGGTATGTGAAGTATAACTTTTTTGTTGTTGTTGTTGTTGAGACAAAGTCTCGCTGTTGTACCCCAGGCTGGAGTGCAGTGGTGCGGTCTCGGCTCACTGCAACCTCTGCCTCCTGGGTTCAAGGGATTCTCTTGCCTCAGCCTCCCAAGTAGCTGGGATTACAGGTGCCCGCCACCACGCCCAGCTGATTTTTGTATTTTTAGTAGAGACAGGGTGTCTCCATGTTGGCCAGGCTGATCTCGAATTCCTGACCTCAGGTGATCCGCCTGCTTCGGCCTCCCAAAGTGCTGGGATTACAGGCGTGAGCCACCGCGCCTGGCTGCAAAGTTTAACTTTTATATTTACACAAACGGTTTGTGGAATATAAGGTGCCCTGACTTAGCAATTGAGAAAACTGGATAAGCCCTATAAAGTTTAAAGAGAACAGAGTTAATAAGTTTTGATTGAAATTGTTTCTAAACCAATGATATATTTCTCTTTATTATTAAACAATATAGAATGCAAGTTTATGCCATTCTTGGTGGCCCATGATTATAGATTATGAACATACTAATTGGACCGTAATGCAATAATATTTACATGAGTTGAGTTGCCTGGTGGTGAGACCACTTGTGTGCAGATGAATCTCTTTGAGTCTCATTTTGTTCACTGTGCCAACCTCTTATGAACGTTCTAAAGACTTGCCAAGTATTAAGCACTCAAAAGTTGCTGCTGTTGTTTATGATAACAATTACTTGGGGGAGAAAGAAATTCACTGGTGGGGACCTTAAAGAATATTTCAAACATGTAACATTTGGTATGGAAAATCTTTTAAACTGAATTTGTTTTAGGGCACATTGAATACTTTACTTTCCTTTTCCTCAGCATCAACAACAGCAACTTGTGATTGGCGGTGACCGGATATTCAGTTGCACATCCCCACATCAATGCACTGCCAATGGTAAGACTCTCCAACTCCCAATGTCAGTGTTTCTTATTCTCTTGTTTTTAGAATCTTTTGAGAATTTTGAAAGTTTCTCACAATTTGACAAAATACATGTGTTCCCAAGCTAAGTAAGTGTTTTTTTTTTAAATTTTTTATTCTTTTTAAATATATGTAGTTTAAAGTATTTAAAAATAACTTTTGAATATTTTGTAAAGGAAAAATTGCTACTTTTGAAAATTTCTATTTTCTTTTCTTTTTATGTTTTTTTGAGACGGAGTTTCGTTCTTGTTGGCCAGGCTGGAGTGCAATGGCGTGATCTCCGCTCACTGCAACCTCCTCCGCCTCCCAGGTTAAAGCGATTGTCCTGCCTCAGCCACCCAGGTAGCTGGGATTACAGGCATGCGCCACCACGCCCAGCTAATTTTTTGTATTTTTAGTAAGAGACAGGATTTCACCATGTTGGCCAGGCTGGTCTCGAACCCCTGACCGCAGGTGATCCGCCCACCTGAGCTTCCCAAAGTGCTGGGATTACAGGTGTGAGCCACCGCATCCAGCTGAGGATTTCTGTGTTCTGTAGTTTTAAAAACGTCTTAGCTACGGTCATCAGGATGAAAAATATTGTTATATCGTGATGGTCTTGTGTTTTGTCAAATGAACTAAATTTTGTGAATAGTATTTTCTTGTTAAAAATGCAACAGTGGCATTTTGCTCTTCTATTTTTGTCCATAATTTCACTGAAATAGATTGTTTTTGTGTATTGCATTTATCCTAATATTTTTTAGTTATGTGCATTTAAATGGCTAGGATTCTACCTGTTATAATTAATCATTTTAAGGAGAGTCATTCTTATCTACTTAAAAAGATTTTTAAGAAGCCTTTCACTGTAGAATATAAATGGCAATCATGTGATATAGCAGAAAGACTAGTGGACTCTGTGGGAGCTGGCATTTGCTTTATTTCCTGAATATACTATGAATCTTTGACTTTTGGCAGTACTCTTATAAAACTTAGGTGATGGAATTGGACTTTCTAAGGTTTATTCTAGCTGTATGTCAAGTGCTTATCATTGTTAACTGGAAGTCAGAGTGATTCTCTCTTAAAAAAAATTTCTTACCGAAATAATATTGTTGTGTATTTTGGGGATAAATAAATAGAAGATAAATGAATTTTTACTTTTTTAAAGAATCAAATAATAACATCTTACATTTATAAATATTTTCTGTAGTTCATTACCAACAATTTTAGTTTTACTAAATTAGGGAGGCATAAAAACTGATTGAGGTTTATAGAATTTGGTGGGAAATGATGTATCAGTCTGAAAGAAAAACTATTAAAAGTTAAGAACCAGAATAAGTGGTTAAGATATTTGTGAAAATATTCCCAGAAATAATTCCTATTAGAGATGGATTTTTTTCAGTATGTTGATAGGAGGATTTTCTCTGTTTAAACTCTTCTGAATTCCTATTGGGGAAAAAAGGTTGACCTCCTCCTTTTCCTGTTCTCCTCCTCTGCATCCTGCTCACCCTCTTCCCTTTCCTCTCCTCCTCTCTCCTTTCTCTTTTCTCTCTCGGGTTGATAGGAGATGTTGAAGAAAATAAGATGTCCCCACCCCCCAAGCCAAGCTTTACCTAGCACAAAGGATGGCATGGTTTTTGTTAATTTATAAAGCACTTGCTGGGGTCTTTAGATTGCTCTGGCAACTCATTAACCACTAGATCTGCTGTTTCCCAGGGAGTACTAGAGTTTCTCATGAAAGAAACAGATTCATGGTAAATCAACTTTGGTATTTGGAGTATCTGCTCTTGGCTTTTTGTTCACATGAAGTTTTTGTTCAAATGAAGTTCACATTTGAAACCTGTTACTCTTCTTTGTTGTCGGATCCTTAGTATTTGTGGCACGTCTCCCTTGGCAGTCAAACCAGTTGGGTATCTGAGATACAGGTGTCATGAAGCTACCTATCTCTTACAAATGCCTATCCTTAAGTGAAAAATTTTTATGTGTTACTCATATAGACTGTTTTTATAACCGCTCATAGACTATATTTTAAATTAGATCATCCCAAACATGTTTGTCAGTTTTGTTGAAAATCTCTGAAATCATTTTAATGTCATGATCACAGAAATTTAAGTGTGTGTGTGTGTGTGTATGTATGTATGTTAGTGTGTGTTAGAGATGAAGGAGACCAAGATTACAGCAAACTTGCTTACAGTCTAGCTAAGGACACTGAAGCCATTTCTATATATTTGCACAGATGTGCTAGTAAATTTGTAGGTATTGGTTCAAAATGGTATGGTTTTCCCATGACCCTCAGAAATGCAATAATAATCTGGGTTGAACCTGTGCTGTGTAGTATGTCATATTTATTTTCTCTGAAAATGCCAGAGTGCTTAGTGGGATTATATACAGTTACCTCTACTACCTCCCTACCTACCCTCAACAGTGTTTTTTTCTCTTAAAATTTAAAAGGTTGGTATATAGTAGTTGTACTTATTTTAGGGTACATGTGATATTTTGATACTTGTATAAATATAAAATGATCAAGTTAGGATAAGTGGGATATCCATCTCCTCAAACATTTTTCTTCCCCTTACTGAACATTGTTCTTGTTAAAATAATATGAGGGATTCATAACATCCTTTTTTGCCTTCACTCTTCTTTTACCTAGACACAAGTAATTTTAAATCTAATTGCACTTTACGGCAGGGTGCAGTGCCTCATGCCTATAATCCCAGCACTTTGGGGAGGCCGAGGCAGGCGGATCACTTGTGAGATCAGGAATTCGAGACCAGCCTGGCCAACATGGTGAAACCCCATCTCTACTAAAAATACAAAAATTAGCCAGGCGTGGTGGCGCACACCTGTAATCTCAGCTACTTGGGAGGCTGAGGCAAGAGAATCCCTTGAACCTGGGAGGCAGAGGTTGCAGTAAGCCACTGCACTCCAGTCTGGGTGACAAGTGAGACACCATCTCAAAAAAAAAAAAAATCTAATTGCACCTTTAATCATGATTTATAGCTGCTTTCCTGTATAAAATGTTTCATAAATACTTTTTTGTAATTATCTCATATTGCATTAGTAGGACCCATTGGCCAGCAGGTGTATATTATTATTTTGACTTTTTATTTATTATTTTTTGAGACAATCTACCCTGTTGCCCAGGCTGAAGTGCAGTGGTGTGATCTGGGCTCACTACAAAACCAAAACCGTATACCCATTAAACAGCACCCGCCCTCTCCTACCCGCCTGCGAGTTCCCAACACCCCCCTCTCCCCCTAGCCCGTCCTCTGGCAACAACCTTTTATTTCTGTTTCTGAGTTTGCTAGATACCTCATATAGGTAGCACCATATACTATTTGTCTTTTTGAGATTGGCTGCTTTTTAACATAATCTCGTGATGATTCATCTGTATTGTAGCCTGTGACATTATTTCCTTGTTTTTTTTTTAAGGCAGAATGAGATTCCATTGTATGTATATAACGCATTTTCTTTATTTTTTTATTCTTTTTTTATTTCAGTCGGTTTTTGGGGGAATAGGTGGTGGTTGCTTACATGGATAAGTTCTTTAGTGGTGATTTCTGAGATTTTGGTGCACTCATCACCTGTGCAGTGTACACTGTACCCAGTGTGTAGTCTTTCATCCCTCTCCATCCCCCACCCTTTCCCCCTAGTCCACAAGGTCCATTGTATATTCTTATGCTATTGCATCCTCCTCATAGCTTCGCTCTCACTTATGAGTGAGAACATGCAACGTTATGGTTTTCCATTCCTGAGTTACTTCACTTAGAATAATGGTCTCTCATTCCATCCAGGGTGCTATGAATGCCATTATCCATTCCTTTTTGTGACTGAATAGTATTCCATGGTGTATATACACATACCACAATTTCTTTATCCACTTGTTGACTGATGGGCTGGTTCCATAGTTTTGCAGTTGCAAATTGTGCTGCTATAAACATGCGTGTACAAGGATCTGTTTCATATAATGACTTCTTTTTCTCTGGGTAGATACCCAGTAGTGGGATTACTGGATCAAATGGTAGTTCTACTGTTAGTTCTTTAAGGAATCTCCACATTGATTTCCATAATGGTTGTACTAGTTTACATTCCCACCAGCAGTGTAAGTGTTCCCTTTTCACCACATCCACACCAACATCTATTATTTTTTCATTTTTTGATTACAGCCATTCTTGCAGGAGTAAGGTGGCATCACATTGTGGTTTTGATTTGCATTTCTCTTATTTTTAGTGATACTGAGTATTTTTTTCATGTTTGTTGGTCATTTGTATATCTTTTGAGAATTGTCTATTCATGTCCTTAGCCCACTTTTTTATAGGATTATTTGTTTTTTTCTTGCTGCTTTGTTTGAGTTCCTTGTAGATTGTGAATATTAGTCCTTTGTTGGATGTATAGATAGTGGAGATTTTCTCTCACTCTGTGGGTTGTCTGTTTACTCTGCTGATTGTTCCTTTTGCTATGAAGAAGCTTTTTAGTTAATAATTAAGTCCCATCTTAATTTATCTTTGTTTTTGTTGCATTTGCTTTGGGGTTCTTGGTCATGAAGTCGTTGCCCAAGCTAGTGTCTAGAAGGGTTTTCCCAATGTTATCTTCTGGAATTCTTATGGTTTCAGGTGTTAGATTCAACTCTTTGATCCATCTTGAGTTGATTTTTGTATAAGGTGAGAGATGAGGATACAGTTTCCTTCTTCTACATATGGCTTGCCAATTCTCCCAGCACCATTTGTTGAATAGGGTGTTCTATCCCCACTTTATGTTTTTGTTAGCTTTGTCGAAGATCAGTTGGCTGTAAATATTTGGCTTTATTTCTGGGTTCTCTGTTCTGTTCCATTGGCCTATGTGCCTATTTTTATACCAGTATCATGCTGTTTTGGTGACTATGGCCTTATAGTATAGTTTGAGATCAGGTAATGTGATGACTCCAGATTGGTTCTTTTGGCTTAGTCTTGCTTTGGCTATGTGGGCTCTTCTTTGATACCATAGAAATTTAGGACTGTTTTTTGTACTTCTGTGAAGAATGATGTAGTATTTTGATGGGAATTGCACTGAATTTGTA
The DNA here is from genome assembly GCF_000001405.40 of Homo sapiens. Lineage (NCBI taxonomy): Eukaryota > Metazoa > Chordata > Mammalia > Primates > Hominidae > Homo > Homo sapiens. The sequence continues at coordinate 177,093,409 of NC_000003.12, read as the reverse complement.
GATTGCTTTTGGCAGTGTGGTCATTTTCACAATATTGATTCTACCCATCCATGAACACAGGATGTGTTTCCATTTGTTTGTGTCATCTATGATTTCTTTCAGCAGTGTTTTGTAGTTTTCCTTGTAGAGGTCTTTCATCTCCTTGGTTAGGTATATTCCTAAGTATTTTATTTTATTTTTGCAGCTACTACAATAGCTGTAAAAGGGTTTGAGTTCTTGGTTTGATTCTCCACTTGGTTGCTGTTGATGTATAGAAGAGTTAGATTTGTGTAAATTAATTTTGTATCTGGAAACTTCGCTGAATTCATTTATCACTTCTAGGAACTTTTTGGAGGAGTTTTTAGGGTTTTCTAGGTATACAATTATATTATCAGCAAACAGCAACAGTTTGCCTTCCTCTTTACCGATTTGGATGCCCTTGATGTCTTTTCTTGTCTGATTGCTCTGGCTAGGACTTCCAGTAAGTACTATGTTGAATAGAAGTCATACCACATATTCTTTATCCATTCATCTGTTGGTAGACATTTGGGTTGCTTCCACCTCTTGGCTGTTATGAATAGTCCTGCTTTGAACATGGATGTGCAAATCTCTTTGACATCTTGATTTCAACTCTTTTTAGAACTGGAATTCTTTTTGGGATCTCAGAAGAGGGATTGCTGGATCATATGGTAATTCTAGGTTTTTTTTTTTCCTTGAAAAACTTCTGTACTCTTTCCAGAGCAGCAGCACTATTTTACATTTCTACCAATAGTGCAACAGGGTTCTACACACTGGACAACATTTGCTGTTTGTTTGCTAGTGCCCATCTTAATGGATGTGAGGTGCTGACAATAATTTCTTTACACTACCAACTATCTACTTAGCTTCAATTTTTCTGAACTGCTCCTAATATGTTTTTACAGAATCAACAAAACTTATACATTATGTTTGGTTACTGTGTATAGTTATGCTTCTACCTATTTTTTCCCTTTTATTTGTCCTGTGAAGTTTTCTACATTCTGTATTTTATTAATTGGATTCCTGTAGTATAATGTTCATCTTTTCCTTATATTTTCTGTAAATTGGTGGTTATAGCTAAAGGCTTCATCTAATGAATTAAGATTAATCTAATCTTAATTTAGGTTTTTTCCTTTATTATTTTGGGAGGTTGGGGTGGCAGAATATTTCACAGGTGGTGCTAAGTATAGATGGAATACCTCTAATCTGAAATGCTCCAACATCTGAAATTTTTTGAGCACTAACACGACACTCAAAGGAAATACTCATTGGAGCATTTTGGATTTCACATTTTCACAATGGGAGCGCTAAACCGTTATACTGCAGATATTTCAAAATCTGAAACACTTGTAGTCCCAATCGTTTTAGATAAAGGACACTTACTGTATGCTTGCATAAGGAAGCACCCAATGTTTGTTTTTTATTCCTGACAGTAGGCGACATTGATGATCATTCCTAGAACCATTATTTCCATGAGGGCAATGAGAATGTTCATATTCAATTATATCAAGCTTTTATTATGTGTAACATTTCTATAAAGAGAAACTTTCCCCAACAGATATTTCGTTACTTTGTGGCACAGATTGCACAGGAAAGGCATATGAAATGCATGATTCTTTCTTTTATTTACCAGTTTTCAAAGTACTGAGTTGTTTCCTGGAAGCCTTTCTAGTATTCTTGAATACCTTTCTAGGTAACAAGTGAGGATTTTTTTGAGTTATTGTGAGCGTGTGGATTTAGGCATTTGATATGTTTTATTGACTGTAGTTTGTATTCTTATTGATGTCATTCCCTTGGCCAAAAGAGCCTTTTCAAGTTGACTTCTGAGTCTTTTCTGACATGACTCTAGTATTGTCTCTCTGGTAGCTTCCTTGCTTTCTGACAAAACAACATGTTGGCCAAAGCTCATCTTGTACATGTCCTTCATTGGTCCTCAGATCAGCTATGTCTCTAAAGTCCTGATTCCTTTTAGTGAAAAAGAATATTTATATATTTATGTTATATAATATGCAATAGTTAATATGTAAACATAATAGAAAATAATGTATTAAACAAAAGTAGAGTATAAATGACATATAAAGTACATGTACTTTATAAGTACTTTAAGTACATGTAAATGTAGAAAATAAACATAATATAAAATTATACGTATTTTTATATTTATAAATGTATATTTAACCAGTATGAGTAGTGACTGTTGTTTTCATTTTTCTCTTTTTGTCCACGTCTCAGTGGGATTACAGCTAAGTATTACGTTTTAAAGTAAGTCCTCATGTGTAATCTGCCCCCCTGCCCACCTCCAATTTGATATATAGTTGGGTCAGCTTGTCCCTCCCCTCCCCTATCTCCCCAATTCCTGCTCCCATTTCCCTTTTCTTCTTCCCTTCCCCTCTCCCTCTTTTCTTTTTCTTTCTTTTCTTCTTTTCAGCAGGGTGTCACTCAGTCACCCAGGTAGGATTGCAGTGGCCTGATCATGATTCACTGCAGCCCCGACCTTCTGGGCTCAATCGATTCTCCCACCTCAGCCTCCCAAAGTAGCTGGGACCACAGGTGCATGCCACCATGCCTGGCTAATTGTTTTAACTTCTATTTTATTTTATTTCGAGACGGAGTCTCGCTCTGTCGCCCAGCTGGAGTGCAGTGGCGTGATCTTGGCTCACTGCAACCTCCGCCTCAATTCTTCAAGTGATTCTCTTGCCTTGGCCTCCTGGGCAACTGGAACTACAGGTGCGTGCCACCATGCCCAGCTAATTTTTGCATTTTTAAGAGAGACCATGTTGTCCAGGATGGTCTCTGTCTCCTGACCTCGTGATCCACCTGCCTCAGCCTCCCAAAGTGTCTTGATTACGGATGTGAGCCACTGCACCCAGCTGATTTTTTTTTTTTTTTTTTTTTAGTAGAGACAGTGTCTCCCTGTGTTGACCAGGCTGGTCTTGAACTCCTGGGCTCAAGCACTCCTCCTGGCCTCAGCCTGCCAAAGTGCTGGGATTACAGGCCTGAGCCACTATGCTGGGTCCAGGCCAATTTGTTTCATTTTATTTTTAGTATTTAGAATTTAAAAATATTTGTTTTTATTTTGTTTTATAATCATAGGAAACATTTATATCACTTCAAAGTGAGATACATTCTTACTTCCTCCTTTTGTAAGTAACCAAGTTTTAAAAATCAAACTATTTTTGGTTTATCTTGCTCAAATGTAAACAAATCCATGGGTATTCTTAAATATTCTGGAGATCACTTCATAGCAGGACATAGAGATAGTCTTTATTCATTGTTTTACAGCTGCATTCTACTCCATTACACAGATAGCTGTTTCAAGAGTGGAAGTTTTTAGATAGGAGCATGAAATGTGCATGTCAATTTGCCAGATTTCCTTCTGTAAAGCATTATGCCATCTTATGTTCCTTTCAGCAATATACGAGGTTCCCTCTTTCCCCATTAGCAGACAGTATATATGATGTCTTTTTTGATACATATATGTCTTTTAATCTGATAGGTGAGAAATAGTATTTCACTATGGTTCTAATTTGCATCTTTTCATTTATTTTATAACTGTTTGCTAGTTTATTTTAGAACTGTTTGCATATCTTTTTCTTTGAACTGTTCCACAGATAGATTCTTATTTTCCAGAAAAGTCTACCAACTGTGTCGATCAATCCCCTGAGCCCTTCTATTTCCTCTTGTTCTGTTTGTATAGTCATCCCACAACTTCTAAAAATTAATTTGGTTTAACAACAGGACTCTTCCACAAAGAATAGAATGATGCTGAGCAGTTCTCTTAGGTTTGATTCTTGAGGAACCAGACCCTTGATTATAACCCTTTATTGGAGAGGTGGATCTAGAAAGTTCCTGTGGAGAAGCCAGAAAGGGAAAAGGAGGCTGATACCGACTGCCTGAAAGACTAATTTTTTTGTTCAGTTGGACTCAAATCATGTGGCATCCTCGGGAACAGTGTAGAACATGTCTCTTTTTCCACCTAAGGGGCAAGGAACCTCGGGTAATTTGTCCACTAACCCCCATTCCTTAGTCTGGGAGTTAGGCAGTTAGGCTTTGCGGAGGGCAGGGCAGCAGCTCCTGACCTGCTGTTTGGCCTCAGGGTGCTTTGCAGTAAAAAGCTACCCAGCTGCTTGGGAAAGTTGAGTGATGAGGGAATGTGGGCTGGGCCCTGCTGGCCTCTTCTGCATTGATGAATATTCTGGTCTACTGACAGGTACATTTCTCAGTGTAATTAGTAAATCACCTCTTTTACTCATAAACCACCCTGCTGTATTTTGTTAACATATCTTCTCTCAGAACTTGATTATTCTTAAAAAACTGAAAGAAGTTATGACTTGCCAGACTGAAGACAAGACCCCAAGGAGTTGTGACCCTGCCAACAGGTCGCTGCCGAGAAAGAGTGTGGTACATAGCGAGGAGTCAATGATTATTACCTACTTATAAATGTAGCATCCATAAATTAATTTGTTCTATTTACTGTAGGAAAGTTCATTGTTACTTTCATTTTTAATCTTTTACCATCATGATTAGGAACTGGTATTATTAAATGTGAAGAAAGAAGGACATTGTCGCATGATATTGTGTGAACCATTTTCATTTGGTTGAGAATGTATGCCTCTGGAGAGCTGATTCCCAAATCAACAGTAAGAGGGTTACATTGAACACCTCTTAGTCTCTAGGCTTTTCTTTTCTTTTTTTTTTTTTTAAACAAATGAAGAAAAGCAGAGCACACACAAATTGGAGTTATATTTAACTGATTCCTTGTATCTTTGTCATTAGAGGCTGAAATAACTGAGCCTAAAATGGAAGCTGTGAAAGACTGTAGTATCACGTGAAAGGCAGAGAAAGCTTGGCTTCTTACATGGATTTAATCTTTACACAGGTTGAGCATTGGTTATCCAAAATACTTAGGACCAGAGTATTTCAGATTTCATATTTACTTGGATTTCGGAATATTTGCATATCTATAATGAGATATCTTGGGGATAGGATCCAAGTCTAAACACGAAGTTCATTTATGTTTCATATACTCCTTATATATATATAGCCTGAGGGCAGTTTTATACAGTATTTTAAATAATTTTGTGCATGAACCAGAGTTTTGACTGTGACTTGTCATATGAGATCAAGTGTGGAATCTTCTGCTCATGGCGTTATGTCACTGCTCCAAAAACTGCAGATTTTGGAACATTCTGGATTTTGAATTTTTAGATTGGGGTGCTCAATTTATATTAACTGTGATAGAACTTGTTATGGTGAATTACTATTTTCATTTTAAAACATTTTTCATGTTTCAAATAATTTTGCTGTCCTTTCTATAAATTCTCAGTGTAGGCACTATTCAGGAATAAAATACTAGCTGTCTTACCTCGAGAAACACAGAGTAGTGTGAGAGCAAGGACATATACCCACAATAGAGGGATAGATGTTTAACACGGTAATGTTAAAACAAAAGGTGTCCTATCACTGAATATTATCTGGCTTATTTTTAAGTTTTCCTAATTTTCTTTGGGTGTACTATATTAAATTTGGTCTTACTAGATTTTGACTATTTGGGGTTGGACAGCATGGTCCCATATAGCCATAAAATTGGAAACTGAAGGCCATTTCTTACTTCAATGGTGTATTGAAGCCATTTGAAGACTCCCCGCCCCCCATTCTTTTTTCCTTTCATTCATCCATCCGTCCAGTGGATAAGATTGCATGATTTAAAAAAAAAAAATTTTGCTTGAGACAGAAATTAACATGCTAAAGTTAGTGTGTAAAGGACAGGAACTTCTAGTTTCATACAGGTTCTGTTTGTTTGCTTCTTCAACTTCTGTCCTTTTTCTTAAGCCAGTTAATTTTAGTTATATCTTTTGATTTATTCCTGGTTCATAGAAACAGAAATCCTTCACCATGCCTATTTTCTCTCTTTTTCTATGATTTACTAGCACCTGTAAGGAGAGTTTTTAAAACAAAAAGGTTGGAATGCTAAAGTTCTTAATTCACAACCCTCTATATGTTAGGCCTTCATTTCCTGTCAGATGTTTATTGGGATCATTTTGAGTTTATTACAACCTGATATTTTTTAAAAAAGTGACTTAGAGCCTAAGGGCTTATGATTATAGAACAGATTACATAGAGGTACTTTAAACATGTAAGAGAAAAATGCCAAAAACCATTTTGATTAGTTTAATTTTTTTTTTAAATAAAAAAGTAAGTAAAAATCAACCCCAAAATGGAAGGGTTAGTATAGTTGACCCTTGAACAACACAGGTGTGGACTATGTGGGTTCACTTCTACTTGGTTTTTTTAAAAGTACAGTTGCATCTAGTATGCCTGCCTTTCTGCCTGTCTGTCCTTCCACCTCTTCTACCTCTCCCACCCCTCAGACAGCAAAACCAACTTCTCCTCAGCCTTGTGAAGAGGATGAGGACCTTCAGGATGATTCACTTCCATTTAATGAATGGTAAATATATTTTCCATATGATTTTTTAAATAACCTTTTCTCTAGCTTCTTTTATTGTAAGAATACAACATCTAATAGCTACAACATGTAAGGTGTGTGTGTTTATGTTACTAGTAAGACTTCTGGTCATAACTAGGTTGTTAGTAGTTAGGTTTTTGGGAAGTCGGAAGTTATATGTGGATTTTTGATTGGGTGGGTTGATAAAACCCTAACTCCTGCTTTGTACAAGGGTCAACTGTATATGTTCCGTGATAGAGAGTAGTTATCTTACTTAAATATTGTTATAACCATGTAAAGTTGTTAATATCTGTTTCATTGGTGAGAAAACCATTATTTTTCTTAAAAAAAAATTGTGGGCTCTAATTATAGTAGAGAGATGAAAATTTATTTCAGAAAAGAGACTTCCGTTGCTCCAACCCCATGTCATGTAACAGAGCAGACACTTTCATTACCCCCTGAACATACAGCTTGTGTATGTATGTATGTAAGACAGACTACCCATATTGAGACACCTTGGCCCTTCTTTTCTATTGGCTCCCCTCCCCCACCGTTTCATGTCTGTATTTAGACTTACCCAGTATGGTAACCACTAGAAATACGTAGCTGTTGAACACTTGGACATAAGACTAGTCAGAATTGAGATGTGCTGTAAATGTAAAATGCATGCTGGATTTTGAAGACTTAATTTTTTAAAGTAAAATATCTCAATTTTAAACTATTGATTATAAGAAATAATATTCCAGATACATTGGGTTACATAAAATATTATTATTAGAATAAATTCTGCCTGTTTCTTTTTAACTTTTTCATGTGGCTACTAGATAATTTAAAACTTACGTGTGTGGACTTGGCTAGTGCTAATATCTGGGGAGACTGGAATGACTTTCTGAGGGTTCCTAAAATTAGATATTGGGACTGTGTTACAAAGCTAAGTAAGTTCTCTTGTTTAGTTCTCATTTTACAAATGAAGAACTAATGTTTAGAGAAGTGATTCCATATCATATACTTTGTCATAGTTACAGAACCAAGAATTGAACCATTATCTCATTTGCACTCCAGCATTCTTTTAAATTTTGTGTAACACAGATTGTGTAGAGGTGAATCGTGAGAGTTTTTGGTGGACCTCAGGCACCCATAGAATAATAGGATTGAAAGCACCTTGATGACAGGTCTCTAGATTTTTTCATTACTTTTGAGAGCTAAAGATATTTGTTATTTTGGGAAAATTTTCTTTTATTAAAACAGAATTTTATTGTCATCTATATGTAATCTCTTATTCAGGAAGATCATAGTGTTTGCTATCATTTTCCTATACATCCTATTGTCTTAGAATTTTTTCCCATATTTTTTCAGTCATAAAGTTTTCATTTGAAAACTTTTTTTTATCGTGTCTACTTCTGAGAACTTGTGTTTCCTGTCCCTTCATGGGCATCTTTGAGAATTCTGACACCTGGATCATCTCAGGATTAATATCTGTTATTGTCTTTTCCTTTGAGAATGATCAGATTTTCTTCATCTGTACCATTCCTGGAGAATGTTGTTTTTAAATGAAAGCAAGCAATTAACATTGATAGGCTCAGACTCCCAAGTTCTGTGGCACCCATGGGCAGTGGTTCCAATGTCAGTTCAGTTTTCAAAGTCTTTGCTAAGCTACTATGAGTCTGCTTCCTGATTGAGCCTCTCAGGAGTTAGTATGGAACCTGAAGGTGATTTGTGTCTTCAGTTCTCAAGACCTTTGTAGTGCTTCTTTGGGTATGTTCCACATGCACATCTTGGGATGAATTTGGAACTTGTGTTGGTTCATAGGAAGAATTGCAGGATCCACTTCAGCTCTCTCTTAGGGATTTATTCTTATGCTTTTCAGTTCCTGGAGGCCTCGTTTTTTCTGATTTAGTTTCGATTTTTTGATTGAAAGAAACTGGCTCAATCTAGCTGGTGAAAGTTGGGGGGAACACCAAAAAAGTAGGCCAATTACAGTGTTGAACAAGTGTGCTCAGAAGAATAGTAGAGAGTTATAATTCCACAAATGGAGTAGTGGCTGCTATGGAACAAATCCTCCCACAAATAGTAACTACAATTTCTGGACAACATATGAAAAACAAACATTATGAGGACACCATAGAACAAACCTGTTTCAGAAGTCAGACCGGATTGGATTCTTAAGAGAATGGCATTGGAGTTTCCTGTTATTGACGGATCTTTGCCTGAGGACAGGTTCCCGTTGGCAGAGGAATTAGAGAATTGTTCAGAACTAACATTGCACTGCAGAGTAATGGGGTCCAGCACAGGAAAGGAGGAAATCCAGGAAGAAGATACCCATAGAGGTGGAGTACCAAATGTGGTTTATAAACTCTCCTAAAATATGGGGTTGACCCCCAAACTGGTAACAGTTCAAGTATCTATAAACCAAGAAAAAGGATTATCAAGTTGCTGTATGTGTACAATGGAATACTCCTAAGCAATAGGAAGGAACCAAGGCATCGATGTCTGCAGCAACTTGGATTAATCTCTGAAACATTATGCTGACTGAATTAGTCTTCACAAAACAAGCCATCATATGTGATTCTACATATATCCTAAAACCAGACAGACCTCATCTATTGTGCATGTGGGGTGGGACAGCCAAAACGAAGTTATGAAAGGGAAAGAAGAAGAGGTTGGTAGGTGGTAGGAATGAGTGGTGAGGACAGGGATTAAGTGGGGAAGTGCATATGGCAGCTTTCTAAGGCATTGGCAATGTTCTGTATTCTGTTAGGGATTTACGTTACTCAGGTACATACGTTTGTTAAAACTTACTGAATGATATAGCCAGTATATGTCCGTTGTATTTTGTGTAAGTTTTTTCTTTTCTTTTCTTTTTTCTTTTTTTTTTTTTTTGAGACGGAGTCTCGCCCTGTCTCCCAGGCTGGAGTGCAGTGGGGCAATCTGGGCTCACTGCAGCCTCCGCCTCCTGGGTTCAAATGATTCTCCTGCCTCAGCCTCCCAAGTAGCCGGGATTACAGGTGCCCGCCACCACGCCCAGCTAATTTTTGTATTTTTAGTAGAGATGGGGTTTCATCATGTTGGCCAGGCTGATCTCGAACTCCTGACCTCGTGATCCACCCGCCTCAGCTTCCCAGAGTGCTGGGATTACAGGCGTGAGCCACCATGCTTGGCCAAGTTTTTCCTTTAAAAAAACAAAAACAAAAACAAAAAAAAACCATTACTTGATGGGCAAGTTGCAGTATTTACAGAAGTATACTGATGACTGCAAGTTCTTTGAATAGATGTATTAACAACAAATATGAGGAAATGTTAATTTTAAATTGTAGGTGGTAGCTATGTGGATATTCATTTTTTTTCTATATGTTTGAAAATTTTCATAGTAAAATGTTAAGATAAAATAGAGACCAGTGAATGATATTTCTCGAAGTCAGATTCCTGTTAATATGTTGTTTTTTTATGGCATTCATCAAAATTGATTTCTTTAAATTTGAAAATAGTTTAAAGAGCTTATCGGTAACATTTTTCTGCCTGTGCATTAAGCTGTGACCTGCTTATGATGCAGAAAGATAGAGAAATATGAATAAATAAAAGCAAGAAGACAAAACATACATACTAACTTGATCGTTTCAAAATGATGTAGCAAAGACTAAGGTCATTTCTAATACAGACATTTGGAGGGGATGGATACATAATTAGACTGTGCTCAGATTCAAGTATGATTAATGGGAGATGGAATTCATGGAATTGGTAATTTCGAACAGGTTTTTGAAAATGCTATGGGAGGAAATTATTAAGAGTTTGTTTCCACTCTCTTAATTGACCAATAGTCATTTATGGATTATGGCTTAGGACACTTTTTTCAGTGTGTTGTATTTATTTTTCAAAAAAAAATGCTGTATGATTTTTATTGTGGAATTATTAGCGAGATTGGATTGATTAGAATTTATTTTAAAATATCTCTTTGGAGGCCGAGACGGATGGATCACGAGGTCAGGAGATCGAGACCATCCTGGCTAACACGTTGAAACCACGTCTCTACTAAAAGATACAGAAAAAATTAGCCAGATGTGGTGGTGGTCGCCTGTAGTCCCAGCTACTCCAGAGGCTGAGGCAGGAGAATGGCGTGAACCTGGGAGGTGGAGCTTGCAGTGAGCCCAGATGGTGCCACTGCCCGTCAGCCTGGGCAACACAGCAAGACTCCGTCTCATATTCATATATATATATATATATATATATATATAATCTCTATCTTAGAAATTTAGTAATAGTCTGTTAGGGAGTTGTTGGATTAAAAAGCCACTGTGACAGGATTTTATGGTTCTTTCATAAAGTTTTGAGAGACAAGTATAGTTGTATTAAAATTCAGTGCTGTAACATCTAGTGTTACGCATAACTGTTACAAATACCAGTTCATTTTCTGGCCTCTCTTAATTTGCTGTTAGGAAAGTTAATCTGATAGTTATTCTGATAGGCTCAATTTTTAAATATATGTATCAGATTAAATTGTGAGTGGGGATGAGAGAAAAGTAAATATTAGTATCAAAATATAATTTGTAATTACAAGATATAAGATTTTTAAATTTATTTCATTTTTCTCTCTGGTATTTTTTTTTGAAGTACCTCAATTTTAAATTCATTTTAGAACATAACATGAAATTACTTGATGTTATAAGGGTTTGATATTTTTCTAGCAACCAAAAATTTGGACTTCTTTTTTGGTCTTTTGTCTTTTTATCACTCCAAATATACTGCAATAATTTTTTTGTTTAAATCACCATTTGTATATATTATAACTTTCTCAAAGTAAAAGTGCTATGTTGTGCGTAGCTCTAGCCATTTTGTTGTAAGAATTCTATATTACTGATACCTAAAAAAGGCATTTTGGTCTTAGAGAAAATTGTGTTGTATGCTGACTTTGGAGATGGTAGAATTGCAAGTGTGTGTTCATGCCTTCCAGATAGAAATTTAGTGGTGAACAATCAAGGGGGTTTCACACTGTGTACCAGCTAGTTATTTAAACATCAAATTCTCCTTAACTTCTAATTTTAGTACCAGTGTCTTCCTAGAGGAGAATATTTTACCCAAACAGAAACAATAGTTCAGTTAGACTTAAATTTTATATTGTATATTATATATACAATACTGTAATTATACTGACTAAAGACAATACTATTAATTGTATCTTATAATTAGTAGTTGTATTTTCATTATTAAATATCTTTTTTTTTTTTTTTTTGAAGTCAGGGTCTTGCCTTATCTAGTCAGGCTGGAGTGCATGCAGCGCAGTCACGGCATACTGCAGCCTCAGAGACCTCCTGGTTTCAAGTGGTCCTCCCACCCCACCCTCCTGAGTAGTTAGGACTACAGGCATGCACTAATATTTAAAACTCTTTGTAGAGATTAGGTCTTGTTATGTTGCCCAGGCTGGTGTAGAACTCCTGGGCTCAAATGATTCTTCTCTCTCAGCCTCCCAGAGTGCTGGTATTAAAGGTGTGAGCCACCACAACCCACCTGTTATTAAATATCTGAATGTTTAAGTCTCTGAAAAAAATGATGGACAAGGTAAGATAGATGGATAAAATTGCTGAAAACAGCTCATGATCAAAATAGAACCCTAAAGAGTTATCTGTATATCCATGTGATTTCTGTTATTTGCCATCATAATACCAGAATCAAAATGAAAAATAAATTTCATGTAAATGAAAGTTTTGTTTCAAAGATTTCTATCACAGAGACACATTGATATTACATCCATCTTAAGACTGGCCAAGAACAAGAGAGAAATCTTATTAATGATTCTGAATGTCGTATTAGGAGATACTATGTATTGCCAAGGTGAAATGTTCAAATGACTAAGTAGTGGACTTGCATGTGTGTCAAGTTATTTTATAATCACTTTAGGTAATTTGCATTTAAGAAAAACTTTTAAAAACAAGCTTTTTCCATATGAATGTTTCATCATATCTTTACATCCTTTAAAAGTTGATTTCTAAGATTTTCTTGATTGTAGAGATACGTTTACTGGTTCTCATATCCTTGAAGTGTTAAGTCTGCCAGGTAAGAACCTTAGCATCAACATAAGCAATGAAGTATAAAGGAACAAATAAATATAAAGTAGAACATCAGCTGATCTTTGAACTTAAAGCTAGTTGTTAAGTTTGTCAGACCCTGGAGGATTTGCTAGAACCAGGCAGTTAATTGTATTTAGGTAATTTAGTTAGAAAACCACAGTTTTTGAGGTACCAGGACCTATTGTTACTGATAGATGTTTGATTTCTTTCAGTATAGAAAACTTAAACATGGAGACACTCTTTTAAAAAAATGTTTCTGTGTGTCACTGAAAAAAAATATATATTTTTTCTTTCAGTTAGCTTTATTGTCAGAAGGAGAAGCCAGATTTCTATTTTGAGAGAACCAGAAAAAAGTATTATGAGTAGGGAAAATATGCTCATTAACACAGAAGGATATCACAAGCATACTTATTGTTTTATTGCATGTTAAATTTAAATAGTTTAATTTACTCTAATCATTTTTCTTGTCATTTTATTCTTTGTTCAGTTATTTCATCAGGGGCAGTTATGGGCACTTTATCACTTAAAGTAAGTACTAGCCCAAAGGTGTACTATTTTCTAGATTTACTTGGGCAGTCTGGCCAAAGGTGAATAGGTCTTTTCGGGCCATAATTTGGGTTACTCATTACTAATTCAGCTTAGATGTTAATGATAAAGCCTGATAATGTTACTAAGGCTGATATATTCTAAAAACCTTTCTAGCAGTTAAAAGTTAGAAAGCAATTGCTTTTTGCAATTTAAAATTTTGTGTATGTCCTTTTTATTGAGGACATAATTATGTCCTTATGAAAATTATTTTCAACCTTGTTCCCTACTGCTGTTTCCAGTGTTAACAGTTAAACCTTACTGTTAACAGAAATCTTACATTTGATTGATTCTTCCTAAATTCATCTTTAGGATCACTCAGTGTTAAAGCTAGAGGAGCCCTTTCAGATTATCTAATTCAGTACCCTCATTTTACAGATGAGGAAACTGAGGCCTTGGACTAGAACAGAGGTCTCCTGACTCAGTCCAGGACTCTTTCTATTACATCATGCGGCCTGATATTTGTCTTTATGGAACTCAGCAACATCACATACAGGGTGAGCTTTTTTTTTTTTTTTTAAATGAACACATAAAGTGATTTGCTACCCTCATTAGTTACTAGTCCTCATTCTTGTCTAACTCTTATTTTCCTTTTCTACCCATATTTATTTTAATTGATTATATAGACCCAATTACTTGTGACACTTTTTTATTTTACTGCTACCTCTTCTTGACGTTTGACTATTATTTTTAAGAGTTAAACTTTCAGAGGATTTCTTACCAATGATGACTGCCACTTTATCACGCACTGTAGCAACAGTCGATTAAAATTTATAACAGGAATTATTTGTAGAGTGTTACATTTAGATTAAAAAAATTACAAATAAGTCCAAGAGTGTGGATAAGATCTAAGCAGCTATAATACTAGATACAAATTTTTTTTTTTTTTTTTAAATGGAGTCTTGCTCTGTCGCCCAGGCTGGAGTGCAGTGTCGTGATCTTGGCTCACTGCAAGCTCCACCTCCCGAGTTCACGACATTCTCCTGCTTCAGCCTCCCGAGTAGCTGGGACTACAGGCGCCTGCCACCACGCCCAACTAATTTTTTGTATTTTTTTAGTGGAGACGGGGTTTCACCGTGTTAGCCAGGATGGTCTTGATCTCCTGACCTCGGGATCCACCCACCTCGGCCTTCCAAAGTGCTGGGATTACAGGTGTGAGCCACCGCACCCGGCCGACATTTTTTTTGTGAAATACCGACATCCCAAGAAATAATCAGCCAACAGTGTGATGTAACTGCCATTAAAATAGCCTATGCTACGAATGCATGGATTTACACAGATTTATGTTTTAGGTTATTGCATTGTTTTCTGTATCGGTACTCAAATTGGCTTCTGTGTCCTTTTGAGAAGTCCCTAGCAGTTTTTTTTTTCTTTTGAGACGGAGTCTCACTCCGTTGCCCAGGCTGGAGTGCAGTGGTGCAATCTCAGCTCACTGCAAGCTCTGCCTCCCGGGTTCACGCGATTCTCCTGCCTCAGCCTCCCGAGTAGCTGGGACTACAGGCGCCCGCCACCATGCTCGGCTAATTTTTTGTATTTTTTTTGTAGTAGAGACGGGGTTTCACCGTGTTAGCCAGGATGGTCTCAATCTCCTGACCTCGTGATCTGTCCGCCTTGGCCTCCCAAAGGTTTGGGATTACAGACGTGAGCCACCGCACCCAGCCGATATTGTTTTATTTTAATCAAGGCAAAACTGTATGTAAATACTGCTTGAATTATACTTTATTTTTTTTTTTTTGAGATGGGGGTCTCACTCTTTCGCCCCAGCTGGAGTGCAGTGGTGGTATAATCATAGCTCACTACAGCCTCAAACTCCTGGGCCCAAGTGATCCTCCCACCTCAGCCTCCCAAGTAGCTGGGACTACAGGTTCATGCCACCATACCTGGCTAATTAAAACCAAAATTTTTTTTTTTTTGTAGATCCTGGGTCTCCCTATGTTGCCCAGGGCTCAAGTGATCCTCCCGCCTCTGCCCCCCAAAGTGATGGAATGACAAGTGTGAACCATGCACTCAGCCGAATTATATTTTATATGCTGGAGCATGAGAGCTATGTTTTATTATTTATGAAAGTTTAAAAATATATTTGAATAATGTTTTAGGTGCCTTATAAGATACAGGCTGCTGATTTGTTTTGTTAAAACAGGCAAAAGATTTATTCATTCTGAAGAGAAACCAGATCATGACAGACTGCTTTTTAAATGCTTATAATTTGGTAGTGGTTGAAAAAATATGCATATTAAAAGGTGACATCATAATAATGTTAACACTTAGTGGGTTATAAATGGCTTTTCCATGCATTCCCACCTGTGAGGTGTATAGATTAGGTTTTATTCTCTTTCACAGTTGAAGAAACTGGGGCTCCGGGAAGTTAAAATGACTTGATGTAATGCCTTAATGTCAAAAGCCAGTAGCATCAAAAAGAAAATGTCAACGTTCTGACTTCTGGTCAATAATCTTTTTACTGTTGTCCAGTTTTGAGAAGAGCAATAAAACTGCACTTAGGGGTACAGGAGGAAAGTAGCCAGACATCTTTAATGTTGATATTTGAATAGGTATCATAAAGAGATAATATTTGAAGAAGAATAGACAAATTTCAACAAGTGCAGTTGAAACAGAACTAAAAGCAGAAAAGTGGAAATTTGTGGGACATGTTAGAATGATACCAGCATACTCACTTGAAGAGTAAAGTGCATATAAAGGTGGTACCATATGGCTAGATAGGTACTTTGGAACCATAGAATGGAGAACTTAGGAGACTCTTAGGCTGTCGTAATAATACAGGTGATAGGTACTGTAGAAAGAGAGACGTGGCTGTAAGAGGTGTTGGATACATTTTAGAACGTGTAGATTTTTAAAGCTTCATTTGTATTATGTGAATATAAGTTATTTTCCCTTTTCCTCAAGGACTCCATCTCACCAAAAGCCCCTCATTTTCAGGTGAGATCTAAAGTAAATAAGTATTTTTCCCTTCTGAAAATTTTCTTTTATGATGGATTTAACATAGTTTCTTACCTGCTCTATATTTATAAAAAGTTTCAAGTTAATAATACTAATAAAACTATTATTATAAGACTACCAAAAGCAGTTTAAAATTTCTTTGTGGTTCTTTTTAGTTCTTAGATTATATTCCCTAGAGATGTATGCAGCGAAAGTACTGTTGTAAGGTGTGTTAGTGTTCTTTGTTAGTAGACAGTTTTACTGGTTTACAATACTAAAATGTTCTTTCTCATTCATTTTGTATGTAGATAAGGTGGGTTGACTGTGGCTCTCTTCCAGTTGTCTGCTCATTTGGATAGCCAAGCTGTTGAAGTAGACCCCATATAGGACATGCTCGTTGAGCAAGAGAGCTGGCAGACACTTGTAATGTCTCTTAAATCTTGTGATTGGATATAGTGTGTATCACATCATCTGGAATTCCACTGGCCAAATTAGGTCACATAGCCAAGGTCCAAGTTGCTGGGATGGGGATGAATAACTCTATTTCAGGAAAAAAGAATGCTTAAATTCTGAACCAGTAATACATTCAACCTCTACAGCCACTTAAATTGATTCTTCCCATGTGTTGATGCCATCATAGTTACCATTATTAGGGTTAGTTTTGTTTTTTGTTTTAAGGGGATTCTCTGATAACCAAGGTGGACAGATGACTGAAGGTAAGAAGAAAAGGCTTTTGTTACCCTTGTCTGTACCTGTCTTCTACAGCATGGAAGGGGCAAATGATGGAATCTGTATTTGTCTTCCCAGGCTTTCTCAGCTTAGTGTGACTGTTATAGATTGAATTGTATCCTCCTAAATTCGTAAGTTGGAGTCCTAACCTCCAGTACCTCAGAATGTAATCTTACTTGGAAATAGGGTCCTTATAGAGATACTTAAGTTAAAATGGGATCATTTAGGTAGATCGTAATACCTTATGATTGGAGTCCTTATAAAAAAGAGAAAATTTGGGCACATACAGAGGGAGAACAGTGTGAAGACACAGGGAGAACATGGCAAAGTGACTAGAGTGATGTGTCTACAAGCCAAGCTCTATGGTCCGAATTTGTCCCTCCAAAATTTATGTTGAAACCTGATCTCCATTGCAGTGGTATTAAGAGGTGGCTTTTTTGGAAGTGCTTAAGACATAAGGGCTTTGCCCTCAGTGAATAGAATTGTGACCTTATAAAAGAAGTTGAAGGGAACCCCCAGGCTCCTTAAACAGTATGAGGAGGACATGGCCAGAAGGCACCATTTATGAAGCAGAGAGCCTTCACTAGGCACTGTATCTGCTGGCACCTTGATCTTGGGCTTCACAGCCTCCAGAACTGTGAGAAAAAACTTCCGTCTAAGGTATTTTTTGTTGTATTTTGTTTTTTTGTTTTTTTTCCGGTAGCCCCAAATGGACTAAGACACCAAGGAAGCTAGGAGAGAGGCCTGGAACAGACCCCTCCTTAGCACACCTTCAGAGGGAATGCGGCCCTGTGAACACCTTGATTTTGGACTTCTATAAGACAATAAATTTCTGTTGTTCTAAGCCTCTTAGTTTATGGTACTTTATTGTCACGCTAATTTAGAACTTTGCTAGAAAGCACCTTTAAATAGAAGTTTGGCAGCCAAGGCAGGAAGAAATTAGCTTGAGGCTAGCTTATTTTTTAACCTTTATTGTGTAATGAGTAGTCTAACTGCTAAGTAGATGGCAGGAGGAGAGGGGTCTGTCTATTTAGATTGGGAAACATACCTTCAAATCTGTTACTTTTTCAGCCTGAAAAAGTGAAATATACTTGAGTTAGTTCTTTCTAAGATGGAAATCTGTATTGAACCACACTATACTGATTAGTAGGGAAGTTTTGAAAGCTAGAAGATATTATGAATTGTGTCCCCACAAAGATATGTTGAGGTGCCAACTCCCAGTACCTGTGAATGTGACTTATTTGGAATGGAAATAAGATCTTTGTAAATCAAGTTAAGATGACGTTATTGGCATGGGCCCTATTCCAGTATGACTGGTGTTTTTATAAAAAGAGGGAAATTTGGACACAGACAACACACAAAGAGGAGAATGCCACGTAAAGACTCAGACACAAAGCAAGGTGGCCATGTGAAAATGGAGGCAGAGACTAATTTTGCCGCTACAAGCCAAGGAATGCCGGGTGCTACCGAAGCTGGAAGATGGATAGAACGACTCTCTTTTCCGTTGGAGGGATCGTGGCACTGCCAACACAGTTCACTTCAGGCTTCTAGCCATAGAACTATGAGACAATTAGTTTCTGTTGTAATTTTAAGTGGCCCAGTTTGTTGTAGCTATCACAGTAGCGCTGGGAAACTGATGCAGAAGGACATGTGGATTTTGAGAGTACTTTGTGGTCTTTGGGGCTGTTGTCTTACATCATTACATTTTGTACAGATTACCAGAATGGATAAACCACAAATTCCTAAACCGTGTTGTGCATGGTGTTCACCTTCACATGTTTCAGAAATATTAAGGTACTTAATATTACTCAAGTTTGAGAAAGATTGAGTTAAAATGTATTTATGTCTTTATTGTGATATAAGTAAGTTCCTTGGAAAGCAAAACATTAAGATATTATTCATTAACATTTTGTTATATTAGGTTGTTCAGCCTGTCACCTACCTGGCTTTAAGGAACGAAATATACTTGGTGGCGGTGAGGGTTGGGGAGGTAGCATAGAAAACTTGGAATATAAGTCTGTTTGAAAAGGGCAGTGGGCTCCGTTGATGTTAGAATGCCGGGGATCAGATTTCAGGCTCACGAGAAGGTGGGGATGAGGAAGTTGTCAAGGCAGAGAGGTTAATTAGTGAAATAGTGCCCGATTTTGAGGTGGTTGGTAAGAAAAAGGTTGATCTAGGGAAAGCGTTGATAGAAGCGTAGGGAGAGCTGTGCTTACTCACATTTTTCCCTAGGCTTAGGCTTCCTGTTGGTAAAGAGGTTGATCATGGCTCATACGCAAGGACTTTGGAAAGAAGGAAAACCCTATCTTATGCTTGAATATCTTCTAATATATCCACAGCAATTATTGATGCAGTCAGGAATAGCAGTGTGAGTGTAGACTAGTTTCTTGGCATTATTAAACACATATGCCTCTCTATTCTCTAGCTCTTTCACTCCCTACATCTCCTCTGTTCTTTCTTACGTATCCTCAAGGTACACAGGGATGGGTATGGAAACTGTACCAGGTATAACTTGGAAATCTGGCTATAAAGAATTTCAGATTTTTTGCCCAGCTAGCCCTGCTCCCTTTATTCCTTATGTAGCAAACAGGTTGAGTATGTAATGAATCAATTCTCCAGTACCAAAGACCTGCATTCTTTGTTGCTGTGTATGTGGTAAAGAACGCTACCCCATGTTTGGAGTCCTGAATGGGTTTTCTTGGGAAATAAATGCTGCAAGAGAGAGACTAGTTTCAAGTTTTGGTTAGAAGGAAAGGGATTGCAACCCTTTGGCACCTTCTACAATACAAGTGATGAGTCTGGGCAAAACAAACAAAAACGTGCTGAATCCCACCAGAAGGAAAGACAGTGTGTTGCGGGAGCAGTGCGCCTTTACTGCAGCTTCCACACTCCGCTACACCTTCTACTAAAGTTTGGTAGCAAATGGGGTAAGTTTGGCTATGAAGCCCACTCTTCACTGTATTGTTCCTTTATATTAATGGATTTCTATATTGCTACAGTGTTAAGGGCCTAGAACAGTGGCAGGCGTGTAGTGTAGTACTCAGTAAAACATTTGTTACATGCATGATAGAAAAACTAAATTTAAGTAAAATGATTGAATCTTTCCAAATAGAAGTCCATTTATAGAAGTGTAGTCTCAGAAAATTTATAATTTTCATTCCTCCAATATGTTTTAGAGTTAGTAGATGCCATGTGTTATATCAAAACTAGAGCTTTGATACTCTGATATTTATGGCTTTTAAGTACCTTTTTTGTTTATTAAGTATAAACTTATCAATATGTATTCCAACATGAACACAACAGAAACCAAACTAAAGATTTAGGTTGTGTTAAAATATGACCAGTACTGTGGGCTAAGGAGCCTGTTTTCCAGTTTTTCCAGAGAAACTCTTTGACAAAAATATTTGTCACCAATATTGCCATGAGGGACTCAATAGGTCTCAAACATTTTGGTCTTAGGATCTTGTTACAATCTTAATTTATTGATGATCTCAAAGAGCTTTTGTTTATGTGGGTTATAGTTATCAATATTAAATGTATCAGATATTAAAATGGAAATTTTGTATTACTTACTAATGTATTTTTTTTCTTTTTTTGAAATCAAACTCTCTCTTTGTCACCCAGGTTGGAGTGCAGTGGTCCTGTCTTGGCTCACTGCAACCTCCACCTCCTGGGTTCAAGCGATTCTCCTGCCCCAACCCCCCAAGTAGCTGAGATTACAGGTGCATGCCACCACACCTGGCTAATTTTTGTATTTTTAATAGAGACAGGGTTTCGCCATGTTGGCCAGGCTGGTCTCGAACTCCTGACCTCAAGTGATCCACCCGCCTCGGCTTCTCAAAGTGTTGGGATTACAGGCGTGAGCCACTGCGCCTGGCCATTTCATTCATTTGCAGGAAAATGTCTGCCAAATCCCCAGTCTGAATAACTATATTGTCATTTCTTCTTTGAAGTATAAACGCTGTTCCATGAAAAAAGTGGCTAGTGTAACTTGCAATTCAAACCATTGCAGTCCTGTTTTTTGAGACAACCATCATTTTAGTATGCAACGGAAGTAACTCTGTTACTTAGCACTTTGTTACACACACAGCATATTAAAAAGATGTGTATTTGAACATTTAAGATTTTCATAATATCACCTTTTCTGTTTCATTCAAGGATATTCTTCAGGGAATTTTTTTTTTTTTTTTGAGTGCATAGTGGTGAAAAAATACAATGACTACTAGTAATACCATCAGGTCTTGATTCGTAATACTAAGGTGTGAGCAGTTTTACCCACTATCGCTTTGTAACATTGGTGCAAATGCCAATGGAGTGAAAAATGCAAGTAATATCTTAGTAATACCATAAAAGTAATTTTGACCTCACAGTTCCCTTAAAAAGTCTTGGGAACTCCAGGGGTCTACGGATCCCAATTACTATGCTAAATAAAAAGTTGATCACATTTTGTCATTAGTATAATAGAATACCGTATCTGATTTTAAGTTTTGAACACCTTGAACAGCCTTAACAGTGAAGTACATTGCTGTGTGTCTTTTAAGAAAGAATCTTCTAAGAAGGTACTATTCTATTAAGAAATATTAAGAGTTAACTTTGCAGTTAGAATCTGTAACTTGACTGGGTAGGGCACATATAAGGAATGTACACGGTAGGGCCTCAGTGTGGTTATGGAGTGATGTACTTCTCTTCTCCCCAGCCCATGTGCCCTGGGGGCTTTTTTGTTTGCCTGTTTTTTAAATAGTACATTTTATATGACAGTACTGCCAACTGTTTTCTCTCATCCTGTGAAATTGACCTATGAGACTTTCATGGTGGATTTCTCCTAGTTTTCAATAAAAGTTGGAAGCCTTCTCCAATTTATGTCAGTTATCTTTACTCCATATACTTTTCCCTTTTTCTTCTGGGTTTACTAGTAGCTGGGTTGTGTGTGAGTGCACATCTGTATGTGTCAATCTATTAGCTGAGTACTAAATTTAGTTTGCATCGTCTTCACTCGATTTGAGCGAGCATTTATTGCCCTGTGGGGGATGGATGTTGATCTCTTCACAGTTTTTTTTTAAAACTATACTTTGATACTTGGGCTGTTATCAATCACATATTTCTGCTTCCTGAACAATCTTTTGGACATTTTTACTCTAGCCCTTCCAGAGAATTGACTGAGTATAACCAATCCATGGACACAAGTTTTGATTTACTTACTAGTCTGAGTTACGTAGGATTTTTTTCCCTCATGAGGAACCAAGGAATAACCACATCTTCTTCTAATACAGTGTTTCATAAACATTACTGTGGGTAGTATTTATTACCCTGGCCTCCTTTTCTCTTTGTTCTTCCTATAATATTTGAGTTTTAAGCAGAGTTCCTATCTATTCAGGTGATTAACTGTCCTTGTAAAGCTTTAGCATGTGTTCCACTCTTTGAGATTCTTAGATGAAACCCCGTCTCTACTGAAAATACAAAAAATTAGCCGGGCACGGTGGCGGGTGCCTATAGTCCCAGCTGCTCGGGAGGCTAAGGCAGTAGAATGGCGTGAACCTGGGAGGCGGAGCTTGCAGTGAGCCGAGATCGCACCACCACACTCTAGCCTGGGCAACAGAGCAAAACTCTGTCTCAAAAAAAAAAAAAAAAACAGATTCTCAGAACATGTCTGTTCCAAAGCTAGAATAAGTAGTTAGTTTTAGTTGATAAAGTCTCATTAGCTTTCTATTGTAATACAGATTCCTATTCAGACACACTCAGTATTTTATGCTAGTCAGACAGATTTTGACAGATCTTGATTTTAGTTTATTTTTATTTATTTATTTATTTTTTTTTTGAGACGGAGTCTTGCTTAGCTGCCCAGGCTGGAGTGCAGTGGTGCAATCTCAGCTCACTGCAGCTACCGTCTCCTGGGTTCAAGCGATTCTCCCATCTCAGCGTCCTGAGTAACTGGGATTACAGGCACCTGCCTCATGCTGGCTAATTTTTGTATTTTAGTAGAGATGGGGTTTCGCCACGTTGGCCAGGCTGGCCCTGAACTCCTGACCTCAGGTGATCCACCCGCCTCGGCCCCCCAAAGTGCTAGGATTACAGATGTGAGCCACCGCACCTGGCCAATTTTTATTTTTCGTGTCTGACTTTCTAATTCTTTGCCAGACTGACATTGCTTTACCTTAAGTTCTGTGACTGATTACTGCTTAGTTATTGAAAATATGTACCAGAAGTATGACCTATCTTCTTATCTCTTAGCATTTTCATTTCTTGTCCTTCTTTGTTCCCCTGTTGATATACCTTGACTGTAATTTATTCAGTTATTCCATACATATTTATTATTTCCTAGGATATGTATTTTTATGTTTTAGAAGGATCTTAGTTATAATCTGTGTAAATAATCACTTTTATACATTTAGGAAGTTGAAGTCAATGTCTGTGGGCAATGAGGCAGCTCATCAGAGGTCTTTTGGGTATAAAAAGAAATAAATTTGTAGCTAATGACTCTTGGACTTAAATCAAAGTGACTCATCATATAATGGATGCTAGTTTACTGCTTTCAAGCCTCAAGAGCTTTGCTGAGACTTTTAAAAAATTGCTTAATTGAGATTATGAGTCAGTGTTCCCTATCATCAAATAAACAACAAATATTCTGTTTTTTAAAAAAGCATTTTGTGAAAACCATTCTTACCTGTGGGCTATACAAATATAGGTGACAGGTTGAATTTGACATACAGGCTGTAGTTTGCAGATCCCTGGCTTAGATCACAGTTGAAACCAGTTTGATACTAGAAGTCTCAGTTAACTAATGAATAATTGATTTGGTGTGTTGTTTTTCCTTCCTTCCTTCCTTCCTTCCTTCCTTCCTTCCTTCCTTCCTTCCTTCCTTCCTTCCTTTCCTTCCTTTTCCTTCCTTTCCTTCCTTTCTTTCCTTTCCTTTCTTTCTTTTCTTTCGTCAGAGTTTTCCTCTGTTGCCCAGGCTGGACTGCAGTGGTGCGATCTCGGCTCACTGTAACCTCCACCTCCCGGGTTCAAGCAATTCTCATTCTTCAGCCTCCCGAGTAGCTGAGATTACAGGCCTGCGCCACCATGCCTGGGTAATTTTTTTGTATTTTTTTTTGTAGAGATGGGGTTTCACCATGTTGATCAGGCTGGTGTCAAACTCCTGACCTCAGGTGATCTGCCTGCCTTGGCCTCCCAAAGTGCTGGGATTATAAGTGTAAGCCACCATGCCCAGCTGGTGTACTGTTTTTTTTATGTCTTTATATGTTGGTGTTTATAAAGGTTGATAAGTCTTAATAAACATCATGTGCAGTAGGTACTGAAATATTTCTTAATGAGATGAGCTTATTGTTTTCCCTTTTCCTGATTCCTGGAGATGTCTGTCTGAGATCTGACCCTGATTTTGGTCTTCTAATACATTTTTTAGGCCTATAAAAATGCTTTCTTAAAAATTGCTTTATGACCTCATACTCTCAGGTAGCTTGCAAGGTTCCTATATACAACTCTGTGACATATACTGACTCACGTCTTTGAAGTTTAGAAGTAGAGGAGACTGTCTGATTCCATTTTCTCATTTTATAGATGACACAGAGACCCAGAAAATTTGCATCACTTGTCTAAAATCATATAGGCCATCCAAGATGTTATTTTTAATTTACATCCGAGCTCTGGATTCCAATGAAAGAGAGAAGGAAAAGTAATTTAAGTTCGTCACATCTAAGTTATAATTATACTTTAGTTTTGGACTAAGTTATGTTTGTAAGATAAAGTAATTTCGATTACACATTTGACTTTAGATCATGCAAAGAGTGTCCAGATCTCTTAAAAATGTGCTATAGCTAGGAGATTTAAGAAGATAATCTTATTTCTTTCTTTGTGTCCATAACTCTTTCACTGTTTTTTTCAGTCATCTAGATTTAAAATTATGTAATCGAGGATCACAGTTGGGCCCTGGCTTCAAGAATGGAATCAGAAAAGAATATGCTGTCTGTCTTGATTGAGGGTGACATTTAAAGTAGTACTTTGATGTGTAGGAGAACTAGGAGAGGATTAAATATTTGGAGCAGTAGTTGTCCAGCGAGTATATGCTGAACTGAGTTTTGTGATGCTGAAAATGCTGTACATATTCAGCTCACTGAATAGTCGTAGCTGGATTGCCTCACTAGTCCTGTGTTTTTGTAATATTTGCTGAATTATTGGCTACAAAGTTATGCAGTAAAATGATATTTCATGGTGAACATTTACAATATTAAGCGAACTTTTGAATATAGCCACCAATTGGCTAAATATTAAGACTAATTTTGGATTTGCTTTTGGCTACATTAATATAGCTATGGTTTGAATTAAGTAGTTGATTGCCTATAAGTGATTGGAATTTTAAATAAAAGCTTTTATGAGTATACAAGTGATTTCTGAGAGGAGGAAAGTTACAAAGATCTAATTTTTGGGAGGATCTCAGTTAATATTTAAGAATGAGTAAATATGATCAGGTAGAATATACAAATAAATCCTTTGTGAATTTAGGAAGTGTCTATTTTGAATATCCTGTTTATTTAATAAGCCATAAGCTCTTTGAGGGCAGGACTTCATTTATGCATGATATACTCTTCATCAGGCCTGATACCTGGGTGGTGAAGTGTAAAGACTGGATGAGTGTCTCAGTGCTGTTTTGTGACCTAGTTTAAAGACAGTTGTTCTAAAAGATACCAGAATGGAGGAACTATAGTGGTAAGTCTTCTTGTGTACTCTTTGAGATCTGATTCCTAGTATTTAGTACTCATGCGGGCAGGGGAAGACTACATCACATCCTAGAGCGTTCATTTGGCTATATAAATAAACCATAATGGACAAGTTCTAAGTTCTGCAAAGCCTTATTAAGTCCACTCATGAAGTAGTGGCATTTTCTCTAATTTCACTCTTTGGCACATAGGCTTTTAAGTTGTTTTAGAAGTAAGCCTTTCAAGGTCTTTTTCCTTTAAAAAAAAAACTTAATTGCCGGGAACTAATATAGCACTATGATCAATTAAATAATCAGTTTATAGCAGTTTGGACAGATAACTTTCCTGCTCTTATTTGGTATTTTTTATTATGACTTAAAAATATACCAGCAATATATATTTATTGCAGGAATTTTTAAAAGCAATAATTTATATCATTTTGATTTGTATTTTTCTTTGCCCTGGAATGCATTAGGTGGTGCTGGAAGCATCACTTGTTACTAGTTTCAGCTGGGAAATTGATGGCCTTTGCTAATCAGAATGAGCATTGTGAAAAACCTTTGCAGGTTGGATACTTTCATCCAAGTTTTGGACTGAATGATATTAGGGGAAAAGAAAATTTACTGTTTCTTTGTCAGTCTGTCTCAGTTGGATTCCACCTAGCCCATCTCATTTTGGGAAATCCTAAAAATAAAATAGTTGCTAATTGTTCCCCGTGACAAACATATTCATGATTGATCAAATTATGATTTAATTTCTTATAATTTTATCATGGATGGGGTTGGATGTTTTGTTTTTAAAGTCATTCAATTTAGCATGCCTTCAGAATTGACTGTGCCTGCTATGTGTGCCGAGCACAATACCGCACCTTACTGGTGGTTAGGCTAAAGTTGAGGAAGGTGTCCTGCCAGAACATTTACCATCTAGTGTACTATAGTACATCTAGACCAGTGCCCTGGGCCAGTATCCTCAAAAGAGTATTTGACTTATTCCATTAAGCATGTAATAAACATTCAGGTTATATAAAGTTAATTGTACTCTTTGAATTAATTTTTTTGGTGAAGAGGGTACCTTTTCTTTAGATGAAGATATTGTAATTGTCACTCTTCCTCTGTGGTTTCCCATCTCAGTAATTGACAGTACCAACCGTTCAGTTGTCCAGAGAGAAACCTTTGATTCTTTCCTTTTCCTCAACTATGCCTCAACTATGCATCCAGTCAGTTACCATTGAGTCTACCTTCTAAATATTTTTGGAACCCCAGTGTTCCTCTGTGACAGTCCAGGATTTAGTCTTCTCCTGAGTTACTGCAATATTTTCCTAATTTGGCTCCCTAATTCCTCTTACTCCAATCTAGCTTCTTTATAGTCTGTGCTTTTCCCTGCTCTTCCTGAAACTGTTTAATGGATTTGTTTTCTCTTAGTGCTGCCTTGAAGGTCCTCCTGAATATAGTTTCTGCCTGCATTTCAAGCCTTACTCGTCTCTGTCCTCACTCATTCCTTCCACACCTGCTGCAGCTCATGGGATGCTTCTGTTCACTCCCTCCCTTCCCCAAGCACCCTTGTTTTCGTGCCCCTCCTTTAGTCTGAATACCAAGGACACTCCTTCTAAATGTGTTCCTAGACTGCTAACTTTAGTTAGGGCTTCTTCTGTGTGTGTCCACTAGAAAATTGTCATTGCCTCCCATTTGTCTTTCTCCCTATGACAAGCTTGATGGGTGGTACTTAGTCACCACTTTGTCCTCAATGTAGGGCAGTAGCAGTTTGTCACCTGGTAGCCTACTCAAATGCTTGTTAATTTTTGATTTTTTTAAAAAATCTGCTAACTGTATCATAAAGAAATCCATGATGTGGCAGGACAACCAGCATAGTTCCACGTTAGATATTTCTTTATGCTGAATAGATGTGAATATATCATTTTTAAAGAGGAATTGGCAAACTACACTCTGTGGACCAAATCTAGCTCGCTTTCCTTTTATAAGAATCACAAGCAAAGAAAGGTCTTTACATTTTTATAAGTGCTTAGGAAAAAAAAATCAGAAGAATAATACTTTATGATACAATGATATTATGAAATTCAAATTTCAGTGTCCATAAGTTGAGTTTATTGGAACACAGCCACACTCGTTTGTTTACATATTGTGTGTTGCTGCTTTTGCACCACACAGCAGAATTGAGTAATTGTAACAGGCTGTATGGCTGATAAAGCCTGAAATATTTATTGTTTGGCTCTTTATATAAAAGTTTCCTGACCTCTCCTTTCAGTCATTTCTGTGACATGAGGACAAATAAGTATAATTAGATATATTTGAGTCATGCCTCAGTTTTCTTTTTTCCCCCACTTCGTGTTAAGGTTTAAGTATGTCCAGTAAGAAAGCATCATTTGAGTTTTGGGAACTGTATTCCAGCCTATCTCATACATACCTAGAGCTTTTTGAGACTTGAACATTACAGATGAGATGGTGAGAAAATAGAGACTTCATATCCTGCCAAGTTTCATAGATAAAACTGGAGTGGATAACTCATGGTTCTACCCCACCCAATGGTCTTTTCCCAAGTAACTGATATTCTTTTTTAACTAAATCAGCCTTCTTGCAAATAACTAATATTTTTTATTTTTAAAATTTACTTCTTTTTACAGTTAAGGAGAAAAAGTGAGCAACATTTTATGCTATTTGATAAAATCATTAAAATATTATGCTAAAGCCCTCTAAAAAATTTTGTTTTATTTTTGCCAGTATGTTACTTTGAAGAAAAATAACACCAGCCATGTTTTGGTTGTATAATCATTTTCCTAACTATTGGAAGCAACTTTGTCAGGTTTTATTATTAGGCAATGTAGAACCTTCGTTTTACATCATTTAATAAAATCAAATGGTTTTTACAACATTGTTTACATCTTGTTTAAAAATATTTTACTGAGAAAATAATTAACTTTGTTTTATTTTTAGGGTTATATCCTGTGTTGTGACCTCATGGTTTAAGTGGGAATAAAGATGAGTATAAGCAGTGATGAGGTCAACTTCTTGGTATATAGATACTTGCAAGAGTCAGGTGAGTACTTTTATAAAGTAAATAGGCCTCAAATTATTTTAATATTCTCAAAATAATCTTTTATGCATTTGAAATTTGTATCAGTCCAAACCGTTGAACTTTGTATGTTTTCTTAATGTCTGGACTGCCATTTTAAAGCTATGTTTTACTGCATGGTTTAACTCTCTGACTCTTTCAAATATGTTGCAAACAAGGCAATTATTTGTAACAGTTTGGCTTTCGTTGTTCAAAGACCATTTTTATAATCTGTTATGAGGTGAGATTATTGCATATGTAGTAGGAACATAAAAACTTTTAGCCACCATCAGTTTGATAATGTATATCCAGAATTCTCAATTAAATGTTGTTGGTCCTAATTGTAGTTAGTATTTTGGAAATTAAATTAACAGTATTTTCCTAGAATGCTTTCAAAATTATTATTTGAATTAAGTGTATCCTTGATCTGAATTGTTATTATTGTAATGGGAGTAATTATAAATAGAAATCATTGAAAGCCATTTGCAACTAATATTAAATCAATCAGTGATCTTCCAAGTTTTATTGATAGATAAAACAGAAGGAATACTGCAAGGGGAAATGTGGATGGATTAAGCAAAAATTTAAAAGTAGAAGAGGGAACATGGTTGGGTATGGGTGGAGGTATAGGATGGTGAGAAAGATTAATTGCAATGGAAATGCCGATTGCTACTAAAAAATGAAAGCATTTGGTGATTTTAAATGTCATGGTCTAGAGATTGAATTTTAGAAATTATACCTTAAAGTTACTGTAATGTTTTAGCAGTAAGGTGAGGTGCCCCATAAAAAAGATAATTTTGGTAGTCAAGTGTGAGGGAGGATGGAAGGATAAAGTAGAGGTCTAAGCTTGTAGAATATTGAGCCCCCAGTTTATGGTTTTGAGACTTGAATCATTCTTCTTGTATGGCATAGTTAGTTGTCCTTTCCTATGCAAGGAATACAAACATGGCTTTCGGTCTGAGAGCCTGTTGCTTGCTGAGATGTTCCCAGCTGTTCTTCAGTGCTGAGCATTTTTTGGGGGTAGGGGTTTTCTATTCCCAAGCACCATCACTGCCCCTCTCTGAGGTGTAACAGCTGTGAAAGTGATGTCCAGAAGGACAGGGAGGGAAAGAGAGATTAGTATCCAAGCCCACAGAGAATAATTTATAATGAAGCTTTGAAGTTAATAGCTCTTGTTTTGTTTTCTTTGTTTAAACTGGTAGACTGGTACTGAAGGCAGATCTAAAGAATGTTTTGAATAAGATAAAATGATTAATAAAGTGAAAAAGTAGTGACTAGTGATTGTTACGTATGTAACTTGTAAACAAGTTTAACAATTTCAAATACTTGTGTTTGAAAGTTGTGTAGCACTTTCAACCCAAATGGAAAAAATTTGTTGGGTTAAAGCAAACTCTTCTTTCTGCTTTTAAATTTAATCACCTTTTAAGCCAGAGCTTTGAGACTTTTGGACACTGGAGCAAAAACCATTGTGAAGGATCAGTAGATGGGAAATATATTGTAAAGGCTTGTTGGTGTATGGTAAAGACAACTATTTAGGTTGAGCCATATAAAATTACTGCTTTTGGAAGTTAGAAACAGTTGAATAGCTCAGCACTACCTTGTCGTTCAGTGGTGTTAATGAGAGCAGTAATATTTTTCTTTTTCTAAACAAAAGTCCACAAATTGATACTTGATGTTACTGTAAGAAAACAGTAAAAAGGAGCAGTAAAATAATATTCTCGGTTAATTTCTGAACGAGTAGATTAAATATTATCAAAAGTTGTGGGTTTTTTTGTTTGTTTGTTTTTTGAGACGGAGTTTTGCTCTTGTTGCTCAGGCTGGAGTGCAGTGGCGTGATCTCGGCGGCGGGTTCAAGCGATTCTCCTGCCTCAGCCTCCCAAGTAGCTGGGATTCTAGGCATGCACCACCATGCCTGGCTAATTTTGTATTTTTAGTAGAGTTGGCATTTCTCCATGTTGGTCAGGCTGATCCCAAACTCCCGACCTTAGGTGATCCGCCCGCCTTGGCTTCCCAAAGTGCTGGGATTACAGGCATTACACCCGGCCCAAAAGTCTTCTTAAACTTGCTTTTCTTCTTAGAGAAAAAACCCTTCAAAATTCCATGTTTTAAGGTGTTTTATGTTGAAATAAAAATAAACCAAGAATTAAAAAAAAATTTGTATGGTAGACTGATATATCAAGTTCTCCATAATTGTTTAGTATGTTCTTAGGTGTCCTTTGTGTATTCTTTAGAAAGTTTTAGACTTTACAGTGTAGTGGTGATGCTAAATCACATCTCTAAAAATGTGAAAATCAGTCCCTTGGTAAAAATTGTAACTTCCTGTTTACATTATGATTTATAGGGAAAGATCAGACTCAACTGATGACATTTTGACTTATGGCAGTTTTCCCAGGACTGCAACTTGCCATAAATTTAAGAACTGCTTATGTTAAGAATTCTGAAGTTTGAGCCTCTGACTACCTGCATCAGAGTCACACTGAGTGGGGCCTGGGAATCTGCATTTTACAAATGCCCCAGGTGATTCTTTTGGCTTAATAAAGTTTGAAAGCCACTGGTCTATATTAGTTGTAGGACAATTAGAACTTGACAAGACAATTGGCAAGCATTTAGCATATTCACAATATCTTGACAGAAAAATTATGCTGAGTATTCAAGATAAAGTAGAAAACATGGAATACATGTACATCTGCTGAGGTTTGGGCTATGAGAGCATATCCTAAAGAGGGGCTGCCACTGAAAGTGTATATTTGTGTTTGTGGGTCAGGCGGAATAATGAGATAGCAGAAATAATGAGGCGTTTTTATGTCTTAAAGGGTGCCATGAGATATTTATTTGAAATTGCATCCAGAAATAGGATATGGAAGAGAGTTTGAGAATGTTATAGTTCTGTGAACTCAGGACAGGGTTCAGATAGAACTCAGAATCTCACTCATAACAAATGCCCATAGTAGCTTTAGATCTGGGCACTTGCCACTTATTCCAAAGCTTTTTTTTGGTTCTGATCTCCAATTATACTTAAATGTGGCTACTTTTGCAATAGGTCCTAATTCAGAATCACCAAGTACAGTAATGTCTGGGTTGTTTTGGGGATTCATCATATTTATCACCACAACCTACAAATGATACTTATTGAGAATTAGTCATTCAGTATCTAAGAAATGCGATATAAATTACTCTTAGGTTATAACTATGTTTCTTGAAAGATCTAAAGTAATACCGAAGAAACTGGAATCTTTATACTGCTGCTTTCCCTGCAATAGAGCACTGAATTGGATTAGGAGACAGCAGAAAAGGAACATCGTGGCAAAGGAAGTATTTGTGCAGGGACATTCAAAGGACTGGTTTGTGAAGACTTCCAAAAAGCAAAACTAAAATTTCCGCCTGGCCTGTCTCATTATCAAAGACTGTCCAAAAACACATTATGAAAGTTTTTATGTTTTGATAAATATGTGGTTTAGTAATACTTTTTTTATGTAAGAACTTTTAACATTTGTTCTCTGCATATTGTTCAGTGTTGACTGTGTTATCTATCTGCAGGGGGAAAATCACTTAAATTGTTTTAGGCTTAAATATTTTTTACTGTTGTCAATACTATAAGATACTATCTGTTGAAAGTTTCCCACCTCCAAAATTACATAAATTCTCAGATTCATTTTTCTCACCTATAAAATACGTTGCTGTGGAGAAGGGATTTACATTGTGATATTCAGCCTCAAATATTTGATGGACATCTCTGTTTTAAATAAGCCATCCCTCAGACTCATCAAAACTAATTAAAGAAAAATATATTTATTGTAGGGTTTTTATTAACTATTGTAACTTTTATTTTTTGCAATTTTATCACTAGAAAGTTCACCCTACGCAAATTACTTTGGTCCTCACCATTCTGCCTTTTTATGAAGTGGACTTCCCTATTCAACAAATATTTCCTAGGGAATAAAATGATTTTTTTCTCTTTAGAGATGACTTGAAAACTGAGCGTATTTAATATATAATACTGTAAGTAACGATTAACTTGATTCAAAAGTATTGTTCCTTTAATTAGTGTTTGCCCAGGGGCATTAATTTCATTGCCCTAATAACTTATCTAGCAACCATATGCAGATAAATACTTAGTGGTACATGCCAAGTTGCATATAGTAGAACCTGATACAGTGTTAATTTTAGAGGCACTAAGCTGGTTTGGACCTTTTTAATCTCTCCCCCACCTTTTGCGTCACCATTGACTTCTTTAGTTATTTGCAGTTGTGGTTTGAATAGTTTCTGGCAGTTATTTTTGAACTTTCTGACACCTGGTTTTCTTATAAGACAACCTGTTTTCTATAAGAAGATGTCATTTTATCCAGCTTCAGTTGTATATTTGCTTTAGGGAAAGAATTCTTGATACTAGGTTTAACTATTACATGTCTAAGAGCTCTGTAACTTCTCCATTTATATTGTACTTGACTGTTGGAAGCTATGAAACAGTTGCATCTTATAATTGAACGACTTAACTGGAATTGCAAAATCAAAATGTCCTTGTTACTAAAATGAGTAACTTTCTAGATAGTGATTCTGAATATTATTACTTTTTAAAAATTTATTTAAAAATAACCGATGTTGCATACTGTCTCCATTTTTAAGAAAGGTGATATATAAGAAGGAAATATATAAAATCTGTATTAGGGTTCTCTTGAGGGACGTAACTAATAGGATATATGTATATATGAAAAGGAGCTTATTAGGGGGAATTGACTCACACAATCACAAAGTAAAGACCCACAATAGGCTGTCTGCAAGTTGAGGGGCAAGGAAGCCACTGGTGGATCAGTCCAAGTCCCAAAACCTCAAAAGGCGGGAAGCCAACAGTGCAGCTTTCCATCTGTGGCCAAAGGCCCGAGAACCCCTGGTAAACCACTGGTGTAAGTCCAAGAGTCCAAAAGCTGAAGAACTTGGAATCTGATGTTCGAGGGCAGGAAGCATCCAGCACGAGAGAAAGATGAAGGCTGGAAGACTCAGCAAATCTAGTCTTTTCTATGTTCTTCTGCCTGCTTTATCCTAGCTGTGCTGGCAGCTGATTAGGCGGTTCCCACCCAGATTGAGGGTGGATCTACCTCTTCTAGTCCACTGACTCAAATGTTAATCTCCTTTGGCATACTCTCACAATTATATCCAGGAACAATACTTTGTATCCTTCAATCCAATCAAGTTGACAATATTAACCAGGATGATATATAAGAAGGATAATACATGTAGGCTTCAAGAGTTTGGTTTATGAAGGATCTCCTTATCTCTCTTGCACCCTCCCTCCCTCCATTTTTTCCCCCTAACTTTTTCAATGGGATTTTCCATCTCCTTAGAAATACAGGCCTTGTACCATACCATTTGTTTTTTGAGATGATTATTACTTCAAATGTTATATTTGTAAAATCACAAGTCAGAACCATATACTATTATTTTTTAATTTAGAAAACGTGATCACAGTAGGCACAAACTAACCTTTATGTATAACATTAAAGCTCTGACCTGTACTACCATGTAACATATAGCTCATTCATTCATTTTTTTGTTTCATTGTAGCAGTTTCACATTAGGTCTGTAATGGCTAATGAATATTACAGTGCAGTTTCTTTGTTGACTCAGATAAAGGTAACTGGGCCATTCCTTCCTATGTACCTTATGCCCAGTGCCATTTATGAACAGACATTACCAGTGTATTCGATGGAGTCAGGTTGAAGTGGTTATCAGTAATGTGCTTCTAGTCATGAAGAACTGCAGTGAAGAGAGCTCAGCGTCTGGTATGTCCGCCTTCAGTCTGCCTTTTAGTTTTTATCAGTAGATGACCAGCTACAGAAGTGCAAGTAGGTATATAGTTTTGTTTTATAATCAAATGAAATACAGAATAACCTTGATTTTACACACATGGTTGTATCCATGACTAATTGACAATAAACAGCAAGCAGTTGTCATAAATGCTGATAATTACAATTCTTTTTTTTTCCCAAATAAGTTTTTCTCCTCTTTTTGTAAGCTGAATTACCATTTTTTGCTGACACAGGAAATTCGTATTACACATTCCTGCTAGCACACTTATCAAAGGGACAATGGTCCTTTAATAGTTGCCAAACAGAGAATTTGTTCAATGTTTTTTAGGACTAGCCAGCATAGCGAGAGTATAAGGAAACATGGAAATTGCTTTTGGCATTATTAATAATCTTTTTGGAAAGCAATTTGGCAATGATGAAAACCTTCTTTAAAATGCTTATATCCCCTTCAGCTTTTGAGGGAATCCATCCTAAGGAGAAAAAAACAACACACATTGTACATGGCAAAAGCCTATACATATAGATATTTGAGGTAATATTCTTTTAAAATAGTGATCATTGGAAAAGTTCGAAGGTCCAGCTATGGCGTGAATAATTTACTGGCTGAATATTATGATGCTATTAAAATTATTTCAGAAAGTATTATTTATATAAAATGTTCATAGTTACATGTATTTTTAAGGGCAAAATTAGGGCACGAAATTTTATAGCTAGTGTATCAGTACTAGATCTAGCTCTTCAATAACAAAGATCCCCTGTGTCATTTTTTCCCCATCCTATTTACCTTTTCTAAAATCTGGATCTGTAGGGCAGAGTTGGAGTCAAGAAAGCATTTGATGATGAGAACATGAGTATAATTTGCTGAGCTTTTCTGACTTGAAGCTTATATAGGACCTTGGATCAATCAGATTTTCGTTTCAGACTAGGGCAGTATGTTGTGGTCATATTTAAGCTTTGCCTTTTTTACCAGTTTGTCTCATCTAGTCATCCTGTACCATAATCATGGTGTTCAGAGTCCATTTTCTTATTCTTGTATTGCCTATTTGCAAGGTAGAGTTGGCAGGCTCTGTATGACTAACTCCCCTTTGAGAACACAGTCCCTAACATCCTTACAGAAAGCACTTCCTGAAACAAGCGATCTATAGAAAATGGCTGTTTTGTGATCTTCATGCGTGCCACCCCACTCCCTGCCAGCTGTCGTTGCTCGTCTCTGTCACTGAATGACTATATACTTCATGTGTTTCAGTCTTATTTCTTTCTGGAGTCTCTCTTCTCCCTGAGTCTCAATACCCTAGTCAGTGTTTAGAGTACTTGATTACAGAGGTACTATCAGATTTGCTCTTACACTTGGAAAGAAGGGATGCTATTTTAGATGGTCATGCCGGATTTTAACATCTAACAGATTTAGGTGGTCTCTTTTGCCTCCTATTATATAAATCAAAAGCTGTCCCTGGAAAAAGCCTTTTTCTGCATATATATATTTACAGATAAATGGAAATAGCTTCTGGCACAAAACTAGTTCAAGTTTTAGATTTTTCCAAGGAAGACTTAAGTCATATGCTTTTTCTGGAGTCACAGATTTTTTTGATGTGCCAAAATACATTATAGTATAATTGCATTCTAATTTAAAAAATGTTTATTGAGTACTTGTTGACTCAGGTAATGTGCTAGTTTCCCAGAATTAAAGGATTACTAGACTTAAACCCTTTTGTCAGGATCCCAGTCTAGTAGTCACACACAGGCAAACAACCATAGCCACACAGTTGATAACCAGTGTGGTAAGTGCCACACATACAGAAATTCTAGGATCAGCGTAGGAGAGACTGGTTAGCCCTGGTGTAGTGAAAGAGGATTTCACCTCCATTCAGATAGGAGAAAGAGCAAAGGAGGACATAAGGCTCAGAGGCATGATGTATAACACAGCATATTCAAGATGTTAGATGTAATTTGCCACCACTTGAATTTATTGTGTAATGGGAGTGAGACGGGGTGTGTAGTATTGAGATGAGACTGGAGAGACAGAAGAGCCAGATTACAGAAACAACTGTGTGCCATAATTAGGCGTTTGACCTTTGTTATGAAGGCCAAGGGGATCATTGAAAATTCTCAAGCAAGAAGTGATATGTTCAGTTTTTTGTTTTACAAGTAATAGTCTAGCTGTAGCTTGGCATATATACTGAATTGAGGAGGAGGGGAAAGAAATGTGTATAGCAAAGGGTAATGGGGACTAAACGCAGATCTGGCAGAAAAGGTAAGGTGATGAGCATCTACAGATGGTAGAGTGGTAGGATTTGGAGTAGGATGGTAGGATTTGGTAAATTGTCAAATGCCAAGGGACCGAGAGAGAAGAGGGAGTTAGGATGACTATGACTTTCAGGTGTAGTGAAATGAGATCAGAAGTTTCTAAGGAAAAGTAGTTTTAGGGAGGGGAAGAAGAAAATTGATTTTGAACATAGTAATTTTAAACTGCTATGTAATGCCATGGCTAGAAATAAAGAAAATATTCTAGTTGAATTCAACATTTAAGCAGAGCATTTAAGTTTGGAACTTCTCTAGGGTAAACATTAGTGAGAAGTGCCAAAACAATGCTAATGACTACTTCAGGGATGTTTCATTGCTATTTGAGAGCATCCTAAGTACATCTGCAGTACCTTGAGATGCATGTAAGCACCTGTGATAGTTTTTCTCCTGGTCTGACAGAACAAATTCAGGATATCTGCAACATTCCAGCCAGAAATTGGCACAGTTCCACCTGCAAGTCTTAGACTATTCTTGGACATATTATTACTTTAAACTTAAACTCTATAAGCTAATTAAATAGGGTCCAAATTTAACAATTTTGACTATTTAAATTGCAGTCATGAATAAAGTATACAGAAATCATGTACTTCAAACAAATTTATAAGCATTACATAAGTCAAGACACTTTCAAAACCTTGGCAGTAAATATGGCAATAAGATGGCTCAGTGTTTCATGCACTGTGCAACCACTTTCCAGGACCCTGAGATGAAAACAAAACAGTGATGTAGTCTTTTACTTTCTATCAGGAAACAGGAGCTCACTCTCTCCCTTAGCTTTATCCTTGACCATATTTTAACTGTTCAAGAGGAGTAGTAGAGTCTCTGAATGAATTTGAATCTGTACTTTCTCATTTATTAGTTGTGATTTTCCATTAGATTATAAAATAATAAAATTATATGTGTGTACACAGTATCTAGCATATGGTATAGGCCCTCTGTAAATGATGTCTTCTGTCTTGAAGTTTTCTTAAATCTCTTAAGCTGCTTGGCGTTTGGCTGTTTTTACTATGGATGATTTACTGTGAATTTATTCAGGGAGGGGTTATATAATTGAAAACAGGAATCTCCAACCTCACTGCTTAAGGATTTTACTGCTATGTCTCTCATTGTTTCTCCCCATCCTCCCTCATCCTTATTCTGTTTTCTGCCTTGGTGATCTGGAATCTACTCA
Source organism: Homo sapiens (assembly GCF_000001405.40). NCBI lineage: Eukaryota > Metazoa > Chordata > Mammalia > Primates > Hominidae > Homo > Homo sapiens. Next base: position 177,055,628 of record NC_000003.12, on the reverse strand, counting down.
TATTCAGATAGTTGTGGGCTTCCTGATAGGGACAATTCAAAACGGTGCTTCTCCGCCCCCACCCCCCCACCCCCGCCCCGCCCCCCGATTGGTATCTCTGTGAGCCCAGATTAAGGTGAAAACTATGAAAACTATAAATGCATTTAATTATGATCTTGCTTATGGGCAAAATCAGGGGCTAAAATCAAGGTTTTAGAGGTAACATTTTTCCACTTGCCTTTTCCACTGTGGGTTAGATGTTGTGAGCATAATGAGTTAGGTGTTCCAAAGAGAGAAGGAAGGGGTTACAAGGAAAATCAACTTAGGTGTACTCTGACTATCAAATAACCAAATTTTCCTAGCCACATGCTAGGAAATTGTGAGCCCACAGTATTTTCTACTAGACTGTTTATAAGTACCACAAGGAGTATAAGAGTGGAAGCACAAAATCCAAAAAAGACATTACTAAACACTAAAAAACTAGGCTAGACAGGCTAGCCAACAGACATACTATATAGATTAAATCAGTTTAACCAAGACCCAAAATAAGCCTGTATTTATTTCCTTTGTTTAGTATAAATGTTTATTAATATTCTATATTACTTGTACAATTTAATTGAATTGTTTAAAATACTTCATAGAAATTACTACTTAATGATAAATGGTGATTAATATTTCAGTAAAGAAAATAACCACCCTTGGTTTATCAGCTTCTTAGAATTTTACCTTTGAATTTTGACTAGATATTAATAAAAAGCAAGGCCAACATAAAGAGATTTTTATTAAGTAAGTGCTTTGGTTTTAAGTATTTCAAGTTAAGAGTAAGTAATTGCTGATGGAGACCTATAAACCAGGTAATCATTTGCTAGCTGTTCATTTCTTAAATATTTCATATAGATGAGTTATTACTAAGTGGCAAAGAATTGGTATTTTTAAAGCACTTAATTCATACATAAAATGAGATTTAACCGTTATGATTTTTTAATATTTGAATTTATTTTTATTATTTTAGTTTTCCTAAGTAGTTCCAAAGAGCTCCAAAATACTGAATTTATCAGATGTTTGACAATTTATATGTAGAAATTTAAATACTTCAGATTTTACCTGAGTGCTAGATTGCTTTACAGACATTATTGAATTATAACTACGTAGTAGATAACAATTACATGAAGTAAATGAAGATCATTCAGAATGAATGAATTCCTATTTAAAGCATATTATGTGTACCACTTTTGAGAGATGCTGAATACTTGAACTGGGCTGGGATGAAAGAAAATTTGAAATAAAGTTCCTTAATTCTAGATGTAAAAAATATTAAAATATAATACAGAAATATTAAATGTCCCTTAATCTGTCTTGGCCTGATTTAAATGAAGCAATTTAATTATATGATTTCCAAAGACTTGTTTTACCTTTTACATTTGATGCTTTTTGTTAAGAAAAGTTGTGTACCATGACATTTTAGAAAATTTGAAGCTATATAATCAAGTATTTACTAGAAATTTTAAAGAGTACATTAAGAGAAAAAGAAAGTATGTAAAGGCTGACATGTTTACATGCACACACACGCGCGCGCACACACACACACACACACACACACACACGACCTTCGTCTGGGATTTTAAATGGGTAGGATGGGATTTGAAAAGATGATGGTGATCTTTCTTTCTGTGTCATTTAGCATGTTGCCACTAGGAAAATAAATTCTCATGCCTTTTCTTTTGTTTTTAGGATTTTCTCATTCAGCATTTACCTTTGGTATAGAAAGCCATATCAGTCAGTCCAATATAAATGGTGCCCTCGTCCCACCCGCTGCATTGATTTCTATCATCCAGAAAGGTCTACAGTATGTAGAAGCAGAAGTTAGTATTAATGAGGTAAGGAAGACTTATTTCAAATACTGATTTTTTTCATCTTAAATATGCCGTTAAGTCAGCTGTCTTGCTTGCTTATTCAGTATTCTGACTTTAGCTTCACAGGGTTAACAAAAGTGCAGGCAGTTCATCCCTAATGTGGTAGTCAGGTTGCACCGGCAAGGTGTTGGCGCCTAGTTGTAAGGACCATTATCTGTAGTTTGTTTGCCTTAATCTGTTTGTGTAAGTAAACACTAATAAAGAATTTTTATTAACACAACAGCATTGTGCTGTGGAATGCTAAGATCATAATTATTGGCCTGAAAATTGTAAATTCTCACGTTATTTGAATATACCCAAATTTAAACCAGTTTGTAATTGAAGCCAACTCTGGATGGTACTGCCTATCTAAGGACTACATGTGAGTAGTTTGTTTGGCTTAGGGGTCAGCATACTGTGGCCCATTAGCCAAATGCTCCTCCCTGTTTTTCTCAATAAAGTTTGATTGGAACATAGCCACATGCATTTACATATTGTCCATGGCTACTTATGGCATAATAGTAGTTGAGACAGAGACCTTATGGCCTGCAGAGCCTAAATTAATATTTACTGTCTACTCTTTTACAGAAAAAGGTTGTAAACCCCGGTCTAGTTTAAAATGTTGTTTTTGTTTTTTGTTTTGTTTTGTTTTGTGTGTGACGGAATCTCGCTCTGTTGCCCAGGCTGGAGTGTGGTGGCACAATCTCAGCTCACTGCAACCTCCGCCTCCTGGGTTCAAGCGATTGTCCTGCCTCTGCCTCCTTAGCAGCTGGGATTATAGGCACCCACCACCATGCCCAGCTAATTTTTGAATTTTTGTAGAGACAGGGTTTCCCCATGTTGGCCAGGCTGGTCTTGACTCCTGACCTCAGGTAATCTGCCCACCTCGGCCTCCCAAAGTGCTGGAATTACAGGCATGAGCCACCACGCCCAGCCTAGTTTAAAATTTTTATCTATAGTGAGGAGCTTTTCCCATTACTTCTATTTCAGAGATTAACATGTTCCCCTTTTGCGAGTATTTTTAAACTGAAGTATCTATGATTTCTGTATCAATGATTATTACTAGAATTAGAAATTACATAATATACTAAAATGGATTTGTTTGTTTCCTCAGCTCTTTGAGTGACCATCCAGTAACGCAAAACTAAATTTTTTCTTAAAATGTGTGTAAATTTGACATGGCGCTTATTCCACAGTGTATCTGTGTTGGGTTTAGTATCTTAAAAATTATTTATAAGTTAAAATACTTTCTCCTGTTCCTGAAATATTACATTACAATGGACAGTTTAGAAAGACAGGCTGTGTTTTTGCAGCTCACAGTACCCTGCAATAACACTGTAGATTGTCACTGGTACATGTTTACCAGTTTAAGTGAACCAGACTTCACATATGCATGTTCCCAGCTAATTTGTACTGTTTGTATTTCTGACTTGTTCTGTGTTTGTGTCTCTTCTTGTGCTTACTTGGAGAACTCTTTATTAGGAACTTCCTAATATCAATAAGTAGAGCTTTGGAAATTTTAATAACTCCCTAATATTCAAGAGCACTATAGCCCCATGAAGTCTGTTTCTGCTTTAATATTTGAATCAAATCACAAGAAACTCTTCAGCTCAAAGTTTTTAGTTTTTTAAAAGATGTATTTACTATAATGGGGCACCAGGCCTCTGATCATTATATGAACTATATTCCATATTGTTTGTTGCTTTGACTAACAGAATTTCAGAATCTAATTAATAAGCCTTTTTATCAGCTCGGCCTACATCTTATTATCTCTTTCATTTCAGCTCTATCTGTACAGCTCTATACTGTAATAATAGTATGAATTAAATGAAAAGGAAAATGTAAGCAGTCATTTCCAGTTGCTGCTTGTAGTTTCTTTATTCCCTCCGGACTTCTTATATGAATTCAGAAAGTTCCTAAAAATGTTTTTTTAGGAACGAAGATTTTCATTTCATTTCTGATTTTGTATAAATACAAATAACTTTAAATATTGCCTTTGATTTTTCTTCTCTCACAATTTTCCAAATCCAGGATGGTACCTTGTTTGATGGTCGACCAATAGAGTCTCTGTCCCTGATAGATGCCGTAATGCCTGATGTAGTACAAACAAGACAACAAGCTTATAGAGATAAGCTTGCACAGCAACAGGCAGCAGCTGCTGCAGCTGCCGCAGCTGCAGCCAGCCAACAAGGATCTGCAAAAAATGGAGAAAACACAGCAAATGGGGAGGAGAATGGAGCACATACTATAGCAAGTGAGCTCAGACAAGAATTTTTTTTTAATTACATGGTTTATTTATTTATTTTTTTAAACTTTTAATTCGGGGTACATGTGCAGGTTTGTTATATAGATGAACTCATATCACAGGGGTTTGTTGTACAGACTATTTCATCACCCAGGTACTAAGCCTAGTGCCCAATAGTTATTTTTTCTGATCCTCCTCTTCCTCCCACCCTCCACCCCCCAGGAAGGTCCCAGGAGACAAGAATTTTTAAAAATTTTTTCTCAGAAGAAATGCCCCATCTTCTATGCTGAAATAATTTCATCTGTTAACTTGCACCAACTTGTTTCCCTAACTTGTATCACACAGTTCAATTCAGATTTTTATTCCTAAAGCTCCAAAAAGCTAGATTTACTTTTATTTTCTTTTTAAAATATCTAGAAACCCTTTTCCCATTGTTAAATGAATTTTTACATCTACATTTGATTTCTAAATAAAATTTGTAATACTAGTTATCAACAAATAACCATAGAGCTCTGACATCGAGATAAAAGGCAACTCATGTTATATGAATGATATCAGCAACCCCTACTGGCAGAAACTCAGAATAGTACTGATAGACATTATATTTAATTCAAACCATTTTATCGTTTTATCCATGTTTAGGTCTAATCATTTAAAGTCTCCCATCCCACTCCCACCCCCACCCCTCTAAAAAAAAAGTATGTGGTCAATACTTAATTAAAGATAAGAATTTATTTTCTGTGTGACTAAGACTGTGTAGTCATGTTCAGCTTAACTGGATATAATTGAAAAATGTTACACTGTGTGCGATAAAGGAAGGTATTTGCTAGTTAAGAAATCACCCATCCACCATGTTGTAATACTGCCTAACTGGAAATGCTTACTTGTGTTTCACGATGCAGATAATCATACTGATATGATGGAAGTGGATGGGGATGTTGAAATCCCTCCTAATAAAGCTGTTGTGTTGCGGGGCCATGAATCTGAAGTTTTTATCTGTGCCTGGAACCCTGTTAGTGATCTCCTAGCATCAGGGTATGTTTCTCAAAGTGATACTAAAATGACTTAAAAATATCTTATTGAACATTTTATAAACATATGCATTATTCAGGTTTTCTGTTGTTGCTTAGTTGTGGCCATTTTGTCTCTGTAAATTTTTTATTCCTTCATGAAGTAATTGTAGAATTTTTAATTAAACTTACTATTTCGAGAATGCTTGGGGGTCCCAACGTGTAGAATGGGAAAAATACTGGAAATGAAAATTCGTGATAGTCGTTTTTATTTGCCTTATTAATATTCAGATGTAAATATGTTGCCTTGTTCTGATACGTGAGAATGTCATGAGGATCTAAAATATATTGCATACTTTTATAGGTCTGGAGACTCAACAGCAAGAATATGGAATCTTAGTGAGAACAGCACCAGTGGCTCTACACAGTTAGTACTTAGACATTGTATACGAGAAGGAGGGCAAGATGTTCCAAGCAACAAGGATGTCACATCTCTAGATTGGAATGTGAGTATCACTATATCCATGATGGATATAATTACTAGTATACCTAACCCTCAGAGCCTCATACTCACGGCAGGGTTTGTCTATTTGTTCAGAATTTGGGGTTTTATTAACTAGTAACAACAAACCGGGAGTCGTCCCCTGCCAGCCCTCTCCCCCACTGTGGGACACAGACTTGCCTTAGTCAGACCAAGGTTCAACATCCAGCTCTTCAGTGTATCCCACAGCATATCCTTGGTTAAATTGTTACTTTTTACTCTGTACTTCATTTTCTTTAAATGTCAAGTAGAAGTGTGAAAATGGTACCTAAATATTTGAGATAATAGGTGAAAATTCTTACCATAATAACAAACAACATACTAAATCTATAACAACCGAGTCCTTAGGGGATAAAAGAATTCTGTGTAGCAAAAAACATGTTCTTGTTTTTCTCTGTATTCTGTGAACTGGTAGAACTTTATTACCAATTTCCTTTTAGGGATCATTAGTCTAGACAACGTCTGAATTTTATTCCCACTGTAGGAATCTTGTAATTCTCTGATTCTGTGTATGATTCAACATCTTTCAGGACAACTTGACTACTGTGACTTACAAAAAACTTTGACTTCGTTGTTGATAAATTCTCACCATTATAGTTTTAAATACATCTCTTACCTCGCTCCGCTACCCCCTGCCCCTCCCCCAAAACTCTTAGATTATTTCAGCATTGCAAAGAATATCAAGATAGTTGTTCTTTGCTCAGCAAATGAATGTTCTTTTCTCTTCTGTTTAACAACCCTTTGTGGACTTTCTAAAGGATCTTCCAATTCTTTTCCCCGGGAATGAGATCTATCTTTAAAATGATTATCCCCACTAAAGTTCTCAGTTTCTGTGAAATGTTTTTTCAGAAATCATAGCTAGGTATTTTTAGCATTTTCTTCCAAAATTGCCAGCAGCATATTTACTCTTCCCCTCCATATGACAATTCTAAAAATTCCAAAGGGGTTTAGCACATTGTAGTATTATTTACTTGTAAGATCAAGACAGAATTATTTTCTTAATATGGGCCCTTATTATATTTTAGTTCAGATATCTTACAGCTTTCTTACGCTACCTGGTCCACTGGCCATGTTAATGAAATTTATAGTTTACACTGAAAAGGATGGTTAATGAATATTGGTTTGTTGAGCTTGGTAGTTCTGAACTGCATTTTATAGTTTTGAAAAGTGTGGGCTTTTAAAAAATGTGTTATTCACGGTGAACTTGGAAAACATTATCCTCGATTAATGATTCTTTTCCATGGCTAAAGCAAGAGAGCCTGTGAGATTTCTCATCTTTACAGTATTTTCCTAGTTGAGCAGTTCATGAACTAAAACATTTAGGGACTGATAGTTTAGAGGAAACTTGACATTGTGTAGGATGTGGAAATAAGCTTTTACTGTTGACTTCAACATGGCTCCCCTTCTTCTTGAGACAGAGCCCTAAGGGATGGCCACATCCCAGCAGAATTGAGTCTGCAGTTCCCAGAACCAGCATTTGTTTTTGTTTGTCACTTAGCCATACTGCTAAATGGCTTGAGAGATGTGAAATAGGTGATCTTGTTTTGAATGCCCTTACCAAAAACCATCAATAATATGTCAAGTAATGCAGGATTTCATTCTCCAGTAATGTTTACTGATTCTAGCAATAGTCTGTTTACTATAATCTGTAACTTCTGTGTTTGCATAGAGTAGGTTAGATCTGTCCTTTTATTACACAATTCATCGAGGCAAGGTGCACAGCAAGGGAATATAAGTTGAGAGAAATTTATATGGACTTTTCCTCCTGGTAAAGTAGGCAGTTGTACTTACTTCATTAACTATAAAGTCAGCCTGTGCTCTTTTCTGGCTCTTTTCCTTGTTGATCTTTTTATTGGCAAATATTTCATAGTGGGAAGGGATTAATAATAGAAAGGAACATTCAAGTATTTAAGAATCTGATCATTCGAAACAATGATATTGTTTGGATCATACCCACACACTTCGTTTTAGACAGTAAAGGATTTAGAGGAATGGCCATATAAAACCTTCTAATCATATTTTAAAGTTTTTCTTTTTTACTTCTAATAAATCATTGTAAGACTATGAATTTGATGTTCTTCCCAGTCCACCACTCTACCTTCATTCTTAGTTGTGTGAGTCTGTGAGAATACTTTTGGCATGCATGAGGTGGGGTGATGTAGATCCTGGTCCAGAGCAATCACTGTCAGTTGTTGAACTTTGGATATAAGGCCCCCATACAACATTAGTGTCACACAGTGGAAGGGTTTCATAGGCCTTTAGTGGCACTCACAAGTAGGCAAAACTGACAAGTTTTGAAGCAGAGAATGTCTTCATTCTCTTCTGTACCTGGGATTTAAACATGAAATACTTTAACAACAATTAAATACCGTATCTAGATTATATAATTAAAGAAATGTTTTTCTCTGGCAGAGTGAAGGTACACTTCTAGCAACTGGTTCCTATGATGGGTTTGCCAGAATATGGACTAAAGATGGTAAATGAAGCATTTTCCTTTTTACTTTGTTGTTGATCTAAAGATAGAAAATTTAAAATAATGTTAATGTTTTTCTTTTGCATTTTAGGTAACCTTGCTAGCACCTTAGGGCAGCATAAAGGCCCTATATTTGCATTAAAATGGAATAAGAAAGGAAATTTCATCCTAAGTGCTGGAGTAGACAAGGTAAAAGCTCATTAAGTTCTGTAAAGGCAAATGTATTACAGAGCTTAATTGAAAGCAGTATTTTGTCTTAGCTGCCAATTACATAAACATTCCTATTTGGGAAATTCACATAGGAATTTATGCTAGAAATACTCCTTAGGTCTATCAGCTCATTTCTGAATCTACTTACCAAAATGTCCTTATCCTTTTATCTATGTGAACACTTTTAATTTTACCTGGAATTTGAACCATAAACAATGTCATACGTCCTGCACTTTTTGCTTCCCTTCTACAATTTCTAGTTAGTCTCACCAGTGAATATGGCTCTGGAGTGAATCCATGGGAAATTCTAGAGCTGGTCTGTTAGCCGAACTCCTGGTACTTAATTGAAGCTAATATGAAATGCAGGATCTGTCTAGCCTTCTTTGTCTAAGTCGGCTGGTGAATATAGATGAGTTGGAAATAGGACCTTCTTCCTCCTAAAGGTTTAAGATTATCTTAATCCAGGAAAGGGCATGCTAATAATTGAGTGTGGTGTCAAACAGGGAAGTGGAGAGAAGCTAGTTCACTCTTTATAAAATTCAGAGAGCAATAAAAAAAGTGGCAAAAGGGGAAGAAAAGTGAAGTAGGCTGGGAAGGAGAGAGACTGAGTCCTGTTAATAGTCACCGCCACTAGACAATACTTTAGGTTCTTGCTTTAAGTACTGCCAAAATTCAAGCTGCCTTTTTGGGTAAATGGGAGCTTTCAGAATCTTTCAGTATTGAGAACTGATTACGTTGTTAACCAAGAACTTCTCTCTTACTAAACATCTATACGAGTCTTACATTAAATGTACTATTACAATGGAGTTTTTTAAGCAAAATCTAGTATAATGCCTGGCCCTTTGTAGACTACCAGTAATTGTTATTTGAAGTAAGTTGACCAATGCAAAATCATCAGGGAAGAATCAAACTGCTTAATAGTCATTTTCTCCCAAAGTATATAGCCTTGTGGTACTATTTGGGATAAAGTGTTTAAAATTAAATCCACTCTGACATTTCATATTGCTGTAATACAGTTAGGCATATACTTTACACATGTATGTTAAACTTCTTTCCATGAGTTTATTTTTCTTTTCCTTTTAATCTCAGACTACAATTATTTGGGACGCACATACTGGTGAAGCCAAGCAACAGTTTCCTTTTCATTCAGGTAAATTTCTTATAATTTACGTGAAAGCTGGAGCTTGCTTCTGTTTTTCTAATTAAACTTTTAACAGCATATAATTTATTTTAAATGTTGAAATATCAAGTATCAGTCTTGTTACTAGTCCTTTGGAGAGTTGATGTTCCATGACATTCAGACTCTTAATTGTCAGAGGATCATCAAACGTTTTCTGTGAAATGTACCATAAAGCATTTGCAGCCTGGTGCAATTAGAGGTGGCATTATTTAATGGAAAGAACATAGATTTTTGAATCAGAAAATCTAGGTTTGAATGTCAGTTCCACTCCACTTAAGAAGCATTATTAAGACTGAGCAAGTCACTTAACCTTTCTGAGCCTCCTTTTCACTGTCTGTAAATGAGGGATAATAATAATAATAATACCTGTTTGTTATGGGATAAGGCTAAATGATATACATGAAAATACTGTATAGACTCCTATAAGTTTAGGTATTGTTGTCATTTTCTCATTTTGGATCCAGGTACCTGAGTATTTGTCTACAGGAAGTAAAAAATAGACTTTCCCAATGTTGTTGGAATGTTGGTGGCTTAGATGGATTTCTCTTTTAAGAAATACTCAATGTGGTACTTTTATCTGATTAATCAGACCTCGAAAATAGTGCTCCGTCCTTCATGATATACAGTCACACACCCAGACATTCAGCTTGAGTAGAGCCAGCCATATTTTTGTGCCCACGCTCCGTTTAAGCCTAGAACCTTTGCGCCGCTTTTCAGTGAGTTTCCCGACTGCAGTAACTAAATGATGTTAAACTGGAACAAGATACCCAGTGGTTTTAGTACTACCTGATTTAGCTGTCTCTTTGATTTTGTTGTGCTAGAAAAAATTTCAGTTTGGAGACTGACTAAAATAACCCTGGTTATTCTCAAATCTTTGATGACATCCTTTTACAAACAGCGAGCCAGTGGCACAGCATCAACTTTAAAATGGAAATTTGCAACTTCAGGCATTTTGCTTTTTTTTCATTCTCTGTTTAGTGTGCCTAAACAAGCCAAAATAAGGTGCAAAATGATTTTTCTGTAGTATCTGAATAAGTTTGCAAACATCGTTAAACAATTCAACTTGATTAAAGCTCACCACTTAATAAGCATTTACACATACATTTTTGTTCACCTGTTGTGCTTCCTTTTCATCTTTGCTTCTAGTTTTCAGAATTCTCTCAGGCTTCTTGGCTGTTAATCATACTAATTTCTCGTACATCCTAGGAGTAATGTAAAGTTGAAGTAAGTATGTTTATGGTACTATTGCTAGGTACCATATGATTAGTACCAACTCTGTGTTGGAGATGGTGCTCTTTCTGTCCCCTTTAGTCCTGACTACAACCTGATGAGGTACATAGTATCAAAGTATTTTTACGAATAAATAAGCTTCAGTTTACCCATCGTATTCTTTCTTACCATACTTTTGTTTTTAAGACAATTTTATTGAGGTACAGTTGACATAAAATGAACTGTATGTATTTTACTTGAACCATTTGATATATTTTGACATATGTATACACCATTGAAACTATTACCGCACTCAGGATAATGAATACATCTGTTACCTTCAGACGTTTCTTCTTGCCCCTTAGTGATATCTCTCTCCCATCCCCAGAGATTAGATTACATTGTATGATTGGGATCATACAGTATATACTCTTTTTTGGTCTGTCTTCATTCTGCATAATTTTTAATTCCTGCAATATACAAAATATATCTTATTCAACTGTTATCAGTAAGTCTTCTAATCAGCAGCTGGCTATTAGTTGGTAAGATTTTGGGGAGTCAAAAGCTATGTGCAGATTTCCAACTGCACAGGGGGTTGGTGCTCCTAACCCTCACATTGTTCAAAGATTAACCATATCATATGTTCAAAAAGCTAAGTAGAGACACAGAAGATATGTTATTAAACTTCTAGAGATGAAGTTATGTTATTAAACAACATGTGAGATGAAAAGTGCACTGGTTAGGATAAACCACAGATTCGATGCTGCGGGAAGAAATGATTTATGACCTTGGAGGCAGCATAGAATCTATCCAAAAACGCAGAGAACATAGACTGGAAAAGAGGGTGTGGTGACAGAGCATCAGTGAGTTGTGATAAAACTTTGGGCAGACTAATACCTACATAGTTAGAATCTTAGGTAAAAAGGTAGGGGAGGGAAGAGGGGCAGAAAATAAGATTATTTAGCCCATTTAAAATTATCACCTCAAGGTAGATGGTGACAAGTTAAAGGTGTGCACTATAAATCCAAAAACACTACTAAAAATAATTACAGTTAAGAACCCATCAAAGGAGAAGAAAATGTAATCATAAAAAATATCCAATTAATCCAAATGAAGGTAGAAATACAAAAAGGGGAAAGAACAGAAGAGATAAACAGAAGTACAGTAAATTTAAATGTAACCATATGACAAAGCAAAATAAGTGTAAATGGCCTAAATATTAAAAGGCAGAGATTGTGAGACTGAATCAACAAGCAAGACTCAACTATATACTGCCTATGTAAAATATACTTCAAATACAAAAATATCAATAGGCTGAAAATAAAATGATGTAAAAATAAATACCATGCTATCACTAATCAAGTGTACATTTATACATTTCAAGTGTATAAGTATGCATTTCAGCAAGAGACAGCTGAAATGGCTACATTAATATAAGACAAACTAGATTTCAAAGCTCAGAAGATTTACAGGGAAAAAGGAGGTTATTAATACAAGATAAACAGTCAATTCAACAAAACATTTTAAAATGATAATGCATTTAATAACACTGTTTCAAAACATATGAAGCAAAAACTGATGGAACTTCAAAGGAAATAGAAATTATTGTGCTTCCAATTGTTGAAGACTTTAGTATTCTTCTCTCAATAATTGATGGACTGAGAAGATGGGAAGAGGGAAGTAAGGCTATAAACGATTTGAAGATTATCCGATAACTTGACCTAAATGACATTTATAGCAACAATGGAATTAAATTAGAAATCAGTATTAGAAAGCTCTCTGGAAGAGCCCAAGTACTCAGGAACCCACACTTCTAAATAACTCATGGGCCAAAGGAGAAATCAAAATTAAGTTAGAAAGTTTTATATTTGACTAGAGATTTTATAAGTTAATAATATACTGAAATCCATTGAATTGTATGCTTTAAACAGGTGAATTGGTATGTGAATTATATGTCAATAAAGGCTTTTTTTTTTAAAAATAAAGTCAGTAATAAATGCATCCTTCTTCGCTCATAGGTTCATTCCTTCTCTTTTAAAATTATGGAGGCTACATGGGTTAATGAAAGTAAATCAGAAGAGGGGTGGAGCAGACAAAAATGTTAACTTTAGCTCCAAGATTTTAAGAAATTATTTAACTGGGAAAATTAAGTTTTCATAGCCTCTTATGTGTAAAATGAGATGGGTATTAGTGAACACACTTCTCTCACTTGTCAGGTACATAAAATTTTTTTTTATGTTAGATATTTCTTTCTAAAGAACTTGTACTATCAAGACTCATTTTAAGAGTAAATATAAAATAAGGAGGTATGTGTTCTTTGATTACATCAATCTATAAGCACTGTATTTTATGAGGCAGGCATATCACAAAAGCGTTAATCACACAACCTACGTTGCAACATTTCCTACATCCCAACAATCTTGATTTGGTTATGTAGTTTGGTTTTGTTTTTCTTTTATGAACCTAATAGCGTGTTTGTTTTAATGCTACTTTTTGTTTATTTTAGCCTCCTCTCTAACATTTTGCAGGCTGCCCTGTATAAAATTAACACCTCTGGAACATCCTGACATATATTTGGCCTTGTGAATAACACTTTAATGTATCTTTAACTGTCTTCTAATTGGATTTTTCAGGCCTCCCTTCCCCATTTTTTTGCACTTGTTAACAATAGAAAGATTACTAACCAAAAAAATTAAAATTTTTAGAATTGTATTTTAAGTGATAATACTTAATGTCAAAATGAAAGTGCACAGTCAAAATGAAAGTGCACAGTAGTTACTGAATTAGGTTCCATGGAGGAAAACGACGTGTAAACTAGACACTCCAATAAAGGGAATTTAATACAAAGAAATATTTGCAGAGGTGTTGGGAAGAGTGAAAAACTAAGGAATAGGAGGTAACCAAGAGACTAATTGAAGGAAGTCTAAGACTCTAGAGGAGAAGGCAGGACCTGATTGTCCAGTGGGGACTGGGTTGTAGAGGATAGGCTGCCTGGCAATGCTCGACACCCAGCCTGAAATGATGGCAGTCGTGCTTGTCTTCTTACTACTCCTAACTTTGGACTCCTCACTTTGAACTCCTGACAGTGTCTTACATTGTATGAACCCATCTGGAAACCACTAGGCACAGGAACCCGGGACATAACTTACAATAGCCCTCCTGGGTTGCACATCCTAGCAGGGCAGAGTGCAGTAAGGAACGAATGAGAGTTGACTGCCAAATGAACAGGACAGTCATCCACATTGCTGTCAGAAATGGTGATACACACAAGTAGAGGCAGAGTTCACACATCATGCGGATAAAGTTGGCACATATTTTTGTTTACTAGTTGATTTAGGTTGGGTTTCTCCAAAAGGCAGGCCCTGTGCCAAACATTTGAGTGAAGTGACTTATTGTGGAAAACCTCTTAGGAGAAATAAGTGAAGAAATATGGGAAGCAGGATGGGGGGGAGGGAAGAAGCCAAGGAAGGAAGTGATTCTGGTGAAGAAAGGCCCAGTCTCAGCCTGGTGCAGAGGGGAGCTTGCACCTCAAAGTTTTTCTTACATTGAACCAAGGGTGCTAGGTCTTTAGATCTCTCCTCCCTCCCTCCTTCCCAAAAACATACACAACACCAGCTTGGATACAGAGCAGCAGAGCAAGGCAGTTCTGTGAAGTTTGTCCCTGGCAGCCCTTAGCAGTGAAGCACTCAGCTGGGAATTGGACACAGCACAGGCAAAAAGGCTTATGGGCAGGAAGAGCAAACACCAGCTAAAGCAGTGCTGCTTCATGACTAGAATAAAAATACAGCCTGCAACTTACTCAGCCTGACAACTCTGAGGTGTGATTTTTGACTATGTTTACTTTGTTGGGAATTCTCATAATTTGAAATTTTGTATAAAAGGTGAATTTATGTTAATAATTTTATATGGCACTTTGTTAAAAGGTTGATTGAGGGAGGATTAAATATTTTAAAAATATAGTTATTTGAAATTTCATGTAACCTCCATAGTAAGTTCCCATTAAATCTTTTCTTTCCAGTCTGTTTCCTTTATGAGCTTACTCTATCCAAGTGGTGTCCTGATACCTAGTTTTTCATTGTAGAAATATACCCAAAACTAATTATTTTAATGTCTGGTCATATTACTACAATTCGCTTCTTTGTTCTTTAGTACTTAGTACTTTTAGATTTGGGGCTTACCTGATTTGTCTTTAGCCAGGCAGTGAAATCAATTTCACTCTTTCCTGTTGTACTTTATCTTTTAAAAAAAAAAAATCTCAGTATAGTTCTGATTAAAATTTCCTTTCTGAGTCCTAAATGCTTTAAATCTTCTTTTCCCATTCTTTTTACTTCTCCTATCCATAGTTACAAGTTCTTACGCATGACATATCTCTTGGCTGATAAGTTTAACTGCTTAAGCACCTGTTTATGTTTCATTTTTAACATAGCCAGTTACTATTATGCTTGGATATACACAATGAGGGAGTTTGTGGCTTTGTTTTCCCTTTCCACAGACGTCTCTAATCTCCTTTATTAAATGCTTTGTATTTCTACTAATTAGTATACATAGCTAAACTTTTTGTTTTTGTTTTTTGAGACATAGTAGTCTTACTCTGTTGCCCAGACTGGAGTGCAGTGGTGCAATCACGGCTCACTGCAGCCTCGGCCTCCCCAGCTCAAGCAGTCCTCCTGCCTCAGCCTTCCAAGTAGCTGGGACTATAGGCATGGACCACTACACCTGGCTAATTTTTTATTTTTTAGAAATGAGGTCCCACTGTCTTGCCCAGGCTGGTCTCAAACACCTGGGCTCAAACAGTTCTCCTGCCTTTGCTACCAAAGCGCTGAGTCACACCTGGCCACACAGCTCAACTTTAACTCTCCTGTTTTTCCCCTTTAAGTTTTTTCTTTAAATTAGGGTTGACAAACTTTCACTAAAGGACTTGAAAGTATTTTAGACATTGTAGGCCATAAGATCTCAGTTGCCACTAATCAGCTCTGCCCTTGTAGTGAAAAAGCAGCCATAGGTAATATGCAACTTCATGCATTTGTCTGGGTTTCAATAAAACTCTTATTTATGGACACTGAACTTTAAATCTCATTTTTCCACATTTGTATGTCTTCCTTTGATCCCCTCCTCCCCCATTGCACTATAAAAGCCATTCTTGGCTTATGTGCCATAGTTTGTCAACCCCTGCTTTAAATGCAGTCTTTGATATGCTTCTGTTGCCTAACCCAGTTACTCACTATTATTACCATAATCTGTGTTGCTAATTACGGAGATCTTTTGCACCTTGCAGCAGGAGACAAGGATGTTCAATAATTTCAGAGCTAAACTCAAAGTATTAAATGCCAGCCTGCTTTGGGGCTTCAGAGATTTTTAAATTCATTGATTTTAAGGGGCATTTGATTTTAAGAGGTGTTTGACAAGAACAGATTTTAAGAGGTATTTGGCAAAAGTTGCTTAGAAGAAAATTATTTGCAAATCATATGCCGTATTCCATTTGTTAGTTGAGTAGATGATAATGGGAATGATACTTATTCAGCATAACATTTGTCTAACTCTTGTAATTGACAGAGTACTTCCACACACATGATCTCACCTGGTCTTCACCATGTGTACTAAGGATAAAGATAGTACAAGTTTAGTATCCCTTATCTAAGTGTTTGGGACCAGGATTGTGTTGCATTTTTTATTTTTATTTTTTTTCTGATTTCGGAATATTTGCATATACATAAGGCAATATCATGGGGATGGGACCCAAGTCTGAACATGAAATTAATTTATGTTTTACATATACCTTATAATATAGCCAGATGGCATCATTATACAGTATTTTTACTAGTTTTGTGCATGAAGTAAAGTTTGTATTAAGCATTTAATGTGTGGAATTTTCCACTTGTGGCATCATATTAGCATTCAAAAAGTTGCAGATTTTGGAGCATTGTGGATTTTGGATTTTCAGATTGGGGTGCTCAACTTGTGTGTTATCCTCACTCTTGTGTGTGAGGGTAACACTTGCATGTTACCCTTATCTAAAGAGGATATATCATAGAGGTTAAGTGACTTGCTTGTGTCCACTAATTATGCAGTGACAGAACCGAGGCTTCTTGTCCATTGAACACTCACAGATTTTAGAAATGAAAAGCATGATATCATCACATTTAATTTTATCATTTTATAAAAGAGAACCCAAGACCCACAGAGCCAGCTCTCAGGAACCTTCATCTCCCAGTTACTAGGCCAGTGTACTTTCTCTTAGGGTCTGTCTCACCTAGAAATAACTAAATTGAAATTTGTTAATATTGTTGTATATAGATACTTTTATTTTAATTTTTTCTTAATATCTTAAAAAGTATAAAGTAAAATGTTTAAGTGCCTGTTAGTATATTTTATTAGTCAACAATGGTTCAAAGCTAAAACTCTTGGATTTTAGTACATGTGGAATAAAAGCAAATCTAACCTTTGTTCCTTTGCAGCACCAGCATTGGATGTTGATTGGCAGAGCAACAACACCTTTGCTTCTTGTAGTACAGATATGTGCATTCATGTCTGTAAATTAGGACAAGACAGACCTATTAAAACATTCCAAGGACATACGGTAAGAAACCTTTTTTCCACATTAAAGTGGTCATGATTAACAAGTAATGTTTCAGAATAGTTTTAAAGTATGTATGTTTAATATTCAAGTAGCTACCCAGTCTATACAATGAAAATGTGAATATTTACTATTATTTTTAGAATGAAGTAAATGCTATCAAATGGGACCCAACTGGCAATCTCTTGGCCTCCTGTTCTGACGACATGACTTTAAAGGTAATTTGCTTAGTAGGGAGAAATGGGTTGGCGGTGTCACACAGTATGGTTGCTCTGGCCATTTTAAGACCATTTAGAATGTCTGTCTTACATGGAGTGTTTGTACCTGCATGAAAACTCCAACATTTTAAATGGCTAACCATTGTTTTTTAAATTTTATAGTTTCTTTTCTGAAATACATAAAACTATTTGAATGTAGCAAATTATATTAAAATGATGGCTTGTGATACAATGAGACATATGATACCCTATTAGTTAGGGCTCTCCAGAGAAACAGAACCAATAAGAAGATGGATGGATGGATGGATGGATGGATGGATGGATGAGAGATTTACTGTGAGAAATTGACTCACGTGATTATAGAGGCTGAGAAGTCCCACAGTCTGCTGTCTACAAGCTGGAGACCCATGAAAGATGGAGGTGTGGTTCCATTCCAGGGCCAGAGAAGGAGTGCCAATGGTGTAAGTCCCAGTCCAAGAGCAGAAGACCAATATACCAACTCAGCAGTCAGGCTGAGGCAGAGAATTCTTGCTTCCTTGGCGGTTTTGTTCTGTTTAGAGCCTCACTGGACTGAGTGATGCCCCCCCCGCCGCCCATTGGGGAGGGTGGCAGTCTGCTTTTCTCAGTCAGCTAAGTTAAATGCCTGTCTCAACTGGGAACACCCTCAGACACAGCCGGAAATAATGTCTCACCAAATATCTGTACCCTGTGACTCAGTCAAGAAGACAGATAAAATTAGACATCACCAATAGTAAGAAAGGTCATGCTATAAATTGTCTTCACCATTAGAAAGTCATATGTTGAGGCAATTAAAGTTTATTTGCAATTAAAGTTTATTTGCATATGTAAAGATTTGACTTAATAAGTACTCAAAATCTTTGTAGCATTCATGGATTTGATTGGAATTCTTTGCGTTGTATTAATTTGATTTTGCTGTGGTATGACTATGTATCACCATTGCTGGGAAACTGATACATAGCAGAGAATCTCTCAGTGAGCGAGCCTAGTTGACATACCAACATCCACATCTCAACATGGATCTCTGTTTTTCTTGTTGTATGACTAAAAGCAAAACTGCTGTCTCGCACCTAAGCACACCAGATTCCTCATTTGGGGAAAAAAGCATTTGGAGATAAAGAACAACGTAATACTTATTTCCAAAATAAATGAAGCTTTGAGCCCTCTCCTGCAACAGCTAACCCTCTACTGAAAACAGTTTTATCCTTGACTTTGCAGTACCAAGGACTGCAGATGTGATGACCGTTACAGATATGAAAATCATGAGGGAAAACTGATTTTCCTGCTACTATGAACAGATTAAATTTAACTTTGCGAAACTTGTGAGGTTTTCTCCTTTAAGTATCTGCTATGTTTTTAGACAGTTCTTCTTAAGTCTGGGCTCCCTTACAAAATTGCTAGTATTAATACTCTTCTTAATGCTTTCATCTTTGGCTTTTCCTTATGTGCACACGTATTAATGCTTATAACATGAAAAAAACTTCTTCTGGAACTGTGTGTGACACATATGAGGAAATGACAGAAGGGCAGTGTCCAGAGGGCCTTGTGCCACATATTGAGTTGAAGCTGGAGAGAGGTTAAAACTAGAAATTGTTAGAGAGCTTTTCTTCATCCTAAGAATGTTTAAATGTCACAAAGGATTTTAAAGCAAAAACTAGGATGGATGGATAATGTGTAATGGGCCGTTTTCTGAGAAGAGGGAATGCCAGATGGAATGAGAAGGTGACGCTGAGTCATGCGAATGGAGGAGATAGGTGGGACTGATGCTTAGAGAACTGTAAGCTCAAGATTAAAAACTGGGAATTCTCAGCAGATAGGTGGTCTTTAAAATCCTTGGGCATGGCCAGGCCTGGTGGTTCACTGTTGGGGTTCAATCAGGCTGGTGGGAAAAATATTAGAGATAGTTATAGAAATAGACACATATCTTCTTGGAAAACTGAGAAGTAACTTCAGTAATAGATCTGGCTGAACGCGGCCTGGTTCCTTTACCTTTAGTTAAACAAATTAAACTAGTAATAAAGGAAGGCAGGGTAGTTTACCTAGCTAGCTTGTTTACTCATATAATATTAAGACTAACCTTTGATGTGCCATGGGTGCTTAAGTGCTTTTTACTTGGGAAGTCCACAATGTCAGTTACCCTCTAATGGTGTTGACTCAAGCCTTTGTGAATTAATCTTACTGAATAAATTTGAGTCTCACTAGCGGATAGGGCCATGGTCGCAACTGTTTACAGAACTCTCCAGGGAGTCTGTAAATGGCTCGGACACCCTCAGCTGGACTGGCGAAACAGGATATCTGTGTGTTAGTGTACTTTATTCATCCATTGCTGGGTCAGGGTCTGCAGGCAGACACCCACAGCTAGTGCCCCCATGTTGCCACAGCTCATGCCTATAATTAAAGCACTTTGGGAGGCCGACGTGGGCAGTTCACTTGAGGTCAGGAGTTCAAGACCAGGCTGGTCAACATGGTGAAACCCCATCTCTGCTAAATATACCAAATTTAGCCGAGCGTGGCGGCAGGTGCCTATAATCCCAGCTACTCTGGAGGCTGAGGCAGGAGAATTGCGTGAACCCGGGGGACGGAGTTGCAGTGAGCCAAGATTGTGGTGCTGCACTCCAGCCTGGGCAAGAGAGTGAGACTTCATCTCCAAAAAAAAAAAAAAAAAATTGGGGCAGGGACAAAACTGTGTAGGTAGTACAGAGTAAGAAAAGAGGGGACCTAAAAAAGTGAGTCTTAGAAACTCTAACAATCACCAAATCAAGAGGGATGAGCTTTCCAAAGGAAACTGAGAAGGTGACTGAGAAAGTGGAAAAAGAAAGTATGTAGAGGAAACTTATTTCAAGGGAGGTAAGAGTTGAGAGTGGCCAACAGTATCAAATTCTATGAATTAGAAAGGTCTAATGAAATCAGTTCTGAAAACATGTCGTTCAGATTTATTTTACTTGGGGTTGTAAATACATAGGGCACCAAAAACACTCTGATGCTTCATTATCTTTTAATGGTTATGTCACGGAAATGTAAAGTTGAGCTGATTTTTTTCTTGGTTGGCCCTCCTTGGGTTTGGCATGTTGTATGTGTATGTGTTAAGGAGATAACTGCAGGACCTACCATGTCTTTATTGAGTGATTTTTTTTTTCCCAGAAATACTCTTCGTGTTGATTTCTATGAATTTTTGCTCAAAAATAATAGTCACTTGAAATCTATACACACAGGCATATTTTCATCTCAGGAAAGGCTTATTCTCTACTTTGACTACTTTTTTCTACTTTTTTTTTTTCCTACTTTTCATTTGAGCTTTATTTCCTATGCTACTTTTTACGGTTCTCTGTGAGTCCTCATTATTTATAAGTTGGTTATTTATTTTCAGTTCTCCATTGTAAAATTTTCCTGATTCTAAAATTCTAAGAGCAGTTTATTATGTAGATCTTTTGCTTAAGGGACAGTGTAAAAACTGTGCCTTCAACATTTTAGGATCGTTAACTAATCTCAGAACAACTATAGTTAATTCAGTCTTCAAACTTTGTAATAGTGAATATTTTTAAAGGGCTTAAAGCTAACTTTTTTTTTTAAACAGAGATGTAAATATTAAATATATCCTATTGCATTTCAGTTTCTTTGTAAATATTCTATCATCATTCTGGTTATATCACTCATGTTTTAGACTGTCCATATAATATTTTAAGTGTCAAAATAATATTTTAAATATACTCATTGTATGGAAAAATAATTGTATACATTTTTCTTTTTTGTTTAGATATGGAGTATGAAACAAGACAATTGTGTCCATGATTTGCAAGCACATAATAAAGAAATTTATACTATCAAATGGAGTCCAACAGGACCAGGGACTAATAATCCAAATGCCAACCTTATGTTAGCAAGGTGATACTTCTGTTTCATTTTTCCTTTTATGAGTCTTCTACAAATCAGACTTCCAATAGATATGACAGAAGTTTAGGGAAGATTTCATGAAGTGGAAACTTTTTTTTTTTTTTTTCCAATTTCAGTAGTTTTTGGTGTATAGGTGGTTTTTGGCTACAAGAATAAATTCTTTAGTGCTGATTTCTGTGCACTGGTTTTGCAAGCAGTGTAGTGTACCCAGTGTGTAGTCTTTTATTCCTCACCTCTCTTCTCAGCCTTCTCCCCACTCCCACCTCCAGTCCACAAAGTTCATTATATCATTCTTATACCTTTGTGTCCTCATAGCTTAGCTCCCACTTACAAGTCAGAACATGATATTTGGTTTTCCATTCCCGAGTTATTTCACTTAGCATGATGGCCTCCAGCTCTATCCAAGTCACTGCAAAGGACAATATTTTATTTCTTTTTATGGCTAAGTAGTATTCCATGGTGTATGTATACCACATTTTCTTTATCCACTTGTTAGCTGATGGGCACTTACGTCGGTTCCTTAAGGGGAATCTTTAAACACTGAGTTTTATTATTGTTTCAAGTTATAATGATATTCTATATTGAAATAATCAAATATTGACTGATACCAAATACTGATTAAAATCCAAGCAATTGAGGCATAGCAAAATCTTCAGTATCTTTAGAAAAAAAAAAGATAAATGGAAAAATGTGGTCACTTTGGTGTTCAAAACCATGCGAAAGAGGGATTATTTAGACAGAGAGGAATACAGTAAATGAGCACATTTACGTTTTCTACTCCTGGACTTGGGAGATTCCTTTAAGTTGTTTTTTTCGCTTGTTTAGCTTTTAATTTCTAGAACACTTGCTCTTCTTTCTAAATTTCATTTATTTATTATTTTCTTGTCACTGACTTGAAGATCACAGAATATTCTTCCTAACAGTCCAGTCGGTCTGCTTCTCATAAAGAATTTTGGCTATTAGATTTGGCTGAATATGGGAGGTTGGGTGGGAGCAAGGCTGGGGGAGTATTTCCTTACTTATAAATTAACTTTCTTTCCTTCCTTTTTCAGTGCATCCTTTGATTCTACTGTTAGGTTATGGGATGTAGACCGAGGGATATGCATCCATACCTTGACAAAACACCAAGAGCCTGTGTACAGTGTAGCTTTCAGTCCTGATGGCAGGTATCTGGCAAGTGGTTCTTTTGACAAATGTGTACACATCTGGAACACGCAGGTATGTCTTCATTATTTAAATGGTCAAGTGCTCTTAAATTTAGGTAGAAGCATTTGCCTATACACTCTGCCTCACCATTTGGTTGTCATTCCTCTTGTGGCATTAATTGAATTATTGGTTTTAAAATAAGATAGAAACTAATGGAAGTTATATCTTTATGGAGACTGGAATTTTGAAATGGATTTTGATCATTTGTTTTATTATTTATTATTGTATTCTTTTGTTTTTTTCCAACGGTTTTGCAGATATCAGATGTGAATGTTTAAGATGTATTTATTTAGATAAATGACAGATTTTATTTTTCAAAATAGTTGTCTCCGAAGGAGCTATATGTGAGCAGTAAAAGTCAAAGGACCAGATTTTATGGCTGAATGCAATAATTTATGAGAAAGAAACTTACAACTACATTACCTTTTCAGGTAGTATGTATGGTGTTTCAGAGATTCTTAGAAGTGGAGAAAACAGTCTGTTGCTTTCAATTTTTTAAATCTTCTCAATGTTTTAGTTTTTTGCTCTATGTACTATACTTTTTTAATAGCAGTCACTGAACTCACCCCTCTCAGTTATCGGATCTTTGTTGGTTGTAGTGCACACATAATAAGTTGTTATGGTGTATTTCTCTTTGTGTAGGTGTCCGCCACCATGGTTCATTTCACAAATTAATTTTCATCACTTACTTTGAAGATTTTTAAATTACTTCATACATGCATACAGTTCAGAAAAAACCTCAAACCTTGTATAAAGGTATACACTGAGAAACTTTGTTCCTCTCCTGCTGGTAACAATTTTTATTAGTTTTTATTTCTTCCTAGCTTCTTTATGAATAAAAGCATTGTGCTTCTTCCATTTTACACTACTGCTGACAATATAAAGTAATATTTTACCGCACAGTTCAATCCATTAGTGATAAATGGTATTTCAGCATAGTTTTAAATTTGCATTTTCTTATGAATGACATTAGGAATCTTTTTTTATATATTTAAGCACACTTGTTAATTTTTCTGTGAACTGTTTGATCATGTTTTTTCCATTATTTTCAACTGGGTTATTCATTGTCTTTGATTTCTAGCAGCTCTTTATAGACTAAAAAACTAAACCCTTTGTAATGTGGTTGCAGATTTTTGCTAGTTGAACAAATGATTATTAAGCCTGAATCTTACATTACATTTTAATAAAATTTTTTAATATTTATTTTTGTTTTTCTTTAAATAGAAACGGGATCTTTCTATGTTGCCTGGGCTGGCCTTGAACTCCTGGGCCCAAGGGATCCTCCCACCTCAGCCTCCCAAAGTGCTGGGATTACAGGCATGAGCCACCATGAGCCTTCTAATAAAATTTTAGGCTGCACATGGTGGCTCATGCCTGTAATCCCAGCACTTTGGGAGGCCAAGGCGGGCAGTTCTCTTGAGGTCAGGAGTTCAAGACCAGCTGGTCAACATGGTGAAACCCCATCTCTCCTAAAAATACAAAAATTAGCCAGGTGTGGTGACATGTCTGTAGTCTCAGCTACTCGGGAGGCTGAGGCAGGAGAATTGCTTGAACCCAGAAGTGGAGGTTGTAGTGAGCCAAGATCACACCACGGCACTCCAGCCCGGGCAACAGAGTGAGACCCTGTCTCAAAAAAAAAAAATAAAAATTAAGTAAAAATGTTCTGCTTTAATTTTTATTATTACTTCCTTACCTCTACTCCCATATTTGCTGTCTTTATGAATATATGCCTATGTTGGATATATTCTGTAACTATGATATATATGCCTTAAAAACTCTTTCCTAAATTTTAGTTTAACTTTGTGTTTGTGGGAAGACACTAATCATACACCCAGCTAAACTTTATTTTTCATTTTTATTTTTATTTTTTGAGATGAAGTCTCGCTCTTGTGCCCCAGGCTGGAGTGCGATGGCACGATCTCGGCTAACTGCAACCTCCACCTCCTGGGTTCAAGCGATTCTCCTGCCTCAGCCCCATGAGTAGCTGGGATTATAGGTGCCTGCCACCACACCCGGCTAGTTTTGGTATTTTTAGTAGAGATGGAGTTTCACCATGTTGGCCAGGCTGGTCCCAGACTCCTGACCTCAGGTCATCCACCCGCCTTGGCCTCCCAAAGTGCTGGGATTACAGGTGTGAGCCACCATGCCCGGCCTCACCCAACTAAACTTTTTAAAACTGAACAACAGTTACAGAGTTGATGAAAGTGAATCTAAATCTAAATAATATCATTTCCATGTATATTCAAGTTAGTATTTGTTCATTTTCACTTTTAATAATTATACATTTCAAACAGAAAATAATATAACACTCATATATCTACTGCTCAGATTTAATTGATAAGAACATGTTGCCACACTGTTGTGAATCTCTTCCTTCCTATTTTTACCTGATAAAATGTTATAGATACAGATAAAGTGTTCACCTCCATTTTCCTCTTCCTTCCTAGAGGCTATAGCAATCCTGAAGAGAGTGCCTGTCATTCCCATGATAAATGATATATACTACTATTTTCTGTGGTAAAATTGTAATTAATCATGCTGTTGTGAATCTTCTATTGTATGTCTTTTCAAGCTAGTGTTTTTTACCACTTCTTTGAAATATCACATTAATACTTGTACCTCTAGAATGATTATTTATTTAGACTATTCCAGAGCATTATATGAATATATTAATATATTCATTAATAATATATTCATAATATGAATATATTAATTTTCAAATTTATTTTCCTATTGGGGGATTTAAAAATGTACAACATTGCTGGAACATCCATCCACGTTTTCTTGTGCACATGAATGAAAGTTTCTCTAACGCTTCTCTGTGTGTGTCTGTCTCTCTCTCTCTCTCTCTATATATATATACACACACACACACATACACACACACACCTGTGCATAGCATATCCTGTAAGTGGAAGTCATGGCCCATACGGTATATTTACGTGCTTGTGCCTAACTGCTCTTCAACGTGCATACACCCATTTACATTTCTAATCACAATATTTAGGATTTCCCATTTTCCTTTATCTTTAGGTTATCAGACTGGTGAACATTTTTCCAATTACATGGATATGAAACATTTTGTATTTGCATTTTCTTGATTGTCAATTAGTTTAAATATCTTTTCAAATAGTTATTATACAGTTGGACTTTAGCATTTTAGTTCACCACCACCACCACAATTTTTCAATTGTTTTATATTCTGTACTGATTAGTGTTCATTATGCATTCTGGGTACTAATCCTTCCTGGTTATATGGATTCCAGTGATCTCCCAGTACCTTCTTTTTTATTTTCTTCATGTGGAGTGTTTATCACGTAGAAGTTTTGTGGGGTTTTTTGGTTGTTGTTTTGTTTTGTCTTGAGATAGAGTCTCACTATGTCGCCTAGGCTGGAATGCAGTGGCAGATCAAGGCTTACTGCAGCCTTGGCCTTCCTGGGCTTAGCTAATCCTCCCACCTCAGCCTTCCAAGTAGCTGGGATCACAGCTGCATGCCACCACACCCCACTAATTTTTGTATTTTTCTGTAGAGACCGGGTTTTGCCATGTTGCCCAGTCTGGCCTCAACCCCCTAGGCTCAAGGGATCCACTTGCCTCAGCCTTCCAAAGTATTCCTGGGATTACAGGCATGAGGCATCACGCCCAGATCATATGAAAGTTTTTAATGTTAATGTTTAGATGTATTTATCTTTCTTTTTAAAATTAGTTGATTATTTTTAGAGATAGGGTCTTGCTGTGTTACCCAGGCTGGACTCCTCAGCTCAAGAGATCCTTTGACCTCAGCATTCTGTGTAGCTGGGTCTACAGGCACATGCCACTGTGCCCGGCTAGATCTTTCCTTTTTGATAGCTTTTTTTTTTTTTCATAGCTTAATACATTTTTCCTTATAGATATCACTGAGGTCTGATATTTTTTCATGAAGTATCTAAGTTTTATTCCTTTACATTTATTTTTTTAGCCCCTTTGGAACTGATTTTTATATATGGTGTGAGGTATAGATATTTCCATTTGGGTAGTCAGTTGTCTTAGCACCATTCATTGTCCCCTTTCTGTTTTCATAATGCCGGTTTCATATACCTAGTTCATGTATATGCAGTTTGTTTATTACCTTCTCTTTTATTCCATTTACGTATTTGCCTTATCTGAATCAATAGCATAGTTTTAATAATTCTAACTTTATAAATCCCTCTTGTTGTTATTCTTCAAAACTGTTTTTCTGTTCTTGCCACTTTAGTCATCCATATTTCCAAAACAGAGCACACAATTTTGGATTTTGTTTATGAGTGCCTTGAATTTATAGGTGAAATTAGGGAAAATCGTTATTGAGTTTTATCACCCATAAATACGTTATACCTCCATTTATTTGTCTTTTATTCCTTTGGTAAAGTTTTATAGTTTCTCTAAGGATCTTTTTTCCTAATGTGTTTTGAGGTGCCTTATGGTTTTTATGTTACTATGAATGACCTCTTTTAAAAAATACATTCCTTTTATATACTAGTTGTTGCTCACATTTAGAACATTTTCAGTGAACTCATTTAGTCCATTGTGACAAAATCAATTTTAATGAAATTTGGGCATAGAACTGTAGAGTGCTAATGGAAGATACTACAAGACATTGAAGGGCATTTGACCAACTGTTCATATTATTTTGTTTTCACTATTGTGTACCAAAAGTCTTACTTTTTCAAACTTTGAAAATAGTAAAACAGTGAATTTTCAGTGCAGGAGAAAATCATTATCCTATTGTTGTATATACATCCAGGTTTTTTGTTTTCCCCTTTCTTGTATGATGAGTTGCCTAAGCATTTGATGAGTAAATTGTAGAAGTCTTGTGCCAGCATACATACAAATTTGAGGTAGATGCCGATGATCTGAGCCATTGGCCTTTTTAAATGTCTTAGCTCTGCCTTGTTGCCCATAATGTTTTGGTTCGTTATAGCCCAGTTCAAGCTTAGAGATTGGTAAGTGCTTTTTAAAAGAAAGTTGTTTTGTTTTTTTAACCCCCAAGTTGGCTGTAGATTGAATGTCTGTAGGTTGACTGTAGATTTTATTTTTTATATCTCAGCAAACTAGATTTTGTTGGTTCTACTTTTTTCTCTCCTCATTAACTATAGATACTCAAAGCCTACTATACTTGAACTTAATCTCATAAATTATGAGAAATTTTAAGTAAACAAAACAGTTGAGCCTTCCCAGCCTGATAATCAGTAGCAATGTGTCAGTACCAATGCATCTGTGATTTGTGCCACATTACTGGGCTAAATTTGAAGAGGAAAGCTCGGTCAAACATTCTTCCAGCTTGTCATCTTGGATAGGCTGAATGGGAGGTATTTTCAAGGTGCATGGTTTGTTGCCATGTGCTTTTAAGTAGATCTGCCACCTCTAGCTTGACTTTAGGTTACCATAAAGCTGCAGAGGTCACTTTTCTGATTTGTCAGGGCCGAACACCTGAAGCATATATTTCAGTTTTCATAACAGGACCTCTGATCTTTGTCCTGTTATATTGACTGGTTTCATAGGAGAATATATTTTTGGATTGAGTTTTAATTCTTCAGTAGCAGCTGAATAATAAAATAACGTTGTTACATTTATGATTCAGCTTAATGAATGATTACATTATTAGTATTCCTGCCTGTGTTTTTTGTTTAAACATATAACGTCTTTCAAGAATAGTGTACATATCTGTCTGGGCACTGTGGTGCATGCTTATAATCCCAACATTTTGGGAGGCCAGGGTGGGTGGATTGCTTGAGGCCAGGAGTTCAAGACCAGCCTGGGCAACACGGTGAGACCTTGTCTCTACAAATAATTTTTTAAAAATCAGCTGGGCATGGTGGCATGCACTTGTAATCCTAGCTACTTAGGAGGTGGAGGCGGGAGGATCACTCTAGCCCAGGAGTTAGAAGGTGCAGTGAGCTATGATTGCACAGCTGCATCCATCCTGGGTAACAACAAGACCCTGTCTAAAGAAAAAAAAGGAACATACATACATTATTTTAGCTTCTTTTATAATCCCCTAGCTTAGGAACTGGTCAGTAAATATAGAGTGAATAACAGATTTATACTGGAATTATCTTTACTAGTTTGTTATACTTCCTCTTTAAGATGTTTTGTCAAAGAAATTCTGAATTTATTTTGTTTCTCTACATGTTAGCTAGACTCATGTATCATTTAGCAACAACAAAAACTTATTTCATGTGATAGACTGACTGTTTACTTCTAGCTATTGTTGGCTATGTCAGAGAGACCAGATACCTTAGCCAAGAATGGTTATCAAGACTGGAGAAACTGAATATGTGTGTGAGTAATCTTTTGAGAACAGGCTGGTATTATCTTTTTGTAAAGGGATCATATTACATTTCTAGAATTTCAGAACTTATTTTTATAGTTGAAGCTAAGTCCCTCCTCTGATTGCTAGAAATAAAGCTATGTAATATTTTTATTTCAGCATTTGGATTTATTATAATATGTATTACGATTTTTAAGATTTTGTTTTTCATTCTTTTAGACAGGTGCTCTAGTTCACAGCTATAGGGGAACAGGTGGAATATTTGAAGTTTGCTGGAATGCAGCAGGAGACAAAGTTGGAGCCAGTGCATCAGATGGTTCAGTAAGTATAGTAAAGTGTTTCCAAAGAGGGTGTGGGTGGGTATTCACATCAGAATGCAGCTTATTGTTAGTGATACCAAAGTGTTTTTTTCAAAATAAATTTTAAGGTATGATACTGATTTTTTTTTTTCCTGAGGCTGTAAACTTTTCATGTGCGTTGGATTCAAATAATGTAAACAAAATTTAGGCTGTCCTTACCAAATACCTTATAATCTAGAAATGGACAGTTATTTTTAATATGAACCTTCATTTATGAAATTAGGTATACCAGAGGAACATTCTGAGAAGGATTGAAATGTTTAATGTGTATTTCTACCTTCTCCTCTTCACAGAAGAATTTTTTTGGCCCAGGGAAGGCAGAACTAGAGGCAGTTGGTTCCTGTGTTGAGGAATGTGTGATACTGAAAGATTTTCAGGATGAGGTTAGCCAACTCTTTACAACAATGCAAATATGGCTTCCAAAGCTGTAGAAGCACCAGAAGGTGGGAAAAGGGTAGCTATTTACTGATGCTGTAGCTGAATATAATCTGTGATATCTTTCATTAGGGTCCAATAGATAGGAAATGGTCTGTTTTGAGCATTTTCCCCCTCCTTTTTAATCAACAGAGAGTATAAAAATCCTAGCCGTGGTTCTTCCCCCACAGTTTGAGCTCATGGTTGTTCTCTTGATCTGCTTAAATGATCTGTCTGATTTCTGTCAGTTAAGTGCTCATTTCCATGATTATTATGCTTTACCAATTTTATAAACTTGGAACTAAGAAACATTTCAAATTGTACTATAGAAAAGTTAAACATAAAATGTACAATAAAATTCTGAATACACTGGTTGATTATTTTAATTTCTTACAGGTTTGTGTATTAGACCTTCGGAAATAGCGCTACTAGTTGGAAGCCATGGACCGACTATGAATGTGTACATAGCCAAAATGACTGTCCCTGACCCATGTACTGCTATAGTCCCACTTGAACCATGGCCAGTCCACTACAGCCAAATCTAAAAGAAATATATACATACAGTGTATATAAACAAAATTGCACCCTGAAGATGACAGAGTTTTGTCACAGCTTGTGAATTCTGTTCACCAAGTGCTGGAATCTAATCTGCTGTGCCCCTAAAATAGCATTTAGAAGTTTTGGATATGAAAAACAGAAGAGAGAAAAATATACATTATAAAAGCAGAACATACATGTACCAGTTTTTGGATACTAAATGACAGCCTTGTTTCTCCCCTTTGAATCAGCAGACACCATGGATTATATTCTTTTTTTCCCTTCAGTAGTGAGCAGTTTGTATGTACAGAGAAAATGGACTTACAAAAACTTGCAGCAGTAGTTTGTTCTTGCTTTAAAATTTCGTTTTTGGTTTAGATTATGGATGCATGAAGTAAGGGAGTGAATCAGTTTCTTGTTTATATTTTTTTCACCTTTTAAACAAAAAATTCTTTAAAATATTTTAATGCATTCTTTTGAAGAGGTAGATGTTTGGTACATTTTATGGCTCCCAGAGCATATATTCAGTTGGTGCATGTTGTGGAAGGGGGAATTGGAAATTAAATGAAAACCTATGACTTTGGTCATGTCAATCTGTAAGACACATCAGTAAAAGGGTATTATGCTCTGTTGGTTTTGTTTTTTTGTTTTGCTTTTTTTTTTTTTTTTTCTTTTTTGTTTTTTGGTGATGTGGCTTAAATGCAATAGTTTCTTTTTTGGGACATATTTCTGCCAATTAAAGACTAGAAGGGCACAACTTTTTTTTTAATTACCATAGAGAAGATACATTAAAAAAAATCTTCTGATGTTTTGTAGCCATAACTAAATTATGGTAAAAATGTGCACTATTGTGAAAAGGAGCAACGTAGTTTTGGGTTTTTTGTTGTTTGTTTGTTTTGCTTTGTTTTTTAAGAGATTAAAATGTTTCTGGATAAGGATTAGCTTCTCGAAGTGTCCATCATTCTGTGTAGAAGCTTAAATATGTAATGTAACCAAACTCCAGTATTAAAAATCTCTCATGTTGTTTTCTTTATACAAAGCAAGATAACGGCATATAACACTGCCATTACATGGCAAAATGTTTGCTACCTTAGTTTAAAAAACAATCTCAAACAAAAGACTTGCTTCAAGGTGTTTTTAAATAGCAGTGATTCAGAATTTTTTTTAATGAA
This sequence comes from Homo sapiens, assembly GCF_000001405.40. Classification (NCBI taxonomy): domain Eukaryota; kingdom Metazoa; phylum Chordata; class Mammalia; order Primates; family Hominidae; genus Homo; species Homo sapiens. The sequence goes on along the minus strand of NC_000003.12, from coordinate 177,024,211 downwards.
AGTATAATTGCACTAACCTTCTTCCTGCTGCTCTGATTCTGCATTTGTGGTACTTGTGACTACGTTTTTTCAAATATAGATAGATTTAAGCTGCTAATTTTTTTTTTTTTAGTAATCACTACTATATCATGTCTTTTACTCTGTTTATAATATCAAGTATTTTCTTAAAGATATAGATATTAAACCTTGTGCTCATGCAACTTAGAGTAACATATACAGACAAATGATTGCATGAGGCCATGTTTATATGTGTGACTAATAAGGCTTGTCATGATTAACATAATCCAGGTATGTCATTTCTGAAGAGAATAGTCATCAAATTTATATCTCGAAGATTTTAATTAAGGAATTGCTTATTGTTGAGCTTAGCAAATTAATAACACTATTTCTGTCACTAATTATTTTGAGGCCTTTTAGTACTAAAATTTTAACCTGTGTTCTAAGTAGAAACTGATTTAACCCAAGTAATGCAGCTTTGATTGATTTCAGCATTCGTTGCTTTGCTATTTTTACAAAACAGCATTGATTGAAGCAAGTCTTGGTTTTACTAAGGTAGGGTAGCATTTGCTATTGGTAAAGAGAATAAATACACTTAATTTCACAATACATTGTTATATGTACCCCAGTTGTTGTTAGTGGGGACTATGATACTGTAATAATATTTTTAAAAATTTACATCAAGAGAGGCAGTCATTCACGATGGTTTTGTGCCAGCTCTTTTTAGGGTTTTGGATCACATTAGAGATATTTAGAACATATTACCCTGTGACTTACGTAGGAAACCTAATATGCTGAGTATCTGGCACTTGAATTCCTGCTTTTATTGCTGGAGGTCCACATCTGTGGTTGACCTCTGTTATTGTTTAAAAAAAATAAATAAAAATTAAAAAAATCTGTGCAATAATTTTAAAATGTGCTCCCAGGAATAGACACAAATGTTTTGAGTATCTTTTAAGCTGCATTTTCCTTTAGTGATGCATTTGTCAATTGCACTGAATTTAAATCTGAAAGTCAGAGGTGATTATTGATAGTACTTTTGTATTTTGATATGGACAGTTTATTCATTTGCATACAGTTATTGACTTTTTCCCAGCTGATTAAAAGATAGTCAAGAAATTCTGCAATATAGCTGCCAAAATAGACAGCTACATTTTTATGATATTGTCATCTTTTCTGTTTTTTTTTTCTTTTTTTTCTTTAGCTATTTTACTTAAGCATAATAGCCACAATAGGACATATAAAAGATTATAAATACAGAGCTTTATTATCCTGACGTCTTGGGTCTTTTAAGTATATACTTTTCTGAAAGGTATCCATTTTGTAGGCTTGGGTTCTTCATGAGCATACGATTGTTTATTTTTGCTGCTGTTCTCAACATCATCATTGCCTGCTGATGTGCCACGATGCTGCTCCAATAGACAGCAATAAGATTGTCTCTAATTTGAGCAGTAACATGATTGCAAGAGACCAAGTTTCACAGCTTGTAAAGTTCTGTATTTGGGATTCTTGCTTATTTTTCCGCCTGTGTTTTTCTGAGAACTTATTCCTGATGATCAATTGAATCCAGTAGTTTTTCTATGCTATTTGTTGTTGTATAAGCTACTGTAAGAAACTTATCATAAGGAAAAATAGAAAGGAAAACTTGAATCAATACTCATTGATTAAAATGGAATAAAGAAAGAGCAGCTGCCACTTTTAAACAACATAAAGGAATATCTTTTTTTGTCTCCGTGTAGGAAATCCCATAAGTTCTTATATTTGTTCCAGTTCCCATTTCCTGCCATTGACCAGATAACATCATTGACTTTCAAATGACTTTTAGAAGTGATAACTCTTAATTTCCTAATAGATACTAGATTGTATTGAATTCTGTTTTAATTATTCTCTAGGTAAGTATGTTTTAGGATTAAATACCTTTTACAGATACTGAAAGTGCCTCCTTTTGTGGTGTAAAAAACAAATTATGGTGCAAAAAGTAATCACTAGATTGAAATACATGAAGGTTTTTTGCTTTTTGACATACGAAAATGTCAAGAGAAAGGCCAAAGATTTGTACTTTTTCACTTACAAAGCACTCCTTTTTCCCTTAAACTTCTTTCTGTCAAATTAGATTTAATGAGAGAGTACTATTTTTAAGGAGCTATCTGTTTATGTAGAATGATTTTGTTAAGAGTAATGTAAACTATTATTGAGTAGAGGCCTAAAGAGGACTGTGCATTTTTGCTATTTAAAGGAATCACAAATGATCATACTTAAGTGAGCAAAAATGACAAGTTTTACTAGCTAAGTAGAGAAATAAATCTCAAATGCAGCGCTACAATTTTCATTATCTTAAGTACATTGTACATTTCTACAGAACCTGTGATTATTCTCGCATGATAAGGATGGTACTTGCATATGGTGAATTACTACTGTTGACAGTTTCCGCAGAAATCCTATTTCAGTGGACCAACATTGTGGCATGGCAGCAAATGCCAACATTTTGTGGAATAGCAGCAAATCTACAAGAGACCCTGGTTGGTTTTTCGTTTTGTTTTCTTTGTTTTTTCCCCCTTCTCCTGAATCAGCAGGGATGGAAGGAGGGTAGGGAAGTTATGAATTACTCCTTCCAGTAGTAGCTCTGAAGTGTCACATTTAATATCAGTTTTTTTTAAACATGATTCTAGTTAAATGTAGAAGAGAGAAGAAAGAGGAAGTGTTCACTTTTTTAATACACTGATTTAGAAATTTGATGTCTTATATCAGTAGTTCTGAGGTATTGATAGCTTGCTTTATTTCTGCCTTTACGTTGACAGTGTTGAAGCAGGGTGAATAACTAGGGCATATATTTTTTTTTTTTTTGTAAGCTGTTTCATGATGTTTTCTTTGGAATTTCCGGATAAGTTCAGGAAAACATTCTGCATGTTGTATCTAGTCTGATGTACTTATCCATCTCATTACAAACAAAAACACACAGACTGCATTTGTAGCTCTGTAATCCTTGAATACGGAAGTAAATTTTCTTCTTTCCTGACTTTGACATTGTAGCTATACTGTTTCCATTTTTGTTTTTACAAATCCTTTGGGTCTAATTCTGTGAGCCTACCTATAGCACTGGATTAAAATGTCTGCATCATTTCTTTAGTTATCCAGTTAACTTTAAAACTGTTGTAAAAGTGTAAACCAGCCCATGACAGGTTTTTGTACATGTTAAAGAACTTCATTGTTCAGTTTTCATGATTATTGTGTAAGGAAGACTGATGTAGATGTTCTGTGCTGTCCTGGACCATGTTAATTACACTTACGACGTATTTTAGTTCCACATCACAATGATTTGTCCCCAGTGACCCTTTTATCCTTTCTAGGCACATTTCTTGTTGTTGTTGTTGTTGCAGTTCCCCTTTGCATTGTATTGCTTTGACAACTGTAATTTGAATCAGATCTGAAAGAGGTCCAGAATAAAATATATTTTGATATTATGTTGGCTGTGTACATATATAAAACCTTTGATGTCTATGTAGTTTATATAGACTATTTACTAGTCAGGTAAAGAGAGAGGGATGGTATTTCTTGTTTACAGTTTGTTTACATTTTAATTGCTTTTACTTCTCCAGTGTTCTATTGTAGAATAAACCTTTTTTTCCAAGTTAGCCTTCATAACCTATAACACATTCATTCTCTCCCATACTGGTGTTACTGATTAATAACTGCCATCAGAACCCAAACCACTGTTTTTCATAAACGTATTGTTTCCCAAGATATATACTTTAAGCCCATAATAAAATTACAAATTTTACTATTTTTATTACTTCTTGCAGGAGATAAGATTTTTTTAAATGAAGGGGTTATTTACTATTTTTATTAAAGTATAATAGAGCATCTAATCAGCTAAGGGATTGTAATTTTTAATTCTTTTGAAAAATAAATATTGTATTTAAAAGACGTTATTTCACAGAAGCTGAAAAAGAGACCTTAGATAACATTTGTTTGGTTAGCCACACGGTTGAGCACAAAACAATGTGTAGATGTGTTGAAGATTAGGGCAGGAGGCTCAACTTCTCGGTGACCTTTTTTTGCTTCACAACAAGCCAATTATAGTTGAATCATTTTCTCTCTTAGCTAGTTGTTACTACAAACTTTATAAGAAAAACAACTAGACACCTTCTAGTTTTAATTAATACCAACTCCTTTAGAGTTAGAGACTTTTTAAAAAGAATCATTGAGCATATTTTCTTTTTTTTTTTTTTAAGAATTTACACTCTCTAGGTCTTCTATTTTTCCTGTTTATTTCCTTAAACAGAAATAAATTCAAGCATAGTTTTATGTTTTATTAGAAATAAGCCACTGCAGTTGCTAGAACTGACATGCTTTCATTTTCAAGGGGTTAACTTTTATTGCATGGCATAGATTATTAGTAATATCCTGCATTGTATACTTTTCCAAAAAGGGTTGGACTCCTAAGGATTAGAATCCTTATAAGCTTGAGGGAAAGCTGAAACTAATTTGAACAGTAATAGAAGGGATTATTTTTAATTTCATAGTTAACACTTTACAATGGATTAGATTTATTACCTAGTATAATCCGTAGCAGATCAGATCAAAGTTTACTGTTTTACCAATATATTCATTTGAAAAAATACAGTGGAGGAAAAGACACTTTAGATGGTAGTTTTATGGTGCTTTTCTCTGCTGTACCAAAGTGCTTTGTCATCAATGAAATGTTAACCCTATGCTACTTTTTCTGCATGCTTCTTAAATGTCATCTTAATGCTTAATTGTCCTAACTTGTAATATTTTTGTATTAAATTTTTTTAGGAGTTCCTTGTAATTTCTTTACAATTTAAAATATATTAAACACAAAGTGTTTAGTAAAGTACAGAAGACAATTACTAATGTTTCTTGGTTGTTGGGTTTGTATGATCCATTGGGCAGACAATTTATATTTTAAGAACTAAGACCAATGGGGTGGAATCTATACCGAAAAAGATATCACAGTCTTATTTAAAAAAAAAAAAAACAAACTTTCTGACATACTAATCTAATGTCAGAACGAGCTGCCTTAAGAGATGTTGTGCTGTCAGAAAGCCGTAAAGCATAGGTTGGATTGCCACTGGGCCGGGCTCCTGTGGAGAAAACAAGCACTGCCTGAGCACCTCAAATAGACTTGCATTAAAAAATCTAGTCACATTGAACTTCACAGTCTGAAATCAGACATTTAAAAACAGGATCAGCTTCCAGGATCTCTCACATTCAATATAGGGGATTTTGAAGAATCTACACACTGCCAAGACAAGACCTTTTCCCTAAGCTTTTATTGGTTTAATTTACGTACACTTGCTGGACCAGATCAATTATCTGATTTTCCAACCTGGGTCCATGAGGAACAGTGCTCCCCATAGAGAGGGAGGAATAGCTAAAACTCCTAGCAGAATGAAGAGCTGCCATTTGGGATGGCCTAGAGTCATCAAATAATTCAAGTTAAGTTTAATATGACATAAAAATTAGCTATGTAATATGGATTTTAATATTTCCACCTGAAATGGTTGAAATATTTTAGTGTGTGGGAATAAACTGAAGTTGGACAGATCTGGTGTTGAAGTAAATGAAGTCTGATAAGAGTCAATTAGCGGTAAGTTCATTCTACTTCTTAAACAGTGTTGGTTAACTTGGAATGTGCGTTGGAATCTTTTATGCCTTGTCCTACCCATTGACCAATATGGTAGCACAAGGTATGTGTGCTGCTTTTCATATGCTTGTTTGGTTTTGTGTCATAATGTGGGAGGTGGTTGTCACTAGCATGTGGTATATTTATTGTAGAGCACATGCTGGTTAAAGAAATTTAAATACAAGGTATAAATAATAAATGTTCATTTTCAAACTCCCAACCAAGTCCTTAGTGGTATCCACTGTTAACAACTTGACATATGTCCTTCTAAGCATTTTCAATACCTACTTTAAAAAAAATACAAAAGAGATCATAATCATTGAATTCAGAAACTCACTTTTTCACAGAAACCATCAGGGACCATTGTCCCATCCACTTAAGTACATTCAAGTACTTCCCTATACTGTAGATGTAGAATATACTGTATGGTTTAAAGAGCATGAATTCTGCCTGACTGACTACCTGGGATGAATCCAGACCAGCTGCTTGGCCTAAGGAGTTGCTGTCTTGGTTTCCTTGTCTGTAAAATGGGGATAATGATAGTTACTTTTCTCATTGATGGGTTGTGAAGATTACAAAGTTAATATATCTGAAGCCCTTAGAGAATGGTGCCTGGTTATATAAAGCACACTGTATATTACCAAACATTTTTATTCCTAATGGTAAGATTTTATTGTACACCAAGATTTAGCCCCCTATAATGTAAATTTACTTTTTCACCGTTTACTATTACAATGGAGCAATAAAATATTCATATCTACAGGACAAATAGAACAGTCAATTCTGATGTACACTCGTTTAATACACACTTCAAGGATTCTTTAAAACTCGCCTCCCTTGGACGGGCATGGTGGCTCACGCCTGTAATCCCAGCAATTTGGGAAGCCGAGGCGGGTGGATCACAAGGTCAAGAGTTTGAGACCAGCCTGACCAACATGGTGAAACCCCGTCTCTACTAAAAATACAAAAATTAGCCCGGCATGGTGGCGCACGCCTGTAATCCCAGCTTCTTAGGAGGCTGAGTCAGGAGAATCGCTTGAACTCGGGAGGTGGAGGTTGCAGTGAGCCGAGATCGCACCATTGCACTCCAGCCTGGGTGATAGAGCGAGACTGTCTCAAAAAAAAAAAAAAAAAAAAAAAAAAAACTTTGCCTCCAAGCCACTTTCTGGCACTAACAAGGTATGATTTCAAAAGGAGCCATTTAAGAATTTGTAGAAGGGAGATTGAAGAGTGCTTTGTATATTTACTCAGTGTAGTACAGGAAAGAGAGTAATCTAGACCTGTAAGTAACAATCTGGGTTATGGGTTAGCAGAAAACAACTAAATTTTTAAGCCTATGCTCTTTAGCATTTAATGACTAAATACTAATGATGTGATGAAGATTTTGTTAAACATGGATGAAAATTTTTCTACTGTAGAGCACAATGTACAGGCTAAATCCAATTATAAACTTCATGGAACTACCAGACTTTTAATAGCATATATTAATATTGCTGGAAGCCAGATTCCTGGTCTGTTTGCTAAATTAGCAGACATTTGGATTTTTTTGTAGGGCTTTTTAAATTTTAAGACTATTTTCACCCATTTTGCCTTTCAAAATCCTGAGTACTCTTTTTTTTAATTCAGCAAATATTTGTTGAGTAATGTTTTCTAAGAAGTGTGTCTGCCACTGGATATATGGTAGTGAGCAAGAAAAAGGCTCTGTTCTTGTGATATGTAACTACAACGGAAGGTAGTTTATTAAGTGCTGTAACAAAGAATTTGGTTGAAGCCTGCTGGGCGCGGTGGCTCACGCCTATAATCCAAGGCTGAGGCGGGTGGATCACCTTAGGTTGGGGGTTCGAGACCAGCCTGACCAACATGGAGAAACCCTGTCTCTACTAAAAATACAAAATTAGCCAGGCATGGTGGTGCATGCCTGTAATCCCAGCTACTCGGGAGGCTGAGGCAGGAGAATCGCTTGCACCTGGGGGGGCGGAGGTTGCGGTAAGCCGATATCGCGCCATTGCCCCCCAGCCTGGGCAACGAGAGCGAAACTCCGTCTCAAAAAAGAAAAAAAAAAAAAGAATTGGGTTGAAGCATCTGAAATTACTTTTTCTGAGCCAGAAACTGCCAAACACTGACAGTTTCAAATGGTTCAACCTAATCCCAGGTACTGTGTTTGCAAATGGCAAGGGGTACCTAACAGTTGCGTTTTGATCCTTCACTCTATGTCCCAGGACACCCTCTTTGTGATCCACATTACACTTGTAATTACATGTTTTATGTCTGTCTTCTAGTGGTCACTATTACAATTTTAAGTAGTATGTATTTACATCTTCAGTGATTAAGCAGTGTCCGTTGGTTTCTTAACCAAGAAAGGTAAAGAAATGAGGCACTTCATGCTTCCTCTTAAGAGGTTCGCTTTGATTTTTACTTTTTAAAGTCAATTGGCATATTTTTGCTATTACTGTTGTGAAAGTCAGCAACGCAGATGTTGGAATGTTGTGCCAGCCACCATCCGTCTCCTCAAACCCTCATCCCTGTGAAGTTTCCAAAGAAACAGTATGTTAATCAGAGTACTTCTTTGTTAATTTGCTACGTGAGCCACTCCTGTCATCCCGTTCAACTCTCTAGAGAGAGGCTGGTTTGGATTTGGATTTAGGGCTTTACCAATCAAAAGTGTAGCCCATTTAGCTTCATCTGGAAACTCTAGAAACCATCCCAGGTTTCACCCAAGATCCTAATCAGAAGCTTCGTTGACAAGATCTCCCGTGAATTGTATGCACATGGAAGTTTGAGAAGAACTAGCTTAGGGGTCTAGGTCAAAATAGAGGATCTTCTGCTTTTCTCTTCTCCACATCTATCCTGAATTCCTTGAGACCAGCGAGACCAGCAACAAATCTTAAAACTACCATAAATAACAGTTGCTACTAGGGGTAAAGTAGAGGAAGAAGTCCCCAGAGGGAACACAGTTTACTGATTCAGACATGGGGTGGGAAAATACTAGAGTATTAAATGGCTTTAAAGGGTTCTCATGAAAGATAGTAATCTTGCCCGTATTAATAATGTCACTATCAATATCTAAGGCTCTGACCAACTGATCAAATTAACCAGATGATCTTGGGTGAGATACCCACTCTGCTGGAGATTCATAATTACCTGCCTCATGTTGTGAAGAATAAATGAGACAGTGCATATATTTATTAGCCGCATGCCCAGCACATAGCAATGCATGTGAAGTATAACCGTTTTCATTCCCTGGTCGTGGAGGATGCTAGGATGACATGTGAGGAGCAGAATGTCCCATTCCCTTGTGTTGTTCTGTAGCCACAACTGTTAATGCTCAGTTTTATATTGCAGTAAATTCAGCACTGACTTTGAGATCACAGCTGCTTCATTCCCGAGTTCTTCATTTGGAACCGTCCTTTGGTTGAGCAGACTTCATTTTCAAATAGGGCTAGTGAGCGCTGCCTTCCTTGAATCCCTGTATATTTGAGACTTTTTTTCTTGCCTTACACAAAAATGAATACTTGATACAACTGTGTTATTTCGGGGTCACATTTTCTTCCCCTTATAACTCAGGTGGTTAGTACTAAAGTATAACTCCCAACAGGAGAATCAGTGGTGTTCTACCCAAGACCTACTGAAGCAGAATGTAGGCGGAGTGAGGAGCCGAAATCCGCGCTTTATGCCCGCTCTCCAGACGTTGCTAATGCGCGCTAATACTAGGGAGCCACTGCTGTGCTGCCCCGCTGTCTTCTGCCAGTCACTGCTGCTGTGGAGATGTTTGAGCCCAACAGAACTTTTCCCTCCGCATAATTTTTTTATACCTAGATTGCCAAGAATTCTTTGGCCTTGAAATTCAGTAATTTCTCAGAATATGCCTAGGCATTGATCACTTCTGAAGCTGTCTAAATGCAGTAAAGCCTTTGTTCATGTTTTTTTTTTTAAATTCCTAAGAGCTTGCTTATAATTCTGAGTATGTCTTTGTTGTTGTTGTTGTTGTTGTTGTTGTTTTGTTTTGTTTTTTGTTGTTTTTTGGTTTTTCGGAGTCTCACTGTATCGCCCAGGCTGGAGTGCAATGGTGCAATCTCTGCTCACTGCAACTTCTGCCTCCTGGGTTCAAGCAATTATCCTGCCTCAGCCTTCCCAGTAGCTGGGACTACAGGCACGCGCCACCACGCCCGGCTGATTTTTGTATTTTAATAGAGATGGGGTTTCACCATGTTGGCCAGGCTAGTCTCAAATTCCTGACCTCAAGCAATCCACCCGCCTCAGCTTCCCAAAGTGCTGGGATTACAGGTGTGAGCCACAGTGCCTGGCCTCTGAGTATGTCTTCGGTAACATTTTGTTGACCCTACTGCAGGCCCAGCTGAAGTGAGTAACCATGAATACACAATGGCACCAATTTGCAGCATTGTGATTTTTTTCTCCAATACTGCTTACAAGCCATGGGGAAGTGGATGTCTTAAACGGTGACCAAGACTAGCAGGAATCCTAGTTATGGAGCATTTAACAGTCGACATTTTGCAAGAGAGTGAGTACTCTTAAGTACTTTGTGGGATGGGGGCAGTACCTCTAGTCAGTGAGGATATCCCTGGAATAGGTATGCATAACGTTTGTAAGTTCAAGTTTCTATTGTCTGTCTGGAAGGATTTCCATGTCTAGAAGGAACCAGCTGTGGCCTAGCTCAAAGGCAAGCACAGCTGGCTGAAGTCTGAACTTAAGTATGTCTGGCGTGTAGACTTCCTGGGTAAGACCGGAAGCTCTGCTGCAATGGGAGGGCCTATCAAAAGGGTTATAAAGTTAAGGATGCTCAAAGTTGAGATTTTTGTGGTGCTGAGTTGGTTTGAGGCATGCTGTGAGATAGAGGCCACGCGGCAGAGGACCAGGGTGGTCTTACAGGAATTGTGAATTTTCATAGTGGAGGAAGCTTTGTCTCCTCTTCACATTCAACCACATTCTTTGAAATTCGTGAATCTCCTGTAAGGTTTCTTCTCCCTTTTATTCATGCAGTTGCCTCTTCCTGGAGTACCTTCTCCCCTCTTCATTTGCCTCACGCTCAATCAAGTGAGTGCCTCAGACCAGTACCCTCCCATTCTTTGCCCACTTCTTTCCGTCTCTGCCTCCAATCTGAGCGAGGTGCCCGTTTCCCCCTCAGCTCTGTTTATAAGATTGCTTCTTGTGCTAGCTACTCTTTATTTGAGTTCCTGAGGGGTAAAGACTGTCATACTTACCTCTGGGTCCCCAGAGCCTAGCACACTGCCTGGAAAATTGTAGATGTTTGATTAATTAATTTGAGGTGTTGACAAGAAGGGGGAAGGTTGCTATCAAGGGGATGGATGATAAAACACCATATAATTAGGCACTCTTGGAAAGTAAATTGTAAAAATGAGAAGGTGGCATACTGTAGTGAAAAAAAGCATCACTTTTTTTCTTAGGGATGTTAGCCTGAACAAGTTACTTTACAGCTGAACATCAATTTCTTATGAGTAAGAAAATATTTGTGTAAGATATCTTGCTTTTGAGATGGTTTTAAGGATTAGCAATTATGTAAATCCAGCACAGTGACTGAATAAATTAGCTTTTTATACATGGTATGATGATTATTACTATTTTTACTTTTATAAACATACCAGAATAAACTTTTGACAGGGTGATTTGTTGAAAACAATTTGTTGTAATTAGATTTACAAAGCAGTACTATTATGGATGGGAATGTAGAAGTAGTTTATTGAACAAACCGTTCTTAAAAATTTTAAATTATTATGATGGGACATCTTAAAATATGTCATTGTTTTTTGCATGCAGCCTAGCTGGGTGATAATGGTTGTGTGTGTGTGTGTGTGTGTAATCAGTTCCCTTGTATTACTTTATCTGCAGTTTTTTTCCTCTTGCCCTTAACATCTATCAGTTGTTTTTTTGTATTGTCAAGAATACATCTTATCTTGCCCTTAACATCTATCGTTTTTTGTATTTTTTTGTATTGTCAAGAATTAGAAAATGCTCTTTTAAATGCAACTCTGTGCCAAACATCCATTTTGTAATCTATTATTTATAGAAAAACAGCAGAAACGCCATCGATGTTAAGAACCAAGGTTTTAAAGGCATAGCATTTCACATTTTCTTTTGGCTTCTGTTTCAATTCTCTCACTAGGTTTCAATTTTAAAATACTAGTCAAGGTCAGAATAGCACCCTACTTTTCTGTTTGTGTTTGACCATTGTTTTTCTGGCATAGACCTTTTGTTCTGCATAATTCTTATTTCTTATGGTATTAATATGTGTTTGTTATAGAAAATTTCGAAGTAAAAAAATTGGGGTGTATGTGTCCACACACATGTAAGAGAAAATTACAGGTGTAAATTTTTTCTAGCTTTGAGCAGAATTCTTAGGTGCTACTAAATCTAGGCAAATAAGCCGTTTCTATGAGAAATAGGGCATCCTAGAGACAGCCCAGGTGGAGCAGGTAGCATAAGTGAGAAGGAAAACGTTGTTACATCGTCACTGAGATTTTAGGGTTGTTATTGTAGCATAACCCAGCTAATACTGATCGATATGCTCTCTATCCCAAAGCTGACCCACCAGGACATTCTCGCCACATAATGTTCTATACAACTACATAATGTTCTAGACACTTTACTATGCATTTATAAACAAACCAATACGTTGTGTTTTTACATAAAAGAGATGGTACTAAACATGTTTTTGCGTGACTTGATTTGATTTCATTTAGTATATTGAAATAGTTTTCCATGTATTTATTTAAAAAGCTTCATTGAGCTTTAACATAAAGTACACATTTAAATTGTGCAATTTTATGTGTTTTGACATATGTATATGCCTGTGAAACAGTCACACTTAATGAACATATCTGTCTGTGAAACAATTACACTTAAGAAAATGAACATATCTTTGCCGGGCGCGGTGGTTCACGCCTATAATCCCAGCACTTTGGGAGGCCGAGGCGGGTGGATCATGAGGTCAGGAGATCGAGATCATCCTGGCCAACATGGTGAAACCCTGTCTCTCCTAAATACAAAAATTAGCTGGTCGTGGTGGCGGGTGCCTGTAGTCCCAGCTACTTGGGAAGCTGAGGCAGGAGAATCGCTTGAACCAGGGAGTTAGAGGTTGCAGTGAACTGAGATCACGCCACTGCACTCCAGCCTGGAGACAGAGTGAGACTCCGTCTCAAAAAAAAAAAAAAAGATACTTTTGAGACGGAGTTTTCCTCTTATTGCCCAGGCTGGAGTGCAGTGGCGCGATCTTGGCTCACTACAACCTCCACCTCCCAGGTTCAAGCAATTCTCCTGCCTCAGCCTCCCTAGTAGCTGGGATTACAGGCATTCACCACCACGCCCGGCTAATTTTGTATTTTTAGTAGAGATGGGGTTTCTCCATGTTGGTCAGGCTGGTCTCGAACTCCCGACCTCAGGTGATCTGCCCGCCTTGGCCTCCCAAAGTGCTGGGATTACAGGCATGAGCCACCACACCCAGCCAAAACCATATCTTTTATCTAGCTTTGAGCAGAATTCTTAGGTGCTACTTCACAGTCCACTCAATTTGGCCTCCATCCCTGACTCCCATCTGCCGTAGAAGGCCCAACCCCCCGTCTCAGCCCTACTCCACTCCTGCAGTATAGTGGCAGGAGTTTTCCTGCTCATCCACTTCTACCCTTTAATAGAAAATAACCTATCAATCCAAACCTTTACATTACGTCTGGGGGCTATTACTACCTTATTTACAGCAATCTGTGCTCTAACACAGAACGATATCAAAAAAATTGTAGCATTCTCCACCTCAAGCCAGCTAGGCCTTACAATCATCACAATTGGCATTAATCAGCCACACCTAGCATTCCTTCACATAATGTGGGGTGATAGACATGGGAGGCTTAGAAGGCTGGGGGTGGGTGAGAGAGGAGAAATTACTTAATTACTTCATGTGTACAATGTTTGGGTGATTGTTGCACTAAAACACCAGACTTTCTCACTACAAAATATATTCACACATCAAAACTGCCCTTCTACCCCTTAAATTTACACAAATAAACATATCTGTCACCTTTAAAAGTTTCCTGTTGCCTTTTGGGAATGAATTCGTCTGCCCCAACCCCATCTGTCCTGCCTCACTGTTCTCAGACAACCACTGGTTTGCTTTCTGTCACTATAGGTGGGTTTATGTCTTCCAGAACTTTATGAAAATAGAATCATAGTTTACTCTTCTGGGAGGGAACAGTCTGGCTTCTTTCACTCAGTGTAATTTTTGGAGATTCATCCATGTTTCATCCATCATTCCTTTTGGAAATGAACTACTATTTACTGAATATTCTGTTGTGTGGATGTACTGTAAATCATCTAACCAATAACCTGTTGATCAACATTTGGATTGTTCCTACTTTTTGGGCCCTTACTGATGATGTTGCTGTGAAGATTCATGTACAGGACTTATTTGTGTACAGGACATGCTTGCTTTCATTTCTCTTGGGTAAAAAACTATATATATGTTTATTTTCTGAAGAAACTTGCCAACTCCTTTTTTTTTTTGGTGGAGATGGTCTTTTCCTTACCCAGGCTGAGTGTGAAGGCACAGTCGCGGCTCACTGCAGCCTCTACCTCCCCAGCTCAAGCGCTTCTCCCACGTCAGCCTCCTGAGTAGCTGAGACCACAGGCACGAGCCACCACACCCAGCTAATTTTTTTTTTTCTGTAGAGATGAGGTCTTGCTATGTTGCCCAGGCTTGTCTAGAACTTCTGGACTCAAGTCTTCTGTCTCTTCCTCCTAAAGTGTTGGTATTATAGGCGTGAGCCACTGTGCCCAGTGTGGCCAAATTGTTTTCTAAAGTTGTTGTACTACATACTGTTTTACATTTTTCAAGCAACAGTATATGACAGTTCTTGTTGGTCTGTGTCCTCAACAACTTGGTATGATCAGTCTTAAGAAAAGCATGTCTATTATAAATCTAAAATTATTCAAAGAGTTGCAAAGATAGTACAGTAAGTTCCCTTATGTCCTTTAACCAGAATCCCCTGGTAGTAATAACATTTGGTATACTGATCAAAACTAAGAAAGTAACATTGGTGCAATACTTTTTAACAAAGCTAGAATTTATTCAGATTTTTCCAGCTTCTCACCAATGTCCTTTTTGTGTCCCAGGATCCAGTGCAGAATACCACATTGCATGGGGTCATTATGTTTTCCTTGTCTCTTTCCATTTGTGACACTTTCTCAGTCTCTTCTGTTTTTTATGTCCTTGTCAATTTTGAAGAAGTCTGGTCAAGTATTTTATAGAATGTCCCTCAAGTTAGGTTTGTCTGATGTTTTCTCATGTTCAGACAGGTGTTACGGGTTTGGGGGAAGACTCAGACTTTAAATGTCCTTCTCATCACATCATTACAGGGGGTGCATGATAACATGATTTATTATTGGTGACTTTGATCATTTGGCAAATGTAGTGTCTGCAAGATTTCTCTACTATAAAGTTACTGTTTTTCCATCCTCTGTTCATTAGAAGTGATTTTTGAATTCCAGCCCATATTCAAGGGAGAGAAATTGAGCTCTACCTCTTAAGGGGAAGAGAATCTATGGATGTATGTTAAAACCACCACAGTAATTAATACATATTTTGGGAGGATACTTTGAGGCTATGCGGATAACCTGTTTCTCCTTCAAGCATGGCCCTCTAATTTTCACATTCATAAGTGAATGTTACCAGCATCAATTATTACTGTGGAGTTTTAATCATAATTATTTTCCTCTTCCCTTTTACATTTTTAGAGGCAGGGTTTTGCTCAGTTGCCCAGGTTTTAGTGCAGGGGCGCAATTGTAGCTCACTGTAGCCTCCAACTCCTGGACTCAAAACAATCCTCCAGGCTCAGCCTCCTGTGTAGCTCGGACTACTGGCATGCACCACCATGGTCTCCCTATGTTGCTTAGGCTAGGCTGGTCTCCAACTCCTGGACTCAAGTGATTCTTCCACCTTGGCCTCTGAAAATGCTGGGATTGCAAATGTAAGCCTCTCTGTCTGGCTTTACATTTATTGTTTGTCATTCTTCCATAAGGAAGATTTATCCCCTCATTCATTTTTTTTAGTCATTTATATCAACGCAAAATCTGGGAATCCCCAAGGCCACCCTCGCTTCTGACACCAACTGCAAACTCGGGTGTCTCCAAGACTACCCTCCAGATCAATACTTCTCTAGAAGTATGTACAGAACTCAGCAAAGCCATTATAGTCATGGTTATGGTTTATTACAGCAAAAGGATAGAGATTAAAATCACCCAAGGAAGGAGGCACAAAGGGCAAAGGCCAAGAGACACTAAGTGCAGAGTTTCTAGTTATCTTCTCCCAGTGGAGTTGTGTGGGCAGTGCTTACCCCTCCTAGCAATTGTGTGCAACGTGCATGGTACTGCCGAGTAGGGAAGCTCTTCCAAGCCTTGGCGTACACATTTCATTTGGGCTGGGTCACATATATGCATGCGTTTCCAGCCTCAGGTCAGAGATTGAGCCTGATACCCAATGGCTTAAGGTGGCCCACCACAATTCACCTTAACATAGATTATTTGCCAGGTCCCAACCCCTCCAGGTAAACAAAGACACTCTTATAGGGCAGGGTATTCAAGGGCTAAGAGGGTACTTCCCGGGAGCTGGAGGCAAAGGGTGAAACTTTCATTAGGCAAGGCTAATTGTTTACTGAATTATCAGGATAGAGTCATGGATATTTATTTTATTCTAGAGGTTAGAATCCAGTCATAAAGTTAGGATACTTATTTTGTTGCTCACATTGTAACTTCTTTAGCCATTGGGAATTCTTTCAGGTTGACTCCTGTATCCTTTCACCATGCCACTGTCCTTTTTTAAAAAGCACTTTGTTACTTTCTGGCATTTCAAAATATTCCAGGCTCATCTAGTATTTTCCAGGCCTCAGTCATAGATAAACCATTTCTTTAAAGACCTTAGATTCTTTTATTGGAGAATAGTATTTAGAAACCAAGATCTGGGCTTTAGGTGTGTTCATTGCTCCCAAGGTATCATTGCTTCTAGGTCCCCTCATATATGTATGTATACTTCACCATGTATACTCACATATCTCTATTTCTGTATTGCATAAATATGCATTCTTGTGATATTGCGAACACTAATCCCGTGCCACACAGTTCATTCTAGCCTTCCCCCCTGGCTTACCTGTCACTTCTTTCTTGTAATCTGGCTCTCATTATCTACAATTTATTATTTGTTCAACTCTAGTATACATTTAATATAGCTTCAGAGCTACTAACCTACGCTTGTGTCAAAAACAAATTTACTCCAACTGGAGTACAGTTCATACAATACCAATTTTGTGTAGTAGGCCATTCTTGCTATAAAGAAATATCTGAGACTGGGTAATTTATAAAGAAAAGAGTTTTAATTGGCTCATGATTCTGCAGGTTGTACAGGAAGCATGGTGCTCTGGCATCTGCTTAGCTTCTGGGAAGGCCTCAAGGAGCTTTTACTTATGGCGGAAAGTGAAGTGGGAGCAGGCACTTCACATTGTGAAAGCAGGAGCAAGGCAGGGGTTGGGGGGAGGGACCCCACACTTTTAAACAACTGGATATGTGAAGTGAGAAAGACAACTCATCACCAAATTAATGGTACCAAGTCATTCATCATGGATCTGCCACCATCAGACAAACACTTCCCACTAGGCCCTACCACCAACATTGGGGATTACATTTCAATGTGAAATTTGGGCAGGGACAAATATACAAACTATTTCCTTCTGCCTCTGGCCCCCTTAAATCTCCTGTCTTTCTCACATCACAAAATACAATAATCTCTTCTTAACAGTCCCCTAAAGTCTTAACTTATTTCAACATTAACTCCAAAGTCCAAAGTCTTATCTGAAGAAGATGAGTTCCTTCCACCTATGACCCTGTAATAACTTATTTACTCCCAAGATACAATGGGGGTATAGACATTGGGTAAACATTCCCATTCCAAAAGGGGAAAATTGGCCAAAAAAAAAAAAAATGTGTTACAGTCACCATGCAACTTCAAAACCTATCAAAGCAGTCACTAAATCTTAAAGCTCCAAAATAGCCTCGTTTGACTCCAAGGCACACTGGTGCAAGAAGTAGGCTCCCAAGGCCTTGAGCAGCTTAGCCTCTGTGGCCTTGTTGAACCCTGCAGCTGCTATCACAGGTTGAGTGCCTGAGGCTTTTCCAGGCACAGGATAAAGCTGCCAGTGGATCTACCTTTCTAGGGGCTGGAGGATGGTGGCCCCTTTCCCACAGCTCCACTAGGCAGTACTCTAGTGGGCACTTGGTGTGGAGACTCCAACCCCACATTTCCTCCTCACACTACCCTAGTAGAGGTTCTCTGTGAGGGCTCCAACCCTACAGCAGTCTTGTGCCTGGACATCCATCCTTTCCCTTACATTTTTGAAATTTAGGGGAAAGGTGCCAAGCCTCCCTCACTCCTGCTGTCTGTGTGCCTACAGGCTTAACACTATGTGAAAACTGCTAAAGTTTGTGGCTTTCACCCTCTGAAGTGGTGTCCTGAGCTGTATCTGGGCCTCTTTGAGTGCAGGCTAGAGCTGGAGTGGCCAGGATGTGGAAGCAGTGTTCTGAGGCTACACATGGCAGTGGGGATCCTGGGCCTGGCCAAGAAAACCATTCAGTCCTCCTAGCCCTCAGGGCCTATGATGGGAGGGGCTGTCTGAGAGATCTCTGAAATGCCTTTGGGCCTTTTCCCCATTGTCTTGGAAATTAGCACTTGGCTCTCTTTTATTTATGCTGATATCACTAACAACT
Source organism: Homo sapiens (assembly GCF_000001405.40). NCBI lineage: Eukaryota > Metazoa > Chordata > Mammalia > Primates > Hominidae > Homo > Homo sapiens. Next base: position 177,005,793 of record NC_000003.12, on the reverse strand, counting down.
GGTTGCTCCACAGCCTGCTTGAATTCCTCTGCTGAAAAAGATTTTTCTTTCTCTGCCATATGGCCAGGCTGCAAATCTTTCAAACTTTTATGCTCTGCTTCCCTTCTAAATATAGATTCCCACTTTTCATCATTTATTTGCTCCCACATATGAGTTAGGCTGTTAGAAGCAAACAGGCCACACTTGAACACTTTGCTGCTAAGAAATTTCTTCTACCAGATACCTTAAATCATCACTCTGAAGTTTCAACTTCCACAGATCCTTAGAGCGGGGGCACAGTGCAGCCAAGTTCTTTGCTAAGGAATAACGTGTGACCTTTGCCCCAGTTCCCAATAATTTCTGATTTCCATCTGAGACCTTGTCAGTCTGGATACTGTCCATATCACTATCTGCATTTTGGTCACAATTATTTAGCCAATCTCTAAGAAGTTTCAAACTTTCCCTCATCTTCCTGTCATTTGAGCCCTCCAAACTCTAACAACCTCTGTTCATTACCCAGTTCCAAACCAGTATTTTCTTAAGTTACTTAGATTCGTGCCTTTTCTTTCTCACCTCTTCAAAGAGGCTATGTCATGTAATTGTAATGTAATTGAATTCATTCTTCAGTCTGGATTTCATTCTGACATTTTAGTTGAATTACTTCTTAATTTGCATGTAGTAAAATTTACTCTTTGTGGTATACAATTTGATGGGTTTTGATAAATGCATAGAGTCATTTACATATCAACCACCAAAATGCCATAGAGCAATAGTTCCATCACTGTAAAAATTCCTGTGTGTAGCCACTTTGTAATCATCACCACTCTTTCAACCCTCAAACAATCATTGGTCTATTTTCCACATAGTTTTGCCTTTTATATGTTGTCATATAAATGAAATAATGTATAGCTTTTTAAATCTGGCTTTTTTCCATTTCTAAAATGGATTCATGATTCATTCATTTTGTTAGATTAATCAATATTCATTCTTATTGCTAATTACTTCTCCATTGTATGGGTATATCACAATTTATCCATTTACTTGTTGAACATTTTGGTAATTTCCAGTATTTGGCAGTTATGGATAAAGTGGCTATAAACATTTATGCATAGGTTTTTGTGCAACCAAAAGTTTTCAGTTTACTTGGGTAAATGCATAGGAATGGGATTGAGAGGGAGGTTGTATAGTATATATAAGTTTAACTTTATAGGAAACAGCCAAACTGGCAAAGTAGCTGTACCTTTTTTTTAATTCTCATCAAAATTTAATGAGAGTCTGTTGCTCCACATCCTTAATAACATTTGTAATTGTCAGGTTTTTTTAGTCCATTCTAATAGGTGTGTAGTGGTATCTCAATGTGGTTTTAATTTGCATTTCCCTAATGATTAATAAAGTTGACTAAGTTTTCATGTATTTACTTCCCAGCCATATATCTTCTATGGTTCAGTGTCTGTCCAGAACTTTTGCACATTTTTAAATTGGAATTTTTTTCTTTTTTCTTTTTATTGAGCTTTGATAGTTCTTTATATATTCTGGATACAAGTCCTTTATCAGATACTTTTTTTTTTTTTGAGATGTAGTCTCACTCTGTTGCTCAGGCTGAAGTGCAGTGGTGTGATCTCGGCTCACTGCAACCTCTACCTCCTGGGTTCAAGTGATTTTTCTGCCTCAGCCTCCCAAGAAGCTGGGACTATAGGCAGGTGCCACCACGCCCGGCTAATTTTTGTGTTTTTGGTAGAAATTGGGTTTCACCATATTGGCTAGGCTAGTCTCAAACCCCTGACCTCAAGTGATCCACCCACCTCAGCCTCCCAAAATGCTGGGATTACAGGTGTGAGTCACTGCACCCAGCCTGATTTTTTTTTTAACGGTGTTTTAAAAAATTATTTTATTTAGAGACAAGGTCTTGCTCTGTTACCCAGTCTGGTGTGCAGCAGGGTGGTCATAGCTCACTGCAACTTGGAAGGCAACACTTGCACACAAGTTATCCTCCTGCCTCAACCTCCTGAGTAGCTGGGACTACAGGTGCATGATACTACACCTGGCTAATTTTGTAATGTTTTGTAGAATTGAGGTCTCGCTATATTGCCCAGGCTGATCTTGAACTCCTGACCTCAAGCAATCCTCCTGCTGTGGCCTCCCAAGGTGCTGGGGTTACAGGTGTGAGTTACCATGCCCAGCCTTAATGGTGTCTTTCAAAAAGCAGACATGCTTAATTTTGGTGAAGTCCAATTTATCATTTTTAAAGCAATCAGCATTTGGTGTCATATCTAAAATATTTTGCCTAACCAAAGTTCACAAAAGTTTTCTCTTATGTGACTTATGGATTTCAGTTTTACTATTAGGTCTGGGATTCATTTTGAGTTAATTTTTGCATATGTTGCAAGATATGGCTCAAAGTTCATTTCTTTGCACATGGATATCCAATTCTTCCAGCACCATTTGTTGAAAAGACTATTCTTTCTCCACTGAATTGCCTTTGCACTTACTTTGTCAGATTTATACTTAAATATTTTATATTTTTTTGTATAGACAATACTGTTGTTCTAAAATTACAGTTTCTAGTTTTTCACTGCTGGTACATAGAAATCCAATTTATTTTTGTATATTGACCTTCTATTCTGCAGCCTTGCTAAATGTACTTATTTGTTCTGATAGCTCTTTTGGGGTTTCTCTGGAAGTTTCTATACAGATAATAATGTCATCTGTTGATAGACATAGTCTTATTTCTTTCTATAATCTGCATGCCATTTAAAATACTTTTTTTTGTCATATTGTACTGAATAGGACTTCTAGTATGATATTGAATGGGAACAGTCAGATCTGACATCTTTAAATTTTTTTCTGATCCTGGAGGATGAGCATTCATTCTTTCACCATAACGTATGATGTTACCTGTAAGTTTTCTCTAGATGCTTTTTGTGAAGTTGAGGAACTATTGTTTCTAGTTTGTTGAATATTTTATTACAGATAAATGTTGAATTATAAATGCTTTTCTTACATGCATCGAGATGATCATATGGTTTTTCTTCTTTAGTCTGCTGATGTAGTGAAGTATATTGACTAATTTTTGAAAGTGGAACCAAGCTTATATTCCTGGGATAAACCCCACTTGCCCATTATGTACTGTCATTTTTATATGTTTCTGGGTTAATTTGCTAATGTTTTGTTCCAGGTTGATGAAGAATGATGTGAAGTTTTATTTATTTACTTTGTAATGTCTTTGGTATCAGGATAAGGCTGGCTTCATAAACTGACTTGGGTAGTGATCCGTCCTATTTTAACTTCTGGAGGTTTGTGTGTACTGTAATTGGTATTAGTTCTTCCTTAACCACTTGGGAGAAATCACCAATGAAGCCATCTCAGCCTAGATTTTGTTCTGTTGGAATGTTTTTAATCATGAATCTGTTTCTTTAGAAAATTTAGATTATTCATGTTTTCTATTCTTCTTTCGTAGTTTGTGCCTTTGAAGGAATTTGTCAATTTGCCCAAGTTTTTGAATTTATGAGCTAAGGTTATTTGTAATATTAACAATATTATCTTTTTAATGTTTTTAGGGTCTAATAGCTACTTTTTCAATACAAAATTGGTATGGTGTCCTTCCAATATTGGTAATTCGTGTCATCTCTTTAAAAATTTTTTCAGACTGCTAGAGGTTTATTTGTCCATTTTATTGCATTTTTTAAAGGTTTTGAGTTATTTTCTCTATTGTTTTCTATTTTCAGTTTGATTAAGTTTCTGCTCTTGATTATTTCATTTCTTCTGCTTGCTTTAGGTTACATTTGCATTTTTTTCTAGTGTCTTAAGGTGCAAGCTTCAATCTTTGATTGGAGGCTTTTTGTTTGTTTGTTTGTTTTAATGCTATACATTTCTTTCCTTTCTTTCTTTCTTTTCTTTTTTTTTGAGACAGAATCTCCCTCTGTTGCCCAGGCTGGATTGCAGTGGTGTGATCTCAGCTCACTGCAGCCTCCGCTTCCTGGGTTCAAGCTATTCTTGTGTCTCAGCCTCCCGAGTATTCAAGCAATTCTCATGCCTCAGCCTGCTGGGTAGCTGGGACTACAGGCATGCGCTGCTACACCTGGCTAATTTTTGTATTTTTAGTAGAGATGGGGTTATGCCATGTTGGCCAGGCTGGTCTTGAACTCTTGACCTCAGGTGATCTGCCCGCCTCGGCCCCCCAAGGTGCTGGGATTACAGATGTGAGCCATCATGCCCAGCCTACATTTCCTTCCAAAGACTGCTTTAGCTATATCACACAGCTATTGATAAGGTGTGTTTTTATTTCCATTCAGTTTAAACATATTTTATAATTTTCTTCGTAACTTTTTGCCCAATGGCTCTTTTTGTAATGTGGGGTTTTTTTACATTTTTATTTTTTTTTAATTTTTAAAATTTTGTTTAATTAAAAAAAAGAGACAGAATGGTACTGGTATAAAAATAGGCATATAGACCATTGAAACAGAATAGAGAACCCAGAAATAAAACCCAAATACTTAACAGCCAACTGATCTTTACAAAGCCAACAAAAATGTAAAGTGGGGAAAGGACACCCTTTTCAACAAATGGTGCTGGGATAATTGGCTAGCCACATGTGGGAGAATGAAACTGGATCCTCATCTCTCACTTTATACAAAAAACAACTCAAGATGGATTAAGGACTTAAATCTAAGACCTGAAACTGTAAAAATTCTAGAAGATAACATTGGAAAAACCCTTCTAGACATTGGCTTAGGCAAGGATTTCATGAGCAAAGACCCAAAAGCAAATGCAATAAAAACAAAGATAAATAGCTGGGACTTAATTAAACTAAAGAGCTTTTGCAGGGCAAAAGGAACAGTTAGTAAACAGACAACCCACAGAGTGGGAGAAAAATCTTCTCAATTTATACATCTGACATGGGACTAATATCCAGAATCTACAGCGAACTCAAACAAATCAGTAAGAAAAAAACAATCCCATCGAAAAGTGGGCTAAGGACATGAATAGACAATTCTCAAAAGAAGATATACAAATGGCCAACAAACATATTAAAAAATGCTCAACATCACTAATGATCAGGGAAATGCAAATCAAAACCACAATGTGATACCACCTTACTCCTCCAAGAATGGCCATAATAAAAAAAATCAAAAAACAGTAGATGTTGGTGTGGATGTGGTGATCAGGGAACACTTACACTGCTGGTGGGAATGTAAACTGGTACAGCCACTATGGAAAACACTGTGGAGATCCCTTGAAGAACTAAAAGTAGAACTACCATTTGATCCAGTAATCTCAAATCAGGGTATCTACCCAGAGGAAAAGAAGTCATTATATGAAAAGGACATTTGCACACACATTTTTATAGCAGCACAATTCCCAAATGCAAAATCATGGAACCAACCCAAATGCCCATCAATCAACAAGCAGATAAAACAATTATGATATATATATGATGGAATACTACTCAGCCATGAAAAAGGAATGAATTAATAGCATTTGCAGCAACCTGGATGAGATTGGAGACTATTATTCTCAGTGAAGTAACTCAGGAATGGAAAACCAAACATCGTATGTTCTCACTGATATATAGGAGCTAAGCTATGAGGACGCAAAGGCATAAGAATGATACAATGGACTTTGGGGTCTTGGGGGGAAGGGTGGGATGGGGGTGAGGGATAAAAGACTACAAATAGGGTGCAGTGTATACTGCTCAGGTGATGGGTGCACCAAAATCTCACAAATCACCACTAAAGAACTTACTCATGTAACCAAACACATCCTGTACCCCAATAAACTATGGAAAAATTTAAAACGTTTTTAAAGTTTTATTTTTAAAATTTTGTTTAATTAAAAAAAAATAGAGGCAGGGTCTCCCTATGTTGCCCAGACTGGTCTTAAACACCTGGGCTTAAGAGATCCTCTCCCTTGGCCTCCTAAATTGCTAGGATTACAGGCGTGAGCCACCATGCCCAGCCATAATGCATTGTTTGACTTCCAAATATTTGATTGTTTTCCAGATAGTTCAGTTTTTGATCTTTCACTTAATTTTGTTGGGTTTAGAGAACATACTTAGTATGGATTCAGTTCTTTTGACTTTACTGAGGTTTGTTTTATTACCCAGAATGCAGTGTATCTTGGTGAATATTCCACATGTACTTGTAAGAATGTGTATTCTCCTGTCTTTGGAATGTTCTGTCAGTTAGGTCAAGTGGCTGACATCCTAGCTGATTTTCCATCTACTTATGCTATTGATTAATCTGAGAGGAGTGTTGGCGTGTTTGAGTAAAAGTCTGGATTTGTCTATTTCCCCTTTCAGTTCTATCATTTTTTACCTCATGAAGGCCTTTTGTTCAGCACATACATAGTTAGGATTCATAGATCCTATGCAACAAGTAAGTCCTTTTTGCCTCTATATCCTCAGACTCATTTCAAAATTACTAACTCATGATAAAAAAACCATTGGTGTATGAGAAAGAATATTTAAGTTGGATTGATCCAGAAGCCCTGGCCCACTGCCACTTCTCTGCCACTTAGTAGCTGTGGCAAAATCTTTTGCCCTCTCTCATTTTCCTCATCTGAAAATAATTAGGATTATAATGCTTACAAGATTCATAAGAGAATAAATACAAAGTAGACTTGGAAAATATTTGTTACAGAGAAGGGACCATTAAATATTTGTTGAACTTAATACTTGCAGATTCTGTCTGCTCTCTCATCTTCATCATTGCTCTCTCTACCCTCCTCTCTCTGCTGTGCCAGGGAGCTTGCAATTTCTGTTTCTCAGACTCTCTTGTTATCTGTATTCCTGGTAAGTTCTGCTAAAAGTGGAGGTACCAGTGGGAGAATGGAATCTTGGAAGAAGACAGAGCCAGTCCATTTTTTTTTACAATCTACTCTCTCAGGCAGTGGTGCAGCCGCAGTGGAGATTTCATACATGAAAATGCTGAGACTGAAACTCAGGTGTTCTCACTACAAATTTTGCAGTGTTTCCCCAATATCCCATGTATTCATTTTCTATGACTGCTGTAACAAATTACCACAAATTTATTGGCTTAAAATAACCCAAATACATACTGTTCTATAGTTCAGAAACCCAAATGGCTCACACTGGGCTAAAATCAAGACCAGACTTATTTACTCTTGCTAAATATGTCAAAGCCAACTAATTGACGAAATATAATTTAAGCTTGGCCTTTTATTATATTCTGTAGCTGAAAATCCAAGGCTGGACTGAAAAATCAGCAGAGCTGTATTTCTTTCTCCAGTCCCTAGGGGAGAGTCCATTTCCTTGCTGTTTCCACTTCCAGAGGCTGCCCACATTCCTGTCTCTATGTTCGTAGTTACCAAAGTTGAGTTGAGTCCTTCTCACACTGCCATCTTTCTGGTTCTCCCTCTGTCTACTACCTCTGTCTTAACTTTTAAAGGATCCTTTATTTACCTTAGGCCTACCTGGATAATCCAAGATAATCTGCCTATTTCAAGGTCAGTTGACAAACAACCTTAGTATTTCCCTTTGCCATGTAGTATACTGTGGAGTCTAAAGCAACTCCATCTGGGATGCTAATTATCCATGTTGGCTTCTGATTAACTCCACTTCCAGGAAGGCCTCTAAGGTTTCCAGTGTATCTGTACCTTGTGTAAGGGCAGATACTTAATGTAAATGAGGCCCTTAGATCAAACAACCTTGATGTTAGTTAATTTCCATTGTCCTACATATTCCTTCTAACTCACTCTTTCCTTATGTTATATAAGTCTGGGGGATAATGGTATGGGGATCCACCATCTTATCTCACCACTGCCTGAGACACAAATATCGCTTCTATTCATAAGTCCCTATTAAATGTTTCTTTCTAAGAAACTAGATTTGTCAGCCACTTTCTTCAGCCTGTCAGCTTCCTTGGGCTTTGGGGCAGGTCTGCACATACCATAATCACAGGTTCCAAGGATTAGGATGTGGACATATTTAGGTAGAGGGGTCATAATTCTGCCTACCACACCCTCACTGTATCTCTTTTTACAATAGCTAAAGAAGATGAAATATTGGGAGGGTGCGGTGGCTCACGCCTGTAATCCCAGCACTTTGAGAGGATGAGGCAGGTGGATTGCCTGAGGTCAGGAGTTTGAAACCAGCCTGGCCTACATGGTGAAACCCCAACTCTACTAAAAATACAAAATTAGCCGGGCATGGTGGTGCGTGTCTGTAATCTCAGTTATTTGGGAGACTGAGGCAGGAGAATTGCCTGAACCTGGGAGGTGGAGGTTGCAGTGAGCCAAGATCACGCCACTGCACTCCAGCCTGGACAACAGGAGCAAAACTCCATCTCAAATAATAATAATAAAGAAGATGACATAGTGAAGAATCCAGGGTTAGAAGTCACTCTTGCTACAACTATTAAGCAACTATTGTTATTGCTGGATAATATTAAGCGATAATAAGCTATACCCACTTCTTCACTACATTCTGGCTAGCAATGTTTTCATTGTCTTAGGAAAGGCATATGGCAGAGCAGAAAGCAGAAATATTCTCTAAGTCTTTCTGAGTTTTGCTACTCAAAAACTCAAGTCCTTAGGAGGACTTGGTGGATTTTTTTGACATGGTAAGAATGTGACAAAGTAACATGAAGGTAGGAAGATTTTCTTCAGACATTAGGTCTGCTGGCAACGGCTGGGGAATACTTGGGAAGAGAGAGACTAAAAGAGGTTGTGGGTTCCAAGATCAGAGAAGACTGTTTCCTGCTTCCAGGCGACACCACTGTGAGGAATGACAGTAAGTTGTGTCTAGTCAGATGGGACTTTACAGCTAAGCAAAAGATTTCACGTCTCACGAACAGCTTAGAAGTAGCAGAGACTCTGCAGTCCTAAAAAGGCCATAAATTCAGGAAAGATGTGCTAACTGGTTGCACCAATAAACGATTATCTGGCAAAAACAGCCATGGAGCTCTGGTACCACCCAAGGGAGAAGGGCAATGGAAACCTCATAAAGTAGTAAAGCATTTGTAAAATCTGACCTAGTGGAATAGGATAGCCTGAAGGGTAGCTCAAAGTCTGAAATTAAGTTTTATTAAGAAATCAAAGAAAATTCTATTTCTTTAACACTTTAATTTGTTGAATGGGACTCACACCTGGTACTTTGTACTTAATTTACCTGAAAGTAATTTTTTCTGCTGAGTTCACAGACTGTTTCCATGTTCAACAGTGTTGATGAAGAGTAAGAATAATATTCCTCTTAGCAATCCTATGACAAATGAAACTTACTTAACTTCAACTGCAGAATGTAAGTCCAAATGTACATTATTTGGTAATCAGTTGGTTTTGACACATTTTAGGTGGAGTAAACAGTTGTCAGGAAGATCCAGGGAGAATTAATCTAAAACTGCTTAAAAATCTCCCCCTTAAAGTCTAATATTGTGACTTGATAACATTTTTACGAATGCTTTACTTTCCCTTAAAAGAAATTCTCTAAAATTGCTTTTTGACAGATAGTGACAGCATTTTAAACAAATAGCCTGAAATGTTGTTGCTTCATTTTCAATACTGTGTTCCAAAATGAAATTAGAGTTCTTCAGAGTAAAGATTATTTCTTGAATATCAAATTTAACTGAGGGAAAGTAGAAAACATCTTGGTAAATCTCAACTGAATGATTTGGGATTCCTTGCGTCATTCTTCTGTACTAAGGAAGTAAGCTGATAAAGAAGGTGACGTCTATAGGCAAATACTTTAAATGAAGCCTTTGGATGCCACATCCATTACAAATACAGGGGCTCCATAACTTATGATGGGGCCACCTCTGGATAAACCCACTGCAAGTTGAAAATATCTTAAGTAAAAAATGCACTTGATACACCTAACCTACCAAACATCATAGCCTAGCCTACCTTAAACATGCTCAGAACACTTATACATTAGCTTATAGGTGGGCAAAATCATCTGGCAACACAGTATACCATACAGTATCCGTTGCTTACCCTCCTGATCACATGGCTGACCAGGGGCTGTGGCTCACTGCCACAGGTTTTTGAATTAATGAATAAATGATGAATGAACGAATTAGACTAGTTTTGTATCACTTATATATAAAAAGGTACCTGGCACATGGGTTTGTACTAAGTCTTTTTAGGTTCAGTGAAGGAAAGAACAGATAAATGAATAAACTAAACATGGCAACTCATGTGAGTCAGCAAGGTTGGGTCTTTGCTATCTTTATGAGGCTGAAATTGCTGTATGCTCAAAGCAGCCGTTCACACCTGCACCAGTGGGGCATGTTTTGACCCATTTACCGGGCAGTGGTCTCTGAAGGAATGAAGCAGAAAGGAAGGAGGATTTGGATTTGAGTCAAGGTAGCTTTGTGCATTTCACCTAACTTCTCAGAAACCACCCTCATTTGTGGTGTGAGAACCGCAATACTGACTTCATAGGGTTGCACTGGGGATTAACCAGATTTATACACGGGGCATACCACACTCTGCAGATGTTAAATATTGTTATTTGTTAGAGAAAAACAAAAGTTCTGGGATTATGATGTTGTGTATCTTTTCAGAAAAAATAAATGTATGAAAGTACCTAATGGTTTTGTTCTTGAAACTGATATTTAATTAATTTGGATCAGTTGATTGATTTACTGGGTTGTATTTCCTAGGGGTTACTGTTATGCAAATTCAGTAGAATTGTGTGTTCCCATAAATCCACAGGATGTCATTGTCAGTCTCCCTTTATTACTCTAAGCTATCTCTTACTTAAAGTCACTTAGCCAACTTCCTAAAAACTTTGATAATGGAAGAAAAGATGAATCATGGTTATCATCAAGATAGGCTAACCTAATTGCTTTTGGGACTTCAAACCATTTTCCATTAGTAGCTTCTCTGGGCATTGACTAAGACAATGAGAACAGTAAATTACAAAATAATGACAATGCACTAAGGATAAAATTAAAAATAGATTTTACATAAATATTTGAGATGTGAACCTAAATGAGACATCAAGATTGTGAGTTTAAAGACCTAAGAAGAGTTCATGCTAAAAATTTTGAAGTATTTTGATGAGAAAGTTAAGATGATAAGTTATATTCTAATCATCTTCAATCATCTTGGCAGAAGAATTTTAGAATTGAGAGGGAATATATAGATAATATTTAAACCCAATTGCAGCATTTTTTTTTTTCCATGGATGGAAAGACTGAGCCAAGAGAGGGTAAGTAACCTATCCAAAGTTTAACAGCGGAAAGTAAATAAATGAAGAACAGGGCAGGGCTCTGCTCCCTATTCCCAAAGAACTTTGTCCCTGTCTCATTTCCCCTCAAGCCCAGAAAAGTCTGCAGCAGATCTGGAGGGAAAGTCCTCATCTTCCTCCATCATTCCTCCATTTCTCTAGCAGAAGATACTTAAGACTGAACTTTCTTTTCTACCTTTTACTTCCTTAGCAAACTCTCTAAATTCTGTAAGGGGTTTAAGACTTTTGGCTAAAGAATTCTCCCCTGAAACAATGAATATGCAGCTGACGCTGACAACCCATTTAGAGGGTGAATGGTGAGAAAACAATGGGGGTTGGAAGAGAATTTGGGGAAGCCTCTAAATGTTCCCAGAGAATATCCAGCCAAAACTATGTGCCATTCATTGCTGAGTGTAGGGACATAGGCCTAAGTAAATGAGCAATTAAAACACATCCTTGCTTATCCAAATCCTAGAATGTATCACAGGATGTTATAATTATTCTATTAGTTTTACTCCAGCATTTATTTTTGTTCTGCTTACGTCACTTATTACTTTCTCCAAGATCCTTTAAATGTTTCCACCCCAGACTTAACTATTTGGATAAAGCATGAATCCAAATTGGAGTATTAAAAATAATGGAGCTGAGGCCGGGTGCGGTGGCTTATGCCTGTAATCCTAGCACTTTGGGAGACTGAGGCAAGTGGATCATTGGAGGTCAGGAGTTCAAGACCAATCTGGCCAACATAGTGAAACCCGTCTCTACTAAAAATTCAAAAGTTAGCCAGGAGTGGTGGTGGGCACCTGTAATCCCAGATACTCTGGAGGCTAAGGCAGGAGAATTGCTTGAACCCGGGAGGGAGAGATTGCAAGTGCCTCCCAAGGTGAGCCAAGATTGTGCCATTGCACTCCAGCATGGGCAACAGAGTGAGACTTCGTCTAAGAAAAAAAAAATGGAGCTGAGGGAAGCAAAGCAAAACTCTGTTCTTTCTTTCTGTCACCGAAGAATATGCATAGGTTGATTTACCTTTTCTGTGAAAGAATACCCTCATTACAAACCCTGATATGGAATAGTATTAACACCCTCATTACAAACCCTGATATGGAATAATATTAACTTGTATTGGGGAAAATGGTATCTTTTTCCACACTTTCTTTTCTGGCATTATTATTTTACAATTTTCCAGAAAGGACAAAGCAAACAGCTATAAATACTCACATGCACTTAGAAGTACATTTCTTTTTAAATTACACATTTTGTTGTTTTTAATTATCAAGTTCAATATTGCAGCATATAAAATTCTTGGGGTTTTTTTTTGTAGAAAATATCATCACTTAACATCCTTCATTTGTCTGTTCGTTCATGCAGTCTCACTCTGGCAGCTGTTGGAGGCGATCACTTCCTTGGGAGGCACTTGTATCGTGTTCATGTGCATATTAATGAAACTCTACAACTTTCCTATTCTAACCTAAACACTTTGCTGCTACTTCAGCTGATTATGGCCCTGGATACTTGCCACAGTGAATCCTGTATTTAGTGGAAACAAAATATATTGATGACAAACATGTTTCTTATCAAAAGTCAAAAAGATGGATCTGAATTCAGATTGTGCAGTAAAAACAAGTATGTAAACTCATTATACAGACAAGATGCAAATTTACTGAGCCTGGGAAAAATGATGAGGACAGCTTCAAATCTGAAGGAAGAGGCAGCGTCAGGCCTCATTATTATAAAAGCTTGGCTAGAAAATAGATTTTTCAGGACATGTTTGTGTGGAGGCGAATATTAAATCATCGAGTCCCCCGGGAGGTGGCAGAGCGCGTGAGTGCCTGGTGAATGTGGTGGAGCAGCTAATGGGCTGGAACCACTGAGATCATGATTCTCTTTCCTCATTGTGCTTCCATGCCAGTTCTGCCTAATCACATGATTAAACCAGTAATTTGAGGCCATAGGTTTTCTCTTTATGTGGTCTACGTGGCATTACAGTTAAAAAAAATGATTTTTTTTTTTTTTTTTGAGACGGAATCTCGCTGTCGCCCAGGCTGGAGTGCAGTGGAGCGATTTCAGCTCACTGCAGGCTCCGCCCCGCGGGGTTCACGCCATTCCCCCGCCTCAGCCTCCCGAGTAGCTGGGACTACAGGCGCCCACCAGCTCGTCCGTCTAATTTTTTGTATTTTCAGTAGAGACGGGGTTTCACCGTGTTAGCCAGGATGGTCTCGATCTACTGACCTCGTGATCCGCCCGCCTCGGCCTCCCAAAGTGCTGGGATTACAGGCGTGAGCCACCCCTCCCGGCCAAAAAAAAGATTTTGTTTCGACATATTATGCACCTAATCTGTTATGTGTTCTATGCATATGGATGTCTTAGTCCAAACCAATTATCCAGGACTACACTCAGACAGAAAGAGAACACATAGTCGAACCCCTAAATTTCTTGGAAGTCCTACTTGAAAAGCAACTTCTGTGATAGGTTAAATTGCCTCCCCCAAAAGTATCCATATCTTAACTCTTAAAACCCATGAATGGCCTGGCGTGGTGGCTCACACCTGTAATCCCAGCACTTTGGGAGGCCGAGGTGGGTGGATCACGAGGTCAGGAGATCGAGACCATCCTATCACGGTGAAACCCCGTCTCTACTGAAAATACAAAAAATTAGCCGGGTGTGGTGGTGGGCGCCTGTAGTCCCAGCTACTTGGGAGGCTGAGGCAGGAGAATGGCATGAACCCGGGAGGCGGAGCTTGCAGTGAGCCAAGATTGTGCCACCGCACTCCAGCCTGGGCGACAGAGCGAGACTCCGTCTCAATAAAAAACAAACAAACAAACAAACAAACAAAAACCATGAATGTTAACCTTAGATGACAAAATCAAGGGCTTTGCAGATGTGATAAAGTTAAAGATCTTGAGATGAGAGGATTATCCTGCATTACCTGGGTGGGCCCAAAGTGCCATCACATACATCCCCTTATAAAAGGGAGGCAAGGAAGATGTGAGCAGACAGAAGAGGAGAAGGCAATGTGACCACAGAAAAAGAGAATGGAGTGATGTGGCCACAAGCCAAGGATTGCAGCAGCTACCAGAAGCTGGAAGAGACAAGAAACGGATTCTACCCAGGGGCCTCTAGAGCAGGGGTCCCCAAACCCCAGGGCCACACAGCAGGAGGTGAGCAGCGGGCCAGGGAGTGAAGCTTCATCTGTATTTACAGCTGCTCCTATTGCTCGCATTAAGGCCTAAGCTCCGCCCCCTGTCATATCAGCGGAAGTATTAGATACTCATAGGAGGCGAACCTTATTGTGAACTGCGCATGTGATTTACACACTCCTTATGAGAATCTAATGCCTGATGATTTGTCACTGTCTCCCATCACCATATGGGACCATCTAGTTGCCGGAAAACAAACTCAGGGCTCCCACTGATTCTACATTATGGTGAGTTGTGTAATTATTTCATTACATATTACAATATAATAACAATAGAAGTCAAGTGCTCAATAAATGTAATGTGCTTGAATCATCCTGAAACCATCCCCCCACCCCCAGTCTGTGGAGAAATTGTCTTCCAGGAACCTGGTCCCTGGTGGCAAAAAGGTTGGGGAGTGCTGCTCTAGAGGATGTACAGCCATGTTGGCATCTTGATCTCAGCTCCGTGAAAGTGACTTTGGACTTCTAGCATTCAGAAGCATGAGATAATATATTTCTGTTGTTTTAAGCCATCAGGTTTGTGTTCATTTGTTACAGCAGCGATAGAAAACTAATACAGCTTCTGGCTGGGCACAGTGGCTCACTCCTGTAATCCCAGCACTTTGGGAGGCTAAGGCAGATGGATCATCAAGGTCAGGAGTTTGAGACCAGCCTGGTCAACATGGTGAAACTCTGTCTCTACTAAATACAAAAATTAGCCCGGTGTGGTAGCATGCACCTGTAGTCCCAGGTACTCGGGAGGCTAAGGCAGGAGAATTGCTTGATCCCGGGTTGCAGTGAGCTGAGATTGTGCCACTGCCCTCCAGCCTGGGACAGAGCAAGACTCCATCTCACCAAAAAAAAAAAAAAAAAAAAAAAAAGAAAGAAAGAAAGAAAAAACTAATACAGCTTCCTTCAGGCAGCCTCTGCTGACTTCTCAATTTGGGTTGGGTGCCTTTCCTACAAATTGTTTTAAAGAGATGGAATCTCACTCTTACTCTGTCACCCAGGCTGGAGTGCAATGGTTCAATCATAGCTCAGTGCAGCCTTGAATTCCTGGGCTCAGCGGATCCTCTCTCCACAGCCACCTGAGTAGCTGGAAATACAGGTGCATGCCACCACGCCCAGCTAATTTCTTAAAAAGAAATTTTTTTAGAGACAAGGCACACTATGTTGCCCAGGCTGGTCTCAAACTCCTGGCCTCAAGCAATTCTTCCACCCCTGCCTCCCAAGTTGCTGGGACTGTAGGAGTGAGCCACTGCACCCGGTCATTTCTTACATATTTTGACAGCACCCAGTACTAATAGCACTGCATAAAAACTTCTTGTTTCAAGGTCTTTTTTTCTCTGCTGTTAGTTCTGAAAACGTAGGGAGAGAGCTTCTTATTATAAGAATAGGCTTTAGCATTGTGTTTGGCACATGGGAAGTAGTTATTAAATAACTGAGAAATTTAAATGTGTGGACTCAAACTTTCAATATTTAAAAATTGACATCTCAGTTTTCTAGAAGGGGTGTGGTGTGTGCATCTCATTTATTAAAAGTAATGGCCAAAACCACAATTACTTTTACACCATCCTAATATTTCAAGGCCCAAATCCCAAAGTTTCCCAAACAAGCTGCCACTTAGAAAAAAAGCAAACAAAACCTTCTGTTGGAAATTAGCCTGTTTTTATTGGAGAACTGACATTTGGGAAATAATTTTATATTAAAAAATTCTGAGGCCAGGCGCAGTGGCTCATGCCTGTAATCCCAGCACTTTGGGAGGCCGAGGCAGGTGGATCACTAGAGGTCAGGAGTTCGAAACCAGCCTGGCCAATGTGGTGAAACCCCGTCTCTACTAAAAATACAAAAATTAGCCGGGTGTGGGGGTGTGCGCCTGTAATCCCAGCTACTCAGGAGGCTGAGGCAGGAGAATCGCTTGAACCCGGGAGGCAGAGATTGCAGTGAGCTGAGATCACGCCACTGCGCTCCACCCTGGGAGACAAGAGCAAAACTGCATCTCAAAAAAAAAAAAAAAAAAAATTCTGAAGGTGTAAAGAAGTAAACCTCTAAGTTTGAGTAGTAAAACTGTACATACACTAGGCTTATTTAAAGTCTTTATTGTTGTTGTTGTCGTCGAGTTGGGGTCTCACTCTGTCACCCAGTCTGGAGTGCAGTGGCGCCATCACTGCTCACTGTAGCCTCAACCTCCCCAGGCTCAGGTGAGCCTCCCACCGCAGCCTGCTAAGTAGCTGGGACTACAGGTGCACACCACCATGCCCGATTAATTTTTTGAATTTTTAGTAGAGACAGAGTTTTGCCATATGGCCCATGCTGGTCTCAAACTCCTGGCTTCAAGTGATCCACCTGCCTCGGCCTCCCAAGGGGCTAGGATTACAGAAATGAGCCACCATGCCCAGCCTAAAATCTGTTATCTCCTTTGTGGTTTTCAAATTGGTCTCTCTATCTCATTCTGCCTTTCTTATCTCATCGCCAGAAGGGTAAAGTTCCACCTCAATAGAGGGACAATCACTCTAAAGCTTAGCCCTGTCTGCTTTCCTATCTCCCACTACTCACCAGCACAGAAACTTCTCTGCTGCTAACCAGAAGTAGTGACTGTCCCAGGGCACAATGTGGTGTTTTGTTTCATTCTGTTTTGCTGCTCAGTCTTTTTCACCTGCCACTTTTTCTACTTTCAAGGCTATTTTCTCTCATCTCTGCTTACCCATACTCTTCATCCTTCAAGGACCTGATCAAATGCCACTTTTATACCACTCCAATGCTGAGTAATTTATCAGAAACCTGACAGCACTGAACTGTACTGCATATTTTTATGTCACTAAACGGTGGGAATCTTTTCATGTGTGAATTCCATATTCTCATTTGGCATAGAGATGAAGGTTAAAAGTTTGTGCTATCATGTTGCTTAAGATAGATGTTCATTAAATACTGTATGATAAATTAGTAACACACAGCAACCACTTGAACAGTCTGAGATTATTTGCTGAGTGCTCAATAGCTAAACAAAGCATGTTCTACAGTAGTATTGTTTGACTAAAATGTTGAATAGTTGGTCTCACAGGATGCAGCATCCACATTCTGAGTAAATGAGATTTCCTTCGCATTACAGTTTTTTAAATTAATATAAGCTGAGTCTGACATTGAGTTTACTTAATAAAATGATTTTATGTCCAAGTGCAGTGGCTCACACTTATAATCCCAGCACCTTGGCAGGCTGATCCCTTGAGCCCAAGCGTTCTAAACCAGCCTGGGCAACACGGTGAACCTCCGTCTCTACTAAGATTACAACATTTAGCTGTGAGTGGTAGTACATGCCTGTGGTCCCAGCTACTCGGGAGGCTGAGGTGAGAGAATCACCCGAGCCAGAGAAGTCAAGGGTGCAGTGATTGCACAACTGCACTCCAGCCTGGGTGACAGAGGCTCAAAAAAAAATGTTTTTGTAACAAAATGACCATATGTAAGATAAAATACAACTCAGACGTTATGAAATGTGACAACATAGTTTTATCTTTGTCTGGTTGAGGCCATAGAGTCCAGACTGCCCTTTGTGGTGTGACTTTGAATTCACTGAAGGAAGTGGAAGTTATCACTCTTAATCATCATGGGAAGAGGTAAACTCTGGGATAGTAACAGGTGGGGACTAATAAGGGAAGCGTTTCTTACTGTGGGAATGAAGTGGACCCAAATTTCTAGGCCTAAAGAAGCCTGGAGTGATTTTAGGGATGGGGCTAATATATGTATATATATTTTTTACCCTAAGTTATTACAGATACAATTGGCGGAGTTTACAGCTTTCTTACAGGATTTAGTCAGCTTTTCTAACTCCTTCTGATGGACCAGTACCCAAATAATACTCTCTGGCATTTCCTCTTTTCCTCCCATTACTATTACGGCACTAATTTAGTAGCCATGGGACATGGGCAAAGTTGATACATAATTGATAACTACTTTCTAGCTAAAAGAGAAGCTGCTACTTCTGGACTTTGTTTTCCTCCATTTTCCCATAGGTTGGTATGTTGGTGTTATGTTCACTCAGCTCCACCATAAAGGACAATGCAGAGCGATAAGATGCAAAGAATGTGGGGTTCTTGAATGAACTCCTGGAAAAGAGCTACCTCACCAGCTTAGGCCTGCTAAGCTGCTACACGAGAGAGGAATAGAAGTCAGTCTTTTTTTTTTTTTTTTTTTTTTTTTGAGATGGAGTCTGGCTCTGTTGCCCAGGCCAGAGTGCAATGGCGCAATCGTGGCTCATTGTAACCTCTGTCACCCAGGTTCAAGTGATTCTCCCGCCTCAGCCTCCCGAGTAGCTGGGATTACAGGCACCTGTCATCATGCCCGGCTAATTTTTGTATTTTTAGTAGTGACGGCGTTTCATCATGTTGGTCAGGCTGGTCTTGAACTCCTAACCTCAGGTGATCCGCCCCCCACCTCAGCCTCTCAATGTGTTGGGATTACAGGTGTAAGCCACTGCACCTGGCCTTTTTTTTTTTTTTAAAGACTGAGTCTTGCTCTGTTGCTTAGGCTGAAGTGCAGTGGCATGATCTCGGCTAGAATCCAGTAGCTAGGATTACAGGCGGCGCTACTACACCCGACTAATTTTTGCATTTTTAGTAGAGACGTAGTTTCGTCATGTTGGCCAGGCTGGTCTCAAACTCCTGACCCCAAGTGATCCGCCTGCCAAAGTGAATCTTTTTGAAGTCATATATTTTTGGTGTTTTTGCTTTAGAAATGTAATTATTATTCCAGCTAATATAGATATTGGTACCTAACATTATAAAAACCTTACCTGTGTGGCATTGCTCGAGATATTGACAATTAAAAAATAGATGTTGCAGATATTGGAAAGCTGATGAAGCTTATAATGTCAAGGCAATATTTGGTAAAATTGTCATCTGCAATTACTTGGAAAGAAGGCCACATACCTGATTGTGAGCCCTAGAGAAAGCAGTCAAAAAGCCAGAATATTTGTATGTTGGCTGCTCTTTGCTGCTTTTCATGGGTTATTATAACAAAGAAATGAGCCCAGGCAAAAACCGACCAATTTGCAAGAATAGCTGGAAGAAAGGAGAACCACATGGTTCAACTACTCTGAATCCCGCGAAGGTGGGAGATAAGGTGTTTCTAAGAGTGTTCTTCAGTGTCCTCTCATCAAAAGATTCCCAATCAAACCGGGGAGTTAGATTCAGCAACAAAGATCAGATTGAGCCTGTTGTGTCAGATAGCCTCAAGGGAATTGCCTGTGAAGTGGGAAGAGAGTGATGGTTAAACTCTGAAGCCAGAAAATAAGGAGAGTTTAAGAAATATGACCAGTAAAGATACTGTGGGTTGTAATTGACACATTAAATCAGACCTGAATCCAATAGACCAGAAACTACCACGTATTTGGGTAAATGTTATTGCCAAGCAAACCACATATCTGTTATTGTTCAACCTAATACAATCCTCAGGCTTGTAAAACTGCACTAGTAGGAAGCAGTGTGAAAGGAGCTGGGCATCCCTGAAGGAAGGCATAAGGAAGGAATGTTTTCAGACTCAGATGAGGGCACGGAGAACAAGGGGCAAGGCAGAACCACTCCAAGGTAAAGCCACAGTCTTAGGTGACAGTAGACAAGGAACTTCCTCCCAGAACCCAGAACCAAATACTAACCCCAAGAAAAGTACTCCACATATGGGGCAAGGCCCTTTGCAATGACTGGTGGCAAAACTCCATCACTAATGACCAGCGGCTGATGCGTATTTTGTTTCTTCTGTTTTCTGAGAAGGAATTTCTACTGTGTGTATCCAGTCCCATCCACCGATGTTTATTGAAGATATGGGTACAGGGACGAGTGGAGGCAGGGGAAGAATCGGGGAGGGGATGGGCTGGTGACTTGTTCACTGGGAGACACATCCAGATTTGGTGCAGGTGGCTGCATATTGCCCAGATATTTTGGACTTTAAGTTGGGTGCAATAGCTGGATAGGACCCTGGGCTATCTTTTTTAGGGGAGAGGTTGAATGTGTTCTGTGTGAGGGATAGAAAGGGTATGCACAGTACAGTTATTTGAGTGATCAGTGTGTGTTAGGAAATTGCTTATTCTCCAGCTTTCTTTCCTGCTGGATGTGGACTTATGACAAATTTTGGCAAATAAGAAGTGAGCCAGGCCAGGCTCAGTGGCTGAGGCCCGTAATCCCTGTGCTTTGGGAGGCTGAGGTGGGTGGATTGCTTGAGCTCAGGAGTTCGATACCAGCCTGGGCAACATGAAGAAACCCTGTCTCTACAAAAAATAAAAAAGATTAGCTGGGTGTGGTGGCACATGCCTGTAATCCCAGCTACTTGAGAAGCTGAGGTGGGAGGATTGCTTGAACCCAGGGGGTGGAGGTTGCAGTGAGCCAAGATTGTGCCACTGCTCTCCAGCCGGGCAACAGAGTAAGACTCTGTCTCAAAAAAGAAAAAGAAAAGAGCCAAACTGATATGTATACTATGTATACCACTGAGGTACTTCCTAATTAAAAGACAAATATCTGTCCCTGGATTTTGGCTGTAATATGGATGTCATGACAATTTAGCTGTAACAACGTAGGTGAGGACAACATCCTTGGGGACGGTGAAGCAATGAGAAAGAAGCTATGTCCCTGACCTGTGTAAGTTCCTCCAGCTCATACTGGCCATATTATTCTGTAAGCCAGAACTTTCTATCTTATTTAAGTCACTGTATTTTGGGGACTCTTTGTTACAGCAGCTTGATCTTTCTCCCAGTTCAAGATACCTCTTACTGGCTTCCTGTATAAATGTTACATTGACTGAACACATGAAAACTGTTCTGGATTGCACAAGGCTAGTTTTTTTACTGTGCTAAAGAGTTAGATGTCTCAGTTGATTAAGACATGGACAATTTTCTTGTAATGTTACCTGAGTGACAACTGCCACAGTTATAGAAAATTGGTGATCATTCTTGGACATGACTTTGGGAGTGTTGGGGTAAAAGAGAGTGTTGAAGTGGTAAAGCCCCTGTAATCACCCTTGCCATGATTCTCATGTCTGGGCCCTATCTTAAAATAATAATAATAATAGTAATAATACATCACTTAAATCCTGCATATGCTGGCTCTCTCTTTGGTTAAAGTCCTCTCACAAATGTCTATACTGTCCTTATTTGCAAGGAGATGTCCCAGTAAGGAAATCATAGGGAAGTAAGTGGGATCTATGAAAACACTTCCTGTTAGAGGTGGAACAGATCCTGCGGGTATCCCTGTGGGTCTGAAGCAATTTCAGTCCTTGCCTCCTCAGAAGAAAGAACTCGACTGAGGGGCATAAGGCAGAAAAAGAGACTGAGGCAAGTTTCAGAGCAGGAGTGGAGGTTTATTTAAAAAGGCTTTAGAACAGGAAAGAAAGGAAAATTCACTTGGAAGAGACCCAAGCCAGTGCGTGAAGGTCCGAGAGAGAGGAGAAGAGATTAAAAAAGAGGCCTTTAACCTTGATCCTAGGGCTTCACAAGCTGGCTTCTTTCCCTTGGTTCTTCTCCTAGGGTGGGCTTCCCGCATGCGCAGGCGTTCCTTACATTTTTGGTAAGGAAACTGAGCATGTGCAGTGTGCTTAGGCAGTTACACACATGCCCATCTGAGACTTTTTTCCTTTTTCCGGTGGTGGGTGCCCCAGAACATCATACTTCACCATTTTGTCTCTTAACATGAATGCCCAAGAAACTGCTTCTCCCTGGGGCCTGCATTCAATTCACACGTTTAATGTTAACGGGTGTGGATGATCAGGAGATTGCCTCTCCCTTGCTGCTGAATTACCGTTTTTAGAGAGGCACTGCGATCATTGCAAACCATCCCCCTACATTCCTAGTGGATTGGGGGAGAGCCCTCGCCTGACCCACTCATGCCTGTCTATCTATCTATAATATTCCCAGTTTCACTTCTCCTCTTCCTCTGAGTGCCTCTAGCACCTTATTCTTACTTTTGTTCTTAAGTATGAGAATATGACAATAGTGAAACTTCCTTTGCAAAAATTGTAACAATGAGAATATTATGATAGTGAAAGAGATCTAATCTAACAAACCCCCATCTTGCCTTTAACCTCCAAACTGCGTTTAATTATTCCTGGGCTTGGGCCACGCTAACTTTGGGAGACATTTATAGTTTAAATGATAATAGCACTTCCCCCAAATTAAACTGCCTTCGTAAGGCTAATAAAAGACTACCAGCCAGGTTGGGAGCAGGAGTGGAGCTTGAATCCTGCTAAGGCGTCAATGTCATAAGATTTGCAACTTTCCCAATTACTCCTGCAGATAACATCACTATTGTAGAACCTAAGATTGGCCTTTTGAGATGTCTTTTTGGGTTTTTGCATTTCTGATGACCAATGGCTCCACCCAGACCTGCCAACTGGTCCTGTGTCCCCACCCAGCAGAGGACTCACATCCCTGTGATTGCATCCCCAACCAACCAGCAGCACCCATTCCGTGGCTGGCCAAAATGTCCTTGAAAATCCTAGGCCAGGCTTGGTGGCTCACACCTGTAATCCTAGCAAGGCTGAAGTGGGTGGGTCACTGGAGCCCAGGAGTTTGAGATCAGCCTGGGCAACATGGTGATACCCCATCTCTACAAAAATACTAAAAATTAGCTGGGTGTGGTGGCTGTAGTCCCAGCCACTTGGGAGGCTGAAGTGGGAGGGTCACCTGAGCCCAGGGAAGTTGAGGCTGCAGTGAGCCATGATCATGCCACTATACTTCAGCCAGGGTGCTCTCACTCCAGAGTGAGACCTCGTCTCAAAAAACAAACAAACAAACAACAAAAACAAAACAAAAATAAGAAGAAGAAGCAAAAAAAGAAAAACCCTAGCCTCTGAATTTTCAAGGGAGGCTTATTTGAGTAATGGTAAAACTCCAGTCTCCCATTCAGCCAGCTCTGCATGAATTAAACTCTTTCTCTATTGCAATTCCTCTGTCTTAATAAATTGGCCCAGATAGGGCCAGTGAACCCACTGGGTGGTTACATTAGTTTTTCTCCATTTGCCAGATCTCCTTGAGTGTGTGATGACAGTGACCGGGAATGAATTCTAGACTCACCTCATACCACCTTTTTTTAGGTGAGTACCCTTTAATCCTCACCCTATTGTGAAAAAAAATCATTAAGTGTCAAAAGGTTTCTAATTGTGTTTCTAATTGGTCTAATTTTCTGACTACCCCTTTGAAAGAAGACTCCAGTGATCAGATTTATAAAGAATGACTTCAAATTTCAGGTATTCCTGTTAGCTTGGATTTTCCCTTGCTAAGATTTTTAGAACAGGGCTGTTTTTTTTAATGTGACCAGACCTCCCTTTGGTGCTTGTGAGTATTTTACTCATGTGCTCCTGACGGCAACCCCTTGCCTATCCCTGCTTTTGTTTTATCACTCTCGTTTTAGTGACAAGTATTTGTAGTGGTACCAATTCCTCAGGTGTTCAAAAGAACATTCCCTTCTTACTTTTCTTTTTTCCTTTCCAAATGTATTCATAACCTGTATGATTATTTGGTATTATGCTACCTATCTTTGGATAACATAATGTAATTTTTTATGCTTACATGCAAATGAGCATTATCCAATAATAAAAAGTGGTAGATGTACTTGAATCAAAAGCGGTGATAATTATACAATCTTTAAATTAATTAATGAGCCAAAGGCAGCTAAACATTAACATTTAGAAAGATCTCTACTGCATGAGCTACTAATGAGTTCATTGAGATCCATCATGCAACCCATTTTGGAAGGCATAGGCTGTATTTAATAATATTCAATCAAATCTAATATTAAAATTATGAACACAAGGCATTGTTGAGTGTGAAATTACCATTGAATTTTAATTGTTAAACTTGTATTTCTTGTTGGTACTCCTAGATGAATGATAATTTGATGAGGAAGTGGGTAATCTGTATACAGTGGGCCATTTACTGAATAACAAGGAATTCTAAGGTGTCCTGATTCAGGCTGATCATTCACGTACAAATTCAAAATTCATTTGTCTCAGCTGCTTTGGAGTTTCCGCTGTCCCCAGGCAAGAAGGGTGCTCATTTTGACTTCTTTTCCCTCTATTCTATGAGTTTTTTATTTTATTTTATTTTTTTTGAGACAGAGTCTTACTCTGTTGCCCGGGCTGGAGTGCAGTGGCACAATCTTGGCTCACTGCAACCTCCGCCTTCTGGGTTCAAGCGATTCTCCTGCCTCAGCCTCCCGAGTAGCTGGGATTACAGGCAGCTGCCACCACGCCCGGCTAATTTTTTGTATTTTTAGTAGAGATGGGCTTTCACCATGTTGGCCAGGATGGTCTCGAACTCCTGAACTCGTGATTCGCCCACCTCAGCCTCCCAAAGTGCTGGGATTACAGGCATGAGCCACCGTGCCCAGCCTCTATGAGGATTTTTCTTTTAAAGAACATAGGAAGTTTTAGAAACATATTAACAGTTTCTATTATAAAATAAATTTTAAGTGAAACAATACAGAGATGCCCTTCAGTCCCACCCCTGCTTTCTTTCACTCATTAGCCAAACCTCAAAGTTACCCACTATCCTGACTTCTAACAAAATTGAAGAGTCTTGCCTGTTTTTGTACTTTATAATAATGGAATCAGATGGTATTTTTTTGTCTACTTTCTTCTGCTTAACATTGTTTTTGTAAGATTTATTCATATTGTGGCATGTCATAGATCATTCATTTCTTACTGTTGTGTAATATTCCACTGGGTGAGTAGCCCACAATTTATTTATCTATTTTACTATTAAAGAAACTATTTGATTAGTTTCCAATTTGTGGCTGTTTTGAATTGTGCTACTCTGCACATTCCAGTACGTGTTTTGTTGATTTTTAATTGTGGTAATTGTGAAAGAAAATCATTAAGTGTCAGAAAGTTCCTAATTGTATTTCTAATTGTTCCAATTCTCTGACCACCCCTTTGAAAGAAGACTGCAGTGATCAGGTTTCAAAAGAATGATTCAATTTTTTTTTTTTTTTTGAGATGGAGTCTTGCTTAGCTGCGCAGGCTGGAGTGCAGTGGTGAGATCTCGGATCGCTACAACCACTGTCTCCCAGGTTCAAGTGATTCTCCCATCTCAGCCTCCCAAGTAGCTGGGATTACAGGCACCTACCATCATGCCCTGCTAATTTTTGTATTTTAGTAGAGACGGGGTTTCACCATGTTGGCCGGGCTGGTCTTGAACTCTTGACCTCAGGTGATCTGCCCACCTCAGCATCCCAAAGTGCTAGGATTACAGGTGTGAGCCACCACGCCTGGCCCAAGAATGATTCAAATTTAAGATATTCCTGTTAGCTTGAATTTTCCCTTGCTTAGATTTCTAGAACAGGGCTATTTTTTAATGTGACCAGAACTCCCTTTGGTGCTTATGAGTATTTCACTCATGTCTTCCTGATAGCAACTCCTTATACATAAATAGGTTATACCCATCAAACAACAACTGCCAATTCCTCTTGCCTTCTGGCCCTGGGCAATCACCATTCTACTATCTCCATGAATCTGACTACTCTAGTTACCTTATGTAAATGCAACCATACAATACTTATTTTTGTGTGTGTGATTGCTTTGTTTCATTGAGCATAATGTGCTCAAGTTTCATCCATGTAACATATGTCAGAATTTTCTTCCTTTTTAAGGCAGAATAATATTCCATTGTGTGTATATATCACATTCCAGTTTATGTTTTTGATGAACATATGAACACATTTCTGATAGGATTATACTCAGTTGGGTCACACAGCATATACAAAGTTTTGACTTTACTAGAGTTTCGCGAACAATTTCTTTTACCAATTTACACTCTCACCAGACATGTATGAACTAGCTACATTTTTTTTTTTTTTTTTTTTTTTGAGACGGAGTCTTGCTCTGTCACCCAGGCTGGAGTGCAGTGGCGGGATCTCGGCTCACTGCAACCTCTGCCTTCCAGGTTCACGCCATTCTCCTGCCTCAGCCTTCTGAGTAGCTAGGACTACAGGCGCCCGCCACTGCGCCCAGCTAATTTTTTGTATTTTTAGTAGAGACGGGGTTTCACTGTGGTCTCGATCTCCTGACCTCATGATCCGCCCGCCTTGGCCTCCCAAAGTGCTGGGATTACAGGCGTGAGCCACCACGCCTGGCATGGTCTAGCTACATTTTAATTTAGTAAAGTTATTGTTTCTTCTAGCTATGTATACTACAATGGCCAGATGCCAGTTATAAAAGAGTATTGAGTGCATTTTTTTTTTTTTTTTGAGACGGAGTCTTGCTTTGTCTCCCAGGCTGGAGTGCAATGGTGCAATCTCAGCTCACTGCAACCTCTGCCTCCCAGGTTCAAGCTATTCTCCTGCCTCAGCCTCCCGAGTAGCTGGGATTACAGGTTCCTGCCACTGTGCTCGGCTAATTTTTGTATTTTTTAGTAGAGACGGGGTTTCACCATGTTGGCCAGACTGGTCTCGAACTCCTGACCTCAGGTGATCCACCCGCCTCAGCCTCCCAAAGTGCTGGGATTACAGGCGTGAGCCATCACGCCCAGACTTGAGTGCATTTTCATTGTTAATACACATGTTATTAATTGAGGTAACATCAGCTTCTGCAGTACATACAGTTTCTTTCTCATTCCCTAACCAGTTCAATGTGTTTCCAGTAAGGCAGTCTCCTCGCCTGTGAGAATTGATTCAGGACTTCAGAATTCTTTTCTTCCATTTCGTAGCTCTACCATGTTCAATATGTGGTTTCCAGTATTACCCTGGGCATTGACATCCAGAGAGGAGAGTGTGGAGAAAGCAATGCCATCTTTTTCACCATCTCAGCCAGGAAGTGACACATATCCTTTCTACTCACATTTCCTTAGTAGGAACATGTCACATGGCCCCACCTAGATGTGAGGGGTTGGGCAAAAGGTATTCCCTGGTTGGACGGCTGCTCCATTAACAGCTCTACACTATGGTCAAGTCCAACAGAAGATAAAGGTAAAAAATTTAAAAAGAAACAAACAATACACTATAGAAAAGGAGCACCAATACTTGTTGGCTGCTTACTGTGTTTGCCACACATGCTTTTACATTTTTCTGTACCACTCCCTCAGAAACAATGTTCTTTTCAGAATCCCTAGCTTAACACAGTGATCAATTGAAGGAGCTTAGAAGACTTGGCTGGCATCAGTATACATGGGACAAACATAATGGGCTGTTGAGACATAGCTCATAGGACAAATGTTTTATAAAATGCTTTATACAGTAGGCCCCTATCTTTATGGTAACATCTTATATAATCCCCTTACTTTAAATAACTTTCTTGTAACCATAAACAATAGCCAAAAATAAGCAAGGAGAGAGAGTGTGATTTGCAGGAAAGTTGAGAGTTGAGGCTGCACAAGGGCACATCCGTAGGTTATTTGTCCTCTATGATCACCAGTATCTTGGCAGATCCTTGATAAGGACATGGTATTCACTATTTGAAAGTCCCAATCTGAATTTGGACCACCTGGAAGAAGCTCCAGGTCACTTGGGTCTCAGCCATGTCCAACGTCTAGGTAACAAGCATGAGACAAGCATGCAAATCACGTAAATGCAAGGTAACAAATAGGATAAAGGTGGAGGGCTCAGCATTAATTACTATTCTATGGTTACAATAATTTTATTTTATAAGATAAGAGGACATGTAGTTTATTATTTAAAGCATTAGCCCATGTAAGGAAAGCAGTGAAAGATCTATGCAAGGTACCAAAGAAAATGATGTCTGACTACCCTGTTTGGTGTATCTTCTAATCTCCCATCTCTCCATTTTATAGCTAGAGTGACCTGTGTACATTAATTGTTGGCGTGGCTTTTTTATCTGCTTCTTAAAAATGTGTCCATGTTTCTCAGTTATGTTGGAGGCTGTTTTCAGTTGAATAAGATTGAGGCTTTAGAAATGAAATGGGGCCAAGTTTGCCACATGACACTTAGGGCTGTACTTATAGGGCGTGGCATTTGATAGGGGCAGGATGGAGAACTCTCTGAAAATAGATAACAGCTACATGCATTGAATCCTCACAATGTGCAGTTAGTACATACTACACATTGTGTCTGCACTATTCCCTTTAATCCTCACAAGGAAGAAGAGACTGAGGTTCAGAGAGGTAACCTGCTCATGGTCACTCAGCTAGTAATAAAAGGACCCCCAGTGTAAACCGACTCTGTCTGATTCCTAATCACAGTCTCCACAGATGAGAGTGAAAAGTTCTTTCTAGAAAAGTGCTAGAGAAACCTGAGAGTAGATAATGATAGAAATATCAAACTATAACCATATTAAAGATTTCTGGATCATCCTGTGTCACGGCCTTGACTGTAATTAAATCAGCAGCCCCTTTACCAATGAGGACTCACTGCCATTAATATCCATCACGGTGACCTTTCCTGGTGGTACTTAGAGCTATTTGTAAAATAAACACGAGGTAAAAAGTAATCAGTTTTCTGATGGTTTAATGTGTAAATATTCTTTTCATTGTCAACTGATCCCTACATGCGACAGTATGCGAGAGAGCAGTGAGCCAAGATTTCCCCAGCCTTCACAATTACAATGTTTATGGCCAATTAAGAGTATATGCTCAAAGTTTTCTTTCATCACCCTACTGGAAGAATAAAAGCATGTATTCTAGGACGCTGGCAGAAACCCATCCGTAAAGCAGGGCACCGGCCGTGGTGACTATCTTGCAAGTGATGAATGGCGGTGATGTTCAGGGAGCTACTCCAGCGTTGCTATTTATTTTGAAAGTGCGCAGGGCAGCCAGGTTTCACAACTCATTAGAAGTATTGGGTTGTTACAATACGTACCAATAAAAGGTACAACTGCTCTAGGGAACTGGTGGGTTTTATAAAAAGGTCCTTTATGTTGTATACTATATGTCAGGTTGCCTCAAAGTGATAATTTACGTATCAGTGAGAAAGGCAAATTATTTCTGTAGTAAAAGGGAGTTTAATTTATAATATAGTTAGAAGGAAATGATAGAAATATCAAACTATAACTATATTAAATATTAAAGGTTTCTTTCTTTCTTTTTTTTTTTTTTTGAGACGGAGTTTTGCTCTTGTTGCCCAGGCTGGAATGCAATGGCACAATCTCACTGCAACTTCCGCCTCCTAGGTTCAAGCAATTCTCCTGCCTCAGCCTCGAAAGTAGCTGGGATTACAGGCATGCGCCACCATGCCAGCTAATTTTGGTATTTTTAGTAGATATGGGGTTTCACCATGTTGGTCAGGCTGGTCTTGAACTTCTGACCTCAGGTGATCTGCCCTCCTCGGCCTCCCAAACTGTTGGAATTGCAGGCGTGAGCCACCGCAGCCGGCCAAAAATTTCTGTTTGTTTGGTATGCGTTCTTTTGCTTCTGAAAGTGTTGGCCAGTATTTGGCCTGTGCCAAACAGTTCTACCAATTCGGGGAACATTTACATGCTCCAATTCCTTCTCAACCGTTTTCAATCTCATCCCCAAATACTCTTTTTGGTGAAATCCTTGTGAAATTTAAATTAATTAGGATTACTTTACTTGCGGTATTAAAGTAGGTTAATTGTAAAACCAAATAGACTCTCTCCATCCACCAAAAACTTATAAAGGATATATAATAGGACAGTGTTTGCTCTCCTCTAATGATTCAGGGACTTAGGCTTCCATTGTGCAGCCCCACCATCTATTCAGCTGCGGTGTCCAATACAGTAACTACATTTTTTAAAACTTATTTATTTATTTATTTATTTTTTGAGACGGAGTTTCGCTTGTCACCCAGGCTGAAGTGCAATGGTGTGATCTCGGCTCACTGCAACCTCCGCCTCCCTGGTTCAGGCAATTCTCATGCCTCAACCTCCTGAGTAGCTGGGATTACAGGGATGTGCCACCACGCCCGGCCAATTTTGTATTTTTAGTAGAGACGGGGTTTCACCATGTTGGCTGGGCTTGTCTGGAACTCCTGAGCTCAGGTGATCCACCTCCTTGGCCTCCCAAAGTACTGGGATTACAGGCGTGAGCCACTGCACCTGGCCAGTAACTACATTTTAATTTAAATTATATTGTTAAATAATATTAAAAACTCAATTCCTCAGTTGTGCTTCAAGTGTTCATATGTGGCTAATGGATACCACATGAGATAGGGCAAATGTAAAATATGTTCACTATCTCAGAGAGTCCATTGGACAGCCTTGTCTTCTTGCTGAACCTGGCCAAGGGGGAAAGAGAGAATGGAGGGGTCAGGCCTTTCACCAGAAAGCTGTGGCCTGGACATGGCATACAATTCTGCTCACATTTTATTGGTGGAAGTAATTCTTTTGAACTTCTATTCAAGGGGCCCTGGGTGGCAAAAATTCTATTCTGTTTACAATAGAGAGTGAATTTCATTTATAGGCATTTCTACCACATTAGATCAATTTAATAATCCAAATATGGCCTAGAGAAAAGCCGTTGGAAATAGACAGATTTAGATTCAAGTTCTGCTTCTGCACGTTCCAAACTGTTTGACCTTGGGTAATTCAGATATCCTGACTTAACCTCCTTGTTTTTATTTATTTTTATTTTTTAAATTTATTTCTATTCATTTTATTTTATTATTTTTTTTTAGCGACAGGGTCTTGGTCTCGCCCTATTACCCAGGCTGGAGTGCAGTGGCATGATCATAGCTCACTGTGGCCTTGAACTCCTGGGCTCAAGCAATCCTCCTGCCTAGCTCTCCTGAGTAGCTAGGACTATGGGCATGTGGCACAACACCCAGCTAATTTAAAAAAAGTTTCTTGGCAGAGGCAGGGTCTTGCTATGTTGCTCAGGCTGGTCTTGAACTCCGGGCCTCAAGTGATCCTCCTGCCTCAACCTCTCAAAGCACTGGGATTCAGATGTGAGCTACTGTGCCTGTCCAACTTCCTCATTTTTAAAAGACAACAGTGGTGATATCTGATTCCTAGGACTTTTGTGAGGTTGGAATGCACGTAAAAATGCAAATGTGCTTTAAAGTTCAAATACACACACACACACACACACACACAGACACGCATACAGTCATGTGTGGCATAATGATGTTTCAGTCAACAATGAAGCACATAGTGGTCCCAAAAGATATAATAGAGCTGAAAAATTCCTGTCACCTAGTGACATCACAGCTGTCCTAACATCACAGCATAATGCATTACTCAAGTATCTGTGATGATGCTGGTGTAAACAAACCAACCGATGGCCTGGCACAATGGCTCACACCTATAATCCCAGCACTTTGGGAGGCCAAGGCGGGAGGATCACTCGAGCTCAGGAGTTTGAGACCAGCCTGGGCAACATAGTGAGGCCTTGTCTCTATTTATATAAGAATGTAAATATTTTTTTAAAAACCGACTGCACTGCCAGTCATATAAAAGTGTAGCACATACAATTATGTATAGTGCATGACACTTGATAATGATACTAAACAACTATGTTACTGTATTTATAATATCTTTTTTTTTTTTTTTTTTTTTTGAGGTAGAGTCTTGCTCTGTGGCCCAGGCTGGAGTGCAGTGGCGCAATCTCGGCTCATTGCAAGCTCCGCCTCCCAGGTTCACGCCGTTCTGCCTCAGCCTCCTGAGTAGCTGGGACTACAGGCGCCATTCACCATGCCTGGCTAATTTTTTGTATTTTTAGTAGAGACGGGGTTTCACCGTGTTAGCCAGGATGGTCTCGATCTCCTGACCTCGTGATCCACCCGCCTCGGCCTCCCAAAATGCTGGGATTACAGGCGTGAGCCACTGCGCCTGGCCTGTATTTATAATATCTTATACTTTTGTTGTTTTAGAGTATACTCCTTCTACTTATAAAAGCCTGTAAAACAGCTTCAGGCAGTTCCTTCAGGAAGCATTCCAGAAGAAGGCATTCTGCTCACATTTTGTTGGTGGAAATAATTCTTTTGAACTTCTATTCAAAGTTCAAAGAAATTTTGAATCCAGGGCCCTTGGGTGACAAAAATTGTATTCTGTGTATAACAGTAATTGAATTTTAGCAGGCAGCCAGGTATTTCTACGATATTAGATAAACTTAATAATCCAAATGTGGCCTAGAGAAAAGCCTTTGGAAATAGCAGACTTGGATTCAAGTTCTGCTTCTGCACCTTCCAAACTGTTTGATATTGGGTAATTCAGATACCCTGATTCAACCTCCTTGTTTTTATTTATTTTATTTTAGCTCCATGGGTGCTATTGACCCCGAAGACCTTCCAATGGGACAAAATGTGGAGGTGGAAGACAGTGATATTGATGATTCTGACCCTACATAGGTCTTATTTAATGTGTGTATTTGTGTCTTTGTTTTTAACAAAAGCATTTAAAAAGTAAAAAAGACAATTTTAAAGTTTTTAAATAAAAAAGCTTATAGAATAAGTATATAAAGAAAAAAAAATTTTGTGCAGCTATACAATGTGTGTGTTTTAAGCTAAATGTCATTATAAAAGAGTCAAAAACTTTAAAGAATAAAAAATTTATAAAGTTACAGTATGCTATTGTTAATTTATTTCTAAAGAAAGAAAACTTTTTTTTTTTTTTTTTTTTTTTTTTTTTTTTGAGACAGAGTCTCGCTCTTGTTGCCCAGGCTGGCATGCAATGGTGTGATCTCGGCTCTCCGCAACCTCTGCCTCCCGGGTTCAAGCGATTCTCCTGCCTCAGCCTCCCGAGTAGCTGGGATTACAGGCATGTACCACCTCACCTGGCTAATTTTGTATTTTCAGTAGAGGTAGGGTTTCTCCATGTTGGTCAGGCTGGTCTCAAACTCCCGACCTCAGGTGATCTGCCTGCCTCAGCCTCCCAAAGTGCTGGGATTACAGGTGGGAGCTACCGTGCCCAGCCGAAAACTATTTTTAAAATTAAATTTAGTGTAGCCTAAGTGTAGAGTGTTTATAAAGTCTACAGTAGTGTGCAGTGATGTCCTAGGGCTTCCCATTTCTTCACCCCTCACTGACTCAGGCAGAGCAACTTCTACTCCTGCCAACTCCATTTACGGTGAGTGCCCGATACATGTGTACCATCTTTTATCTATTTTTTTTTTTTTTTTTTTTTGAGATGGAGTTTCGCTCTTGCTGCCCAGGCTAGAGTGCAATGGCGCGCTCTTGGCTCACTGCAACCTCTGCCTCCTGGGTTCAAAAGATTCTCCTTCTTCAGCCTCCCGAGTAGCTGGGATTACAGGTGCCAGCTACCACGCCCGGCTAATGTTTGTATTTTTAGTAGAGATGGGGTTTCACCATGTTGGCTAGGCTGGTCTTGAACTCCTGACCTCAGGTGATCCACCTGCCTTGGACTCCCAAAGTGCTGGGATTACAGGAATGAGCCACCATGCCCGGCCCACATTTTATCTTTTATATTGTATTTTTACTGTGCCTTTTCCATGTTTAGATATATTTAGTTGCAAGTTAGCACTGTGTTACAACTGCCCATAGTATTCAGTATGGTAACATGTCGTACAGGTCTGTAGCCTAGGAGCAGTAGGCTATTCCATACAGCCTAGCTGTGTAGTGGGCTGTATCATCTAGGTTTGTGTAAGTACATTATGATGTTCACATAATGATGAAATTGACTAACAATGCATTTCTTAGAACATTTCTCCATTGTTAAGCCACACATAACTCTGTGCATGTGTTTGTGTATATACACTTGTGTGGTAGATTGCATCATTTACCTCAACTCCTCTTCATCCCTCCCTGCAGCCTTGCCTTTTGCTATGACGCTTTGTGGTATAGTTTCCTGCCTCTTGAATCTAGGCTGACTTTGACTTGTTTTAGCCAACAGGACGAAAGAAATGTTATACCAGTTCTGAGCCTAGGCCTTAGGAAAGTTTGCGGGTTTCTGCCATCACAGTGAAAAAAACCCACTTGGGCTAGCCTGCTGGTCCCAGAAGGAGGTTGATGGACCAGAGCTGTCCCAGTTGGCTCCTCTTAGATCAATCCTCAGTGGATGCATAAGCTAAACAAATGCTTGTTATTGTATGGCGATGAGTATCGTAGTTGCTTTTTGTGCATCATAGTGATATTAAATCACCACAACTATTAAGTTACAACTTGAACAAGCTTTAACATTTTAAGTAATATAATTTACCTAAAATATACTAGTAAAAGCCAGTAAAGAAAAAGTTTGGCTGACTTTAAAACACACATACACTATATATGTATGTATACATGCACACATACACCGAAGCACGTGCATGCACACACACACAAGCACACACACACACACACACACACACACACACATATATATATATATATAATTTTTATTTACATTTCCTGGTACTTTTACTAATGTGACTTGAAAAGGAGGGCTCTTGATGTAGTCAGTAGCAACAACAAATGAGATAAAATAATAAAGGAATAATTATGTGATCAATGGTTTTAGGTAAGAGTAGACAAACTTTATGTAAAGGGCCAGATAGTAAGTATTTTTGACTTTGCACCTACTCAGCTTTGCTTTTGTAGTGCGAAACCAGCCACAGACAGTATGGAAACAAGTGAGTGAACTGTGTTCCAATAAAACTTTATTTATAAATATAGGCAGTGGGCCAAATCCACAAGCCATAGTTTGTAGACCCCTTTTCTTAGGTATACTAATTACTGGTATGGCGATACATAAACTTAGATCCATGCGTCATTCCATATACTGTAAACAAAGAGGATGTGAGGTTACAAAAAGGATACAAAGTTGTAAGACATGAAAAAGAATTGTTACACACATTGTGAAGGGCAACTGGGCTAGAGCCTTTGTTGAATTGAATGAGACCCTCTAGTCTGTTGCCTAATATTTAGCGCAGGGCATGCTTTAGGACTGTGACTTATTGTTAGAGCAATAGAAAAATATTATAAACAAGGCTGATGGGTTTAATTGTATTCAAAAGCCCTCAAATTTCTGCTCCATAAAAATCAATTAAACTAAGATAGAATGGAAAACAATGGAAAAGAGCAGACCCACTCTGTAAGTATATCTCAGTACTACTTTGCCAGCCTGGGGTACTTTTAAGTTCATATCACACTATCAAGAATTTCTTTACTTTATCTTTTGAAGTATCTTCATCCATGAGTTTATTTAGTCCAGGATGTCATTCTTTGATATGCTGGGTGGTTGGAGAAAAAAATGCAAAAATCTAACAAGTATCCAATAAGCCCTGATGTTGCTATCACAAGGGGTCATGTGAGGCCTTGGGGAGTCTGCTATTTGGCTGCTCTTCTTGACAAATGGTATCCAGCCTACCAAGTGTCTAATGTGTCAAGATGTTCCATTGTTGATGGTGCCATGGCTTGGACAAGCTCCCTTTGTACTGGTCACAACCACCCTTGACACAGAGCTGCTGCCAACACTGTTGTGGGAAAGGGAAATATTGAGGGGCTTCTGGGAGTAAAGGCCTCACCAGTCTGCCCCTCAGGGCCATGTTATTTCTATTATCTCCTTATCATTCCTAAAGTCTGTCTGAAGATTTCCCACCTCCACTCACTCCCATAATTTTTCTGTTCCTATAGTCTCCTGTTTGCTACTCAAGGCTCCTTACGTATATTTTTTAGCAGCCTCATATACATGGTTAAAGCATGACTATTAATAACATGTAAAATGAATAAAAATATACACAGATAATATTTAGTATCTACTGAACGAATGATTAAAGAATATGAACAAATATTTGCAAATGAAAAAATACAAACCTTTCCTGTCCCCTGCAGGATAAAATACAATTTCTGGCCCTTCCTCTCTAGTTCAGCTTTCTAAGTAACCTCTCTGCTTTGAGGAGCTTAGGAGAAAGAGATGAGTTGGTATTCCTGCCAAAAGAGGAAATTTGAAAACAACAAAAGCCACAGGCTTCCAGCCAGAGATAAGCTAGTAGCTAAAAATCTTTGACTAAAATATTTATTTTGTAGAAAGAAATTTAAGTACCAGTTCTAATAAAGGCCCAGAGAAATAAACTTTGGAGGTGGGACTTACCAAATGGACCATGAACAGATTGGGAAATATAACTTTGAAAATCTATACAAAATGGTAGTTGTGCTCAGTGGTTTTAAGAAATAACCACTTTTCCCCTTATGGCACTAGTAATAAATTTTCTTTGTATTAAAGAAGAAAATACAAATAAGTGGGGAGGTTAAGGGTCTGAGCTCTGAAGTCAAACAAGCTGTGTTAAATCCCTGCCCTGCCACATAACAATGTGATCTTGGGTAAGTATTTTTAACCTCTCTAAACCTGAGGTTCCTCATTAGAAAAAGAGGGAAAATAATCGTAGCTCTCTCAGGGGGTTTCTGTGACCATTGAATGAGGTCATGCTTGTAAAGTGCTTAACATTCATAGCAAACAATTAATATCACTTATTATTTTTGTTACCCATAATCCTACTACTCAGAGATCACTGCTGTTAATGTTTTGATGTACAGGAGGGGTCCTCATTAACTGAATATTTATGACCTAAGTCACAGCAGTTACAAATTTGTTAGAATATAGCAGCATAAAAGTATTAACTCATTAACTGACTACTTATAAAATATCTGCTCTTAGACATCCCTTCCTGCTTAATCCTTGTGTCTAGCCCACCCAGCGTATCAACATCTGATGTTTCAATGCAAACGCAAGGCAAATTGAAATATGAAACTGCAAATCTTACACAAAATGCAGGATGTCATGTAAGCAATGCTGGGAGTCTTATCATTGAGAAATGAGGATCTGGCAGAGTTAGACCAGTTAACAAGAACAGAAAATCAGCTCTGATGGTGGCATGAGAGGCCCCTTGAAAGAGAATGATTTGAATAGTAAAGGATAAAGACAGGCTCTTGGGAAAATTGATGAAACTCTCAAATATTTCTGCAAAAGAGACTCTTTACTCTGGCTTTTTGGACAGGAGCTAATTTTGCCAGATGCTTTTCTTAGACAGACTCCACTTCTTTCCTGTAGTTGCATCTTGCTAGGCCCATGACCATCAAGGTGTAACCGGCTGGGCCTGATGGCTCATGCCTGTAATCCCAGCACTTTGGGAGGCTGAAGCGGGCAGATCACTTGAGCTTAGGAGTTCGGAACCAGCCTGGGCAACATGGCGAAACCACATCTCTACAAGAAACACAAAAATTAGCCAGGTGTGGTGGCACGTGCCTGTAGTTCTAGCTACTTGGGAGGCTGAGATGGGAGAATTACTTGAGCCTTTGAGGCTGAGGCTTGGGGAGCCATGTTGGTGCCAGTGTACTACAGCCTGGATGACAAAGTGAGACCCTGTTTAAAAAAAAAAAAGTGTAATCATTAGGGTGGATTCTCCAACATAAACAAATCCTGTAAATATTACTTTTGAAGAAATTGTGGTCTACACTGATGCCCTTTTGTCTTTCCTGACAGGAGTCTTATATAACAAAGAGGATTGTTGAGTCTGCAGAAACATAATCTACTTACAGAAAGATCAGACCTCTTGGCCTTTCTGCAGATGTTACAGTGTTTTTTGGTAGTAGGCCTCTCATTTCTGGTAGTAGATCCTATTGAGAAGCTGATGACAGTTAATTATCCCCCTTCCAGAAAAATGAACATTTGTACCCAGCATGAAAATTTTCATACAGCTTAAGGGGAATTCCAGTGAAATCCACTTACAGATCACAGGTTAATAATCCATGTTTTAATTATTACGTTTTAATATCTGAAAATATTTAGGTATGGCAGACACATCTGACAGCAATAACTGAAGTATACCCTGAGAATGACCCTGTATGATAGATGTACCTGACAGCAATAACTTAAGCAGCTGAGAGTCACCCTGTGGTCAAAGAAGAATGTATATTTGGAGTTCTGAGCTAAGGAATCTGGGAGTGGCCAACCCAGAGATTCACTTCTTATCTGTAAGGAATATCTGAACCCCTGGTCCACCTCATGGAATACAGACCATACAGGGCACGGAGGCCATTTGTTTTGGGTTAAATGAAGATTGCCAGGTGGAGTTTGCTGGGGGAAAGTGCTAAGTGAAAATGCTATATAAACTGCGTGCTTTTTTATAAGCAATTGTAGTCCTCCTGTCCAGGCTACTGGCATTGAACTGCCCTGTGTGTAAGTCCCCCCAATAAACTCTATGTCTTGTTTGCTGGCTCCAGGTCCCTTCTTCGGCTTCTTGAACATGGTGCCATCCTTATTGTAATCGGTAGGGGAACAGCATGACAATTATGCATTTATAAACTTAGAATTCAGTAAGCTTTAATGCAATAAATACATATTGAACATTTGCCCTTTGCTTATATCTGTAGGGGATAAAGAAGAAATACTGGACATAGCTCCTGGGTTTCAGCTAAACTAAGGGAACGGACAGAGGATGCAGATAGGATATGCAGACTGTCAGTCCATGTAGGCAGAGAGTTACCCAAAAATGTCATCTGCAAGAGGTATTAGGAACAGCCTATAACATAGGGAGGTAAGGGAGAGGACCTAAGAAAAGTTTCTGTGCTCCTCAAGGTCAGGATATGAGAAAAGTATGCAGATAAGAAATGTAGACTCAGAGAAGAAAGAAGCTTGAGTGAAAGCCCTCTTATGTGTTCTCATTTGGGGCCATACTGATGTCGGTTTATGAATTGAACTTACTAGGCAGTCTATTCATCCATCAGCTCATTCTAGGCACCTGTATGGTGACTACCCTGTCATGAAAACTTAACAAGGTAGATGCTTGTTAAGTGCACCTAAATAAGTTCTCATTTACTTAAGAACTGAGAATGAGTGAATCTACACAATGAAAAATGTGAAGTTGTTTATTAAGCAACACACCCATATCCATATCCATCTGTACAGGATTTAAAAAGTACTTACAGGTATGGCTCCTGGTTAGTGCTGGTGTTTCTCATGAATTTCTCTTCACTAGAATATTGTGGGAGCCATCAGCCAGGTGGAACTTTCTGCTCAAGTTCTTGAACGTGCGACTCTCCTTACTACAAATTCAGTATGCAAAACACCTACTGTAAATGAAATTATCTTCTGTCCTGTGGCTGTCGGGGTCTGATAGGCTATTGTTGGTTTTAGCAGGAAATGGATTGACACCTAGAAGAATCTTCCATGTGGCTTCCTTTCTTTTACTATCTACCACTTAGTTCAATTCCTATAGTCCTAGAAATAAGAGGGTTTAAACCTCTTTGACTTTATCAAAGTAATTCTTTTGTCAGGCATATTTCTTATGTTTGGGGTGGGATGCTGGAGATTGCGATGGGTTTTTCTGCTTTCTTTTCACTGTAGTAGCAAGAATTAAAAGGATTCAGCTTGCTGCCTTGCCAACATTTTGCAGTTTAGCTATTTAATCTTCAGTACAAATGAATCCCTCCTGCAGATTCACACAGACACACCTGGGTTGGCTGAAATAAAAAAGACTGAGAGGAACTGAGAGACAAGACAAACATACAATTAGAAGCCAATACAGATTAGTGCATGACCAAGTGCTCAGCTATATCATAAGTTAATATGAGCAGAGTCATGCTGTAGAGAGACATGGGTGCTGTTAGAGGTCTGGGTGGCAGTCGCCTGAGTTTGAAGCATAGATTGGAAGAAAGAGAAAGTTGTTATCTAGTTGTTATCTGGCTAGTAAAATCCAATAAGGTGCAGGTGCTGAGCTAACTGGCCTCTTCTCTGCCTGAAAGCTATGTCCAGGAATACAGCCTTGGCCCAGGGAAGAATTAAAGGAGAGTGAGCAAAATGAAAGTAGACCAGTGGCTCAACGTATGACAGCTGAATTTGATGAATGAAACACCAAAGAAGAAATAGCTGTACTAGTTTATGAGGGAGATATGCCAAGTCAGGGCAAATATGTCACTCAAGTGCAAATTTAAGCACCTGATATGCTATATGCTCATGGATGATGTTGAAGACAAAGTGTGTTTAGAAAGTTCATCATGAATAGAGCAGTGTTTCCTGAAGTCCACAGCGTTTAAGATCAACCACAAATACTGTATTTCTTCCTAAGAGCTTACTTAGACTTGAAAGCTACGGATTTCTTTCCTTTATGTCTTTAAAACGTTTCTATATGGCTTGTTGGTTGTAGTGACCTAAATACCTTCATCAAGCCGCAATTAAGTCCTTGGGACTGAGCCATGTGCCTCTGTGGGAGGTAATTATGAAAGCTGGATTAATTTGCCATTGAATTATTTATGTAAGCATAAATATTGCAGAGGCAATTAAACCTCAGGTATTTCTTTAGGTGCGGATAAATCAATTTGCATTGTGTGCCGCTAGTTCATGTCAGAGGAAATGTTTGACAGGAAATAGGAATCTTCATCAAAAGACAAAAATACCCCAAGAACCCATCTCTCCATTAATTTTCTTTGCTCTCTAAACATACCCTGTAAAGTAATTTTGTGTGTTATTGTAATCCTTTCCAACTGCCAGAGATAATAAGTCAAAAGACATTGAGAGTTCTCTCTTGTCAATACCAGGAAGTCAATCTTCTGTCTATTCCAGTATAATTTAGCACAGTGAGAATCAACTGATTTCACAGATATTAACTTTATCGAATACACAAACGAAAGTATTATGGGAAAAATAATTTCTCAGTAAATAGCAGAGATAACTTAGCAATCAGGAAATGCAATCTCCTTTTGGTCTCAAAACTTACTCAAAGGCTGGAGCTCGCCTGGAATCCACCCCCCTTATACCCCCACAAAGCAGTGATTTACAGAAATGAAACCTGCGGGATACATATTATGCAAACGCTCTAGGGAAGTGAATCATAGCACATCCAAGCCAAAATTGATGGAGCTGCAGTGAAAATAAAGTTATTAAATTTGTGGTGAAGGGGAAAATGCAGAAGGTAACACTTTTAACAGTATCTCCTATATAAAACCAATCAGCTATTTCTAAAGAAGTTGTTACTGGAAGCCATTGCATCGTCTGCCCTTCTAACCCCATTGTGTTCCTCCAGTCTTTATTTTGAGATGGAGCCTCACTCTGTCGCCCAGGCTGGAGTGCAATGGCACAATCGTGGCTCACTGCAACCTCCGCTTCCCGGGTTCAAGCAATTCTCCTGCTTCAGCCTCCCAAGTAGCTGAGACCACAGGCATGCGCCACCATGCCTGGCGTAGTATAATATATATTATTACATAAATATATAATATTTATATATTATATTATTTATATTATATATTAAATATTATATATAATATATTAATATATTATATAATATATATAATATATTAAATATTATATAAATATATAGTATAATATTTATATAATAATATACATTATATATAATATATTATATATAATATATATTATATATAATATATTATGTGGCCTTATATTATATATAAAATATATTATTATAATTTATATATTAATTATATAAAATTATATAAATTTATTAATTATATAAAATTAATATAAAAATATATAATATATATTATATATTAAGCGGGGTGGCTTTGAATGAGGTCTGTGATCTGACATTGGTGACCTTATATATAATACATATTATTAATATATATTATATTTTAATAATATATATTTTTTATATATATAATATATAATATATAAGGCCATTATATATATATATATAATATATATATAATATAAGGCCACCAATGCCAGATCACAGACCTCATTCAAAGCCACCCCGATTTTACTGAATTCAGGAGCTATTTCCGAGAGCAGCTGAACATCTGGCAAATCTAAATCATCTTTATCTGGGTCTTTTCTATGGTGGACATACTGCAGTATCCTAAGTAAAGAAGTTGAAAGATTAGCAGACTGTAATTGAAATTAACCACGTTCATCTATCAAAGCACATTAAAATGGAAGCTACAGGAAGGTAGGGGCTTCTCTTACTACTGATTCAATGGTGAAAATAGTTTTGATTGAAATTGCTGTTCTGCACAATGTAAGTGAGCGATAAATGATGAAGGAGTTAAAAATATACAATTTTGGCACATCGACTATTTTGAATTAAAGGCACTTGAAAAACAGCAGGTGCAAGAAGACCATTCTGACCTCTTTTTTGTTTCTTAAAAGCAGGAGATGAAACTCTCTTGTGAAAGATGTCCTCCCTATTAAATAGCATTCTAATAATCAAGGATGGAAAATTTGAGGCTGAAGGACATCTATGCAACACAAACTTTCTTACACTAACCCTTATCTTCTTGGTCACTTCTCTACCCAATTAACTATTCTAGCTCAAGCTCTTTTGCCTTATCATATATTCAGAATTTACTAGTCTTTGTCCCATTCTGTATATAAATGTTTGACTCAAACTGGTTCTTTGGGTCTTCATTTCCTTATGAGTGCTCCTGTGCAGTGTGAAACCTGTTTTATAAAAATTGTTGGCCAGGTGCGGTGGCTTATGCCTGTAATCCCAGCACTTTGGGAGGCTGAGGTAGGCAGATCACCTGAGGTCAGGAGTTCAAGACCCACCCTGGCCAACATGGTGAAACTCTATGTCTCTACTAAAAATACAAAAATTAGCCAGGCATGGTGGCGCATGCCTGTGGTCTCAGCTACTTGGGAGGCTGAAGCAGGAGAATTGCTTGAACCCGGGAGACGGAGGTTGCAGTGAGCCAAGATTACGCCATTGCACTCCAGCCTGGGAGACAGAGTGAGGCTCCATCTCAAAATAAATAAATAAATAAATAAAAATTAAAAATTAAAATAAATAAATAAAAAAGCTGTGTCTTCTTCTTCTGTTGACCTGTCTTATGACAATTTAATTCTCAGGCCTAACTAGGACCCTGTAAGAATGGAGGTGGGATTTTGCCTCTTCTGCAATGACAAATTTGGAGGTGCTGGGCTGCATTGTTGGTGGGGGATGTACAAGGAAACGACTAGCATGTGGTAGAAGCAAGCTCAAAGAGTCGACCATTATTAAAGACTCTGTGGGAAGCCAGAATACAAGGTTTGATCCCACTGTAGTCCATCCTTTGCAATATAGAGAGTGGCTGTGTTGAAATACAAGTTTTGTCATATCATTTCTTGGCTTAAAACAAATCTTTAGCTACTCATTGCCCTTGGAATAAGTAATCACATCCTTAATATGAACCTGCAAGGTCCTGCATGACCTGGTCCCTGTCTGTCTGTTCAGATTGATTTAGTGATGTGTGCTACAGCCATGCAGCACTTCCTTGAAAACACCATGCTTTCTCCTGTTCCTGGCATTGCACATGCTAATTTCTCTGCCTGGATGCACTGCCCCCAAGTCCCCCCAATCCCATGAATTCCTACCTATTCTTCAGCACACACTTTATTTCTTAGGGAAAATTTCTCAGATGTTCATGATGTGAGGAGACAGTTCTCTGGATTTCTCTCATTTCTCATTCATCTGAGCTTCCTGAGCAAAGGACATGCTTGAATAGCAAATACTCTTGGAAGCTAGAGATGGTGTTTTCCTAGAGACTTTTAGAGACATACCTTCCTGGAGCCATTTGCTCACATTCCAGAGTAGTGATGACGTTTCCTCCTCTTCCCCAGAGATTTGCTTACATTGCTCTCTCTTTCTCTCCAGAGAGGTGTATGAGCAGATGAACAGCCTTATAAGAGCCAATCTTCTAAAATTCAGGGTTCTTCTCCTGTGGTGCACCTTACTGCATGAGCAGGTAACGTTGGTCCCTCATCCACAGCCTTGTGGAGATTGGGGGGTGGAGGAGCTATACAAGAGACTGCCCTGGCTGCTGTTTTTGGTATAACAAAGTATCCATGTTTCTGACCCAGGAGTCTTGTATCTTCTGTCGTTATATGTATGTAAAATTGGCAGGCTATTTTGTTAACTTGTGAGCTGGATAAAATTTCAGGTCCTTTACAGTTTCTGACTTACCATATAGCTGATCACATGTCCTTTATCATAGAGCACCATGGCCACCCATTTATGGCATATATCACAATTTTACATTTTTTCATTGATTATTTGATTAATGTTTATCTCTTCCAGTAGAAGGGTGCATGTTGCCATGTTTTCTCCCTGTTGTTTCCCTTGACCCTAAAATAGTGCCCAGCATTCAGTAGGCACTCAAGTATTTATTTGTTGAAAGTGGAGGAGGAGGTTAATTCTAATTTAGAAGGCAAGGAACGACTTCATAGAGAAGAAGGCATTTGATGTGGGCCTTGCAGCGGAAAATAGTTGGCAACAAGGCACGTGCATTTCTGGTGGTGGAAATAGCGCAAAGTCAGGGGATGGAGTGGTGTGTGTCTGTACCACCAATTCCTTGTGGCTTGGATGTGAACAGTGTGTGGGGGACCATAATGAAAAAATGAGTCTTTTTTTGGTAACTATGAACCCCATTTCTGAATATAATATAGAAAACTCTGAAGTTTGGTGGAAATAACAGATTGACATGTCTATGGAGGTTTAATTTTAGTAAGGCCAAATAGAATCAAGAAGGGAAGGACTTATATGATTTCAGGGGTTAAGTCCTTTTTTTTTTTAACACTGCTAGTGAGGAAATAGATGTATATCTTAAATCGTTTGTTTCTTTTTCTTTGGGGTTGATGGAAGAAGGAGAAAAATGTTGACTGAAGTACTCTTTCTTCTTTAGAGTTTCTAAACTGAATTTAGTATTGGTTGATCCCAAGGCATTTTAGAACCCTAAGAAGCAAAAACTTCTTAAAACAAAGCAAAACAAAAAAAGCTTCTTAAAACCAAATCAAACAAAACAACAAACGATAGAAGAAACAACATTAACTCCAGTTTCTCAGAAAGTGGAGATGAGCACTCTGTGTAGACTGTGGGCTTTCCTATGGA
Organism: Homo sapiens; assembly: GCF_000001405.40. Taxonomy (NCBI): domain Eukaryota; kingdom Metazoa; phylum Chordata; class Mammalia; order Primates; family Hominidae; genus Homo; species Homo sapiens. The sequence goes on along the minus strand of NC_000003.12, from coordinate 176,960,817 downwards.
CAGTCCCTGCTCCGTTCTTGAATATTTCCCTGAGATCTAGGGTTCTTCACAGAAAAATGGTGCTGCTGTGCTCCCCAGGGCATCGTGGGACAGCTATGCAGTAGCTCCTCCAGGCGCAAAATTAATGTGCAGATTGAGCTTAATTTGAACATCTCTGACTGAATTAAGATTGCTTTTGTGTCTTTTTTATTTGTTCACTTAATTCAAAAATGGAATTTGGCATTAGTAAATTATCTTTCAGGGATTCTTTTAAGGAAAAATTATAAGAATATGAAATCATGTCTCAAAAACCTACAAGGAAATCTTTTCTCAGAGATTGTCCTCAGTAATAATATGTACAAAAATCATCTTTAATCAGGCTGCCATAAGTAAACTCAATGCCTTTTTAATACTATAGGGGCCTTGTTAATTCTTGAATTCTACTGTACTTAGTTAGTTATAATCTCTAGGGTTTTTTGACTCACATAGTTCTGCTGCTTGTCTTTTTAGGAAATGGCCACATAGAGACAGCTATGCCTTCTGATACTGTGGGTGACTGTATATGACTTTTCCATTTCTTTTCTCCGTTGGTGTTGCTATGAGTGTGCCTGACTTGATTGTAACAACGTTCGCCCCGCCCCCTTTCTCTTCCGTTGTCAATTATCTTCCTTGGGGGGAGCCTCCAGATGGAACAAGCCGGTTAGAGTAGTGTGTAAAGTGTATGCAGATCAAGTATGAGCGATGGCCTCGGGAGCTCTATCAGTCAGGATCAGGCTGGCCTGCACATCAGAGAAAAACCCATAGTAACACCCACTCAAACAATACGGATGTTTGCTTCTCACATAAGATACATGTGGAAGTAAGGCATTTAGGGCTGGCGTGGGGTGTTGACAGATTTTAAGTGTTTTTTTGGTTTGTTTTTTTGTTTTTGTTTTTGTTTTTGTTTTGAGACAGAGTCTTGCTCTCTTGCCCAGGCTGGAGTGCAGTGGCATGATCTCGGCTCACTACAACCTCTGCCTCCTGGGTTCAAGTGATTCTCCTGCCTCAGCCTCTTGAGTAGCTGGGATTATAGGCGTGCGCCAAAGCCACCATGTCCAGCTAATTTTTTTACTTTCAGTAGAGACGGGGTTTCACTATGTTGGCCAGGCTGGTCTCGAACTCCTGATCTTGTCATCTGCCCACGTTGGCCTCCCAAAGTGCTGGGATTACAGGCATGAGTCACTGTGTCTGGCCTTTTTTGTTTGTTTGTTTTTTGACTGAGTCTCACTCTATTGCCCAGGCTGGAATGCAATGGCACGATCTCGGCTCACAGCAACCTCTGCCTCCAAGATTCAAGCGATTCTCCTGCCTCAGCCTCCCGAATAGCTGGGATTACAGGCACGCCACCACGCCTGGCTAATTTTTGTATTTTTAGTAGAGACAGGGTTTCACCATATTGGCCAGGCTGGTCTCAAACTCCTGACCTCAGGTGATCTGCCCACCTTGGCCTCTCAAAGTGCTAGGATTACAGGTGTCAGCCACCGTGCCTGACTAGATTTTTATGTTTTAAAGACGGCTGTAACAATATCTTCTGCTTTTCCTGAACCACGATCTTGCCATTCCCTGTCCTCCCTTTTCCCAGAAGTGAGTCTGAGACCTCATCCTTGAACCTGTCTTTGGAGAGCAGATCACAAAGGGCTTTAAGTGGCAGCTAGATTCCAAGATCAGAAACAAGCAGATGTTGTAAGGCATCTGAGGAAGTCCAGGCCACATTGGGAAGCCAAGTGTTCCGACTTAGAGCAGCAATTGAGATCCCAGTCATATAATAAGCATTAACCTCTGCATATGTGAGTGAGGAAGTCTTCAGATGACTCCAGCCCCATGTGAGAAGCCCTGAGCAAGAGCTCCCTAGACAACACTTGGAATTATGAGAGAGAATTACAGTAAATGATTGCTATTGTTTTATGCCACTACATTTTAGGTGGTTTGTTAATCAGAAATATAAGATTGGAATAGGGACTCAAGAAATTTATCAGTGACCCAGGCTCCTTCCAGCTGTCTGCTCTGTTATCTCTGGCATGAAACTTTCATCGTCATGTTTTAAGGTGCTGCTGGTGCTCCAGCCACCACATCTGCATTCCAAGCAGCAGAATGGAATTATGAAAGAAGAAGAGTGTACTTCCTCACTTTTACGGAAACTTCCTGAAGTCCTATATAACATTTCTAGAATTTAGTGGCCAGGATTTAGTCACATGGTCACTCAGCAGCAGGGGATAATGAAAAATGGATCTTTTATTTTGGGCCATAATGTACCCAACTACAAACTGAGCTGTTTGAGGAGGAAAAGAAGCACAGCTATTGGATTAGACAACTGTTAGTTTCTGCATTGAGGGCTTTCTCAGGAGCCAAGGGCATGAGCTTTAGTGCACAGAATCCAGCACTATTTTACTGCGTTCTTGATATCTGCAGATAATGGTTAGATGACTTTTATGTGCAGTTTTTATTGTAACTGGAATTTCAGTCTTCTCATTCTGGTATTTCTGGGTTGGTATGGTAATTAAAAAGCAATGCCTGATAACGCTCCTCAAAACTTCCTATGAAAATAGCCACAAATGACTACAAAAATGTTAGCACAAAAGCTATAAACCAAGGAGGAAACAGAGTTGAATCTATACAGACTGTATTTTTACTGAAACATGGTTGGGGTTAGATTTTGAAAAGCACTCTATGGCTTTATATCCTCCACTCACTGAACCAGAATATTATAGAGCGAGAAAACGGTGACTAAGGTCAATGTTCACCTTTAAACCTGGGACTCTGAGACCTCTCCAGTCAATGAATCAGGTAACTGGCTTTTATTTGCAAGACAATTATCTGCTGAACCAGTAATAATTATACTATGTTCCCTAGATCTTCCATCCTCCCCCCATGACTTTTTCCCTCTGACATCCATTGAGAGGCCCATGTCCAGAGCATAACTTCTGGGATTCAATGTGGCTGGCATAATAAGGGAGAGGACAGGGCCAGGAGCAGTGGCTCACGCCTGTAATCACAGCACTCTGGGAGGCCGAGGTGAGTGGATCACGAGGTCAGGAGTTCGAGACCAGCCTGGTCAACATGGTGAAACCCCATCTCTACTAAAAATACAAAAATTAGCTGGGCGTGGTGATGGGTGCCTGTAGTCCCAGCTACTCAGGAGGCTGAGGCAGGAGAATTCCTTGAACCCGGGAGGTGGAGGTTGCAGTGAGCTGAGATTGTGCCACTGCGCTTCAGCCTGGGCGACAGAGCAAGACTCCGTCTTAGGAAAACAACAATTAAAAAAAAGAAAAAAAGAAGAGAGAGGACGGGTCATGAGCAGGTGCATCCTGGGATGCCTCATTACTTTAGGAAAGGCCCTTATAGGCAGAGCTGAGAACAGGAAGAGAGGCCAGACCAGAGAGAGCTGAGATGTGTGGTGGGTGGTGGGCCTGGCTCTTTATGAACAACTCTTTGCTGAAAAACTCAGAATGCATCTGGAAGAGTCCCCCAGATTAATGCCTGGAGATGCTACTGTAGGATGAGAAGCTGGGCTTACTAACCTTATCTCTAGGTCTAGACCAGTAGAGGAAAGTATCTAGTCCCACAGTGCTCAGGAAGGTGATAAAGGACCCCCTCAACTTCCCCGACTCAGTGTGCAGAGAGGCAGAGAGAGCTCATCTTATTCAGAGAGCAGTAGACAAACAAAATTCCCCTAAACTTAATCAGATGGAAAAAATTTACAAACAAAAACCTTACCCAACTGATATCAAATATTTATTTATTTCTTAAAGGATAAAGATAAAGAAAAAGAAGCCTTATGAGTGCTTCTCAAGGCCATTAAAGTTTCTGTGTAATCTGTTGCCATCCCACAAGTACACCTACAGGCTTGTGTGATGAGAACTGATGTTCAGTATGAGAACTCACAGACACTGCAAGATTTTCAATCATCAAATATTCAATTATGTTCTCTGTGTTCTGTTTACTAAAGCAGGGAAGCAGACATATAAAAAATGATTTTCCGTAATAGGAATTGGTTTTAGTTTCACAGACACTGTACCCTCCTGGTTGTATTTGTTTGCTAGTGTAATTTAAACCCTTACCAGCCAGCATCTAGGACGATGTAGAAAATATTGAACATTTGCTTTTAGGTGATCTGAAAACAGAATAACATAAAATGAGTATTTTATTTTTAACCACTCTCTCTACAGTCTCTACTTCTAGCCTTACAATCATCCATCCATCCATCCACTTATTGTTATTGCGTGCACTAGCTTTTAACATAGATCAATAGAAATTAACTGTGATAGAATTTACTGCATTACTATTCACTTTATGTGTAACATTCAAACATTTCTACTTAACGATGATAAGAAGGGTGATGAAGTTGATACTTACCATTTGCTAGATATGGTCCTAGATGGTTTACATGCTTATGTGCTTTTAATCCTAATAGAACTATGAAGTAGGTATTATTAATTGCCCTCATTTGATAAGTAAGGAGAGGTGAAGTTACTGAAATGAGGCCCTGGAGTCAAGAAGGGGTGGAACTGGGACTTGAACACAGGACTGTGACTTTAGGGACTACTCCCTTTTCTACATACTAGCTATAATCCTTCAGTTTTGAAAATTTTTAGTTAATAATTACAGTTAGTGTGCATATTATACTTTATGATTTGTAAAGGATGTATCATCTGCATCTGCTTCTCTCGCCATCCCCAGGACTAGGTATTAGTGGTCTTGGCCTCATACATAGGTATCCTCATGTCAAATCTAGTGCTCTTTCTACTGTGGGAAATCATAGCAAATGCTGTTAGACCTCACCCTATCCATTCAAGTCTTACCATTTCATCATAGACCAGCTGAAGTCAACTGCCAATCTCACTTCCCATTCACTGAAAGCTTTTCCTGGCTCCTGGAGCCAATCTACCTATATGCTCAGCAGACCTAAATTGCCAGGTTATTATTATTATTATTTTTTGAGATGGAGTCTCACTCTGTCACCAGGCTGGAGTGCAGTGGCGTGATCTCGGCTCACTGCAACCTCCACCTCTCAGGTTCAAGCGATTCTCCTGCCTCAGCCTCCTGAGTAGCTGGGACTACAGGCGCCTGCCACCACACCCAGCTGATTTTTGTATTTTTAGTAGAGACGGGGTTTCACCATGTTGGCTAGGATGGTCTCTTGACTTTGTGATCTGCCCTCCTTGGCCTCCCAAAGTGCTGGGATTACAGGCGTGAGGCTCCGTGCCTGGCCAAATTGCCAGGTTATTAACACCTTCCTGTTTTCCCCTACAGCACCCCTCTACCAATCACTAATGGCTGTTGGTGTATACATACCCTAGATCCCTCACCCTGGGTGGGATCATTCTGACTGTGTGTTCTTCACCTAGATTTTTCTCCCTAGCAGCATTAAGACCCAATTTCTCAACTATTGCATGGACAGAAAACCAAACACCGCATGTTCTCACTCATAGGCAGGAATTGAACAATGAGAACACTTGGACACAGGATGGGGAACATCACACACCGGGGCCTGTGGTGGAGTGGGGGGAGGGGGGAGGGATAGCATTAGGAGATATACCTAATGTAAATGACGAGTTAATGGGTGCAGCACACCAACAAGTCACATGTATACCTATGTAACAAACCTGCACGTTGTGCATATGTACCCTAGAACTTAAAGTATAATACAAAAAATAAAAATAAAAAAAAGATCCAATTGCTCATAGGGGTAACCCACTTGATGACGCATCCTATATTATCTGTCTTCTCCTCCCGGTCTCAGGTCCCCATGCCCCTACTCATGTTTTCCTTCACCTATCAAATAAATTACTTGCACTCAAATTCCTTGTCTCAAGCTCTGCTTATGGAAGAATCCAAACAAAGATGACTGTATTGTGTGACAGTCCCTTATATGCTTTACCTGATACTTCAGGGCTCTGCTGTTTTCTCTCTTTTCTCCCGAACCACACTGAAAGCAGTATGAATATACAGCTTTTCCTTCATGATCCCTAGGCTTTTGTGTGTTTTGGATTCCAGTGGGATGTTAATGAGATTGACCAGCCCATTCCATGGTCTACTGTGAGAGACCTCTGGGGCCAGGGCTGGGCTCATGATTCAAAACTACTCTGGATTTTGGTGTACTCATGTGGCCCTTACCAATGAATCATTCATTCTGACTCTGAATTGCATGCTCTCTTGAGATACTTGACTGTCTCTTTGAGTGTAGGTTTGGTTACCCATTCAAACTGGTGGCTGTCTTGAAAGCAGCAGCTGTCTCACCTTGATTTCTCCTGGTGCTGCACGCTTTGCAGGTACTTCTCATTTGCTTGTGTTCTGAAGTATATATACTGTTTTCGATTTGTAAATTATTCTACATACGCAATGTGTTTCCCTTTAATATCTATGTCACAGCTGGAATAGTTGTTTATTTATTACATTAAAAAAGTTAGGTTGAATTTCTTTAATTCCAACTTTGTGTTAGAACTAAATTCAGATTGAAGTTTATCTTGACACTACTTAGGGAAGAAGACGGCCTGTTAAATTACCATTGGCATAAACTAGCTCGTCTAGGAAAGATTTATGTACTTAAGAGCTTTTCTTTTATTGCTTAAGCTGCTCTTGCACATTTACAAGGTGAGCAGATCAGAGACTTACACTTTGTTACAGTAATTACAAATCATTCTTTTCTATCTCTAACCCAGAACTTTTACCAGGTGACATTGGTGTTTGAATGAATGAACATAGGAGGATTCATTCACTGGCTGGGGTGTACGAAGCATCTCTGCAGTCCCTTCGGTGTCACCCTGGGCTGCCCTACTGGAATCTGGACTCTGTCTTGTCATTTTATCTGTGTGTTCTCAGAGAAGAAGGGAGTACTGGTTAAGCATGAAACTTCCCATCACACCCATGGGTGGTGTAATAGACACTTTCTGGGTGGCTGCCCAGCTCACAGTAATTCAACCTGCCCTGACCCACAGACATGGACTCCCAGCGGCTGTGTCTGGTCCAATATGACCTTGTTTACTTGGCAGTGGCTAAATTTGTTCAGTGGTATCCTATGAATGTAAACTGGGCCACTTACATCTCTCTCCTGGGAATTTTGGAATTTTGAGCTAAAAGCATTGGACCAGGGAGTCATAAAGATTGAGGGGTGTTAATTCTAACATTCCAGAGGAGTAGTTCTCAATCCCTGGCTATGCATTAAAATCAGCTGGAAAGCTTTTAAAATATACTTATTCAAGGGCCCTACCCCTTGAGATTCTGATGTAATTTGTCTGAGTGGAGTCAGTGCATTACTTTTTTCTTTTTTTTTACAGTTACCCGTGTGATTCTATTATGTAATCAAGGTTGAAAATCAATGCTCTACAGGAAATTACCCTTCAAGCCCCTAGAGCTTTACGAACTCCTTCCAGTGTCCTTCCAGTAAATTCATTCTCCCCCTTTCTCCTCTCGTATCTCTCTGAATCTAGCCAGAGTTTGTATTTATTCCTTATTACTAGAAGAACCTTAATACTGATGATGTTGGTGTCAGGATTATCATCTTTGGAATTCTTTGTGTTTATGGAAGCATGCTGATTAGCCACATGACTCTCCGTTTTGCTATTATGCATCTAAGTTTTTAAAAATTGCTATCTGGGCCAGGCATGGTGGCTCATACCTGTAATCCCAGCACTTTGGGAAGCTGAGGCAGGCAGATCACTTGAGGTAAGGAGTTCAAGACCAGCCTGGCCAACATGGTGAAACCCTGTCTTTACCAAAAATAAAAAAAATAGCCAGGCATGGTGGCATGTGTCTGTAATCCCAGCTGCTCGGGAGGCTGAGGCAGGAGAATCACCTGAACCTGGGAGGCAGAGGTTGCAGTGAGCCGAGATTGAGCCACTGTACTCCAGCCTGGGCAATAGAGCGAGACTCCGTCTCAAAATAAATAAATAAATAAACAAAATAAAATTGCTTTTTGGGGTTTTCCAATATTTTCCTTTTCTTAAAAAATTAATCAAGATATTTAATAGATGATAGTGCAAACTATAATTTCATTTGAATACAAATGTGTGCACATGTTTCCAACAAGTTATCTAGCAGTTACTACAAACAGCCTCAAGGACCTTAGAATTATATTTAAAAACTCTATGGCTGCAATTTAATTCTAACAATCTTACTTGCTCTCAAGAGAATATTGTCAATTTCAAATAAGAATCACAAACTCCGAAAGACCAGTGGAGTGGGAATGAGGAGTGGGCAAGAGAGGTACATACAGGGTTGAAGAGAAATACAACTCTTTAGGAAACCAAAATCAGATGTATTATTACAGCTAAGGACAAGGGAAGGTCTATGACTTTTAAAAAATGGCTTTTCTTCCAGTACCATACAAGTCTGACAGAGAAACGTGGAACAAGTTGCCTGTCTTAAAAGGACAGAGATGACATTTTCAGACACCTTCAAGTGCAAACAAGTGGCTCTTTCCATTGAGGATTCAGCAGTGAAGTTATGATATCTAGCCCAGAAGCTAAATGTTGGATTTGCAAATACAGTTTATTTTATATAATTCAACATCATAAACAGCAGGCATCTGCTGCTCTGCTTACTGCCCCCTGCCCCGGCCAGTTTTCCCCTCCCCTGTGCAGACTCTGTAGAGGAAGCAGTGATGCAGCCCTATGGCTTTGAAGTGAGATGAGTTCTTCTAATTCCGCTATGAGCTCATTCTTGTCAAACTCTTCCAGACCCTGCAGGTCTTGAAATCGTTGTTAAAATCTCCTCTGCAAGTTCTTGCTGGTCAGCAACATCCTGCATTAACTCCTCGACTCGACCCGTGGCGTCCTGGGGGTCAGGCCGCCCTCGTAAGCCTTACTCCCTCCCACCCCAAACAGCTTCCTGGATACCTGAACACTGATTTGGTTGCTGTTCCAGTGTCTGCTTCCAGACCCCTCCAATATTTCTTAAAGTATATTTCATTTCTTTAAGGTTTTCAGGGACCCATTTTCTTCCCTTATTTTTGCTCCATATTTTTATGCCTGCATAATTCTTGTCCTACTGGCCAGATTGTAGCTTTTGGGAGTGAACAGTAAGAATGGAATGCCTTGAATTTGCATTGGGCGAGCTGGAGATTAAATTTATTTTCTTTCCTCTATAAGGCCCCAATTTGTGTGTGTGTGTATTTTAGTAAGAATGCAGTGCCAGCCTCACACCTTAATGTACTGTAAAATGTCTCATTTACCTGTCCTCTTTTTTTGGCTGTTTTTCCTTTTCCTTTTTTACACCTGTTTGCTCCACATGATTCCAAAGAGATGAGAAACAATTTATTTGAGCTTTTGTGTTGCTTATTGTCAGTCTGAAAAACAATTGCCAATAAACTGTATTGATTCATATCATTAAACATACATGGACTCACACATACACACGCAATCAAATTTTAGTGTGACCAAATTGCAAAATATGTCTTCAGCATGGTTGCCTTGTCAGTGACCAGCTGAGACTGCTGATACAGGGCCCAGCATACGTATGCTCCTTGGCTGTACTGACCAGCTGGCATGTGGCACCATGCTGGCACAGGGTCCTGTCAGTCAGCCCCACAGGCATGCCATTCACCCAGAATTAGAACCAAAGGGAAGATCTTTTTTTTGTACACTGTTAGCAGAAGTGACCTTTCCCAATGGCTTAGAATAATTTTGTAAGTGCGAAGGAGAGCCATTTATTAGCATAAGTTCTTCAACAGCCTTATTTAAGGCTAGAACCCGGTGATTTTTAATTGCAAATATTGGCTGTGAATTGCTGGAAGGTGTAATAATGTTATTCCTGTTTTGAAATTCCATTACACAGGACTGAGTCAAAGAGCGTCTGTGAGTCACCTGAATTTCTCTCCTGGGCAGCCACACATTTGATTTTGAATCATTGTGCTGCCTTGGATCCAAGGAGAGGCCCACTGTTGTTTTCACCTCTAGCCCTTGTCATCCTCTCTAGTTCTGTTTTAATGATGAGGGATGGTAAACTGGGCTGGGAATCAAGAGATGAATATTTGGACTACATTTCTACCGCAATGAGTTGCATGACCTGTGATTAGATAGGCTGGGATTTAATGGTAATTCACTGAAAAATTGCCATACCAGTTATCACCATGTCACCCAAAGATGTCCAGGATTTAGGATTTATCATTCATTTAATAGTCACAACAAACAAAACAAAATACACTCAAGGCCAAATCCACATCTGGTTGGGAATCCTAGTATCTCTGTGGTGGGGGTAGGGTTAAACTGTTCCTGGCACATTTTTCTTTGCTTTCCTAACCTTGATTTCCTGCTTCTGTTAAATTCTTATTCCCTGTTTGCATCTCACCTCCTGGCCATTTTTTTTCCTTTTCTATTTTTGTCATTAATTCCATATATGGAAGACAACTTTGTCTTTAATTTTCCACCAATTTCTTTTACCCAAGACAGTGTATCTTGCAGATTTTTACTGAAAGTCTGGCATAAAGTGTGTGTATGTGTGTGGGCGGGTGGGTGGTGGTGCTAGAAGTTGAATTGCATATTCCCCTAACCCCAAATTCATGTGTTTATGTTTTAATCTTCAGTACCCCAGAATGAGACCGCATTGAGAGATAAGGGTCTTTAAAGAGGTAATTAAAGTTAAATGAAATAATTGAGATGGGCCCTAATTCAATATGACATGTGTCCTTATAAGAAGGGGAGATTTGGACATGGACACACAGAGAAAAAGAACATGTGGAGACCCAGGAAAAAGCCATCTCCAAGCCAAGGAGAGAGGTCCCAGAAGAAACCCACCTTGCCAACACCTTGATCTTAGGCTTCTGGACTCCAGATTTGTGTTGTTTAAGCCACTCAGTCTGTGGTAATCTGTTATGGCAGCTCTAGCTGACTAATACAGCAGGGAGATCTCAGAATAGAACACTGCATGGGAAACAATTTAAAATGGAAGAGTAGCCATCTTTATTTTAAAGATCTCTGGGCTTCTCTCACCAATGAAAATTTCTCGTGGCCAGTTTTTCTTTTTAAGATCTGGTCTTTTTTTTTTTTTTTTTTCCATGTTGTCAATGTCTTTCTTTTCCTTATGCCTTATCTCTCCCCCATTTTACCTCTAAGGAGGAAGAACTCTGACATATGTCAAGGAGGAATGGGATTTTTTGGGAAACACATAGCTAGATGGGGGAAATTGAGGAGTTCAGACACATGCTTGGGGGTCAGACAGGACTGGCAGTTCACATCCTGGCTCTACTACCTCCCAGCTGTGGATTTGGGATCGATTACTGAACCTTTCCATTATTCTGCTCCTTATCCGTAAGTTGACGATTGTGTTGGCACTTACCTGACCGTAAAACAGTGCATGTAGAACACGTAGCAGAGTGCTGAGCTCAACAAATACAAACTGCTATCATTAAGTCACCATCCCACCAAGGGGTGCATTCATGGGTGGAGAAAAAGGATGATAAATTGATGAAGGTGCCCAACCAGCCCATGTGTAAATACGAAACATGATCACATTTCCTCGAATATACCAATGGGGAAGGCAGACCCTTCTCTTTGAGTGAATGCCGTCTCTTTCTCTTTCTTTTAAACGAGGTCTGCTGTCTTCACTTCTTGGTATGCCTCCTGTTCAGGTGCCATCAGGTTCTTTGAGGGCCTTGTAACACCAAGGTGAGCCAAGACAAAGGAGCCATTGAATGAATGTCTTAAGTTTGCCTACAGAACAGATCAAGATGTCCTTTTGTCTCACAGATGCTCCACCCAGCTTACAAGGTAGAAGAAGAGAAAGGAGTTTGGGGCAGATATTTTAGTTAATAATAAATAATGTTTGTGTGTATATGCGTGCATATTTTAGATGACCTGGTGTGGCTGTAAACAGTGGGATAAGATTCAAGAATACGGAAATCTGACCCTTGTCACTTTTACCACAACCAAAGTAAAACAACCTTTGTTGTTGTTATTTGGGCATAAGTAGAAACAGCTTATTCTAACTACACTGCTGGCATCAGCTCATTTCAAGACAGACCAGCATGGCTGGGCGCAGTGGCTCACACCTGTAATCCCAGCACTTTGGGAGGCCGAGGCGGGTGGATCACCTGAGGTCAGGAGTTCTAGACCAGCCTGGCCAACATGGTGAAACCCCATCTCTCCCATCTCTACTAAAAATACAAAAATTAGCCAGGCTTGGTGGCAGGTGCCTGTAATCCCAGCTACTCAGGGGCGCTGAAGCAGAAGAACTGCCTGAACCCAGGAGGCAGAGGTTGCAGTGAGCCGAGATCGCGCCATTGCACTCCAGCCTAGGGAACAAGAGCAAAACTTAGTCTCAGAAAAAAAAAAAAAAAAAAATACAGGCCAGCCTGTATCATTGCAACCCCCTTGGCTGGGTTAGCCTCATTTGTGACTCGAGAATCATGGGTAAAACTATCAAAGAGAAGCCAGCAGCCAGAGTCACCTCCCTTAAAGATGTGCAATCCAAGAAGATGACACCTCAATTACCTAGGGCAAGAGAATTCCCAAGTTACACCAGTCTACGGCCATTAGGGATGTAAGTTGTGCAACAATGTCAATAAATTCTGGCATTTAATCTTGATTTCATCTCCTTTGAAAGCTTTCCCTTTTATATGTAGTTAATAAAAGGCATTGAGGAGAAAATGCCATTCAGGCCTTGACTTTTTGCCTAATGCTAATCCTTACAAGTTCTCACACAGAGCTTTTAGGGGGTAGTTATTAATTACACACATTATAGATTATACAATCAATATGCCTGAATTCATCTAAATTATCCCATAATCTGATCACAGAGTAACTCAGTTAACAGGGCAGAAATAACTTTTAAATGATGTCTAATTACCACCCTAACCACCAGATGTCAGTTTTTAAATGCAGGTCACAGATCAAAAGGCTTTTTTTTTTCCTTTTTCTTTTTTTTTTTTTTTTTTTACAATTGTAGGGGAGGGAATGGTGCCTGGTGAAGGAAGTTCAGCAGTCATGGTACATGACTTCCTGGGGAGTATGCTGGGGAACTACAGCAGAGTGGCAGGACCTTCATTTTGGTTTGAACAAGGCAGACTAGAGGATGGAGTTTGTGTACTTCATATAATAGTCATACTCTGGGGTGACACTGACCGGTGTATGCCTGGGCCCCAGAAACCGTTATAAGAGTTCCTAATATATGCTGGGTTGAATTGAATATCCCATGGAAGTGCTGCTTTACAGGTGATGGAAGTGGAGGCGTGGTGTCTGTGTAGATGAGCAAGGTTTCCCCTGCCTCTCTCTATCTCTTTCTTTCAGCAGTATGATCACACACAGAATAGCAAGTAACCCAGGGACTTTCTCACTTTCCAACAGAGTCCCTCAATCCAATTACAAAATAAAATTCTAAAAGCTGACTCTGTGTTATTATTTCTCAAATATGTCCAGATATTAACATTTCAGTGGCTAACAGGTAATGCTATCTTTTTCTTTTTCTTTTTCTTTTTGAAACAGGGTCTTACTCTGTCACCCAGGCTGGAGTGCAGTGGCACAGGAACATGGCTTCCTGCAGCCTCGACCCCTGGCTAACAGGTAATGCTATCTTTTTCTTTTTCTTTTTCTTTTTGAAACAGGGTCTTACTCTGTCACCCAGGCTGGAGTGCAGTGGCACAGGAACATGGCTTCCTGCAGCCTCGACCCCTCTGGGATCAAGCGATACTCCTGCCTTAGCCTCCTGAATAGCTGGGACCACAGTCACACTACGCTGTCCAGCTAATTTTTTGTAGAGATGGGGGTCTCACCATGTTGTCCAGGCTGGTCTCGGTGTCCTGGGCTCGAGTGATCAGCATGCATCAGCCTCCTAAAGTGCTGGGATTACAGGCATGAGCCACCACACCTGGCCTATCATTTTCACTGTCATAATTCTGATAAGTAGATAATCTACTTTGTGAAAGTACCTCCTTCCCCAACCCCTCTGTTGGATCGATAAAGCTATTGTCGTTTGCATGAAAAAAGGTGTAGCCTTGCCATAAACATTTTGTTTTGCTAAGTAGGCCCTCATGGATAAACGGATGTGTAGCCTGACTTTCAGGCTCACTGGGATGTTTTGAAAAGCCACTACATTTCAAAGATGCAGAGTAGTGTGGTGAACAAAGGTATGTGTGGTTTTTGAAGTTGCAGGGAACTGTGTTTTAGTCACAGATTTACTACTAGTAGTACCATTACTACTACTACTACTACTAATTATTATTATTTACCTTGGGCAAAGTGAGTTGAGGGTAACGTGTAGATTATAACACCTGTTTCCTAGAGTTACTGTGAAGATTATATGAAATATTGCCGCTAAAGTGCTGGCACTTGGTAGGTCACGTGTTGAATTGCCGTTAAGGGAACGCTGCTGAAACTCCCTTTACTTGTGAGATTTAAAAAAACTGGCTGAAATCAGTTGGAAGCCATATGGCCAGCCCGAGTCTGTACAGAATGAGCTTGCTGACGTCACAGCCCGAATTTCCACCATGTTTCATACTAATTCCCCCTGAATTTGCACATGTGTTCCACGAGGTAGCATGAAGAGATAACTGTGCATGCCCGAGGACTTTCTAGACCTCTCCTTTCCTTCCACCATCACCTAGTAATCTCAGAACCCATCCCCTGAAACTTTTCTAATGAAATGACTGCCTTAGAGCCAGCAAGGAGAGACAGATTTGAACTGCACTCTTGTCTCCTTGTTGGTTGACCTACAATAAAAACTTTTATTTTCTCAAAAACCCAGTACCGTAGTATTCATTTCTAGTGCATCAGGCAGCAAGCCCCTTTTGCTCGGTAATAACAGGTACTTGCAGCTATCACACCATCAAGCATCACCATCAACATTGTCCACCATCCAATCAATCTTGTCTTCTCAGTCCCATGAGCAAATTAAATCAATTCCTGAATCACTCCTTCCTCATTCTGTTTCATCTTTTAAACCAGCAGTCCCCAAACTTTTGGGCACCAGGGACTGGCTTCATGGAAGACAATTTTTTCCATGGATGGGGGGTGGGTTGTGGGGAAGGGATGGTTTTGGAATGAAACTGTTCCCCCTGAGATCATCAGGCATTAGTTAGATTCTCATAAGGAGCGGGCAACCAAAATCCCTCGCATGTGCAGTTCACAGTAGGGTTCGCGCACCTGTGAGAATCTAATGCCACTGCTGGTCCGACAGGTGTTGGAGCTCAGGTGGTAAGGCTGGCTGGCTCACCTGCTGCTCCTCTCCTGCTGTGTGGCCCGGTTCCTAACAGGCCAGTTCCTAACAGGGCCTGGGCCTGCTGTACAGGGGTTTGGGGATCCCTGTTCTAAGCCACACATGTTCTTCTAGCTATAGAAGAACCTCACCCTTACTGCAGGAATACGCCTCTGTTCCACTTTATGGTTGCTTAGCAACTGTGCTGTTTCTTTCTTTCTTTTCTTTTCTTTTGAGATGGAGTCTCGCTCTGTCACCTGGGCTGGAATGCAGTGGAGTGATCTCGGCTCACTGCAGCCTCCACCTCCCAGGTTCAAGCAATTCTCCTGCCTCAGCTTCCCTAACAGCTGGGAGTACAGGCGTGTGCCATCACATCCAACTAATTTTTGTATTTTTAGTAGAGACGGGGTTTCGTCATGTTGACCAGGCTGGTCTCGAAGTCTTGATCTCAGGTGATCCCCTACCCTCTGCCTCCCAGTGTTGGGATTACAGGCGTGAACCACCCAGCCCAGCTGTTTCTTTTTTTTAAAGCTCTGGGAAGTCTTTTATTTTATTTTATTATTTCAATAATTTTGGGGGGGAACATTATATTATTCTTTTTGTTGGTTTGTTTTTTGTTTTGAGACAGAGTCTCATTCTGTCACACCCAGGCTGGAGGGCAGTGGTGCAATCTGCTGCCTTCACCTCCCAGGTTCAAGAGATTTTCATGCCTCAGCCTCCCAAGTAGCTGGGATTACAGGTGTTCATCACCATGTCTGGCTACTTTTTGTATTTTTAGTAGACAGGGTTTCACAATGTTTTCCAGGCTGGTCTCAAACTCCTGGCCTCAAGTGATCCTCCCCACTAAGCCTCCCAAAGTGCTGGGATTACAGGCATGAGCCACCACACCAGCTGAGAGTCCATTATATCATTCTTATGCCTTTGCATGCTTATAGCTTAGCTCCCACTTATAAGTGAGGACATACAATGTTTGGCTTTCCATTTCTGAGTTACTTAGCACAATGGTCTCCAACTCCATCCAGGTTGCTGTGAATGCCATTGTTTCATTCCTTTTTATGGTTGGGTAGTATTCCATGGCATATATATACCACATTTTCTTTATCCACTCATTGATTGATGGGCATTTAGGCTGCTTCCATATTTTTGCAATTGTGAATTGTGCTGCTATAAACATGCGTGTGCAAGTGTCTTTTTCATACAATGACTTCTTTTCCTCTGGGTAGATACCCAGCAGTGGGGTTGCTGGATCAAATTGTAGTTCTACTTTTAGTTCTTTAAGGAATCTCCATACTGTTTTCCATAGTGGTTGTACAAGTTTACATCACTACCAGCAGTGTCCAAGTGCTCCCTTTTCACCACATCCATGCCAATGTCTATTATTTTTTGATTATGGCCATTTTTGTAGGAGTAAGGTTACGGTATCATATTGTGGTTTTGATTTGCATTTCCCTGATAATCAGTAATGTTGTGCATTTTTTCATAAGTTTGTTGTCCATTTGTATATATTCTTTGAAGAATTGTCTATTCATGTCCTTAGCCCATTTTTTGATGGGATTATTTGTTTTATTTTTCTTGTTTATTTGTTTGAGTTCCTTGTAGATTTTGGATATTAGTTTTTTGTCAGATAGATGGTTTGCAAATATTTTCTCCCACTCCGTGAGTTGTCTGTTTACTCTGCTGTTTATTTCTTTTGCTGTGCAAAAACTTTTTAGTTTAATTAAGTTCCATCTATTTATCTTTGTTTTTTTGTGTTTGCTTTTGGGTTCTTGCTCATGAAGTCTTTGCCTAAGCCAATGTCCAGAAGATTTTTTTCCAATGTTATCTTCTAGGATGTCTATAGTCTTAGGTCTTAGATTTAAGTCTTTGACCCATCTTGAGTTGACTTTTGTATGAGGTGAGAGATGAGGATCCAGTTTCATTCCTCTACATGTGGCTTGCCAATTATCACAGCTGCTGCCCTATTTTCCGACTTTTTCTTATATCTGCCTTTTCTCCCCAGTGAAGGCTCTGGAAGGCAGGAACTTGCCTCACCCTTATATTTGTCTTCGTCAGCTCTTTACCTAGTAAAGTCTATATAATAGGAGATTATATATAATGATGAATAAAAACATGTGCAAATTGTTATGTGTATTCACTTGGTGATGTAGGTGCACATGGATTCACAGACAAAAATGTAAAGTTGGGAAAGGTCTTTGAACCCATTGATTTTGTCTTGTGTTTAATAGGTGGGGAAACTGAGACCCAGAGAAACGATAGACATTGAGAGAGTTTTACTGTATGTTCCTGTTGTCATATAAATATATGTGCGTGTATATATATGTGTGTGTGTGTGTACATATATGTATGTGTATATATATGTGTGTGTGTGTGTATATATATATATATATATGTATGTGTGTATATACATATATATTTGAGACAGGCTCTTACTGTGTTGCCCAGGCTGGAGTTCAGAGGTGTGGTCATAGCTCACTGCAGCTTCAAACTCCTGGGCTCAAGCAGTCCTCCTGCCTGGGCTTCCCAGAGTTCTGGGATTACGGGTGTGAGCCACCGCAGCCTGGCCTACCTGTTGTTAAATTTGTATCATGTTTAGTGAAAGTTTTAGGTTAATATAGACCTAAGCATGTAACATTTCTGTTGAAGCATATTGGATTCTTTTTTTTTTTTTTTTGAGATGGAGTCTCTCTCTTGTTGCCCAGGCTGCAGTGCGGTGGCACAATCTCAGCTCACCAAAACCTCTGCCTCCTGGGTTCAAGCAATTCTTCTGCCTCAGCCTCCTTAGTAGCTGGGATTACAGGCATGCACCACCACGGCCGGCTCATTTTTGTACTTTTAGTAGAGACGGGGTTTTGCCATGTTGGCCAGGCTGGTCTCGATTTCCTGACCTCAGGTGATCTGCCTGCCTAGGCCTCCCATAGTGTTGGGATTACAGGCGTGAGCCACCGTGCTCGGCTTGGATTCTTTGTATGTGGACTGTTAGAAAGTATTCCCTTAAGAAGTTATTTTAGGGACTTTTAAAAGAAAAATCAGGAACAATTCAATGTACTGATGTTTGTTTTCTCAGACCAGACAACTATATTTATATGCACTCATTAGCATAGGAGATTTTAGCTGTCCTCCCTCTATTATGTCCTTTTTAACATACGTGGATTTCATTCAGGTCTCCTCCCCTCCTTCATGCAGCCCATGGGGCTCAGAGGAAGCTGACCTCATTTGTCTCCAGGGATGGATCTTCTAAGACTCTAAGCCAATGAGTTTAATCTTAAGAGTCAGCCCATTCAAGAAAAGAGGTGTTTTAGTATTTTGACCAATGAGTTGAGAGAAATGGTTTGTCAGGGCTTTATAGGAAAGATCCTCCTTTCTCCTCTAGGATCTTTCTGGGAACCATTCTGTCTCCCTCCCACTGAATGTGAATGAGAACACTGTGAGTACAGATTTCTACTGCAAACATTCTAAAGACACAGAAAGAGCCAGCCTAAAGATGAAACAACAATGTGGATAGCAGAGCATGACGAGAAAAGAACATAGGCTTTTCTTGATATTTTTATGCTGCCAGATTAGCAACAAAACTACCAAAGGACTTCATTTTACATGAGACAGTAGGACTCTTTAATGTGTAAGTCAGTTTCAATGGGTGTTCTGTTGCTTGCCTAATATTCTAACAGAAACACTTGTGGGTAGATATTTTCCTGGAAGTACAAAATGGTTCCCTGGCAGGCAACAAAATGTAATATCAGCTGTAATATAAATTAAAACCCTTGCAAAACCCTCCAGAGAGGTCTGAACTATCCAAGTGCTTCAGAGTGTGGTTAGAGATTTTTAGAATAGTGACTCAAATATCACACCACAACTGCTAACAACCCCAAGGACCTGTTACTCTCTGAATGCTGAAGCTTTATGGACAACAACTCAGAGCCAGTACTTGGTGGAACTGCAGGATTTAGGTTTTTTAAAATTTTTATAGATTTAAGGGATACAGGTGCATTTTATTAAATGGATATATTGTGTAGTGGCAAAATCTGAACTTTCAGTGTTACCATCACCCAAATAGTGTAATTTCTGTTATATATAATAGAGAAATTATATGTCATTTCTCATTCCTCTTTCCCCTTCAACCCTCCAACCGTTTGGAGTCTCCAATGTCTATTCCACTTTGTATGTTCATGTGTACATGTAGTTTACCTCCAACTTATAAATAAGAACATGAAGTATTTAACTTGTTTCCTTAAGATTTAACTTGTTTCCCTTGCAGTTCCATCCACATTGCTGCAAAAGACAGGATTTCATTATTTTTTATGGCTGAGTAGTGGAATTGGAGGATTTTGTAAATTAGATGTAGACTGGGAGATGAGGACAAGGATGATGGAGAAGGAAGAGCTCTCGACACGCATCCTGATAATAAAGCTCCTTAATGTCTCTAAGTTTCTGAGAAAACTCATTTGTGTTTAGCTTGTAAACTTTATTTATTTATTGTGTTTGTCAACCGATATATCATAGTCGTACGTATTTTGGGGATACAAGTGATATTTTGATACATGTATCTAATATGTAATGAGCAAATCAGGGTAATGGAGACATTCATCATCTCAAACATTTATCTTTTTTTGTGTTGAGAACATTACAATTCTAGCTATTTTGAAATATACAATAAATTATTGTTAACTATAATTTCCCTACTGTACCATCAAATATTATCACTTATTCTTTCTATTTAGCTGTATTTTTATACCCATTAGCCAACTCCTCTTCATTCCCTACTCCCTTTCCTTCCCCCAGCCTCTGGTAATAACCCTGTCTACCTCCATGAGATCCACTTTTTTTAGCTCCCACATAGAAGTGAGAACATGTGATATTTATCTTTCTGTTCTTAGCTTATTTCACCTAGCGTAATGAGCTCCAGTTCTATCCATGTTGCTACAAATGACAGAATTTCATTCCTTTTTATGATTGAATAGTATTCCACCATGTATGTATACCACATTTTCTTTTTCTTTTTTCATTTGTTTATTTTTATTTTTTATTTTACTTTAAGTTCTGGGATGCATGTGCAGAATGTGCAGCTTTGTTACATAGGTATACATGTGCCATGGTGGTTTGCTGCACCTATCAACCCGTCATCTAGGTTTTAAGCTCCACATGCATTAGGTATTTGTCCTAATGCTCTCCCTCTCCTTGTCTCCCACCCCATGGCAAGCCCCAGTACGTACTGTTCCCCTCCCTGTGTCCATGTGTTCTCATTGTTCAACTCCCACTTATGAGTGAGAACATGTGGGTACACCACATTTTCTTTATCCATTCATCTGTTGATGGACACTTAGGGTCATTCTGTATTTTGGTTATCGTGAATAGTGCTGCAATAAATGTGAAAATGCAAATATATTTTTGATATACTGATTTTTTTTTTTCGAGACAGGGTCTCGCTCTGTTGCCCAGGCTGGAATGCAGTGGTGTGATCATGGCTCACTGTAACCTATGCCTCCCGGGCTCAATCAACCCTCCCACATCAGCCTCCTGAGTAAGTGGGACTACAGGCATGCACCACCATGCCTGGCTAATTTTTTGTATTTTTTGTAGAAATGGGATTTTGCCATATTGCCCAGGCTGGTCTTGAACTCCTGGACTTAAGTGACCCGCCCACCTTTGGCTCCCAAAGTGCTGGGATTACAGACATGAGCCACCGTGCCCATCCTTGATATATAGATTTTTAAAAAGTATATACCCATCAGTGAGAGTGTTGAATTACATAGTAGTTCTATTTGTAGTTTTTTGAGAAAACTTCATACTATTTTCCATAATGGCTGTACTACTTTATATTCCCAAGATTGTGAAATTGAATAATAATTATCATCATATTTAGTATTATGCACTTACTCTGTGCCAAATACTGTATAAATATTTGTGCTTTCAATTGTCTGAACTACCTTGATGTTATGCCTATTTGGTAGATGAGCAATCTAACGCTTAAAGAAATTAAGAAATATGGCAAAAATCCAAGTCATAGAAGACAGAAAAGGGAGCCACAGTTTCGATTCACGTCTTTTTGTTTTTGAAATTTTGGCTACTAGCCAATATACGTTATTATCTTAAAACCGTATTATTATTCTGCTCATTTATTCTTTTATTCAACTATACGATGAATATTCACAAAGTGCCAGGCGCTGTTCTAGGTTCAGTAGAATGTTGCTGGTCTTGAGATTACATTCTAGTAGAGGAGGATAGTCTCTAAAAAAAAATGTGAACCAAACATATATGAACAAACATATGTATTTATATACATATATGATGAATTTACAATGTGAGATATAATGACAAAAGCCAAAACTATTTTGGTGTGGTCTCCTTACAAAAATATTAACAGCCAGAGTGGCAAGCTGTACACCTAACAACGGGTGCATTTCGGCTATAGAACACTTTGACATGGTTGCAAGGATGAAGTCAGGGCTTTTTGTCAGATGTTGCAATCTTTAAGGCTTGCCAGTAGGTGGCATCCATGCCTTATAAACATTAGGAACACAGACCTGGTTGGCACAGCTTACAATGAGACTTAAGTTCTTTGATTTTATAATGTTAGAGCTTCCTATGGTATCTAATTATCTCTGTTGAATGGGTTGGGTATATGAAAGACGTAATCAGTACAATTTGAAATACAGGTAATGTGGCTGTGTAATTTTCAGTGACAATTTATACAACTTTTATTTTAAGGTAGTCCTAAAAGTATACCACATTTTGTTGAAGCCTATGGATTATATTTATATTCATGATGAACAATCGACTGAATGATGAAAATAGGCTTAGGGAAGTGCAGCATTCTGCTAAATTATGTGGTCAGAACACAGAGTTGAGACTCTAATAAAGGTTTTTGAAGAGGAAAATGTGATTGAAAAATAAAACCTATTCCTAGAAATTGATATGCCTTTTAATCAAGCTTGCAAAGTTGTTCTGCTATTCTGCACAAAATCTTTGTTATTTTAAAGGAAGGAGAACATTATAGTATGCTGGATTTAGAAAGAAAAGATACATATATTTCGAGCTCTGATTTAAGATCTTTTGAAAATATCCCTACCATGATCCTCCTCTTTAAAGTTAGGTTGTTGGGTTAAAACATGTCACTTTGTAGTGTAGGGCCGTTACTGTGTCTTTCAAGTCACATTGTTTTTTTGCAGTAAGGAATTGAGACTGAGTGTTGGACGAAACCTGAGGTTTTAAGGTGAACATAATTTTAAAGGGTATGTCTATGTCTTGCGTCATTTACTAAAGGTGAAGCTCCTGGGCCCTCAAACACTTTTTTTTTTTTTAACTTGCTAATACGTTTGCTAGTCCATTGCACTACTGCATTTGCTGAGAATATTATTTGCTTTCTGTCAGATTTACCTTCTGCATTGCAAAGTAACATCTTATTTTAAAAATCTCAGATCCCTTTTAGTTGCAGTGTTAAAAAGCTGTCAGCCAATAGATATTTACAAAAGACATTCCACTGGTGTCTGCAGCAACCAATGAACTTATGACTCTGTTGCTTTTAAGCTAAAGGCTTGAGAAGTCTAGTGCTTTCTGTTCTCCTACATCTAATTTGGGAGAAGCTGTATTTTGAAAAATTGTCAGAAATAAGTAAAGGAAATGCCAACTTCATTTGAGTTTGAACTGCTAGGCTAGCATTTTGCTATTAAATTACTCTGAAGTTAATGTGGATACATTTCTTATTTACTTTCTTTGTCTCTCTGGGTATGTGCCTATTAGGCCAGGTAAAAATAAAATGGCAGTCATCTTGAGTTAAATTTCATTTATGAAGTTAAAACCTTCCCTTTTTCTGTTTTCTTGGAGGAGAGTATTAGGAAATTTTCCATCGCCAAAGGATGCTAAACCTCTCAGATTCTTTCTAGGATGTTCAGCAACTCATTTCTCTATAGCTGATTCTTTCTTAAATTGGATTTAATCCAACTGTTCAGTGTGCTAAATTCTTTTAAGCAAAATCATGTCCAGTGTCTTCTACTTCTATCCTAACTATGCCACAGAGATAAAAAGAAGTCTAGAATTTTTACCTCATATATACTTTTTGTAGCCCAGCATTAGGTTTTCTTTTTCTGAGAAATCAAAGAAAAATGAGTAACAAATCAACTAACAATAACAACCTGTTTTTAGCTGAGAGGAGAAGAACTAAAATTCATAAATTTATCTATAAGCAAAACAAAATCTTTCTTTGATTTTGGTTTAATGGTGGTACTGAAGATTTTAACCTAATGATACTTTGGTAAGAAATCTTTTAGAGGATGAAAACTGTCAACTTAGAATTCTTTGCTTAAAAAAGAAACTATCATCAGAGTGAACAGGCAACCTACAGAATGGGAGAAAATTTTTGCAATTTACTTATCTGCAAAAAGTCTGATATCCAGAATTTACAAGGAACTTAAACAAATTTACTAGGAAAAAAAAAACAAACAAACAATGCCATCAAAAAGTGGGCAAAGGATATGAACAGACACTTCTCAAAAGAAGACATTTATGCAGCCAACAAACATATAAAAGAAAGCTCAACATCACTGATAATCAGAGAAATGCAAATCAAAACTACGAGGAGATACTATCTCATGCCAGGCAGAATGGCAATTATTAAAAAGTCAGGAAACAATAGATGAAGGAGAGGCTGTGGAGAAATAGGAACGCTTTTATACCGTTGGTGAGAATGTAAATTAGTTCAACCATTGTGGAAGACAGTGTGGCGATTCCTCAAGGATCTAGAACCAGAAATACCATTTGACTGACTAATCCCATTACTGGGTATATACTCAAAAGATTATAAATCATTCTACTATAAAGACACATGCGGCCAGGCGCCGTGGCTCACGCCTGTAATCCCAGCACTTTGGGAGGCCAAGGTGGGCGAATCATGAGGTCAGGAGATCGAGACCATCCTGGCTAACACGGTGAAACCCCGTCTCTACTAAAAATACAAAAAATTAGTCGGGCGCAGTGGTGGGAGCCTGTAGTCCCAGCTACTCAGGAGGCTGAGGCAGAAGAATGGCATGAACCCGGGAGGCGGAGCTTGCAGTGAGCCGAGATCGCACCACTGCAGTCCGGCCTGGGCGAAAGAGCGAGACTCCGTCTCAAAAGAAAAAAAAAAAAAAAAAAAAGACACAGTCACACGTATGTTATTGCAGCACTATTTACAATAGCAAAGACATGGAACCAACCCAAGTGCCCATCAATGATAGACTGGATAAAGAAAATGTGGTACATATACACCATGGAATGCTATGCTGTCATAACAAGGAATGAGATCATGTCCTTTACAGGGACATGGATGACGCTGGAAGCCATCATTCTCAGCAAACTAACACAGGAACAGAAAACCAAACACCGCCATGTTCTCACTTATAAGTGGGAGCTGAACAATGTGAACACATGGACACAGAGAGGGGAACAACACACACCAGGGCCTGTTGGGGGGTGGAGGGTGAGAGGTGAAGGGAGGGAACTAGAGGACAGGTCAATAGGTGCAGCAAACCACCATGGCACATGCATACCTATGTAACAAACCTGCACGTTCTGCACATACATCCCGTTTATTTATTTATTTATTTATTTTATTTATTTTTTTTTAGAAGAAAAAAAGAATTATTTGCTTAAGCCAATTCACTGCTGAGCACAGAGCTCGATCTGTAAGAGTCAGGGACAGAGTTCCTCCCAAAAGTCTGGGTCAGGTGCATAGTCATGCCATCTTGCCTTCATTTTAGGGACCAGGGACATCACTATATCTATTTCTTTGACTTTTTTTTCCTTTCACTTTGTGTTTTTGTTGGAGTACTGGTTGATAAGTTTCTCTACAATTCTGGTTAGTTCTGTCTTCATATAAGTCTGCAGGACATTTAAAAAAATAAATACGTCACTCTTCTCTGTAAACAAAATGGGTCAGGGTGGGGTTTTGGATAGAGGAGAATCTGAGAGATTAACAGTAAGTCACTTGCATAATATGGCATTTCAACAGAGTGACAGCTAGCAGGTGTAGTTCCTCCTCCCTGCTTTTACTAAGTGAATCTTTCTTGGAATGGTAAAGTGGAGAAAAAAAAATCAACATTGTTTACAGCTTGAAAGAAAATCTTTCACAAAACCATTGAAAAGTGGGGACCCAGTGCAGCTTTCTGAAGCCTCTCAGAAAAGACAGCATGGCTCACTGCTTCTAAATTAGATCACAAATTTTCTGGCTGATGGCAGCATCTTAGTGCTCACCCTGAAGGCAAAGATCTGAACAAATTACATTTTAATATCTTAGGTTCATTTATCCCTGCTGAGATCACATAGAAGCAAAGAAATACACATACATGGAAATCCAATAGGCCCAAGGGACTGGCAGCAGTGCTGTACATGGGAAGAGAGGAACAGTTAAAGTGAAATTAAACCTCTCTGCCTCTGCAGCAGATGACATCCCCTGCCTAACACACACCATCATGCTGGCAGCGTACACCCTCTTTGGTAAAGGAGGGCACAATAGATTTAAGAACTAAACTTGGCCTGTTGAGATGCTCGTGCAGTTAACTCTGCAAACCCTCACTTTGTTTTTTTCCCCATGCATAGGAAAAACGCTAATGTTGACATAAGGCTTGAAGGAACATTTATTTATTTATTTTTGGGGAGAATGTAAGAACTTTGGAGGATAAAAGCAGAGAAAGGTAACATAAGATATGACTATTCTGGGGAAGACTGTGTGTTGGGCTAAGGAGTTCCATCTGATGCAATTGATTTTGTGAATCATAGGAAATTTTTGAGAGTAAAAATGATGACTATGGCAGAGGTGTGTATCATACATGGGGATGGTGAAAAGGAGATGCATCATTTGGGACGCTGTTGCAATACTCAAAGTAGGGAGGTAGGAACTAGAAGAAGGGCAACAAAGGTAGGAATGAAGATAAGAAAAGTGATAAAAGGGTGGTCATGAATTTGCAGGCTTGGCAACTGCTTGGATGCAGCAACCAGAGTGAGGAGTCACGATAATGTAAGTAAGATTTTGAGATGGGGTCACTATCACTATCAGACTGGTGGCACTCCTGATAGGATCCCTGTGAATAGAAACAACTTTGGGAGGAGATGAGAAGTCAGTTTTCAATCAGGAGGATGAGGTTCCCATGAGAGCTGCAGATGGAACTGCCCATGAAGATACTGAAAATGTGAAAGAGCTGTTTGGGGAGGGGAGAGACGGGGCGTAAAAGGCAGATTTTCTTGGAAAGTTTATGCTTCATCTAAGAATTCATTTTTTCATTTTATTATTCAATATATATGTGTTGGTGTCTTAACTTTGTTTTACAAATGAGCCTGATAAACATTCCATTAGCTGAAAAGCTCTTAAATATACGAGTGGATATTTATATTTGTTTGGCTTAATATGAGAATATGTTTTAATATTAGTTATAGTCAAGTAACATCAACTCTTCTGGACATTACTGCCTCTGCTCCACCATGGGCCCCAGGGAGTATGCAAATTAGCATTTGTTTTAGTGGTCACCTGTTAGAAATAAAGCTCGAAGTCACAAATGAAATGAACACTCTGATAGTTGATTTCTTAGCAAGGCGAAGTTTACTTCTGCAGAAGGGTGCTGCTCATCAGTTTGGTCACCATAAGAGCACTCTGAACAAAGGAAAGCAGCGGCTTTATCTTTAATGCATTGGGCTCCTACTGCTGTGTCCTGTTTCCATTGGCTAGAGTTGGACTGCACGATCTAAGCTGAACCCGGTTGGCTAACTTGAGAAGTGCAGGGATGCAGTTACACTGGCGAGAAAACAGTTTTGGCAGGGCGGGCAGGGTCGAGGGGGCATTGCGATGGGAGGGGTAATTTACAGAGTGAGTGGCAGATGTGGAATGTGGGCTCTATAGATAAAGACCGAGTGGTAGGTTGTTTCCCAGGGCAAGGGAACACAGAGAGTAAGGGAATCTGGCCTTGAAAGCAGGGAACAAAGGACAAGGAAACTTAAACAAGTTAGCCCTTTGCAGAAGAATGTCTTACTGTATTTAATATCACCTTTAGAAATAAAAGAGATTGTCAGAAAAGAGAAAGAAGGACAAAGGGCTATTGTGACACATTACGGATACATTTATATTTAAGAGGAAGAAGAAGATAAACTCAAGAGGTTGATGAGAAAATTCAGAGAATTAGTGTTGCTAGCACTCAGGGAGGAGGCAGTCAAGCAAGCATGATCAGCACAGTCCAATACACCAGAGAAGGCTCTAAGAATGAGGACAGGGTCTTTAGATCAGGGAGGCAGGGTTGTGGAGAGAGAAATTCTAGTAGAACAAAGGGTGGAAATTCGATCCCAAGAATTAAGAAATAAGTGGATAATAAAGTTGAGGAAGGTGAGTTTAGAATGAAAAGATTTGCATGTTTGCAGGCTGATGAAAACTAAGTCGTTTAAAAGGAAAGATGGAAAATTCGAGTGTGAGAGAGAACTCTGTTCTGAGGGTAACAGGACTGATTGGAAGGAAAGGTTGAAGCCCTGATGAATCTACAGACGCTAATTATAATACTAGATTCTCTTTCTCTCCCTTATTTGCAGCAGAACTACAAGGAATTCAGTGACTAAAAGAAAAAAAAATCTGTTTTGTAAAGTAATGACAAATATGAGTTAGAGCAAAAGCAACATTTATTCCTGCCGAGAAAGTTGAAAGAGTTGTGGGGAGTTCGGTCTGCTTAGATGGTCTGGGTGCATGCTGGTGAAGAGCAAAGCATCCCAGAAGCTCCCTTCTTGCCAATCTGGATAATGTGTCTGGTATAATGCAATGAGCAGCTCTGCTTCATTTGTATCATCCAGTGGATTATTTTAGGCCATACAAGGATGTTAATTTAATTATTGCTGCCCTTGCTTAGAGATGTTCTCTAATATTCTTGGGCTGAAAAACCATAATGGAAAGTATGGGTTAGGTTGGCATTTGACTTTGCTAAAGTGCCAGGATTCCAGAATTCACATCCTTTTCCTGGAGAAAACAAAAACCTGCCTGCCAAGCTTGCTAAATGTTCACAAAACAGCCTTCTATCCATTAGAGGCTGGGCATATGTTTCTTTTGCCAGTTTGGCCAAAGCAAGCAAATACACTTCTTTTCCAAGTTGAAGATAATGAGCAGACTTTACCCAATCCCCTAGAGGAGCAGTTTAGCACGTCGACTTGCTACTTTTACGTGTACCTCTCATCAGACATCAGTGTTAATTATAAGTGATTAGGATGAGTTGGATTTGTTGACAGAATATCTAATATAACTAATCAACTCCAATTTTTTTCAAAGTTAATTTTGTAAATGTATTCCAACTGAAGCACCACGGGGTAAGAATTCTTCTTGTTTACAGCTCTTTATCCATCAAAAAAAAAAGGTGGGGGGAAATAGGAGACAAACTATTGGACTGTAGCTCCCTTAAATTGCTTAGACTTGTGCCTGAGAAAAGGAAAAAAAGGAATTCCTGGAGGCACAGACCAGTCTGTGGAAGATGGTGGTGAGGTCATTTGTGCGTGTGTATCAATGGACACAATTGTTCTCAGATGCCATCTATCTTGGGATTGATTGCTCAGAAATTCCTTATTTGAAGCAATGGGTCTCATCTAAGGTCACTTCCTAAAAGTGTCATGTCTAAAAAAGTAAACTCAAAATCTGTTTTTCCTTGGGTGAATTAGCCAACATCTAATTCATCTCCCTGTGTTGAATGTACATACATCAAGATGTTACCATACTGATGCTGGGACTTTTGAACTGACAAGTGACACTTCCATATTTATGAAACCAGAACTGTATCTTGAACATAAACAGCTTCCCTTAGCAAATGTACATATTCTGATCTGACAAAGTAATAGAGAATTAAATTAACCTTTTATTTTTGAGTTCTCCCCAAAGTCACCTTAATACTTTTCTTAGAGGTGTGTTTTTCATTCTCACAATCGTTCCACCCCAAGGTACTATTTGAGTATGCATTCCACTTGGTCATTCTGGGATTTGAGTAGAAACTTGTGCTTTTTTTATCCTTAGAAATGCCACACCCCAGTTTTCAATGGCGGGAGATTTTGCCAAGACAAGTATCCTTGATTAATTGGCATTTAGTAATAATTTATATCAAAGGACATTCAAGGTATTATTTGTTGGATAGTTCATTTTTCCTAATTTCTACATCTAAAATGATTTCTTATATATATATATATATATATATATACACACACACACACACATACACTTGGGATTATATATATATTTCGGGGATATACATATATATTTGGGGGATATATATATATTTGGGGATATATATATTTGGGTAAATGGGTAAATCTCTCATATACAGAGATCCAACTTCATGACCTCAAAAGTTATCAAAATGCTTATCTCATATATACTCATATAGGATACAGAAAGGCTAAGGATTTCTGTAAACTTCAGAGGTTTGACTAAAGTTGGTGAGAAGGCTATGAAATATGTGAATGTAACCTTTGCCTATTTCCATGTAAATCATTTAGTTTCAGAATGTTTGCCCTGGAATGAGTGAAGGCTTGTATTTCCTTCTTGTCAAATTGCCTGTGAACTGGGAGTGAAAGAATGATGTTTGCAAATGTCACTTTTAATGCCTGTCTGCTGGATCCCAGGCAGCTGCTTTTATATATTTTATATATTTTAACATTTTGAAGCCTCTGAAGGTTTGTGACTATGAGCAGTACATAGAGGTGGCCTTAAAAAATATTTGATAGTGTTTAGTGATTGTAGAAGGAAAGATGTGAAGACCAATGCCATTCCAGTTTTACTTAACACTAGAAAGCAAGTAAAATAAGGGAATTAATACCCTCATGTTGCTATTAAATAATCTCAAGGTAAGTGTTGTTGTTGAGGTGTTTTTCTTCCCAGCATTGTCGTATGTCTTTTCCCCACTCCTGTGTTTACAGCAGGATTGGGTGACATTTGAGATGTAATTTCTTCCAGGAAACTTAGAGACTTTGGGTTATGATGGTGATCTCAATAGGAATACATTCTACCCAAGAATGACTATGGTAACATGGTAAAAATAAGCTCTTGCTCTCACAACAGCAGATGATAGAGGAGGGTTAAAAATTCTTGCCACAATGGTGCCTACGCCTCCAAGAAAAAATTCTAATCTGCTTTGCATACATTTAACTTCAATAAAACTTGCATTAGGGAATAAATTTTATGAATGTGCGAGAAATAAAATGACTAGATTCAATTTTAATATAGTAAAAATAACTTTTTGAGTGTTTACTCTTGCTAGAAATTGTTCTAGATACTTTCCATGTGTTATCTCATAACAGCTCAACTTAGTAGGGACGTTTGTTCTTCCCCTGCTCCAGAGGACTAAACTCGAGGCACTCTCTCTGAAAGTTTGAGTCTACTTGGAGTGAATACAAATGAATTTAAAACTATTCTGAAAGTTTACTGGGCTTAAGATCATGCTTAAGCTCACTTCTTTCCTTTAGCTACATTGGGGATTCCTTCAATCTAGAAACCTCTGTCTCCTGGAGCTGATTCTTTTTTTGTGTGTGTGTGAGACAAGGTCTCACTCTATCGCCCAGTCTGGAGTGCAGTGGCATGATTTTGGCTCACTGCAACCTCCGCCTCCTGGGTTCAAGCAATTCTCATGCTGCAGCCTCCCAAGTAGCTGGGATTACAGGCGTGCACCACCATGGCCGGCTAATTTTTTTATTTTTAGTGGAGATGGGGTTTTGCTCTGTTGGCCAGGCTAGTCTCGAACTCCTGGCCTCAGGTGATCTGCCTGTCTTGGCCTCCCAAAGTGCTGGGATTACAGGTGTGAGCCACCGTGCCTGGCTGAGCTGACTCTTCTTGGTATCACCCCTCCTGGGTCCTGACCAACTCTCTTTCTCCAGAGATCCAGATTCTCTGAAGTTAATTAATAGCCCCTTCTATCACTATGAGAGGGAGGATAATACAACTATGAATGATGGCTTCAGCCTTCTAATGGGCAGGTGGCTAGTGTGTAATCTGCTGGTGGATTAGATTCATTGGAGATTTCAACAGGGAGGTTGTAGGATTGTAGGGCAGCCCTTATAATATCCATCAGCTCCCTATTCTTTGGTATGTGATATCTGCTGCAATGATAGCTTCAAGTTCAAAGCAGACTACCACCTTTAAGACCCTCTTATCTAAACATACTGAAGCTTCCCCTGCTGGGTGTCTGGAGAGGAATGGTGTTCAGTCTTTGGGTAGATACATATTGCATAGGGAAAGTAAATACGGTGCAAGTGAGCGTGGCTTGATGGGAATTAAGCTCCAAATAATAGAGCAGAGCAGAACAGTGGCAGCGGTCAAGGATATACTTGATGAAAGCTACAAATGTAACAAGCAACATCTGCAGTATGGAGAGGAGGAAAGATGGCAGCTGGTAAGGATTTGCAACTAGGGCAGCAAAGCCCAGACAGGGAGTAAATTCAGAGGGAAGCCCCCAAATTTTCAGTGATGTACGAAAAACAGCTAAAAGCAAAGTAGAGATAATGGCCTAGATATCACTGCTTGGAAAGGATTTATTTTCTGTTTGAGAGAGAATAGTGGTCAAAACTAAAATCACATTTGTTTGCTTTATTTAACTGAAGGATTCTATTTACTAGTATAGTCAATGCAGTTTATAATTTAGCAATGAAACACAATAAGTTTTTCTTAAAGAAATCTTTTTGGGTTCTATATTTTGAGTAAAAACCATAGCTAGCTACTGTGAATTATATCAGATTTACTTGAATCTGAGCAATTACTCTTTAGTTATTGGACCAGTGTCTAGCCTGGGAAGGACTTCCCTTGATCTTGTGTCCCTGGTTCCCTTCCCCCTTGAAGACAGGAAAGAAGGTCTTGAAAATGTAGTAAAACACCACCAGAGAGTTGGATTATTTTCCAATATTGAACATGGAAAACTGCAAGTTGCTGTTTAGACAAGATAGTATTCTATTTGCTTGAGTTGGGGCAGAGAAATTTGCTGGAGGTGTGTTTGTTTAATGTAGCTATTGGAATCTTTGGCTTATACTACTTAATTTCATAGCTGGGAATGTGGTATTTCCAGTAATTTGCAAGAATATGTCAGCTAAGCATTGCCAGATCTTATGGCAGGGATGAAATTTACGTGTATGATCAGAGTATTCCACCTGAAACACTTAACCCATTAGGACTAGAATATTTTTTCTTTTTTTTTTTTTTTGAGACATAGTCTCACTCTGTTGCCCAGGCTGGAGTGCAGTGATGCAATCTTGGCTTACTGCAAGTTCCGCCTCTTGGGTTCATGCCATTCTCCTGCGTTAGGACTAGAATACTAAATAACCAGTTTAAATATGCTTTGTTGGCTATCAGTTTATTTTATAAACTGCTTTAAAACTTCATGTGAAATATATATATTTAAAGACACAACATGCTAAAGAAATAAGTGGTAGGAAAACCCAAATGCAATCTAAGACTTCTGTTTACAGATAAGCTTTAGCAAAAATATTTATTTTTTCCCCTCCTATTTACATTCTGTGCTCTACTTAAGTACTCAAAATATTCATGAGTTTGGAACAGTGGGTGCCTGTTATACAGTTTTTTTATGAAGTGCATTTGTTATGCAAATTGTTATAGTGAACCATCCTTCATGAGCTATTTATGTTCATTTTAATAGAAGAAGTACCCTGTCTCATTCCATATAAATTCCTCTTTACAATCTATCAAATGCAGAAAGATGCTTGAGATTAAATAAATTTGTTACTAATATTAGTGAATATCTGATGCTTGAAATATTTAAGAGACTTTTTGGACATTTTTAATTACACTCCTCTAATTGCTCTGGGAATTGGCAAAGAGGATGAATGATAGGTAGTGCTTCAGGCAGTTGTCTCCATGGTCCCTTGTTCCACTCATAAGGATGACTTATTTTATAAGGAGATACAGGTCAGTAAGCAGAAAGGAGAAGCATTAAAAAGGAGGTGGCTCTCTAAGAGACAGTGATGCAAGCATTCGTTTCTCTATTCATTTAATGTTTTAAACTTTGCTAGAGACACAAAGTAGACATGGTTCCTACCTTCAAAATGCTGACCGTCTAGTCAGGGAGTTAGGTGTGTGATAGCATGCATTCTTCTTGCTATCTCCCCTTAACTTTAGCTGTTTGTACAGAAAATATGTTCTTTGCCCCCATAGATTCTCCATGCCTGCCAAGAGCCTTTGGTCATGTCAGGCCAGTGCCCAGCTCTTTGGTCATCCAGATACATGAAAAGGGCAGAGGGTGAAACTGTGGGGCGTGACAGGAAAGGGGAATTCCCTGAGTTACAGGAACTAAACAGATGTATTTGATTAAATGTTGGGAGAGAACAGAGGAGAGAGTGGGCATGAGGTAAAGCTAAGATGGTGAAGAGTTTCGTTTGTGTTTGTGGTGGGTGGTGCAGAGTATTTTAAAAGGGGCTTCAGAGAAGCCAGAGAGAGAGGCTATGAGAGAAATGCGGAGGAGAAAGAAACGGAATTGAGAAGTGGTGCCCTTTCTTATAAGTTAGATTCCCTTTTAACGCTGTTAGAAGAGTACAAGTAAAGTGTAGAGTTCCATTTTAGTTTTTTTGTTTTTCTTTTTTTTTGTTTTTGGTTGCTGGACTCTGATTTTATGTATTTGATTGGGCCATGTAGTACCCTGGCTTTGCTTAGGGTTATATCCAAAATTTCATTTATGTGGGGCAAGGAACTGGCAGAAATAGACCTTCAGTATAAAAACAAAAGGTGAATGTCTTTTGCAGGTCAGTAATAATGCAAGGGTAGGATGAGGTGGGAAGATTTGTGTTGTGTGTGTGTTTCTGTGTGTGGGCGCGACTCTCACCCTTTCTCTACTGTTCTGTTGCCAAAGTCTCTAAATTAGTCTTCCTGCCTTCAGAGTTACCTTCAAAAAACAAATCCAGTTATGATTTTTTTTCCTGCTTAAACTCTCTATTGCCCACAGGATGTGGCCAAACCTCTGAGTAGAACCAACAAACCCTTCAATTTCATGCCCAATCAACATAGTAAGCATAATTTCTGACCATTCCTTTAATAAGCACACAGGTTGCAATTCCTTTGAACATCTTACTGCCCCCTAACTTTCCTCACCACAATTTTTACTCTTGAACCCTTGTCCCTGATAATGCTGTGAAGCTTCTAGAATGATCATTGGTTTTAGAATTGAGGATCATACTTCTTTGCTCTTGTCTTGCTGTCTGGTTTTATAATGACAAATCAGGCATGCCAGACTGTGGGTTTAACTTTATCCTGACCTAGATTAATTTCCTGGACACTGTAACTAGCTGTACCATTACGCTAAGAAACCTCCCTGTCCAAGGAAACTTGGTGGGTGTAATAAGCTTTTACTGAATATCGTTTGGAGAATAAAGTGTGGGCTTTATATTTTCCCAGAATTTTAAAAGCTATTTGGGAATGCTGACACATTGCAGACCAGCCCTCTTGTGGCAGTAGTATTCTCCCAGAATCCCTCCTTTCTCTGTGTTAGTGGTTGTGTAAGGAAGTGCCTGGGCAGGTGACATTGGTTCTAGGGTGTATGGCTTTCTTGCATTTCTTCTTCTTAAGACTGTTATTTTTTTTTTCCAGACACGAAAAAGGATCAGCTAGCCCAGTGCTTGGCATCTATAGATGCTGCTATGTTATGCATATGTTGTCCATTTAGGGTCACTGGAAGAGTGGCAGCACCTCTTCCTATGAGAGGGAAGGTCATTTCTTTTTTTTTTTTTTTTCAAATCTGAACAAGTTTTTATTTTTATTTTATTTATTTATTTTTTTTAATTTTAATTATTATACTTTAAGTTTTAGGGTACATGTGCACAATGTGCAGGTTAGTTACATACGTATACATGTGCCATGTTGGTGTGCTGCACCCACTAACTCGTCATTTAGCATTAGGTATATCTCCCAATGCTATCCCTCCCTCCTACCCCCACCCCACAACAGTCCCCAGAGTGTGATGTTCCCCTTCCTGTGTCCATGTGTTCTCATTGTTCAATTCCCACCTATGAGTGAGAATATGCAGTGTTTGGTTTTTTGTTCTTGCAATAGTTTACTGAGAATGATGATTTCCAATTTCATCCATGTCCCTACAAAGGACATGAACTCATCATTTTTTATGGCTGCATAGTATTCCATGGTGTATATGTGCCACATTTTCTTAATCCAGTCTATCATTGTTGGACATTTGGGTTGGTTCCAAGTCTTTGCTATTGTGAATAGTGCCGCAATAAACATACGTGTGCATGTGTCTTTATAGCAGCATGATTTATAGTCCTTTGGGTTTATAGCCAGTAATGGGATGGCTGGGTCAAATGGTATTTCTAGTTCTAGATCTCTGAGGAATCACCACACTGACTTCCACAATGGTTGAACTAGTTTACAGTCCCACCAACAGTGTAAAAGTGTTCCTATTTCTCCACATCCTCTCTAGCACCTGTTGTTTCCTGACTTTTTAATGATTGCCATTCTAACTGGTGTGAGATGGTATCTCATTGTGGTTTTGATTTGCATTTCTCTGATGGCCAGTGATGGTGAGCATTTTTTCATGTGTTTTTTGGCTGCATAAATGTCTTCTTTTGAGAAGTGTCTGTTCATGTCCTTCGCCCACTTTTTGATGGGGTTGTTTGTTTTTTTCTTGTAAATTTGTTTGAGTTCATTGTAGATTCTGGATATTAGCCCTTTGTCAGATGAGTAGGTTGCGAAAATTTTCTCCCATTTTGTAGGTTGCCTGTTCACTCTGATGGTAGTGAACAGGTAAAGAAGCTCTTTAGTTTAATTAGATCCCATTTGTCAATTTTGTCTTTTGTTGCCATTGCTTTTGGTGTTTTAGACATGAAGTCCTTGCCCATGCCTATGTCCTGAATGGTAATGCCTAGGTTTTCTTCTAGGGTTTTTATGGTTTTAGGTCTAACGTTTAAGTCTTTAATCCATCTTGAATTGATTTTTGTATAAGGTGTAAGGAAGGGATCCAGTTTCAGCTTTCTACATATGGCTAGCCAGTTTTCCCAGCACCATTTATTAAATAGGGAATCCTTTCCCCATTGCTTGTTTTTCTGAGGTTTGTCAAAGATCAGATAGTTGTAGATATGCGGCATTATTTCTGAGGGCTTTGTTCTGTTCCATTGATCTATATTTCTGTTTTGGTACCAGTACCATGCTGTTTTGGTTACTGTAGCCTTGTAGTATAGTTTGAAGTCAGGTAGTGTGATGCCTCCAGCTTTGTTCTTTTGGCTTAGGATTGACTTGGCGATGCAGGCTCTTTTTTGGTTCCATATGAACTTTAAAGTAGTTTTTTCCAATTCTGTGAAGAAAGTCATTGGTAGCTTGATGGGAATGGCATTGAATCTGTAAATTACCTTGGGCAGTATGGCCATTTTCACGATATTGATTCTTCCTACCCATGAGCATGGAATGTTCTTCCATTTGTTTGTATCAAGAGGGAAGGTCATTTCTTTTGAATTCTGAAAACTCTCTTAAATCTGGTCCCATCAGTGGATGGTGGTGGTGATAGCATAAAAGTGACAAATGCGTTAGGGTTATAGCAACTCTCACTGGCCTTACAAATTTATTTTTACATCCTCTTGCACTTAGCTTGCAAACAGGAAGCAATTCCTTCACTTTAATAAACCAGGTGGATAGTTGCTTGCTGTGGGGCTCAGGAAGACAGTTTATATAAAACCAGAGACAAGTTTGGATTGGACACCCATCAAGCAACAGCATCATGCTTCCGGCATAGGAACTGGTTCCACTGTAGTTTTGGTTTAAAAATATTTGTTTCTTCATTATAAGGGAATTTTCTAGA
The DNA here is from genome assembly GCF_000001405.40 of Homo sapiens. Classification (NCBI taxonomy): domain Eukaryota; kingdom Metazoa; phylum Chordata; class Mammalia; order Primates; family Hominidae; genus Homo; species Homo sapiens. The sequence continues at coordinate 176,923,906 of NC_000003.12, read as the reverse complement.
GTTACATTTTTAAATATTGGAGTTTCAGCTTGATAAGCTCATAACGAGTAACCCGTCCTTTAGATCTGTGATTCTCACTTTTGGGGGCTTGTCAGATAGTAAGACAGGTTGTAACACGTAGTAGGGCCTGTGAAGTTGTCTGTAGTAGCATAATTCTCTTTTTCAATGTAAATGAATAATAAGGCAATATGGGTACTATATTTCTGATAAAATCACTTGAAGCAATATGAGTACTAGTTGTGGGATACTTAATATTTCTAGTTCAGGTGGTGATGTTGACTTTGTTTTTTGAGATAATGGTCTTCCAAACAATGGATATTTTTAATTATGCAGGAGAGAGGGGTGGGGGAGAGAGAGATATTGTGTGAGTGAGCATGGTGGGAAGGTCATGCTCACAGATTTGTTTTTTAATTTATTTTCTCCTAATGATAATACACCATAGAAGTCTTTTTCTTTGAGTAGCACTGAGATTAAAAAGGAAAAACAGATTTTCAAGTTAAATATACCTGAGATTAAATCAAAGCTGTGTCATTTACTGGCTTTCTGACGTTTGTTAGAAAAACTTCTTGAGTGTCTGTTTACATACCTATAAAATATAAGAAAAATACACTTCTTGAAGGAGAACTGTGAACTTCACATTAAATAATGTATATTTGCTATTTAGCCCCATCTTGCAACAGGCAGGTGATCAGTAAATGTTTGGTGAATGAATGAATACAACTGTAACTGAGTTGAGATGCTGCATAGGTTATAGACTGTATGTGTGAACAATATATGGCCATTTGCTGAGCATCTCTTAAGTGTCTCATACTCTGGGCTAAGCACTGGGGCTACCGATGTGTTAAGTCTCAGGCACTGACTCAAGGAATTCACAGTCTACTATGGAAGCCAGGCCCCCACACTAAAGGTCATAGGATCATGCAATAGGGACAATGCTGTGGGGCATAACGGGAGTTATGGGAGTGATGGGAGGCCTATGTGGGAGAGCTTCCTGAAGGGAGTGACCTTTGAGTTGTCTAAGGACAGACAACTGTGAATTACTTTCATGTATCAAACATGAAAGTGATAAAGAAAGTGGAAGCAAGGGAAGGCTCTTAGGACCCGAACACACATCCAGTTTCCTAGTTTTGGATGGAAGCTTTTTTTTTTTTTGAGACAGAGTCTCACTCTGTCACCAGGCTGGAGTGCAGTAGCCGCGATCTCGCCTCACTGCAACCTCTGCTTCCTGTGTTCAAGCAATTCTCCTGCCTTAGCCTCCCAAGTAGGTGGGATTACAGGAACCTGCCACTGTGCCTGGCTAATTTTTTTGTATTTTTAGTAGACACGGGGTTTCACCATGTTGGCCAGGCTGGTCTCGAACTCCTGACTTCGTGATTCACCTGCCTCAGCTTCCCAAAGTGTTGGGATTACGGGCGTGAGCCACCGTGCCCGGCTGGAAGTTTTATGGATCAAAACATTTTCCTTTTTCATGGAGTTCCGGAATTCTCCTTACTGTCCCTCTATCAGCACAGGAAGATCCAAGGAGGAGAGGGGAGATTGTAGGGCACACCATTGCAAAACCATGACTCCCAAGCTCTATGTTCTGGATGGCCTCATCAGGAAGGCAGTGTTGTATTGGTGGTTTTCTATGCCTGGGGAAGCCTTGCTGTTGATTTCACAGGAAGTGAAAGCAAGGAAAGGGCAGGGCAAATTGACAGTGGTGACACTCACTGCTTTAGAGGTGAGTGTGATTGGTATATCCTCATGTAGCTACATGGCATTGACAGTCAATGTGCACTATGCTCCTGCAGATCGGTGGGAGAGCATTTGAGATAGCAAGATGGCAGCCACACTGGATAATGAAGGCTCCTCCAGGCTATGTCCTGTATCCCAATGATTCCTGCCTCTCTCCAAACTGCTCTCTCCCAACAACCCCTGGCAAGGATATATTCTCTGGGAAACCCACTTGCACCAAAAAAATACAATTATTTCTCTCAACGGAATGCAAGTCACTCCTTTGCATTCCTAGGTGGGTGGGATCTCTGAGGCTTCAATTACCAAAGCTATGCAAACAGCCTCTTTTTAAGATTTCCTTAGAGTATGTGCCGCACAGGGAGAAGAAGATGCTTTGTGAAAATTGGGCATTAAAATTGCCTTGAAAATACATTTATAATTGCATATAAAACAAAAAGCATATGAGCTGTGTGGTTTTATTTTTAATGATCTGTTTTTTAGTAAACATTCCACAAAGATTTCAAGAAATAAAATCCCACAGCCTCATAAATGAATAAATAAAATATGAGACATAATAAAATCAGATGATATAATGCATATGAAAAATGGGACAAGAGGAATATAAATAGAAAATACATATAGTCTTGTAAAACTAACATTGTGCTCTTTTATGAAATAAATATCTCTAGAATATTATAAGCAAACAAGTTTTAAAACTTAGAAATGTAGTCTATTATTTTATCTTAGGTTTCATGTCTAAACATTAACATATTTATATTTCTTTTTGTTTTTATTAATCCAACGAAGCAGCCTTCAGCTAATTCCCACAGCCTAAATGTAGTCTACAGATGCTATCTTTTCATAAAGAAAAAATAAATTTATATTTCATGGTGTGGCTATATTATTTTCAATGAGAGGAGTTTTATTGTATTGGATTTTTTTTTATTCCTGTGTAGCACAACAGTCTCAAAATCGATAAAACAGCAGAACAAATAATGAATAATATGTAGAAAAGTAGGTCACTTGGCATTAATTCATAGAGAAAATAGGTCTGCTCAAACACAGGTCTGAGAGGCGTAATTAGTGGTAGTCACTGTGTGAATGCTGGAAGGAGCTGTGACTGATTGCTGTCCTCCTTCTCTTTCCTCCTGCACTTCCTGGACTCTTGTGTCAGCAAACACTGAAAAAGCAAATAAAAGAGTTGTTTCAGCGGTTCTGAGAGACAAGGCCAAATGAAGGTCTGGGGTTAATGGTGACTGAATTTCTGAGTCCCCTCAGACGATGACAAGTACAGCAACAAAGTGTACGTGGAAGCCAGCTCCCTTCCCTGGAGCAGCTTCACTTGGGGAAATGCAATCTAAAATATAAAAATGGGAGGGCCAATCCAACAATCATGGCTTCCACGTTTGTTGGTGACATTTATATACAGTAGCCCCTCCTAATCTGAGGGGGATATTGTCCAAGGCCTCCCCCACTTTCAAGACTCCCTAGTGGATTCCAGGATCCATCCCAGTGGATGCCTGAAACCGTAGAGAGGACTAAACCATATATATGTCTCACACACACACACACACACACACACGCACACACGATGCTTTCCTGGTCTGGTAACCGAGACAGCTGCTAAGTGACTAACAGCTGGAGTGTTTACAGTGAATACGCTGGACAAAGGGACTGAGTAGGATGGCATGAGATCTCATCATGTGACTCAGAACAGCACACAATTTGAAGCTTATGAATTGTTTCTTGGATGTTCCATTTAATATTTTTGGACTGGTCGGCCTCAGGTAACTGAAACCACACAAAGGAATACTTTAGAGAAGGGAGACTCCTGTATCTCAGTAACTGCTACTTGTGGGTCTCATTAGAATACTTCTCCATAAGCTTGCCTGTGGCCTTGAGAGAATCATGCTAGCCATTTATGATAGTGGTGGTGAAGGATTTTTATTTATGGAATTCCTGATATCTAAGTCAGCATATCTAGGACAGAGGTAGCAAACTTGTAGTTCCAAGATATATTTTGTTTAGGTTGCATAATATTTTTAAAGTTCTTGAATTATCCTTCAATATTTAAAAACTGGGAGATTTCATGTTAAAAAAATCCCCCCAATTTCTGGATTTTCTTAACATCAGAAAATCTGGCAGCGGGCCCATTTTTTTCCAGCTAGAGCTAAGCAGCAATAGTACTTGTTATTTTTTTGTTGTTGTTGTTGTTTTGAGATGGAGTTTCGCTCTTGTCACCCAGGCTGGAGTGCATTGGCACGATCTCTGCTCACTGCCACCTCTGCCTCCTGGGTTCAAGCAATTCTTCTGTCTCAGCCTCCCGAATAACTGGGATTATGGGCACCCACTACCACGCCTGGCTAATTTTTATATTTTTTACTAGAGACAGGGTTCACCATGTTGGCCAGGCTGGTCCTGAACTCCTGACCTAAGGTGATCCACCTGCCTCGGCCTCCCAAAGTGCTGGGATTACAGGCATGAGCCACCGTGCCTGGTGCAATAGTACTTGTTAAATCCCTACCCAGGCATGTGGTTTCTAGCTTGCTAGAATCTGCCCTGCTCCCTGATATATGACTTCCTACCCGTTTCTTTCCTTTATGTTATCTACTTTTGTGCTTTTGGACCAATGAGCATCAAAGTGGCTGCATACTAGAATCACCTGGAGAACTTTTGGGCCTCAGCTGCACTCACCCCCATTACACTTGATTAAATTGGTCTGGAATGGGGTATTTTAAATAGCATCTATGGTGATTTTAATGTTCAGCCAAAACTGAGAAACTATGGCCCAGGGAGTATAGACAGCAGGCACTGGTCATTTTCTCATGAGTTTCCCAGTTGAGCCATTGCTTGACTTTGTGATCTTCATTAAGGAAATTTAAGTTTCTTTGTTCTCCCAAGGAGAATTGATCCAATGTTTTCTTCCTTTAAATTTCATAGCACTTGGGAATTCATTGGGGCTCATGAAATTCACAGATTGTGCTGGGGGCAGAAGATGAATCAAGGATCTTGCCTTTCAAGAATTTACAAATGCTGAGGATCACAGTTTTAATGTTCGGATTTTCTCCTCTTCTAAAACACAATGTGGAGAGTTGTAGTTTACTACCCTTGAGACCTCTGTCTCTCTCTTTCTCTCTGGTGCTGTGCAAGGTATGGATTTTTTGGCTGAGCAGAAGGGAATGCATCTGTAGAATATGTCACCAGGTCCACCTTTTTAATGCCCATAAAAAGACAGGATGACAATTTAAAGCCTCATCTGTCACAAGCGTTTTCAATCTTGCCGTGATTTATGAAATACCTGTAAATTGCAATCACGCCAGCCCATAACATCCTGGCAGCTGCTTCAAACGCAAAACACTCACCCAAAAATATGGCCTATAGGTGGGATAAAAGTTTCAGAAAGGGAGTGTCGTTTAATAGGCAGGTGCTATTATCATGAGCTTACAAGGGAAAGTTTTTTTTAGTAAGAAGTGTTTCTTTTCCACCCACAGGACTGGTTCCCTGCACAAAGCATGGTGAGGGAGAGTTCTGGCTTGTAGTTTTCTGTAGATCCTATGAGTGAGCTAGAGTTCCAGAAGGATGTGTTAGAAAGAAAAGGCAAGAGGAGACTTGAAGTTCTCATTAGAAATGCACTATCCAAGGTTCTGTTCGCTGTGCTCTACACTTCGCTTGCTGACATCTGTTCCAGTAGCCCTGCGCGAGAAGACAGAAAGCTTTGCACAAGTCAGGATGGGTCAGTTTGACATGTGTGTAATGGATTGACAGGTGTTTAGGATGATAAAATAGTAAAAATGTATGTGTGTGTGTGTGAGAGAGAGAGAGCGCGAGAGTGCACTAGAGAACGGCTAGGGTTGTGTCCAATTGATTCTTGTACCAAAACTTTCATGTTAAAACACAGTGACTTCTTTAATAAACCTTGTTGACAGAGAACCATACTCTTGGACTCTGAGAAGAAACTTAACATTTAAGATTCCTAAAGCGCTCTTTGGACATGGATTTGCTATTATCTTAGATGTGATCTGATGTAGAGAATTTACCTCAGCTGTATTTACAATGGAGTGATCTGTTGTAAGGGGCAGGTGTGTGTGTGTGTGTGTGTGTGTAAAGACCAAAGATCCAGAATTTTAAGACAAGATGTTGTTGCTTACAAGACCCGAATTACAGAAAGAAATGGGGGAATGCATAAACCAGGGGCCAGGAACTGCCTTGGCCCAGTTTTTTAACACATCAAAATGACAGGTTTTCTTTTACACTCAATCAGCCCTTCAAGCTCGGCCTTGTGGTCAGCTGGGGAGGAGCCTCATGGCACTGAGGTAGGAAAAAGCAGACAAAAAGACACTGAACAGGGGAAGAGAAGGCAAACTTATCATAAGTTGCCAGACTTCCAAAAATCTATTTGAAAGGGGCATATATAAAAGGAGTACTGATAATATATATTTGAGAGAATGCCAAATATACATTTGAAAAGAGGTCGGATATACATTTGAAAACAAAGGGAGGCACAGCATTTGTTCTGGAGAACAAAAAGGATTATGACATTGAAATTCTATAAAGGGGTCATGATTGTACAGGGAGTAAAATCTGAAAGATATTTTTGGTTAGTTGCCTTTTTAACAAGATAAGACGTTCTCTGCATTATGGAAGACCTGATTTCTTCTCATATTCTGTCTTAATCATCTTGGTATTCCCCTTCATGTAGTCTGACCCAGAGTAAATGCTCAAAGAATACATTTTGATAAATGATGTTTCACTCATGAGCAGAAAGAAGTTAGACTTAATCAAGAGAGCACTTAATTATTTGATGGAAACCACTGTGGGAGAGCAATTTTGTTTTATCCTCTGACAATGTTGAACTTTATCTGAGCCCTGTGTTTCCAGAAAGCACTGACAGTTAAGATATCCCATCATATGTTTGTGTCCTGAAAATGGCTGTTGTCAAAGAAAAATTGCACTGGACGAAATTAAACAGGCAAGGAAGGCTTTATTCAAGACTATTGCAGCAGGGGTCAAGACTATTGCAATAGGGGAGAGAGATTGAGCTCAACTCTGAATATAACAGAAACAGCTAGGAATCCATAGCCAACAGGCAGGGTGAGAAAGTCCGTGGATGGAAAATTACTAAGAGGAGCTTGATTAGGTATGAAGAGTGGGGAATTCTTGTTGAACTGGTTTGGCAGGATTTTTGCTAGATTGGGCTCAGCAGGCCAAATTTCAGGCCTAGTTGAGAAGAGGGTTCAGAGGAGACTGACTAAAGTTTGGTTGACGACGGAGTCCTTGTCACAGCAAAGAATCATCCTGCCCTTGTCTATTCTTGGGTAAAACCCACCCCAGCCTTCCTCATGGCTCCTGTAAGACTGGCAAATGCTGAACTTGCTTATCTGCCTCCATGAAGCCCTACATTCCTTTCATTGTCTGAGATCTTCCTCATTAATAAGTATTCTCCTTATCCCAACAACCTGAGTAAAGTCATCTCCTTGGTTGACTGGTGCAATTTGTCTTTCACAGTTTTGGTGCTGTGTTTCAGGCAGGAGCAGAATCCTCACCTTTGGAACCCTGTTCACTCCACCCAGGTAACAAGGCTTCTTGGAGCACTTTGTGCTGTTTCTGACTGGTGTTTGGGTACTCCATAGTAAGTCAGACTCTACCTTCCCCAGAATGAATCCTAAATGATAGCTTTTGTGTATAAAGCTGATGTTTGAGATTTCCAGAGGGTCCCTGGAAAATCACAAAGAATTTGTTTTTTCACCTTGTAAAAAGAGAGGCACTAGAAATAATTAGGTTTATGTGATATGCTACTATTGACGAGTTGCTTGGGAAGAGTTGTCAAATCAGAAGAGGGGCTTTGCCTTCTCTAGGTTAAGTTTGTAAGAGTAAAATATTAACACAAATAGTTTGGAAATTATATGCTCTCAGAGAAGTTTCTAGAGAACTGTCAATGCCCTTGCTGTCCATGATGTTTCTATTTATTAATATCTGAGTCCTGATACTGCTTTGCTTGATAATAGACAACAACAGTATAGTATTATCATTCATAGATTCAGTTACTTTTTAAATGTTAACTTGGGTACAACTTTACTGCTTTAATTTGAATCTAACATCTTCCAGGCCAGCAGGTTTCAACTGGGAATTTACATCACTTATCCCTGCAGTTTTATAAAAATACAGAGGTTTACCACATACTCAAGACTTGCTGAATCTCTTTACTTGATACTCTTGATATAGCCTTGGTATAGTCTTAGGTGTGCTTTCCATATTTATGGTATGTCATGTCTCTGAATTATTATATGTCAAGATTTTTTTCTCTGTAAAGATTATGTTAAATCTATTTTTTTTTTTTTTTGAGAAGGAGTCTTGCTTTGTCACCCAGGCTGTAGTGCAGTGGTGTGATCTCGACTCACTGCAACCTCCGACTCCTGGGTTCAAGCAATTCTCCTGCCTCAGCCTCCTGAGTAGCTGGGATTACAGGCACGTGCTACCATGCCTTGATAATTTTTGTATATTTAGTAGATACGAGGTTTCTCCGTATTGGTCAGGCTGGTCTCAAACTCTTGACTTTGTGATCTGCCTTCCTTGGCCTCCCAAGTACTGGGATTACAGGCATGAGCCACTGCACCCGGCCATGCTAATCTATTTTTATAAATTAGATGTAATATCCACTTTTCCTTGAAAATTAGGTTAAACATTATGCTTATAGATTTTATTTTATTTTTTGAGACAGAGTCTTGCTCTGTTGCCCAGGCTGGAGTGTAGTGGTGTGATCTCGGCTCACTGCAACCTCTGCTTCCCAGGTTCAAGTGATTCTCCTGCCTCAGGCTCCTGAGTGTCTGGGACTACAAATGCATAGCCCAGCTAATTTTTGTATTTTTAGTAGAGATGGAGTTTCACCATGTTGGCCAGGCTGATCTTAAACTCCTGGCCTCAGCTCGCCTCAAAAGTGCTGGGATTATAGGCGTGAAGCACCGCGGCTGGCCTAGAACATTTTTTAGATTGACTTTGTTTTCTTTTTTCCATGCCTCAGAAGTAACTTACTCCACAGAAGTAACCATGCCACAGAAGTAATTTTTAATTCTTTCATTTTACTTCAATATCTGGCTACAATTCTGAAAACTGACATTTCCAATTTTCCTCCTTCCTGTCTGTCTGACTCAGCATCACTGAGAACTAAAACCTGACTGCCCAGATCCCTGTTGGGAACTGTTGTCTTGCAGAGGGCCCTTTCCCATACTCTCTGAGGAAGCCCTGCCAGTTGAAACCTGTCAGCTTGAAGAACTCACCACAGCAGCCAACCACGCATGTGTTACATTTCTCCATGGACAAGCTGCTGACTGGGTCACTAAGGAAGCCTAGTGAAGTGATTGGGTCATGTATGCCCTTTTATGAGGGGTAACTAAAACTGGTGACTAAATAATGTCACCAAAAGCACTGACATCCTAGCTCGAGAGCTTCACAAACCTCAACTAGCTAGTGTTGCTGCAGAACTGAAAGACCTTCCTCCACCAATCTCTTAGAATCCACCAGAGTGGTTATTCTCAGAGTTAAACTCTTCCTGGCTCTTTGCTTTACTACAACTTTTTATATACTTTTTTTTTTTTCATGTTAGGGATCTCTCTTTTAAGATGTCTAATCTCCAGGAGCTGAAAACAACTGACCTTTGATGCCACCTCTCAACAGATGGCTCAGCTGGTTTTATAGGAACAACATCCGTAGGAAGCCTCAAGAGACTATTTCTTAGGCCCTATTTCACCTCGTTCTGGAGGTTATAATTGCCTATGAGTTGTTCAGCGATTAATTATATTCTTTTTGATATTTAATATTTGTTTATGATGAGGATGGATATTAAATGAAAATAAATGAATATAGACATTCCGATTAGGGGAAAAGAATGCAGATTAAGGCTGCATCCCAAATATATATGTATAATGTCATCCAAATATCACTGTGAGATTACATTACTCTCTCTGATGAGACAGAATAATTTTGTTTCCCCTGAAATCACGAGATCACTTAAACTACAAGTATTCATACATATATACAATAGGTATATATGTGTATGCTAAGTAAGTGTCAAATGACAACTACATTAAGCACTGTGCTTGGTGTTAGTGTGCAACCCGATGGACAGGTTTAGTTTCTAGTGGTGAAGACAGATGATAAGCAAGTGATTCGACGGTAAATAGGAGAATTACAAAGGATGATTTTCAGAAGATAAAACCAGGATGATGTGGTGTGATGAAGAATAAGAGGAGTAGTTAGGATGGTCATGGAAGGCTTTGTGGGGAGGTGACACAGGCTGAGGCCAGAAGGTTGCCCATGAGCCAGCCACGCATGCTAAAGGGAGCCCATGAGCCAGTCACGCATGGTATAGGGAGCCCATGAGCAAGTCACGCATAGTATAAGGGTAGGAGCATTTCTACCTCTTCCTGACCTCTATTCGGCATGCGTGCTGGATTAAACAATGCTTTCCATTGCTTAGCAAGCATTTTTTGTCTGATGTGGCTAGCAGGCTACTCTCAAGTGTACATTTACCTGCCCAAATCTATTTATACTGTTTTAACCGATATCTGTTTATAATGGTTGTGTTATTGTAAGTCTGCAAACTGATGAAATATGACTTTGGAAAAGGGTCATTTCTGTGAAAATTAAGTTTATTTTAAAAGTTTTTTTTTTTTTTTTTGGAAACAGGGTCTCACTTTGTTGCCCAGGCTGGAGTGCAGTGGCACGAACACAGCTCACTGCAGCCTTCACCTCCGGGCTCAAGTGGAGCCCCCTGAGTAGCTGGGACTACAGGTGCATGCCACCACACCTGGCTAATTTTTTATATTTTTTATAGAGATGGGGTTTTACCACGTTGCCCAGGCTGGTCTCAAACTCCTGAGCTTAAGCAGTCCAACTGCCTTGGCCTCCCAAAGTTCTGGGATTACAGGTGTGAGTCACTGATAAAAATTAGCTTTAATGCTATGGAAAAAATTTTTGAAAGTCAACTTGCTAAATATTTTCCATCAGACTAGGTGTAGGTAAGACAATTGCCAGAGTTGGAATAAAATTATAAAAGTATGGGAGGATTTTGAACTTAGATTGCTTCATAAGGGTCTCTATGTTTTCTCCCCAGTTAAAGAAATTGAAACTGGAAATGTTTATAGTACATGAAGTGCAGTACCTAAAGACAGACAATGCAAAACTGTATAAAAAGCCCCCTACAGCCCCAAAAGTGAGTGTTGGCCCTTAACAAGTGACTGGTAGAAGAGTATACATTCATGTTTTAGGTTTAAAGAAAATGTGTAATCTATATGCTTATGTATTTTTTTTTTTTATGTTTTACCACTTTAACTTTTTTCTTTAACAAAACCCATGACCCAATTAGGTCAAATAAAGAAGATTTCTATTATATTATTTTCCTCACAAAAATAAGATCATACTATTCATATTGTTTTGCAAACTTTTTCCTATTTACTATACTCTGAACATCTCCCTGTGACAATAAATATGTCTATAATATAGTTTTAGATGCTATTTCATTTCATTATGTGACTGCACCATAATTTTTTTTGCTATTTGTCACGGTCAGATACTTATACAGTTTGAAGTTGTCACTCCAGTGATCATCCTTATATACACATAATTGCACACATCTTTAATAATTTTCTTAGGATAAATTCCTAGAGAGCAAATTCCTGTGTTGAAGGTAGGCACATTTTTAAGGCCTTTGATATTTATGACCAAATTATCCTCCGGTAAGGTGAATTGTCACATGTTTTTTTGCAGTGAATATTTCCAAAATTCTCTGAATGTTTCTGAGACAATTTGATAATCAGACAACAGAGTATGCTGTTAAAGATTATGTGCAAAGAGAGGGCTACTGAATTCAGGCCACTGGAAGGACAGGATGAAACAATAAAACAGCATAGCCTCTAATACGTACACAGTAAAGTCACCGTCATCTGGTGAAAAGCTTGTTTTTGCCAGTTAAAGCATTTATTTTGAGTGAAAAATAAAAAGGAATAGAATCTCTGAGCCATTTTGTCCTAGTGTTCTGTTACTCTTTCTTGTGAGAGTATTTTTTGGCCACCTGCACCTTTAAATTTAAAGGCTGCCCATCAGAGAATGGGCAGCAACCTTGCTTGAAGGAGCAGTCTTCTTTGTCAGCACACTGTGGCTCTCTTTTTGATGATGTCTGTATACAATTTGTAACTTTCTTTTCTTTAATTTACTATATAGTCACTTTAAATGCCATTCTTTGAAAAGTCTGTTAGAGAAAAATAATTGCATTTGTTACAAACACCTAGACACAGCACAAGCCCAGAATGATACAGCAGTCAGATTTCACACCTTTCCCTTACATGGCTGTCCCTGGATGTCTTTTGAGCTGATAATTAGGTTTCCAGGGCTTTCTTTCTCATTAATGGCCCTGGTACTGTCAAAACCCCCATTGAGAGTGAGATTTATTTAAGGTAGAAATTAAATTCCAATATATAGACAAGAGCCAGGAATTCCCACCACATCATCCAGTGATAATGGCATCTTTTGCAACTCTGTGCCCTGAAACGATTCAATAAGAACCTCTTTATTGTTCCAAACTCAACTAATGACTTTCAGATTTAAAATTCTCTATATCAGTTGTAATTAAGTTATTATTTACTTACTCCACAGCTTTGGATATCAATGCTGGGCCATTTTCTGGAGCAGAATCTCTTAAGCACTGTGGAAAGGGAGGATCCTGCCACTTCTGAGGACACTCTCCTCTAGTGTTGGGAAGAGGACCCAGAGATGGAGTCCTGAGCTTAATGGTCTGTAGGCAAGTGGAGAGGGGGGCATTAGGTTCTGTGGAAGCACATAGGAGTGACCTAATTTCAGGGCATCAGAGTAGGCTCTACAGAGGAGGTGACCCTTGTCCCCAGCCATGAAAAATGAGTAAGAATGATCTAGGCAGAGAATGCGGGCAGAAAGAGCCTGAGAGAGAGAGGAGGGCTGGGTGTTTTGGAGGAACTACCATAGGGATGACTGGGGGAAGGGTTGTTTAAGGAGACAAAGCAAGTGGCTATTTGTGAAATGATCTAAGGAGATCACACAGGATTCTCTCTCCAGGATTCTCTTTCGCCACTACTAGCTCCACCATCACCTGCCATTAGCTTCATCAAACAGTCACTTTAGAAATGGTAAAGTCTTTCTTGCTTTCAAGGACCCTTGTAAAATGGAGAGCAATACTGGGAGGAATGAAGGAGAAGAGAAGTATTGTTGAATTTCCCGTGGGGACCCAAATTCTGTTGTAGTTGCTATACACATACAATCCCATTTAATTCTCACAACAACTAATTCTAGTCTTGCATATCACCATCATTTATTGGATAAGGAAACAGAAGCTTATTTGCTGAGCCATTGTCAGAGGTCATATGCCTGGCAAATCATCTAAGGACAGCACTTTCAAATTTTACAGCAAAGGCATTAGCAGGGATGAGAGACTACCTTGATATGTGGGGTATGGGTAGAAAGTAGGGTCTTGGAGATTGGCTAATGACAGTGCTGGTGGAAATGGAGTATCAGGTAAAGAGAAGAGAAGTAGAAGAAAGCCAAAAGAACTTCTCACAAATTTCCCAAGTGCATTTGCTCATCTACCTCTTTTTCATTTATAAACATTGATTGAACATCTTCTATGAGACAGGTGATGAGCCAGGTGTTGGAAAGACAAGGGCAAGCTGTGGCAGGATTGTTACTCTTGGAGAATTCATAGTCTTGTGAAGATAGGAAGAGAAGTGCCTTACAATTCACTGTGGAAATGCTAAAAAGGAGGTCCACCAACTCCTTTCATGTTTATGGAAGTCATAACTACTTGAAAGAGTCAGGAAATAACACTGACATGGGTCTCAAAGAATTATGAGATTTTTTTTGCGGGGAGGGGAAATAGGGAAAGGCACTCAAGGCAGAAGTGGCAAGGGTGAAGGCATCCATTTGCAAAGGGAAACATTGTATATGCAGAATGGTGCATTCAGTGTGACCAAGAGGGAGCAGGGAAATGGAATAGGAAATAAAACTGGGGATCAAGCCTGGGGCCAGGTTGTGAAGGGCTTCAGGAGTCACTCCAAGGAGTGAACTTGATCCTGTAAGGTTTTTAAGAAGTGAGTGAGAATGATAGTAACTCTAGTAGCAGTTTGGAGGACATATCTAAGGAGGGAAGAGGCCGTTGCCATGGCCATGGAGTGCAGTTGAGGGTATGAGTATGCAATTTTAAATAATCCTTTGTATTTCTTTAGATTTCTAAAAATCATAAAAGCAGTTCATGCTCATTATGGAACATTCAAATGAATACGTGGACATGCACATAATATAAAAAGGGGAAAGTTCACCTCTTCCATAAAAATAACCTCAGCTTACTGATATAAACACTTTCCAGACAGTTTGCTCTTCCTACACACACACACAAACACACACACACTCATACATGCATATCCCCACACCCACTTATTTGTGCAAGCAGGACGTTGATCCTATCTTCCTAGGGCTCACAGGTGTCTACTGAGCTCTCAGCTGTATGAGTCTGATGATCAGGACAGTGACGTGGGATGGAGATATGGATCTGGGAGCCATCCCTATTTAAAATATAGAAAGTAAATGTGATACACAGGGGGAATTCATAGTGTGGGAAGGGCAGAGGGCCAAAGATAGAGAATTGAGAAATACTACATTTAAGGGGTTGGCAAGGAAAGATAGGAGCATAGAGAAGGAGAGAGACTGGAGAGTAGGAGGAAAATCAGGAAAGTATGATATTATCAATGTTCAAAGAAAAAGAGTTTTAAAGAGGGCGCATGTGCTCGTTAGTGTTAACTACTGCTGAGAGGTCAGGCCAGTGAAGGACTAAAGACTGTCCATTGGATTTCACAACAAAGAATTTCTGAACTCTGTCTTAATTTTAGCCCTCACCATCACTAGCCTGGATGTCTACAGTAGCCTCTTAGCTTGGCTGCTGGCCTCTGATTGATTCTTCACATTGCTGCCAAAATGACCTTTCTAAAGTGAAACCCTGTCAGTCCTCTTCTAAAAATACCACGATAGTCTCCCAGTGCTACAAGATGAGGCCTAAACCTCTTTAGAATGGCACGAACATCTTAGTTCTCATCTTCTCCACTCTCCACTACTTCCAACACACTTTAAGCTTCAGTAGTGCTGAATAGTTTATACTTCTCTGAAAACATTGTGAGTTTTCATTCCTCTGTCTTCACAATATTATGTCTGCCAGGAATGCCCTTCCTCCTTTATCTGCCTAGCAAACTCCTGTTCTGTTTTCGAAACCCGACTCAGACATCACCTCCTCTGGGAAGCTATCTTTAACTCTCCTAGCCTGACCTTGTCCTCCAACTTTCCTTCCTTTTGTTGCATATTTCACACAGTATTATGAATTTTGACTATATTTCTGTCTCATTTACTGAATTGTAAGTTCCCTGAAGGCATCATATGTATCTTTTTAAAACTTTTACTTTAGGTTCAGAGGTACATGTGTAGATTTGTTTTATAGGTAAACTCATGTCACAGGGGTTTGCTGTACAGATTATCTTGTCACCTAGGTACTAAGCCTAGTACCCAATAGTTATTTTTTCTGATTCTCTCCCTCCTCCCACCCTCCACCATCTAGAAGACCCCAGTGTCTGTCGTTCCCTTCTGCGTGTCCATGCTTTATCATTCAGCTCCCACTTATAAGCGAGAACATGTGGTATTTGGTTTTCTGTTCCTGTGTTAGTTTGTTAAGGATGATGCCCTCCAGCTCCATCCATGTTCCTGCAAAGGACATAATCTCATTTTTTTATGGGTATGTAGTATTTCATCATGTATATGTACCACATTTTCTTTATCCAATTTGTCATCGATGGGCGTTCAGATTGATTTCTTGTCTTTTTGTGTGCGTGTGTGAATAGTGTTGCAATGAACATACGTGTGCATGTGTCTTTATGGTAGAAAGATTTATATTCCTTTGGGTATATACATAGTAATGAGGTTGCTGGGTTGAATGAACCTCTTTCTTATACCATATACAAAAATCAACTCAAGATGGATAAAAGATTTAAATGTAAAACCTAAAACTATAAAAACCCTGGAAGACAACCTAGGCAGTGCCATTCTGGATACAGGAACTGGAAAGGATTTCATAACAAAGATGTCTAAAGCAATCACAACAAAAGCAAAAATTGACAAATGGGATCTAATTAAACTTAAGAGCTTCTACACAGCAAAAGAAACTATCAACAGAGTGAACAGACAACCTACAGAATGGGAGAAAATATTTGCAAACTATGCATCAGACAAATGTTTAATATCCAGCATCTATAAAGAACTTTAACAAATTTACAAGAAAAAAACAAAAAAAACCTATTAAAAAGTGGGCAAAAGACATGAACAGACATTTTTCAGAAGAAATATACATGTGGTCAAAAAGCATTTGAAGAAAATCTCAATATCAATGATCATTAGAGAAATGCAAATCAAAAATACAATGAGATACCATCTCACACCAGTGGGAATGGCTACTATGGAAAAGTAAAAAACTAATAGATGCTGGCAAGGTGGTGGAGAAAAGAGAACACTTACACACTGTTGGTGAGAGTGTAGATTTGTTCAACCATTGTGGAAAGCAGTTTGGCGATTCCTAAAAGAGCTAAAAAAGGGAAATGTATCTTATTCTTGTCTGTGTCTTCAACAGTTGGCATAGTACTTGGTGCATAGCACGTTGCTCAAGAATTGTTTTGAGGGAATTTATCCGCAAACAATTATTAGATAGTATATTTTATTTATTTTTTTAGAAACAGGGTCTGTCTGTCTCCCAGGCTACAATGCAGTGGTGAAATCATGGCTCACTGCTGCCTTGAACTCCTGGGCTCAAGTGATCCTCCTACCTCACCCTCCTGAGTAGCTGGGACTGCTGGTGTGTACCACCACACCTGGTTAAATTTTAAAATTTTGTAGAGGCAGGGTCTTGCTATGTTGACAAGGCTGGTCTTGAACTCCTGGCCTCAAGTGATCCTTCTGCCTTGGCTTCCTAAAGTGCTGGGATTAGAGGCATGAACCACCATGCCTGACCAGTATCTTTAAAAGTAGAGTTATTTATTTTTATGATTTTTCAGATGAGGAATTTGAGACCAAGATTTATAATTCATACAAAATAAAAACCAGAGGGAAGCTTAAAGATCATTTAGTTGAGACCTGTCATTTTGCAAATTAATAAACTCAAGTTCAGAGGGTGACTTGTCCCAGATCAGTCAGGGAGCCGGAGACCTAGTTGCAGATCAGAATCCAGTCTTCTGGTTCTCACTAGGGTGCTTTTCAAACAGCCACTTGCCTGGTTGTCAGGTGGCATGGCCACCAGTTATATCCCTTTTCTTCTGAAAAGCCAGGCTGACAGGGTTGATAAATTAGTAGTTGATTCTGATACTGATGGAAAACAGGTTCTGTAAGCTTATTTTTATTATGATATGGAGGAGCTGTAGTTCGTTGGGAAACAAATCCCTTCAATAACTTGGCTGGGAAAAGGGCCTTTTTGCCTTTTCTCCCATTACTCTTCCTGCTGTGTGGAATGCTTTTGTAATGGTTGGAACTCTGCCAAACATCTTGGACTGTGAGGTAACCTTGAAAACTGAAGCCATTTGCCAAGTTTTTGGAACAGAGTTTAGCCTACATCTCTGATGTCACTGGGAAGAGTCGATACAAAATCTGTACTGTTTCCATCTGGACTTCTTTTGTTTGAGAGTGTCATATAATAAATTTTCGATTTGCTTGAGCAACTATTATTTGGCTTTTATTTTTCCATGCAATTGCCTCTATCCTAACAGAAACATTCATACTTCTATTTTTATTTTATCAGAGCAGTCTCAACAATGCTACCTGCTTTTATTTTCATTTGAATTATATACCTGATGTAGATCCTATTTTAAACATTTGCATTTCACTTAGCTCTGACAGGCAATCCGTCACTTTGCTGGGTTCAAGCCAATCTCCTCAAAAAACAAAAAACAAAAAACAAAACAAAACATTAGAAAGCAAGTTTTTTCAGCAACTTAATTCCTGAGGCTCTGACACATTAACTCCACTGACAGAATAAACTGTTACACATTTAAGCACCTTTTTACCTTAAGGGAATTTCATTAGACATGGAACCTCTAACACGTTCAAGAAGGGGCCAGGGAGAATCCTTCTGACATCCTTTCTCAATTTTAAGAAAAGAAAGAATATAGAAACCACAAACCTATGTGATGAAAGGAAAGTGTCATTAGGGCTAAGGATGAATCTCCCAGAGACACTTTTCTTTTCTTGACATAGATGTAGGTGATTTCCATTACTACCTTTACTTAGTGTAAAACGTCCATTATTGTAACATGTGAGAGTCCTCATCGTTGCATTGGCCACCAGGCATAAGGATCCATAGAATACTGTAGCCATCTTTGGTTGCTTTCTTATGGACTGGGTTCTGAGACACATCCTCCTCTCTTGCTTCTAACAAGCTTTCTTTTGTAAGGCAATGTGGTTTCTGTCATAAAATATAAACTTAATTAAGCTCTGTTAGGTGCTGCATTCCTTGTGGAAAAGGGAAAATGGATGAACTGTAATAAAGAAGAATTGGCCTAGGCAAACATTTGTGCTATTTTTCACTGGCATTTCTGGAAATTAAGCTATTAAATCAGGAGAGCAGGTCAGGCTGGTTTGATATTTATTTTTCATTCCTTGACTGCAAAATAACAGGCTTAACTTATAATGACATAAAATCAACACCTACTGTGTTCCATTCATTAATTCTGGCATTCTATCAAAAACATCTCCCAGGTTCGTCTAATATGAGTTTTTTTTTCCTTCATAAAAGCCTGAAGCATATTAGTCATAATGCCATTATATTCTAGAAGCTTTAAAACAATTTCTATAATTCCTCTCATGCCCTGCCTAGGACTTTCTAGTAAGATAACAAAGCTGAGTATATTAGAAAGTTCTGTGTCTTATAAAAATGTCTTGGCATTTTTTTTTCCAAAACTCTGGTGGTCTTTTACCAGTTCTCAGTATTTTTAGAACATTGTAAACAGTTTACTAAAGGCATAAACTATCTAAATGCTCTGAGACATAATTAATTCAGATCTTATTTATTTCAGCTTAAACTTTGTAAGAGCTTGTTTCAAAATCATGTTTTCCAAAGTTTTCATTATTTTCCAGTTGGGTAATTTGGTTTTCTTTGCCATTTAAAACATTTATGTGTATTAGATTTGTCTTGTTCTCAAAATATTTTCTCTTAGAGGATGGAGATATTTCAACTTTTTCTCTTTTCCTTAATTTTATGCAAAGCTTCCTTCCATTTCCTTTACTTAAATCATACAACCATCTTAAGAAAAACAGTACAGATTATTGGTCTATTTATTTTGACACTGAAATGGGAATTGTACACAGTTGCCTAACAGCCCATCTTTTTTCTAGATTGAAAGCTTTCTGACATTGGAGATGTGTTTATGTCTCTGAACCCATTTCCTGCATCCAGCCAATGCTCCATTTGTTAAATGGAGTTGAAAACAACGGAACCAGAAAACAGAACTTCTTGACTTGTGCTCGCCAAGATCGTGTTTACATAAAACTAGTTTGACCTAATGATTAAAAAAAAATTTCCTTCACTAAAGCCAGACATTTTGCGGTTATACAAATACAATATTATGAGTTTATTTGACTCCCTACTCTTGAGTTTTTCATATGAAGAGGTTCAAACCAGTGAAAGAAGCCTCTTCTCAGGTATTTGGTCAGCCACTCAACACTCTACTTTACAAATGTCTCCTTGTCTTGATTGTGAAGTCCCTGTGATCAGGGAAGGTCATGTTTATCTCTGTAGCCCCTGTGTCCCATGCAGAGTACATCTGAGCAACAAACATTTGTTGAATAATAAGTGACCAACAAATATAGATTAAAGTGACAAATGGAACTAACAAATGGAACTAACATATAGATGCTATGTTATTGGGGAAGTATAAGACTAATTACCAAATTTATTTTTGACTTTTTAAAAAGGCATTCTTTTTTCTTGTTGTCTTGATATTTTATATATTACCTTTCCTCAGTACTTTGTGTATTTTTTTTTCAATATAAGGAAGAATAGAATACTACGGACCAAAGCCTGAGGGGGAGAGAAGTAATGGGAGAAGAAGCAACCTTCTAAAAGTGGGTGATAGGCAAACAGAGGGTGGTCTCTATGTTTTCTCCACAAGAGTGTTTCAGATGAACTCAGACTACTGATATCCTAGAAAAGACTGACTACAAAAGGCTTGGAAATAGAAGGATCTGGGTGGCCAGAGGCCATGTGAACTTTGGCTCCTGCCTGGGACCAAGGTGCCTGGAGGGAGCTCTCTCTGGCTCTAAATACTCTCAGAGTAGGGTTACCTGACAGGGAAGATGAACCCTATTCTCTATTTCTGTCAGAATGACTGGTGTAGCTGTATATGTTTGTTAGGTGGTGCCTATCTTAGAGTTCATAGGTGGAATTTTTTGAGGTAAGGATATTAAATAGATATTTAATTGAAGCTACTTTGAAATAATTATGAAATACTTTTTTTGTTTTTGAGACAGAGTCTTGCACCAGCACCCAGGCTGGAGTGCAGTGGCACGATCTTGGCTCACTGGAAACTCCGCCTCCTGGATTCACGCCATTCTCCTGCCTCAGTCTCCAGAGTAGCTGGGACTACAGGTGTATGCCACCACACCTGGCTAATTTTTTTTTTGTATTTTTAGTAGAGATGGGGTTGAAATACATTTTTAAGAACAGAAATTCACTGGCTGTAACAATACCCCCCAAACATTTTTACTTATAATTTACAATTAAATTATAACTTAAAAGCACCCGGGGATGAAACTATTTTCTATGTAACTGATGGCACTCAATAAGCCATGATGTTATGGGCTTGGACTTCTCTACCTCCTTTGGGAAAGTGAAGGTGTCCTGTTGCTGTTAAGTTCAATGAGAAGTGAGCAGGTGTGATATTTGGCCATTTTCACCTCTGAAGGCTCCCGGAGACCTCTGGGCTGACCTGGTAACCTGAGGCACTGTTTGCAAAGCTGACCGCAACAGTTTCTCCTCTCCCTATGTGTATGTGCTTTGTTGATGTGACTTGATGCTGCTCTCATTGGGAGATGCAGTCTCACTCCCCACCCCTGAGTCTGGGCTGGCCTTGGGACTCTGATCAGTAGAAAGTGGTATCATGAGAATTCCAAACATAGGCCTTAAAGCTCCAGTCCTCACTCCCTTAGAATGCTTCCCTGTAATTGCCATATGGTGAAATGTGATGTAACCTACAAGACGATGAGAGGTCATATAAAGCAGAGATAGTCAATCCAGCTAAGTCTCGCAGATCCATTAGCCAACAGCCAGCACCAGCTTCCAGCCATGTAGAGGAGCCCAGTTTAGACCACCTGGCACCATCTTGGTCTGATATCTTTAGCTGCAGGAATGGCCCAGGCAAAACCAACAGAAGAGCTGCCCAGCTGAACCCAGGCCAAATTGCTGTTTCACAGAATCACGAGCACACACACTCCTTGTTTTAAGCCAGTAACCTTTAGGGTGATTTGTTACATGGCAGTGGGTAACTATACCTTAGGAAAGGACCCTTTCCTGCATTTGAACAATTCAGGGTATCCCTTCGGACTGCCTCTTAGCACTCTGCCAACCCTGCTTGTCCCCACTCCTGTGACACTCCCTTTGATTTACACTTGCTTTGTGGCTCTCTGCCTCTGGCCTCTTTAGACTTGTGGCTTGGTTTGGAGAGTCTGTTTTGATTCATGACTCCAGCCTCATCCTGGGATGCTGGGTCTTTTGGTTTTCCTTTGGCCCCATACTTTTTAGCCTGAAGGCCAAGCCAGCTATACTGTGGTTATCAGGAGCCTGGCCCTGTGGTGTCGTCCAGGGACACTGATTGATCAGGAGGGGACTTCAGAGGCAACAGTTCTTGAGTAAAGTCTGGCCCGCAGAGTCACGGAGCCTCAGTGAGAACTGTCCTTGGGTTTACCATAGCCTATTTGTACCCAGATCATACTCATGCTCACTGTTTTAGTGATTGTTCATCAGAGGCAAATCTAATTACATTCCCAATCTCCTTAAATTACCCCACTGCTCTTAAGCCCAGATTCTTTTCTCCTGGCTCACAAAGCCCTGCATGTTTGTTTTCCACCTGATTCAATCATCTCCTCTCTCACCACTGATGTCCCCAAGTGCTCTGTGCTTCAGAGTGGACTCATTTCATATTCTTGAATGTGTCTTTCTAATTACCCCTGCCTTTGTTTCTGTCTCTGTGTGGAAAATCCTTCCTCTCTTTTCTTATTCTTCCCTTTCTCTGTTTGAAATTTACTTTTTATTTTGTCACATTATGACATAAATTTGGAGAGTCAAATAGTTCTTTAATAAGTTTTATAAAAATCAGTGATCTTCTACCCACTTCATCCCTTCCCTGCCCCCAGAGCTAACTGTTTTAAACTCTTTTGGCTATTTCTTTTGGTATTGGCAGCTGTATCTCTAAATGACATGATTACGGTTTTACTACTTGTTCTTTTTTCAATGTTAGACATCATCTATTGACTTCCCACTAAGGAAGAGGTAATTTGAGTTTCCTTCTCCCCTTCTTACCTACATATGTAAATATATACACATGAACACATATCTTTCTAATATAGTAATATTATAAATTTGGAGTTATTCACAGTTGAGTCATGTGGTAGGCTGGGAAAACTTTATCTTCTTTGCATAAATCCTCTGATTTGCTTAATAATTATCTTGTTTGTTTTCTTGTTTAATTCTCTTTCTTTGTTCACCGTCTTATTCCCAAACTCTCCTTCAGAAGTGTGAGTATCTCTTCAGTGCATTCAAACTCTTAGGATTTTTTTTCTCTCAAAGTCCCATGGAAATTATGTCCTTCAGTTTTTAAGAATATTTTTTGAGTTATTTACTGGATAATTCCCTCTCTTCTTTTTCTCTTTCTGAAATGCTTATTAGTCGGATGTTGGACTTTTGAATTGATTTTCTAATTGTAAAAAATCGATTTATCTCCTATTTTCTAACCCTTCATGTGTTTGTTATGCTTTCTAAAGACATCCTTAGGTGTAGTTTCTTACATTTCCATAGTTTTAAAAAAGAGATTTCTACTATCATTTTAAATTTCTATTATAAGAATGTTAATTGTTGCTCTGTAAATATTTCACGTTTTTCTTTTTTTGGAGACGGAGTCTTGCTCTGTCACCCAGGCTGGAGTGCAGTGGCTAGATCTCGGCTCACTGTAAACTCCGCTTCCCAGGTTCGTGCGATGCTCCTGCCTCAGCCTCCCGAGTAGCTGGGATTACAGGCATCTGCCATCACACCTGGCTACTTTTGTATTTTTAGTAGAGATGGGGTTTCACCACATTGACCAGGCTGGTCTCGAGCTCCTGACCTCAAGTGATCCGCCAGTCTCAGCCTCCCAAAGTGCTGGGATTATAGGCATGAGCCACTGCACCTGGCAATATTTCATGTTTTATGGACACAAAATTCATTCAGTATTCAACACTTATTTATTTAATTTTTATTAGAGATGGGGTTTTGCTATGTTGACCAGACTGGACTACAGGCATGTGCCACTGTGCCCGACAACAAATATTTATTTAGAGTCTATGTTGTGGGTTGGATTGTGTCCCCTTCCACAAATTCATATGTTGAAGTCCTAACCCCCATATTTCAGATGTGATCTTATGTGTGTCTTTATAGAGCGAATCAGGTTAAAAAAAGATTGTTAGGATTAATTCTAATCCAATATGACTGGCGTACTTAATAAAAAGGAGAAATTTAGACAGACAGACAGACACAGAGGGAAGATGAGGTGAAGACACAGAGGAGAACACTGGTAAGATGAAGATGGAGGTTGGAATGATGCCTCTACAAGCCAAGGAGCACCAAAGATTGCCAGAAAACCCCCAGAAGATAGGAGAGAGATGAAAAAGATTCTCCTGCACAACCTCCTCAGAACAAATCCTTCCAACACCTTGATTGCAAACTTCCAGCCTTTAGATCTATGAGACAAGAAATATAATGTTTGGCCACCTTATTTTTGGTACTTTATTACAGCAGCCCTAGGAAACTAATATAGCCTACTATTTATTAGGCTATGTTCAGGTGCTTGGAATACATCATTCAACAAAATACAGTTTTTAGCCTCATTCTAGTGGAGAGTAATCGACCAGGAGCCAAAATACCTGTTAGAATGTAATATATATTGTGGATGAAAGGAAGAGTATAGTAGAGAAAGGGGGATTAGAAGTGTGTGTGTGTGTGTGTGTGTGTGTGTGTGTGTGTGGTGGGTGAGGGTGGGGGTACACTGAAGGTAAGCATCATTGAGAAAGTAACACTTGACCAAAGGCAAAGATAATGAAGGAGTTATCCAAAGGTTGTCTGTGGGAACAGTGTTCCAGGAAGGGGAATAGTGTCTTGGTAAAGGGAACAGCTAAAGTCAAGTCCCAAAGGCAGTGTGCCTCATGTGTTGGAGAAGCCAGGAAATTAGCATGACTGCAATAGAGTGAGTGAGAGGGAGAGTCAAAGACATGACATTCTAAAAGTGGGATGTGATGTGGTGGGGGTGAGCCACCTTAAGCCCCTGAAGCCACTTTAGCTTTTACTCTGAATGAAAACAGAATTTGATGTGGCTTTTGGATGAGGGAGTGAGATAATCAATTTGCGTTTTAAAAGGATGACTGGTTGCCGTGTAGTAGGACAGATTGACTATGGGCGTGTGTCAGAAAGAAAGGAGTCAAGGATGAATTCAAGATTTGTAGCTTGGGCAAATGAAAAAATGGAAGTCTCTGTTGTTTCTTCTCTTATTTTGTTGAACACCTCAAAAAAATTTTGGTGAAGTTAACTTCTTCTCTGTTTGCAGCCTCCGTTTCTTCTAGTTTGCTTTTTCTTTTTCCTCGAGACAGGGTCTCAGTCTTTTGCCCAGGCTAGAGTGCAGTGGCACGATCTTGGCTCACTGCAGACTCGACCTCCTGGGCTCAAGCAATCCTCCCACCTCAGCCTCTCGATTAGCTAGGACTACAGGTGTGTGCCACCATGCCTGGCTAGTTTTTTAATTTTTTGTAGGATGGGGTTTTGCCATGTTGCTCAGGATGGTCTTGAACTCCTGGGCTCAAGGAATCCTCCTGTCCCGTCCTCCCAAAGGGCTGGGATTACAGGTGCGAGCCACCTTGGGCTGCCCTAGTTTGCTTTTTTGAATTATTTGTTTGCTTTAGAATAGATATCTGCCTTCCATTTTAGAAAATTTCCTACAATGTCCAATAATTCTTGACGGTTTGCATTTAGGAGTGGGGCACAAAAAACATATTTGGAAGCTTTATATACATGGGCACGGTGGGACATGCTTGTTAACTGTGGTCTTCACTGTATGGCAACCTTTTTATGGCATGTGGTTATGTAACTCCCCAGTTACAGACCATTCTTGTATTTTCTCTTCAGTTATTCAGGTTCCTTAGAAAAGAACTTTCCAGTCATAGAGAATAGAATGTAAGTCTGTGTCCAGGATACTAAATGGTTCAAGAGAGTTGAGGCTCTTAACACTCAGTGTGAGACTTATTTCCATTAGGGTTCCTTTTTGTCTTGGGTTGTACCTTGTGTCTTTAGTCCAGGGACCTGTTCTACCCTCTCCAAAAGAAAAACCTGAAGTGCCTTGCCATGGTAGGTGATGGGCAGGTGCCAGGCTGGGCCGTGTGGAGGAGGAGATTGAATTCCCTCTTAGAGTTTCAATCAATGCACTGGTTTTAAAGCCATCTTCACCACTGTTTTCTTAGGTACCAGGTGTCATGAGTTCTACAGCACTGAGGGGTTCAGCAGCACAAATGATGTTGCTTTGTGGTTCTTCTCTCTACTGGTTGAGAATCAGTTTCCTCAACTCAGCTAAGCCATTTTCCATTTGTCAATCTGCTTTCCAAATTCCCAGATTTTTTGTTGGCATCTTCTTTCCCATCCTCTTTGCTCTTGTAGGCTTATCTGTCTTTTATTTTAAAAATTCTCTTTCATTTTAGTGGATTTTGCCATTGTTAACCAGATGTCCTTTTCTTCTCTGGGTTAGCCACTGTGGGTCCTTCAGTGCTCAGCTCAGATGCTACTTCTGTCAGGAAGTCTTGAAGTTTGAGGTAGGTGCGCCACTGCTGTTTCCATAGTTTTCTGTATTTCCCTATCCCTGTTCTTTTCACATGGTGTTGGAACTGCCTGGTTACTACCCGTTTCCTCAGCAGACTATAATCCCTATAAGGGCAGCGATGATGTCTGTCTTATTCAACATTATATCCCTGAAAGCTAACATAGTGTCTAATACATAATAGAGATTCTAAAATATTTGTTGACTCATTGATTAAATACTCCTTAACAACACCCATAGCACTTTGAACTCTAACCATACTTCTTGTTGAGAGAGC
This sequence comes from Homo sapiens, assembly GCF_000001405.40. Taxonomy (NCBI): domain Eukaryota; kingdom Metazoa; phylum Chordata; class Mammalia; order Primates; family Hominidae; genus Homo; species Homo sapiens. The sequence goes on along the minus strand of NC_000003.12, from coordinate 176,897,773 downwards.
CTGCTGCTATTTGCTATTTTCTTTGACAGCACACACCACACCCCCAGGAGCATCTACCTCACAGACCTATCACGAGACTCTTTGAACTTAACACAAGAAGCACATTTCCAACAAACCTGCTGGGAAGAGAGTAACGCTTTGGTGGAGAGCTTTCCTGCAGCTGTGTGACAAGTCTCTGACGTGCTCTTCTGTTCTACCTCTTCTCCCACCGTATTCTTTATCTCAAACACTCTTTGAACAGTCATCAAAGATCCTAAATCCTCTACTTAGTGTGCTATCTATAGATTAGTAAGTCAACCACCTCCAGCACATCAGGTTTTCAAACCCTGGCATCTCAGCTTATCGATTTGGATCTTCTGACAAAATGCACCATAACTGTGTTTTCATTTTGTGCCACAGAAAATGCCTTTGCTAAGGAAACACTTCAGTTAAAACCATCTTCAGGCATCTGGGAACTACAGCCTGGAGCACTGTAGATCAAAGGGAGAGTCGTGCACTTGAAAAGTCCAGCTTTCTTAATTAATTATAAATTCCTCAATTAGGAAAAGATTTTGACATGATAAAAAAATTATGATTTCACAAAAGTTAGTTCTTCTTTCCCCCTGGCCCCAAGACTGTTCTAGACTTTCTTTGAAAGGAATATTTCCCCCCAATTTTTCTTCCGTTTTCATTTTGTAACCATACAATTCTATGGTAGAGGAGAAATAAATACATCTGCAGCACAGATACAGTAAAATGAGGTATTAGAACCCAAGTAGATACAGGAAGTAGAAAACTCTGATACACATGGGGAATAATACTGTCTTCCTGACTTCCCCACCTGCATCCTGCTACCTCCCGTTCTGGGTTAGTCAGCTACACTAGTCTCCAGTCCAGCCTGGTACTTTTCTGTAGCACTCACAACACGTGTTATCATGGTTCAGTGCAAGTCTTCCTCGACAGCTGTGTCTCCCACAAGGGCAAGCACTATGTCTGTCTTGTTCACTGCTGTGCTCCAGTGACTAGAACAGAATTTAGCACTTAAGAGGCACTTAAAAACTTTCTTAAAAAAATGTAAGGATGAATAAATTATGATACAGTGAGGAAGATTACTTGCAAAGATGGCTGTAGCAATTCTTCCTGCTGCTTTGTGAAGGGACTTTGCTACTCTGCCTGGAAAGGTGGAGTCTATGCCCTCCACACCATGAATCCGGGATGGCTTGTGACTTACTTTGACCAATAGAATGTGGCAGAGTGACATTGTGTGACATTTGAGGTGAAGTTTCAACAGGACTTGCAGATTCTTTTTTCATTGTCTTGAAAATAATCTACCATTGAGGAAGCCCAGATAACAGGCTGGCTCAGTGGAGGAGAACTGAGGTGCCAAGCGAAAAGACTTGCCAACTGCCGCACACAGAAATGAGGCTTTCCAGATCAAACCAGCCCTGGTCAACCAGCCACCTGGTCACAAACATGAGGAAGCCCAGGTGGAGCAGAGGTGAGCCATTCCAACTAAGTCCTGCCCACATTGCTGACCGTAAGAATGTGAGCAAACAAATGATCAATTTATACCAATAACTTTTGGGAGTAATTTATTATGCAACAATTATTAATACAGGAGGATCTTCAGGTTTTGCTCAATAGGGGAGTTTCCCTCCTGACTCAAATTAGAGAATCTGTAAAATCCACCACCCCATGGCTTCATCATAGACCCAAATGTAAAAGCCATTTCTGGGTAAGTTAAAGCAGCCATAGGCAATTTATAAAGAGCAAATCAAACTGAATTCCAGAATAACAGATCTGGCAAACAGAATGATAAAATACAATTGACAAACAGTTCATTTTTAAAGGAAAATTCACCTCAATTATAGAAGGGATGCATGGTAATTATAGAAAATTTGGAAAAGTCAGATTATTATAGGGAAGTAATAGAATTACTTAAAAATTCAAAAATATGAATATTATTGCTTATAATGCATTATTACTACTATCACTCCTATTAATGGTAATATATGTTAGTGGCTTCTGTGCCCCAGATCCTCCAAACTGCCTTGGTAATGTCCTTTCTATTCAGAAACAGGAGACTTCATTTATTCCAGTCTCCTTTTGCTTGTCTTATAATAAAGTTTTCAGATGTCTACATGTTAGATTGGCATATATGTTCTTAGTTTTATGCTTATTGGCTTTAAGCAGATTTTTATAGTTACTATAAGAGGATTATTTAAAAAGTTAGATATGACAGTTGCTGTATCAATTATCTATTATTGATAATATTTTTACATAGTTTTAAAATTGGAATTTTGATGTACACTTTGATCAAATAGTTTGGTAGAATGTTTTAAAATTACTAAATGTGTGGACTTTTTACTACTAATTACTGCTACTATATTATTGTTAGTAATTTATTACAGTCAGGGAAAGTGAGTTACAATTTTTACTTTTTTTTTTTCAAGGTGTATAACGTGATGACTTGATTTACATCTAAATTATGTAATAATTACAATAAAATTAATTAACACATCCATCACCACTCATGGTGTGCATTAGATCCCCAAAACTGGTTTATCTAATAACTGAAAGTTTGTAACCTTTTTTTAAAAAAATTTATTTTTTATTTCAATAGGTTATTGGGGAATTGGTGGTGTTTGGTTACATGAATAAGTTCTCTAGTGGTGATTTCTGAGACTTTGGTGCACCCGTCATCCAAACGGTGTACACTGTACCCAGTGTGTAGCCTTTTATCCCTCAACCCCCTCCCACGCTTTCACCCAAGTCCCCAAAGTCCATTGTATAATTCTTATGCCTTTGTGCCCTCATAGCTTAGCTCCCACTTATGAGTGAAAACATGAGATGTTTGGTTTTCCATTCCTGAGTTATTTCACTAAGAACAATAGTCTTCAATTCCATCCAGGTTGCTGTGAATGCAATTATTTCATTCCTTTTTGTGGCTCAGTAGCCCATGGTATATATACCACATTTTCTTTATCCACTCATTGATTGATGGGCATTTGGGCTGGTTCCATATTTTTGCAATTGCAAATTGTGCTGCTATAAACATGCGTGTGCAAGTATCTTTTTAAATATGACTTCTTTTCCTCTGGGTAGATACTCAGTAGTGGAATTGCTGGATCAAATGGTAGATCTACGTTCAGTTCTTTAAGGGATCTCCATGCTGTTTTCCATAGTGGTTGTACTAGTTTACATTCCCACCAGCAGTGTAAAAGTGTTCCCTTTTTAACCACATCTATGCCAACGTCTATTATTTTTTGATTATGGCCATTCTTGCAGGAGTAAGGTGGTATCACATTGTGGTTTTGATTTGCATTTCCTTGATCATTAGTGATGTTGAGCATTTTTCCATATGCTTGTTGGCCATTTGTATATCTTTTGAGAATTGTCTATTCATGTCCTTAGCCCACTTTTTGATGGGATTGTTTGTTTTTCTCTCGCTGATTTGTTTGAGTTCCTTGTAGATTCTGGATGTTAGTCCTTTGTCAGATATATAGACTGTGAAGATTTTTTTCCCACTCTGTGGGTTGTCTGTTTACTCTGCAGATTTTGTCTTTTGCTGTGCAGAAACTTTTTAGTTTAATTAAGTTCCATCTATTTATCTTTTTTTGTTGCATTTGCTTTTGGGTTCTTGGTTATGAAATCCTTCCCTAAGCCAATGTCCAGAAGGGTTTCTCCAATGTTATCTTCTAGAATTTTTATGGTTTCAGGTCTTAGATTTAAGTCTTTCATTTATCTTGAGTTGATTTTTGTATAAGGTCAGAAGATGAGGGTTCAGTTTCATTCTTTTACACGTGGATTGCCAATTGTACCAGCACCATTTGTTGAATAGGGTGTCCTTTTTTCAGTTTATGTTTTTGTTTGCTTTGTTGAAGATCAGTTGGCTGTAAGTATTTGGGTTTATTTCTGAGTTCTCTATTCTGTTCTGTTGGTCTATGTGCCTATTTTTATACCAGTACCATGCTGTTTTGGTGACTATGGCCTTACAACATAGTTTGAAGTCACATAACGTGATGCCCCCAGATTAGTTCTTTTGGCTTAGTCTTGCTTTGTCTGTGTAGGCTCTTTTTGGATTCATATGAAATTTAGAATTGTTTTTTCCAGTTCTGTGAAGAATGATAGTGGTATTTTGATGGGAATTGCATTGGATTTGTAGATTGCTTTTAGCAGTATGGTCATTTTTACAATATTGATTCAACCCATCCCTGAGCAAGGGATGTGTTTCCATTTGTTTGCATCATCTATGATTTCTTTCAGGAGTGTTTTGTAGTTTTCCTTGCAGAAGTTTATTATTCTGCTTTCATGCTGATGATAAAGACACCCAAGACTGGGCAATTTACAAAAGCAAGAGGTTTAATGGACTTACAGTTCCACATGGCTGGGGAGGCCTCACAATCATGGTGGAAGGCAAGGAAGAGCAAGCCACATCTTACATGGATAACAGCGGGCAAAAAAGAGAGCTTGTGCAGGGAAACTCCCCTTTTTAAAACCATCAGATCTCATGAGATTTATTCACTATCATGAGAATAGTGTAGGAAAAACCAACACCCATAATTCAATTACCTCTACTGGGTCCCTCCCACAACACATGGAAATTGTGGGAGTTACAATTCAAGATGAGATTTGCTCAGGGACACAGCCAAACCATATCATTCCATCCCTCCAAAATCTCATGTCCCCACATTTCAAAACCAATCATGCCTTCCCAACAGACCCCCAAAGTCTTAAACCCCCCAAAGTCATTTCAGCATTAACTCAAAAGTCCATAGTCCAAAGTCTCATCTGAGACAAGGCAAATCCCTTCCACCTATGAGTCTATAAAATCAAAAGGAAGTCAGTTACTTCCTAGATACAATGGGGGTACAGGCATTGAGTAAATACAACCATTCCAAATGGGAGAAATTGGCCAAAACAAAGGGGCACATGCTCCATGCCTGTCCCAAATCCAGTGGGGCAGTCAAATCTTAAAGCTCTAAAATGATCTCCTTTGATTCCATGTCTCACATCCAGGTCACGCTGATGCAAGTAGTGGGCTCCCACAGCCTTGGGCAGTTCCATTCCTGTGGCTTTGCAGGATATAGTCCCCCTCCTGGCTGCTTTCACAGGCTGGCATTGAGTGTTTGCAGCTTTTCCAGGAACACAGCGCAAGCTGTCGGTGGATCTACTATTCTGGGGTCTGAAGGACGGTGACCCTCTTCTCACAGCTCCACTAGGCTGTGCCCCAGTAGAGACTCTGGGGACTCTGACCCCACATTTCCCTTCTGCGCTGCCTTAGCAAAGGTTCTCCATAAGGGCCCTGCCCCTGCATCAAACTTCTGCCTGGGCATCCAGGCATTCCCATACATCCTCTGAAATCTAGGCAGAGGTTCCCAAACCTTGATTTTTGACTTCAGTGCACATGCAGGCTCAACACCACATGGAAGCGGCCAAGGAATGGGGCTTCCACCCTCTGAAGCAACAGCCCAAGCTGTACCTTGGTCCCTTTCAGACATGGCTGGAACAGCTGGGACTCAGGGCACCAAGTCCCTAGGATGCACACAGCAGAGGGACCCTGGACCCAGCACACAAAACCATTTTTTTCCTCCTAAACCTCTGGGCCTGTGATGGGAGGGGTTGCTGCAAAGGTCTCTGACATGCCCTGGAGACATTTTCCCATTGTATGGGTGATTAACATTTGGCTTCTTGTTACTTATGCAAATTCCTTCAGCTGCCTTGAATTTCTCCTCAGAAAATGGGATTTTCTTTTCTATCACATTTCCAGGCAGCAAATTTTCCAAACTTGTATGCTTTGTTTCCCTTTTAAAACTGTATGCCTTTAATAGTACCCAAGTAACCTCTTGAATGCTTTGCTGCTTAGAAATTTCTTCTACCAGATACCCTAAATTATCTCTCTGAAGTTCAAAGTTTCACAAATCCGTACGGCAGGGATAAAATACTGCCAGTCTCTTTGCTAAAACATGACAAGAGTCACCTTTGCTTTGGTTCCTAACAAGTTTCTTATCTTCATCTGAGACCACCTCAGCCTGGATTTCATTGTCCATATCATTATCAGCATTTTGGTCAAAGCCATTCAACAAGTCTCTAGGGAGTTCCAAACTTTCCCACACTTTTCTGTCTTCTTCAGAATCCTCCAAACTGTTCCAACCTCTGCCTATTACCCAGTTCCAAAGTCGCTTCGACATTTTTGGGTATCTTTTTGGCAGCACCCCAATATTGGTACCCATTTACTGTATTAGTCTGTTTTCACGCGGCTGATAAAGACATACCTGAGACTGGGAAATTTACAAAAGAAAGAGGTTTAATGGGGCCGGGCACGGTGGCTCACGCCTGTAATCCCTGCACTTTGGGAAGCCGAGGCAGGCGGATCACGAGGTCAGGAGATCGAGACCATCTTGGCTAACACAGTGAAACCCCGTCTCTACTAAAAATACAAAAAATTAGCCAGGCGTGGTGGTGGGCACCTGTAGTCCCAGCTACTTGGGAGGCTGAGGCAGGAGAATGGCATGAACCTGGGAGGCAGAGCTTGCAGTGAGCCGAGATAGCACCACTGCAGTCCGGCCTGGGCGAAAGAGTGAGACTCCATCTCAAAAAAAAAAAAAAAAAAAAAAAAGAAAGAGGTTTAATGGACTTACAGTTCCAGATGGCTGGGGAGGCCTCAAAATCATGGTGGAAGGCAAGGAGGAGCAAGTCACATCTTACTTGGATGGCAGCAGGTAAAAAGAGGTTTTGAAAGGGGATTTTCTCTTTTTAAAACCATCAGATCTCATGAGACTTATTCACTTATCATGACAATAGCCCAGGAAAAACCTTCCCCCATGTTTCAATTACCTCCACTGGGTCCCTCCTACAACAGGTGGGAATTATGAGAGTTACAATTCAAGATGAAATTTGGGTGGGGACACAGCCAACCATATCAAGAATTCTTTCACCTCCTTAGTTAGGTATATTCCTAAGTATTTCTTTTTTTTGCAGCTATTATAAGAGAGGTTGAGTTCTTAATTTGATTCTCAGCTTCGTTGCTGTGGGTGTATAGTGGAACTACTGATTTATGTACATTAATTTTGTATCCTGAAACCTTGCTAAATTAATTTACCAGTTCTAGTAGTTTTTTGGATGTATCTTTAGGGTTTTCTAAGTATATGATCATATCATCAGCAAACAGTGACAGTTGAACTTCCTCTTTACTGATTTGGATGCCTTTTATTTCTTTCTCTTGCCTGATTGCTCTGGCTAGGACTTCCAGTACTATGTTGAATAGAAGTGGTGAAAGTGGGCATCCTTGTCATGCTTCAGTTTTCAGGGGAAATGCTTTTAACTTTTTCCCATTCAGTATAATGTTGGCTGTGGGCTTATCATGGATGGCTTGCATTACCTTAAGGTATGTCTGTTGTATGCTGATTTTGTTGAGGGCTTTAATCATAAAGGGATGCTGGATTTTGTTAAATGCTTTTTCTGCATCTATTGAAATAATCATGTGATTTTTGTTTTAAATTCTGTTTATGTGGTGTATCACATTTATTGACTTGCAGATGTTAAACCATCCCTGCATTCCTGGTGTAAAACCCACTTGATCACGGTGGATTATCTTTTGGTATGCTGTTGGATTCAGTTAGCTAGTATTTTATTGAGGATTTCTGCATCTATGTTCATCAGGGATATTGTCTGTAGTTTTCTTTTTTTGTTATGTCCTTCCCTGATTTTCATATTAGGCTGAAATTGGCTTCATAGAATGATTTAGGGAGGATTCCCTCTTTCTCTAGCATGTGGAATAGTGTCAATAGAATTGGTACTGATTCTTCTTTGAATGTCTGACAGAATTCAGCAGTGAATCCATCTGGTCCTGGACTTTTTTTGTTGGTAATTTTTAAAATTATCATTTCAATCTCACTGCTTGTTACTGGTCTGTTTAGAGTTTCTATATCTTCCTGGTTTAATCTAGGAGGGTCGTTTATTTCCAGGAATTTATCCATCTCCTCTTGGTTTTTAGTTTATGTGCATAAAGGTGTTCACAGTATCCTTGGATAATCTTTTGTATTTCTGTGGTATCAGTAGTAATATTTCCCTTTTTGTTTCTAAATGTGCTTATTTGGATCTCTTCTCCTCTTTCCTTGGTTAATCTCACTAATAGTCTGTTAATTTTATTTATCTTTTCAAAGAACCAGCTTTTTGTTTCATTTGTCTGTTTTTTTTTTTTTTGCTTCGATTTCATTTAGTTCTGTTCTGATCTTTGTTATTTCTTTTCTTCTGCTGGGTTTGGCTTTGGATTGTTATTGCTTCTCCAGTTCTGTGAAGTGTGACCTCAGATTTATTTGTGCTTTTTCAGCCTTTTTGATGTAGGCATTTAATGCTATGAACTTTCTGCTTAGCACCACTTTTGCTGTATCCCAGAGGTTTTGCTAGGTTGTGTCACTATTATTGTTCAGCTCAAGGAATTTTTAAATTTCCATCTTGATTTTATTGTTCAAGAGCAGGTTATTTAATTTCCATGTATTTGCATGATTTTGAGTGTTCCTTTTGGAGTTGATTTTCAGTTTTATTCCACTGTGGTTTGAGAGAGTACTTAATGTACTTTTGATTTTCTTAAATTTACTGAGCCTTGTTTTGTGGCCTATCATATGGTCTATCTTGGAATATGTCCCATGTTTCAATGAACAGAGTGTATATTCTTCAGTTGTTGGGTAGAATGTTCTGTAATATCTGTTAAGTTCATTTGTTGTGGGGTATAGTTTAAGTCCATTGCTTCTTTATTGACTTTCTCTCTTGATGACCTGTCTAGTGCTGTCAGTGGAGTATTAAAGTCACCTGCTATTATTGTGTTGCCATTTATCTCATTTCTGGTGAGGGCTCACTTCATGCTTAATAAGCTGTGCTTTCTCACTGTGGTTTCACATGGTAGAAGGGGGTAGGGCTTTCTCTCTGGCCTCCCTTATAAAGGTGCCAATCCCATTCCTAAGGGCTCTGCCCTCACAGCCTAATTACTTTCCAAGGGCTCCATGTCCTAACCCCATCATTTTAAGGGTGAAGATTTGAACATATGAATTTTTGGGAAACATAAACATTCAGACCATACTAGGCCCACATCCCGTCTCTGCAAATGCCTGCCTCTGTGGTTGTCCTAGCCTCAGTTTTCCTAACTGAAAAAACCCTAGCTGATACTAGGACATGGGTTTATTCAATTTTTATGAGTATTAAATAAGATAATCTACGTGGCACTCTTGGCATAGTCTGATATATAGTGAGAACCTTACTAGTAAATGTTTGCTATTATATCTTTATTCTGCCCACTGTATTCCTCACAAAGCTAGCTTTGAATGTTATGTTTTTTGGTATATTTCGATTGTGTACCTTGTGTTAATATAAAACTACTCTTTTCCCATTTAATCCTTTTTTGCTTTGAATTCCTTTTTGTAGGAAATGAAAATTGCTGTGTTTTAAACTTGGCTGATAAATCTGTTTTTTATTTAGTTGTTAAATTTTTAATTTTTATGGTTACATGAGATATTTTGATACAAGTGTGTAATGCATAATAATTACATTAGGGTAAATGGGGTATCCATCACCTGAAGCATTTATCATTTCTTTGTGCTACAAATATGCCAATTATACAATTTATTTAAAAATGTACAATAAACTATTGTTTATTGTAATCACCCTGTTGTGCTGTCAAATACTAGACCTTATTCATTCTATCTAACTATATTTCTGTACCCATTAAACATCTCCATAATACTCTTCCTCCCCACTATCTTTTGCAGCCTCTGGTAACCATGATTCTACTCCTTGTGTCCATGAGTTCAGTTGTTTTAATTTTTGGTTCCCACAAATAAATGAGAACATGCAAAGTTGGTCTTTTAGTGCCTTGCTTAGTCACTTAACAAAATGTCCTCCAGTTTTATCCATGTTGTTGCAAATGACAGGATTTCTTTCTTTTTTATGGCTGAATAGTATTCCATTGTATATATGTATCACATTTTCTTTATCTATTCATCTGTAGATAGACACTTAGGATGCTTCCAAATTTTAGCTATTATGAATAGTGCTGCAATAAAATGGGAGTGCAGATGTCTGGTTGATATACTGGTTTCCTTTCTTTTGGGTACACACCTGGCAGTGGGATTGCTGAATCATATGGCAGTTCTATTTTTAGTTCTTTGAAGATTCTCCAAATTGTTTTCCATAGTGGCTGTACTAATTTATGCTCCCACCAACAGTATATGAGGATTCCCTTTTCTCCACACCCTCACCAGCATTCATTTCTGTCTGTCTGTCTTTTGGATAAAAGCCATTTTAACTGGGATGAGATGATATCTCATTGTAGTTTTGATTTGCATTTCCGGTGATCTGTGATGTTGATCACCTTTTAATATATTTGTTGCCATTTGTATGTCTTCTTTTGAGAAATATCTATTCACATCTTTTGCCCATTTTTAAATCAAATTATTAGAGTTTTTCCTATAGAGTTGTTTGACCTCCTTATATATTCTTGTTATTAATCCCTTGTGATATAAATAATTTGCAAATATTTTCTCCTATTCTGTGGGTTGTCTCTTGACTTTGTTGATTGTTTTCTTTGTTGTGCAGAAGTTTTAACTTGCTGTGATCCCATTTGTCCATTTTTGCTTTGGTTACCTATGCTAGTGGGATATTACTCAAGAAATCTTTGCCCAGACCAACGTCCTAGAAAGTTGCCACAGTGTTCTCTTTTAGTAGTTTTATAGTTTGCGGTCTTAGATCTAAGTTTTTAATACATTTTGATTTGACTCTTGCATATGGCAAGAGATAGGGGTCTAGTTGATAGCTTTGGCTACTCTGAGTTTTTGTGGTTCATATAAATTTTGGGATTGTATTTTCTGTTTCTGTGAAGGTCATTTGATATTTTGATAGAGATTGAATCAAGTTGTGGACTGCTTTGGGTGTGGACATTTTAACAATATTGATTCCTCCAAACCATGAACATAGAATATCTTTCTACTTTTTATTTCCTCTTCAATTTCTTTCATCAATGCTTTATAGTTTTCACTGTACAGATCTTTCACTTCTTTGGTTAATTCCTAGGTATTTAATTTTATTTGTAGCTATTGTAAATGAGATTACTTTCTTGATTTATTTTTCAGATTGTTTACTATTGACACATGGAAATGCTATTGATTTTTGTATGTTGAGTTCATATACTGCAACTTTACTGAATTTGTTGATTAGTTCTAGTAGTTTTTTGGTGCAGTTTTTAGGTTTTTCCAAATATGAGATAATATCTTCTGCAAACAAGGATAATTTAACTTCTTTCTTTTCAATTTGAATGCCCTTTATTTCTTTCTCTTGCCAGATTTCTCTATCTAGAACTTCCAGTACTGTATTGAATAACGTGGTGGCAGTGGGCATCCTTGTTGCAATCCACATCTTAGAGGAAAGGTTTTCATTTTTTTCCCTGTATAATACTAGCTGTGGGTCTATTGTGTATGGCTTTTATTTTGTTGAGGTATGTTCCTTAATACCAAGTGTGTTGAGGGTTTTTATAATGAAGGGGTGTTGCATATTATTAAATAATTTTTCAGCATCAATTGAAATGATCATTTGTTTTTTACTGTTCATTCTGTTGATATGATGCATCATATCGATTGATTTGCATATGTTGAACCATCCTTGCATCCTTGAGATAAATCCCACTTTGTCGTGATGAATGATATTTTTAATATGTTGTTGGATTAGGTTTGCTACTATTTTGTTGAGGTTTTTGTATCAATGTTCATCAGGTATATTGGCCTGTAGTTTTCTTTTTTTGATGTGTTGTTGTCTTTGGTATCAGGGTAATATTTTGGTCTTGTAGAATGAGTTTTGAAGTATTCTCTCCTCCTCCATTTTTTGGAATAATTTGAGTAGAAATGGTATTAGTTCTTCATTAAACATTTGTAGAATTCAGCAGGGAAGCCATTAGGTCCTGGGCTTTTGTTTGCTAGGAAACTTTTTATTATGGCTTTGATCTTATTACTTGTTATTGATATTCAGTTTTAAATTTCTTCTTAGTTTAATCTTGGTAGGTTATGTGTGTCCAGGAATTTATTTTTTCTAGATTTTCCAATTTATTGAACTTATTGTCATATAGTTGCTCAATGTAGCCATTAATTATCCTTTGAATTTCTGTCATATAGGTAGCAATGTTTCCTTTTTCATCTCTGATGTTGTTTATTTGAGTCTTCTCTCTTTTTTTCTTAGTGAGCCTGGCTAAAAGCTTACCAATTTTATTTTTTTAAGAAACCAACTTTTCATTTTGTTGATCTTTTATACTTTTTTTATTTCAATTTTATTTATTTCTGTTCTGATCTTTATTATTTCTTTTCTTCTATTAATTTTGGGTTTCATTTGCTCTTATTGTTTTAGTTCTTTAAGATGCATCATTAGGGCAGGTGTGGTGGCTTACATCTGTAATCTCAGCACTTTGGGAGGCTGAGGTGGGCATATTGCTTGAGTCTAGGAGTTCAAGACCAGTCTGGGCAACATGGCAAAACTGTCTCTACAAAAAATACAAAAAAATTAGCCAGGTATGGTAGTGAATGCTTGTGGTCCCAGCTATTTGGGAGTCTCAGGTGGGGTAATCACCTGAGCCTGGGAGGTGGAGGTTGCAGTGAGCCGAGATTGTATCATTGCCCTCCGGCCTGGGTGACAGAGTTCGACCCTGTCTAAAAAAAAAAAAATAATAATAATAAAAAAGATTCATCATTAGGCTGTTTGTTTGAAGTTTTTCTTGATTTTTGTTGCTGATAGCTATAAACATTCCTCTTAGTACTGCTTTTGCAATATCCTGTAGGTTTGGGTATGTTTGTTCCCATTTTTATTTGTTTCAAGAAATTTTTCAATTTCCTTCTTAATTTCTTCATGACTGTTCATTCAGAAGCATATTGTTTAATTCCCATGTATTTGTATACTTCCAAAGTTCTTGTTTTTAACTTTAATAATGCTTTAATTTAACTTAATATATCCAAATTATTATCAACATATAATCATTTTTTAATGTTATTAATGAGATCATCTACATTCATTTTTTGTATTAAGTCTTCAAAATCCAATGTATATTTTATCTTCACAGCATATCTCAATTGGGTTAATCTGTTTCTCAATTGAGACAGCACATCTCAAGTGCTCAGTAGGCATATGGGGCTGGTGACTTCCATGTTGGACAGCACAGCTCTAGGACCTTAAAGCTCCCAAGAGCTTCTCTCTCTTTCATAGCTCAGGAAAGCTGTCTCTGAACTTTTCCCTGTTCCCCTTGCCTAAAACTTTTGTTTCTTTTCCAAGTGACAATTCCTCATTGTTCATGTCTCCAACCTGTATTATTTGTTGCATATCTGTTTTTTAAGAGCTGTCACTCTCTATTAGAACATAATCCCCATGAGGCAGAGACCCCAGGGTGTAGCACAGTGCCTGGCATACAGTGGCCCTTGATAAGTATCTTTAAATGAATAAATGAATGGATAAATGAATCCATTAGACACCATCTCTCCCCTGCTTTGCACCTGCCTTCTTAGAAGACACAGAAACACTCCACTTTAGTGCTTCCCTGGGGAGTGTGAATCATCTTAGACCCCAGTTGCTTTTGTGCAGGGTTTTGATCATTCTTAGGCAGTAAACTCCTTTGGCAGTCTGTGATATCTATGGACCCCTTCTCAAAATAATGCTTTTTAAATCATTTAATTATTTAATCAATTAGTTAATTTTTAAACTTTTATTTTAGGTTCAGGGGTATATATGCGGATTTGCTATGGAGGTAAACTCATGTTATGGGGGTTTGTTGTACAGATTATTTTGTCACCCAGGTACTAAGCCTAATACCCAATAGTTATTTTTTCTTTAGTAAAAGGTGAAAGATTTAATATGATCTGAAGAGAAAACAGAGTATATTATAGTTATTTCTTCTGATCTTCTCCCTTGTCCCACCTTCCACCCTTAATTAGGCCCCAGTGTCTGTTCTCTTTGTATCCATGTGTTTTCATCATTTAGCTCCCACTTATAAGTGAGAACATGTGGCATTTGGTTTTCTGTTCCTGCATTAATTTGCTAAGGATAATGGACTCCAGCTCCATCCACGTTCCTGCAAAATACATGATCTTGTTCTTTTTTATGGCTGCATAGTATTCCATGGTGTATATGTACCACATTTTCCTTATCCAGCCTACCATTGATGGGCACTTAGGTTGATTCCACATCTTTGCTATCGTTAATAGTGCTGCAACAGACATATGCATGTGTACGTCTTTGTGGTAGAATGATTTATATTCATTTGGGTATATACTCAGTAATAGGATTGTTGAGACAAATGGTAATCCTATTTTCAGCTCTCTGAGGAATCACCATGCTGCGTTTCACAATGGTTGAACTAATTTACACTTTTACTAACAGTGTATAAGTGTTCCCTTTTTTCTGCAACCTTGCCAGCATATGTTATTTTTGACTTTTTAACAATAGCCATTCTTGACTAGTGTGAGATGGTGTCTCGTTTTGGTTTTGATTTGCATTTCTCTAATGATAAATGATATTTAGCTTTTTTTCATATGCTTGTTGGCTACATGTATGTCTTTAGAAAAGATTTTTTCATGTCCTTTGCCCACTTTTTAATGGGGTTGTTTGTTTTCTTCTTGCAAACTTGTTTAAGTTCCTTATAAATGCTGGATATTAGGCCTTGTCAGATACATAGTTTGCAAATATTTTCTCCCATTCTGTAGGTTGTCTGTTTACCCTGTTGATAGTTTCTTTTGGTGTGTAGAAGCTCTTAAGTTTAATTAGATTCCATTTGTCAACTTTTGCTTTTGTTGTGATTGCTTTTGGTATCTTTGTCATGAAATCTTTGCCTGCTCCTATGTCCAGAATGGTATTGTCTAGGTTGTCTTCTAGGGTTTTTATAGTTTTGGGTTTTACATTTAAATCTTTTATTCATCTTAAGTTGACTTTTGTATGTGGTGTAAGGAAGGGGTCCAGTTTCAATCTTCTTCTATAGTTTTGATTATTGTAGCTCTGTAGTATAGTTTGAAGTTGGGTAATCCGATGTTGTCATCTTGTTCATTTTGCTTGGGATTGTGTTGGCTATTTGAGCTCTTTTTTGGTTACATATGCATTTTAATATAGTTTTTCTAGTTCTGTGAATAATGTCATTGGTAGTTTTATAGGAAGAGCATTGAATCTGTAAATTGCCTTGGGCAGTATGGCCATTTTAATGACATTGATTCTTCTGATTCATGAGCATGGAGTGGTTTTCTATTTGCTTGTGTTATCTCTGATTTCTTTCTTTTTTTTGAGACGGAGTCTCGCTCTTTCGCCCAGGCCGGACTGCAGTGGTGCTATCTCAGCTCATTGCAAGCTCCGTCTCCCTGGTTCACGCCATTCTCCTGCCTCAGCCTCCCGAGTAGCTGGAACTACAGGCACCTGCCACCACACCTGGCTAATTTATTGTATTTTTAGTAGAGACAGGGTTTCACCGTGTTAGCCAGGATGGTCTCGATCTCTGATTTCTTTGACCAGTGTTTTGTAATTCTCAATGTAGAGATCTTTCACCTATACAATTATCCAGTTACCCAAATAGCTGTACTCCTAGGTATTTTGTTCTTTTTGTGGCAAATGTGAGTGGAATTGCATTCCTGATTTATCTTTCAGGTTGGCTGTTGTTGGTTTATGGGAATGCTAGTGATTTTTGTACATTGATTTTGTATCTTGAAACTGTCCTGAAATTGTTTATCAGCTGAAGAAGCTTTTCGGCTAAGACTATAAGGTTTTCTAGATATAGCATCATGTCATTAGCAAATAGGGAAAGTTTAACTTCCTCTCTTCTTATTTGGATACACTATTTCTTTCTCTTGCCTGATTGCTCTGGCCAGGACTTTCAATACTCTGCTGAATAGGAGTGATGACAGTGGGCATTCTTGTCTTGTGCCTGTTTTCAAAGGGAATGCTTCCAGCTTTTGCCCATTTAGTATGATGTTGGCAGTGGATTTGCCATAGATGGCTCTTATTATTTTGAGGTGTGTTCTTTCAATACATAGTTTATTGAGAATTTTTAACATGAAGGGATGTTGAACTTCATCAAAAGCCTTTTCTGTGTCTATTGTATCATATGATTTTTTGCCTTTAGGTCTGTTTATGTAATGAACCATGTTTATTGATTTGCATATGTTGAACTAACCTTGCATGCCAAGGAAAAAGCCTGCTTGATCATGGTGGATTAGCTTTACTACATGTTACTGGATTCAGTTTTTAAGTATTTTGTTGAGGATTTTTGCATGAATGTTAATCAAGGATATTGGCTTCAAGTTCTTTTTTTTTTTGTTGTGTGTCTGCCAGGTTTTGCTATCAGGATCATGCTGGCCTCATGTAATGCGCTTAGGATGAATGCCTCTTCCTCAATTTTTAAAAATACTTTCAGTAGTAATGATACCAGCTCTTCTTTGTACATCTTGTAGGATTTGGCTGTGAATACATCTGTTCTTGGGCTTTTTTTGGTTGGTAGGCTATTTATACTGATTTAAGTATAGAACTCATTATTGGTCTGTTCAGGGAATCAATTTCTTCCTGATTCAGTCTTGGGAGGGTGCATGTGTCCAGGAATATATCCACCTCTTCTAGATCTTCTAGTTTGTGTGCACAGAGGTGTTTGTAGTCTTTGATGATTGTTTGTATTTCTGTAGGTTCAGTGGTAACATCTCCTTTGTCATTTCTGATTGTGTTCACTTGGATCTTCTCTTTTCTCCTTTATTTTTCTAGCTAGCTACCTATCTATCTTATCCATTTTTCCATAAGCAAACTCCTTGATTTGTTGATCTTCTGAATTTTTTTTGTGTCTCAATTTCCTTCAGTGCAGCTCTGATACTGGTTATTTCTCTTCTGCTAGTGTTGAGGTTGGTTTGCTCTTGATTCTCTAGTTTTTTTAGTTGTGATGTTAGGTTGTTAATTTGAGACCTTTCTAACTTTTCAATGTGGGTGTTTAGTGCCATAGATTTCCCTTTTAACACTGCCTTAGCTGTGTCCCAGAGATTCTGTATGTTGTATCTTTGTTCTCATTAGTTTTAAAGAACTTCTTGATTTCCGCCTTAAATTTCATTATTTACCTAAAGTCATTCAGGAGCATGTTCTTTAGTTTCCATGTAGTTGCATGGTTTGGAGCAATTTTTTAGTATTGATTCTTATTTTTATTGTCTTGTGGTCTGGGAGTGTGCTTGGTATGATTTTGGTTCTTTTGCATTTGCTGAGAATTGTTTAGTGTCTAATTGTGTGGTCGATTTTAGAGTATGTGCCATGTGGTGATGAGAGTAATGTATATTCCATTGTTTTTGGATGGAGAGTTCTGTAGAGGCCTATCAGATCCATTTGGTCTAATATTAAGTTTAGGTCTTGAATATCTTTGTTAATTTTCTGCCTTGGTGTTCTGTCTAATATTCTCAGTGGAGTGTTGAAGTCTCCCACTATTGTGTGGGAGTCTAAATCTCTTCATAGATGTCTAAAAACTTGCTTTATCAATGTGGGTCCTTCTGTGTTGGGTGCATATATATTTATAATCATCAGGTCTTCTTGTTGAATTGAACTCTTTACCATATGTAATGCTCTTTTTGTCTATTTTGATCTTTGTTGGTTTAATTTTTTTTTCCTGAAATTATGATTTCAACTCCTGCCTTTTTCTAATTTCCATTTGCTTGGTAGCTTTTCCTCCATTCCTTTATTTTGAGCCTATGGGTGTCATCGCATGTGAGATGGGTCCCTTGAAGACAGTATACCATTGGGTCTTGCTTTTTAAATCTAGCTTGTCACACTCTGCCTTTTAAATGGGGCATTTGGCCCATTTACATTCAAGGTTAGTATTGATATATGTGGATTTGATCCTTTCATTGTGTTGTTACCTGAATAGTGTGCTGGCTTGTTTGTGTGTTGCTTTATAGTATCACTAGTCTATGTGTTTATGTGTATTTTTGTATTGGCTAGTAATGGTCTTTCCTTTCCACATTTAATGCTCCTTTCAAGATCTCTTCTAAGGGAGGTCTGGTAGAAACAAGCTCCCTTAGCATTTGCTTACCTGAAAAGGATCTTATTTCTCCTTTGCTGAGGAAGCTTTGTTTGTCTAGATATGAAATTCTTGGTTGAAGAATTTTTTCTTTAAGAATGTTGAATATAGGCCCCCAATTTCTTATGGCTTATATGGCTTCTGCCCAGAGGTCTGCTGTTAGCCTTATGGCATTCCCTTTGCAGGTGACCTGCCTTGTCTCTCTAGCTTCCTTTAACATTCTTTCATTCATTATGACCTTGGAAAATCTGATGATTATGTGTCTTAAGGATGATCTTCTGTAGAATCTTGCAGGGATTCTCTGTACTTTCTGAATTTGACTACAGCTTCAAAGTTGGGGAACTTTTCATGGATGACATTCTGAAATATGTTTTCCAAGTTGCTTGCTTTCTCCCCCTCCCTTTCAGGGATGCCAGTGTTCACAGATTTGTCCTCTTTACATAATCCCATATTTCTTGGAGGTTTTGTTCATTTCTTTTCATTTTTTTTCTTTATTTTTGTCCGACTGTCTTATGTCAGAGAGCCAGTATTCAAGTTCTGAGGTTGTCTCCTCAGCCTGGCCTATTCTGCTGTTAATACTTGCGATTGCATTGTGAAATTCTTGTAGCGTGCTTTTCAGGTATATGAGATCAATTAGGCTCTTTTTTTTATACTGACTATTTTGTCTGTCATCTCCTGTATTGTTTTATTGTGATTCTTAGTTTCCTTGGATTGAGTTTTGTTGTTCTCCTGAATCCCAATCATCTTTGTTTCTATCTATATTATGAATTCTGTTTCTGTCATTTCTGCCATCTCAGCCTGATTAGGAACCCTTGTTGGAGAACTAGTGTGATCATTTGGAGGACATTCACTCTGGCCATTTGAGTTGCTGAGGTTCTTGCATTGGTTCTTACTCATCTCTGCATGTGGATGTTCTTTAACTGCAGTGTAGATTGAGTATGGTCAGTAAACTTCTTTTCTGGATATTTTCACAGGGCTGAGGCTTTGTGCATGGTATTTATTTGTAGCTGACTTGTCTTTGGTTTCACAGGGGGTTATGTTAGCCAGGGATTTTTGGTGTTGAAGGTTTGGGGTGTGATACAGCAGGTGGCACTTAGGCTTAGTGGTCAGTTGGTAGGCTCTTGCTCCGTTGAGTGGCTCCCGTATATTTCCTCACAGTTGCAGATGTGTTCCCTCTCAATGCTCTGAAAGTGTGGGCTCCTTTTTCACTTGAGTGCTGGCTATAGATCACGGCTTGGCACTCCCTGGCTGCCCTCCGCAGCTCTGGAGTCATCTCAGGGTTTATATTTCTTTCCCAACTTGGAGGAAAGGACATTAGCAGTGGTTGTGGCCAAGGGTCTTTTACTTGTCTTTTGGGAGCTCCACTCCAGAGAGATGCAGGTCTGCAATCACTCAGTGCAATCAACCTGGCATATGGAATCTGTTCTGTGGGTCCAAGCTGGGGGTTCCCTGCCTGATGACAAGCGGGGTGTGTGGGACCAGTGAAAGACAGGCTGGCTTCCTCTCCTTGGGTTGACTGCTGCTTGTTGGAGGTGTGGATAAAGTACCTACGGCCTTTGCTCCTTCAATAGTTCAAGGGTAGCAGGGGTAGCACCACTGCACAGGCAGTGGCAGAGGGGCTTTCAGTTGCCCCTGGGGGCTCCATCTCCAAGGACTATGGAGCTGCTGTTACTAGAAGTGTTCAGCCAGTGGGGTGGGGCAGCTTCACTCCTGGTGTGAACCTTGGGCTCCACTTGTTGGAAAACAGGGGGTCGAGGGCTCACCAGGAGTAGAGACTGTTCTCCTCTCTGTATGGTAACTGAATTGTGCTGTAAGCTCATGTGTAGCCCTTAGGTTCTTTCCCAGACCAAGGGCAGGAGGGCTAGAACTGCTGCTGTGGCAGTGGCAGCGGGGCTGACAGATGTCTCTGGGAAACTTTTTCCAGGGAACCTCTGGGCCACTACCAGTGGGTATGCTCAGCTGTGGATGGGGTGACTGTTCTGCAGTCATAAGCCAGGGGCCTTGTGTGGTAAAGAGTGAGAGGTAAGGGTTCCCAGAAAAGAAGGGCACTGCAACTGCAGAGATGGAGGGGTTGTGGGTTGACTCTGTGATTTTCTTCTCAGAGAAATGCTGGGCTGCCTCTGATTAAAGTGGTCAGACAGGGGCAGAGTGGTTGTGCTGGAGTCCCAGGTCAGGTGGTCCTGCCCAGTGAGGAGAAATGAGAACTGAGACCTGTGTGAACAGTCTGGCCACTTTTTTGTTAGGTGGGTGTTCTGTGCTGGGGGTTCAGACCAACCCCTGCTCCCCATGGACTCTCCAGAGCCTGGAGACAATAAGGGTGAGGGCTGCAAAACAGCAGAGAGGGCAATCCACCCCTCCCACTGGGGCTCTGTCCCAGGGAGTTGCAGAGCTGCAACTGGCTTGATAGCCGAAGTGGGGGTAAGGGGTGGCTGAAGACTCAGGCCAGGAGAACCCATGCTGTGAGGAGACACGGGATCAGGGACCCACATAACAGTCTGGCCACTTTTCTGTAGGGCTGCTGTGGTATGCTGGGGGTCCACTTTAGTCCCTAGTCACCTTAGATTTTCTAGTACCTGAAAGTATCAACAGTAAACTCTGCAAAACAACAAAGATGATGGCCTGCCCCTCCCTCTGGGGGGAGCCCTGCCCCAAGTGGTATGGACCTGTTGCCAGCCTAAACACACTGATGGGAGTGGCTGGGGAGCCTGGTTAGGGGCATAGAAGACCCCCAAAAAACAGAAAACAAATAACAAAATGGCAGAAGTAAGTCCTTACTTATTAATAATAACATTAAATGGAAATAGACTAAACTCTGATATAAAAGACATAGAGTGGCTGAATGGATTTAAAAAACAAGATCCAGTGATTTGTTGCCTAGAAGAAACACACTTCACCTATAAAGACACAAATAGATGGAAAATAAAGGGATAGAAAAGGATATTTCATGCAAATGGAAACCAAAAAAGAGAAAGAGTAGATGTATTTATAACAGGCATAATAGGTTTCATGAAAAAACTGTAAGAAGACAAAAAAAAGTCATTACATAATGATAAAGGGGTCAATTTAGCAAGAGGATATAACAATTGTAAATATATGTGCACCCAACACTAGAGCACCCAGGATATAAATAAATATTGTTAGAGATAAAGAGATAGACTCCAACACAATAATAGCTGGAGACTTTAACACCCACTTTCAGCACTAGACAGATCTTCTAGACAGAAAATCAACAAAGAAACATCAGATTTAATCTTCACTATAGACCAAATGGACCTGATAGATATTTACAGAACATTTATCCATTGGCTGCAGAATACACATTCTTCTCAGTACATATGTCATTCTCAAGGATAGACCATATGTTAGGTCACAAAACAGGTCTTAAAACATTAAAAAGGCTGGGTGTGGTGGCTCACACCCATAATCCCAGCACTTTGGGAGGCTGAGGTGGGTGAATCACCTGAGGTCAGGAGTTCGAGACCAGCATTGCCAACATGGTAAACCCATCTTTACTAAAAATACAAAAAATTAGCCAGGTGTGGTGGCACACACCTGTAGTCCCAGCTACTCTGGAGGCTGAGGCAGGAGAATTGCTTGAACCCAGAGGACAGAGGTTGCAGTGAGCCAAGGTCACACCACTGCACTCCAGCCTGGGCAACAAGAGTAAAACTCCATCTCAAAAAAACTTAAAAAAAAAAAAAAAGAAATAATATCAAATATCTTCTCTGACCACAATAGAATAAAGCTAAATATCAACAACTAGAGAAAGAAAAGTGTAAGATAAATGACTAGAAGCAGCTAATGTGTGACACTCTCACAGAGAGAAATAAAAGGAGTGATACATACAGCATCTTCAACTGAAGCATCCAAGTACATACATTGGGATTCATCAAGAAAACAACTCAACCAACAGAGAATGAAGAAAAGCAAGTCGGGACAACCACCCACCTGTGAGCCACATGGAGCCAGGGGAGCCTCCCCTGCCCAGGGAAGTGGTGAGTGAGTGAGAAGCCCCAGGGACCCATGCTTCTCCCATGGATCTTTGCAACCCATGAGTCAGGAGATCCCCTCATGAATCCACTCCACCAGGGTCTTCAGTCTGATATGCAGGGCTACATGGAGTCCTGGCAGAGCAGCTGCTCAGGTACACTTGGAGCCCCAGAAGCTTTAGATACCCAGGCTTTTCAGCAAAAGCAGCTGCAACTCTGGCAAAGCAGGAGGTTAGACCTTCATACATACTCCTAGGAAAGGGGCTAAATCTAGGGGATGAGGCAGCTATGGTCTGCAGGCCCCACTTCCACAGCATCTTGCAGGATAAGACTCACTGGCTTGGAAGTTCAGCCAGCCACGGGTAGCAGTGTTACACCTCCCTGTAACTGGGCTTCCAGAGGGAGGGGCGGGCCACTGTATTTACTATTGTGCAGCCTTAGCCACTGTTGCCCTTGTGCTCTGGGAAATCTGAGTTAACTGAAGACAGGAGTAGTCCCCCAGCACAGTGCAGCAACTCTGTGGAGAGGTGACCAGACTGCTTTTCCACGTGAGTCCCAGACCTCATTTTTCTTCAGTGGGTGGAATCTTCTGACCGAGGTCTACAACCACCCTTGCGAGTGTTTTCTAGCCAGAAGTAGTCCCAAACCTCCCTGGGATGGAGCTTCCAGAGGGCAGGGTGGGCCACCATCTTTGCTGTTTCATGGCCTTAACTGCTGTTGCCTTTGGGCTTGGGAATCCAAGGTGACTAGGGACTGGAGTGCTCCCTCAACACAGCATAGCTGCTTTATGTTGAGGCTGCCAGACTGCATTTTCACACAGGTCCCAGTTCCTGTTTCTCTTCATTGGGCAGCATCTCACAATCAAGGTCTACAACCACCCCACTGGTGTTTTTGCACCAGTAACAGGTCCATACCACCCTGAGATGGAACTCCCAGAGGGAGGGGTGGGCCTCCATCTTTGCTGTTTCACAGCCACAGCCATTGTTGCCTTTGGGCTTTGGAGAGTCTGAGGCAGTGGGGGAGCTGGAGCAGACCCCCAACACAGCACAGCTGCTGTGCAAAAAAGTGGCCAGACTGCTTTTTTATGTAGCTTCTCGATCCTGTTTCTCTAGGACTGGTCCCTGGTGCTTTATTTATTTCATTTGGTGAGGTAATGTTTTCCTGGTTGTTCTTGATGCTTGTGGATGTTCATTGGTGTCTGGAAATGGAAGAATTAGGTATTTACTGTAGTCTCCACTGTCTGGTCTTGTTTGTATCCATCCTTCTTGGAAAGGCTTTCCAGGTATTTGAAGGGACTTGGGTGTTGTGATCTAAGCCATATCGGCATTGGGCTGCATCCCAAGCCTGGTCACACTGTAGTTATTGCAGACTCATAGAGGTACTGTCTTGGTGGGGTGAGATCTGGAAGAATTCTCTGGATTACCAGGCAGAGACTCTTGTTCTCTTCCTTTACTTTCTCCCAAACAAATGGAGTCTTTCTGTGCTGAGCCATCTGGAGCCGGGGGTGTGGCGACACAAGCACCCCTGTGGCCACCACCCCTGGGATGTGCTGAAGTCAGAACAGCACCGATCTCACCCAAGGCCTGCTGTAACCACTCCCTGGCTACTGCTTATGTTCACTAAAGCCATAGGGCTCCATAATCAGCAGGTGGTGAATTCAGCCAAGCTTGTGTCCTCTCCTTCAGGCCAGTGAATTTCCCCAGTCCCCCGGTGGGTTCAGAGATGCCATCCAGGAGTCAGGGACTGGAGTCAAATACATTAGAAATCTACCTGGTGTTCTGTTCGACTGTGGCTAAGCTGGTACTCACAAATGAGACAAAGCCCTTCCTACACTTACCTACCATTTCCACAGGTAGAGGAGCGTCTCCCCATAGCCACCACCGCAAAAGGCCCATGGGCAGTACTGTCAGCTTATCACCAATGTTCACTGAAGGCCCAAGGACTCTTCAATCAGCTTGTGGTGAATGCTGCCAGGCCTGGGACTCACCCTTCAGGTCAGTGCACTCCCTTCTGGCCCAGAGCAGGTCCAGCAATGCCATCTAAGGGACAAGGTTTGGAATTGGGGTCCCCAAGAGTGCTCTACCCCATTGGGTGTTCTGTCCATTTGTTGCTTTACCCCACTGTGACCCAGCTGGTACCAAGGTGCAAGACAAAGTCCCGTTTACTTTTTCCCTCCCTGCTTTTCTCAAGCAGATATCCTCCACAGCTGGGAATGTGCTGTGTCTTAGTGAAGCTAGCACATCTTAGAGTCTCACCTAAGGCCCACAGCATACTATCTGGGTATCATGCTGGTAATTTAGGGCCCAAGGGCTCTTTAGTCAGCAGGTGATGAATCCTGTCAGTATGAGGTCCCTCCCTTCAAGGCAGCAGGTTTTCTTCTGGCTTGGGGAGTGTCTAGAAATGTCATCTGGGAGCAAGGGCCTAGTATGGGGGCCTCACATCTCTGCTTGGTGCCCTATCCTACTGTGGCTGAGCTGGTATCCACAATGAAAGACAAAGTCCCCTTTACTTTTCTCTCTCCTCTTCTCAAGCAGAAGGAAGCAGTCATTTTTATTTCTGTGAGCTGTGTTGCCTATGGTTGGGGGTCAGGTGGTGTGAGCACTCCCTTATCTTCCACAGCTGGTATCTCACTAGGTTGCTTGTCCCCAGGCCCGCTGGCTCTAAGCCAAACAAAGCACAAGGAGTTGCCTAGAAGTTGCAGTCCTTGTGGCCTAGAGTTCTTTTCATGTTTATTGAGGACCCCAGAGTACTTCAGCCCATGGCGATGAGACTTGTTGAAACTCACGTTCCAACCTCTGACATAGGTGATTCCCCTCTGGCTAAGACTCATCTAAATGCTCCCTCTGCCGGTGAGGATGGGCATCAGCTGAGTTCAGCTCAGTTTTGCTTTCAGCTGTGACAAAACAGTGCTGAATTCAATGCAAAGTCTTAAAACTGCTGGGTCTTCCCTCCCCCAGGCTCACAGTTTCTTTCTTCTCATCACATGGCCTCTGTCTGGGGTGAGGAGGCATCGGGGATTGAAGACTCTCTTTCCTTCCCTCTTCAGTGCCTCTCTCAGGTATATGAAGTTATAACCAGATACTGTGATTGCTCACTTGGCTTTTCATTCTTATAAAGGTGTTTGTGTGTAGATTTTTTTTTTTTTTTAATTTTGGGTCCCTGTGAAGTGGGGGCCATTGATGGAGGCTTGTATTTGGGCATCTTGCTCTGTCGTTCCAGGAGCACATCGTTTTATTTCCATGTGTTTGTATAGTTTCCAAAGTTCCTCTTGTTATTGATTTCTAGTTTTATTTTATTGTAGTCAGAGAAGATGTCTGCTATTGTTTTAATTTTTAAAATGCTTTAAGACTTGTTTTGTGACCTAACTTATGGCCTATTCTTGAGAATGACCCAAGTGCTGAGGAGAAGAATGTGTATTCAGAAGCTATTAGTAAATATTTTGTAAATATCTAGGTCCATTTGGTCTACAGTACAGATTAAAGCTGATATTTCTTTGTTGATTTTCTGTCTGGAAGATCTGTCCAATGCTGAAAGTGGGGTGTTGAAGTCTCCAGCTATAATTGTATTGGGTTCTTTTTTTTTTAATGGAGTCTTGTATTGTCACCCAGGCTGGAGTGCAATGGTGCAATCTTGGCTCACTGCAACCTCTGCCTCCTGGGTTCAAGCAATTCTCCTGCCTCAGCCTCCTGAGTAGCTGGGATTACAAGCACCCACCATCACGCGGAGCTAATATTTTGTATTTCTAGTAGAGATGGGGTTTCACCATGTTGGCCAGGCTGGTCTCGAACTCCTGACTTTGTGATCCACCCACCTCAGCCTCCTAAAGTGCTGGGATTACAGATGTGAGCCACCACGCCTGGTCTTGTATTGGGTTCTATCTCTCTCTTTAGCTCTAATATTTGCTTTATGTTGGGTACTCCAATGTTGGGTCCATATATATTTACAATTGTTGTGTTCTCTTACTGAATGGACCCCTTTGTCATTATATAATGGCCTTTTTATCTCATTTTATAGTTTTTGTCTTAAAATCTGTTTTGTCTGATATAAGTATAGCTATTTTTTCTGTTTTTTTGGTTTCCATTTGCACAAAATATCTTCTTCCATCCCTTTACTTTTAGTCTATGTGTGTCTTTATAGGTAAAGTGTGTTTCTTCTAGGTAACAGATCACTGAGTATTGTTTTCTTTATCCATTCATCCACTCTATATGTTTTGATTAGAGATTTAATCCATTTATGTTCTGTGTTATTATTAATAAGGGCTTACTACTGCCATTTTGTTATTTGCTTTCTGGTTGTTTTGTAGTCTTTCCTTCCTGTGTTCCTTTTTGGGAAGTCAATTTTCTCTGGTTGTATGTTTCAATTCCTTTTTATTTTTTGTGTATCTGTTGCATATTGCTTTATTTGAAGTTACCATGAGGCTTGCAAATAACATCCTATAACCCATTATTTTACACTGATGACAACATAACACTGATTGCAAAACAAAATAACAAACAAGCAAAGAGGAAACTGAAAAAGAACTCTACATTTTAACTTTATCCCCTGCTTTTAAAGTTTTTATTGTTTCTATTTATATCTTATTATACTGTCTATGTCTTGAACAATTGTTTTAGTCATTACTTTTGATAGGTTTATTTTTAGTCTTTCTACTCAAGATATGAGTTGTTTATACACAATTTCAGTGTTAGGATATTCTGTGTTTGTGTGCTTACTACTAGCAGTAAATTTTGTAACTTCAGATAATTTCTTATTGCTTAATCAATTCTGCTGTTGAGAGACTCTGATAGATTCTTCAATATGTCAATTGAATTTTCAGCTCCAGAATTTCTGCTCGATTCTTTTAAATTATTTCAATCTCTTTGTTGAAATTTATCTGAGAGTATTCTGAATTCCTTCTCCATGTTATCTTGGATTTCACTGAGCTTTCTCAAAATAGCTATTTTGAATTATCTGTCTGAAAGATCACATATTTCTGCCACTCCAGGACTGGTCACTGGTGCCTTATTTAATTCATTTGGTGAGGTCATGTTTTCCTGGAAGGTGTTGATGCCTGTGGATTTGCACCAATGTCTGGGCATTGAGGAGTCAGGTTTTTATTGTAATCTTCACAGTCTGGGCTTGTTTGTACTCATCCTTCTAGGGAAGGCTTTCCAAGTATTCAAAGGGTATTGAGTGTTGTGATGTAAGTCTTTGGTCATTGCAGGCATATATGTGTTAAGGGGAATCCCAATCCTAGTAATGCTATGACTCCTGCAGATCTGTGTAGGTACCACCTTTTTGGTCTTGGGTAAGATCCAGGATGTTGCGGGAAGTCAGGGACCCCAAACGGAGGGACCGGCTGAAGCCATGGCAGGAGAACATGGATTGTGAAGATTTCATGGACATTTATTAGTTCCCCAAATTAATACTTTTATAATTTCTTATGCCTGTCTTTACTGCAGTCTCTAAACATATACTGTAAAGATTTCATGGACACTTATCACTTCCCCAATCTATATAGACCCTTGTGATTTCCTATGCCTGTCTTTACTTTAATCTCTTATTCCTGTCAGCTGAGGAGGATGTATATTGCCTCAGGACCCTGTAATAATTGCATTAACTGCACAAATTTTACAGCATGTGTGTTTGAGCAATATGAAATCTGGGCACCTTGAAAAAAGAACAGGATAACAGCAATTGTTCAGGGAATAAGAGAGATAACCTTAAACTCTGACTGCCGGTGAGCCGGGCTGAACAGAGCCATATTTCTTTTCTTTCAAAAGCAAATGGGAGAAATATCACTGAATTCTTTTTCTCACATGGAATATCCCTGGGAAAGAGAATACGCGCCTGGAGGTATAGGCTTATAAACAGCACCCCCAGGTGCGCCTGTCTCTTATGGTTGAGACTGCAGGGGTGAAATAGACTCCAGTCTCCCATAGTGCTCCCAGGCTTATTAGGAAGAGGAAATTCCTGCCTAATAAATTTTGGTCAGACCGGTTGATCTCAAAACTCTGTCTCCTGATAAGATGTTATCAATGACAATGGTGCCCGAAACTTCATTAGCAATTTTAATTTCGCCCCGGTCCTGTAGTCCTGTGATCTCACCCTGCCTCCACTTGCCTTGTGATATTCTATTACCTTGTAAAGTACTTGATGTCTGTGATCCACACCTATTCGCACACTCCCTCCCCTTTTGAAACCCCCTAATAAAAACTTGCTGGTTTTTGAGGCTTGTGGGGCATCACAGAACCTACTGACATGTGATATCTCCCCCGGATGCCCAGCTTTAAAATTTCTCTCTTTTGTACTCTGTCCCTTTATTTCTCAAGCTGGCCAATGCTTAAGGAAAATAGAGAAGAACCTACATGAATGTCGGGGCAGATTCCCCAATACCAGGAGAATTGCTTAGATTACCAAGTGGAGACTCTTGTTCTCTTCCCTTACTTTTCCCCAAACCAACAGAGTCTCTCTCTCTCCATGCTGAATTTCTTGGAACTGGGGGAGAGGTGACACAAGTATCCCTGTGGCCACCATTTCGGGACTGTGTTAGGGCAGACTAAGCACTGGGTATTGCCTTAGGCCTGTGGCAACCACTGTCAAGTTACCGCTGATGTTTCCTCAAGGCTCAAGGGTTCTACAATCAGCAGGTGGTGAATCCAGCCAGGATTGTATCCTTCCCTTCAGGGTGGCAAGCTTTTCCCTATCCATGGTAGGGTCCAGAAATGCAGTCTGGGAGCCAGGCCCTGGAGTTGGAAACCTTGGGAATCTACTTGGTGCTCTATTCTACTACAGCTGAGGTGATGATACCCAAGCTGCAAGACAAAGTCCTTCTCACTCTTCCCTCTCTTTTCCTCAAGCAGAAGGAGCCTCTCTCAATGGCCACCCCAACTCCAGATCTGCATCGAGTACTGCTAGGCTACTGCTGATATTCACTCATGGCTCAAGGGCTCTTCAGTCAGCTTATGGTAAATGCTGCCAGGCCTGGGTTTTTCCCTTCAGGGCGATGGGGTCCCCTTTGCCCTAAGGTGGGTCCATAAATGCCCCCCGATGAGCCAAGGCTTGGAATCAGGGTTCTGAGAAGTCCACTTAGTGCTCTACCCCACTGTGGCTAAGATGGTACCCAAGCTGCAAGACAAAGTCACCTTTACTCTTCTCTCTTCTTTCCTCAAGCCAATGGAGTCTCTCTCCATGGTCACCACAGCTGGCAGTGTGCTGGGTCACACCTGAAGCCACAACGGCATTGGGGTTCACCTAAGGCCTGTAGCGAGTATTGCCTGGCAACCACTAATGTTTATTCAAGACTCAAGGGCTCTTTAGTCAACAGCAGGTGGTGAATCCTGCCAGGACTGGGTTTTTCCCTTCAAGGCAGCTGTTTCCCATCCGGTACAGGGTGTGTCTAGAAATGTCGTCCAGGAGCTAGGGACTGAAATCACGGTCTCAGGACTTTGCTTGGTGCCTTATTCTACTGTGCCTGAGCTGATATCCAAGATGCAAGACAAAGTCCTCTTCCTCTTCCTTTCCTTTCTTCAACCTGAAGGAAGGAGTCTCTCCCACAGCTGCAGGCTGTACTGCCTCAGGTTAGGGGAGGAGTGACATGAACAGTGCCTTGGCTGCCCCAGTTAGTTTCTGATTATGTTGCATGCACCCCAAGTCTACTGGCTCTGAGCCCAGCACAGCACCAGGACTTGCCCAGAAATTGCAGTTCTTGTGGCCTAGACTGCCTTTCAAGTTTATTTAGACCCCAAAAAACTTTAGCCTGCAATGGTGGGGGCTAGCCAGAACCCAGTTTCTGATTTCTGGGATAGGCTGGCCTAAATTCTTCCTCTGTGGGCACCAGCTGAATTCTGCCTTGTGTTGCTTTCCACTGTGACAGAGCAGCACTGAGTTCCAATTGCAAAGTTCCACTGCATTCTCTGCATTCTCATGCATTCACTGCATTCTCCCTCCCGCAAGCACACAGATCCTCTCTTCTCTCCATGTAGTCACTACTTGGGGAAGGGGAATGGGTGGTATCAGCAATTCAAGACTGATTTCTTTTCCATCTTCAGCGCCCCTTTCCTTGATATGATGTTAAAACCAGGTATTGTGAGTGCTCCTCTGATTTTTTGTTCTTATGAAGGTGTTTCTTGTGTGAATAGTTGTTTAATTTTGTGTTCTGGGGTTGGGGTGGGGGATGATCACTAATTTCTTTTCCTGCTAGCAAGGCATGACAGTTCTCATTTTATTCTATTAGTTGAATACTTGATATTTTTAGAGTTTTACAATTTTGTTTATTAAACAAGTGTGAAATAGGATCTTAATATTGTAATTTACTAGTGTGATTGAGTATTTCTCATATGTTCATAGGTGATTTGAGCTTTTCTTTTTTTTATTATACTTTAAGTTCTAGGGTACATGTGCACAATGTACAGGTTTGTTGCATATGTATACAAGTGCCATGTTGGTGGGCTGCACCCATTAACTCGTCATTTACATTAGGAATATCTCCTAATGCTATCCCTCCCCCCTACCCCCACCCCATGACAGGACCTGGTGTTTGATGTTCCCCACTGTGTCCAAGTGTTCTCATTGTTCAATTCCCACCTATGAGTGAGAACAAGTGGTGCTTGGTTTTCTGTCCTTGCAACAGTTTTCTCAGAATGATGGTTTCCAGCTTCATCCATGTCCCTACAAAGGACATGAACTCATCCTTTTTTATGGCTGCATAGTATTCCATGGTGTATATGTGCCACATTTTCTTAATCCACTCTATCATTGATGGACATTTGGGTTGGTTCCAAGTCTTTGCTATTGTGAATAGTGCCGCAATAAACATATGTGTGCATGTGTCTTTACAGCAGCATGATTTATGAACCTTTGGGTATATACCCAGTAGTGGGATGGCTGGGTCAAATGGTATTTCTAGTTCTAGATCCCTGAGGAATCACCACACTGTCTTCCACAATGGTTGAACTAGTTTACAGTCCCACCAACAGCGTAAAAGTGTTCCTATTTGTCCACATACTCTCCAGCACCTGTTGTTTCCTGACTTTTTAATGATTGCCATTCTAACTGGTGTGAGATGGTATCTTACTGTGGTTTTGATTTACATTTCTCTGATGGCCATTGATGATGAGCATTTTTTCAGGTGTCTGTTGGCTGCATAAATATCTTCTTTTGAGAAGTGTCTGTTCTTATCCTTCGCCCACTTTTTGATGGGGTTGTTTGATTTTTTTCTTATAAATTTGCTTAAGTTCTTTGTAGATTCTGGATACCAGCCCTTTGTCAGATGGGTAGATTGTAAAAATTTTCTCCCATTTTGTAGGTTGCCTTTTCACTCTGATAGTAGTTTCTTTTGCTGTGCAGAAGCTCTTGAGTTTAATTAGATCCCATTTGTCCATTGTGGCTTTTGTTACCATTGCTTTTGGTGTTTTAGTCATGAAGTCCTTGCCCATGCCTATGTCCTGAACGGTATTGCCTAGGTTTTCTTCTAGGGTTTTTATGGTTTTAGGTCTAACATTTAAGTCTTTAATCCATCTTGAATTAATTTTTATATAAGGTGTAAGGAAGGGATCCAGTTTCAGCTTTCTACATATGGCTAGCCAGTTTTCCCAGCACCATTTATTAAATAGGGAATCCTTTCCTCATTTCATGTTTTTGTCAGGTTTGTCAAAGATCAGATGGTTGTTGGTGTGTGATATTATTTCTGAGTGCTCTGTTCTGTTCCATTGGTCTCTATCTCTGTTTTGATACCAGTACCTGCTGTTTTGGTTACTGTAGCCTTGTAGTATAGTTTGAAGTCAGGTAGCGTGATGCCTCCAACTTTTTTCTTTTGGCTTAGGATTGTCTTGGCAATGCAGGCTCTTTATTGGTTCCATATGAGCTTTAAAGTAGTTTTTTCCAATTCTGTGAAGAAAGTCATTTGTAGCTTGATGGGGATGGCATTGAATCTGTAAATTACCTTGGGCAGTATGGCCATTTTCATGATATTGATTCTTCCTATCCATGAGCATGGAATGTTCTTCCATTTGTTTGTGTCCTCTTTTATTTCGTTGAGCAGTGGTTTGTAGTTCTCCTTGAAGAGGTCCTTCACATCCCTTGTACGTTGGATTCCCAGGTATTTTATTCTCTTTGAAGCAATTGTGAATGGGAGTTCACTCATGATTTGGCTCTCTGTCTGTTATTGGTGTATAGGAATGCTTGTGATTTTTGCACATTGATTTTGTATCCTGAGACTTTGCTGAAGTTGCTTATCAGCTTAAGGAGATTTTGGGCTGAGATGATGGGGTTTTCTAAATATACAATCATCTCATCTGCAAACAGGGACAATTTGACTTCCTCTTTTCCTAATTGAATACCCTTTATTTCTTTGTCCTGCCTGATTGCCCTGGCCAGAACTTCCAACACTATGTTGAATAGGAGTGTTAAGAGAGGGCATCCCTGTCTTGTGCCAGTTTTCAAAGGGAATGCTTCCAGTTTTTGCCCATTCAGTATGATGTTGGCTGTGGGTTTGTCATAAATAGCTCTTATTGTTTTGAGATATGCCCCATCTGTACCTAGTTTATTCAGAGTTTTTAGCATGAAGGGCTGTTGAATTTTGTCAAAGGCCTTTTCTGCATCTATTGAGATAATCACGTTATTTTTGTCTTTGGTTCTGTTTATATGATGGATTAAGTTTATTGATTTGCTTATGTTGAACCAGCCTTGCATCCCAGGGATGAAGCCAACTTGATCGTGGTGGATAAGCTATTTGATGTGCTGCTGGATTCGGTTTGCCAGTATTTTACTGAGGATTTTTGCATCAATGTTCACCAAGGATATTGGTCTAAAATTCTCTTTTTTTGTTGTGTCTCTGCTAGGCTTTACTATCTTGATGATGCTGGCCTCATAAAATGAGTTACGGAGGATTCCCTCTTTTTCTATTGATTGGAATAGTTTCAGAAGGAATGGTACCAGCTCCTCTTTGTACCTCTGGTAGAATTCAGCTGTGAATCCATCGGGTCCTGGACTTTTTTTAGTTGGTAGGCTGTTAATTATTGCCTCAATTTCAGAGCCTGTTATTGGTCTATTCAGGGATTCATCTTCTTCCTGGTTTAGTTTTGGGAGGATTTATGTGTCGAGGAATTTATCCATTTCTTCTAGATTTTCTAGTTTATTTGTGTAGAGGTGTTTATAGTATTCTCTGATGGTAGTTTGTATTTCTGTGGGATCGGTGGTGATATCCCCTTTATCATTTTTTGTTACACTTATTTGATTCTTCTCTCTTTTCTTCTTTATTAGTCTTGCTAGTGGTCTACCAATTTTGTTGATCTTTCCCAAAAACCAGCTCCTGGATTCATTGATTTTTTTGAAGGGTTTTTTGTATCTCTATCTCCTTCAGTTCTGCTCTGATCTTAGTTATTTCTTGCCTTCTGCTAGCTTTTGAATGTGTTGCTCTTGCTTCTCTAGTTCTTTTAATTGTGATGTTAGGGTGTCAATTTTAGATCTTTCCTGCTTTCTCTTGCAGGCATTTAGTGCTATAAATTTCCCTCTACACACTGCTTTAAATGTGTCCCAGAGATTCTGGTATGTTGTGTCTTTGTTCTCATTGGTTTCAAAGAACATCTTTATTTCTGCCTTCATTTCGTTATGTACCCAGTAGTAATTCAGGAGCAGGTTGTTCAGTTTCCATGTAGTTGAGTGGTTTTGAGTGAATTTCTTAATCCTGAGTTCTAGTTTGATTGCACTCTGGTCTGATAGACAGTTTGTTATAATTTCTGTTCTTTTACATTTGCTGAGGAGTGCTTTACTTCCAACTATGTGGTCAATTTTGGAATAAGTGTGATGTGTTGCTGAGAAGAATGTATATTCTGTTGATTTGGGGTGGAGAGTTCTGTAGATGTCTATTAGGTCTGCTTGCTGCAGAGCTGAGCTCAATTCCTGGGTATCCTTATTAACTTTCTGTCTTGTTGATCTGTCTAATGTTGACAGTGGGGTGTTAAAGTCTCCCATCATGATTGTGTGGGAGTCTAAGTCTCTTTGTAGGTATCTAAGGACTTGCTTTATGAATCTGGGTGCTCCTGTATTGGGTGCATATATATTTAGGATAGTTAGCTCTTCTTGTTGAATTGATCCCTTTACTATTATGTAATGGCCTTCTTTGTCTCTTTTGATATTAGAGACAAAGGATTGCAACCCGTGTTTTTTTTTGTTTTCCATTTGCTTGGTAGATCTTCCTCCATCCCTTTATTTTGAGCCTATGTGTGTCTCTGCACGTGAGATGGGTCTCCTGAATACAGCACACTGATGGGCCTTGACTCTTTATCCATGTTTGCCAGTCTGTGTCTTTTAATTGGAGCATTTAGCCCATTTACATTGAAGGTTAATATTGTTATGTGTGAATTTCATCCTGTCATTATGAAGTTAGCTGGTTATTTTGCTCATTAGTTGATGCAGTTTCTTCCTAGCATCGATGGTCTTTACAATTTGGCATGTTTTTGCAGTGGCTCATACAGGTTGTTCCTTTCCATGTTTAGTGCTTCCTTCAGGAGCTCTTGTGAGGCAGGCCTGGTGGTGACAAAATCTCTCAGCATTTGCTTGTCTGTAAAGTATTTTATTTCTCCTTCACTTATGAAGCTTAGTTTGGGTGGATATGAAATTCTGGGTTGAAAATTCTTTTCTTTAAGAATGTTGAATATTGGCCCCCACTCTCTGCTGGCTTGTAGAATTTCTGCCGAGAGATCCACTGTAGGTCTGATGGGCTTCCCTTTTTAGGTAACCTGACCTTTCTCTCTGGCTGCCCTTGATATTTTTTCCTTCATTTCAACTTTGGTGAATCTGAAAATTATGTATCTTGGAGTTGCTCTTCTTGAGGAGTATCTTTGTGGCATTCTCTGTATTTTCTGAATTTGAATGCTGGCCTGCCTTGCTAGGTTGGGGAAATTCTCCTGGATAATATCCTGAAGAGTGTTTTCCAGCTTGGTTCCATTCACCCCGTCACTTTCAGGTACACCAATCAGATGTAGATTTGGTCTTTTCACATAGTCGCATATTTCTTGGAGGCTTTGTTCATTTCTTTTTACTCTTTTTTCTCTAAACTTCTCTTCTTGCTTCATTTCATTCATTTGATCTTCAATCACTGATACCCTTTCTTCCACTTGATCAAATGGGCTACTGAAGCTTGTGCATGCATCATGCAGTTCTTGTACCATGGTTTTCAGCTCCATCAGGTCATTTAAGGGCTTCTCTACGCTATTTATTCTAGTTAGCCATTCATCTAATCTTTCTTCAAGGTTTTTAGCTTCTTTGTGATGGGTTCGTACATCGTCCTTTAGCACAGAGAAGTTTGTTATTACCAATCGTCTGAAGCCTTCTTCTCTCAACTCATCAAAGTCATTCTCCTTCCAGCTTTGTTCTGTTGCTGGTGAGGAGCTGCATTCCTTTGGAGGAGAAGAGGAGCTCTGGTTTTTCAAATTTTCAGCTTTTCTTCTCTGGTTTCTCCCCATCTTTGTGGTTTTATCTACCTTTGGTCTTTGATGATGGTGATGTACAGATGGGGTTTTGGTGTGGATGTCCTTTCTGTTTGTTAGTTTTCCTCCTAATAGTCAGGACCCTCAGCTGCAGATCTGTTGGGGTTTGCTGGAGGTCCACTCCAGACCCTGTTTGCCTGGGTATCACCAGCAGAGGCTGCAGAACAGCAAATATTGCAGAACGGCAAATGTTGCTGCCTGATCCTTCCTCTGGATGCTTCGTCTCAGAGGGGCACCTGGCTGTATGAGTTGTCAGTTGGCCCCTAGTGGGAGGTGTCTCCCAGTTACGCTACTCAGGGGTCAGGGACCCACTTGAGGAGGCAGTCTGTCCGTTCTCAGATCTCAAACTCTGTGCTGGGAGAACCACTACTCTCTTCAAAGCTGTCAGACGGGGCGTTTAAGTCTGCAGAAGTTTCTGCTGCCTTTTATTCAGCTATGCCCTGCCCCCAGAGGTGGAGCCTACAGAGGCAGGGAGGACTCCTTGAGCTGCAGTGGGCTCCATCCAGTTCGAGCTTCCTGGCTGCTTTGTTTACCTATTCAAGCCTCAGCAATGGTGAATGCCCCTCCCCCAGCCTGGCTGCCACCTTGCAGTTCGATCTCAGACTGCTGTGCTAGAAGTGAGCGAGGCTCCGTGGGCATGGGACCCTCCGAGCCAGGAGCAGGATATAATCTCCTGGTGTGCCATTTGCTAAGACTGTTGGAAAAGCACAGTATTAGGGTGGGAGTGTCCCAGTTGTCCAGGTACCTTCTGTCATGGCTTCCCTTGGCTAGGAAAGGGAATTCCGGACCCTTGCACTTCCCGGGTGAGGCAATGCCCCACCCTGCTTTGGGTCACACTCCGTGGGTTGTACCCACTGTCCAACAAGCCCCAGTGAGATGAACCCAGTACCCCAGTTGAACATACAGAAATCACCTGACTTCTATGTTGCTCACGCTGAGAGCTGCAGACTGGAGCTGTTTCTATTTGGCCATCTTGGAATCTCCCTTTGAGCTTTTCTTTGTATTCCTTGCTCATTAAAAAAATATTTTTCTTAATGACTCATAAAAACTCTTTTTGAATATCTTTCTTATACCTTCATACACACAAAATAATTATGGTTATATGTTTTTTAAGTTACAATGGCCTCCCCTAAATCCTGTAGTTTTAATAATATTATCAAGCACTGTTATTTTTCAGATAAGAATTCTGAGGCCTCCATGATATTTCCTCTCTAGTTAGTCTTTATAATTCACCATTTTTCCCCTCCAGAATGTATGTAGGAGATGATTTCCTCTCAGCAGTTTACATATGTTTTTCTTTGATATCTTTGATTACTTATTTTGTTTCTTTTGATCTCATGTCTTCTGTCCTCTGCAAGTTTTATGTTCTTTATTTTTATTTTTATCTGTCATATGCCTGTATACATTGGAATAGCCTCTTTGGTTTGTTCTCTGTGACATCAATTTTATATTCTGCCATGTAAATTTGTTCTTTATTTTTAAATCATGTTTAATTTTGATTTTGTATTTTTATATATTTATAGGCTCCTTCATTATCTATTGCAGTTGTATTTTTCTCTCAAATGAATTAACTGTAATGTCTTTCCTCTACTTTTCATACTATGCATGTATTTTGATATTCCATTCAAAATGTCAATAGTCTTTTCAATTTTGCTTTGGTTTTTCTAATGTGTCATTTTCAGAGGTATGCATTTCTTTTGTGTGTTCGGGGTGGTGTTCCATTAATCTCTAGTATTTTGTTTCTGCGGATCTTATGGATTTGTGTATCCTTATGTGTGAATGAAAAGAAACTCTCCCAGGCTCAGTATTTGCCAACAGAGAAGATGTATCTGTCTTGTCCCCACCGTAGGTCCAACTGGGTCTTGTTAAATACCATTCTGAAATCTATGACTGGTAAGTAGACTGCTGTGCTAAATTCTAGTTCCATGTATATTATTAGTAGGCCTTTAACTCATGCAGTTATTCTGGCTGAGGGAGGCTCTCCTACTCTCAGTACCTGACTTAGGACAATTTGAAGCAAGGTAGTATATGAAAAGCTGTAAGTCCTGCTAGTCACTGCTAATATGGCTCTTCCTATCTCTCCTCCTATTTCTTAACTTTATATGCTGGTTTTTATTCCCCAATACACAATATAGTACCATATATCTATATGACAGTACATGTTGATTTCTGAATTGTGCTGTCTGTATGAAGGTAGAAAGAGAAATACTAACTAAAGATGGGGAAGCAAGTGTACTGGCCACCTCAAAAGTATTACTCATGGGATTGCTTGCAACTGATTTGTACTCTGGGACCTTGAGTTACCAGGCAGGCAGATAGTGTTTTCCTGTCTTTGTCAAGAGCGTTCAATATACTCTGGGTCACTATCAAATCTTGTATTTTCCCATTGGTTTTGGTTCTGAATTTTACTCTTTAAGTCATGCAGGTTGTGCAAGTATTTTTCAGATGAGCAGTAATTTGACTGACATTCTTAGGTTTTCCATGTAGGTATTTTTTTTCTTTTAATTTCATGTATATTTTTAGTGGGACATTAAGAGAAGTTGAACCAGAGTCTACAATCCAGATGTTGTTTAAAATTAAAGTCAAAACATTCTATAAGCTTTAATAATTGTACTGTACTGATTTAGGACAGACTAGTTTGAGGTTTATAACAGCCTGGGACAAAGGTGGGGTTTAGTGAAGGCAAAGTCATGTAACAAGGAAAGCTGCAAAGATGCTGGAAGGAACCAAGGCACAGATGTTTTTCTTAGTAGTGATTGGAAGTTAATGTCGGATCTACCTGTAAATATGCCAGTCAGGTCAATTTATGGTTAATATGGGTTTTAAATGTGTGAGATCATGTCTGGGTTCAGTCAGAGATTGAGAGCCACATTCCAGTTAGGAATGGCCACTATGGTGTAGAATGTGCTATGTATTTACAACAATAGTAGTTCTTTATTGGTAGTTTAAATACTGCGTGCAAATTGTCATTGTGTCACTTCAGGTCCTTTGAGAAGAAAATATTAACGTGAAATTATATATGAATGAGATTTTTTTGGGGACATGTCAGCAGTGGGTATTTGGGAGGGAACAAGATTTGCTTGGTAGAGCCTTTAGGCAGTGCTTCAGGGTTTGGACGTGTGAAACATTTGAGGAAAGGACAGATTGGGTAGGAGGAGTCTCAGACTGCAGTGTATTTCTGAGAAACTTTTGAGCGGGCTGACAGGAAGTCCTTGAGCAAACACTTCCCACTAGAAGACTCCCGCTTTGGACAGTAATGGGCCAGCTCCAGTGGCCCCCATCAGGCTTTCATTGGCTGGGAGCACCTGGGGGAATTACGGCCTTGGCACGAACACTGCAGTGGATCCTAAGAATGGCAGTTGGAGGCGTCGGTCATATATAAATATTTGCCATTTATAAAGTGTGTCCTATAGTTTATATTTTAATATTTAATCTATACAACTAACTTGTAAGTTAAATTGTATTGTCTGTATTTTATAAATAAAGAAACTTCAATTTGGAGAAAACAAATAATATAAGATCAAACGATCATCAAGTGACCATGCCAGAATTTAAATATAGGTCTATAGTTACATATTAGAATTCTTTTGGTTGAAGGCAATAAAAAATATATTTCTAAGAGAAGGCACTTATTTTTAGGATATAGTCACAGTTGTCACACAGGACCCAAGGGCTGACAGTGCCCAGGATACCCTAGAAGCAGGGATTGGCATGCAATTAAGGCTGCTTCTCTTTTTCTCACTTCTGCTTCGCTCAGTGGATCTGATTAAGTCTTTTCTCTTTCTATATAACTGATTTTATATGCATATGGCAAAAGAGTGACTGCCCACAACTGTTGAGTTCAAGAGGGCTTCAAAGACTCAAGCTGGAATGACTTTCTCAGAAAAGTGGTTTCTACAGCAGCTAGGATAAGGTATCTGCTTCTAGACTAGGTAAATTATCTGGTGGGCTGAAATCTAGTGAAGAGATTCTGAGGGGTGAGGTGAAGGAGAGTTTGCCACTGCGGTTATCATGTGAATGGCTGGGAAAGAGGAAAGAAGTTACCAGAAAAGGAGGTGTTGGATATAATACACAATAGGTGTACACAATAAGATAAAGTTTTCAGTGGGGTAAACCTTAAATATAATTGTAGTGAAATATCTGTGTGTGTGTGTGTGTGTGTGTATGTAATATATATATATATACACACACACACAAAACGTATATGTATACATATATACATATATATACACACAGAGATATTATACACAGAGAATATATATTTATTCCACCTTTTGTTCCTTTTGATTGCTTGTATCCTTAAAATTACCAGTAAATCACAATGCTGGTGAGATCTCTGATTTACGTGAGTCTGATTGAAATCTGATTCCTTTGGTTAGCTCAATCCCATAGCAAACAACTGGGCTGAATTGTGTCTTCCCCAAAATTCACAAGTTGAAGTCCTAACCCTTAGTACCTGAGAATGAGATCATATTTGGGGGTAGGGTATTTAAAGAGGTAGTTAAAATAAAGTCACTAGGGTGGATCCTAATCCAATATGACTGGTACCTTTACAAGAAGAGCAGACTAGGACACAGACACACAGAGAAGACCATGTGAGGACATAGTGAGAAGATAGCCATCTATAAGCCAAGAAGAGCGGCCTTACTGCCAACTCTTTGATCTTGGACTTCTAGCCTCCAGAATTTTGAGAAAATAAATTTCTGTTGTTTAAGCCACCCAGTCTGTGGTGTTTTTTTATGGTAGCTCTAGTAAACTAATCAGATGGGAAGAGGGATCGTGTCTCCTTTTCCTTTCTGTTCACTCATGGAATCCATGCAGGACCCGGCCTTACTGTTTTGTGTGCCTTCCTTCCAGGGTTTCCTTTGGGACCCTAAATTTTTTATTCCATTGGTATGTTGAACATTTTTGTAACTTGAACATTCCCTTGGATCATTTCCTCCACCTCAAATGGATTATCAAGGGATAATTCATTTGGAATGACTGGAGAAAGTCTTATGAATAATTTTTCTCTATATTGCAGCATTTTGTTTATGCTGCTGGAAGCTATAGGTCAAACCTTGTAACCTATGACAAATGGAGTAAATTACTTTGATGACATTTTGGGAATATTATAAAAAATGAAAAAAGGGTACATAATATGTACCTGGAAACCTAAGGTATTTATTTTGCTTTGTGACTATTACTGGGGATTCTGAACAGTTTTACTTGATTTTCTATTTTTTTTGATTTTCTGGAAGCATTGCAAATTGCAAGCTTTCTAGTATTCTCAATAGATTCTACTCTGTTTATTATATAGGTACATGGAGATTCTACTGTCATTTTAAATGGAGAAGTTCCCTAGGGCAAATTTTAGGATTTTGAATTGTCTCACTTAATTGCCTTAGTTTGCAAAATGTCTATGACTTTTTCTGCAAATAGAACAGAGGGGAACCACTCTACTGTTATGTTTAAAGGACATGGGGGAATCTAAATATTAAATTTTAATCTAATTCTTCCCCTGCTTGCTAATTTGCACAATGTTTGAGCTATCTGAAGGCATTCTTAGAAATGGGTATTTGACATGGTATTCTAATTTTTCAAGCAGCCTTGCAATGAAAGTATACCAGGCAGCATCTTTCCTTTAGTGGCCCTCACCTCCATTATCTGGGTTCAGATGAGTGCACAACCAAGAAAAGGAGCTGCAGAGCTCATGTTAAACCTATTCATAAATAATATACCTATCCATTCCCTACCCCCTGCTTATATTTTTACAGAAATACCATGCAGTCAATTATGTTTAAAGTCTTTCTAAAGCTGTGGGGAGACATTCTATCCTACTGACTCTGAGAAGTCCAGAGCAAACAGAGAAAAGAGGAAAAAGGAAGTGGCTGAGAAAGTGTTTTGTAGATGTACTTTTTTTTTGTAATTAATATTACTTAAAAAGATTAGAGTATGTTTGAACTGACGAGGACTGAAGTCATTAAGTACCAAGCTTTGAAGAGAAGATGGCAGAGATAGAGGAAAGGGGACATATGTTTGGCTTCCTTCAAGGCAGTATTCAAAGAAGCCTGTAGGCAGTGAGTTACAGGAGTTTAAGAAATATTTCCTAAGGGAAACTATGAAGGTCTTTATTTCCTATAAAAATCTACAATGTGTACACTTCTGAGCCTGCAAGATGTTTGTCTTCCTGCCAGAGGCTCTGACCAATTATGTGAGCTGTCAATTCTCTTCCTAGGTCACCTCAGTAGATGTTTACCTGTCACCTATGAGCTGCCAGGCCTCAGGCCTGTGTCAACATCATCTAGATAAGAGACTGCATCAAGATGAATAAGAATTTTTCCTTCCCTTAAAAAGTTGATGTTCCTACAAAGGAGGACACATAGAGGCTCAAGGCTTTCTAAACTCTAACCGGTTAGAGATGATGAGTGATTTCTAGTCAGAAGGGAAGAAATAAAGACTAAAGGGAGAACAAAAGAAAGTTTTAATAAAGAGTGAAAGATAAATACTACTAGCAAGTGGAAGATTCTGACACTGGAGAAAGCAGGGAATATTACTTTAGCTTGAGTTATACTATGTGTATGGGACCCTTCCCAGAAAAGGGGAATTTGGATCTTATGAAGAAATGGTAGCAGCTCATATTCCACAGATCAAGTGGCACAATTACTAAGTCCTAGTTTATATAGATAAGCCTGTTACAAGGTCAAGGAAGGAGATGCTTAATGTTGTTTTGTATCTTCTTTTTCAGGCTACAGAGTTAGCTGTACGGAGTTAGTTTTAGGTAGATTTAGTATAGTAAATTGGATGGTGTTCTGTTTTCCTAGAACAGGTATGTGAGAACTGACCGAGTTGTCACAAATCTATCAAATCACACTGATCATTATCTCATTTTGTTGATTCATGAGAGGTTGACTGTGTTTATCAGAGAAGATTCGTGGTAACAATGGTATAGAAGTCTTATAAGAAACGGAATAACTTGGGTAAACTTATTGCCTTAGGATGAAAGCTTAGATACATATTAAAATTACATTTGCTTACTTGAATCCACCCATTAGAGGGTGGGGAAATTGTCTCTTTTTACTATTCTAATCCTTACCAGACCACATTGTACAAAGTGTTTTCTCAACAGATGTCTGTTGAAAAAATACATGAACGAGGAAAATGTTGATGTTCAGTGGATGTTGCATTTGAAATAGAATTTAGATTTTTGAGCTATAACTTAAGACCCCAGAATGATAGGATTTTGGCTAGGGTAGGAACACAGTTCAAAATTATTTGAGTGAAATTTAAACTGAATATACAGGGGAAGAAGATAAGTAATGAAATACACTGATGTAGAGCATGATTTTGCAGAATGCAAATAGTAGGAGGGAATGTAGGAGATGCTTATGATTTACATGGAAAATCAGTAATGGTACCAAAAGCCAAAATTATAGCCTCCAACACATATACCACTGTAGAACATTAGAAATTAACAAGATATTGAGCGATTTTAATTTATGGCAAGAGGTTTGTATACATTCACAGTTATCATTGAGATTAATTGAGATGTGATTCAAAATTAAAAGATGGTGATGGAATCTCTTTAAAGAGGGCAGACATTTTTGAAAATCAATTAGAGAAATAGTTATATTTATGTATCAAGGGGCCATAAACTAGTGTAGAAACTCATGATGTGAGATTATAGCTGAGGAAAATAGAAATAGAAATCTGAAATTGTTGGGAGAGTGTTCTCCAAGCTTTCTGGCCAGAAGGAAGAAAGAGATGATATACTTTTGACAGAGATCTGAAAGATGACCCTATGCCAGGCCAAAGTCATGATTGAGGGATTTCAATTAAGACATCTCCTAGAATCTCAACCTGCAAAAAATTTGAGTGTGTGTAAGCTCATGACATTCTTTGATAAGCTGTTAACAATCTCCTGAAAGATAGGCCATTAGGGAAACAGTTCCTTTTGGTCTGACTCCGAAATATAGGATACATTTATTGGCAAAGTGAGAGGAACAGAAGCTTTGGGGAAAGTCACTATAATATTTTAGAATTCATCATATTCATTGAGGGGAAGCCTGCTATGGTTGACCATGTGCTACAGACTTCAAGAGGGTCAGTGTAGAAAATATCAAGGAAAACATAGGCATGATTTCATGGCATTCTACATTAAAGGGAAGATGTCAACAGCTTTGGGAAGTTGTTCGAAATGCCATTTTGATTCTGTATACTGTAAACCATTTATCTCATAAAAATTAGGGGGAAATTTTGCTGGCACAGTGGTGCACACCCAGCTACTCAGGAGGCTGATGTGGGAGTATCCATCCCCTGAGGCCAGCTTAAGCAACATAGCAAGAACCTGTCTCTTAAAAAATAAAAATTAGTGGGAATTGTGAACTCAGAGTTTTGAGAGATATGTGATTTAAAAAGTACAAATTAATGATAAAAAATCCTAGAGTGGTCCACATGTGTAAGAATAATGTCCATAAAGTTGAAGGGTACTCAAGTTTGTGAAAAGTGCCACTGACAATAAAATGGGATTTCTTCATTATATTCAGAACAAGAAACAGATCGAGGAAGAGGCAGAGTAACAACAGCCGGGAAGAAGATACAGTTTTGTAAGTGACCCTGTAAATTTCCTTGTATCATCTTTGTTAAAATTGATCTTCATATTA
This sequence comes from Homo sapiens, assembly GCF_000001405.40. NCBI lineage: Eukaryota > Metazoa > Chordata > Mammalia > Primates > Hominidae > Homo > Homo sapiens. The sequence goes on along the minus strand of NC_000003.12, from coordinate 176,853,651 downwards.
AAAAGAGTGGGGCAAACATTGAAATGAAGGATGCAAACTCAAAACAAAAAAGATGAGGGAGCATTAGCAGTTCAGATTTCAAATCTTATGAATGACATCTTAGGTTACTCAGAAATTTCAAATGAATTAATTGAATGGCTATTTGTTATTGCAGAGAAATTGTGGAGACTGGGCAAGATGTGGGGGACAAAAGTCAAGCAATTATCAAAAAATTTTGTAAGAGAAGGGTGATGTCTGCAAACAAAATGCCCAATTCTGTCAATACTTAGCCATAATTATTGTTCATCAATGGGAAACTCTCCTCCCCTTTTTGTTAGTAATTTTAACACAATCTCAGTTATGTAATTTTACCCCTACATATGTCAGTATTCATATAAAAAATAAAAAGAATATTTTCATACATAACCACAATACCAGCAAAAGTGACTTATTAAACAGATTTGTGATTTACCAAAAGTGGAAAATGATGATTGAAACATGGAAAGGATTGACATACATTCATACTATAGTTACCTCATTTCTATCTTGGGTAGGATTTCTGGACTTATTAAGGAAATGCAGGCAAAATGATATTATGTATCTAAACTTAATCAAGGAATTTGATAAGGTCTCCCTAATTTGTGAAAAGATGGAGACATACAGGTTTGACTCCAATATTTGATTGAAAACATGGATTCCTGTTCAATTGAAAGGAAGTTTTTTTAGCCTTGTAGTTTTTTGATATTTTTGCCAATGACTTGAAAGAAAATATAGGAAGTCTGCCCATTCAAGTTGTGAATAATAAAATAATTAACAAAAAATCTTTACTAGCTGGAGAATGAATTGAATTCATTATGCTGAAATTTAATAAGGATGGATATTTGGTCTCTTTTTTGTATTCAGAAATTTTGCTCTAAGAGACAGAAAGTTTGAATTGACAGTAAGCATACAATTGACCAATGATGTAATGAGGCTTTCAAAGAAAAGAAAATGTGACTTGAAGTTGTATGAATACACATAGGTGTCTAGAAAGAGAGTGTTTATAGTTCTGTTCCTTTCCTGTCCCAGTGGTCCACTTTAAAAGGCTAAAGCCAAATTGAGTGGCCAAGAGATATGAAAAAGAATAACCAATATGGGTAAGCCATGCCATGTAAACAATCTGTTAAAAGTACTGGGAATAAATAGTCTGAAAATGAGAATGTGATAACCACCTTCTGACATTTGAAGGCCTGCCATGTGAATGTAAAATTAGACTTTCTATATAAACTTGAGTGCTAGCGCTGTAACCAGTAATAGAACTTTCAGAGACAGATTTTGGCTCAAGATATAGAAGAATTTTCTAATGGTCAGAACCGTCTAAAATGGAATGTGTGAATTTTTTTAAGTCACTGGAGATGTTCCAAAATAGAGGCATCATTTCTAAGGATATTATAGCAGTTATCCAAGTTTTGAATGATTAGTTAACACTTGTCTTTCATGCCTGAATTTTTAGCATTCTGTGAAGCTGTTTTCAGTTTTCTTGACTTCAAAGTGGCCAATTTTCCAGTAATCCAATCCACAGATAAGTATGTTTTAACCCCAAAGGTCTTAATAGAGATCTTGCCTTATAACTTAATAGAGATCTTGCCTACCTTCTTTTCATCCTAGCCTTTTGCCTGATTCATATTCAGGTGGCCTCTGACTGCCACCCTGTCTCCCTAGAATATTACTTATTCTTTCAAACTCAAAGCTCCTTTTTTGGCACAAGTATCCAGATTACCTGTAGCTTTCTAAGTTCTGGTTGTGGCCTGATAGATAGGTTCTTTGACATTTAATTGGCAGGAGTTTGGTAACAGACCCTCAATAAACCCCAAAGAGTATTCCATTTCTTCCTTTTCTCAGTTATTCCATCTGACCAGCTATAGAATTTTCACTGAAAACCCATAGTCTTTATATATGTATAATCTTACAGTATAGTCATAATTTAACTTTAGACATCATAATCTTCACAGTTACATTAAACTTCCCTCACAAATACATTCATTTTGAAATCCATTTGGCTTGTGGAATGGTTTGAGGTATGGTGGCAAACATAAGTAGAGATGAGTAGGCATGTGAGAAGACAAAGCTAAAGACAAAGGTTTGGGAGAATTTGTGTAATGAATGGGTTGGTTAAAGAATATGTACAAAGAGAATTATGGGAATTTCAGCTCTAGGGGTGAGTGTCCTTTCCTGATATTACTCTAAATATGTTCTGATACTAGTCAAGAAACTTAAATTTATTCAACACTCAGACCAAACATTAATATTAATGGGAGAATAAAGGAAAATGGTGTTTATACTTTTTTGTACCACGGCCTTTGCTAGGTACTTTATATTATCTCATTCAATCCCCATAACAATTCTTGGAGGCAGATGAGATAAGATGCAGGTAAGAGAACAGTGTAGGAGGTTGAGTACTGAGCCAAGTTTACATATCTAGCAAGGTGTAGAGCAGCAATTCATGTTTACATATATTACCTTTTCTATAACACCACACTGCATACTCTGTTGTGTGGATAGACATGGGGGCCAGGGTGTGGTCTCAAGACATAACAAGTGGCAATGAGCCCGCAACTATCTTTTCATTGTTTTAAGTAACAAATGTTATTTGTTTCTAATAAAAAGTTTGCAAGATTAATACATTGGATTTCTAGAACCCCTGTGAGTTCAAAGCAGACAGTTCACTTTAAGAAGCCATATGACACATGCAAATTTTTCAGCCATCAAATACATTGAGCAGGTAGCTCAAGGCATTCTGTAACACACAAAAAAGCACAGATTCTTCTTCTATGATCCCTTAACTGCCCCCGGGAACCAGCGTGGTGAATTTGCTTGACCTCAGGTGTTTCAGGTGACAAGATTAAATCAATATGGGAAAAGATTTCTTGACCTCCAAGTACCGTGAGTTCAGCGGGATTTGCTTGAGAGGAGTGCAGCTCCAGGCTCAAGGCTGTGGGAAGCCTTTGGCATCTGGTGCCTCGGTTGGTGGAGGGCTGTGATAACGCAATACCCATCCAATTCTCTTATCTCCTGATTACACTGCTTTTTAGAAGATATCCCTAGGGTAAATCTCTTCAATTGATTTTGCTGTCAGGAGTCAGCTCAAGTTCACATAGGAAAGGAAGATTAGTACCTCACTGGTTAAGTGCTTTAGCAATTTGCTCTACGTGTTAAATTATGGACTTTATCAGTTCAGAGCTGCTTAATTTCCAGAGCAGGGCAAAAATGATACCATTCGGACCAACCGCTGATCTTCACATTTCAGTCATTGGAGAGTTTGGCAGTTTGAACTTGTCTGTAAGTTTAGTAAAATTCTCCAACTCCTGGGACTGTTTTCTCAGTATCTCTGGCAGTCCCTGTTTCTCAATAAATTGGTTGGTCACATTACTGTGAATCGTCATAGTCTGCCCCCATCATCTGTTCTAATTTCTTTAAATGGCTATATGGATTTGCTGAAAATGATAATAGTGTTAGTGTTGATTCTCAGTTTGTGTGGTTGTGTGACATGGCATGCAAATAAAGCAAAAACAGTCACGTTGCCGTGATGGGTGACAGAAAAAAACAGTCCAGATCAACGTCAAAGAGTTGGAAGAAATCACAGTGCCATTCCCAAAATGCCACTCTATCTATTAGAGGGGAGGCAATATTTTATTCCCTCCAGGCTTTGTTATCCTCAGTCAATCCTCATTGAAACTTCTAAAAACATAAATCCCTTTCTCTTCTTTGTAAATTATTTCACCCTCCCTTAAATCTCCTAAGAAATTCAGTTACATGATTAACTGGACTTCCATTTTGCAAATCAGTTAGTTGGAATGAATAAGATTTCTAGTGAATCTTCTTGTTGGCTGTTGGAAGAGGTTTGATGGTGACCTCCCACTGTGTTACTCTTACCTCTAAGTACTTTAAAAGAAGTAGATGAGGGTTATGAGGACAGAATAATCTCTTTTCATTTCTCTGAGCTACAGAGTAGTGGATTTCACTCCTGGACTTGTTTCTGATCTCCCTGGCTTCCAATCATTTTCTCTTTTCCTATAGAGACCTCTACTTGGCCCACAGACTTTTCTGTCTTCCCCATAGCTGCCAGTTGAATGACATCTGGAAGGGGACTTGGCATGCCTACAGAGACCAGCAATGTGTGCATGGATGTAGGAAGTATAGGGCATTCGTTTATGTCGGTGTTGAGGATTCAGAAAGAATTCTGGAAGAAGCATTTTTTAAACTCTAACCTGAAGGATGGTTACATAAGCATCACCCAGCTAGAAATAAAGGGCAGGGACAAAGATCCACAAACTGGGGAGACTAATGTGAGCAGGGAGCTCCAAGTGGGAGTATGGCTTCAGTGTAAGGTGAAGAGGGAAAGGAGGAAGAAGTGAAGTTGAGGTAGCCAGAGCCAGATTATGAAGGGCCTTAACCAGTTTTAGTTTACTTAGCTTGGGAGTTTGTATATATTTTGAAGAAGCAGGGGCATAAGTTCTTGGTTCTTCAGAACATTTTCAATTCTAATTCCAGTGACTTACATCCACATCTCAAACAGGTATTGCTCTTTGCCAAGCAAGGATCTATCCTGCCCTAGAGGGGTGGAGAATAATCCTTCATACTATCTTTCATTGAGCAAGAGTGAATCTGGAGCACATTTAGCATGAAACCTAAGATGAATCATTCTTAGGATTAGTCATCTTTGAAAAATTATATTTTTATATTTGTGGAGCCACCTACACTTACCTACTAAACCACTTGACTAGATCATTTCAAAATTTAAAATCTGACTCTGTCTCCTTCCCTAGCTAAAACCATTTAATGGCCTCTCCTTACCACTGGCTGCTGGGTCCTCCATGGTGTGGTTCCCTGACACCACTCCAGCTTCATATGCTTGCTCTTCCTTCAGGCTCGGAGCCCACACCTCGCTGTCCCCTTTCACGCCCTTGTTCCTTCTGCCCTTGAGAATTTGCACCTGGTGATCCCTGTTTTGTAATGTTGTTTCATTTCCTTCTCACTCAGCTAACTTTCATTTCCTGATCAAATCTCAGCCACATCATCACTTCCTCAGAGGATCTTTCCCCACCCCTCTCTCTGATTAGGTTGGAGTGCTCTATTACACTCACCTTAGTGCTTGTGGATAGGCCTGCATCCCAGGAGTTAGTACAGACCCTACAATCGGCTGGATCACTCCAGCACTCCACTTCTCCCTTTGGTATGTATTTCTGGAAATTACTGGGTAATGGAATAATCAACCATAAATATTTTCTCCACTGCTTCCTGGAACAGCCCTTCACTGCTCTTTTACGTTGTGGTCTGCTCTGCTCTCCTCCATTTAACACGACGACTCATAGGTCTACCTCAACATCTTCAATTACTGCTCTCATTCTCTTTTGCATTCTTCTCTTCCTTCTCTGTCTCTTCCATCTAGGTATTCCCCAGGCCCTGCCATTCTTCTTCTTTTCTTCCCATCTAACTTCTCCTAGGCTATTGCATCTACCTTCAGGACCTCTGCTGCTCCTTAGACACCAGTGAGCCTCAGATTTGTAACATCTCCCAACATCCACCTCTTACTTGGACTTCACTTGCATTTTTTCCAACAAATAACTAAACTTTTCAATTTGCTATGTTGAAGACACCTCACCTCACAGTCTATATGCCTGATGTTGATCTCAACATTTCTTCTCCCATCATCATTGCTCCTTCACCCCTATTCCCCAAGATACCTTGGAATTGTTTTGACATTTCCCTCTTTCTAATTCCCTCACTTTCACTTCTACCCTCATCTGGTCATGTGCTGTGGGGTCTACATCTTAAATGTCTCTGAAATCTATCTTCTCTCTCTATCTGTCTCCAAAAGAATATCTCCCTACTCTTCCTGCTTTAAACATCATCTCCAGTTTATTCACATCCAGTTCATCTATAATATTGTCTCCAGAGTTAGCATTTCAAAACAAACAGACATTTGATTATGCAACTCTGGTTAAAAACTTTGTTCATTGTGTATTTTCTATATGATAACATTTAAGAGCCTTGGTATTGCCATTCAACATCCAGGTCATCTCTTGGTGTCTTGCCCATCAGTCATTCACTCTGGTTAATCTGTTCTATCCCATTCTCTACACACTTGCTGGCCTCTGGTTTTACTTGTGTTGATTCTTCTGCCATAAGTTTCCTCTTTTTCCTTCTCTGCTCCAGTAACTTCTCCAATCTTCAAATGTTACCTTCGTTGCAAAATTTCCTTGGAACTCCCTAGCAAGAATTAGTGACTGCCCCCTCCTTGGCATTGCCACAGTATTTTGTATGGATATGCCTCTGTAGCACTTACAATAAACAAATAATATACATATGTGCATATATACAATTTTAGTTATTTTTATTCATTCTATGGTCCTCTCACTAAATAGAAACATCGTGAAAATAGAGGTAGTGTCTTATTTATCTTTGCATCTCTAGAGTTTAGTACAATGCTTGGATTTAGACCACATGGTAGAGATTATAAATATTTTCATAAAATTGAATTTAACAAATGACCCCGTGTGTTGGATGACTGTTTTGCTGTTTAGAACATGGGCAGAAATTGCTGAAAAAAGGGAAATACAAAGAAACAGTCAATGGGTTTTTTTTTTAAATAGTCAATGTTGAGTGAATAGCTTGCTAAAATATTAGAAGGTAATAACACGGCTGATATATATTTGAATTAATATGAACAACAGATATTTATATTAATAATCTCTCTTTTAGAAAAGAAGAAATACAGCCTCAGAGAGGTTGGATATAGAATCTAGTCCTTTGTTTTTTAGCCTTTCAAGTTGTCCACAGATAAGAGAGAAGGGGCAGAGCAGTGAATGCTGTATCATTAGGCTGAAGCAGAAGGAAACTGTCATGGTAATTGGGACAGGTGCATTGGGAGACATACCAGTTTTAGAGAAGATAAATTAATTCACAATAGCTCAGTTATGTCACAGCCTGGCAAAATGTCAGTACAAATCACTAATGGAGTCATTTCAGAAGTTACCTTGCAGTTTGAAATAAGGCATTTACTTATAATTTCAATTTATGATATTTTCTATTGAATGATGAAAATTAGTATTCAGTAATAATGCATTTTTGAGGGATAAACTCAGTATGTGCTTGGCTCATTGGCACGCTGATGGGATATTTTACTGCACTCTGTGTCAAGGGTTAGGCAATAAAAGCATTTCATTCTGAAGTTAAAATCCATTTCCGTCAAGTAGGTGGCAAATAATTATATTGGACGACCAACTCACAATTTTCCAGTTTTAGAAAATGCAGAATTGTGAATGAAATTTGAGTTAGAATCAAAGTTTAAAATAATGATGTGCATAAAATGCTACAGTTGAAAAAATACTTCACATGCATTTAATTTACCTGGAGAGAACTGGGGCCCTGAAAATCAAATGATTTGTTTAAAGCCAAGTGAATCAATGGCCAAGCCTTGGTCGAACCCAAGTGAACTGTTTACAAATTCAACACCCTTTCCAATCATAACAATCCTGACTCATTCAGAGGAATAAAAGTACACTTCTAAAATTTTCTTTTTTTTTAAACTGGAGAAAAAGTACACAAATTTATTTAACATTCTCCCAGAGAGGATCACAAAATGATTGTCCCCTAAAATGTTCTTATGTCACACAAATGGCTTTGATTTTCAGCTAGTCTGAAGGGTTTTTAAATAGTTTTTATCTAGTTATCATTCTTGGATTTAGGAGCATTTATTTAAATAGAGAGCCACATTTCTCTTTAATATTCGAGCATTCATAAAATAATCAGTTAATGTGGAGAAAAGTGTATTGTGTATTTTTTTTCCAGAAAGTGTATAGAAACATGCTTCATCAATTTAAGAAACACTTCAAACACTTTCTTGATTTTTCCAAAAGTAAACAGCATAAGATGATCCTTACAACCTGTCAGAACAAAGTATTTCCTAGTTCAAGCAGTTTAATTTGGTATATGTTTGTACTTCGTTTTAAAAAAAGTGATGTTTGATGTGGAAGAGTAGGTCCATGTCTCCTCTTACAACCTCTAGAACTTTCCTTGATGAAGTGCTGCTTATTTGAAAGTTAGCATGAGCTCTTCTACTTTGAGTGAAGGGAAGTAGGAACTGGTGAGAAAGTGAGAGGTAGAGGTCAAGGAGCAGGTGACTGGGAATCAACTCTCAAGATCTTCAACTCTCCTCACCTAATATACTCAGGATGCTGAACTGATTACAAAGGCTTTGGCATATTTAAGCTATTTTATTTTTATAACAATCATCAGAATTATTATAGAGAACATTTTGTAGTGAAAACTAAGGCTTAGAGATGTTGGCTGATTTTCCCCATTTGACACATACAGCATACTGTAGAGATGGGACCTGGCCAAGTTCCGAAGACTCCCAGCCCAGAATTCTTTCCTCCCTTTTCAGTTGTCTCATTTCTAGTGTGGGGATCTTCTCAAGGTAATAACATTTCAACTTCTCACGGTGTTTCTCTGCAGCATTTTAATCAGACACTTGGGTACTGGGACCAAAATGTCAATAATTTAGTCTTCTAAAGGAGATTTAATGTAACTCTTTTGTTTGGGTTATTCTAGGATTTTGGTAATCTTCCAATAGGATAATTTCAAAGATGTTTGTGGAAATGAAATAGTCTTTATAAAAACAATGTGTCAGACCTTTCCAATGAGAATTCGAGTTTCTTAAGAGCAGGGGTTATACTGTCTTGTTTCTTTAAATCTACTTGATTTCCAACCCCAGAATATTTACTAGCATAATATTCTACCCAAAGAGAGAGGTCTTTGGATGTTAATTCTCCAGTGATACAAATCTCCAAACTTTCACTTAGCTCCAAGACTTTATATTTCTATGGGTGTATACGATGGAAAAGACTTTATGATGTTATACTGTTATTCCATTTCAGACACTCAACTATAATTACATGCAAGAATACTGGATGGGTGCGGTGGCTCATGCCTGTAATCCCAACACTTTGGGAGGCTGAAATGGGTGGATCACCTGAGGTCAAGAGTTCGAGACCAGCCTGGCGAACATGGCGAAACCCCATCTCTACTAAAAATACAAAAATTAGCCGGGCATGGTGGCATGCACCTGCAATCCCAGCTACTCGGGAGGCTAAGGCAGGAGAATTGCTTTAACCCAGGAGGTGGAGGTTACAGTGAGCCAAGATCGTGCTACTGCACTCCAGCCTGGTAGACAGAGCAAGACCCTGTCTCCAAAAAAAAAAAAAAAAAAAAAGAAAAAAGAAAAAAAATGCAATTTCCCTTCCCACATTTTTTTCTACACTTAATCCAATCTTAATGTTATGAATAATTGAATTGCAAATGTAATTCAATACATGTAAATGACAGGTGTGTGTGTGTGTGTGTGAATATGGTTTGTGTATGTACTTGTGTCCTAATTCTACACACCAACTTCCCAACACACACAAAATAGCAACCTCAGCCACACAAACTATTGGTTCATCATCTGATGCATGCATATGAGAAAGCAGCATGACCTCCTCTCTATTTTCTTCTCCTCCTCCCTCTCCTCCCCCTCCTCCTCCTCATCCTCTTCCTCCTCCTCCTCCTTCTTCTTTTCTTCTTCTTCTTCCTCCTCTTCCTCCTCCTCCTCCTTCTTTTCTTCTTCTTCTTCCTCCTCTTCCTCTTCCTCTGCTGCTTCTTTTTTTAAAGAGAAAAAAACTATTTTAAAGATAAACATTTGAAAATTTTTACATCCACAGGAAAATGGAAAGGACAAGAAAAGCAAACCCCTTATCTGTTAACATATTGTCACGCCCACTTTTTCTCTCTCTCATTCTGTCTCCCAATCTTTTTCTCTCTCTCCAAACTTTGAGACTGTGTGAATATCTACATACCTTTCTCTCTTCATCTGTGGAAAAATCACACTCAATCTACTCTCCTCAAGTAACCTGTCTTTCATTGGTAATACCATTTACGTACATTTTTCTTTTGCTAAACAATTGAAAATAGATTACAGACATCACAGTTTACCTCTAAATACTTCAGCATGACATGCATCTTTCCAAACAGAGGTATTTGCTACAACTAAGAAAATCAACATTAATTCAATATTGTTCGTATCCAGATTGCCCCGATCATGCCCCAAATGTCCACAATAGTTTGTTATATTGTGTCATATTACATTATATCATTATTATTGTTGTTTTAGCTCCGAAATCAAAGGAGATGCATTATTTCATTCCCATTGTCTCTTTAGTCTCTCCTAAACCAGAACAGCTTTATCATCTCCTTCTATTTTTCATGACACTGAATGTTTTGAAAAGTGCAATAAAGCTGTCATGCAGAACATCTCATGGTCCATGTTTGTCTGTTTCCTGACTGGATGCAGGTCAAACATTTTCAGCAAGAATGCTGTGGAGATGTTGTTTGGCACTTCTCACTGCATTGCAGGAGGTCTTTGTATTCTTACTCTCTGGTGATTCTGAGCTCGATCCCTTGATCAGGACAGTGACCACCAGAGCTCTCCCTTTTAGATGCATGTTATCCTCTTTGTAATAAATCAGAAATCTATGGATGAGGTCACGTGACTTTCAAAATCATTTTCTTTCCCATCTGTGGAAAAATGCTATTCTTCTTTGTGATCTGTCTTCTATTAACTCTACTCTATGTAATATCCTTTTACTACATCTACCTTGTGCCATATTCTTAAATTTGCTGTCTTGGGAGTCTCTAGGACTACTCCAGTTTTGATAATTCTTACAGAACTTAGAATGATTTTATACTCATGGTTTAGGGAAAGGAGATAGATTAAAATTAGCAAGTGGAAAAGATGCATAGGGTAGAGTCCAGCAGAAACCAGCCTCAAACTTCTTGTTGTTCTCTCCTAGTGGAGTCATATGCAACTCTTAATTTTCCGAGGGACTATGTGAGATGACATGTATGATGTATGACCTACCGGGGAAGCTCACTGGAGCCTTGGTGTTCAGGGTGCCCATGACACCCTGCCCAGAGGCCAAACTATTATAGCATGACCCAAGACTCCAGGGGAACAAAAAGAGGCACTCTCCATAAATTGCATCATTAGCACAAATTGTCTGGTGTGGTCCAAGACCTCATATATACAAAGAATCTAATCAGGCAGGATATTCCAAGTGCTTATGGTTTATTTCCCAGGAACCAACTAAGGGCCACTCCTTTCTGTTGAATGTATAGGGTTTGAACACCACAGACATGCTGAGATAACCTTTTATTGCACATTTACACAACTATCTTCATTTTTTAAAAATGAATAGTTATCTCAGAAAAGGTTTCTTTCCTTATGTCTTTTGGCCTTCCCTTTTCTATTGTATTTATGAATCCTCAAAATATCACTAATTGAAACTGAAAAGCTGTGTGTGTAATATTAGTGGCACATTCATCTCTTGGAAATGGATGTAATAATTTTCTGAAAAAGAAATTGACATAAAAATGAATCAGTACCATGATTTCTAATATTCTGTTGAGAAGCTTAACAATGATTTCTAAATTTTCACCATCTGATTAAACTCATTTGTCCCCTCAAGAACCAGCATTCATAGTAAGTTAATTTTTTCTTATTTAATTTGTTTCTGTTTTGTATAATCACTATTTTCTTAATGTGATTTTTTAATTTCTTTTTTTAATGGTAATTTTGTGGCATTTCTGCTCTAGTACAACTTATGTAATGTTTTTGAGGTGACAGAAATTCAGTCACCATTTAGAACACTGATGTTCTGTACAAATACAATCAAGGCCACAACCAATCTACTGCAAGTATACTTTAGGAGAATAGTTTGCTTATAGTTTTAGGATTGTTCGTATTTTCTTGGTGTCTAAAGCAAAGTTCATCATTTTTGACCAATTTACAGATGCATATTTTTTTACATAGATATGCAAACCATTTGTTAAATAAGGCTTAGTTCTTAATCTACTTAATTTTTAGAGTGCTACAAGGTTATTTCATTCAATGATTGTTGTATTAGTCAGTGTTCTCTAGAGGGGCAGGCCTAGTAGAATAGATGTATATATGAAAGGGAATTTATTAAGGAGTATTGATGCACAGGGTCACAAGGTGAAGTCCCACAATAGGCCATCTGCAAGCTGGGGAGCAAGGAAGCCAGCCCGAGTCCCAAAATCTTAAAAGTAGGGAAGCCGACAGTGCAGCCTTCAGTCTGTGGCCGAAGGCCTGAGAACCCCTGCCTGGCAAGCCAGTAGTGTCAGTCTAAGAGTCCAAAAGCTGAAGACCCTGGAGTCCGATAGTCAAGGGCAGGAAGCATCCAGCAGGGGAGAAAGATGAAGGCTGGAAGAACGGTTTTCTGTTTAACTCTAGACTATTTTATAGATTTTTAAGTCATGTTAGTAGCCACAGTTCGTACACACAATAGACTTTACTATGGCTTGTTTAACTAGAAAAGCATTTATTGAGAGAAACGAATAGAGACCTCAAAGTTCCATTGAGAAGCCTCAAAGGTTCACTGAGAAGAGACACACTCAAGTAGGAGGAGCTATAACCAGAACCATAGTGCAGGGACAAGCAACCAACAGAGCTGCTGCCTTTGCCAGGAGGATGAAGTTGCTATTCAAGAAGTCACCACCATAGTTACTGACACCAGAACCCGCCGACTCTGCCAGGCTCTACGCCAGGAAAATAGGTGTCCTGCATCTCACCTTGCTTGCCTCATGTAAACCCATTTCAAGTCAAAGTCTGAATGAGTGCTTTTCTCTCCAAGTGACCCAGTTCCAAATCAAGGTCTTGCACCAATCCCTGATTGGTGGAAATTGAATAACACGTAGAATGCTAGCTGTAAGAGTTTGGGAAATATAATTATACAGCTTGCCTGCTTTGGCATGCTAGAAGGGGGTTGGAACAGGTGCTGAAACCGCAAACCCACCACCTGTCATAGAAGGGAGGGCTGTGAGGAGTGGCCAATGCACTTGTGTCTCTCCGTTTTCTCATGCATGAAATCAGATGCTATACTGAAAAGTTTATATATGACCAGCAGAGCACTTTACGTCTCACAGCAAATGCTGTCTTCCTTTTCTATCAGGACCTGAACAGAGCGTAGTTTCCTAAAATGTATATGACTCCTACTGTACTTTCCATTTCACTTCTACTAGTGTGGGATTTTCTGTTCTCTCTGAACAATAGTTAGAGACTTCTGGGATCATCACTAAAGCAGTTATGTTAGAGATGGGAGGAGGGGGCATAGGTGATGGAGATGCTGAAAAAAAAAATACACTGGAGGCTACAAAGTTAGGTTTAAAAAAATTATCCAAGGAGAATGAAGTGATTTATGCTGCACCACAAACCTTTGGAATTCTGAAGTCTTCAATTCTTCCTGCCAAAATTTTGCATACTTTCCTTCACTCTTTAAATGGAAATAAACGAATTATTTAGATTTTTATTCTTACATTTCTACCTCCTGGTAGGTGAAACCATGGTGGTGTTCTGCCTAATTTAGAGCTCACTAACTCCTGAACTATACCCTTCCCTTATATGTGTGAAAACACTAGAAGGAATTTCCTCTGTTTCCAACTGTGGTTAAGTCTTGATCCCTTGAGGAAAGCCCTTACTTGTTGTCTTTAATATTGAAGAGTTTTGGCAGCTTAGTTAAATTCCCTAGTTACCAATTTTACTCGGTAGTAGCTGAAATGCCCTGGAACTAAGTTGGTCATTGGGGGACAGTCCAGAGAAATGAGTATAATTTCTGTAGTACCAGGAGACCATTAGTAAATATATGTATTAAGCATTATAATGTATTCAATAAAATACCCAAGAAATTTTGGGGGCTAGAATAACATGCTTTTGTGGATTCCATTTCTGGGCCTAAAAGTTTTACATAACTAAAAATACAAATCAGCATGCCAGTTTTGGCAGATTTATCTCCAGCCGTTGTTTATATAAGAAACGTGTATCCAACTGAGTCTCACAAATAGACTTGAAGTAATTTAGTTTAGAGCACAACATTCCATTTAGCCAAAAGTGCTGCTGTGAAGGGAAGATGTTACCCATTTTCCAAGTGTTCCCCTGCTGACATTGACGCTCTTATAGCTGTGAGCCCAGCAATGCCTTTTCAGCCCAGCTGCAGACATTAGAACTGACTTCCCAAATGAGCTTGATTATTCAAGTAGAATTATGCACTCAACTATAATTCATTTTATTGTGTAACCTTTAGAAAAAAAATGTAGCATATGAATGAAGAGGCATATTACTTGAAAAAAAATTTTATACCAGAAAGACTCGGAGAGTGTGACATGCATATTAAACCATAACCTTATTCAAGGTTTTATTTATAAATATTATTGCACATATATTGCCATGTAAATGACGTAGTCAAAAGGAATTCACATGTGTTTGCATGTTTAACAACTGGGCCTGTGGGTATCCTTTGGCCTTTAAAAATTAAGACTACTTTTGAGATAAGTCAGTTATTTTTAAACATTTTCTCACCACCTATTGAACTTATCACTTCTTTAAGAAGGTAAATAAAGACTTTTGTTGTCTCCAGAGGTGGCATGCTTTATTTTGCTTTAGAGTCATTATTTGGGTAGTCTCTCATATAGGTGACTTAGATGTGCCTGGGTAATCTGGCATTTGCTTTTCTCTATGTATTGCATGGGTAACAAAAGCATTCTCAAAATATGAGCCCAGAATATCATTCAAATTTATTTCCAGTTATCCATAAGTGATTGAATATTTAAATTAGGTATTTTTGTTCATTCCGTCCCCCACCTATGAGAAAAGATAATATGTCATGTTTATTAGTAAGTGAATATTAATAAGTATCCAAACGGTGCATTTTGAACAATGGCATGTTTGGATATTTAATGGAGCTTTATAATATAGAGGTATTTGCTTGGGCAGATATAAAGACTTATTACAAAGCTATAGTGATTAAAATAGTGTGGCATTGGCAGAAATTTAAATAACTAGACCAGTGGAAGAGAATAAAGAATGCTTAAACAAATCCATGCAAATAGAGAAATGTGTAAGGCAGACATGGTGTTTTAGTCAGGGCTCTCCAGAGAAACAGAACCAATAGGATTATATATATAAATATATATATATGGAAATCTATTATGGAAGTTGGCTCACATGATTATGGAGGCCAAAGCTTTCTACAACATGCCATCTGCACACTGGAGAACCAGGAAAGCTGGTGGTGTAATTCCATTTGAGTCTGAAGGCCTGGGAACCAGGAGAGCTAATGGTGTAATGCCCTGTCTGAGGATGAAAGTCTGAGAACCCAGAAGTTCACTGGTGTAAGCCCAGGCCTGAGAACCAGGAGCTTTGATGTCCAATGCCAGGAGAAGAATAATGTCCCAGCTCAAGGAGAGAAAGAGAATTTGCCTTTCTTCCACCTGTTTGTTCTATCCAGGCTCTTGTATATCAAATTGACACATAAAATTAATCATCAGACATGGCTTTGCCAATCAGTGGCAGGTGGAGGGGAATGGAATATTCAGGAATTATGCAGGATAATTACTTGGAAAAATCAACATGAATACCCATCTCACACTACAACAAACATATATCAGGTGGACTTCACTGATATGAAAAGTATGTATGAAAAGTAAACTTCACTATTGTGAATAATGGTGTAATAGACATGAGGGAGTGTAGATATCTCTTTGACATACAGATTTTATTTTCTTTGAATATGTACTCAAAAGTGTGATTGCTAGATCACATGATAGTTCCATTTATAATATTTTTAGGAAACTCTCTACTGGTTTCCATAATGTCTAGAACAGATTACATTCCCATCAACAGTGTGCAAAGATTCTCTTTTCTCTACATCCTCACCAATACTTGTTATCTTTTGTCTTTTTGATAATAGCCATTCTAACAGGTATGAGATGATGTCTCATTATGGCTTTAATTTGCATTTCTCTCGTGACTAGATGATCATCTGTTGGCCGTTCTTATGTCTTCTTTGAGAAATGTCTATTCAGGTCCTTTGCCCACTTAAAAATCAAATTATTTGTTTTCTTGCTAGTTGTTTGAGTTCCTTATATATTTTTGAATATCAATTCCTTGTCAGATGTATGATTTGCAAATATTTTCTCCCATTCCCCAGGTTTGCTTTTTACTCTATTGATTGTTTCCTTTGCTGCGCAGAAGCTTTTGGGTTTAAAGCAATCTCATTTGTCTATTTTTGCCTATGTTGCTTGTGCTTTAGGGTTGCATCCACAAAGTCTTTGCCAAGGCCAATGTCAAGAAGCTTTCCCCTTGGTAACTTTGTGGTAGTTTTAGAGTTTCAGTTCTCATGTTTAAGTTTTTAATCCATTTTGAGGTGATTTTTGTATATTTAGTAAGAGACAAATTTCATTCTTCTGCACGTGGCTATCCAGTTTTTCCAACACTGTTGAAGAGGCCATCCTTTCCCCATTGTGTGTTCTTGGCAGCTTTGTTAAAGACCACTTGATCATAAATGTGTGTATTTATTTCTGGATTCTCTTTTCTGTTCCACTGGTCTGTATATCTGTCTTTATGTGTGTACCATGCTGTTTTGCTTACTATAGTTTTTAGCCAAAATAGAGAATTAACCTAGGTGTTCATCAGTGGATAAATAAAGAAAAAAGTGGTATATATATACATATATATATACACATTTCACAATGTATGCCCATATCAAAACATCACATTGTACACCATATGTATAATTTTTAAATTGTTAATTAAACCATAATAAAGTTGAAGAAAAAAATCATATTTAATTAATAATGACATTGGAAATGCTTATATAATAATATTAAATAAAAGTAGCAGACTAAGAAGCTGATTTCAATTTTATTAAAAATATACAAACATAGAAACAAACTGAAAGCAATATACTAAAAGGTTAATAGTTATTGCTTGTATTAGTCCATTTTCACACTGTGGATAAAGACATACCCAAGACTGGGTAATTTATAAAGCAAAAGAGGTTTAATGTACTCACAGTGTCATGTGGCTGGGGAGGCCTCACATTCATGGTGGAAGGTGAAAGGCATGTCTCACATGGCAATACGAGAGAATGAGAACCACGCGAAAGGGGTTTCCCTTATGAAACCATCAGATCTCATGAGACTTATTCACTACCACAATAACAATATGGGGGAAACTGCCCCCATGATTCAGTTATCTCCCACCAGGTCCCTCCTACAACATGTGGGAATTATGGAAGCTACAATTCAAGATGAAATTTTGGTGGGGACATAGCCAAACCATATCATTGCCTCTGTGTTATTTTCTAAATTCTTAAAAATTAGGATATATTATTTATACATTGATATATGTACATTATATATGAAGAAAAAATATGAAGGATAAAATTTAAAATTTAGTAGAAAACGTAGGAGAATGTCTTTATAACCCTGGAGAAGGAAAGAATTACTTAAGGAGACAAAAAGTACAAACCATAAAGGAAAGTATCGATAAATTTAACTTCATTAAAGCAAAGACTTTCTTTTCATTAGAAGACACCATAAAGAAAGTGACAATCCACAAACTAGGAGAAAAAATTTACAAAGAAAAATATTGAAAAGAACTGTGTATGTATTAATAGAATATACAAAGTATTATTTAAATCAGTTATGAAAGACAACACAATAAAGAAATGGACAAAAGGCATGAGCAGGCATTTCATAGAAGAAGATTCAAAATGACCTATAAATACACAAAATGATGCACAATCTCATTAGTAATCAGAGAAATGCAAATTAAGCCATAATGTGATCAGCCTTATACCCATCAGGACTTTTCAGATGAATAAAGATGCTACTGTAAGCAATAGAGTAGAAGTATGTTAAAAGCAATGTTAAATTCATAATAGCCTTTTTATTCTATATTTCATAGTCAATGTCTTTTTTAAATGTTATGATGTATTATTTAAAAAGTACAATTATTATCATTCAAATAATGTAATTTTTTTACTTTATAAAGTGGTTTTTATATTTAGCAAGACTGGGAAATGCCCTAGGTCAATTTCTAGCTCAATTTTACCTACTACATATAAGAAAAATGAATTGGTTCGAGTTCTATATCTAGTTAGTTAATGAACAAGGACTTGAACCCAGGTCTCCTTTAGTGTGGCTGATAGTTCTACTGTTGCAGAACAGAAAAACGTCTTAACTCTTTTGTGTGGTTGAAGACACTTTTTACAATCTTTTCCCAATTAGTCCTTCTAGTCTTAGCAACCATTAATTTTACACTCCATTTCTGGCTTGGCCCAGTTAATCTCTCCTTCATTGGTTGAATGCAACTTTTATTTTTCTCCTGGGTATCACTATTTCTACTTGCCCTTCAGGATCCAGTTTTGACCTTCCCTTCCTGGTGTCACCTGCTTGAAACTCCCCAACCAGAGTAATTTCTCTCACCTTCTGAACTCTTGTAGACATTTTTTTCTTTCTCTCTCTCTCTCTTTTTTTTGTTTTTGAGACAAAGTCTTGCTCTGTTGCCCAGGCTGGAGTGCAGTGGCACAATCTAAGCTCACTGCAACCTCCGTCTCCTGGGTTCAGGCAATTCTCCTACCTCAGACTCCTGAGTAGCTGGGATTACAGGCACCCGCCACCATGCCCAGCTAATTTTTGCATTTTTAGTAGAGACAGGGTTTCACCACATTGGCCAGGCTGGTCTCAAACTTCTGACCTCAGGTGATCCGCCACCTCGGCTTCCCAAAGTGCTGGGATTACAGGCATGAGCCACCGCGCGACCTCTTATAGACATTTCTAAGTCTTTCTAAAGGTAACTATTCATGTGACATTATGCATGATGTACTACTTGATTTTTTTATTTTGGAAACTGTTTATTGAGTCTTTATTATGTTTTAAGGACTTAGGATTCATTAGTACATAAGAAACACATAGTCTTCTGTTTTGGATTTGACAACCTAAAAAATTTTATTTTTTTCTGTTTGTTTCCTCTAAGTGTTTGCAAATGCCTAATGGAGAGAGACTTTATCTCTGTCCTAGAATAGTGTCTGGTGTTGAGTAGGCTCAAGAAATGTATGTCAAATTGTCTTCTCAAGAAAAGAGGCAGTTCGTTTTCTTTTACACAGCACCTGCCCTATTTTTCCTTGAAGATTCCCTGATTTTGTAAGATTAACGTGGCTTCCTTTGAGTGAAAATTCTGGGTTGTTCAGCTAAAAATGCGGCACTGACTTAGTACTTTGACATTATGTTGAATTATCCAACAATCCTAACCTTTGTTATTGCAAAGGGAAGGAATGGGAGAAAACAAAAAGATGGTTATGAATGGTGCTTTATATCAAAGAAATGCAAAGTCTGATAGGAGGAAGAGGGAAGTGGCATCTCCTGCCATGCAATGTTCCTAGAAATAAAACCATTAAGAGCAGTGCAGTCATAGTGGGAAGGTTTTATTGGAATGGCTCTTTGCATTATAGGCCACCATATTAGTGACCAGCCAAATAGTAATGTTCAGTGGCATAGATTATTGTGTTGGTAAGGAAAATATTCAGTAGATTTAGTGTTAAAATCTCTGGTAATGTAGATAAAAACTTTCTTTTGATTTATGTATATTCTGAGATTCTTATATTTTTCATGGTGCAAATATATTGGAAGTTACTCCAGAGAGTGTCATTTGTTCGTTTGTGCCTCCAAAGGTACTGGAACTTGCTTGTTGGTAATGGTTTCTGGTACCCAATACTTGAATTATTGTAAAAGTAAGCAATGTGGTGCAGAAGAGTTTCTGTTATCTTTTATGTCACAGTCACTGAAAGTAAAGTTACTGGATTTGCATGTAGTCTAATGAAGGTAACGTTAACTTAGCTAGTGAAAAGGCAGACGCCTGGTTGATACCGTTTCATGAAAAATTGAAAAGTCTTTCTGTCATTATATATTTTCTCCTCACTTATTTGCTGACATCTGGAAGATATATTTATTATTTGCTTACTTATTAAACAGAAATTCAAGTATGTCATTTAACAGTTATATAGGAAAGGCTTAAACTGTGGGTATATTCAAGGAAGGCACCATATGTTTAAAAATGGAAGAGGCAAGGAAACTTGACTCTTGAATTTTGTCCTGTGTCTTATAAATGGCTGTTTGATGGCAAAGCACTGAAACTCATACTGGTTTTATAAAAACAAATGAGATGTGTAATGATCATATCAGGTTAAATGGGGGTATCCATCACCTCTAGCATTCATCATTTCTTTGTTATGAACATTCTAATTGTACTCCCTCAGTTATTTTAAAATATACAACAAATTATTGCTGGCTGTAGTTACTGTGTGGTACTATCAAATAATAGATCTTATTAATTGTATATAATTATATTTTATACCCATGAATCATCCCCATACACCTGTATCAAAATATATCATGTACCCCATAAATATATATACCTACTATGTATTCATAAACATTAAAAAAAATTTCAAAAAGCCAATTAAGATCTTTTTTTTTTTCTTAAGAACATTTTATTTCATCGCTTATCACATAAATGTATTTGTCAGGTTATCTCTTTCCAGCCATCTTGTATCTACTATAAAGTGAAATGAAGAGTTGAATAAGTTGTCTGGCTATGTCAAACCAAAAATTTAAAAAGAATTTTACTCATTTATTAAGTATTACTCTAATTATTATTATTATTTTTTTATTATTGTACTTTAAGTTTTAGGGTACATGTGCACATTGTGCAGGTTAGTTACATATGTATACATGTGCCATACTGGTGCGCTGCACCCACTAACTCGTCATCTAGCATTAGGTATATCTCCCAATGCTATCCCTCCCCCCTCCCCCCACCCCACAACAGTCCCCAGAGTGTGATGTTCCCCTTCCTGTGTCCATGTGATCTCATTTTTCAATTCCCACCTATGAGTGAGAATATGCGGAGTTTGGTTTTTTGTTCTTGCAGTAGTTTACTGACAATGATGATTTCTAGCTTCATCCATGTCCCTACAAAGGACATGAACTCATCATTTTTTTATGGCTGCATAGTATTCCATGGTGTATATGTGCCACATTTTCTTAATCCAGTCTATCATTGTTGGACATTTGGGTTGTTTCCAAGTCTTTGCTATTGTGAATAATGCCGTAATAAACATACGTGTGCATGTGTCTTTATAGCAGCATGATTTATAGTCCTTTGGGTATATACCCAGTAATGTGATGGCTGGGTCAAATGGTATTTCTAGTTCTAGATCCCCGAGGAATCACCACACTGACTTCCACAATGGTTGAACCAGTTTACAGTCCCACCAACAGTGTAAAAGTGTTCCTATTTCTCCACATCTTCTCCAGCACCTGTTGTTTCCTGACTTTTTAATGATCGCCATTCTAACTGGTGTGAGATGGTATCTCATTGTGGTTTTGATTTGCATTTCTCTGATGGCCAGTGATGGTGAGCATTTTTTCATGTGTTATTTGGCTGCATAAATGTCTTCTTTTGAGAAGTGTCTGTTCATGTCCTTTGCCCACTTTTTGATGGGGTTGTTTGTTTTTTTCTTGTAAATTTGTTTGAGTTCATTGTAGATTCTGGATATTAGCCCTTTATCAGATGAGTAGGTTGCGAAAATTTTCTCCCATTTTGTAGGTTGCCTGTTGACTCTGATGGTAGTTTCTTTTGCTGTGCAGAAGCTCTTTAGTTTAATTAGATCCCATTTGTCAATTTTGTCTTCTGTTGCCATTGCTTTTGGTGTTTTAGACATGAAGTCCTTGCCCATGCCTATGTCCTGAATGGCATTTTTATGGTTTATGTCCTGAATGGCATCTAGGGTTTTTATGGTTTTAGGTCTAACGTTTAAGTCTTTAATCCATCTTGAATTGATTTTTGTATAAGGTGTAAGGAAGGGATCCAGTTTCAGCTTTCTACATATGGCTAGCCAGTTTTCCCAGCACCATTTATTAAATAGGGAATCCTTTCCCCATTGCTTGTTTTTCTGAGGTTTGTCAAAGATCAGATAGTTGTAGATATGCGGCATTATTTCTGAGGGCTTTGTTCTGTTCCATTGATCTATATCTCTGTTTTGGTACCAGTACCATGCTGTTTTGGTTACTGTAGCCTTGTAGTATAGTTTGAAGTCAGGTAGTGTGATGCCTCCAGCTTTGTTCTTTTGGCTTAGGATTGACTTGGCGATGCGGGCTCTTTTTTGGTTCCATATGAACTTTAAAGTAGTTTTTTCCAATTCTGTGAAGAAAGTCATTGGTAGCTTGATGGGGATGGCATTGAATCTGTAAATTACCTTGGGCAGTATGGCCATTTTCACGATATTGATTCTTCCTACCCATGAGCATGGAATGTTCTTCCATTTGTTTGTATCCTCTTTTATTTCCTTGAGCAGTGGTTTGTAGTTCTCCTTGAAGAGGTCCTTCCCATCCCTTGTAAGTTGGATTCCTAGGTATTTTATTCTCTTTGAAGCAATTGTGAATGGGAGTTCACTCATGATTTGGCTCTTTGTTTGTCTGTTATTAGTGTATAAGAATGCTTGTGATTTTTGTACATTGATTTTGTATCCTGAGACTTTGCTGAAGTTGCTTATCAGCTTAAGGAGATTTTGGGCTGAGACAATGGGGTTTTCTAGATATACAATCATGTCGTCTGCAAACAGGGACAATTTGACTTCCTCTTTTCCTAATTGAATACCCTTTATTTCCTTCTCCTGCCTAATTGCCCTGGCCAGAACTTCCAACACTATGTTGAATAGGAGTGGTGAGAGAGGGCATCCCTGTCTTGTGCCAGTTTTCAAAGGGAATGCTTCCAGTTTTTGCCCATTCAGTATGATATTGGCTGTGGGTTTGTCATAGCTAGCTCTTATTATTTTGAAATACATCCCATCAATACCTAATTTATTGAGAATTTTTAGCATGAAGGTTGTTGAATTTTGTCAAAGGCCTTTTCTGCATCTATTGAGATAATCATGTGGTTTTTGTCTTTGGCTCTGTTTATATGCTGGATTACATTTATTGATTTGCGTATATTGAACCAGCCTTGCATCCCAGGGATGAAGCTCACTTGATCATGGTGGATAAGCTTTTTGATGTGCTGCTGGATTCATTTTGCCAGTATTTTATTGAGGATTTTTGCATCGATGTTCATCAAGGATATTGGTCTAAAATTCTCTTTTTTGGTTGTGTCTCCGCCCGGCTTTGGTATCAGAATGACGCTGGCCTCATAAAATAAGTTAGGGAGGATTCCCTCTTTTTCTATTGATTGGAATAGTTTCAGAAGGAATGGTACAAGTTCCTCCTTGTCCCTCTGGTAGAATTCGGCTGTGAATCCATCTGGTTCTGGACTCTTTTTGGTTGGTAAGCTATTGATTATTGCCACAATTTCAGAGCCTGTTATTGGTCTATTCAGAGATTCAACTTCTTCCTGGTTTAGTCTTGGGAGAGTGTATGCGTCGAGGAATTTATCCATTTCTTCTAGATTTTCTAGTTTATTTGCATAGAGGTGTTTGTAGTATTCTCTTATGGTAGTTTGTATTTCTGTGGGATCAGTGGTGATATCCCCTTTATCATTCTTTATTGAGTCTATTTGATTCTTCTCTCTTTTTTTCTTTATTAGTCTTGCTAGCGGTCTATTTTGTTGATCCTTTCAAAAAACCAGCTCCTGGATTCATTAATTTTTTGAAGGGTTTTTTGTGTCTCTATTTCCTTCAGTTCTGCTCTGACTTTAGTTATTTCTTGCCTTCTGCTAGTTCTTTTTGAATGTGTTTGCTCTTGCTTTTCTAGTTCTTTTAATTGTGATGTTAGGGTGTCAATTTTGGATCTTTCCTGCTTTCTCTTGTGGGCATTTAGTGCTATAAATTTCCCTCTACACACTGCTTTGAATGCGTCCCAGAGATTCTGATATGTTGTGTCTTTGTTCTCATTGGTTTCAAAGAACATCTTTATTTCTGCCTTCATTTTGTTATGTATCCAGTAGTCATTCAGGAGCAGGTTGTTCAGTTTCCATGTAGTTGAGCAGTTTTGAGTGAGATTCTTAATCCTGAGTTCTAGTTTGATTGCACTGTGGTCTGAGAGATAGTTTGTTATAATTTCTGTTCTTTTACATTTGCTTAGGAGAGCTTTACTTCCAAGTATGTGGTCAATTTTGGAATAGGTGTGGTGTGGTGCTGAAAAAAATGTATATTCTGTTGATTTGGGGTGGAGAGTTCTGTAGATGTCTCTTAGGTCCGCTTGGTGCAGAGCTGAGTTCAATTCCTGGGTATCCTTGTTGACTTTCTGTCGCATTGATCTGTCTAATGTTGACAGTTGGGTGTTAAAGTCTCCCATTATTAATGTGTGGGAGTCTAAGTCTCTTTGTAGGTCACTCAGGACTTGCTTTATGAATCTGGGTGCTCCTGTATTGGGTGCATATATATTTAGGATAGTTAGCTCCTCTTGTTGAATTGATCCCTTTACCATTATGTAATGGCCTTCTTTGTCTCTTTTGATCTTTGTTGGTTTAAAGTCTGTTTTATCAGAGACTAGGATTGCAACCCCTGCCTTTTTTTGTTTTCCATTTGCTTGGTAGATCTTCCTCCATCCTTTTATTTTGAGCCTATGTGTGTCTCTGCACGTGAGATGGGTTTCCTGAATACAGCACACTGATGGGTCTTGACTCTTTATCCAATTTGCCAGTCTGTGTCTTTTAAATGGAGCATTTAGTCCATTTACGTTTAAAGTTAATATTGTTATGTGTGAATTTGATCCTGTCATTATGACGTTAGCTGGTTATTTTGCTCGTTAGTTGATGCAGTTTCTTCCTAGTCTCGATGGTCTTTACATTTTGGCATGATTTTGCAGCAGCTGGTACCGGTTGTTCCTTTCCATGTTTAGCGCTTCCTTCAGGAGCTCTTTTAGGGCAGGCCTGGTGGTGACAAAATCTCTCAGCATTTGCTTGTCTGTAAAGTGCTTTATTTCTCCTTCACTTATGAAGCTTAGTTTGGCTGGATATGAAATTCTGGGTTGAAAATTCTTTTCTTTAAGAATGTTGAATATTGGCCCCCACTCTCTTCTGGCTTGTAGGGTTTCTGCTGAGAGATCCACTGTTAGTCTGATGGGCTTCCCTTTGAGGGTAACCCGACCTTTCTCTCTGGCTGCCCTTAACATTTTTTCCTTCATTTCAACTTTGGTGAATCTGACAATTATGTGTCTTGGAGTTGCTCTTCTCGAGGAGTATCTTTGTGGCGTTCTCTGTATTTCCTGAATTTGAATGTTTGCCTGCCTTGCTAGGTTGGGGAAGTTCTCCTGGATAATATCCTGCAGAGTGTTTTCCAACTTGGTTCCATTCTCCCCATCACTTTCAGGTACACCAATTAGACGTAGATTTGGTCTTTTCACATAGTCCCATATTTCTTGGAGGCTTTGCTCGTTTCTTTTTATTCTTTTTTCTCTAAACTTCCCTTCTCGCTTCATTTCATTCATTTCATCTTCCATCACTGATACCCTTTCTTCCAGTTGATCACATCGGTTCCTGAGGCTTCTGCATTCTTCACGTAGTTCTCGAGCCTTGGTTTTCAGCTCCTTCAGCTCCTTTAAACACTTCTCTGTATTGGTTATGCTAGTTACACATTCTTCTAAATTTTTTTCAAAGGTTTCAACTTCTTTGCCTTTGGTTTGAATGTCCTCCCGTAGCTCAGAGTAATTTGATCGTCTGAAGCCTTCTTCTCTCAGCTCGTCAAAGTCATTCTCCATCCAGCTTTGTTCCGTTGCTGGTGAGGAACTGCATTCCTTTGGAGGAGGAGAGGCACTCTGCTTTTTAGAGTTTCCAGTTTTTCTGTTCTGTTTTTTCCCCATCTTTGTGGTTTTATCTACTTTTGGTCTTTGATGATGGTGATGTACAGATGGGTTTTTGGTGTGGATGTCCTTTCTGTTTGTTAGTTTTCCTTCTAACAGACAGGACCCTCAGCTGCAGGTCTGTTGGAATACCCTGCCGTGTGAGGTGTCAGTGTGCCCCTGCTGGGGGGTGCCTCCCAGTTAGGCTGCTCGGGGGTCAGGGGTCAGGGACCCACTTGAGGAGGCAGTCTGCCCGTTCTCAGATCTCCAGCTGTGTGCTGGGAGAACCACTGCTCTCTTCAAAGCTTTCAGACAGGGACATTTAAGTCTGCAGAGGTTACTGCTGTCTTTTGGTTTGTCTGTGCCCTGCTCCCAGAGGTGGAGCCTACAGAGGCAGGCAGGCCTCCTTGAGCTGTGGTGGGCTCCACCCAGTTGGAGCTTCCAGGCTGCTTTGTTTACCTAAGCAAGCCTGGGCAATGGCGGGCGTCCCTCCCCCAGCCTCGCTGCCGCCTTGCAGTTTGATGTCAGACTGCTGTGCTAGCAATCAGCGAGACTCCGTGGGCGTAGGACCCTCCGAGCCAGGTGCGGAATATAATCTCGTGGTGCGCCGTTTTTTAAGCCCTTTGGAAAAACACCCGTCGGAAAAATTCTCTTTTTTTAAAAAGAGAATGCATCAGAAAGATATGGCGACCTCTTTTAAAATTCAGGGGCAGAAAGTGAATTTGGCATCAGTTCGCTATGGTAGCTTCAGGGAGAACATTGATAATCATTGCAGGGGTGAGATAACTGATTTTGTTATGGCCCAGGGTCTAGAAGTTCATTTAGGACTCCAGGGAGACCATATATCCAGATTGCCTGGGTCAGACCTAGATTTTTTTAAATTTTATTTTTCTATAGGTTATTGGAGTACAGGTGGTATTTGGTTACATGAATAAATTCTTTAGTGGTGATTTGTGAGATTTTGGTGTACCCATCACCCAAGCAGTGTACACTGCACCCTATTTGTAGTCTTTTTTCCCTCGCCACCCCCGCACCCTTCCCAAGTCCCCAAAGTCCATTGTATCATTCTTATGCCTTTGCCAGACCTAGATTTTGTCTTTTATCCTTGAAGTGTTACAAATTAGCCCTTCTTTTTTACTTTCAAAGATGTCCTGGTGTAGATGATAGAAAGTCTCCAAAAGATATCTGATCCTAATTCCTGTAACCTGTAAATGTTAACTTATAGGGAAAAAAGGTCTTTGTAGATGCGATTATTAAAAATTTTGATATGGAGAGGTTATCCTGGATTCTCCCACTGGGCTCTAAAGGCAATTATATATCTCCTTGTAAGAGAGAGGCAGAGGAGGGCTTGGTACGCAGAAATGGGAGCCGTATGGCCACAAGATAAGGAATGCTGGCAGCTACCAAAAACTTTCAGAGAGGTAAGAGGCTGATTTTCTCCTAGAGCTTCCAGATGGAGGGTGGCCCTGCTGCCGCCATGATTTTTTTTTTTTGAGATGGAGTCTCGCTCTGTCGCCCAGCCTGGAGTGCAGTGGCGCGATCTCGGCTCACTGCAAGCTCCGCCTCCCGGGTTCACGCCATTTTCCTGCCTCAGCCTCCCGAGCAGCTGGGACTGCAGGCGCCTGCCACCACGCCCAGCTAATTGCTGCCGCCATGATTTTGGCCCAGTGGTCACGTCTGGAAATGTGAGAGAAAGAGTTTTTGCTGTTTTAAGTCACTAAGTTTGTGTAATTTGTTATGGCAGCCCTAGGCAACTAACACACCAAGCTTAGAAGACAAATTGTGTGGTTACTCTTCTTATAAAGGGCTAGTCCCAGAACCTGGACAGTTATCGAATTGGATGCAGCACCGTTACCATATCTTATTCCTTGCAGGCTGGCAGAGACCGTTTTTCTCTCTGGACCTCTTAAATTTTTCTCTACCTAATTTGCCAGATCTCCCTGACAAGGCTCCAAATACACATGAATCTGGAAAGTTCAGTGTCTCAATCTAATTGACCCATTTTCTCAGTCAATTCTAATTCCCTAGGAAGGCGTATGGTGCCTTCTTTGAATGTACTCACAGTTTAAACCTTTCTTACATAACTGTTAAATGGGATTGGCACAGAGCTGTCTGTAGACTAGTTCTTCATGTGTTAGTTGAGTTTTCTTTATCTAATCAGGTGTGATATGCGGTGGAGAGGCTCACATACTAGAAAAATGCTTGAGTGGCCCATTTATTTGATGGTGTGTATGAGTGGTGAGTAGCTCAAGAGAACAAAATTGGGCCTAAGAAGACCTCTCTAAAAGTGTTCACTTGTTAAAAAAGCAATTAACCCAGTAAATATTGGGCTTTCTAATGCTCATAAATATTTACTGCTGCAGTGAAGAGAAAATTTTTAGATCAAAAAGAAAGGTTTTAATTAGAAATTCCTTGGTGGTATTTTTTCCTTACATATTTCATGTCTGAAGTTTTCTGAAAATACCAATTGCCTTGATATCTTCTTTGAATGTCATACCAATCACATAATCTTCCTCTTGTAAAATTGAAAAGGATTTCTTTGAAGTTTTTATTGTTGTTTGCTTTCCATTATCTCATCATCATTCAATCTGAATCTTATCTGAATATTATAATGTACTGAGAAATATATTGAATATATAATGTATTGAGAAATATATTGACTATAATCTGTTGAGAAATATGTTGAATAAGTGAATTTCAGAAGTTCCTAAACTAAACAATATTGTTCAGAAGTTCCTGAACAATATAGCCTTTGAGACAATATTGATATTAACTTCTTTTCTTAGTAAGTGGTTAATAAATAAAACCTATTCTCGTTCAGGTCTTCCTTGCAACCTTCTCCATGTGCTGAATAAATATGCATACATGTCTCTTTTCATTACAGTTGTGAAATGTAGCCAGCAAAGTCACACATTGCATATCTTTGCATCTTATCTTCCCTTGCCTTCCTTCCCTCTTTTCTTTACTCTCACCATTTTGGGTTTCTGCTTTCCAAATAAAGTGTTAGCATTTTAATTCTTGCTTCAGAGGTCCCGGAATTTCCAGAGGAGCCAGGCCAAGAAAATACCTAATATGTTTCCTGTGATTAAGAGAAGTTACTGCCTTGGATTCTATCTTTTAACGTTAAGTTACACTTTCTTTATATATGTTTTTCTGATATATCAGAATCCAGTGGCAGATTTTTATATTGTGTATCAGTGACTGGGAAAATCAAACAAATAATCGAAATCATCTACATATAGTTAATCAGAATCTATGCCATCTGCTATCAGACCAAAAAAAAAAAAAAAAAGAAAAAGAAAGAAAGAAAATAATAACAATAGTAACAGCAAAAAAAAAAAAAAAAAAAAAAGCCTCGATTAACAGACGCTTGAATTTTAATAGAAAATAAATGGTCTTATGAGCTAAGAAGACATACATCCAAAAAGGTGTCTAGGCTGCTCTGTCTATGGAGTAGCCATTCTTTTATTCCTTTACTTTCTTTTTTTTTTTTTTTTTTTTTTTTGAGACGGAGTCTCACTCTTTCGCCCAAGCTGGACTGCAGTGGCGCTATCCCGGCTCACTGCAAGCTCCGCCTCTTGGGTTCATGCCATTCTCCTGCCTCAGCCTCCCGAGTAGCTGGGACTACAGGCGCCCACCACCACGCCCGGCTAATTTTTTGTATTTTTAGTAGAGACGGGGTTTCACCGTGTTAGCCAGGATGGTCTCGATCTCCTGACCTCGTGATCCGCCCGCCTCGGCCTCCCAAAGTGCTGGGATTACAGGCGTGAGCCACCGCGCCCGGCCTATTCCTTTACTTTCTTAATAAACTTGCTTTCACTTTGCACTTCGGACTCACCCTGAATTATTTCTTGCGAGAGATCCAAGAACCCTCTCTTGGGGTCTGGATCGGGTCCCCTTTCCTGTAACATATTTCTGGCAACCACAGAATGGCCTATAGTGCAGAAACCCTGACCTAACGGCTACCTTAGAATAAGTGTTGGGGTCCTGTAATGTATTTCTGGCGGCCACAGAAGTGACTATACTGCGGAAACCCTGACCCAAAGGCTAACTTTGGGTAAGTGTTGGGGTCCAGTAACATCTTTCTCGCAAACCACAAAAGAGACAATACTGAGGAGGCCCCCCGACCCAAAGGAAATAGACTGGAGCACTGATTGGGTGACTTTGCGTAAGTGATAGGATACCTGGGTACAGAATGGGATTGCATTAAAGGCCCAACTTAGGGGAGTTAGAGTCTCTCCTAAGACAGAGTGGGTTAGAGACCCCTCTTAATAAAAGGCAAGGACGCTTGACCGACCTCAGGTTAGAGGCCTGACTTAGGAGGGTTAGAGTCCCTTATAAGATTTAGGGGGTTAGAGGTCCCTCTCAGTAAAGTCCCTTTAAGAACAGGTTCGGCACTATGGGATGTTAATTCTCTTTGGATTAATCTGCCTTGCACTCTTCGCTGATGGCTGTGGGTGACAGGGTTAGGCATGTACAGGATTGTGGGACATGGGGAGCTTTTTCCTTTCTAAAAAGGGAAACCTGACAGCTGACTGGACTGCTGGAAAAAATCCCTTCATGACAACAGCCGCAGCCGCCTGAACTTTCCAGTGTCGCTGCAATGGGGGGGCTTCCTCTGGCCTCCCTGATCATTTCGACTTCCCCACCCTGCCACAGGCGATACTTTCGTTCTGTGCTTTTCCTTTCTCTTTCTTATCTTTTCTATTACTCAGGATGACCATCTTGCCCAGGGACGACATGTTGAAACTCCAAGTGGAAGGTTGGATTAAAGAAGGGGCCTATCTGGGGGCAAATTTAAGCCTTGCCGGTTTGATGTTGGGTGCTAAGCAGAGTGGCTAATGTCTATGTTTTATCACACATATTTTGCTCTAGCCAGAACAAAAAATAATAATTTTTCTTTATGATGAGGCTTGGCCCCCAGGGCGATGGTGCTGCAGGCAGGATCACTAGGGCCGGTCAGGGAAAGGGAACCCAGAAGCCTGGCATGCCGGCGAAAGGGTAAGAATTTCTTACCAGTCAGATTTCTGGCTTCTCTCTCTCTCTCTCTCTCTCTCTTTGCAAATGGTTGAATGAATGGTGAAAAAGAAAAAAAAAAAACCCAGTGTTTATTTCCTCTGTAAAGTTTTGATTAATGCGAAAAAGAATTCTAAGGCTAGCCTTAAGCTGGTGTATTTTGTGCTATGAATTTGTTTTTCTGTGTTGAGGGGTACTTTAGGATAAAACACGGGCTTAGAACACCTGTAAGCCCGCTTTTCAAGACCACCCAGCAAGCTGGTCAGTAACAAGCTTGGCTGCAGGTCCCTGAAACAAACAGAAAAGCTGGATGAAGTCTCCACCTTGTTTTAGGTCCTTGGGAACTTGACCTTTTAATCACATGGCAGTACTGTCTCTTCGTCTCCACCTTCCAGGGAATAGGAATTTTAGGGTTCATGTCATAGTCAGCTCTACAAATTATATTAAATAGTTAAAAGCCTTTGCAAGCTCAAAATTAACTACTCTAGACTCTTTCTCCGAAAGGAACTGAAGATTGTTCTATGCTGTAACTCAGTAGTTAGGGCTTTTGCACTTTCACAGTGGTGGTCTGGGTTTGATTCCCCACCTAGGAAGTAAGTCGTTTCTGGTTTAGTATCTGCGTGACTTTGTCTATTCTGTTCTCCTCCACGGACTGTCTTAAATTTTCCTTTCTCTAAGCACCTAAGAGGTTACCTCTGGTAAATCTCAGAAACTAGAAATATTGGCTGCTTGGCATGGCTAAAGTCGGGTAATAAGAGATCTGAAAGGATTTCTTTCTTTTTTTTTTTTTTAAAGAGCACTATGGTTAGAAGTCAACTTAATTAAAAGTGGATAAACAAGCTATAGATATATTTAAAAGGCCTTTATGTTTTTCTCTTCTTGGAACTTGTTTTTCTGGAAAAGGCTTTTTCTTCTCAGTTGACTGAATTATTTTTCTCCGTTTTTATTGTCTTGCCACTTTTTTTTTTTTTTTGAGACAGAGTCTTGCTCTGTCGCCCAGGCTGGAGTGCAGTGGTGCGATCTCGGCTCACTGCAAGCTCCGCCTTCCGTGTTCACGCCATTCTCCTGCCTCAGTCTCCCGAGTAGCTGGGACTACAGGCGCCCACCACCACGCCTGGCTAATTTTTTTGTATTTTTAGTAGAGACGGGGTTTCACCGTGTTAGCCAGGGTGGTCTCGATCTCCTGACCTCGTGATCCGCCCGCCTCGGCCTCCCAAAGTGCTGGGATTACATGTCTTGCCACTCTTAATGCACACATGAGAGGCCCTGAGATAATTTCTGGTAGCCTGGGACTCCTTGGGAAAAACAGAAGAGGCGCCACAGACCCCATTTTGGAAAAAAACTTCTGTTTTCCTTATGAAACCCCAGGAATTAAAAGCAGATAGATTCCTCTCAAAATCAAAGGCTCTGTTCTGTTTTGCATTGCATTATCTGACGGTTTTGAGTTTTGGGGGTATCAGAAATTACTTCACATTATGAGAGAGCTTTGGTGTGTAATAACTAGGTAGGAAATATATATATATATATTCATTGGCCATCCCTTGAAGATGGCTAATAGTAGTTACGGAGGGATACTTGACTCTTTGCACACTCGGATCAGAGAAGCATGCTCTTGGCCACCTGGAAGATAAGGAAACATACTCACCCCTCACTGAGAGATGAGACTCCCATTAGGGATGGGCTGATTACAAAATGGGCTGATTGACTTTGGGCTGCCTTGCAATGAAATGCAGAGTAGAAGCACTGCACTGTCT
Source organism: Homo sapiens (assembly GCF_000001405.40). Lineage (NCBI taxonomy): Eukaryota > Metazoa > Chordata > Mammalia > Primates > Hominidae > Homo > Homo sapiens. Next base: position 176,821,195 of record NC_000003.12, on the reverse strand, counting down.
GCTCCTGAGTATTTCCCTCCTTTTGGGGATCCAGGATCCAGTATAAAATGGCACCCTTAATTTTATACTTTATTTATTTTCAAATAAAGTTCATTTGAATCCTTTCATCATGAGAACTGTGGCTATTTTCCTGGTCTGGTAATGACGTGTAGGGCTCTGTATGCTCAGTTAAAGCCTAAGATGTCAGTGTGCATGCCAAGGAAATGTAATGTTTTGAGTGGTTGACCCCAAAACACTAAATTATTATCTGGGGCTGCCAGGCAGTCTACTCAGAGATTCTGTTTTCCTTGAGCACGGCCAGTCTTTTGTGCTTGAAACTCTTATAGATTGTACTGGGTATAAATTTACTTCTACAGAAAATCATTCACATTGATCTTCTGGGGTGGGGTGGGGGAGGCTAGAATTTGAGGATAGCCTTCAGCTTTGCTTGCTGCTGAGTTTGCTTTAAATGACTTATACAAACCTGTGGAGAATGTGATATATATCATTTTATGTATGAGAAAATTTATTAGTAATGTATCATTGAATGTTTGTTTTATGCACTGCTCATTTTAAAATGACTGCTGTATCACTTTCTCCTTATAAATATTTTGCCATTATTAGTTTTTTAATATGCTTTGATTAGCTTTGGAAAATACGCCTGTAAAGTTTATTTAATCAGAACATAGTCAATAAATTGTTAAGAAGAAAGTAATATAATTGTTGATGTCATAGAATGAGTGGTAGAATAAAAATTTGACCATTTATTGTCTAATGCTCATTTTGACACAATTTATTGCATGATTTTGGAAAAGCTTTATTTAACTCTTTGGACAGTAATTTTTTTTATCTGAAAATAGGCATCATAGGACCCGATCTGTTTTCTTCACAGATTGGTGTGAAGATCAATGGGATAATGGATATGGATGATCTTTGAAATTTAAAACGTACTTGTCACATGCAATAATGTGGAAGCACAGAGTATTGGAGATGAGAGAAAACACACAGTTCTTTCATCTCAACTGCATCAGTAATTACATTAAATATAAATGGTTTAAATACTCCATTTTAAAGCTAAATTGACAGACTACATAAAAAAACAAGACCCAAATATATATGCACTCTAAAGAAGCTAAACTAAAATGTAAACACACAGAGCAATTAAAGGTAAAGGACTAAAAAAGCATGTAAATTCTAAGAAAGCCAAGATGATAATATTAATATCAAAGTAAAATTCTAAACAGGAATATTATCAGGGATAAGGAAGAACAGTTTATAATGATAAAAATTTTATTCATGAAGACATAGCAATCCTAAATAATAACAGAGCTGCAAAATATATGAAACAAAAACTTACAGAACTCAAAAACGGTGACAAAGTAAGAATTACAGTTAGTAATTTCAACACTCTTATCCCAGTAATTGATAAAATGAAAAGACTTAAACTCAATAAGATATATAAGATTTAGACAATACTGTCAGCTAACTTAATCTATTTGACATTTATATTCCACACCACAACAGAAGAATACACATTTTTAAAAAGCATATGTGGGCATTCAGATAGATTATATGTTAGGCCATTAAAACATGTCTCAATAAATTTTAAAGGATTGGAGTCATGCAATATAGGCTCTCAGATCTCAGTGGAATTGTGTTAGAAATAGTAATACATTTGTGAAATCCCCAAATATTTGGAAATTAACATACTTCTAAACAACCCATGGCTAAAGTAAAAAAATAGAGAAAATTTGAAAATATTTTGAACTGAATAAAAATAAAGCATAATATAGCAAAATTTAAAAAATGTAGCTAAAGCAGTACATAGTTACTGTTTATCGCAGGAAGTTATACATGAAAAAAATCAATGTATTCACCATATTAACATTAGTAATGAGGAAATTCACATGATCAACGTAAAAGATGCAGAAAAAAGACATTTGAAAAAATTAAACAACCATTTGATAGGTCATGGCAAATTAAGAACTGAAGAGAATTTTCTCAACCTAATAAAGGGCTGGCATCATATTTAATGGTGAAAGACTGAATGCTTTCCTCCTACCATCAGGAACAAGACAAGAACGTCTGTTCTGATCACTCTGTTCAGTATTGCACTAGAGGTCCTAGTCATATAATAAGGCAAGGCAAAGACATAAAATATCTTCATATTGGAAAGAAGGCAGTAAATCTGCCTTTACTAAATGATGACATTGCATACATAGATAATCCTAAGTGATTTACAAAACAGCAAGGTCAGAAAATACAAGGGAGGTATACTCAGATAATTATATTTCTATATGCTAGACATGATCTATTTAAAAATAAAAAACCAAAACCTTTAGCAAAAGCATTCAGAAACATGAAATTATTAGGGGAAAATTTAACAAAATATGTAAAAACATGTGTACCGTAGACCATAAAACATTGTTGAAATAATTTAAGAAAATAGGCTGAGCACAGTGGCTTACACCTGTAATCCCAGCACATGGGGAGGCCAAAGCAGGAGGATTGCTGGGTTGCTTGAGGTTGGGAGTTTGAGACCAGCCTGGGCAATGTAGCAAGACCTCGTCTCTCCAAAAAAAAAAAAAAAAAAAAAAAAAAGACAGAAAATACAAATAGATGAAGATTTGTATCTTGTCCATGGATTAAAACATTCATATTGTTAAGATGTCAATTTTCTCCAAATTGATATACAGCATAGATTCAATGCAATTCCCACTAGTATCCCAGCAAGGTGTTTTTAGCTCAATTTAGTCATGCTGCATGTATACATATTTTAAAACCATATATTGTACATGATAAATATATACAATTTTTATTTGTTAATTAAAAATAAAGTTTAAAAATAAAAATGTTTTTAGAATTGGACAAGCTGATTCTAAAATTTATACAGCAATTCAAAAGATTTATAATAGCCAAAATGATTTTGAAAAAGAACAAAGTTGTAGAACTTACCGTACCTGTTTTCAAGGATTTCTGTATTTCCACAATAATCACTGCCATATAGTATTGGCATAAGGTGAGACACAAATTAGTGGAACACAATAGAGTTGAGAAATAGACCACAAATACATGGCCAATTAATTTTCAACAAAGGTGCTAAATCAATCCAACAAGAAAGGAAAGTATGTTCAATAAATGTTGCTGGAGCAACTGGATATCAATATTACCAAAAATAAATTGTCAATTCTTGTTTCACAGTATGCACAAATGTAACTTGAAATTAATTGTAGAACTAAATGTAAAAGCCACAACTCTAAAACTAGGAAAAATATAGAAATCTTTGTGACTTTAGGATCGATTATTTAACTAGAATATAGAAAGCACAAACCATGGAAAAGTAGTCAAATTGAAATTCATCAAAATGAAAAATTTATGTAAGGACCAAATAGTAAATATTTTAGGTTTTGTGGGCCTAATCATCTTTGTTGCAACTACTTAACTTTGCCAATGCAGTGCAATAGACGCTGTAGACAATGCGTAATGAGTGGATGTGGTTGTGTTTCAATAAACCTTTATTTACAAAAACAGGCAGCACGCAGGGTTTGGCTCATGGGGCTAGTGGGCCAACACCTGCACTAGCTGGACAGAAGCTCTAGCATGAGATTCAGCAATGTTAACAAAAGGCCATGAGATTTGTGGAGGAAAAAGGAAGAACTTTATTTTCTACGAAACGCAATCTGCAGATTGGGGAGGCATGGTCTTCAATACAAGTGAAGGTGTGCTCTCCAAAGAATAAAGGAAGAGTTTGGCTTAAGCAGGAAAATTTCCTGCCCCATGTCTCAATCATATTCTTTTTTTTTTTTTTTTGAGACAGAGTCTTGCTCTGTTGCCCAGGCTGGAGTGCAGTGGTGGGATCTCGGCTCACTGCAACCTCCGCCTTCCGGGTTCACGCCATTCTCCTGCCTAAGCCTCCCGAGTAGGGGGGACTACAGGGGCCCGACACCACGTCCGGCTAATTTTTTGTATTTTTAGTAGAGACAGGGTTTCGCCATGTTGGCCAAGATGTTGGCCAAGATGGTCTTGATCTCTCGCCCTCGTCCTCTGCCGGCCTTGGCCCACCAAACTGCGGGGATTACAGGCATGAGCCTCCGCGCCCCGCCAATCATGTTCTTTTACGTAGACAAAAGAGTCAAGCTTATATTTCGTTCTGATTGGTCCAGATAGTCGAACTCTGATTGGGTGGCTTCCCAATCCCAAAACCAGAAGTCTGTCAGATGTTCCTTCCAAAAGGCTGAGCTGGAGTTGGGGGTTCTCTCATGGCTTCTCTTGGCTCCCGTCACAAGAACTATTCTAGCTTAAGGGTATAAAACAGGATGTTTGTCGCCAGGCGCGGTGGCTCACGCCTGTAATCCCAGCACTTTGGGAGGCCGAGGCGGGCGGATCATGAGGTCAGGAGATTGAGACCATCCTGGCTAACATGGTGAAACCCCGTCTCTACTAAAAATACAAAAAGAAATTAGCCGGGCGTAGTGGCGGGCGCCTGTAGTCCCAGCTACTCGGGAGGCTGAGGCAGAAGAATGGCGTGAACCCAGAAGGCAGAGCTTGCAGTGAGCGGAGATCGCGCCACTGCACTCCAGCCTGGGCCACAGAGCGAGACTCCGTCTCAACAAAAACAAAAACAAAAAACAACGGGATGTTTGTCAAAAGCTGCCTTTTCTAAGAACAGAGAGCGTGTGACTCTTCTCTCACCCCACCATGGCTACTTGTTACTGTGATCTAAATTTAATTGTCTCCATTAGCCACAGGGAGCTATTGTCTCAAGAGCTGGGGGAGCTTATTTACAGTTTTATTTCAGAGCAAGATAAATGGTGTCCCCTAAATAATAATGTGACTTAATGGTAGAGGCAGGACTAAATCCCAATTTCTTTCCAGTTTATGTTTTACTACTAAAGTTGAAAACAAGATTCTCTTTTTAGAGTGTAACTATGCTGTTATGAAATTATGAATACTCAAGAATTAGCTCATAATGTTGTCTTTTTTTATTTTTTTTTATATTTTGATTACTGCCTTTCTCTTGTTAGAAGAAGGAACGAATTAAAAGTGAGTGATTTTGTTTTCATTTTCTCCATGTGTTATTTGAAAGCTTATTCTCGTAGCATCATCCACAGGAAGATATGAAAAATGACTTTATATTCATGTGGCGTTTTATTTAAATCTGTCAAAAACAGAATTATGGCAGTTATTCATTTATATTTCGATATGATTATTGTTGAGAAAATCACCAATCTAAGTTATTACATGAAAGGAAACATGATAGGCATGCATTACAGGATCTTTTTCATAAAGCGAAGATTTCAAAGAGAGAAAACAGAAAAAGAGAATCTATGTTTGCTTTGTGTTGCCTTATTTTAAAAACCTGCCATGTTAAAACAATGTAAAAAAGCAGGAACTATAGTTTTAGGTAGGGCAAATTCTATTTATTGAGACTAGACTATACCAGATACTATGTGAGGTATTTTACTTATATATCTCATTTTATCTTCACAGCATCACTTGCGGATAGGTCTAATTGTCCTCATTATATGGAAGAAGAAACTGATATTCTAGGAAGTTTAGTAACGATATAGATATAATGCAGCTGGGAAGGGTGTGGACTTATGAAGTCAAAACTAGGTCTGTTAGACTGTAAAATCTGTGCTTTGAAGATTGTGCATCTGGGAAAGAAAATGAAAAACTCTAGGAAATTCTTAGATCCAATTAGTAATTGTGGTCACAACACTTAAGAATGAATTCAGAATATACAATTATACCCAAAACACTTGCAATGCCTTTTTTTTCATGTTATAGAGAATTACAGAGAGACTCTAGAATTCTTTATGTCTGTATTCAAGAAGAAGGAAGATAAAATAATGAAGAAACCAAGTGCAATTCTAAGACATATGTGCCCTGAACCATTCTTTATTTGAATAAAACATAGATCCAGACCATCATTAGCCCCCTGCAAAAGTTGAGATAGATGCTTTGAAGTAACACCTTCTCCCTATTTGTTTTCATTATTTTAACCTAGACTTCGGGATAGCCTTGTAGCGTTGGTAACAAGTAAACTGTTTCACTAGAGGCAGACGGATTTCTAAGATATTTTGTTAGTTTTTATTAAGTTAGAAAAGCTCATGAAATCTTTGCTGGGGCTGAGAGAATGGAATTATCTGATTATTAGTATTAGGTCAACCCTGACTTAAAGTCCCTACTGATGTCTTTGCAAAAAACTTGGAAAAAGCAGTTTTCTCTCCAGGCCTCAATATCTCTTGGGAGCTGTTATAAAATGGCATAACTCATCTGAAAAAGAAAAAAAGAAACGGAAGGAAACACCTTTCCATTTGAAAATACGGTGTGTACGTTTGTAAGTGAAGATGGTCTAAGAACAGAATTTTTAATTATGCTTCCACAGGAAGTTTGACAGCAACGTTTCTTTCTTTCTTTTTTTTTCTGGGAAGTTTAGGGCAAGGAGGACATGAAATTGATAATGCCTTGAGCCCGGCAATGGGTTTTCCCAGAAGAAATAATGCAAAGCCGTTAGATGAATGACAGTTTCTAAAGTCTTCAAAACCAACTCTTGACAGATGGAGCACTGCAGAGGCCATGTGGCACGGGAATTTCCAAATTTCCACTCTAATTTCATTTGCTTTTTAAAAAACTTTGGCAGCTGAAGTTGCAGCAGCTGACCTCTAACTGCTACCCCGGGGAAACAGGAGGCCGTGTAACGGGCTCTTTATGAACAAGGGCTGTAGATGGCGCTGGAGAACACAGGCTTCGCTAGGGGCCGTGGAGAAGGCCCTGTCCGGATGTCTACCCGCCAGCACAGAGGGGCTGCCGGCCCTTGCTTTGCATCTTTAAGGAGGCAGCCTGGTGTAGTCAGATATCCCCGCATCCGAGTCTTAGTTTTACCACTGACAGCTGTGTGACTTTGGTCAGCTTTTCAACTTCAAGCTTTTTTCCTCATCTGTAAAAATCCTAATTTGTGGTGGTGTCATGAAAATTAAGGCTAATATATATTAAAATATTTAGTACAGTACTCAGCACAGATTAGATCCCAATAAAGTCCCTAATTACGTAACCAAATGAAATTCTTGTCATATTTTTTATTTCTAGAAATTCAGTTTCCTGATTGTTTACCAGAGGCACATGGCATGGTGCTAGCACGGTGCTGGGAATTAGAAGAAGGGAAGGTGGGCTGGGCGCGGTGGCTCACGCCTGTAATCCCAGCACTTTGGGAGGCTGAGGGGCCAGATCACCTGAGGTCAGGAGTTTGAGACCAGCCTGACCAGCATGGAGAAACCCCGTCTCTACTAAAAATACAAAATTAGCCGGGCATGGTGGCTCATGCCTGTAATCCCAGCTACTCGGGAGGCTGAGGCAGGAGAATCGCTTGAACCCGGGAGGCAGAGGTTGAGGTGAGCTGAGGTCACGCCATTGCATTCCAGCCTGGGCAACAAAAGCGAAACTCCATCTAATAATAATAATAATAATAATAATAATAATAATAAATAAATTAAAAAAAGAAGATAGGAAGGGGAGTGAGACTTCAGCTCAGCTCTCAGTGCATAGTCTAGAAGAGGAAAGAGTAAATGTAGGACTTCCGGTAAAGTAAAATAAATATCAGAATGAGGGGAACCTTTCAATATTTAAAATGATGGAAGTTAATGTGTAAATAATTTAAGCTTAAGCTCATAGGAATTCTGACACTATTTCCGTGTATTTGGTGGGCAGGATGTATTCCCTCCCTTCTCATTTGAATACCTCTCATCATTTTGGGTTCTCTTAAAGTCCTACTAATAAATGACCCATGAGTGCTACAATAGTTCAGAAAATGGTGAGGCTTCTGTGGACTGGAGAAATCAAGGAAAGCTAGGACTTGACCAAGCACTGAGGGTGGGTTTTGATGTTTGAAGTGGAGAAGACTTGCATGAAGAAAGGCCAGATGCTGGGATAAGGCTGGGTGTGGCTGTAGCCTGTAGGGTAATGAGCCACCATCCAGGTAGGGTCGGGGGAAGAAGGTTAATTGGAGCAGCTGATGAGGAGGTGGACTAGGGAGATTTCGTCTGAGTTTTGGAAGTTCCTGAGAACTGGACAGAGGAATCCAGATTTGTTTCATGAGCATTCAAAAGCTATTACGATTAGCCGGTCATGATGGTGTGTGCCTGTAATCCCAGCTACTCAGGAGGCTGAGGCAGGAGAATTGCTTGAATCTGGGAGGCCGAGGTTGCAGTGAGCCAAGATTGAGCCACTGCACTACAGCCTGGGCGACAGAGCAAGACTCCGTCTTTAAAAAAAAAAAAAAAAAAAAAAAGCTATTACGGTTTTCCAAGCACAGGGCTGGCATGAAGATAGTAGATTTATACAAACTGGTTCAATAGCAATGAGCCCAGCAGATTAGCTCAAGAGTGACTCTGGAGCTGGGAATGCCAGATCAGATGCTAAAGCACATTACTGAACATCTTGAATTTAAAGAGCTCTTTAGAACATTAACTTTGATATTTTTTCTTAATTTAATCTTCATTTTGAACTATAAATCTAGCACTAATAAAGAGAACTGAACAGTTTTGCTCTCTCAGGGCATTATATGGAATCCCAGCAAATGCAATCTAATTTCTACCTAACCTGCTGCCTAATACCAATAGAGACTCCCAAGTCATATTTCTGCTCCTCTCCACTTGATCTGACACAGTGACAACAATATTTTTTAAAGCTGCTTTAGCCACCTGGGGAAGAGTGTATTTGACCTGGCACTCAAATGCTCTCAAGTATGAGAGACTGGGGAAGACAAAGGTTGCCAGAATGTCCATCTCAGTAAACACAAAGAAAGAGTCTGCACCATTTAAATGTTCACTCATGTATGACTCTGTGATTATCAAAACTAACTTGGATTATACATTTGGAGAGTTCTCTTGAAATTTACAGACTCAGAGAATTTGTAAGCTCTTTGATTGTTTTTCTTATTAAAAGTTGAGCTGATACTACCAATCTAAGTGCTAGATTGGACCACAGAGAAGTGGTTGATCCCCAGTGCTTAAGGGTAGGAAATTATAAATCCAATTATAAATGTCCAGTAATCCTGGGTGGAGCCTGGCCAGAATCTTTGTCTTCATTGCTGCTGATTTGAAACCCATTCTCTTGATCTAGTTCCATGACCAGAGGCTAAGGCAGAGCAAAGCCATAATGGCTCCTTGCAAAAAGCAACACCAATGAATTAAAAAAATTTTTTCTTTGGTTTCAATAGTGAAATAGCCTAGAAAGTCCATGTGCGATGCAGCCACAAAAGAGCTGTTGAGACAAGGAAGTCTATGTGGCAGGCCTGGGTTCACAGTGTGTCTGTGAAGCGGGGAAACCTGTGTATGGGACTTGGGGTGGGTGGTTGACTTGCCTTCAGACTTCTCTCCTTCCCTCAGCCTCCTCTTTACTCCCAACAGCTTAGTACATTTTTTTTTCTGACAAATCTTTTCTGGCTTAACCACATGCTAATTGTTGGTGATAAAAATGAGGAGAATTATAAAAAAGAAAGACAGGACTCGTGACCCATAGCTTCCTGGTACCTACGGTACAATCTACCCTCTAGTGACCTATGTCTAACCCTTTACTAAACCTTTTAACCATTTAATTTTATAGTTATAAAATAATATGTATTTGATAAAATATCTAGAAACTATAGAAAGTATATAGTGAAAGAAATAAAATATCATAATTCTGACATCCACATATACCTATTGGTGTATTTTCAGCATATGGCATGTTTGGAATTGTGCTATGTAAATTCTTCACCTGCCCTTTTACTTAACTTTTTTTGTGTGTGTGAGCATTGCTGCGTATCATTCGATTATTTTAAAAAGTAAGATTTTAATGGCTGCAAAGTAGTTCGTTGAAATACTATGAAGTTATATAAGTATCATTAGGCTTTAATAGATTATTTCATCTCTATTCTTCTAGAGAGTCAGGAATTCTTCACTGTGTTTCATCATTGAATATGTCTGCAGGAATTTATGATCATCATATCCAGTGGGGGTGACTGAAACTACCTTATGCCTGGGTAAAGACATTTTGGAGTTTTGTTTCATGGTACAATGTGACAGATAAGGAACAACAAAAAGGGCCTTCTGTTGGAGGTATGAGAAGTACCTAAGGCCAAATATGCGCATGAAACATTTCATTATCCTGCTTAGATTCTCTCTTCCCTTTTTCTGATTTATCTTTGCAATGTGACCTTATCCTCTGGCTACAGTCTGTAGTTCCAGATTTGGGTACCCGGCCCAAACTGGGCCAATTAGCATTTTGTCCTAAGACTTTGGACTAAAACTGAGAAATATCTTAAGTTACTGATAATTAAAGCTGGAAGATGTGCTGCCTGAGAGTTGTTGGTGGCTAAGTTAACGGCCATCTGGAAAGAGAAGTAAGAAGGCAATTGAGAGAGAGTGAGGGTGAGTGAGTGAGCAAGCAGGAAAGAGAGAGAAATGAAACAGGTATGCTAGAGGTAGCAATGATGAGCTGTGAGAAATGGAGAGAGAACTGCTGGCACTTTAACTGATTTGAGCTGCTCCACAGATTTTGGATTTCATGAGTACTAAGAATCCTTATTATTAAATGTTCCTTTCCTCTCTTTATTTTGGCTCAAGCTGGTTTTCTATCACTTGAAATCAAAGTCATCCTAATCCTTACCCTGATGGTAATTTAAAAACTGCCAGGCTCCAAATTCTGTTTCTGCCTGCCCTTTTCCTTGGAAAAATCCTCATCTGGATTCTTCTGTTATTTCTTGGTATAATTTATAAAAACTTCTTTTTAATTTCTCTGTTTTAGAGAAGCAGCTAAGGAAATAAACAGAAACATAGGGGAAATAAAAATGCCTTTAGAGGAGGGATGCTAGATTTGTGAAATTTTAAAATAATTAAAAATTTTTATGGTGTTTTCATGATGTTGACTATGAACTTGCCAACCTTTTACAGATGCAGAGAATGTTGTTTGCTAGTTTAGCTGAGCAAATTGCCCAAGTCTCTGAAGCACACTGAGGCCTCAGAATCATACCTCCTTGGTAAATGTGGTACTGTATTGTATAATGAAGTCCTTTAAGTATACTGCAAAGAGTATACTTAACCTATTTAAGAAACTCTGCTTTTTAAAAAATGTTCTGAAGTTGTGAGTACCTACTATGTGCAAATCAATGTCCTAGTTGAGCTGAAGGATACAAAGGAACTGAAAGCAAAAATGTATTGTGTTCTTAAACAAATTTACAAGAAAAAAACAACCCCATTGAAAAGTGGGCAAAGGACATGAACAGATACTTTTCTAAAGAAACCGTAAATGTGGCCAATAAGCATATGAGAAAAAGCTCAACATCACTGATCATTAGAGAAATGCAAATCAAAACTACAGTAAGAAACCATCTCACACCAGTCAGAATGGCCATTATTGAAAACTCAAAATAACAGTCGCTGGTAAGATTGTAGAGAAAAATAATTGCTTGTACACTGTTGGTGGGAGTGTAAATTAGTTCAACCATTGTGGAAAGCATTGTGGCAATTTCTCAAAGAGCTAAACATAGAACTACCATTTGATTCAGCAATCCCATTACTGGGTATATACCCAAAGGAATATAAATCATTCCATCATAAAGACACATGCATGTGTGTGTTCATTGCAGCACTATTCACAATAGCAAAGACATGGAATCAACGTAAATATCCATCAGTGGTAGACTGGATAAAGAAAATGTGGAACATATACACCATGGAATACTATGCAGTCATAAAAAAGAATGAGATCATGTGCTTTGCAGGAATGTGGATGGAGCTGGAGGCCATCATCCTTAGCAAACTAACGCAGGAACAGAAAACTAAATACCACACATTCTCACTTATAAGTAGGAGCCAAATGATGAGAACCACATGGACACATAGAGGGAAACAATAGACACTGGGGCCTATCAGAGGGTGGAAGGTGGTGGAAGGAGGGAGAGGATCAGGAAAAATAATTAATGGGTACTAGGCTTAATACCTGAGTGATGAAATAATCTGTACAGGCCGGGCAAGGTGGCTCACGCCTGTAATCCCAGCACTTTGGGAGGCTGAGGCCGGTGGATCACAAGGTCAGGAGATCGAGACCATCCTGGCTAACACGGTGAAACCCCGTCTCTACTAAAAAATACAAAAAATTAGCTGGGCATGGTGGCGGGCGCCTGTAGTCCCAGCTACTTGGGAAGCTGAGGCAGGAGAATGGCGTGAACCCGGGAGGTGGAGCTTGCAGTGAGCCAAGATCACGCCATTGCACTCCAGCCCGGGCGAGAGAGTGAGACTCCGTCTCAAAAAAAAAAATAAATAAATAAATAAATAATCTGTACAACAAACTCCCATGACACAAGTTTTCCTATATAACAAACCTGCCCATGTACCCCTGAACTTAAAAGTTAAAAAAAGAAAAAAGAGAAAAATTTGTTGTGCTTAGGAAAGGTATACTCTTTTGTTAATGATGTGTTTGTTCATGCATGCACCCCTGCTTGTGCTACTTTACGTTTATTTCTTATTTTTTCCTTGCAGCAACCCTTCATGGCCTATTTGTAGAATAGAAAACCTATGCTTATCTAGGTTAAGAAATGTACACAGTTGCAGCTATATACCCTGTTTCAGCTCAGCTCTGTGTGTCTTCAAAGACCATGGTTTTCACACAATTGTAGACTTTCACTACCTTGTGCTATGCCCTGTGTCTAGTTAGGAAGTAAAACATATGCACGTACAAATGTAGCCAGCACAAGAAGACAGGTACGCCATGCTCAGAACCAAGGTAAAAAAATGTGGAAAACAAATATCACAGAGATCCAGAGTAGAGTAAGTCCTCTCATGGGGGGCAGCCATGGATGCCTACATGTGCAAAGTGGGGCTTGAATTGGTCTGTAATGTAGGAAGTGGGCTTAGACACTAGAGAAAAGTGTGTGGAATTCTCTTAAGTAATAGAGGCTGCTGGAAATGTTAAGAGGAGATAGTGGCTACCAGGAATTGTGTCAATCTCACCATTAGTTATTTACTGGGCTAGCCAGGGAAAGGCCACCAGTTTTGCAGGGCTAGCAAAGCCAACTGCTGATTGACTTATTTAATCATCTGCTTGAGTACCCTGGGAGATTAGGACAGACTGGTGAAACGCACACAGACCTTTAGTTCTTATCTACAAAGTGAATTTGGCTCTTCACAGTGAATTACGTTTTCCATTTTCCTGTACACCCTATTTCAAATGGGAAAAATGAAGATATTTAAGTATAATAATTGCAATTTCATTGTCTTGGGTGTACTTCAGGACCAAAGCTCATCACATATTTTTCCTCCTTGCTTTGCCCCTAAAGACAATGTAAAGATTCAATTTCATGAGACCTTAATCAGGCCAAATACTTGGCTTTGAATACATGGTAAATTTACATTGAAAATAACAGAAGAAAATAACATAAAGAGGATTTGCTGTTTTGATTGTAGATCTCAATGGGTATATATAGCGTAGACTTCTCTTTGATAACTGTTCTAGAATGAACTGTTATATAGATAATTCAAGGTGGATCCAAACAGGGAATTTGTGCTTTGCATAGGCTCTTTTTTTCCCACTTCTGAGATCCAGAAGGCTTTAAGATAATATTTTTGATGAAATCTCCAATGTGTTAATGAGCAATGACCTAAATTTTAGGTCCCTGGTAATTGACACACATGGGGTTTATTTTATGCAATAGCACATTGAGGCTCTGTGTAAAGTAGATAATCAAACATTAAACCACTGGTGTAAAACCCACAGCATAAAGCATGAATATTCAGCTTCTTGGTTCTGCATTGCCCAAAGCCTGGCATGTAGCAGGGGCTCATGAAGTGTTAGATTCTCCTCAAGTATATATTATTTGCACCACTCATTTGCCAGTTTATTATTGGCTGCATTCTGCCCTCATTTATCCTTGTTTTCTTTTCTTGTATTGAGGCAGTATGGTATAATAGTTAACATATGCTGGCTTAGAATCCTGACTCTGACCCTTATGTGCTGTATGTGATTTACCTAATCTCTCTATACCTCATTTACCTTATTTATAAGATGAATTTAATAATAGCATTTACCTTGCAGGGTTTTTGTGTCAATTTAATAACTCCACACATGTAATGTGCAAAAGTGGCTGGTATCTAGTGGATAATCAATAATTGTTAAGTATTATTTTTTTTAATACTTTACGTAGAAAAGTGATCCTATAATCTTGTCTCTTTCACCAGTTTGTGGGTTCCTTGACCGTGGAAATTAATGCCTCATTTTACTCAGTATTCGTTACAGTTTGGGGCATAATAATTAGAATTTTTGGTATAATAATAATTTATGAAATATGCCTAATATATATGTACATTTATATATATGTATGTACTATGTCTATGTATAATATTATTTTAAATTATACATGGTAAGTTGAAAACAGATATTTGGAGATTTGTCATCTGCATGAAAAATTTGTCATTGACTATGAGCTCCTATTGGAGGAGAATGTGATAGGTCTACTTCAAACTTATCTGGTGGCATTTCAGGGCAAGTTGGCACCCAGCCTGAGGCTAACAAAATAAAGTTAGACTTGAAAGCTCTTTAATATCTATATTAGTGCTTGCTTATTTGGGGAATAAAAGAATGCCTGTGTTAGTCTGTACATGGTTCAATAGCATTGTGTTCAGAGATAGCACGAACACTATCGAAGTTTTAAACAGAGATGCATTTTATTGCTTTCTGAGCAACTGGGAATTTTCTCATAGAGAAGACGTAAGTGTGTAGTGATGTACCACTTTGGTGAATAAAATGAGACCTGCTGGTAACAGGGGGTAACTTTTATGCACATAGGACCAAATGTAGCTGGGAGATATAGCCCCGATAAAGAAAGATTAGAAGAAAATAATGCAGCTTTTGTGAAAATTGCTAGACAACATGTCACAGGAATACCACATAGAAGGATTAAACTTTTTTGGAGATAAGATGTCCACGTCTATAAAAAATGCCTGGGTTTTTCTCTACTCCACCATCTCATTTTGTCAATAAGAGTTGAGTTACAAGGCATTGGATTTTTTTTTTTTTTTTTTGAGACAGAGTTTCACTCTGTCACCCAGGCTGGAGTGTAGTGGCACAATCTTGGCTCACTGCAACCTCTGCCTCTGAATCAAGTGATTCTCTCGTGCCTCAGCCACCTGAGTAGCTTCGATTACAGGTGTGTGCCACCACACTGGGCTAATTTTTGTATTTTTGGTAGAGATGGGGTTTCGCCATGTTGGCTAGGCTGGTCTCGAACTCCTGGCCTCAAGTGATCTGACTGCCTTGGCCTCCTAAAGTGGTGGGATTACAGACATGAGCCACCATGCCCAGCCTGGGCTTGGGTCTTAATGAGATCAAGAATACATCATGGGTTAAGAAAGTATAGCAAACTGCCTGTTACTACTAAAATATTTATATAGATAACACATGTCCACTTTAAAAAAAATAGAAGGAAATTTTCTATTTTTTAAAAACTTTTATTGCAGATTTGTTTTATAGGTAAACTTGTGTCATGGGGTTTTGTTGTACCGATTAATTCTTCACCCAAGTACTAACCCTAGTACCCAATAGTTATTTTTCCTGATCCTCTCCCTCCTCCTATCCTCCCCCCTCAAGTAGGCTCTAGTGTTCATTGCTCCCCTCTTTGTGTCCATGTGTTCTCATCTTTTAGCTCCCACTTGTAAGTGAGAACATGCAATATTTGGTTTTCTATTCTTATATTAGTTTGCTATGGATAATGGCCTCCAGCTCCATCCATGTTCCCACAAAAGACATGAGCTCCTTCTTTTATATGGCTGCCTAGAATTTCATGGTGTATACGTACCACATTTTATGTATCCAATCTGTCATTGCTGGGCATTTAGGTTGATTCCATGTCTTTGCTATATTGTGAATAGTGCTACAATGAGCATACGCATGCATGTCTTTATGATAGAATGATTTCTATTCCTCTGAGTATATACCCAGTAATGGGATTGCTCAGTCAAATGGAGTTATATTTTTAGCTCTTTGAGGACACACCACAATGGTTTCCACCATGGTTGAACGAATGTACACTCCCACCAACAGTGTATAAGCATTCCCTTTTCTCTGCAACCTCACCAGCATCTGTTATGTTTTGACCTTTGAATAATGACCGTTCTGACTGGTGTGAGATGGTATATCTTTGTGGTTTTGATTTTCATTCCTCTAATGATCAGTGATTTTGACCTTTTTTCATATGCTTGTTGGCTGCATGTAGATCTTCTCTGGAAAGGTGTCTGTTCATGTCCTTTGCCCACTTTTTAATCATTGTTTTTCTCTTGTAAATTTGTTTATGTTCTTATAGATGCTGGATGTTAGACCTTTGTCAGATGAATAGTTTGTAAATATTTTCTCCCATTTTGTAGATTGTGTACTCTATTAATAGTTTCTTTTGCTGTGCAGAAGCTCTTAAGTTTAATTAGTTCCCATTTGTCAATGTTTGCTTTTGTTGTGATTGCTTCGGGCATCTTTGTCGGGAAATCTTTACCTGCTCCTATGTCCAGGATGGTATTGTCTAGTCTGTCTTCCAGGGTTATTACAGCTTTGGGTTTTACATTTAAGTCTTTAATCCTTTGTATATGGTGCAAGGAAGGGGTCCAGTTTTAATCTTCTGCATATGGCTAGCCAGTTATCACAGCGTCATTTATTGAATAAGCAGTCCTTTTTCCATTGCTTGTTTTTGTCAGCTTTGTCGAAGATCAGATTGTCATAGGTGTGTGGCCTTATTTTTGTGCTTTTTACTCTGTTCCATTAGTCTATGTGTCTGTTTTTGTACCAGTACCATGCTATTTTTGTTACTATAGCCCTGTAATATAGTTTGAAGTTGGGTAATGTGATGTCTCTGTCTTTGTTCTTTCTGCTTAGGTTTGCCTTGGCTGTTTGGAATATTTTTTTGGTTCCATTTGAATTTTAAAATAGCTTTTTTTCTTGTTTTGTGAAGAACGTCATTGGTAATTTGATAAGAATAGCATTGAATCTGTAATTTGCTTTGGGCAGTATGGCCATTTTAATTATATTGATTCTTCCTATCTATGAGCATGGAATGTTTTTTCATTTGTTTGTGTCATCTCTGATTTCTTTGAGCAGTGTTTATAATTCCCATTATAAAGATCTTTCACCTCCCTGGTTAGCTGTATTCCTGGATATTTTATTCTTTTTGTGGCTATTGTGAATGGGATTGTGTTTCTGATTTGGCTCTTGGCTTGGCTGTTGTGTAAGAATGCTAGTGATTTTTGTACATTGATTTTGCATCTTGAAACTTTGCTAATGTTATCAGCTGAAGGAGCTTTTGGGCTAAGAGTGTGGGGTTTTCTAGGTATAGAATCATGTCATCTGCAAACAGGAATAGTTAGACTTTCTCTCCTCCTATTTGGATGCCCTTTATTTCTTTCTTTTGCCTGATTGCTCTGACCAGGACTTCCAAATACTATGTTG
The DNA here is from genome assembly GCF_000001405.40 of Homo sapiens. Taxonomy (NCBI): domain Eukaryota; kingdom Metazoa; phylum Chordata; class Mammalia; order Primates; family Hominidae; genus Homo; species Homo sapiens. The sequence goes on along the minus strand of NC_000003.12, from coordinate 176,803,750 downwards.
AATAGGAGTGGTGAGAGAGGGCATCCTTATCTTGTGCCAGTTTTCAAGGGGAATGCTTTGAGCTTTTGACCATTCAGTATGATGTTGGCTTTGGGTTTATCATAGATGGCTCTTATTATTTTGAGGCATGTTCCTTCAATACCTAGTTTATTGAGAGTTTTTAACATGGAGCAATGTTGAATTTTATCAAAATCCTTTTTTGCATCTATTGAGATAATCATGTGGTTTTTGTCTTTAGTTCTGTTTATTTGATTAATCACATTTATTGATTTGTGTATGTTGAAACCCGCTTACATCCCAGGGATGAAGCATACTTGATCATGGTGGATTCACTTTTTGATGTGCTGTTGGATTTGGTTTGCAAGTATTTTGTTGAGGATTTTTGCATCAATGTTCATTGAGGATATTGGCCCAAAGTCCTCTTTTTTGTTGTGTCTCTGCCAGGCTTTGGTGTCAGGATGATGCTGGCCTCATAGAATGAGTTGGGAAGGAGTCCCTCCTCTTCAATTTTTTGGAGTTATTTTAGTAGTAATTGTACTAGTTCTTCTTTGTACATCTGGTAGAATTTGGCTGTGAATCCATCTGGTCCTGGGCTTTTTTTTAGTTGGTAGGCATTTATTATGGTTTCAATTTTGGAACTCATTATTGGTCTGTTTAGGGAATCAATTTCTTCCTGGTTCAGTCTTGGGAGAGTGTATGTGTCCAGGAATTTATCCATCTCTTCTAAATTTTCTAGCTTGTGTGTATAGAGGTATTCATAGTAGTTACTGATGGTTATTTTTATTTTTGTGGGGTCAGTGATAACATCTCCTTTGTTATTTCTAATTGTATTTATTTGAATCTTCTCTCTTTTATTAGTCTAGCTATCAGCCCATCTATCTTATTAATTGTTTCAAAAACCAACTCCTGGATTTATTGATCTTTTGAATAGCTTTTTGTGTTTCAGTTTCTTTCAGTGCATCTCTGATTTTGGTTATTTATTATCTTCTGCTAGTTTTGGGGTTGCTTTGCTCTTGTTTCTTTAATTCTTTCAATTGTGATATTAGATTGTAAATTTGAGATCTTTGTAATGTTTTGGTATGGGAATTTAGTGCTATAAATTTCCCTTCTAATACTGTCTTAGCTGTGTAAAAGATACTCTGTTATGTTGTATCTTTGTTCTCATTAGCTTCAAAAAACTTCTTGATTTCTGCCTTAATTTCATTATTTACCCAAAAGTCATTCAGAGAATGTTGTTTAATTTCCATGTAATTGCATGGTCTTGAGTGATTTTTTAAGTCTTAACATCTATTTTTATTGCAGTGTAGTCCAAGTGTATATTTGGTATGATTTCGATTCTTGTGCATTTTGCTGAGGATTGTTTTATGTCCAATTATGTGGTTGAGTTTAGAGTCTGTGTTATGTAGTGATGAGAAGAATGTATATTCTGCTCTTTCTGGGTGGAGAGTTCTGTAGAGGTCTATCAGATCTATTTGGTCCAATGTATAGTTCAGGTCCTAACTATCTTTGTTAATTTTCTGCTTTGATGATCTGTCTGATAATGTAAGTGGAATGTTGAAATCTCCCACTATTACTGTGCGGGAATCTGAGTCTCTTCATAGGTCTCTAAGAACTTGCTTTATGAATATGGATGCTCCTGTGTAGAGTACATATATATTTAGAATCATGAGGTCTTCTTGTTGAATTCAAACCTTTACCATCATGTAATGCCCTTTGTTGTCTTTTTTTGATCTTTGCTGGATTAAAGTCTATTTTGTCTGAACATAGGTTTGCAACTCTTACTTTTTTGTGATTTCCATTTGCTTGGTAGATTTTCCTCCATCCCTTTATTTTGAGCCTATGGGTGTTTTTGCATGTGAGATGGTCCCTTGAAGACAGCACACTCTTAGGTCTTGCTTTTTTATCCAGCTTGCCACTCTGTGCCTTTTAAATGGGACATTTAGCTCATTTACATTCAAGGTTAATATTGATATGGGTGGATTTGATCCTGTCATTATGTTGTTAGCTGGTTATTATGCTGGCTTGTTTGCGTGGTTGTTTCATAGTATCAGTGATCAGTGTACTTAAGTATGTTTTTATATTGACTGGTAATGGTCTTTCCTTTCCATATTTAGTGCTGCTTTCAATAACTCTTGTAAGGCAAATCTGGTGGTGACAAACTCCCTCAGAATTTGCTCATATGGAAAGAATCTTACCTTTGCTGAGGACGCTTAGTTTGTCTGGATATTAAATTCTTGGTTGAAGATTTTTTTTCTTTAAGAGTGTTGAACATAGGCCCCCACTCTCTTCTTTCTTGTATGGTTCTGCTGAAAGAGCCACTGTTAGCCTGATGAGGTTTCCTTTGTAGGTGACCTGCCCTTTCTCTATAGCTGCCTTTAACATTTTTTCTTTCACTTCTACCTTGGAAAAAATCTTAGGGATGATCTTTATGTCTTAGGGATGTTCTGTGTCTTAGAGATGATCTTCTTGTGTAGAATCTTGCAGGAGTTCTCTGTATTTTCTAAATTTGACTGCTGGCCTCTCTAGCAAGGTTGGGGAAGTTTTCATGGATGATATTCTGAACCGTTTTCCAAGTTGTTTGCTTTTTCTCTGTTCCTTTCAGAGAAGCCTATGATTTGGCCTCTTTAATAAAACCACTTTTCTTGGAGGTTTTGTTCATTTCTTTTTGTTCTTTTATCTTTACCTTTATCTAAGTGTCTTATGTCAGAGAGCCAGTCTTCAAGTTCTGATATTCTTTCCTCAGTTTGGTCTATTTTTCTTTCTTTCTCTTTCTTTCCTTCCTTCCTTCCTTCTTTTTTCTGACAAAGTCTGGCTCTGTTGTCTAGGCTAGAGTGCAGTGGCACAAACTTGGCTCACTGTAACCTCTGCTTCCCAGGCTCAAGCCATCCTCCCACATCAGCCTCCCAAGTAGCTGGGACCACAGAGGTGTGCCACCATTCCTGGCTAATTTTTGAAATTTGTGTAGAGAAACTTTGTTTCTCTTACTTTGTTGCCCAGGGTGGTCATGAACTCCTGAACTCAAGCAATCCACCTGCTTCAGCCTCCCAGAGTGCTGGAATTACAGGTGTGAGCCACCACACCTGGCCTATTCTGCTGTTAATACTTGCAATTGCATTGTGAAATTCGTGTAGTATGTTTTTCAGCTCTATGAGGTCAGCTTTTTTTTTTAATACTTGGTATTTCATCTATCAGCTTCTGTATTGTTTTTATCATGATTCTTAGTTTATTTCAATTGGGTTTTGCCCTTTTCCTGAATCTTGATGATCTTCATTCTTATATGTATTCTGAATTCTGTTTCTGGGGTCATTTCAGCCAACTTGGGCTGATTAAGAACCCTTGTTGTAGAACTAGTTCAGTCATTTGGAGGACATAAGACACTCTGGCCATATAACTTGCCAGAGTTCTTGCACTGGTTCTTTCTCATTTCTGTGTATGGATGCTCCTAGAAGGAAGTTTTCTGTCCCTCTCCTTTTTCACCCATTTCCTCCTTCATCTCTTTCCACCTCCTCTTCTAGATTTTTTTTAAGGTTTTTTTTGTGTTTACTCTTTTCAATTGTATTGGGATTTGAATTTCCACAGCAGAAAAGCACCTTGAAAATCATCCAGTTAATTTTCCTCTGATCAACAAGGAAACAGAGACTCAGAAAATCAGAATCACTTGTTCATGATTTTGTATTTAGCTTGTCTCAGAATATAGCTGATAAGTTTTATCTTTTGTCTCCTCTTTCTCATTTATTTTGGTGGGCAAGTGATCCAGAGAATCAATTAACATAACACGACTTTGAGAACACATTCAACTGGTTAGGCTGGTCTGTTTTCTTCCTGGTTTCTGTTCTTATGATTAATGCCATGTGGATTCAGTGAGCCTGTGTTCAGGAGTTCCTCTGGTTTATTCCTAACTTGGTCTCTGTCCTGCACTGTGTCCTTTGCATAGCGTCTTTGCCTGCCTGCCTGCTGGGCCTGTTTCAAGTGCTAGGAACTGCCATGGTGGCAAGAATGTGACAATCTCTTAGTTACTTCTGTTGTAGTTAAAAGGAAGAAAATAATGAAAGTTGAGGTGAAAGCATTAAAGCTTATATGTATATTTGCTTGTTAGTGCTACTACTTTCAGTTCAAATCCTCTGACTCTAAGTGCCATTTCTTATGCTTGTGCTTCATTATGTAAATGCCCAAAACTGCTTTCATAGCAGCTTCAAGCTAGCAAGTGGGTGACAGTGCTGGAGAAAAAGCAAAATTCAATTAACAGATTATGTTTCAGCCACATGTTTGTACAAATCTAATTCCTGTAAATTCAAATGTTTTACTACATTCTCAAAGGAGCACCCAGAATGTTGGAATTTCATCTCTGTTTCCTTAAAATCCAATTTCCTTCCATAAAACTTCCCAGAATATACCATATCAAAATAATTTCTTCCCTTTCCTGAACACTTTCAGAGTTTGTGGATACTCTTCCTAAGCTGCTTCACATTGAGAGAATCACTGTATGTGATCACATAATTTGTACAAACTAGACTCATTTAAGGATGGTGTTTGACTCAGCATTGTATCCCACAAACACCTAGCACAGTGATTTGCATATAGTAAATACTCAATACACATATAAAAGGTATGAATTTTATAAACCACTTGCTCAGTTATATCAAAATACCTTCTTTCTTTGTTTTCATATAACTGAAGTTAATTTCTGTGTTAAGGATCACTTAGCTCCATGGCAGAAATTTAATTGTACATAACTCAGGTTAACGTCAGTCACTTCTAGGTTTTCTTGGTCAATTCAGTTTTCTCTACTCATCTTCCTCTAAGAAGCTAGAAACTTGATGGAGCAGGTTATGTAGTGCTATCCTGTTAATGGGAAATGGACTTTGTCCTCTGTGTTTTGCATAGTTATAAAAATCCAACCACCTTGTTTGCTAAGATTGACCATGCTCCCATAGCAGTTATAGTTTTAGCCTTTCCTCTGGTCTGAATATTTGTGTCCCCTAGAATTCATATGTAGCTTCCTAATCCCTGATGTGATGGTATTAGAAGGTGGAGCATATGAGAGGTGATTAGGTTATGAAGGTAGAGCCCCTGTGAATGGTATTATGCCCTTATAAGGAATTGAAGAGACTAATTCTCCCTTTCACCTTGTGAGGAGAAGTTAGAGGACACCATCTATGAATCAGAAAATGGGTCCTTAGCAGATACCAAATCTGTGCATACCTTGATCTTGGACTTCCGAGCCTACACAAATTTTGAGAAATAAATTTGTGTCATTTGTAAAGTACCCAGTTCATGGTGTTTTGTCATAGCAGTCTGAATAGATGAGATAATTACTATATAGTAATTCTGCCCCATTGTCACCAAGTCTACTTTTCTAATATTTTTTCCCAGCAGTACAATGATGAAAATCAACGAATGTATTTTTTTCAGAAAGAAATAAGAAATCTCAATAATCATTCAGTCATGTCAAATTATAAATTATAGCCAGAATTCACTGAGACACTAAGTTGAGTCACAAAATTATACTTTTTACCTTAAAGTATATTTATAAAAAATTATAGGTAGGTTTATGTTCTCATTTGTCACACAGATGTTGGCTGTTCATCTATATGAGCTATATCTCTTTCACTTTCAGCCCTATTCTAGACTGGGTACAACCCCAGCTTTTTTTTTTTTTTTTTTTTAATCATCTTTAACAAGGAACTCAATTACACAAAACCACATACAATTTTTGGAAATTTACTGAAGATTTTTGGAGTTAAGATCAGGGATAAAATTCGCAGTTCATGTCATTTTATTCCTTGTCTCACATCTGCAGATAGACTGAGATTTTGTTGATCAAAGCTGGAATCAACAGGGGTTGACTCCAAACTGCTGATTAGGGCAAGGGCAACTCTGTGTATTTGTCATCTTTTTTGGTCCAACAGGAAAATCAGTGAAGGCTCTTCTCATGTTGGTGGCAGAAGTGAGAAGAAGGGCAAGTAGAAATATGGAATGTCTCTTAAAGTCTGGATTCGCAACAGGGACCTAGTCATTTCTGTTCACATTCTCTGGACAAAGAAAAGGCCAACATCAGAAGACCAGGAAAACGTACTGTCCGAAATCCTATTGTTAAAAAGTGAGAATAGAAAGACGGGTAAATAATTTTGAGAATATAATGCAATCTCTTAGAGAGGAATTCATTAGATTAAGTACAAAGCAAAGACTTTTAAAAGGTGCTCTTTAATTGAAATTCATACTTAATTTTTGCATTTGTTCTATATATTATACTCTACTAATTTCTACCTTGTTAGGTTCTAATTTATTGCCTCAAATATCAAGTTATAATAATGAGGTGATACCTAGTAACTGATAGATGTGAGTTTTAAAAATTCTTCCCTAGTTATCTGGAGCTTCATTTGTTTCAGGTTGCTTACATAGTCCCCATTTTTCTCTTTCAATTGCTATCTGCTCCGCACTTCCGTCAATTATAGAAATATGTATCTGTGTGTGTGTGTGTCTGTTTGTGTACATACATACATATAAACTAAAATATCCTGTTCTCTCCTTTTTCTGTTGCTTAAGGAAAACACTACTGGTACTAGATCCATGAAAGAGCCGTACAGGTTGAGTAGGAATTTTGCTTTATTTTCTTGTTTGATTTGTGGCCTGAAAGAGTGAGGAGAAATTTTGATGTTATGGGACTTTGCCTCTTAATACCAAACAAATTTTTGTCCTGCTAATAAACCCAGTAAGTCCCTGAGACCTCACAGACTATGAGATCACTTTTATCGTTTATAATTGACACAGATTTTTAAATGTATACACACACATATACATACATACACCCACACACACACCTTATTGTACAATCTGGGAAGACAGGAGTACATAGGACAGTAGTCCTATGTGCTGAATTATATATAGATCAAGTTTTTTATATTTTAAAAATCACATTGAAAAAGCAAACTTTATTGTATAAATGTGTGGGGTAAAGTGTGTAATTTTATAGCATGCATAGTGGTGAAGTTAGGACTTTTAGGATCTCACCCAAATAATGTACATTGTACCCATTAAGTCATCTTTCATCAACCACCCTCCTCTCATTTCCTTACCCTTCCATGTCTCTGTTGTCTATCATTCCACACTCTATATCCATGTGTACACACACAGTATTTAGCTCCTACTTATAAGTGAAATCATGTGGCATTTGTTGAGAAAGCAAACATTTCTTAACAGTAGCATCATCAGCTTTCTCTTTATCTCCTTCCAGAAAAATGCCTAACATTCAAAGAAATCAAGCATAAGTAATGCTGGAAACAACACAATAATTCCCATTTTAAGTGTGTCATGCCCATCTTCGAATTTGTTCAAAGATGAACATATTTAGATGTAGAGTCGATTACTCTGAGAATTGACTCCAGGTCAGTTCTTCTAGTGTGAGAGGCTCCAGAACTTAACAATTTGCCTGCATATAAATTTAGTTTATTCATTCATTAAATTTTTCAACACATACCTATTGAGCGCCTCCTTTTTTAAAAAAACATAGTTATGCACTGGGTGTTAGAATATTAAAGAAAGCATTGTGGGGCTCTTATGTCCCAGTGGAAAAGCTGACTCAAAAGTAAACACATGCATACTTACAATGAAACAATAGATCCTACTTCACAGTCTACATCCAGTATCTTGAGGCAACAACTCTAGAAGAGTTGAAGTCTTCCCTGCCTCCCTGTTTAGCATTCTATACTGCCTAGCAGGAGAAGATAAAAGAGATTTATTGCAGCTGTGGTTCAGTGAGGAGGGGCATCTGAAAGCTGGTCGTGGGATTTTTTTTTTTTTTTTTTTTGTAGTGAATTCTGAGGAGCAGTTTCATCTGGTCAGAATGTATTGAGTATAAAAGGTAAGGCAATTTATTCATTCAATAATTATTTATTTAGTGACTATGGTGAGCTAGGTATCATTAACACTCCTAAGATACACGGTGAACAGAACAAAAGCCCCTGACTTTACAGAATTTACATGCTTATGGGAGAAGACAGACTATAAGCAATACATATAAATAAGGATATAACAAAGCATGTTGGAAGATAATCTTCAAGGAATTATTTATCACACACCCCTTTGGAATTACATAATATCTCAAGGGATCATGTAAAAACTGGAATTATTTTCAATTGTCTAGTTTTGCTAGATTGCAGTTTCTTTTAATCATTGTGACACAGAGAATGGACCCTGAGGTGCTCCAGTCATATTCAGGTTACACATTTTATAATGCTTCCTATTTTATGTATCTTCTTCTCCTAACTATATCACAAGCTCCTTGATGGCAGAAATGATTTCAGTTTTTGTATCCAGAACCTGTCACAATAGATGTTAAGTAAAAACTGGTGTTATTTATAATGAGCCTGGAAGGATGAGTGGGCTTATGGGTATAATGGACACAGATGGACCAGGATGTGAAAAGGGAGGAAAAGAGATAATATGGAGTACTTGAGAGACAGCAGGAAACTTAGTGGAAGTTGAACTGTAGCTTGAAAAGCTCACGACTTTTTTTGCAGTTTAGGAAGAAGAACAAGTGAAGTAACTATTTGATAGATGGGAGAAGTTAAGAAGGAACTAGAAAACTATCTACTTAATGTCACAATGACCCCATGATTCGGTTCACCCTTCTTTCTATGAATGGGCCAGTCACATCAGTATATCTATCACTGTGCAAAGTTGATCATGAACAACCCATCTGCAAGGCTTAGAGTTTGTTTACAAGTCATGTCTTACAGAATAGGTTTTATACAAACGAGCTTGTGCCATTGAAGCCCTTGAAACAAAATCTAAGACACTGCTTGCAGCCAGTGTCACTCAGGCTCGGGTTTAGTAAAGCCCATCTCCCAGGAATTACTCTTGCCAAATAGTGGTCTCCTGAGGCCTTAATCAAATAAATTCTTCTCACTTCTGGCTCTTCAACTGTTTAACTTTGCTAGGGATTTCTTAGCGTGAGGAATGTTTAACTAATAGTAGGGGAGGTAGGAAACAATTCCTGTTTTTCTTGAGCACTCTGGGGTCCTGCAGCATGGAGACACTGTAGAAAGGGAACGAGACATTATTATTGTAATGAGTGAGGGTGTGGAGGGATACAAGTGGGTTTGCATATCGTTATGATGAAAAGATAATTAGTGAAACATCTGTAGCCTGGGCAATTCATCTAGCAGTGATTACACAGAAGCTGGCTGGAAGGCAATATGGTGAATTATACAGGATCCTGCAGGACCACTAAACAGAGACTGTAGCACTTCTGTGGGAGAAGAAGGAAGTGAGACAACTTGCTATGCAAGACAAATAGTGAAAGGAGCCTAAGAAAATGGCATTACAAAAGCATTGCTCTTCTCTTGAATGGAAGTATTAAAAATGCAAAAAGTTTGGAGCACATATTTTGCTTCATTTTAGTTTCAGTTTGAATACATTTAGGACTATTCCTCAAGCACCTGGTCCTTCCTGCCCTTCCCACTGCCCTCCCTACTGGGGAAAGAAAAAGGCTAAAACAAAGCATGGAACACATTGATTGAAAACACTTCCAACAATCAGATCAGAATAAATGAAGGCATAGCAAAGTGAAGTCATCTCTCAACATGTAATGGAACAAAATTGATAATTTGGGAACAGCAGGAAAGATTGAATTTGTGAGTAGAATAAAGAGAAGGTAGAATTCATAAGGAGAGTACACAGAACTTATTTCAAAGTAAGTATTTTCCTGGTAAAATAATTTTGGAAGATACAGCAGAGATAACCCAGACATTCCCAAGTTCTTCTGCCTTTGTGAAGTAAAGATGAAATGGGGTGAAGGGCCAGGTTGCTTTTCTCTTAAGTACCAGCTCATAGAGCCCAGGCTTTGTCTTCCATGATCACAGGAGCTCTACTCTTGCCTTAAGTATTTCTGAAAATCACTGGGGAGCACTGACATGTTCCACAAATCTACATTGGATGTGCTGGTTTCTCTCTCCAGGGTCTTGCTCTGGGCTTCTCCACTGATAACTTCTGGCCCATTCTCTTTTGCTACAGCTCTTTTCATGCATTTTGTATCCTAAGAGGCCCCATTTTGTTTTTAATAGTGTTTTACTGAAGGCTTGAGGACACCATGAGGAGATTACAGTGTCACCACGCTGGGTATCATTTTTCTTAGCCTTTTAGCTGGTCCCGTTCATAGGAGGTCCCCCTGTTGGCTGTCTGGCTCCTTAGACAGTTCTGACACCATCCTATCTCCTTACTCTTCATGTTTCTGTTACTAGAAAGGGGTTCTGATCCTTGTATCTAGACTGGTTTTTTTCCTCTAACCTATCCAGAAGGAGAAACACTCAAATCACAATAATCTCTCGAGCAATGTACTTTGCCTACAGTAAAGTCAAACATTTTCTGCATTAAATATATTTTTTAACATCTTGTTATGAATCTCCTACATTTGGAATAAATTTGCTAGTTCAAGAATTCCCTCAAACTGTAGGTAGGTTGTTGCCTTTCTTTGGCTGACCATAAGGGCTCATCAGTGTTGTCAAACTTTTTAAGAAGAAAATATATTTCAGCATCCACCCTAGAATGCAAAAATTGTTTTCTCTCACTCTGAAAACTCCAGGTCCAACAGTGCTGAGATCCGGATAGGATTTCCTGGGATTGGAAGACATGGTTGCATTTTTAAAGCCAATTTATTTAAACAACAATTTTAATAGTTCTGTTCTCCAGGAGAACAGAATAGTTCTATTCTCCACCGAGTGGTGATGGTTACTAGAACTTAAAATGCTACTGTGCAGGCAATTCTTGTCTTCAACACACTCCACTGCAACAGACACTAAAGCCACAAAACTGAAAGGTACCTGCTCTTGGAGTTCAGAAGCTGGATTCTGCCACTTATTAGCTGTGTGACTATGAAGGGCAGCTCACTAAATGTTACCTGTGCAACTATGCTGTGATTGGGTGACTATGAACACGTCTTTAAATCTTGTTTCAGGAATTTTCCAATATCTACATTGTATGACTGTGTTGTTAAATTTCACTTGCCCTATTCATTTGGAAATTTCTATACAGAGGAAGACCATAGATGATGGGTGACAAGGTTCTTATGTTTTGCCATCTTAAGCAATTTTATAGTAAGAGAAACTTGGGAAACTTATAGAAAACTTCAGCTGATAAACAGGTAATCAATTTCTGGCTTCCCAGTGAAGTTAAAAGTCTTCTGATGGCATCTATCCATGAAATGCTGTGTGAGATACTGTATTTGTGAGTATATCTTTAGATACCTGGAATCATTTGGGGGTATTGTAGAAAGAATTTTGATTATCATCTGAAAGGCATATTGGATTATCCCACTACAATGCATACTATTGCATAATATATATGTAACTAACATCTGTTATAAAATTAACCATGTCACAAAGGAGACAGTTTTTGCTCAGTAAGATATAAGAATTGGTTTTCTTAAAGAAAACAGATAAACAAAATACATGTGAGATATACAAGCTGATTTAAGTTTTATCTGCTAAGATTGACGAAAATAATGTAAATAACAATAAGAATGGCAATTCCATTTTCTGAACATGTTGCAGGTACTTGGCAAGGTGCAAAGTAATTTACCTGTGATATCTTATGTAATCCTAACAATGATTTTGGAGATGTGGGAGGAAACTTGGTAACCTCTTGCTTCTTGTGGGAACACTCCCTACCTTTCTCTTTCTTAGCTTTCAGAACCAGTTTCTGTGTCTAACACATAATAACTATCTAATGAATGGTTGGCATTTATTGAATAAATAAGTGCTTGGATGAGCGAGGCCTGATTATTTCAGTGTGAATGGAGGGGCAGTGTTATTGTGCCAAAGTGTATTTAAAATTTATATTTGCTTGGGTTTTGTTTTTAATTTTTAATTGTTATTTTTTCTATTTTAAGATGGGGTCTTACTCTGTCACCCAGGCTGGAGTGCAGTGGTGCGATCTCAGCTCAGTGCAATCTCTGCCTCCCATGCTCAAGCCATCTTCCCGCCTCAGCCTCTGGAGTAGCTGGGACCACAGGCACAGGCCACCATGCCTGGCTAATTTGTTTTTGGTATTTTTGGTAGGGATGGGGTTTCACCATGGTTTTACCACCATCCCAGGCTGGTCTTAAACTCCTGAGCTCAAGCTATCCACCTGCCTCAGCTTCCCAAAGTGCTGGGATTACAGGCATGAGCCACTGTGCTTGCCCTAAAATGTATATTTGAACCCAGCTCTGTGCCTGCCGGCAGCCCAGACTAAAAGAGAGGCAGAGCCAATGGTGAATTTCTATCAGTGCTTCTTATTTACTGAGCAGTCAGTGTGTGCTAAGCCCTGTGTTCATGAATTTAAATACCAGCTCACATATTGATTACTCAGGATGCACGTTTTCTTTTTCTTTTCCTTTTCCCCTTCCCTCCTTCCTTCCTTCCTTCTTTCCTTCCTTCCTTCCTTCCTTCCTTCCTTCCTTCCTTCCTTCCTTCCTTCCTTTCTCTATCTCTCTCTTTCTTTCTTTTTAATTTTTTTTGAGACAGAGTCTTGCTTTGTCACCCTGGCTGGAGTGCAGTGGCACAGTCTCGACTCAGTACAACCTGCACCTCCTGAGCTCAAGCAATGCTCCCACTTCAGCCTCCTAAGTACCTGGGACCACAGGTGTACACCACCCCACCTAATTTTTGTATTTTTTGTAGAGCCAGGGTCTTGCTATGTTGCCCTGGCTGATCTTGAACTCTTGGGCTCAAGCAATCCACCCACCTTGACCTCCCAAAGTGCTAGGATTACAGGTGCATGAGCCACCTTGCCAGGCCTAACATTTACTTACGTACATTATATATAAAATAGATGAAAGAGAGGATGGCTAGTTACATTTGAGTTTCTGATAAAAACAAATAATTTTGGTATAATTGTGAGACAAGAAACTGTTTGTTTTTCACCTGAAATTCAAATTTGAGTGTCCTGTAGTTTTATTTGCTAAATCTGGCAACCTTACTTATATGCATTATCTTACTTAATAATTCATCAATTCCAGGAGGCTCATTTTAAAAATGGCAGGATTGAAGTATAGAAAGGTTGTGTAACTTGTCTGAGGTTACACAGCTAGTAAGTGGTGAACCAGGATAGAAATCCAGATAGACCGGCTTCAGAATCCATACCTTTAACCACAATGCTATTCTTCCAACACCCTTAGGAGGTGGGCATATCATCCCCACTTGTATTTATACAACAGGTATCAGAATTAGAGAACCCAATGAACTTGTGCCATGTTCTGTAGCTAATAAGAGAAGAGGAGTTGTGATTTGAATTGAGGGATGCCTGTCTCCAGAGTCAGGGCTTTTAATCCCTATCTTTAAAGATAAAATCATGTAACTGGAATTTTTTAAGGTCAGAGACCAATGAAGCTTTTCAGTTGTTAATATTTTCTTCCAGGGTAATATAGGACAAAGGATGATGAAAAATAAATGCCTAGGGAAGGCCCATTGCCATTTGGTGTCAACAAATTATATAGGGTGTCGCCAAGATTCCTTTTAGAGTAGGAATTTATTTCACTATTTTTAATAGCTTAAGTGTTGGCATTAGAATATTTCTGTAGCTAGAGGATGTGAGCTGTGGAGAAGCTGATTCATCTTTCAGCATTTTACCTTATGCACATGTCAGCTCAGAGGATTTATTAAACATTTATTAAACAGCCTAGAGACCTTCCGCATGATTGTGGTGAAAGTATTTCCTAAATATTGCCCTCGTCTACTCTACTTGATCCTTAGAATTAGCAATGACATGTTTCAATCCTAAAGAAACATATGCAAGGCTGTCCTTTAAATTTATTCATTCTCATTATATCTGGCCTGATTTTATTTTAACAAAGTGGCTCAGAACAAATCTAAGATACAATACAAATATCGGCTTGTCAGTAAAGAGAATTTCTTAAATAAGCAAATCAGACTTATTTTAACTTTTAAAAATGTGTTTGTTTGAATCAAACAAGAATAAATGAAATGGATATGTTTTCAGTGACAGGCATTGAAATTGTGCTCTCAGAATTAAATTAGCCTCACCTCCCTGTTATTTGAGACAGTTGGCCATTTGTGTGAAAATCAAGTAATTATGTGCTCCAGTGCTTTTTGGAAGGAAGGATGCAGAGAGAGAAAAATACCAGTTTGGGCCACCTATAGACAATAACCCAACTTGGGTCTGATCATTCAGAAGGAACTAAAAATGCTGTTACCATCACATACCTCATGGGTGACTTGTTGACCTTTGAATCTACTTTGGGTTCTATATTATGATCTTGATAATGATTCATTTCTAGGGCTTGGGAAATGTCTGTTTAAATGCTTTTGAAGGGTAACCACATAAGGCCAAGGCTTTTCTTAGGAGGCTCATGATAGTCTTTAGTTACACAGAATGTAAGTGGATGCTTCACCTCTCTATCATGGTTCATTTGACATAACAACCACAATACTTCACATGTTTTCACATGTCATAGACGAATAAGATGTTTACATTTGTTGACTCATTTCATTTTCATAAATGAGATGGAGCAGGTAGCATTATACTTGTTTATAGTTGCTAATGCTGGTGTAGCACAGTTTCTAAGACTACACAATCGGCATACTATGGACTGAAGGCTGAAACTCAGCTCTTAGGTGTATTCTGTGTTATGTAATGTTATTGCTATAACATTTTGCCAGGTATAGTTTGTTATAGGATCAGCCCAATTTGTTGTTGGGACCTTCAGAGGTAAATGTGGCATATGATAATTTTCTAAAAATTTCTAATAGCAGCAAATAGAAATTTGAAGCCAAATTTGAGGTAGAATAATGTGTTATCATCCCCCTTGCCTTGTCTTCCCTTGTTCTCTGTGTTTCCTTCTCCTTCTCAGCATCAAGTGCTCTTATTCTGTCTGTGCTCTTTTATATCCAAGGCCTTTACTGCAAGTCACTCAAAACTGGCTTTCAGAGTGAATGCTCATGTCCCCAAATGACCCTCCATCCACTAAAACCCCAGAACCCTCTCATCCAGGTGATGTGGGTAGAAACCAACCAACCAATTAATTATTCCTAGCTATGCATAAATGACTGAATATGGTTACTTTCAAGGGTGTATACATTTGAAAAGAGGATACTTGGAGGATAAGGTACAATAAAAAAAAAATCAAACTTTTTGTCTTGTGTTTTCAGTACAATTTGTCCAAGAGTGAATTTTGTTTTTGTTTTTGTTTTTGAGACGGAGTCTCGCTCTGTCACCCAGGCTGGAGTGCGGTGGCGCGATCTCGGCTCACTGCAAGCTCCGCCTCCCGGGTTCACACCATTCTCCTGCCTCAGCCTCCTGAGTAGCTGGGACTACAGGCGCCTGCCACCACGCCCGGCTAATTTTTTGTATTTTTAGTAGAGACGGGGTTTCACCGTGGTCGCTATCTCCTGACTTCGTGATCTGCCCGCCTCGGCCTTCCAAAGTGCTGCAATTACAGGCGTGAGCCACCGCGCCCGGCTAATTTTTTGTATTTTTAGCAGAGATGGAGTTTCACCGTGTTAGCTAGGATGGTCTCAATCTCCTGACCTCGTGATTCACCCGCCTCGGCCTTCCAAAGTGCTGCAA
Source organism: Homo sapiens (assembly GCF_000001405.40). Classification (NCBI taxonomy): domain Eukaryota; kingdom Metazoa; phylum Chordata; class Mammalia; order Primates; family Hominidae; genus Homo; species Homo sapiens. The sequence goes on along the minus strand of NC_000003.12, from coordinate 176,788,186 downwards.
TTACAGGCGTGAGCCACCGCGCCCGGCCAAGTGAATTCTTTTTTATTTAGTCTGCTTAGACTTGTGCTAAGGCTTGTATGTGAGAGTTAGTTCATATCTTTAAATAGTTCTAAGATATTGTGAGTTACTATCTCTGAATATTATCATTTCCCCATTCTCTCTGGTCTTTCCTTTGTGAACTCATATTCGACACTTTTGGGATCATCTCAAGGTATTAATACATATTTGGCACATGCTAAGCGCTAGATTGTTGGTAACAATGATAACGATGATTAATTTAGAAATGGCTATATGGCATAGGTAAAAAATCAAAGGCTTTGGAATTATAGTTGAGAGACACAGGAGACAGCAAAATCCACCCAGGGAATTGTGCACAGGGAGCTTGCCTAAACATGCCCACAGTGAAAAATTCTGTCCCTTAACACATGCCCAGTAAGAGAAATAAATCAAAGTGGAGTGGCTCAGACTAAGGGCCCATCTGCACACTGGGAGGGTGGGGTGGAGCCACGGGAAATTTGTGCCTTATGCAGGGGGAAGGGGCTTGGCCTCTTCAGCTCGTGTGTGGTATTTTATCTGAGAGGTGGCAGCCTGTTGGCAGGACCCCCTTTATTCGCTGAGAGCTTTCTTTTAATAAATTCTGCTCTCCTCACCTTTCAGTGTGCCCATGTGCCTAATTTTTCCTGGTCTTAAAACAAGAATCTGGATTTAGCTGAAGCAAGAAACAAAAAAATCCTGCATGATAGTGACCTGCGTTCAAATACATTAGCTGTGTGGTCGTGGCCAAGTTACTTAGCCTCTTTTAACTTCAGTTTGCCTTATTTTTAATATAACACTTAACGCACAGAGTTTTAAATAACTTGGTATTTATAGATTCTCAATAAACATTCACTTTCCTTTCTTTACTAAACTTGTTCTTAAAGCATTAAAATATCCTGGTTCTTAGGATGGAGAAAGAACCAAGGTTTGGTCTGATAAGGCTGCATGAAAGGAATGAGTGAGGTAGTTTAAGAATATGCAGGATTCAATTGGGAATTTTAAAATGTGGTCTATGGTGGAAACAAGGAATTTAGGGTAGGAAAAATATAATGAGGGAGCAGACCCATTTGACTGAAGGGAAGGGTCTGTAGAAGCATAACAAGAGCTCTGATTAGAAAAGCAGTAGGGGTTGGGTTAAGGATCACTTGCCTGTTTGGCCAGGAGAATGGGCTTTATCTTATACAGCATTAAAGAGTTTTGAGGAGAGAGCAATGTGATCGAGATCAAGAAATTCAGCCTAATGGCAGTTAGTGGAATGTGTTGGGGGAATAGAAAGAGAAGATAGCAATTGCCAAAGTCTGGGAATAAGGTCTAAGGCTTGGACTAGTATATTGGTAATGAGATTAAAAAGGAAGAGATTAAGACCAAACATGATATGGTATTGGAAGAGATAGAATTTGGTGATTAAATGGGAGAGTGAGGCAAAATAAAAAATTAAAAGAGAACCCAAGGTATTGAACTTGGTATAAATTCAAGAAGAATGGAAAGTTTGAGGTTTAGGAAGGGCAATAAATTTACTTTTAAATATGTGAACAATGTGATGGTAGGACATCTGGGTGGCTCCATGTAGTTTTGTTGGTTATCCTGAAACATTTGTAGTTTCCCAAACACCACACTATCTCTTTTTCTCTGTGCTGCTGCCTGTGTCCTTTCCTCCACTCATTGCTAGCTAATTTCCGCATGTCTTTCCTTTTTTTTTTTTTTTTTTTTGAGATGGAGTCTCGCTCCGTCTCCAAGGCTGGAATGCAGTGGCATGATCTCAGCTCACTGCAACCTCTGCCTCCCAGGTTCAAGCGATTCTCTTGCCACAGCCTCCCTAGTAGCTGGGATTACAGGCATGTGCCACCACACCCGGCTAATTTTTGTGTTTTTAGTAGAGATGGGGTTTTGCCGTGTTGGCCAGGTTGGTCTCGAACTCCTGACCTCAGGTGATCTGCCCACCTCAGCCTCCCAAAGTGCTGGGATTATAGGTGTGAGCCACCGTACCCTCTGCATGTCTTTCAAGACTCAATTTAGGATGCATAAGAAAATCTTCCATGCCCCTACTCCCCAGCTAGGTTTAAATGTGCCTCCTGTGGGATCCAATAAAGTTCTAATTAAACCTCCACCAGAATATTCATCACCCTGTGTTACAATGATTTGTTTACTTGCCTTCCTCCTTCAGAGGACTGGGAACTTCCTAGTCTACTACTCCCAAGCAGAGTTAATATTACATAGAAGACAATTAATGAATTAGATATGGAATGATTGAACTCAAGTAGAAAACCTAGTAAGTTGTTAAAAATGTGAGCAGTAAGGGAATTGTTCTTCTTTTTCCCTCTGTATTCATAGCAGGTACAAATATAGGTCTCTGCATTTGAATATTTGGTCTTAAGTACCAATTTGTCTGACTGCTTCCTTGACTTAAAACCAGGCCTATTATTTTAGCAACCCTTTGGAAAAGATTCCTTGCTTAATCAAAACCTGTTTGAACAATTCTGTGGATGGAGGGCATTTTAATTCTTATCCATTTCTTTCTACAACCAAGAATCAATGCAGCAGCCAGAGAGCAGATTTTCTTGCATTCTCACTGCTCCTTGAGGTACAAACCAATTTTCCAGCTTCCACATATTCTAACAAATAATTGTTTGGTTCTGGAAATAAAACTTTTTATTACAGCAACAGTGATAGGATACCAGTAGGACGATAAAAATAAAGTCTCAACGCATGGAATGTGAGTGCATCAGGCTGGCAAGATTCCTGGAAGTGGTGAATGGAGCCAGGGCAGAACTGACTGCTTGAAGATCCAAGTGCAATCATAAATGATTTCCATAAATAGTGCTACCGAGGGTTTGCTGTCTTGTGTGCTTTATTGAATAAAAGAAAAGAGGCTCCTATCCTTGGAGAGAAATGGACTTCTTTTGATGTTGCTAACAAAGAGGAGCCCACTGGCAGTGCACACTGTGACATTTGCTTTGGGTTTTAAAAACACATAGCACAAGCCGGTTGAAAAATTGTAATTCTGTTTGGTAACTGCCTGTGACACATGTAAGGCAAGTTATCCTAGCTCATTAATGATGTGACAAAGAAAAAAGAAAAGCTCATCACTACCACCTAGGCAAAACAATATATTGGCCGATGAGCAATATCACAAATGGAAGAAATTGATTAGGAAGCAAAAGATTGAGGTGAAACAGAGTATGGGCTTTGAAGATAGACCTGAATTATGATATTCTGTGTTCTGGTTTTTAAACTTTACAATAGGAATGATACAGATCTTTCTATGGGTTCATAAGGATTAAGCCAGAAAATATGCCCAACAGAGAATATATTTCTGGCAAAGACAGGGTGTATTTCTTAACAATTATTGACGGTCTATATTAAATAGGATACTTGCTTGATTATGGAGTTCATCTGTTAAAAACAAAGGGTTAAGACTAGTGTATACTCTATTTTTGGTGTCAATTTTATCACTACAATTATTAACATAAACCCCCCAGCCATGGCCTTTGTTTTTATGGATATAAGCAGTGTAACCAATGCACTCATACACAAATGACCTATGAAGACGGTGGTGGAAAGACAGAGAAAATGGATCTTTTCATTGCCTGTGCCATGCAGGGAGGAAAACAACTTTAAAACTGCAGCCATGGTAGTCTGAGTCTTTTCAACTCTGCTTAGCCCCACCTCAGACTCTGTGTATGTGTGTGTGTGCACGTGCATGTGTGCACACGCATGCACCATACTCTATAGAGAAAGAGTCTACTGGAAAGCAAAAGAGGAATTTGAAAGTTTGGAAACTTCTCAACCTAAACATGTTAAGAAAGCAGCAAATTTCTCTATTATTTGTGCCAATATCCTGTTTGTCTAGATTTTAGGGAAGCTTTTGAAAGACATGGAATAAGACAGAATCTGACAACCACAAAGAATACCTATGCATTTGCTAGGTAGCTTCAAGGACAGTCATAATTTTCAGTTCATTTTAGAGTTTAGGTCAAATAGATTGTATTTGTTTGATTGAACATACTAGTCAATGTAATATGGGGGTGTGCAGAACTAGCTAGATTAGTTGCTTATATAAGTCTAGATATAGTGTTAAGGAATGAGAGACAAGGTGTTTCTGGAAACTACCAGGAACCGGGTGTTCATGAGAATCCTCCTTATCCTTGCAGAAATGACTCAGTCATGGCCAGGAGATCCAGGTAGCAGATGGAATTAGAGTTTTATATGAGGTATCAGAATGTGGAAATGGCAAAGAGCAGTATGGGGTGGGAAACAGGAGAAAAAGGTCGTTGAGATATTAGGACCAAACATCCACCTTTATGCCATCAAAAGATTCCAGGACCAATAGGATGTAAATAGAAACCTGTTAGCAGTAAGAATCATGAGGTATTTCTAGGCATATAGGCAGAGAATAAAGAAATAAAAAGTTTTGGAAATGAATGGAAGGGGGCCTCATGGTAGTGGGAAGACAGTATTTAAAAGACAAACAGATCTCAGTCCAAATGTAGCTTCTACCCCTTAGTAGCTGATAATTTATTTACATATTTAAGCCTCACTATCCTCATTTATGAAGTGGTAAATATTAACAACTACTCTGCAGGGCTTTTGTAAAGATAAAATAAGTAAAAGGGTGCAAACCATGTATGAATGTCTATGGCACACAATCGGGCTTAAAATAGTAGCTATTGCTATTATATTTTACAGTACTAATTAAAAAGAATTTTAAATTCTGGATAAGATAGCGGGCACCTTGTGTTTAATTCTCACTTGAATTTAAAGTAACTTTCCCTACATAAGCCCCTGTGAGATGATGGGGTTAAAATTTCATAGCGTATCCTCTGAAAGGATGCTTTACTGACGCAGGTGAATGCACTTCTGAGGAGCCTTCTATTTTCTGAGATGAAAGAAGCATTGAATTCAGATAACGCAGTTGGACATGTCTGTTTTTGATTGTTGATAAATATTTCATTTTACATTTTAAATTCATATGGGCCACAAAATCATTGAAGATGAAAAAGAATGCAATACTAGGCCATCCTTTTGCAGGATTGTTTCTTAGAACGTACTTGTTCTCGTTTTGTTCAATTGAGATTGAAGTACCTTGGCAGCTGGACCCTGACAGCTACTTCACAGCTGTAGAGAGCACACTATGTGGATGAGTTTCTTTTTCCCCAGTTAGTCTAAAATATCCTCCTTCTAGGATGAGCTAAAAAGCAATCATTACTTACCTAGCTACAGGCTTGATTTTTTATCTAAAAAATATCATATTTGGGTTACCAATGTTATGTGTCTACATGTCTTGCATTAGAATGAAGAGATGTCTAACTGTTTCATTATATTTTACATTTTATGGCAAAGTACTATCTCATCTTGGAGCTAATTACAGGGTGGGATTTTAATATATACATGAAAAAGACATTCGATTAGGAGAATTCGGAAAGCAAGTGAAAATGGCTAAAAGCACAAATGTTTATATGATTGTATTACTGTCCCTGATGTAGTCAGTTTCTGGAGGGTTGAGCCTTCCTCTCTCTAAATTTCAATTATATTATTAGCAGTAGGCCATCTTCACAGTAATTGGTACACTCACTTTATCTAATGGAGTATTTTTCATCTAATTGACTCCAAATTTATCATACAAATGTCAAAGCCAACTTTTCCTATAATAACCTATTACCTCTGCAGTTCTGGCTCAGTGCACCCACAAGAAATGGCATAACGATCACTTCTGGGCAAGTGAAGGACAGCAACTTAATTTTCTTACCTCTGATGGAAAAGGACAGCTACTTTGGTAAAAGAAGAAACTTTTAATATGTTCACTTAATTTTGCAACATTTCTAGTTCACAAGAGTTCACTTTGTCCTACACTGTACATAGGAATGAATATTCTTGTTAAGAGAGGTGGGAGCATTAAGGAGGCAGTAGGATAGACAGGAACAAGGAATAGGACTAGGAGCAGGAGGTCTGGATGCAGCTCTGAAGTTGGATGATTTTGAACAAATCACCTCATCTCCCTGGTTCTCATATATCAAATGAGGAGCCTAGAATCATTGTTTCACAAACTTTGGTCATTTATGTACCCCCTTCAAGGCCTTTACACTTTTATATACTAACTGTCCACTTTTTAACCTACCATATTTCATTGTCTCAACTAACTCATAAAAATATATATATTTGAAAAGGAAACTTAAAATAACAAACACAAAAGCAGTTCACTTGTAATAAATGTAACCCTGAAATGAATAAATAAAAACCAAATTAAAGGAGATACACTTGAGGACTAACAGTGAAAATCATATCAAGAATGATGTTTCCATAATTGCATTATCATCACTTATGCAGTTTGCAATTTATACCACTAGCAGAATGCATAACACACTTTGAGAAACATTGGACTAGATAAATTTTGGGGTCCTTTTCTGCACTAAAAGTCCGTGATTAAGTTAAAGAAAGGCCCTTCTGGTGTACATTTCAAAAGTACATTTCATCCTGCCTCAGAAATCCTTCTGAATCATTTATATGGAAAATGGGATATTCCCAGTCAAAGGGTGAATTATAACATACTATCTTATTCTCTAGAGGAACCATAGAAAACAGGGAGACTCATGGAAATGTAAGAGTGAGAGATTAAATAGAAAAATAATATTATTTTTATCTACAGAATATTGAATTTAAGAAACAATAGAATACTAATTAAGACAAAAGTATAAAGTACAATATTATTTAGGTTATGCTTTTAAAATTGGCAATACCTTTGTCTATCTTGGTTCTGTGTACCAAGTTATACAGCTATGCTCATATACAGAATGCACTTTTGTGCACGGTCTAAGAAGATTTAGGTGAGTGTTGGATTAGAGGAAGGGGTATGAAGAATCAGTGAAGGAAGGAATTCCACATTTAAAGATGGAAGTGGGAAGTTCAAAATTCCTGGGTGATTTTGGCATAATTCCTCTGTAATTTTTCTATCTTGTCAATTTAGTTGTAAACAGAGTCACCGTACATCTAGTACTTGATTAGGTCCCTGGCTTCTAGCTGTTACTCTGAGTATTGTTTATAAAACACAGAGGAAAAAAACCCTGTTAAATCTATTGCTCTGCACCACTGGAAATAAAGGAACTTATGAAGAAAAGAACAAAAGAATTATCTTCAGGGGCCAAATGAGGAATTTCCCATTTCCTTCTGTTTTGTCTGCAACTGCAACCTGATGCTACAGAGAAAAGAACAAAGAAAGGAAACAGAGAAACAAAGGAACAAAGAAAGGAAAAGAGGGAAATGCCTATTTGCAGCTTTATCCACTGAAGTTCCTGGCTAGAGACTTTTAGAAAAAAATACAGTGGAATTTTCTGAGTAATACAAAAGTGATAAATTTACTAATAATAGGTTTTTTACAGAAAAGAAAAAAGAGATTGAAAGGCTTTTCAAGTATAAGAAATACATTTAGAATGGAAACAAGTGAAGAAGAACTTGAGTATATTCAAGTTAGCATTTTATAGCACTTATTACTGAAACCACATACTTTGACACATAAACACATACTTGCATTGTTCATTTAACATTTTATGCACATTTATTTTGTTTAATACCACACTATTTAAAGTTCCTTGAAGACTTAGATTGGATTTAGAGCAAGGCTTCATTGTAAATTCATGCTTTGAAACTTCTCTTAGCTAAAAACGCATAGCAGTAACATATTAAAATTTAAAAAGAAAAAATTTTAAAAGACATAAATACATCTGTCTGGGTGGTCTAGGTTAGGCTGCTATAGAAAACAACACCAAAATCTCAGTGGCTTAAAACAGAAAGATTTATTTCTTGTTCACACTATATTCCCATTGTGTGTTGATTCAGGGCTTTGCTCCATGATATCCTCACCTTGACATCCAGGAGGATGGTAGGACTACTACTTGGGGCATTGCTAGTTGCTATGGCAGAGGAAAGAGGGCATGATGAATCATGTACTAGCTCTTTACAGCTTCTACCTAAAGGAGACACATGCCACATCTGCTCATATTTTATTTACCAAAGCAAATCACAAGGCCATGTCTAAGGTAGAGAGGTAATATCTTACCAGTGCCTGGAAGGAAAAGTGGAAATATTTGTTAGATGGAAATTATTATTATTATTATTATTATTATTATTATTATTATTATTATTATAGCCATGTTGAAATCAACACCACCTTGGCCCCAAAATTGAACAGAGATAAAAGGTGGTGTGCAGAGAATAGTTCTGAACCCCAGGGCCAGAGGTAGAGAGAGTTAGCTAGGTGTCCAATTCTGTTGCGGTAAAAATGTCCACAAAAGCTATAAGTGAGTGCTTAGGGGAGCAAAAGATCCCTGATACAGCCTAGTAGCTAGGATTTGAGATAAACCACCAACTAGCTCAGTGACCCTGTCAATGATAGCCCTCTTTATGGATCAAGAGTCCTGTTGGATTGCCTGAGGGTCCCTTGAAGAATTGATAGAAGCAATAACCAGACATCTAGTCAGAGGTAGGTAAACATACAGAGTGAGGAAAAATACTCATATGCAAGATGAGTCTCCGAACCAAATTTTTAACTCACTCACAGAAAATAAATGTTGTGACAGCCATGAAAATTATCAAATAGAAAATAAACTCACTCTACTTGTAAAAAAACAAAGTATTGTCTAAAAAAGTTTTTGTATATTTAGGAGCTCCAGCAAGGTGAAAGAAAGCATAACATTTAAAAATAAAGCAGGGACATAATGAACATGATTGGGCAGAAATGAAAAAAGACCATGTAGATATGAAGAAGAACCACTTTGAAATTTCGCAAATGAAAAAATCAATCATTCAAATAAAAAAACTCCAACATTTAGTATAAACTCAAGACTGGATACAGTTGAAAAATAATTGGCTAATTAGAAGATAGTATTGAAAAATGTACCCAGAACATAGCACCATGATATAGAAAGATTTTTTAAAAATATGAAAGAGTAGATAAGGGATATGGAAGCATAATTGAGAGACTTTAATATATGTTTAATAGGCTTTCAAAATAAGACAGAGGGAATGGCAGAAAAAATATGAAAAGAAAATAGCTGAAAATTTATCAGTATTAAAAAAGTCAATGTCCTCAGATAAAAGTGCATTTTGAGATCTAAGCAGAATAAATAAAAAATAACTCAAATCTATGGACATTGTAATGAAACTGAAGATGTAGATAAATTGAAAATCTTAACAGTTGTCAGTGAGAAAAACAGATTACTTCAAAAAATGAAAATTAGACTAATAAGATAAAATAATAAAAGATGCCAGAGGACAGTGTAGTAATATCTTCACATGTCTGAGGAGAACATAAATGTTAGTCTGAAATTCAATATCTAGCTACATTATCATTCAAGAGAGAGGGAGAAATAAAGACATTTACAGACCTATAAAGACTAAGAGTGCGTTTGCTACCTATGAGCCATTATTAGAAGAACTATTCAAGATGATATTACAATAAGAATAAATTAATCTGAAAGGAAAGAGATTTATATTTTAAGAAAAGAGGGAAAGGGTCATAGTCCGGAAACATATTAATGTCTTTGTCAGGAAGATGACACTATTTTAAGATTTAAGGGTAATAACAAAAAAAAACCCAAAAGCACAATTTAGAAATTCTATATCAGTAGGGCGAAAAAGAAAGGAAAGATTATAGAAGAGAACACCTGTACCTTGGATTATTTCAATCTCTCTCTTCTTCTCCCCAAACATATATCATAAGAACTGAAAAACACCTGCTAGATTAAATCAAATATGAGTTATGTTGAAATATATGAAAAAATTGGAGTTGAAAAATTGGGCTAACCATTATATCAGGATCTATCCTATTTTTTTTTTTCAAGATGGAGTCTTGCTCTGTCTCCCAGGCTGGAGTGCAGTGGCGTGATTTTGGCTCACTGCAAGCTCCATCTCCCGGGTTCAAGTGATTCTCCTGCCTCAGCCTCCCAAGTAGCTGGGATTACAGGTGCATGCCACCATGCCTGGCTAATTTTTGTATTTTTAGTAGAGACAGGGTTTCACCATGTTGGCCAGGCTGGTCTCGAACTCCTGACCTCGTGATCTACTACCTTGGCCTCCCAAAATGTTGGGATTACAGGCATGAGCCACCGCTCCTGGCCAATCTGTCCTATTTTTTAGATGCCCAAGATAAATACAGAAAAGCCTCGATTATGTGACACCAGAAGCTAATTCAAATTATTTTTGTCCTTAAGCTTAAGGAAAATAAGAAAAACCACAAGAAAATAATCAGTATATATTTAAAGCAGTAATTTCATTCAGGCCAACATAGGTTTTATCTAGTCACCTATAATTTTGACATTTCCATTTACCTCACTCTACTACGATAACTTGGCTACAAAATGCCAACTTTTAGGGAGACCAATCATCAAAGAAAAGTTCAATCATCGTTAATGCACAACGTACAAGGATGAAAATTGAATTCATATTTTGATAAATGTTTTTAGAGATAAGTTTTTGAAAGTCTAAAATAACAGGAAACAAATCTGGCTCTTAAATGTAATAGAAGCTTCCATTTAGCGTAAGTAACAAAGCATTTTTTGGCATCATAGAGCTCGTGCCAGAAAGCTGAGTTCTGATTTCAAGTCTTTGCTCTGTGACCAAGCAGCTATGTGAGTCGACAGAACTCATTTAGCTTGTCGGGGCCTCCGTATGCTTATGTCTAATATGAGGGGTTCAATTAACTGAGTTCTAAGGTCCCTTGACGATTTCTAAGTCTATGATTCTAGAATGCACCAAATCCTGGGGATTCTGGTTAGCTGAAGTTGCAGGTTGCCTAAAAAATCTCTTCTGGCTGATACTGTGGGCACCTTAGACCCTGCTTCATCAAAGAGCTCTGGGGCAAGGCCATGCAGTTCCATGTGACATGCCCTCTATTAGGTGCTTTCCTACCCTGAAGAGTGAAATGCTATGGGATGGTGAGCACAGAGGGATGACAAGCAGAATAACAGAATGAATCCAAATAGGGTGGTGTTCAGGCAAGGCATATCAGCCAATTCACAGCTGACATATTTATACAAATATCGGACAGAAAGTTTCTTGGTTTGAAAACGGAGTTTCTATGGTACCTTTGTTCAAGGAAAAATGTGAGCAATGAGAGGCATTGTTCAGGAAGATGGGCCAGAGCTGTGTTAATGACTTTGGCGCCAGTCCATTTTTTCATCTGTGACATTTATCATGAAGCAATATTCGGGATCTTGATTGGGGGCTCATGCTGTGAAATACAATGAATGTAATATCTAGAAAACAAGAGAGAACAGATGTAGCTGGGTTGTATAATCCAGCGTGGCACTCATTGTCCTTTTCAAAGAAATAAATATCAAGCTTGAAAGATGGAAAACAGACACAGTTGAGATGGTCAGAATTCTGCCTGGTTGTAAAAGATGCCTGTAATTTCTATATCTGGGAACAGTCATTATGAAATAGGATGCCGTTACGCCAGTTCTTATAACACACAAGTATCTCTTATAATAGGCTGTGCATCCTGATTTTTCCTCTGTGAAGATGTTTAATTTTGCTCAAATAATATTTCATGGGCTGCAAATAAAGAAACGTTAGGGGAGAATGAGGTGGTCAAGAAATGTTTATTCACAGATAATGGACTCTTGTTTTCATGATCTTTAGAGAAGATGAAAGCATGATATACAAATTCTTATGAGAAGGGGAGAAGGGAAGACCTTTGCAAAAGAATGTGTCATTATATTCAATGATATATACTATTTGGAAACATACTATACCATTTTTCCTTTTTTTTTTTTACATGTTATTAGACTTCAACAATTGCAATAAGCTGTTAAATTTCACACTGAGATAATGGTTCTATTTCTGAGTTTTTATGCCCTTTGATATTTGAGTTTATGAAACCTTTTGTGATATTTTAATATAAAAGAATAATTTTGTTTTTCTCTGCAAAAATACTCTTATTATGAAAAACCATGAGTGTTTGGGGCTTCTTCTTTTAGCCATTGTTAGAGGAGTCATTCCTGAGAGAGAGATTACAGAGCCTGACTGAAGAGAAAGCTCTCCCCAAGTCACATATTTAGTTAAAACTTCAACTAACAGAAGAACCTTTAATGTTTTATTCTCTGGAACAAATCTTGACTCTTCTGTAAATACTCAATATCAAATGTTAGTTGTTTCACTGATGGAATACTGTGACTCCTCTTCATTACAAATGTTTATTTAAGTCTTTTTAGATGTGTATTTTACCTCGTTTACAGCAATGCCCTTATTTTCAATGTGCATGTTTGAATCTCTTGTCAAAAATACACTTGACCTCATTTACTGTTACTCTTCCAATTTTCAACCTGGGTACTTGAATTACTTCTGAAATGAATATTCTGGCTTTTTGAAATTTGTTTACTAGCTTGTTGAATATAAGAGCCTCCCTCTCCCGTGGGTCCAAAGACAATTCCTGGATAGCTGTGGGGTAGATGGAATCTTGGGATGTGCTTATGTATAAAATACAGCACATAAAATGATCTGATAGACCAAGTGTAGTGGCTAATGCCTGTAATCCCAGGTCTTTGAGAGGCTGAGGCAGGTGGATCACCTGCAGTCAGGAGTTTGAGACCATCCTGGCCAACATGGTGAAACCCCATCTCTACTAAAAATACAAAAATTAGCCGGGTGTGGTGGCAGGCACCTGTAATCCCAGCTACTTGAGAGGCTAAGGCAGGAGAATCTCTTGAGTCCAGAAGGCCAAGATTGCCCCACTGCACTCCAGTCTGGGCGACAGAATGAGACTCTGTCTCAAAAAAGAACAAACAAACAAACAAAAAGATCTGCTAAGGGTTTCTTTTTAAAATAAAATTTTTAATTTTTAAATTTTGTGCGTACATAGTAGGCGTATATATCTATGGGGTACATGAGATATTTTAATACAAGCATACAATCACTATTAATCACATTAGGGTAAATGAGGTATCCATCACCTCAACCATTTATCCTTTTTTTGTGTGTGTGTTACAAACAATTCAATGCTACTCTTTTAGTTATTTTACAATGTACAATAAATTATTGTTGACTATAGTCACCATGTTGTGCTGTCAAATACTAGATCTTGCTCATTCTATTTATTTTTTGTACCTGTTAACCAACCCAACCTCCCTTCTATCATTACTCTTCCCAGCATCTGGTAACCATCCTTCTATCTCCATGAGTTCAGTTGCTTTAATTTTTAGCTCCCACAAATAAGTGAGAATATGCGAAGTTTGTCTTTCTGTGCCTGGCTTATCTTACATAATATAATTGCCTCTGGTTCCATCCATGTTGTTGCAAATGACAGGACCTCTTCCTTTTTTATGGCTGAATAGTACTCCATTGTGTATATGTATCACATGTTTTCTGTCCATTCATTTTTTGGGCACTTAGATTGCTTGCAACTCTTGCCTATTGTTAATAGTGCTTCAATAAACATGGGCTTGTAGATATCTCTTTTCATATACTGATTTTCTGTCTTTTGGGTAGATACCTAGCAGTGGGATTGCTGGGTCATATGGCAGCTCAATTTTTAGTTTTTTGAGGAACCTCCAAACTGTTCTCCACAGTGGTTGTACTAATTTACATTCCCACCAATTGTATGAGGGTTCCCTTTTCTCCACATCCTCACCAGCATTTATTATTGTGTATCATTTGGATAAAAGCCATTTTAACTAGGGTGAGAATATCTCTCATTGTAGTTTTGATTTGCATTTCTCTGATGATCAGTGATGTTGATCACCTGTTTGCCATTTGTATGTCTTCTTTTGAGAAATGACTATTCAGATTTTTTGCTCATTTAAAAAAATTGGATTATTGGATTTATTTATATAGAGTTGTTTGAGCTCCAGATCAATGTCCTGGAGATTTTCCCCAATGATTTCTTGTAGTAGTTTCATAGTTTCAGATCTTGGATTTCAGTCTTTAATACATTTTGATTTAAATTTTGCATATAGTGAGAGAGAGGGGTCTAGTTTCTTTCTTTTGCATACGTATATCCAGGTTTTCCAGCACCAGCACCATTTATTGAAGAGACTGTCTTTTCCCCAGTGTATGTTATTGATACCTTTACCAAAAATGAGTCCACTGTAGGTGTATGGATTTGTTCCTGGGTTCTCTATTTGGTTACATTTGTCTATGTGTCTGTTATATGCCTGTATCATGCTGTTTTGGTTACCATAGCTCTGTAGTGTAATTTGAAGTGAGGTAATGTGATTCCTCCAGTTTTGTTCTAGGATAGCTTTGGCTATTTGGGATTTTTTGTGGTTCCACATAAATTTTAGGATTGTTTTTATCTATTTCTGTGAAGAATGTCATTGGTATTTTGACAGGGACTGCATTGAGTCTATAGATTGCTCTGGGTAGTATGGATATTTTAACAATATTGATTCTTCCAGTTTATAAATGTGGAATATTTTTCCATGTTTTGGTGTCCTCTTCAATTTCCTTCATCAGTGTTGTACAGTTTTCAGTATAGAGATCTTTCACTTCTTTAATTTCTAGTTTTTAAATTCTATGTGGCTATTGTAAATGGGATTACTTTTTAAAAATTTCTTTTTCACATTGTTCACTGTTGGCACATAGAAATGCTAGTGATTTTTGTATGTTGAATTTGTATCCTGCAACTTTATTGAATTTGTTTATCAGTTCTAACAGTTCTCTTGTGGAGTCTTCAGGTTTTTTCAAATATAAGATCATATCATCTGCAAGCAAAGATATTTTGGCTCCTTCCTTTCCAACTTGGATGCATTTATATCTTTCTTTTGTCTGATTGCTCTAGTTAGGACTTTGGTACTATGTTGCATAACAGTGGTGACAGTGGGCATCCTCCTTGTTTGTTCCAAATCTTTGAGGAATGGCTTTTAGTTTTTTCCCCATTCAGTGTGAGTAGCATTGGGTCTGCTATGTATGACTTTTATTGTGTTGAGGTATGTTTCTTCTATCCCCATGTTTTGAGAATTTTTATCATGAAGGGATGTTGAATTTTATCAAATGCTTTTCATCATCAATTGAAAGGATTATACAGTTTTTATCCTTCATTCTGTTGATATGATGTATCACACTGATTGATTTGCGTGTGTTGAGCCGTCCTTGCATCCCTGTGATAAATCCCACTTGGCCATGATGAATGATCTTCCTAATGTTATTGGGGAACCTGCCCCGATATTCACATAGGTTCTTTTCTATTTTCCCTAAGCATCGGCCGGCTTGAGAAATAAAGGGACAGAGTACAAAAGAGAGAAATTTTAAAGCTGGGCATCCGGGGGAGACATCACATGTCGGTAGGTTCCGTGATGCCCCACAAGCCACAAAAACCAGCAAGATTTTATTAGGGATTTTCAAAAGGGGTGGGAGTGTGCAAATAGGTGTGGGTCACAGACATCAAGTACTTCACAAGGTAATAGGATATCACAAGGCAAGTGGAGGCAGGGCGAGATCACAGGACCACAGGACCGGGGTGAAATTAAAATTGCTAATGAAGTTTCGGGCACCATTGTCATTGATAACATCTTATCAGGCGACAGGGTTTTGAGAGCAACCAGTCTGACCAAGATTTATTAGGCAGGAATTTCTTCTTCCTAATAAGCCTGGGAGCACTATGGGAGACTGGGGTCTATTTCACCCCTACAGTCTACAGACCATAAAAGACAGGCACGCCCAGGGGGGCCGTCTATAGACCTATACCCCCAAGCGCGTATTCTCTTTCCCAGGGATGTTCCTTGCTGAGAAAAAGAATTCAGTGATATTTCTCCCATTTGCTTTTGAAAGGAGAGAAATATGGCTCTGTTCTGCCCGGCTCACCGGCGGTCAGAGTTTAAGGTTATCTCTCTTATTCCCTGAACAATTGCTGTTATCCTGTTCTTTTTTCAAGGTGCCCAGATTTCATATTGTTTAAACACACATGCTCTACAATTTGTGCAGTTAATGCAATTATCACATGGTCCTGAGGCAACATACATCCTCCTCGGCTTATGAGATGACAGTATTAAGAGATTAAAGTAAAGACAGGCTTAGGAAATCACAAGGGTATTGATTGGGGAAGTGATAAGTGTCCATGAAATCTTCACAATTTATGTTTAGAGATTGCAGTAAAGACAGGCATAAGAAATTATAAAAGTATTAATTTGGGGAACTAATAAATGTCCATGAAATCTTCACAATCCATGTTCTTCTACCATGGCTTCAGCCGGTCCCTCCGTTTGGGGTCCCTGACTTCCCGCAACATAATGTATTGTTAAATTCGGTTTGCTAGTATTTTTTTGAGGATTTTTTGCATCAATATTCATCAGACATACTGGTCTATAGTTTTCTTTTTATAATGTGTCTTTGTCTGTTTTTGGTAACAGGGTAGTGTTGGCCTCATAGAATAAGTTTAGAAGTATTCCATCCTCCTCTATTTTTTGGTATAGGCCTAATAGTTATTTACAGAACATTTTATCCAAGAGCTGCAGAAAGAAAACTATAGGCCAATATCCATGATGAGCATTGATGCAAAAATCCTCAACAAAATACTACCAAATCGAATTCAACAGCATATTGAAAAGATCATTCATCATAACCAACTAGGATGTATCCCAGGGATGCATGAAGAGCACTTGCACCCTGATGGTTCAATAGATGCAAATTGGGAGGCAGAGCAAAATGGCAGACTAGGTGGCATCTTTAGGTGGCAGAATAGAAAGCTCCCCTGTTATACACACACACACACACACACACACACACACACACACACACAAGTTGACAGCTATCTACACAGAAAAAACACCTTCATAAGAACCAAAAACAGGTGAGCACTCATAGTACCTATAGTACCTGGTTTAAACTTCATATCACTGAAAGAGGCACTGAAGAAATAGCAAAAACTGTCCTGAATTGCCAACACTACCCTTCTGCAACCCCCAGCAGCACTGGCATGGTGCAGAGAGCATCTCTGGGGGTTGGGGGAGGGAAAACACAACAACTGTGAGGCATTGAACTCAGTGCTGTTCTGCCAGAGCAGAAAGGAAAACCAGACCAAACTCAGCTAATGCCCACCCACAGAAAGAGCATTTAAACCTTAGCCAGAGGGGAATTGCCAATCCCAGCAGTCTGACCTTCAGTTCCTGCAAACCTTGCCACCAAGGGCCAAAATGCTCTTGGTCTCAAAGTAAACTTGAAAGGCAGTCTAGGCCTAAATGACTGCAACTCTTAGGCGAGTCCTAGGGCTGAAATAGGCCCAGAGATAGTGGACTAGATGGGCCCATGACAAACTGAGACAGCAGCTGGGGCAGTCAAAAGAGTGCTGGCATAACCCCTCTTCTAACCCTTGGAGGCACAGCTCACAGCTCCAAAACAGACCACTTCCTTCTGCTTGAGGAGAGAAGAGGGAAGAGTAGGGAGGACTTCGTCTTGCATCTTGGATACCAGCTCAGCCACAGCAGGATAAGGCACCAGTCAGAGTCATTAGGGCCCCATTCCAGGCCCTAGCTCCCAGACAACATTTCTAGACACAACCTGGGACAGAAGGGAACTCGCTCTCTTGAAAGAAAGGACTCAGTCCTGACAGCATTTATCATCCGCTAACTGAGGGGCCCTTGGGCGCTGAATAACCAACAACAATAGATAAATACTACCTCAAGGGCCTTCATAAGCCTCTGAGACTTGCTGGTTTCAGGTACAAGCAAAGAGAAAACTAATACAACTCTACATTTTAACTTAATCTCCATGCTTTTTAACTTTTTATTATTTGTATTTATATTTTATTCTACTCTCTATGTCTTAAAATGTTGCTTTAGTGATTATTATTGAGCAGTTCATCTTTTATTCTTTCTACTTAAGATATGAGTAGTTTATACACCACAATTACAGTGTTGTAATATTTTGTGTTCTTCTATATACTTACTATTACCAGTGAGTTTTGTACCTCATGATTTTTATTGCTCATTAATAGTCCTTTTCTTTCAGATTGACGAAGTCCCTTTAGCATTTTTTTAATACAAAAGTCTAGTGTTTATGAAATCCTTCAGCTTTTGTTTGTCTGGGAAAGTCTTTGTTTCTCCTGCATGTTCTAAGGATATTTTCACTGGTTCAACCATTCTAGGGTAAAAGTTTTTTCTCCTTCAGCATTTTAAATATGTTATGCCACTCTCTCCTGGCGTTTAAGGTTTCCACTGACAAGTCTGCTGTCCAGATGCACTGCAGCTTTATTGTACATTATTTGTTTCTTTTCTCTTGCTGCCTTTATGATCCTTTGTTTATCCTTGATCTTTGGAAGATTAATTACTAAATTTCTTGAGGTAGTCTTATTTGGGCTAAATCTGCTTGGTATTTCCTTTCTCCCCTCCCCTTTCCTTCCTTCCTTCCTTCCTTCCTTCCTTTCTTTTTTCCTTCCTTCCTTCCTTTCTCTTTCTTTCTCCTTCCTTCCTTCCTTCCTCCCTCCCTCCCTCCTCTCTCTCTTTCTTTCCCTTTCTTTCTTTCCTTCTCTCTCTCTCTTCCACCCACCCTTCCTTCCTTCCTTCCTTCCTTCCTTCCTTCCTTCCTTCCTTCCTCCCTCCCTCCCTTTCCTCCCTTCCCTTCCCTTCACTCCCCTCCCCTCTTCTTTCTTTCTTCCTTTCTCTCTCTCTCTTTCTTTCTTTCTCTTTCTCCTTCCTTCCTTCCTTCCTCTCTCCCTCCCTCCTCTTTCTTTCTTTTTTCTTTCTCTCTCTTTCTTTCTCTTTCCTTTTCCCTCCCTCCTTTCTTTCTTTCTTTCTTTCTTTCTTTCTTTCTTTCTTTCTTTCTTTCTTCTTTCTCTTTCCTTTTCCCTCCCTCCCTTCTTTCTTTCTTCTTTCTTTCTTTCTTTCTTTCTTTCTTTCTTTCTTTCTTTCTTTCCTTCTTTCTTCTTTCTCTTTCCTTTTCCCTCCCTCCCTTCTTTCTTTCTTCTTTCTTTCTTTCTTTCTTTCTTTCTTTCTTTCTTTCTTTCCTTCTTTCTTCTTTCTCTTTCCTTTTCCCTCCCTCCCTTCTTTCTTTCTTCTTTCTTTCTTTCTTTCTTTCTTTCTTTCTTTCTTTCTTTCATTCTTTCTTTCTTTCTTTTTCCCTCCCTCCCTCCCTTCCTTCCTTCTTTCTTTTCTTCCTTCCTTTCTTTCTTTTCCCTTCCTTCCTTCCTTCCTCCCTCCCTCCTCCTCTTCTTCCTTCCTCCCTTCCTCTTTCTTTCTCTTTCTTTCTTTCTTTCTTTCTTTCTTTCTTTCTTTCTTTCTTTCTTTCTTTCTTTCTCTCTCTCTCTCTCTTTCTTTCTTTTCTTTCCTTCCCTCCCTTCCTTCCTTCTTTCTGTCTTGAGTCTTGCTCTGTCACCCAGGCTGGAGTGCAGTGGCGTGATCTTGGCTCACTGCAACCTCTGCCTCCTGGGTTCAAGCAATTCTCCTGCCTCAGCCTCCCTAGTAGTTGGGATTACAGGTGCACACCACCATGCCTGGCTAATTTTTGTATTTTTAGTAGAGTCGGGGTTTCACCATGTTGGCCAGGCTGGTCTTGAACTCCTGACCTCAGGTGATCTGCCCACCTCGGCCTCCCAAAGTGCTGGGATTACAGTTGTGAGCCACCATGCCTGGCCCTACGACCTTCTTTTACTTGAATATTGATATCTTTTTCTGGGTTTGGGAAGTTCTCTGTTATTATTCCTTTGAATAAACTTTCTACCCATCTCTTTTTCTGCCTCATCCTTAAAGCTAATAACTCTTAGATTTGCCCTTTGGAGACAATTTTGCAAATGTTGTAGGCATGCTTTATTCTTTTATTTGTTCTTTTGTCTCCTCTGTGTATTTTCAAATAGCTTGTCTTCAAGCTTACTAAATCTTTCCTCTGTTTGAGTTATTCTGCTGTCAAGAGACTGTGAGGCATTCTTCAGTATGTCAATTATATTTTTCAGCTCCAGAATTTCTGGCTGATTCTATTTAATTATTTCAATGTCTTTGTTCAATTTATCTCATAGAATTCTGAATTCCTTCTTTATGTTATCTTAAATTCTTTTAGTTTCCTCAACACTGCTATTTTGAATTCTGTCTGAAAGGTCATATATCTCTGTCTCTCCAGCATTGGCCCTTGGTACATTACTTAGTTTGTTTGGGTCATGTTTTCCTGCTGAATAGTCTTGATGCTTGTGGATGTTCATTGATGTCTGGGTATTGAAGAGTCAGGTATTTATCGTAATCTTCACAGTCTGGACTTGTTTGTACTGATCCTTCTTTGGAAGTCTTTCCAAGTATTAAAAGGGAATTGATTGTTGTTATCTAAGTCTTCGGTTATTGTAGCCATATGTGCATTAGAGGGCATCCCAAGCCTTGTAACACTGTGACTTTTATAGACTCATAGAATGACCACCTTGGCAGTGTTGGGTACGATCCAGGAGAATTCCTTGGATTACCAGTCAGAAACTCTTGTTCTCTTTCCTTCTTTTTCCCTAAACAAAGTCTCTCTCTCTCTCTGTGCTGAGCTGTCTGGTGCTGGGGGAGTGGTGACTCAAATATTCCTGTGGCCACTACCACTGGGACTGTGCTGGATCAGTCCCAAAGCCAGTACAGCTCTGGGTCTCGCCCAAGGCCTGTGGTAACAATTACTTGGCTACCACTTATGTTTGCTTAAGTCCCTAGGGCTCTATAGTGAGCAGGCTGTGAAGTCAGCTAGGCTTGTGTCTTTCCCTTCAGGGCAGTGAGTTCGCCCTACTCTCAGGTGGGTCCAGAGATGAGTCAGAAACCTTACTAATCTTCCCAGTGCTATTCTTTTACAGCTGAGCTTGCACCCAAGTCACAAGACAATGTCCTTCTCACTCTTCCCTCCTCTTTCCACAAGCAGAGGGGTCTTCCCACATGGCCACCACTGCCCCAGGCCCATGACAGGTACCTCCTGGCTACCACCAATATTCACTCAAGGCCAAGCGCTCTTCAGTTAGCTTGTGGTCTGGGAATCTGCCTTCAGGTCACTTGGCTCCTCTCTGACCTGGGTCAGGTCCAGAAATGCCATCCAAGGACGAAGGGTTGGATTTGGGGAGCTCCAGAGCCCACTTGGTTCTCTACCCTACTGTGGCTGAGCTGGTACCTGAGATGCAAGACAGAGTACCCTTTTATCTTTCCTCTCCTTTTCTCAAGCAGAGTCTCTCCCCAACTCTACCACAGCTTGGAATGTGCTGAGTCACATCTGAAGCCATGAAGTCTCAGAGTCTCACCTACCTCCCATGGTAGGTACTACCTTTTTTTACCATTGCTAATAATTCAGGGCCCAAATAGTCTTTACTCAGCAGGTGATGAATGCTACCAGGACTGGGTCCTTCCTTTCAAGGTAACAGGTTCCTTCTGGGTCAGGGTATGTCCAGAAACATCATCTGGGTGCTAGGGCTTGAAATGGGGGCCTCAGGACTCCACCTGGTGCCCTATCCTACTGTGGCTTAGCTGGTACCTAAGTCGGAAGACAAAGCCCTCTTTATGAAATCTCCCTTCCTCTCTCCCCAAGCAGAAGGAAGGATTCTCTCCTGGAGCTGTGAGCTGTGTTGCCTGGAGTTGTGGGAGGGGTGGTGCACGCATGTCTTGATCACCCTGGCTGGTATCTCATTAGATTGCAGGTCCCCTAAGTCCACTGATTCTGAGTCCGGCACAGCATCTGGATTTGCCCAGGAATTACAGTCCTTGTGGCTTAGACTGCCTTTTGAGTTTATTTAGGACCTAAGAGCCCTTGACTCGCAGTAGTGAGGCTTGCCAAAACTCAGATTCTGACCACTGGGATTGGTGATCCCCTCTGGCTAGAACTGGTCTAAATGCTCCCTTTATGGATGCTGGCTGAGTTCTGCCCTGTGTTGCTTTCCACTCTGGCAGAGCAGCACTGAGTTACAATGCAAATTCCCACAATCCCTGCACTCTTCTTCCCCCAAGCACACAGATTCTCTCTCCATACCATGCAGCTGCTACACAGGGTGGGAGTAGGGGTAGGGGATAGGGGAGGGGTGGCATTGGCAATTCAAGACTTTCTTTCCTACTCTCCTCAGTGTCTTTCTCAGTGATATACAGTTAAAATCAGATACTGTGGTCACTCATATAATTTTTGGTTCCTATAAAGGTGCTTTTTTTTTGTGGATAGTTGTTCAATTTGGTGTTCTTGCTGGGAGGACAATTAGTAAAGACTCCTATGTGGCCATCTTGCTCTGCCTCTGTGTTAAAGTTTGAGGTGAGAGATTTTGCAGAAGTCTGATAATTACCCCCACCCATTCCTTCCTGAATTCAGATTTTAATTCAATGGACAGAGCCATACTTCAAAATATTCTGGGCCTATGATCTTATTTCCAAAACTCATACAATATAAATATTTTAGTTTTAAACTGGGTTTTTGTCTGTAATCCTGGTCTACATTCTCATCTTATGATGGGCTGAACAGACATCTCAAAATCCATTTGCCTTCTCGCTTAAACTCTAGAGCCTACCATGGATTGAAAACTAGTGAGTCAGAGACCAAATCCAGATGCCTTCACAGTTTAAAGACTAAATATTTGAATACCTTTATATAGATGTGGATGGTCTACTTCTCAAATTCCCTCATTTCCTATTGTCTTTCACTAGGAGTACATTTAGATTCCTGTCTTGGCACCGGCAGGATTTGAATTTATAATGCTATGCTAGAACTGTCCAGGGAAACCATCATCTGCATTCTAAGCCCTAGGCTTTTTAATACACGCTTCTTTTTCCTCTTTTGGGAAGCTTTCTATGCCCTTCTTCCTTTGTGTTGTTTTACTGCCCTTTTGCATTTGCTTTATTAAAGATCCTGTGCCTACCTTTATATAGCCTTTGTCTTCTGTATACGGCAATTATAGTGTTGGCTTGCCATATACCTCTCTAGGGTCAAGACAACTCACACAGGGCACTCTCCTCCCAAATTACACCTTTTCAGTTAGTTAAAATGTATATATAGAAAGGTAGAACAAATGGCTGCCAATTAGACTCTTATCTATTACCAAATGATAAGTATAAAAACCTATATATAAATTCTAAACTTTTAATTTTGAAGTATGGCTAAACTTACAAAAATATTGCAAAACAAGTTATTGTGTAGCGTTCACCTTTTCTGATGTTTAACATTTTATATAATGATGTAACAATGATCAAAATCAGAAAGTTGACACTGGTACAATAGTATTAACTAAACTATAGATGTTATTTGAATTTTATCAGTTTTCTCTCTAATGCCCTCTTTCTGTTCCCAGTATCTAATATAGGATACTGCATTGCATTTAGTTGTGTGCTTCCTTAGTTTTATTCCATCTGAAATTTTCTCTTTTTTCTTATCTTTCACGATCCTGATACCTTTGGAGTACTGGTAAGTTATTTTGTTGAATGTCTTTTAATTTGAGTTTACCTGTGTATTAGTTGAAGTTTTACATAAATATAGAACCAACAGCACATTAGTGTGCATGTGCATACACACACACACCCCTACAAAAATATTTATTAGAAGAAATGGACTCATACAGTTACGGAAACTGGAAAGTCTAAAATCTGCAGAGCTGATTTCTCAGTTTGAGTCTGAAGGCTGGGAGCTGCTGTAGAATAAGGAAGAGCTAATGTTCCAGTTCAAAGGAAGTGCTGATAATCTAGTTTGAAGGCCATAAAGCAGGAGAATTCTTTCTTACTCAGAGAGGGTCAACTTTTTGTTCTATTCAGACCTTTAACTGATTGAATGAGGGCCACCTACATTATGGAGGGAAATTTGCTTCCCTCCATTAAATTGACTCAATCTGTCAATTTAAATGCTAATCTCATCTAGAAACACCCTCACAGAAACACCCAGAATAATGTATGACTAAATATCTGGGCACCCCATGGCCCAATCAAGTGGATAAATAAAATTAACAATCACAGCCTGATATTTTCTCATGATTAGCTTGAGGTTATGGCTTTACGGCAAGAATACAACAGAAATGATTTTTTTCATTCCTAGTGTACATCAGGAGGTACTTGATTTGCTAATATGCTGCTATTGGAAATGTTAACCTTGATTACTTGTACCAAGCAATAAGGTGGTACTTGTGATGTTTCTCTACTGTAAAGTTATTGTTTTCTCCACTGTAATTTTAAATATCTGGATGGAAATTCTTTGTGACTATGCTAATATTTTGTTTCTTCTCAAACTTTTGCCTACTTGGAGAGTGGTATTTAGAAATCAAAATCTGGGTACTAGCTGTGCTCATTGCTACTGAGGTGGCATTGCCCTAAGGCATATATATCTCTCTTTATTGTGATAAGAAAGTATCTCTCAATTTCTGTTTTCCTGAATATTTTAATTATGAATGGGCCTTGAATTTTGTCTAACACTTTCTCAGCATCTATGGAGATAATCACATCATTTGTTTCCTGGGTTCATTAATATGTTATATATTAATACATTTTCTTATATTGGACCAATCTAATATTCCTGAAATAAACCCCACTTGGTCATGGTATATTTTTGTGGTACTGAAATGGATTTGTTAATATTTTATTTAGTATTTTTGGACTGGTATTCATGAATGGTACTGATTGCTAGTTTTAAAAAAATACTTTATTTGGTTTTAATATAAGTTACACTTGCTTCATAAAAGGAGTTACAGAGTTTTCCTTTCTTTGTAATACTCTGGAATATCTTATGGGGCACTGGAACTATCTGACATTGAAAAGTTTGGAGATTTGGGTCTTTTTCTATTTTTGAAACATTTTCTTATAGTTTTAAATATTAGCACTCTTCCATTTTTTTATTTATCTTCTTAGAGACTCTGATAATTGGAATATTATTCCTTCTTGGCCTGTCTTCCATTCATAGGACTTTCTCTCTGATTCTTTTTACCTCTTTCTTTATGTCATTTTTAA
This sequence comes from Homo sapiens, assembly GCF_000001405.40. NCBI lineage: Eukaryota > Metazoa > Chordata > Mammalia > Primates > Hominidae > Homo > Homo sapiens. The sequence goes on along the minus strand of NC_000003.12, from coordinate 176,763,329 downwards.
CCTTTTGATTATTTATTCTCATCCAAATACTAACCAGGTTTGATCCTGCTTAGCTTCTGAAATCAAATGAGATTGAGCACTTTCAGGGTGGTCTGACTGTAACCATTTTGGTTATTTCCTGTCTTTCTTTTATGTCCCATATGAAAAATATAATTTCAGTTTATTCTCTCTTTTTGGCACCCTGTAATTTATTCTTTATTATCTGAAATATTTTCGACTTTTTCTTAGTTATTTCTGGAGTTCAGTTAGTTGTCATTTCATTTTGCTTTGCTTTTTATTTTCTTTTTTGTTCATTTCTGTGAGTTTTGAATTTCTGATTTAAGGTGGTTTTTATATCTTCAAATGCTTGAGCACAATTATTCTAGGTTATTGGCTTATAGTTTTCTTCTGCTTCATGATTTTTTTGGGGGGTACATTTTCTTCTGTTTATATATATGTATTAAAACACCATCTTTTTAAGATCTTATTTGGATTTTATTTATGGATTTTATTTCCCCTTTGTTCATTTTTTATGGTATTGGGGTAATTTTACAAGATTCTTAGTTTAACGGCACCCTTTTCTGTCAGTATAGCACAGTCTAGATACTTTAGTAAGGTTTTCTGTTCATTTGTTTGCTTATTTCTTTGGTGGGGAAAGGTGGGTGAGTCCTCACATCTTACAGTTTAATTGTGCTAAGACCCTAAACTTCCCCTTTTTTTCTGTTTTCTCTTTAGCATCTCTATCAGGCAGGGCTCTCCAGAGGAAAAGAGAAACAGATCAACAGGATGTAGACAGATAGATAGATGATAGATAGATAGATAGATAGATAGATAGATAGATAGATAGATAGATAGATAGATGGATTTTAAGGAATCAGTCAGTGTGATTGTGGAAGTCTGGTGAGTCTAAAATCTGACAGGGGTGGCTTGCAGGCTGCAGACCCAGGAAGAGTTGTAGTTCAAGCCCAAGGGCACTCTGTTGGCAGAATTCCTTCTTGTTTGAGGGAGATCAGTCTTCATTTTATTAAAGCCTTCAGCTGATTGGATGAGGTTCACCCACACTATGGGTGGTAATATGTACTAAAAGTCCAGTTATTTAAATGTTAGTTGTATCCAAAAAACATCTTCACAGAACATCTGCAATAGTTTTTGACCAAATATCTGGGCATGTGGCCCAGCCAAGTTGACACATAAAATTAGCCATCATACTATCCAATTACCAAAGGATATCTCTAGCTTCTATTTTGTTTTTTTTCCCTACTCTTACCCCCTAAATTATGCATTTTGAAGAGTGACCCTTTAAGTCACTTCAAGAGTCTGTTCTTTAAATTATGCCACTCCTTTAGATGACACGCCTTTCAACATACATACTTTGAGATCTCTTCCTTGTAGTTCATGCCCTGATCTTCCCAGACACTTTTTCAGTATTTACAGATTTAGTGTGGAATTATTTTTTAATGGTCCCTTTGCTAGCCTCCCTATAGTGTCTCTTTTCCATTGTATTAGGCTACTCCAGAGACACAGAATCTCTCTTTCCCCCCTTCTCTCTCTCCATATATATATAGGAATTGGTAGGGAAACAATATGAGAAGTCATGTTTAAGTAAGTCATCACAGAGACCAGGAAAATTGAGACATGTCCAGATTCTATTTATATGTGATGCTAACTCAATGCAACATATATGGACCTGACTGCATGCAAGTGCCAGACAGGCTGGAAAGTTCAACCATCACTGGCTTCCCTGGTTCTCCAGCTTATAGATTACAGATTATCAGACTTCTTAGCTTCCATAATCACATAAGCCAATTCTATAATAGATAGATAGATAGATAGATAGATAGATAGATAGATAGATAACCTTAGGTATATATTCTTAGGTATGTAGATATACCTAAGATATACCTAAGATATACCTAAGAATCTATTTACTCAAAGAATATATATAATATATATTCTTTGAGTAAATAGATATATATATATACTTTGAGTAAATAGAGATATATTCTTTGAGTAAATAGATACAGATTCTTAGGTATATCTTAGGTATACATTCAGGTAAGGAAATGTTTTTATCAGAAACATTTTGTCTATATGTAGACAAATGTCTGTATACATATATACATATATATATACATACACACACAGAGTATACACTCCTGGTCTCTGTGATGACTTACTTAAACATGACTTCTCATATTGTTTCCCTACCAATTCCTATATATATATGGAGAGAGAGAAGGGGGGAAAGAGAGATTCTGTGTCTCTGGAGTAGCCTAATACAATGGAAAAGAGACACTACAGGGAGGCTAGCAAAGGGTGTATATATATATATACACTCTGTGTGTGTATGTATTTATATATGTATACAGACATTTGTCTATATATAGACAAAATGTTTCTGATAAAAACGTTTCCTTACCTGAATGTATACCTAAGATATACCTAAGAATCTATATCTATTTACTCAAAGAATATATATCTCTATTTACTCAAAGAATATATATATCTATTTACTCAAAGAATATGTATATATATATTCTTTGAGTAAATAGATATAGATTCTTAGGTATATCTTAGGTATATCTATATACCTAAGAATATATACCTAAGGTCTGTCTATCTATCTATCTATCTATCTATCTATCTATCTATCTATCTATCTATCTATTATAGAATTGGCTTATGTGATTATGGAAGCTAAGAAGTCTGATAATCTGTAATCTATAAGCTGGAGAACTAGGGAAGCCAGTGATAGTTGAACTTTCCAGCCTGTCTGGCACTTGCATGTAGTCAGGTCCATATATGTTGCATTGAGTTAGCATCACATATAAATAGAATCTGGACATGTCTCAATTTTCCTGGTCTCTGTGATGACTTACTTAAACATGACTTCTCATGTTGTTTCCCTACCAATTCCTATCTTCCCAAAGACTGATATTGTGACTCATTTTTTTCTGCCCATAGCTCCAACCAACTTTTTGGTTTGCTTTTAACCCTGTTGGACTTTTACCTCCCTTATTTATTATGAATTGGATTTATGATCAGCTGTTGGTCTTTTTCATGAGAATGGCACCACCTGTATCCACATTACTTAACTCTCAGAACTGATAACTGAGGCCACCTGTGTCAACAAATCAACTATTTGTTCCAGGATATTTGTATTTAGGAAGATAAGTCTGTAAATCAATAAATAACCTCATTGTTTACTTCAGGAAATTTCTGAAAACTAATTTGCTCTGGGAAATAATTTGCTCATCTGGGTAAACAGCTCTCCTATCTGGAAAACAGACAGCACACCTGAGCAAGCAGCTTGCTTATCAAGCAACAGCTCACTTGTCAAGATTCTCTTCAAGACTCTTGCTTCAGATGTCCACCAACCTGAAACTATTATGTCACACATCTTGCCTAATCCCTGTTTTGTGTCTTGCAAACCTGTCTGAATTGCTTGAGCCTACACCCCAAGATCTATAAACATGCTTCCCAGCCCACCTCTTCCTGAGACACTGTTAACACTCTGTCAGGGTGCTATTGCTAAAGTAGGTCTAATAAACTTAACATTCTTTGATCAACAGGTTTTCTTGTGGCCTTTTGGGAGAATCAATAGGTAATATTAGGTAAATATCTCATCTGACCCAGCCTACCCATATTGATGTTACACACTAGGTTAGGTCTCATGCAGTTGTATTTGACTAAAAATAAAAAGTTATCTTCTCTCTCAGGTGTGAGATGCTTAAAAGAAGAGGACAAAATTGTTTTTTATTCAAAAAATTTATACATAAGTTAGTAGTTCTTAAGCATGGTGGTTGGGAGTGGTGGTGGTGAGGAAGGTGGAGAATAAAAAAATAAACTGATGGAGACTTGGCATTTGATTAACCTGTGGGAGAGTTTCAAATTATGCCCTTGAAGGTTCTGATAATCAATCCTTCTGCCCATCCTCCTCCTCCAGTTGGAAGTGAGAACTAGTAGTTTAGATATTTGTTCTACCTAACAAGGTGAATAAGAGAATGGAGGCCATTGTCTATTAATTAATGAGTAAATATGCAAATAATTAAGGCAAAGATGTCATGTTAAGTGTATATCTGATATTTACCTTCTTTCTCACTTGATTTAGTCATTGTAAAAAAGAAATAATGGTTTTCCTTTACCTTCTATCGACTTATTTTTACATAGAAGAACCGAAGCATATTTGGTATCAGGCCCAGAGGGGCATACAGTTATGCCAGAGAAATAAAAAAGCGAGGCAAGATTTCTATAAATCAATCCTTAGTTATTTTGGAAATGTTTTTAGTCGAGCTTTGGCATGAGGATTTTTTTTCTTAAATATAGAAATTGGTACTGCCTTATAACATGCTCATCCAAAATTTTGTTTAAAAATGTTTCTTTCAGCCTATTGAGGAAGTTTTTATTTTCTTACTTGATATGAAAACATTTTCCTTATAAGATTAGAAAGAGTTCATAAAGGAGGTAAGATTTTTATTTTAACCAGCTGGTAAGCGAAGACTGACAGAGGATTTCTCAGCTGGGGCGGAGTGATGAAGAAAAGAAAGAAAATCTATAACCATATGTCCGGCTGCCATTTCTGCCTGAAAGATGCTACGTGTAGCAACCCCTAACAATGTCCTCTTTTCTCTCACTGGGATTTTTGGTGATGATTTATCAATTTAATATAGACTGTTCATTCTCTTTCATGGTTCCATTGTTGTAATTGTTTTTTCCTCTAGGTCTTGTTTGCTGACAAAAATTTTCATAGCTCTTATATAGTTTGTTTTTGATATTTAGTCTTCCCAAAGTTCATTTTCAAATCTGTCATGGAGTTTATAGGTGTTCGCTTTTCTAAGACATTTAACATTTAAATTTTAATAATCCCTCCAGTCTTTAGTCATACTGGTGTTGGACAGATTGCTAAAGTTATACCATAGAAGAGTTCTATACAGGATATAAGGAGTTGCTAAGGAAAAAAGTTGATTGTAGTCTTTGTATTAAATACAATATTGGGAAGAAACCACAACAATCAAGGCTTGTTTTGAAAGAGGGCTCTACTGCCATGAGAAATTCAATTTCACCCTTGCTTTATTTGCACTGCTCCCCAAGACCTTCCTCTTAAATCTACAAATAAGTCAGAAAGGATTATTTTTAGACTCCATGTAATATTACTTAACCGGTATACATTACTTAAATTTAGTAGAATGAAACGTTTTATGGGCCATGCGTGGTGGTGGCCCACACATGTAATCTTAGTGATTTGGGAGGCCAAGCTGAAAGGATTGCTTGAGCCCAGGTGTTTGAGACCAGCCTGGGCAACATAGTGAGACCCCATCTCTATTAATAAAAACAAAACAAAAGTTATATGCATGTCAGGGGTTTTGGGGGAAATTAAATTAGAATCTGTTTTACCATTCTATCATTTAGGCCAACCAGGCAGAAAGAAATATGCTTTCTTAAAAAAAAATTCTATGTGAGGCAAGGGTATAGTTATGTAGGGTTCATTCATTCTAGATACTCCTATACAATAATGAGTAGGAGGGAGTTCTTAGACTATGCTTTATAAAATGATATTGAAGTATTTCTTGACTCATCTTTCTCAAACACCAAATCCAATCCATCAACAAATACTGTTGGTTCTACTTACAATATCCTCTATGTTTTCATCACTCCACCATTCTCACTGTACTTTGAACATCTCATCTAGACAATTGCAACAGCCTTCTAACAGGTCAGTTTGTTTCTGCTATAGACTATTTATTCTTCACACAGTAACCAGAGTGATCCATTCAAAATGAAAGTAAGTTTATGTCACTTCTCTGCTCAAAACTTGCCAATGGCTTTCTTTAGACAAGAAAAAAAATTGAAGGCCTTTTTCTACCATGACTCCAAGGGCACTGTCATCACCCCCAGGCTCCTGCCTGGCTCCCAGTTCTTACAGCTCTCTCCTTGCCCATTCTACTCCGGCTTCACCAGCCCTTTGCTGCTGTTAGAAGATATAGTTTCTGGGTTTTGCAATTGCTAGTCTCAGCCCGGGATGTTCTTTTCTGAGACACTGGCATGTTTGCTCTCAATTTCTTCAGATTTCTGCTTCGATGTCACTTCATCCTAGAGGTCTTACCTGACCATTCTCTCAAGCAGCATCCCAGGCCTTGTTGTCCCCTTTCCCTGCATAAAGTATTCACTTATTGCCACCTGGACATCTTCGACTTACCTGTTTATTGTCTTTCCTCTCCCCCACATTACAATGTCAGCTTTATGAGTGCAAGAGCACATCTGTTTTGTTTATTGCTCTGTTACAAGATCAATAATGGTGCATAGCCTATAGTTAGGTACACAATAAATATTTATTTATTTGTATAAATATAAGAATGATCATTTGACTATGCATAGGTTCTGTAATGACCCAAAGCCAGGATTTATATGAACAGTTATGAGTGTAGAGTATGTTATTGTATCATTTTCTCATTCCTTCTCACTGGATGATATCTTTTAACCAATGATTTTGTATTAATTGATGGGGCTGCTTCTTCAGGGATATGCTCTTGCTTGTGTTTTTGTAATAAGCAGTGTACTTCTTACTCTAGGATCATTGACATAACATTAAATCTCGTTTTCTCTTGAATCTAAGCTTACTTTATTTTGTAACTGTTAGAATTATTCTCTTCTGGTGATGTTATCTTCTCTATCTGAAAAATATTTTTTTGGTATCTTGTAATGATGAGTTTTTTTCTTTTTAAGAATAATATTGGTTGTGTGCTTTTTCAGAGGCGTTATAAAAGACACATGATATTTTAGAAAATTTGGAAGACCCAGAAATATATTTTAGAAAATTAAGTATTATCCTTGTGATTTAGTATCTGTCTAGGAGTTTTAGCCAGTTCTTCTGGGCATATGGTAGGATTATACTTGCCTACTCTTTTTGAAGTCAGTCTTGGCCATGTGATTTGTTTTGCCCATGAAATGTGAGTGGCAGTGACATGTGTTCCTTTCAGGTAGAAGTTTCAGAGCTGTGCACAATTCACCACAGTCTTTTCTTTGGTCCCAGTGATCATGGAAGGATGCGTGGAGACGAAGCCTCTGTCAGTGTGGGTTGCTGTTGGACTCCATGATCAGAGACTCTCTGCCCACGTATGTAAGCAAGAATTGACTTTTCTTAGTAAAAGCTGCTGAGAACCTGGGATGTCTGTTACCATTGCACAATGTAGTCTGTGCTACTGATACAAGAATTATAAGAAAGACATGGTCATTTGGAAACTACAGAATTACGTAAAAATGAAAACAAAAATCAATGATTGCCCCGGTATCTTGGTATATATCCCCTGTTTTTTTATAAATTTGTGTGTATGCTTGTTTGTATAATTTGAAAAAATGCGATTATTCTCCAACTACTCTTTTTTGATCTGTTTTTTCACTCACTAGTAGTAAAAGATTTTATGTCATTTAATATCCTTCTACAACCTGAATTTTAATGGCTACATAGTAGTATACCATTCTGTCTTGCTTATGAATCTCCTCACTCTGTGTGCTATGTTTATGGGAAGATTTCTTTCTATGGCCACTTGGTAGGTAAAGGCTTTTCTCCCTGGAGACCTTACTAAAAAGGAAAGTTCCACTTATGCTGCACTGTGACACCTCTTAACCAATACTATTAAATATTCTCCAGGTGTCAGTAGCTCAGACATCATCATTCACTCATTTAACGCTTACTATTAAATAGGTTACATCATACAATTAAAATACTCTGCAGTAAATCATTTCTGAAGGCAAATAGTTATTTGGTAATATTAATAAAAAGTCCTAATTTTTTATAAATAACATTTTTATGTATTAGGTTTTCTTACAGTGGGCCACAGCTGTTGTAACCAATATCCATACATTAATTTTTATAACTCAGTGCTATTATTATGATACAAATAATGCTTTGCCGTTTAAAGCTCAAAGCAATAAATGGAAAATGCCAAGTTGAATGTAAGAGTTACTTCTACTTCAGTCCTTGGGAATTCATTTCAAGAGCTTTGAGACAGAGTGGAGTAATTTTGTTTCTACTAAATTCATTTCTATATTTTTATTTTTTAAAACTTATTATTTTTAAAAAGATAATTCATAGTTACTATCACAAAAGGATGACTGTTAACATTTAAGATTTTGGTCTAAATTCAGTTTGTTAAAATATTAAGAGGATAATAGTTTCACTCTATATTATATGATACCATATTTTTATCTCTTTTATTGTGGAATTATTTTGGCGTACTACAATATTTACCTAAAAAATTTATTTTTAGCATAAAATGCTCAATAAAACTCTAACAAATAGTTTATATTTCAGGTTTTCAGCTAGTTATTTGTCTTATCTTTGACATGTAGGATTTAATGATATTATCATCAAATAAAAAACAGTGGAATTCAGAACTAAGAGCCTGATTTCTTTCAATTCTTTTTACTCACTTTGTGATTTAAAACAGGGTATCTAGTAGGCAGTGCATAAAATGTCAAATTTCTTTAATGGGGTTCCTATTCTCTGCCTATCTCACAAAGAACTTTATAGTGTATACAGGTTTTGTTGTTTCCATACTTTCCTTCCTGTGGCCCCAAGTATTGCATGTCCTCATCACCAGTCTTCAAAGTGTCAAAATGGTTTTGAAAAAGGAGGATGACCCTTTGACACTTTCTCTACCACCTTTTTTATTACACATTGTCACCTGACCCCAAACCTCTGCTGCTTGTGTTGAAACCGGGTGAAGACAGAGACAGCTGTGCCTGATGAGAACCCCAGAGACAGAGGAAGGTGGCACCCACAGTGAGCACCAGTAGCCTTGCTCGGGGAGGGACATGTGAGGACGAGTGCAGTGTATGCTTCATGACAGCCTTTTGTGGAGGGATTACATTTTAGGAAGAAAGTAGAAGGCACTTTTTCCATGAAGGTGATAAGGAGGTAGTAATAACTGAGGTATACAATAATCTGACTAAATCCTCATAAAGATGTGGTCAGTATATATATTTAATTTGTCTAAAAAAGGAAAAGGAAAAATTTCTAAACTCCAATCAGTGGCTGTTCATTATTTACTGTGTACAATATTTGATTCATCAACATTATAATTTAGGAGTGTGAATGTTCCATTGTAACATGTTCATTTCATTCTCATGCCTGGGATGTTACTTACATGTATCTTCTATAAGTTGTGAGACAAGCATTGTGGAACCAGTAAACTCCCTGGTAATTATCATTAGACAGAGTCCTGTGACTTGCTGTTTGTTCTTTCCTTTCTCCAATTTATGATACATCTGATCCTCTAAGTGAGGATGTGAGAATATATGAATTAGATATTGATGCTAACAGGAAAATGTTTGCAGCCTCTGAAGGGAAGTTATAAGAGTGAGTTTGTGCTCTGAAGTGGGCTAGTGTAGATTTATATGTCTGTGACTATGCATCTTCTCAGAAGAGTGGAAAAAATCCCAGAATCTTTTAAAGAACTTTTGGAGTGACAATGATACCCTAAAGGGTGGTAGCTTTTTGGAAGAGCCTCTTAAGCATCTCATTCTCATCCTAAATCCTTGAGCTGGACTGACTTGAATAAACCTCACTGTCTCTATCTCTTCCACATCCTAACTCACCCCAGGGAGAGTCCTGTGTGCCTTCCATACTACCTGGAATCATGGTTTCCCAGTGGGGAGCATGCCATCTTCTGGTGTTGGCAGAGAGTTTTGTGGTCTACCATGTTTTTCCCAGATGTTGCAGTGAGTGTGCTGAAAACTGTATGTAAATCTATAGCTTGTCCTATTTGGGCTACACCCTGACTATAAAAGTCTGGATCTATCCAGGGTATTGTTATGCATGTGAATGGATGCTTGTGTTAGTTCAGGCCCTCTTAGGAGTAAACCCTAAGGTAAGATTAGACCTGCAAAAGGTTTACTGGGTAAAACACCAGAGGTTAGGAGAAGGTAAGGGAAGTTGTCAGACTGAAGTGCTGGTCTGCCACCTGAGAAAAGAGAGAAAGAAGAAAGGATTGGGTAAGACCCTCAGGCCCCTGAGAAAGTTTCAGCCAATGGAGGAGAGTCCCTATGCCAAAGGCGTATATTAGAGGAGTCTCCTCTGGGCAGGAATTGCCTGGTTCATGTACTACTGGGCTCATTCATGGGCTGGGAGCAGCCTGGGGGAGGTATGGTGTGAAAACTGCAGTGGCTCCAAAGGTGTGGCGCATCCCTACAGCAGGTTTTCCTGAAGGGAGAACAAACAACCTCCATGCCCCCAATATCACTGCCACAGAAACATTTTGAAGAGCTTAAATTTTGGCCTAAATTTAAGGAGGCAGGTTGGTGTGGGGCTGTTGTTCTTGGTTGAAAATCTGGATCCATCATTTGTTAGTTAGGAACAAGTACCTATACCTCTTGAGTCTTAGTTTTTTTCATTTAGAAAATGAAGTTAATAATAGTCATAGAGCAGGTTGCTGAGTTGATTAAATAAGTTGTGATGTGACAATTCCTACCAGATATTTGTTGCTCTGAGATTTTTCTCCCTTTCTTTCAACACTTTCTATTTATTTCTTGCCTGTCTGCCTCTCCATGAAATGCCTCCTCCCTCCCTTCCTTCTCTTCTCTTCCTTCCTCCCTCTCTCTCTCCTTCCTTTCCTTCTTTCCTCCCTTCCTTCCCTTCTCCCTCCCCTCCCCTCCCCTTCCCTCCCCTTCCCTTCCCTGCTCTCTTTCTCTCCTTCTCTTCTCTCCTTCCTTCCTTCCTTCCTTTCTTCCTTTCTCCCCTCCCCCACTCCCCTCCCCAACCCCCCTCCACTCCCCTCCCCTTCCCTTCTCTTCCTTTCTCTTTCTCTCTTTCCTTCTCTCTTCCTCCCTTCCTCCCTCCCTCCCCGCTCTTTCTTTCTTTCTTTCTCTTTCTTCTCTCCTTCCTTCCTTCCTACTCCCCTCCCTTCCCCTCCCCTTCCCTCTTTCTTTCTCTTTCTGTCTTTCCTTCCTTCTCCCCTCCCTTCCCTTTCCCTTCTCTCTCTCTTTCTCTCTTTCCTTCTCTCTTTCTCCCTCCCTCCCTCTCTCTCTCTCTTTCTTTCTTTCCTCTTTTTCCCTTCCATTCCCTTCCTTTCTCTCTTTCCTTCTCTCTTTCTCCTCTCCTCCCTCCCTCTCTCTTTTTTCTTTTCTTTCTCTTTCTTTCTTTCTCTTTCCTCTCTTCCTTCCTCCTCCCCTCCCCTCCCTCCCCTCTCCTTCCCTCCCCTCCCCTTCCCTTCCCTCTTTCTTTCTCTTTCTTCCTTTCCTTCCTTCTCCCCTCCCCTCCCTTCCCTTCCCCTTCCCTTCCCTTCTCTCTCTCTTTCTCTCTTTCCTTCTCTATTTCTCCCTCCCTCTCTCTTTCTTTCTTTCCTCTCCCCTTCCTTCCTTCCTCCTCCCCTCCCCTTCCCTTCCCTCTTTTTTCTCTTTCTCTCTTTCCTTCCTTCTCCCCTCCCCTCCCCTCCCCTCCTCTTCTCTTCTCTTCTCTTTCTTTCTCTCTTCTTCCTTCCTTCCTTTTTTCTTTCTTTCTTTCCTACTTTTCTTTTCTTTCTTTTCCTTCCTTCTTTCTTTCTCTTTCTTTTTCTTTCTTTCTTTCTTTCTTTCTTTCTTTCTTTCTTTCTTTCTTTCTCTCTCTCTCTCTTTCCTTCCTTCCTTCCTTCCTTCCTTCCTTCCTTCCTTCCTTCCTTCCCTCCCTCCCTCCCTCCCTCCTTCCTTCCTTCCCTCCTTCTCTTTCTCCATCAGATTCAACTTCCTCATTCTGAGTTTTAGAACCACCTACAAATCTACCCACACTATTTTTTTAACCCAAATTTATTTGTACTCATCAAGCAGATTATTTTAGCAATTGATAACTCTTTTCACGGAATTAGATATTCCATTACTTCCCAATTTCTGACAGCCATCTACAAATGAGTGATTTCTCTTCTTGAATTTTTTTTGGACCCTATTCAATACTCATGCCTCGCAAAGTGCTTTTCTAACTTTTGAGGTCTAGTGTGGGTAAAAAGATTTCTATTTTCCTTCCATCTTTTCTCAGAATTGTTTTTCACCCAGCAGTTCCAGTCACTGACACGGAAAAACATAAATGAGGAAATAAAATTAATACTATTAACATGCATCCTGATTATGAATTCTTGATATTAAGAGAGAACAAGTAAACTACTCTGGATCAAACTACAAGATAAAAAAGGAAAATTTAGAATTTCTGCCTCACATTTATGGAGAGAAATTTAAGGGATTTTTTTCAACTTAATTATTACAGTATGTCCCTTATCATCCTTTATGTTTCATACATTTATGTATATATATAGGTGTGTGTGTGTTTGTGTGTGTGTGTGTGTGTGTGTGTGTGTGTGTGTATGTGTACTTTTTAATCCACAGCTGGAGTATGGAGGTTCAGAAAAGAATAAAGGTGAAAGACATCTTTACTTTTTGCTCTTCATCCTGTTGTTTTCCTGTTGCATATACTCTGGATCCAGCGTAGGTTTTTGAGAACATTTCTATCTTAGCAATTGGAGAGCTAGCTTGATATTTAGGAAATTGTTCAGAGGGTATCATCAGGTATGCCAGAGAGGCTGGTCTATAAATAAACACACTATAATGAAATTAATCCTCAATTCATGCTAAGAAAAACTCTGGGTCTACTTGTGAGTTAGGTGATGGGGAACTAGCTACCTGACCTCTTTAAGCTTTAGTTCCTCATTGAAAAAAATGGTTAGATCCACCCTCTCTCCTGCCTTATTGGGAAGGAACACTGCTATTTTCCTTGTGGATTATTGATCAATCAACCAAACAGTCACTCAATCTACAAATCAACTACCCAACAGATGTTTATAGGGTACCTCTCATGTTTGTCATTTATAAACTGTGTTTCTTTCCTGCTTATCTTAATGGGATTATGAGAACTTCACATTTATAAAATAATGTGTAAACTTTAAATTCTAAACAAATATAAGGCATTCTTATGATTAGTGAAGAAGATACCTCTTTCCCTTTTTCATCTTATCCCCACACCTAAAGCCAAAGTCATTCACCCTCTAATGAGCACCCTATATATATTAGAGATTGTCAGGGTACAGTTGGTTATAGTCTGCAGCTTGGTTCCTCCATTTGCTTTGCGTGGAACTTGCTAGTCTTAGCTCTTTACCACTAGCATTGTCTCTTGATACATGCACTAAGGTGAATTCATCACTCCTAATGCTACTCTGGAATCTTTCTGATTAGCACAGCTCCTCAGCTACAACGTTACATACTCATTCCTTAAATACATCTGTCATCAAGGCACTTTGGGAACCACTTGGCCCAATCCTTCATTACCTCTTGGATTCTACCTTAGTCCCAGCCTGAGTGTCAGAGAATCAGAACATTTTCCAAAATATCTTTTAGACTAAAATGTTCTCATTGCTCTGTGTCCTGTTTAAAATGCAATGTTATCTGTAAGAAGTGTTCCACGAAACCACGGTTAAGTTTTAACATTTGAACTAGAATTGTTGTCAAATTAGCCAGGCAGCCATCTTGATAAGGATTGAGGACATTAAGGAAACACATGAAAAAAATGTGTTTTGAGAGGGTATCAAGAAGTGGTGGCCAGGGGAAGGCCTGTCAGAAAAAGATCTAGCATATAGGAGATCTAGGTGGGGATCCATAAAAGAATTTCTTGAAAGAGATGCAATAGGAGAGAAAAAGGAATAGTGGAAAGGAGACAGAGAAATGGAAATTCAAAAAGACAAGCAGGAAGGCCAATGTCCCTGAGTGCCCACAACACTTTATTATTACCTCTAATGTGGCATGCATCTAACCCAGTTAGGATTAGTCGTACATGTTTCCATGTCATTTGTAGAATGATAAGTTCCTGAGGACAAGGAAAATATCTTAATCACCTTTTATTCTCAGTATTTGATAGAGTATTTGGCAATATTTTAAGTATTTAATGTTGTATTAGGAGAAAAACATTAATTTTGCCTATGGCCAGTTCTGCCTCAGGACTCACAGTTCCTTGATTTATGGTAAATTTGATTCATGGTAAATGATATGGTTTGGCTGTATCCCTACCCAAGTCTCACCTTGTATTGTAATAATCCCCACATATCCAGGATGGGGCCAGGTGGAGATAATCGAATCACGGGGACTCTTTCCCCCGTACTGTTCTCATGGTAGTGAATAAGTCTCATGAGATATGATGTTTTTATTAATGAGAGTTCCCCTGCACAAGCTCTCTTGAATGCCACCATGCACCATGTAAGATGTGCCTTTGCTTCTCCTTTGTCTTCTGCCATGATGGTGAGGTCTTCCCAGCCATGTGGAACTATGAGTCCATTAAACCTCTTTCCTTTATAAATTACCCAGTCTTGGGTATGTCTTTATTAGCAGCAGGAGAACAGATTAATACAGTAAATTAACTATTAAATATTTGATATGTTGTATTAGTTTGTTCTCACACTGCTATAATGAACCAGCCGAGACTGGGTAATTTATAAAGAAAAGAGGTTTAATTGACTCACAGTTCCACAGGCTATACAGGAGGCATGGCAAGGGAGGCCTCAGGAAACTTACAATTATGGCAGAAGGCGAAGAGGAAGGAGGCACAACTTACGTGGTGGGAGCAGGAGGAAGAGAGAGAGAGAGCAAAGTGAGAAGTGCTGCATACTTTCAAGCAACCAGATCTCATGAGATCTTAGTATCACGGGAATGGCAACGGAGAAATCTGGCCCCATGATCCAATCACCTCCCACCAGGTTCCTCCCCCAACATCAGGGATTACAGTTCAACAGGATATTTGGGTGGGGACACAGAGCCAAACCATATCAGTGGTTTATTATTTTAGTTATGCTAGAAAACAGCTTTCTACTTGATAATATAAGGGGAAGTGGTAGAAACTAAGACCAGCAAGAGACCGGAGTCGTGTTGGGGAGGACGTTGAGCTTGCATTTAGTTTCTAATGAAATAAGGAGGAGTTACAAAAAAATTTTGCACAAAGAAGTGACAATAATAGCAGTGTAATTTAGAAATATTAGTGAGCCAGCATTTTGGAAGCTTAATGGAGTCATGTCAGGTGATAAAAATGGCTTGAGGTAGAGCAGGATAAGTGAGGAATGTAAAGGAAGCTAGAAATGTGTGATTCTTTATAGATTATTTTAAAGGAGAAACAAGGGAAAGGCAACGATTGAAAATGTCATAGAGGACTGGTGATACTAATATCAGTAGAGAAGTCAGCAGTAAGAATGTTTACAGGAAGAAGTTTCCTTGGTATAGAAAAAGAGCAGAACAGACTCACAGAAAAATGGTAGCTGTGAGATGGACACCCTGGGTTTGAATTTCTGCTTTGACCTCGGTCAAGTCACCTCTTAGAATCTCAGCTTCTGCAATTGTTACAAAAAATATGAGTTTGGACTAGAAGAGCTTTAAAGTCCCTTCCAGTTCAACACTGTAGATTCTTGACCCATTCTGTAAGCTGCTCTATTATTTGGGTCTTGGAAGGAAACAAGATAGGGTAGATAGGCCATGACTCCGAAATTGAGTATAAGGCACTGGCAATTGATGCCTGTTTCTAACCACCGCAGAAAAGAGGGCATGGTACCTTGCTGTTTGGGTTGCCTGCTGTGAGAATCAGTCTCATACCAACTCATCATTCCATGCCCTAGGACACTTTCTTTATCAATAGACTTACTGACCTGTGTGTTTTTTTGCTTTATTCTAGCAATGATTCCCTGGTATGACATGTAATGATGGGGATAGCTGTCCAACTTGGCAACATTGACGGGGTACAGAGCCTCTGAAGGAGAGATGGATGCAGGCAGTTTGTCAGGACTTTGTTGGATACAGTTTGTGTATCCAGACTTCAGAATAAGTAGAACCAAGGCCACTAAAGAGAATGAGAATATTCTCTGAAGAATAAATAGAGAGATGAAAGGACAAGGGAGACTCTAAACGAATTTTAGGGCAATTTCCTTTCGGTGGCTGTCTGGAAGAGAAAATGGAGGGCAGAGTGAATTGATCAGAGGGCAGGAGCAGGATTGCTGTGGAGGCAGAACAACAATGTATGCAAGGCAGAAAGGCTGGCTTATTTACTGAGAGATACTTACTGCAAAGAGGCACAGAGCACAGACAAGGTTGCAGAGGTGCTGCATCAGGGCTCCAACCCTGGAGAATAGGGCACTATCTGGAGTGAGAGTCACAGTACAGGCAATAAATAGAATTCTATCAATTCCAATCTGCTGCTGACATTAACCTAATTTTCTTGAAAAGTCACATCTTCTAATTTTATGAAATTGTGCTACAAGTGGGCAAATGGGAGGCTTTGCTCTTACCTTCTCTTGGGAAGTGAGTTTCACTGTAATTGCTTTTTATTTTCATCACTGAGTAAAATACTTTGGTGTCCCTTACCTATCAGTGCCCCAGGCTTTCATGTGGGCAACTGTTTTTAATTCTAATCAATAGGGGAATAAGCCCTGAGGGGTGTATTTAAGGTTTTGAACTGATTGTGTCCCAAAATCAAGCAAAGCGTTTCCAGATCTGCAATGCACTGCATAAATTCAATAAAAATTGCCATGCTCATTAACATCACTGCCTATTGTTATGGCCATGAACAAATTCTATCTTTCATTGCTCATTTTGATTCAGTTCTTTGACTTAATGATCCCTATCCCAGAGAGAAACTCCATTAGCATTTTCAGATGTCAATGTAAATGTAGGAAGAAAATACTTTAGGACATGAAATAATCAGGCAAGTCACTGGATATCTTGCTGCTTGTAAAAAAATTTCAGAAGAAAAAGTTTCTATGGGATGGGAATAAAACCTTAGAAAAATGCCAATTAAGGCTTCAGTTACTTATGTTTATTTATTTTTTATTCATTTTTTATCTTATTCTGAAAATAATTTGTGAAGACTTGCAACAAATGCACATGCAAAGAAATGGTAAAAAGTAGAAGGGACGTAAAAAATTAGCAAGGAAAATAAAATAATATATTTATAACAACTATGATAAGGCTTCTAATTTGTGCTTTCTGGTAGATAAGAAAAGATAAAGTATATAATTGCTGGTTGATCCAATGTTATTAGAAAACTCTAAGCATTTTGTTTCTTAAAGGAAATGAAATTTTTCCCAGAACTGTATTAATTTTTTTAAAAAAGAGCAAATCTTCATATGGAACTTTGTAAAGGGTCATTGAGTAATGTAATGTGTGATGGCCTAATATTTTTATAATGATTGCAGTTACAAATATCACATGTATGCTTCTGGCAGTGACCTTTGATAGAAGCCAAAGGAATATTAATAGTTGTAATACGGCATAAAAGCAGTACTCAAGGGGCTCGACTATGTGAAAATGAACGCCAGACTTTTTGAGGTTTAACTTTATTCAGGCATATAGAACAATTGTATTTCTCAAGTTTGGAGAATGTATGAGCCTCTAAATTAGAAATAATTTTTTATGGGGTATTCTAGTTCTAGGCAAGATGGAATAAACATACCGCACTCTGTTGTTTTCACTCAATGCAGCTAAAACACATGGTCAGGATTTACGGAACAGCTATTTGAGGGCTGTAAAAAGTAAATAGCATTGAGAAAAGATTGGGAAGAATACCGGAATCAAAATATCACCAAACTGATGGTGAGTTTTCCATATAGTTCCTTTCAATATCTTCTGACTTGAGCTCAACGCAGCCAGAAACCTGGAGGTGAGCATTAGTGTGGGCAGAGAGAGTTCCAGAATTCCTCTAGTTCTGGCTCAAAGAGCAGCAAAGGAGTTTTCTAAAGCTAACGCAGAGTGCAGAAAATGTCCCTTTATCATTTTCTTATTTATTTTTCTTCTTTACATTCCCTGCTCCTCAGCCCTCAAGAAATCCTGTGAGAAGGGCAACAACAAAGCCAACACGAACCTACAGTAGCCAAAACCTTCCTTTCCAATCAGAGGAGCTGTGGTCCTCAGAGGGAGGATAAACTCTTATGAGTTTCCTCCCTTTCTGTCCTTCTACAGCTTAACTCCAGATGTGGGCACAGCTGTGGGGGGCATAAGGCAGAGCGGGGTAACTGAAGCCCCATTATTCTGGCCAGATAACCAAAAAGTAGGATTACAGGGAATCAGAAAGTATTAAGGAGCTCCTTGTAAGGGAGAAACTTGAGAAAATGACCCTTAAAGTTTTAAATGAGCTCCCAGGCATAACCATGAGCCACATAGGTGTGGCTCCAATGTCAAAAAATATACATAGACTTTGAGAACTGAAATGTGGGATACACCAATGTCCAACATCCAAACTGACTACTGGGTGGCTCACATTCAGGACAGATCTGAATAGCACTGTAAAGTCTTTGAAAGCTTAATTAAACAATGCAACCACTGCCCATAGATAACTGGTCATGACTTAAAGCCTGGATTTAAGCAGGTCAGTTGGGTACTAAAATAAAACTACAAATATTCTCTGTAGGATTTAAGAAAGTCATCCCAGGGTCACAAAAAATAATAATAAAATTGTTCAGAACATAATCCGTAATTACTCAGCATGTGAACAACTAGGTATATATCAACGGAAAAAAACAATCAACAAATATAAATATCAAGATGGCACAGATATTGGGTTAATTTGAGAAAGACTTTAAAGAGCTATTTTAAAAAGTACTCCAAGTAAGAGTGAGCACTGTTGAACTGAATGTCAGAATAGAAAGTCTCAGCAAAGAATGGGAGATATAAATGAGAACCCACTGGAAATTTTAGAACTAAATGAGCTCAGTAACAGAATGTAAATGATAGATGAAAGAGTTAGTGAACTTGGATATAGTTCAATAGAAATTATCTAATCTTGACAAATGAAGAGTAAAAGTTGAAAATAAATGACTACAGCCTCAGGTCTAATATTTATGACATCAGAGTTCCAAAAGAAGAGGAGAAAGAGAGTATGCAGAAACATATTTGAAGAGATACGGATGAAAAATTTTCCTATCTCTAACATGGACAAATGACAGAAACCTACAGGCTCACAAAGCTGAAGGACCCCTTCCCTTTGAGATACACCCAAAGATATCCATATTCAGACACATCACAATCAAACTCTTAAAAACTAAACACAAAGAAAAAAATCTTGAACATAATTTAAGAAAAATGATTAGTTATAGAAACACAATTCAAATAAATATAAATTTCATGTCAGAAGCCATAAAAGCCAGAAATGGAATGGCGTTTTTCAAATGTCAAAAGAAAAAACTTACAATCTATGAAGTAAGGAGATGAAAGAAATTCCCAGATGAAAGAAAACGGATAGAGTTTGTTGCAGCAGACCTATTCCAAAAGGATCACTGAAGGGAGTTCTTCAGGCAAAAGAGAAATGATACAAGAAGAAAACTTGGAACATCTGAAATGAAAGAAGAGTACCAGAAATGGTAAATACCCAGGTAAATATAATAAATGGTTCTCTTATTTAGTACTTTAAAATGTTTGATGGTTTAAAGAAAAATTACAACATTTTTGATAGGCTTTTCAATGAAGTAGATGTAATATGTAAGACAACTACGACATAAATTGGGGGAGAGGGACCTATAGGACGTTATGATTTCCATATTCTTCTCAAAGTGGTAAGTGTTAATTCTAAAAATGTGAATAGTTTGTATGCATTTGGTAATCACTAGAGAAACCACTAAAAATTATACTGAGATATAGTTGAAACAAAATAAATTAAAATACCTAAAAAAGTTAATAATGCAAAAGAAAGAATTGGAAGCTAAATCTACCCAATGTTAAGACATAAAGTAACCAAGATAGTAATCAAGACAGTGTGGCATTGGCAAAATGATGGATACACAGAGCAACAAAAAATAATAGAATACAGAATTAGACCCACACACATAAGATCAATTGATTTTTGACAATGATACAAAGGCATTTCAATGTAAAGGATAGCCTTTTCAAAAAATGGTGTTCATACAACTGAATGTCCACATGCAAAAATTTGCATGTTGACTCAGACCTCACACCTTATAAAACTTAATTCAAAATAAATTATATATGTAAATATAAAGTGTAGGACTATAAAATTTTAGAGGATAATATAGGAGAATCTTCATGACCTGGGGCTAGGAAAAAGTTCTTCGATAGGACACCAAAGCAAAAATCACAAATGAAAAGAAAAGGATAAATTGACCTTCATCAAAATTAAAACATCTCTGAAAGACACTGTTAAGACAAAAATAAAAGACATCTGTAGGCTGAAAGAATATTTGCAAACCACGTATATGACAAAGGACTTTGATTCAGAATATAAAAGAACTCTCAAAAGTCAACAATAAGAAAAGAACCCAATCAAAAAATGGGCCAAATACTTGAAAAAATGTTTAACCAAAGAGAATATATGAGTGACAAATAAGCAAATAAGATAGTCATCATCACTACCCATTAGAAAAATAGAAATTAAAACCAAAATGCAATGTTCTTACATAACCTATTGGAATGGCTGAAATAAAAATACTAAGTGTTGCTGAGGATGCAGAGCAGCTAGAAGTCCCATACATTGCTTCTGGAAATATAAAATAGTACATACACTCTGGAAAACAATCTAGCAACTTCTTATAAGTTTAAACATATAGATATATATATGTATACATACATGTATACATATAAAAAACATATGACTCATCCATTCCATTTCTATTTACTTAACTGATATTTTATGTTCACACAAAACCTGTGTACATTAATATTTCTATCTACTCTGCTCATAATGACTGAAAATGGGGACAATCTAATTTAATGAGTGACTAGATAAACAAACTGTGGTACAACTATACAATGGAAAAACTATTTAGCCATGAAAGGAAAGGGATTATTGACATGCAACAATTTGGCATTTTTTTGAGGGAAAGAAGCAAGTCTCAAATAGTTACATGCTGTATGATTCCATTAATATGACATTCCTTAAAAGACAAAACTATGGTGATAGGGAACAGATCCATGGTTTCTAGCGGTTAAAGGTTGGGAGATAGTGTGAGTACAAAGTGGTTGCCTAAGGGAGAGTTTTTGGGATGATGAAACAGTTGTATCTTGATTGTAGCAGTAGTTGAACAAATCTATGTATTTGTTAAACTTACAAAACTGTATAGAAAAACCCATTTGCATGTATGTCAATTTAAAAATAACATTAAAAATAATTTAAAACAATTTTGTATCTCCCACCAGTGTAGATTTAAATTTCATAAATATTTAAATACATTAGCTTAAAACTAGGTATGCACTTCTTATGTTTATGGCTTCAAAGAACCAAAAAAACCAAAATCAATTTACAAAATAAATACAAATCACGAGATTGATAAAGTTCAGAGCTCCATTAACTTAATGTGACAGATAATGTTTGGCTGAAATGAAATTTTCCTCCTAATAGGAATATGATACTGACTATTCAAGCACAGATGCTTTTGAGTTAAGCATGTTTGTGTTATTCAGTGATTCAGTTATTTTACATTTCCATTCTAAATATAGTGAAACCTTTGTTTATACAATGCATTGTGAGGTCATTTGATTTACACTTGGCAAATGGCATCATTGATTTGTTTCGTATTTGCCTAGGGCAATGAAAGCAGTATCTTCACATTACTGCCATTGCCAAGGAAGATGTGGATGTAGATAGTGAAATTACAGGACAGAAAGCCCTCAGTTATAAGATAAACATTCAGATAATTCAAAATATATGCATGCATGTGTCTGTGTGTGAGAGTGTAAAAGTTGCTGGCCGGGTGCCAGCTCACACCTATAATCCCAGCACTTTGGGAGGCTGAGGCAGGGGGATCACTTGAGCCCAGGAGTTCGAGACCATCCAGGGAAACACAGTGATACCTTGTCTGTACAAAAAAATACAAAGATTATTAGCCTGGCATGGTGGCACACGCCTGTAGTCCCAGCTACTCACTAGGCCTGGATGAGAGAGTTGCTTGAGCCTAGGAGTTCGAGGTTGCAGTGAGCTGTGATCATGCCACTGCACTGCCGTCTGGGCATCAGAGCAAGACCCTGTCTGAAAACAAAAAGTTGCTGAGCAAACGGAAACATTAAATTAAAATATTGTGTAGAACTCATGATCACTAAAAATATTTCTGTATTTAGATATATGGAGAAGCACTCAATTGAAGCATTTGGGAGTTAGATAATGGAGGGTGATAGTCATCCTCCACGTTTTGAAGTTTTAAAGCAGTAATTATTCATGTATGATATAGGAGAGTCCAACCCAGGCAGTCTTTGAAGTCGGGCTGTTTTCCCCCTGGGATGTTTCCATGGCTTTCTGCAGTTGCCTCCTGTTGGCCCTCCTTCACCCTGTGCTCTCTAAGTCTGCCTGTCATCCTGGTGTAAGCTGTTCCTTGCTGGGTTTACAGCCTGCTCAGGCCCTTGCACCATAGGTGTTTTTTTTTTAAATCATCATTCATCTTTGTTTTATTCCATTTTATTCCGCAAAGATTTCTCTTTTTTGGAGCTTCTATATATTGAATCAGAGTTTTTTTTTCTTTTGTGTCTGCTTCTTTTATTTAACATGATGTTTTTGGGATTTTTTATTCTTGCATGTTTGAGTAAGTTATGACATTTTATCACCGCATAGTATTCCATTGAATGACTATGCCATGATTTGTTTACCTAGTGAACTTTGGATTGTTTCTAGTTTATTTTACTGTTGTGAATGAAGCTGCTCTGAACATCTGTGGACATTTATTTGGTTATAGCTAACTTTTTATTTTTCTGGAGTGATTAACCAGGAGTGCATTTTCTGGGTTGTATGATAATGCTAAGTTCATATTTATCTTTACAAGATGTAGCCAGACTGACTTTCACAGTGGTATACTATTAATATTTTACATTCTCAACAATGATGTTTGAGAGTTCCAGTTGCTCCATGTCTTTGCCAAAATGAGATATTTTCAGTCTTACTATTTGAGCCATCCTAGCAAACAATTTTGTGTATTGGTATCTCATTTTGGACTTAATTTGCGTTTCTCTTATGAGCAATGATTTGTGAATTGTGTGTTTGATTATTTTGCCAATATTTTAAAAATGGGAAATTTGCTTGTAATTATTTAATTATAAGAGATCATTGTATATTCTGGATACAGGTCATTTGTTAGATATTTGTATTACGAATACTTTCTCCAAATCTTTGGCTTATCTTTTTATTTTCTTAACAGCTTCTGAAGAGCATAAAATTTCTATTTTCTTAAAGTTCAGTTTAGGAGGGTTTCACTTTATAGTTTGCGCTATTTGTGTTCCACCTAAAAAAATTGCCTACTACAACCTCATGAAGATTTTTCTTCTATTTTTTCTAAAAGTTGAGGTGTTTCAGTTTTTGAGCAGCGCTGGTCAGGTATAGCATAAGGTGCCCTTCTATTGGGATTTGTCTGATGTTCTTCTCATGGTTAGACTGGGGTTAAGGGTTATGGAGAGGAAAAATCACAGAGTGAAAGCGCAATTTCATCACATCATATCAAGGGTACATACAGACTATCATCATGGTTTATCACTATTGATGTTGATGTTGACCTTGATCACCTGGTAGACATATGTGTATATTCACATATCTATAAATATTTTTATATGTAGGCATTTATATCCATATTAAGTTAACCATCTTATTGATGCCTCCACCACTAATCTAGCACCATGTGGATTGTCCTAGCCTATTCCTTCTGTTTCTCTGTATATATCTAACAGTGAGAACAGTGTTGAGTTTTTAATATTTATCTTTATTAATATGAATCCTGAATGCAACACATGAGGTTTCTGAAGCAGAGAAGATTGATTATTATTTCCAGCAAATAACAACTAGGTGGTTCCCCTGTGCCCCAATTTTTATCTCCAAGGAACATGATGAGAGCAGGATGAACAAACCTGCACGTACAGGGTCTGTATTGCAGGTGAGGAATCCTGAAAAAAATAAATCTTTGTGCTTATAGGCATTCTGTCTCCAACCAAAGGAGGCAGAAAAACCTTTGCTCCTTGAGAAAGATTCCGGGTTCTTACTCTAACTCTCTGGAATGTAAATAATCTCTCTAAGCAAAAGATAACTACCATTTCCATCTTTACAACCAGGGATGTCTTTCTGGTTCCAGGCCTCAGACTTCCTTGAAATGTAAACTCATAAACCCTGAGAGGTAAATGTCTCTGGAGTTCTCTCCATATAATCTATTATAAATTGTCTTCCAATATTTGCTTTTAGTCAAGGTTCCAAGCTCAATAAAATTTGCTCAAAAATTCCTAACTCTGTAGAAACATAAAAATATTCTCTCTGAAGCCCTTTATACAGATGAGGAAAGTGAGGCACAGATAGGGTAAAAACTTGCAAAGTTAAGAGTGCTGAAGGTGGAATTTAAATGGAAATTCATCTGAATCCAAAGCTCATGTTTCTTCCATTAGTGATTTAGTTCCAGAAAAGACTTTCCTGTTATTCAGCTAGTTCCAGATGTTTCAGGAACATACTTAACTTAGTCTTTTGACTTTGCTTTTGTTCATACTCCTTTCTTGGTCTGAGCACCTTATATTTCTTCATTAGTTAGGTCTGCAGAATTTTGCTTTCTATTAAATTTCAATATTCATAAGTGGCTTTGCATTTTTTGTATTTTGGTGCATTATTTAAAGTATTTTTAAAATGCACTTTGCTTTCTAGAACTCAATACGGTATGGAAAGTCTTCTTAAGATTCTAGAGATTTTAGGAAAGATTAGGTAATACTGAAATGATGCTCTGATAAGAAAAACAATTTATTTCTATCTCTGGGCATAGATTTCCTAGTTTAATGTGAGTGAATAGCTCATTTTCAGTTTTAAACATGCCATCATTTTCCCACGTATTTTTCTTCCTTGGTATCCCGATACATTTAATGCTTATTCTAACCTCATATATTGTTATTCTCGTTTCTCTGAATGGTTTGTATTAATGCGACATTGATGTTCAAGGTCAGAGTGTGTGACTATAAATAGTTACTCAGAGGACTGTAAAAACCCCAATGATTTTTCCAGGTAATGAGGTACAAGACAAACTCTATGGCTGACATTTTTACTAGTGCAATCTCTTCAGTGCTGCTGCCCGTATATAGGAGTCTCAGGAAGACTCTGCAATGTCATGAAGATTTTAATATTGCTTTAGAGGGTTTTGAGCATTTCAATTATGACTTGTATTCAGCACCACCATTTAGTTCCTGACAATTGCTCGAGTTTGACAATTCCTGATTTAGCTGTTATCTATTTTCCAGTGCTTTCAAGAATGGGATGATAATGCAGACTCCTATTATAGAATACAAAAGGGCTCTGGACAGTTCTTGTAAGTGTTCACCTGCATGCTTAATTTCCTGTGGTCACAGCATTAAAATAAAAGCCCGAGGAAAGAGCTCCCTAGTCCTGGTTTAGCTGGTTCCTGGAGCATGCTAATTCACAGGCCGTGACTACAGACCTGTAACTGGGGAAGTTTCTCTTCCTGTAGGTTAGTCTAGCTAACCTGCCAAGAAGTCTTCTCAAACAGTATGTAGGCTTCCTGCAGTGACAGAGCCCTCTGGTTAGCTACAGTGGCCATGGTGCCACAGTTAACACAGTTTTACTCTTTGGAGCTCAGTTGTTTGTAAAGCTGCATGAAGCCTTTACCCCCAAGCAATCTGCAGTCATCACGGAACACTGCACAACGGTGTGGCTGCTTTTGCTGCTGTTTCTAGTAGCTGCCATGCTGATGAACATCTGCCTGTCATACATGCAGTATAGTGCCCTCAACACTATTTTGACAGTAAGTGAGTTCTTGGTTATTCTCTTAGTATTTAAGCTTTCTTTATACTACAATTTTGACTACATTTCATTGCCAACTGACAGCATGCTGCTTACCAAAGATAACTGCTTATTTCAGACACAGTTCCAGAAATCTATTTACCTACTGCCACTTTATTTGAAAATCTCACAGTTGTTGAGGGTATATGAAATATATGAATGGCTTTTCCAATTTAAGACATGCATAGAGGTAAAGTTATGACATTAACTGCATCCTTTGTGCAGAAGAAGGGCTTCTTGGATGACAAAAGTCTATCCCCTCTCTTTACAAATTAAAGATACAGTGGGAGGAATAAAGGCTACTTATGAGTTTAAAGAAACATGGATTACCTTGTTCACATAATTGACAATAACTCACTCACTTTAAATTTGTCCTAACAGCCTTGAAGGACTCTGCCAGTATGTCCTTTTAGTCATTTGTTGATACATTTTTTGTTCATTCATTCATTATCAATCCACAAATTCTAGGTGGAAATGTACTAGGCAGAAGCTGTGCTAGGGTCAGCCTACACAGAAGATAAAGAGATGGTCCTTATATTTAACCATACATCATTTTTTTCTTATAGAATAACTAGATGAGTGAATGAATGAATAACTTTTCTCTTGTTGTTTCTTGTAATTGGTGTTTTGAATATTGAGAGGGGGAAATGTTGATATATTCTTTAAGGATAAACAGTTGAGAACTTCTACATAGGATGTTAGCAGCTTCTACCTTATTTCCTCATCTGAGTGTATCCATCCACAGAATAAGAAGTGATAACAGTAGTAATAACAGGAGCAATAATAAAAAGTGGAAACAGTTCTTACAAACCAGAGACCTGTACAAGTGTACAAGTGTATTTTTCAGAGCTGCAAACTTCTACATTTAGAAAATTGTCACTTGTCCATCTGCTGCAAACTTCACAATTCTTACTTAGGATATATCCAAAGAGCAAAGCATCATTCTAGGTGCCTTCATAATTTTTGTATTCTAATTTTGTTCTACTGTAACTAGGAAAAGGAATTGACGTCTTTAAATTGTCTTAGGGAAGGGGTGTCCAATCTTCTGGCTTCCCTGGGCCACATTGGGAAAAGAAGAATTGTCTTGTGCCGCAGATAAAATACACTGACACTAATGAAAGCCGGTGAGCTAAAAATAATTGCCAAAAAGTTTCATAATGTTTTAAGGAAGTTTACAAATTTGTGTTGGGCTGCATTCAAAGTCACCCTGAGCCATATGCCGCCCACAGGCTGTAGGTTGGACAAGCTTGTCTTAAGGGTTTACACTTTTACTAGGCAAGCTGACCATGTACAATCTAATTCTAAAATTTTAGGGGGAACTTCTTATGAGCCAGGCACTCTGCAGTGTTCTCTTGAGGACACAAAGAAGGACAAGACAGGAGAAATAAGGAATGTACACAGATAACTATATAGCAAGACAATGTAATAAATGCTGTATGAGGACAAAACAAGACCCATTGTCACACAGGAGAGGAGATATATTCCTGGTCCTTCTCAGAGAAGGATTTATGAAAGAGGTAATATTGACCTGGAAACTGAGAATCTCTAGGGTTTAGACAGTAAGAAAGTAGTGGCAATTCAACTCACAGCAAACCTTATCATCAAAGATCATTTGTTTGTATATTAATCAAATACTTATTGAGCACCTATGCTACATAGCTGCAGTTCACAAGTAGTTTGTCATCTATCTGAGAAGACAATCACTTACCTAATAAAATGGAATGTGATAAATTTGGTAAGAGGTTTATGTGCTGAGTACATGGGGAGCACAGGGAGGGAAACCATTTATTTTGACTAGAAGGGGAAGGCGATTACATTTGACCTGTCTTGGGAAATAAATAGGAATTTTGTGAGTGACAAGAGAAAGACTGGCATTTCAGAGTGAGGAAAGATCATGGGCCCATTATCCAAGCCACATTACTCAAAATGTGATTTTTGGGCCGTCTATGTCAGAGTCAACTGGTATGGTTATAAATATAGATTCATCACGCTACCCTCGATCTACTAAATTACAAACTTTCTGAATATAACCCAACGTTTGCCTTTTAAACATGTTTCTGAGCTTGATAAAAGTTAAAAATTTCTGTTCCAAGGATGAAATGATGCAGCCCATTTGGGGAAAGAGTAGCATGACTCAAAGTGTGTATGAGACTCCATGATGGAGTGAGAGGAACGGGAAAGGCATTTTTAATTGACAGTGGTGCTGCTTATTTGCAGTATAGCAGGAGTTGGGAGAGAGAAAGCTAGAAGAGTGGTTGGTGCCAAATCATGAAGGGACTTGAGTAACTCATCAACTTTGTTCCTCAGACAATGGGGAGCCATTGACGTTTTTTTAAGTAGGTGAGTGAAATGAATAAAACATCACGTGTGAAAAACCAAGAAGTTTCTGAAGTTACCACCATGCCTTTCAAACAATAGATACTTTCTAACACAGTTATTGAACGGATTGCTTTTCTTCTCCTACAAGTATGAAAGTTTTTTGAAAGCATTTTAAAGACAATCAAAGTTTAATTTCTTACTTACCATTTGTGACTTGTGATTTTGGATGGTACCAATAAACATATTGTTGATTATTTTTGTAATGTGTTTTTCACGGTTGCACTTTTGACTATGTACAGAACAGCCTGAATATGGCTGAGCTGTATTAATTTGACCATTTGATGAGATAATTTTCAATTGCTTGGGCTATCAGGTAGAAATAGTGGAGTAAATTGGCCAGTAAGTTAGTTAAGAGGGATCTACCTGGCATCACAATGTGGCTTCGTGAACCTTTTAGCACTTTACTTTTTGTAGTGTGGGAGAGAGTGTACACTGCACTGATAGTCTCGACTTGGGGACTTCAAGCTGATTGCAGCTTTGAAGTTAAGAAGGTATAATCCTTGAAATGTTCTACCAACTTGATTTTCCTGTGATCTGTGTGGGGCCATCTCCCTCTGGAAGGTCATTGAAAATGTGACCTACACAAA
Source organism: Homo sapiens (assembly GCF_000001405.40). Taxonomy (NCBI): domain Eukaryota; kingdom Metazoa; phylum Chordata; class Mammalia; order Primates; family Hominidae; genus Homo; species Homo sapiens. The sequence goes on along the minus strand of NC_000003.12, from coordinate 176,734,652 downwards.
GAGGGAAACAACAGACACTGGGACCTACTTGTGGGTCGGGGGGTGGGGGGACGGTGGTGGGAGGAGGGAGAGAATTAGAAAAAATTGCCATTGGGTACTAGGCTTAGTAGCTGGGTGACAAAATAATCTGTACGACAACCTGATGTGACACAAGTTGCCTTATATAACAGACCTGCACACGTACCCTTGAACCTAAACTAAAAGTTAAAAAAAAAAAAAAGAAAATGTGACCTAGTGGCTCCCCTTTCTGGATATCTGGAGCCATTACCATACATCCTGCCCATCCCCCTCCCCCACATTCCCGTCTGGGGATGATCCTTATCTTTAGCAGAGAGGGCCTATTTCTCACTTCGAAACTGCCACAGAAGGATCCCTCCCTCACAGGGCAGAGGGAGAGGGAGAAGGGAACAGTACTTCAGTGGCCTGAATACAGGGTATTCGTCCATGTGCCAACACAGTTAGGCCAGCTGTGCATCCTTTCTGCATCTCAACCTTAGGAGGCTTAATCTCTATGCAATCTAAAGGGTCACAGTGGTTCTGCAGAATTGTTAAGTCTGTGTTGGGGACTGAGAAAGCAACATAGGAATCTTTCAGTCCATCATAGAACCTTTTCTCAGGGAGCTAAAGCCCTCAGAATGTGCCTTAGGCTACTTTTTTAGATTAAAAACAATCCATTGTCTGCTCCATGAGTGTTAATTCACTGTCCTGCAGCACAGCTGATGGCTATTTCAGTTCTCAAGTTTTTCTTTGACAAGTTGGCTGCTTACATACATCAGCCTGATCACACGATGCCTATTTACCAAAGTGAAGTGGGTACCTTCATGGGCCTGAAGCACTGAGTCTCCCTATGCACCCATTGCAGAAACCATTGCTTTCTTTTTTAAATTTTTATTTCAATAGTTTGTGGGGAACAGGTGGTTCTTTAGTGGTGATTTCTGAGATTTTGGTGCACCTGTTACCCGAAGTGTACACTGCACACAATGTTTACTCTTTTACCCCTAACTTCCCACCGACTCTTCCCCTGAGTCCCCAAAGTCCATTATATGATTCCTATGCTTTTGCATACTCATAGTTTAGATCCCACTTGTAAGTGAAAACATACAATATTTATTTTTCCATTCTTGAGTTATGTCACTTAGAATAATGGTCTCCAACTCCATCCAAGTTTCTGCAAATGCTATTATTTCGTTTCTTTTTATGGCTGAGTAGTATCCATAATACTAATTACAGTATTCCACAATTAAAATATTGTGCAGAACTCCATAATGCTACTAAATATTGTGTAGTATTCCATAATACTACTCAGCCATAAAAATATACAATTACCTCCCCTAGTGGGTGGTAATTGAATCATGATGTGTTTTCCCCCATGCTATTCTTTTGATAGTGAGTGAGTTCTCATGAGATCTGATGATTTTATAAGGGGCTTCCCCCTTTGCTTGGTTCTCATTCTTCTCTCTCCTGCTGCCCTGTGAAGAGGTGCCTTCTCCAATGATTGTACCTTTCCTCAGTCCTCCCCACCAATGCAAAACTGTGAGTCAATTACACCTCTTTTCTTTATAAATTACCCAGTCTCAGGTATTTCTTCATAGCAGTCTGAGAATGGAGCAGAAGTAAGGAATTGAAGAAAGAGACTGGAGTAGACAGGTCATGTTGAGGGCAGGTACATTCCCAGGAGTGTTCTTAGTTGGATTTCTATGAAAAAAATCCACTCTGCATATGAAAATACATGTGTGATGGGGGCTTGCCTCAGATGAAGCTAGTGGAGAGGGGATGATGGGGAGCTGTCACAAGAGCACCTTGTACCTGAACTAGCAAGGAGCCAAGGAGCTCTCTGCCCTCTTGAGCCTGTGCAGTCTTGGGGAATGATCACTTCAGAAGTAACTGATGGTGTCCAGGCAGTGCTTCTATGAATATTCCAAACTTTTTGTGACCCTTCATATCTTTCAAGGGTTCTGGAAGGGACATGGAAGTGATAGAGCTCCAGCAATGACTAGAATCACCAAATTTCCTCGCAACCTGCAAGGTTAGAAATTAATATGATTTAGAAATCTTAACAAATTAGGTTTTTATTACACCCAGATTTGGGGAATTCATACTCACTACAAATATATACAGCATAAAGCAATTGACCATGAACATTCACATGTTCAATAATTACAACAACAATGCATAAAGAGCCGGGAGGATAGACATTATCCTTATTTAGTCAATCAAAGAGAAACTCAGAGAAGCCAAGTGACTTTTCCAGGGCCACAGAGGTAGTAAGTGTAAATCAAGGCCTGGGATTCAGCAAGTCTGACTCTCAATCCAGGTGTTTTCCACCACGTGAGACTGAAAATTAAAATAAAACAGTCATTGTAAATGTAGAAAGAAAATAGTCTTAGTATTACTGTGCTTTATCGGAGTTTTCAGGTGATGCTGAGTAAAGTCTATAAAGAGCAGTTGAGAATCCATGGCCAGAAAATAGGTTAGAGACAAAACTGGTGTTGGAACCTACACGTCTTGTCTTGTAATTCAGGAGCCTCATCAAGTCACCTTGAAGTCTACCTTGGATAAGATAACACAAGACCCATGACAAATTGAAGTGTATCACTTAACAATGCCTGTGAAAAAGACTTTCTCTTTAGTAACCAGAACACTTTTACAGCAAGAGATTTTATTTCAGATGTTCATAATTATTTATAAAAGAGACAACTACATAACCACTTGCTTTGTTAACAGTGACAGTGAGACATCTTGAAGAGGAAGTGTGGTCTCTTTAGATTGGCAGTCTAAACTGGCCAATTCTTGGTTTAATTTACTTATAGTAAAGTATAATATTGATTTGAGCTTGTGTTAGTCTATTCCTATGCTGCTAATAAAGACATACCTGGGAGTGGGTAATTTATAAAGGGAAAAGGTTTAACGGACTCATAGTTCCATATGGCTGGGGAGGCCTCACCATCATGGCAGAAGCCAAAGGAGAAGCAAAGGCACATCTTACATGGTGGCATTCAAGAGAGCTTGTGCAGGGGAACTCTCATTTATAAAACCATCAGATCTCATGAGACTTATTCACTACCACGAGAATGGTATGGGGGAAACAGCCCCCATGATTCAATTATCTCCACCTGGCCCTGCCTTTGACAGTGGGGATTGTTACAATTCAAGGTGAGATTTGGGTGGGGACACAGCCAGAGAAATATCAGAGCTCTATCTGAACACATGTCATATTGGCACAATTCAGTGAAATGAGTGCTAACCCAAGAAAGAAAATATCTAGAGGGGTCAAATCCTGCTTTGTTGCTTACTCTACTGTGACTTTGGGCAAGCTGGTCCCCATTTGGTGTCTCCCTCCTGTCTTATAAATGGGAGTGATGCCATGCAGCCCTGCTACATTATTAGGTCATCATAAGGAGCATATACTATCTTGTATATTATAATGCATAGGAGAAGACTTTGTGAATTCTAGTTCTAATAGGTGGCTATTCAGAAATTCCATAATTCTATTAATATTTATCAGGATGAAGGGAAGAGAAATAAGGTAGGTCAGCAAGAACCTCCTACTACTGAGCTTCCCTTCCATGTTGAAGGATCTGTTCTAAGATGCTTTATATATATATAGCATATAATTCTTAGAACAACCTTATGAAGTAGATGTCCTTATTTCAATTCCACAGATGTAGAATTTGAAAATCAAATTATATAATTGGCTATGACATTACATGATAAAAAAAAAGAGTTCAGCTTGAGTCCAAGTTACTCTGTCTCCTAGATCCTGTGCTTGAGCCGTCCACTGTCCTGCCTTTCAGAAGAGCTCAGAGGTCCCATTTGCCATTGGCAGGCCTCTTGTATTAGTCCCTTATAGGAACAATGGCATGCTAGCAAATGGCTGACATGATGGCCCAGGCAGAGAGGCTATGCTGCTGCCATAGTACTTGGGCCTATTCAGGTCCACGCTCTAGACATTTTGATTGGCCACTGCAGATAACACCTGTGTTTTCCCATTGTTTTATCACAGAAGCATGGTGATAAAAGCCTCCCTTTTATAGTCCCTGTGAAATAAATCGAAGTGCAGTGTTTACAAAGACACTCCACTTGATCAGTCTGCTGCTATAGCCTTTGAGTGGTTTGGCCCTGCTGATAGCACTTATTTTAATGGCCAGAAGGAAAGAACCTTTTAAGAAGATCAAATGAGACACCTGAAAAGAAATCTGCCTTCTTAGTCCCATGGGTAGGAAAAGAAGCTTTCATGTTTTGATTTAAATTTTGAGAATTGTTTGCCTTTTCAGACTCCAGGGAGGAGAAATAGATTTATATTGGAGTCTGGCCTGGAGATAAAACTGCATATCGCTAAGTTAACTTACTGCATTGAGAGAGTGTAGCTGCCTGGTGGTGTGAAAGTTGGAAAGACTTTAGTACCTGTCCTGGCTATGCCACTTACAAGCTGTGTGACCTTGGAAAAGTGAATTAACCTTCCTGAACCTATTTCCTCATCTATAAAATAGAGATTAGAATGTCTTCATAGACGGTTATAATTTTAAAAGAAAACAAATTCTTTAGTTCATCAATTTTTAGCAGGCTATCAATTCCCCTAGTTCTGAACAGGGGACCATAGTTTGAGTTCTACATATTGGTGTAAGACCTTGAGTAAGTCACCTCATTTCTCAGGGTCTTTGTTTCCTAATTGGAAAGGATGAAGAACTTGAATCAGAAGTTCTCTGAAGTTCCTTTTTTTTTTTCTTTTTGAGATGGAGTTTTGCTCTTGTTGCCCAGGGTGGAGTGCAATGGCACAATCTCGGCTCACCACAACCTCTGCCTCCTGGGTTCAATCTATTCTCCTGCTTCAGCCTCCTGAGTAGCTGGGATTACAGGCATGCTTCACCACATCCAGCTAATTTTGTATTTTTGGTAGAGATGGTTAATATTTGTATTTTCACACCACCATCTCACCCAACAGATGTCAGATCAAAGAAAATACTAGATTTTGATGTTAAATAATTATTGTTCCCATTCATTGAACAATTTTTAGTAGATACAGGGTTTCTCCATGTTGGTCAGCCTGGTCTCGAACGCCCGACCTCATGATCCACCTGTCTTGGCCTCCCAAAGTGCTGGGATTACAGGTGTGAGCTACCGCGCCCAGCCTGAAGTTCCTTCTAGCTCATACATTCTATATGTCTATAACTGATTAATTCCTGAAACCACGAGAATTTTGGCAGTTACCACTTGAGATACCGGTTGAGAAAAGCAAGCAAATGCTTTTCAATGGCCCTCACAATGTTATATTGAGAAACAAGGATCATTTGTGGGTAAAACAAGAAAAGGATACCTTCAACCTACTATCTGGATCTTTTAGATAAGGTTGCATGTGGTCATGAACTTGCTTGACAACATGTGTTTCTATTCCCAGCAGACTGTGCAGCTTGAGGGCAGACATCTGTGTTTCATTGGTCTTCATGACACATGATAGAACTCTTAATGCCCAGCAGTTACTTGATATGTATTAACTGATTGATTTTTTCAATTTTTTATATGTACAGTTACCAGAGCTATAGGCTTACTTGGACAAATAAAGAAGAAATAGTTTGTTGGCATTTCCCTAAGTGCTTATACTTCTATTAACTCTAATGCATATGTTTTAGACTGACTTATCACTGCAATGAATTAGTAGCCATTAATGGGCCATGTAGAACACACATGCTCTTCCTTTGAAATTTCTCAGCAAGGGCCAACCTGAATCTATACTTTGGCAGATAAGACAGGGTATTATTTTTATATGACTACCTTCCCTTCTACTTGTCTTCCTTTTCCTGCCTACAAATCCTCCCATAGCTTCCTCTTTACAACTGTATCAAATCTAAGCATCAGCTGGCTTTTCTCTCTTTCTATTTTGTATCAAACCAGCCTTAATCTTTATTGCAAAGGGGTTTTCCCAACATATTACATTTTCTCTTGTAGAAACAGTAGGAAAGCACTGGAAAAGACTCGAGAACTATTTGATTATTTTGAGGTTATCATTTTCATAATTGAGAACAACTTGAAATTCTACGGAGAGTTGGAGAAATCACAGGCATGCAATATCGTTTTTACTCCTTTCATTTTGAGAAGAGTAGCATTCAGGAAGCTTTCATTGAGTCACTGGAGACAACAGTTAGAGTGATAAAGGTTTAGTATTTCATTGAAATGGGTCCCAGTTAGCTCTGTGAAATCCTCAAACTGATCACAGATGGTGGTATTTTAAATCCATATAGACCTTGTCATTACAAAGAATGACAAAGCACTTGATAAAGTCTTTGTGGTCACCATGCTACAGAGTGTCCAATGGGGAGATAAAAGAGTTGCATGGACCATTAACGCTTGAGAAATTGAATAAATGTGTGCAGAAGAAAAATGTTGACTAGTGACACCAAGAGGAACTCTACTTTTCTCTAAAGGAACCCAAGAGATGTCAGATCAAAGAAAAGACTAGATTTTGATGTTAAATTATTCTTGTTCCCATTCATTGAACAAGTTTTTTGAGCATTGACTGTGTGTCTGACACCATTTTAGCACCGTGGGGAACACTAGGATGGATAAGACAGAGTATCCACTTTTGCAGCAAGAAGAACAAAAAATAACACCTCTTTATTATCTTTTTATCTTTGGAAGCCATGAAAAGAAGACACAAGTTATCTTGTAATCAAGATAGTGGCTTTATTATTGATGCAGCTGATGGAAGAACATGGACAAATGGACTTGCTCATATCTATTCTAAGTCAGCCCAATGGACAGCCCACTCTGGGAAGAGTTTGGATTGGCAGAACAGATACACTTAGAAATATTATTGTCCAACCAGTCTTGCCTTTTGAGTCCAAATGATTAGCTTTTATAATAGGTTAGCTCCACCTCATCATATTCATAGCACCTACTAATTAGATAACTGATTTCTTCTTTCATGGAGATAAATTAGTAATGAGCAATGTGGAGTGATACCTGGCGTGTTCCACCAGGGAAGTAACCTCAAGGAATTGTGAGGTCAGAAAATAAACATCTACAATTAATAATCTCCAGTCTTTTTTTCTTCTAACTCATGTGAGTTAAAATTACACTGTATTTTTCCCTCTTAGCAGAAAATCATCACTATATCAGGAAAGCCCTGCTGTAGCCTTTGTGATGCCACTCCCACAATCCTAGCCACCATTTCATTTTAGGTATCTTCTTGGGACCATTGCTGGGCAGTTTAGTTTTGGTTTTAAAGATAGCCTTTGAAAAGGGTTGGAATAGTACCTTAGGCTACAATGTGCTTCCTTTTTAATATCCCTTCCTAAGTTGCATTTTATCATATTGTCCCACACCAGAGGTTGTAAAATAAACCCAAATAGCCAAAGTTAACATCATGGAGATGTTAGGAATTTGAATATAACCTAGTCTCACTACTTAGTTTTTAGGGAGAAAATATGAGTATGAAAATAAAATTTTCTTGGCCTTTTTATAAATTCAAATTTATTGGCCGGGCGCGGTGGCTCACGCTTGTAATCCCAGCACTTTGGGAGGCCGAGGCGGGCGGATCACGAGGTCAGGAGATCGAGACCAGCCTGGCTAACACGGTGAAACCCCGTCTCTACTAAAAATACAAAAAAATTAGCCGGGCGTGATGGCGGGCGCCTGTAGTCCCAGCTACTCGGGAGGCTGAGAAAGGAGAATGGCGTGAACCCGGGAGGCGGAGCTTGCAGTGAGCCGAGATTGCGCCACTGCACTCCCGCCTGGGCCACAGAGCGAGACTCCGTCTCAAAAAAAAAAAAAAATCAAATTTATTGAAGTCCAAAAATCTGCTTAAGGACACTAGGTCAGTAGGTCAGATTTGAAAGTTTTGAAACTTAATATGGAAAGAGATGACCTCTAGACTTACACTTGCTTGTAGAGATGTCTTTGTACATCACTAGTTCATCTCCATGATGTGGTCAACTTGTGATTTTTTTCCACCAGTGGAGTGGAAGTCCATGTAGCTAACACTGATTGAGTATTTCCTATGTGCAAGGCACTATGGGTAACAGAGAGACTACTGAAGATGTAGCCCCTTCCCTAAGAGGTTTACAATCAAATAAGCTGCGTACAAGGTAATAACAGGTTGAAATACAAAACCTTTCTATTCAGTTCAACCTAAATCACAAACATCATTTCTCATTTTTTCATCTGTACCTTCAACTCCAGCCACACTGAGTCTTCATTGTTCCCAACATAGTATGCTTAATCACATCTCTGTGTTATCACATGTGCATTTTCTTTCAGATATGAGTCCTTTTCTGCCTTTTCAGATAGGTAGCCTTTAAGAACCAGCTTGCATATCACTTATTTGGTTAAAACTTTGTTGGTTTTCTGGAAAGGGAGATTTAGACCTTCCACTGAACTCCCATAGTATTCTTTTCTATCTCTATTATAGCACCAGCCTCTTGTTTCAGAACAAGAGGATATCTTCTTGTTTGTTCGTTCTTCAGTGGTGGATTGTAACGGTAGCTTCCATTCTTTTTTTTTTTGTTTTTTTTTGTTTTTGAGTTGGAGTCTGGCTCTGTCGCCCAGGCTGGAGTACAGTGTCATGATCTCGGCTCACTGCAACCTCCGCCTCCTGGGTTCAAGTGATTCTCCTGCCTCAGCCTCCTGAGTAGCTGGAATTACAGGCATGCAGCACCACACCCGGCTAATTTTTGTATTTTTATTAGAGGCAGGGTTTCAACATGTTGGTCAAGCTGGTCACAAACTCCTGACCTTGTGCTCCACCTGCCTTGGCCTCCCAAAGTGCTGGGATTACAGGCGTGAGCCACTGTGCCCGGCCACTTCCAATCTTTACCTCTCCCTGTGTCTGTGCCTTTTACCATATGACTTTAAGGGTCCTCCCACTCGAGGGCATATGATTCTGAGTTTGGCTGTGTGACTTGTTTGGCTCATGGGATGTGAGCAGTCATGAGACAGAGTTTGGAAAAACTACGTGAGTATTTCTGGTTGTATTCTTGTGCTTCTCCCATTATCTTGAGAATATGACGGGGCTAGACTTTTGGAGGATGAGAGATATGTAGAGGACAGACAGCCCCAATAATACCAGCCAAAGATAGCTGAGATCAGCTAAGAGCCAGCTGACCCCCAGATATTTGAGCAATCCAAGCAAAGTACAGAATAACAGCCTTATATACAGTCCAGACTGCATCACTGACTCACAGGATTATTGCTTTAATAAATACATGCTTTTTGCTTTATGCCATTGAGTTTTTGTGGTTAGATGTCAGACAGCTATTGTGCGGAAATCAATAACTGATAGCCCATCTGTTCCCATCATTAGACTGAGTTTTCTGAGAGCAGGGATTATTTAAGAGTTATCCTTTTTCTTCCCCAATACCTAGCATATAGAAGGTATATTTGTTTGCTGAAAGAAAGATGGCCTTGATAAATAAATGAATATTATACTCTAAAATTAGAGATTACCCCCAAAGTTGTTAAAATTTAGCTTTGATAGTACCAAAAGTGGTCTACGGATTCAATGCAATCTCTGTCAAAATATCTATGACAGTTTTCATAGAAATAGAAAAAAAAATTCGTATGAAGCCACAAAGGACCTAGAATAGTTAAATCAGTCCTGAGTAAAAAGAACAAAGCTGGAGGCATCACACAACTTGATTTCAAATTATACTTCAATGCTCTAGTAACCAAAACAACATGGCACTGGCATAAAAACAGACACACAGACCAATGGAACAGAACAGAAAACCCTAAAATAAATCTATATACTTACAGCCAATGTGTTTTCAGCAAAGGCACTAAAGACATACACTGGGGAAAGGACAATCTCTTTAATAAACGGTGCTGGGAAAACTGGATATCCATGTGCAGAGGAAAGAAACAAGATCCCCATCTTTCGCTATATACAAAAATAAACTCAAAATGGATTAAAGACTTAAATGTAAGATCTGAAACTATGAAACTATTAGAAGAAAATATTGAGGAAACACTCTAGGACATTAGTCTGGGCAAAGACTTTTTGGGTAAGATCTCAAAAGCAAAGACAACCAAAGCAAAAATAGACAAATAGAATTACATCAAGCTAAAAAGCTTCTGCACAGCAAATGGAACAGTCAGCAAAATAAAGAGACAACCCACAGAATGGGAGAAATTATTTGCAAATTCCCCATTTGACAAGGGATTAGTGACCAGAATATATAAGGAATTCAAACAACACAAAAGAAAAAAACCAAAATAATCTCACTAATTTAAAAATGGGTAAAAGAACTAAATAGACATTTCTCAAAAGAAGGCATAGAAATGAACAAGCATATGAAAAAAACATGCAACATTACTAATCATCAGAGAAATGCAATTCAAAACCATAGTGAGATATTATTCCACCCCAGTTAAGCTTTTATCCAAAAGACAGGCAGTAACAAATGCTGGTGGATAAATGGGATGTGGATAAATGGGAACCCTCACACACTGTTGGTGAGAATGTAAATGAGTTCTAGCCACTATGGAGAACAGTATGAAGGTTCCTCCAGAAACTAAAAATAGAACTACCATATAAGCCAACAATTTCACTACCAGGTATAAATCCAAAACAAAGGAAATCAGTATATCAAAGAGACATCTGCACTTTCATGTTTATTATAGCAATATTCACAATAGCCAAAGTATGTAGTCAACATAAAAGTCCACCAATGAATAAATGGATAAAAAATATGTGGTATGTATACACAATGGCATATTATTCAGCTATAAAAAGAATTAAATCCTGTAATTTACAAGAACATGGGTGGAACTGGAGGTCATTATGTTAAGTGAAATAAGCCAGGCACAGAAAGATAAATGTCACATGTTCTTATTCCTATATGGGTGTTGATAAAGTGGATTTCATGGAGGTAGAGAGTATAATGGGTAGTTACCAGAGGCTGGGAATGGAAAAGAGAGTAGGGGAATAAAGAGAAGTTGGTTAATGGGGACAAAAATACAGTTAGAAGGAATAAGTTCTAGTATCTGATAGTATAGTAGGAAAATAATAGTTAATAATTTATTATATATGTCAAAATAGCTAGAAAAGAAGAATTGTATCATCTCAACAAAAAGGAAAGATAAATATTCAAAGTGATGGATATCCCAATTACTCTGATTTGGTCATTACACATTGTATACTTGTGTTAAAATACCACATGAACCCCCCCCAAATATGTGCAATTATGATATATCAGTAAAATAAAGTACAAACATATTGGGCTTTAAAATATACAATAAAAATTTGTTATGGTTATGGTTCATTTATTTTTCTAATGTTTCCTTAGGTTAACATTTATGTTTTTATATATTATATCAAAACTAGAAAAAGAGTTGACATCCAGGAAATAAAGAAGCAAGAAAAAAGCAAGTTGGGGACGAAATGAAAATGTCACTGCTAATCAGTAGCTGACTGTATGAAACAAATAATCCATTGATCTCAGTTGTTCTGCCTTTTGTGCTGTTATCAACCATGATCTGTAAAAAATACTTCCAGCCACCATTTTCTGCCTAGCTAGAATGGCTATTGTCTGACACTGAAATAGTTTAGTTTATTATTAGGGTAAACCTAAATATGTTATATGTTTGTTTGTATACATTTTGTTCTTTTTTTCTTCTGGGACAGAGTTTCCCTCTGTCACCCAGACTGAAGTGCAGTGACATGACCATGCCTCACTGCAGCCTTGACCACATGGGCTCAAGCAATCCTTCCACCTCAGCCTCCCTAGTAGTTGGGATCACAGGTGTGCACCACCATGCTGGGCTAATTTTCGTAGAGAAAGAGTCTCACTGTATTGCCCAGGCAGGTCTTGAACTCCTGGGCTCAAGCAGTTCTCTCATCGTGGCCTCTCAAAGTGTTGGGATTACTGGCGTGAGCCACTGTGCCTGGTCTTGTTTGTTTATATTTGAGAAAGCACAGAGTTCCCAACTAAAGAAGCAGAATCAAGTTGTTTAATGTTTGTCTGCTAGTATCCTAGTGATAAGATAGCCAAATTGTTGAAAGTTGGGTTTTAAGAACAATTGATCAGTTTTCAATAGAAGTGGAAACATAAAAAGAGTGTTAAATGAAAAGTTGAGAGAGCTCTCTGGGTAGGAGTCAGTTTTGAAGAAGGGATGAGGACAGTAAACTGCGACTCTAGAATTCCTTGCAGTGTAAGGTTTCCTCTGGGTCACACAGCCTTCCTTGAGCTCTCATGTACTACATTCAGTGAATGATATGTCCATGTTGAATATGCTATAAAAACATAGATACTATAGATTTGGGGAATATAATCAAGAAGGATCTATCTCTTCAGGCAAATTCCTCTTAATTTCCATTTGGAGAACCATGAATAAGCATTGTAAAATTAAGACACTTTTGAAGTCTTTTAGAGGAAGGTAAGGGAAAAGAAAACAAAGCCACATTTGATAAGGTGTTAGGAAATATGAATTAAGAAATTTGCCTAATAATAGTTTCTTACCTGCCAAATGTCATGCTGGCTTGAAATATTCTGAACTGACAAGTTGAACTTTTCAATCTAGTTATTGTTTTAAATGTTAATAGGAAGAGGAAGTGCTGGTCCACCAAGGTCTTCATCCAGGTCTTTGTAAGTGATTACTTGCTGTCTAGTAGACAGTACATCACAATGTGGGTTGGCATTTTTTCAATTTGTCTTTTGTTTTTTTTCACTCCTAGGTCATTTTGTAGTGAGACTGTGCCCTATACATGAACCTATTTGCCAGACCCATCAAGTGAATTCCGTGATTCTTATGAAAAAGCTAAGTTTATTTCAAAGTTTTAGTAGAACACATTGAAAATAGTCATCACTTATTGTGCTCAGAGCCACTTCATTGATTTTATTTCTTAAGCTAGATAGCTATCAACTACAAAGTCAGCCTTCTGGGAAGAAACCTGTATGTCATGAAATCAGCATGAATTTTAGGTTAAGACAAATCTGCATTTCAATCTTTGCTTGGCCATTTAGAGTTTTGCAATTATGGGTGGTTCCATGGCCTAACTGAGCTTCAGTTTCCTTATTTGTGAAATTGGGTTAATACAACTATTACAGATTAGCACAAATGAAGTATATGTAGCAAGCATTCAAAACACATTACAATTCCTTGCTTATTCTTTAGCCTTTTTGGTTTCTTCATGTTTAGCCCATGTAAAGTGAAGTAAATCAAATAAACCATCGCTGATTTTGGGTGAAGAAATGAAACCCCAGAGCCCAGAATTAGTACAGATCTGGTGGTATAACTCTATGCTGAGCTATACCATCTACATCCCTTAATTACACTTCTAGGTTCTGACCACTAAAGTGCTGGGATTATGTTAAATTCAGTTGGTGAGGATGAAACATAGAGCTATGAGCTCATCAGTAATCTCCCCAGTCAAGCCTTCCACATCATTGTTTTTGCCTTTTTAGGCTCAAGAGGTTAATGACATTTTTTTAAAAAATGATTTTTCAAGTGCTTGAAGATTACAGTTAAACTGGATATATAATCTGCTCCACTTTTGACCCTAAAAAACTGTAAAATGCAGAAATGTAACATAGCGATCTTATCCTAACTCAGATAAATTTGCTAAAACACACACATATACTTTTGTTATTTACATTGGGAAAAACAATTCTAAATTCAATCCTGGATAAGTATTTTTAAACGCAAACTTTATGACCCAATTCTGTTTCTACTGAACAGTGAGCTCAGGAGCAAGTGTTCAGGGATATGATAAAATCTGTATGATTTGAAGGAGAAAATACGCCCGTAGTGAAAGATATGGGAAGAAGTTCTCACAAATGGGAGAGAAATTGATTCTTTTCTTATCAAATTTTGTAGGATGAGATGCAGATCTGATTTCTAGGTATTGCAGATCATGAGACTGAAAAATTCATAGGATGCTTTATTTTCTCCTCTTTCTTTCGCTACCTGGCAAACTGTTGGCCTGGGGTCTGGGAAGCCATCTCTGTGTTGAGCCCCCAACCTGCTCTCCATGAAGTTCCAAGAAGGTAACCTGACCGCGTTGGTCTTACCCCTCTGATTATACAGTGCCATTAGACCTGTGAGAGGGGCTGTGACAGTGGAACCCGAATGAAGACAGGAAAAGTCTGTAGAGGACTGATGGTTATGTTCACCATTCAAATTGCAAGAAAACCAATAAGAAGTCAGTAAAGTGCATTCAAAGAGAAAGGTGGGACTCGTGAAGGTATGATACTTTTCTACAATGGTATAGGTATGTTAAGGTGTATGAACTTTTAACTCTGGTCAAAACTGATTCCTCCTGCCAGATTCTCCTGGTTCGAAGCAAGGGAGCCTCAGGGAAAGGATTTAGGACTGAAAAAGAAGCCCTCATCTGCCATTTTCTTCTCTCTGTTCTTATAGTTATGTCACATTAATTTTAATGAGGCCAAATGTCTATCAAGCTTTAGAACTATATGAGAAATTTTAAGGAGAATGATTATAGATTCAATTCAGAAAAGATACTCTGAATAGTCAGTTAAATCTTTTTTGCTTCTTATTAAGGCTGACTTTTTAAAAATAGGACCTTTTTACATTTTGTGTTATGTGACATAACCTAAAAAAAAAGTAGAAAATCCTGTGATAAAATTTTAAAGTGAAGTGTTTTGAGAGGTAAAAAGAATATGATGTGAGAAATCTTTTGACAGAAAGATGACAAGCAGGTAGAAAGAAAAGACTCATGCGTGCTGGTTGAAGAAAAAAAAAACTACCCCCCAAAAAAGATACATCATGTAACAATGGCCTGGGATGAGTAATTTTCTTTTTATTTCATAGGTAAAAACTATTTAATGATTTCAACATTTATCTATTAATTTTTTTGTTTGAAGTATAATTCAAAACTCTATATCAGTCCTTTGAAGGTTAAGGCAGGTATTTATTTCAAAATGAAAAAGGATTACAGATTTTCAACCACACAAGTCATAATATAGAAGAGATGTATAGTCACAGACTTTCTGGGGAAACGTTTTCGTGCCATGACTCCTCTTGATGAAGGCTTATAATCACGACTAACCTCTATTCCTACTAGAGACAGAAAGCATTTCAGAACAAATGTAAAATTTCTTTCCCAGGTAAAAGCAACCGGTTCTGTAATTTAATTCTATTCTAAGCCAGTGTCTGGAATTTCAGAGGGAAGGTGAAAAAAAACCTTCATGATGTTTAGTAAATTAGTTTTAAGATTTGCCTGTGGGGGATGAAAAACACATTCCCCTGAGGAAGCTTTAGATTACTTTTCTTACTGCCTGAGTTGGCTGAGTTCGTGACAATAGAGAATGGTGTAGGGAGGAGCAAGGTGGTTTCAACTGCTCATCGTCAAGTCTAATATGATGTCAGGATTATGTATTTTAAAAAAATTATCCACAAGGAAAATATTTATGCCTCAGTCATGATATTTTCATCAAATTACCTTATTCCAAATTTCAAGTATCGAGTTTTGCAAAAATACCTAGCTTTGTTTCATAATCCCAGGCAGGGTGCAAACTCAATGGCTGTTCAAAAGTTATGAGCAGACAGGGAATTAAAACTCGGAGACTCTGGTCTTCTAATCTACACTGGATCAAAACACTTCCCACTGATGATAAGATAGAGTCTGGAATATGGGCAAAGGAGTTTGTATTTAAAACACATTCAGAATTCTCAAAGTCTTAGAGAATGATTAAATACCCAGTTCAGTAAGTGGTGATAGTTTAGTGCCTTGAGAGCTATAAATTATCCTAAAATAATGACAAAACTGAATGGCACCAGGTTCTTCTAAGAATTATCATGTCATATCATTTAATAAACACTCATAGTAACCACTACCACTACCATTGGTCACTTACCAACTACTGTGCGATCTAATATGCTCAATTTCTTTACATGATCTGGAATGAGACAATAGCAACACAGAGATTTTTAGGAATTTGCCTAAAGTCATGCAGGAAACTCAGTATTGAAAACAGGTCTGTATCTTTTCAAAATCTCATGATGTTTCATTACATGACATTGTCCTCCAAACTGAGAGGGAGCATAAAGTAAAGTTTAGCAATTCCAAAACACTCCAAATGATAGCAACTTGAAGTTTATTTTTCTTTCTTGCTGCAGGCCAGGTTTAATTGCCAGGATCTGTATGGCAGCTCCATGGTACTGGGGATTCAGGCTCTGCCATCACTAGGGTACGAAGTCTTTGTCCATATACTTCAAGAGAGCTTATCTCCAGGTCTGCCTTCCAGCCTGTGGAAAGTGGGCAGGAAATTGAGGAATGGAGGGTATACTGCTTCTCTTTATGAGTATGAATTTTTATTCATATGAATTGACTTAAACTTACCCATAGGTAAGTTTTTATTCATATGAATTGACTTAAACTTACCCATAGGGTCATGCCTACTTGCAAAGAAAGATGGGAAATGAGGTTTTTATTCTGAATAGCCATGAGGCTAGATAAAACTGGGAGGTTCTACTATAAAGGAAAAAGGAAAGCACAGTTATTGGAAGTAAATTAGGGATTGTCACAGGGACTTTTTGTATAATGGAGTCTACCTGCCTCATTTTAGTGGGGATAAATTCCAGAGTGATGGTATATTTTAACCAAAATGACACAGAATTCGATGGTATAGCAAGTTCTAGAAACCAGTTCTCCTGACCTCCAGGCCTCTGTTTTATCTACCATATCACATTGGCTGTAAAACTTCATTGCTGCTGGTGAAAAAAATATGCTGACCACATTGGACAGTTGTCCCTAAATTATGTTTACTAACACATGAAACATTCTCAATGAATCTCAAAGATGTTTTGTGCTCTTCCTCAATGAGTTAATTTGAAAAATACAAAAATATATGTACATATGTGTATCGTTTAGGATGATGATTTTTTTGAAGAGATTTTAAGAAGCATTTGTCTATAGCTGTAGAAATGTAGTATGGAGGAATTTAGTGGAATTTTCTAATGGACAGAGAGAATAAGTTCTGAAATTTATTACACTGTGCATTTCACTTGGATTGCCTGATAGATAACTGAAATTTAATTTTAATTAAAAATATGGTGCATCATAGCCTAATAATCTATAGCCTCATACTGTCATGCAATTTTTGGAAAGCAATAGAAAATTGAAATCATTCTTGGATAATGAAAATGTTTATGTTCTCAGTCCGCAGGCCAAATTGCAATTTACTTCTGATTCTTGAAATGCCCATGCTTTGTGAGCACACTGATTAAAAAGAAATTTTGAATTTATTGTGACATATGATCAGCTTAGTGCAAAGCTGGCCCCTAAAAGGAATGGTTGAATAGACTGTGGATTGTGCAGGCATAGTAAGCAAAAACGAAAACTGAAGTAGGACACAGGACTAACTCTTCCAACTCCTACTATCAGCTCTGCATGATTATATACTTCTATTGTCTGGTTGTGCCTGGATGTCTTGTGTCAATGTTCATCAGTACTAATAACGATACTTTCTACACATACAGTACTTTATGCTTTATAAAGTGCTTTCCTGTATGAGATAAAATTTCATATGTAAAGCATCCAATGAGAGAGGAGGGAGGAGTAATAATTATCATTTTTGCGGGTAAGGAAATCAGTCATGTTATTATGAAATATGTTGATTATATTAAAAGAAAGTGTCATGTTTCACTATAAGTTTAGTGTTTGCCATTTTAGGAATGGGTGTTTTGCCTATACAAATGTGTCTTTCTGGGATGGATGTACAGGTAGCAAATTCAGAGTCATCCCATGTCTATGTCAATAGAAACGGAAACAATATCCAGTCTAGTAGCTGAATGCTTTACATAGCTAGATTTTTGGTTTTCTATGTGAGGTCCAACTTTTTTTCATATGAGAACTTTTGAGAATTTTAATTCTGGGAGGCTAGAATATCCATGCTAAAGTTTTCCTTTTTTTTGTTCTTTCCTTCTGTCAGCATCTTTTACCATGTCCAGAGCCCCTAATGTCCTGCTATTTCTTGTTGTGGTAACTTATCTCTGCATTCTTCATCATTGCTCCATTTGGTGCTTGGTTTAAGAATTCTATTTTGTCATCCTATCTCCTCTTAGAAAGCTTGCCTATGATCAGGAGATGTAGATGTACATTCAGATAGCGACATGTAGACAAAGACACAGGGGCAGACATACACAGTTAGATGCTTGGTTGACTGATTCTTTTCACTGGAAGGCCATAGTCTGTGTGGTCATGTGGTTAATACAAGATTTTTCCCTTGTGATAGAGTACAGAAAGGGAAATTTGCCCTTTTCCCTTGAGTCTATTTATTTTGACCTCTCCAGAAGTCAAACTTAGCCAGATTGATAGAACTGACCAAATTCTATTTTAAACTCTCTAAGGAGTAATTTGCTAATACTTTGGCTTCTCAGAGACTGGTACTGACACTAACATTTTATTGCTAGTATTTTTGCAAGTTGAACACTTACATAAACTTTGGCTTTGCTTAAGATCATTTTGATCTTCTTTGGCATGATATCTCAAGACTCTCTAAGCTTAATTTGCTATCAGACTAAAAGCCTCAAGCAGTAAGACTTCAATTTTTGGTTGTAGACTTGGACCACATCACTAGCTTTCTATGTTCTCTATTCACCCTTTTCTACACCCTCACATCTTTTAAAACAGGGATTCAATAAGAAAGTATTTTTTGTTTCATCTCTGTAACTTCCATGGTACAGAATATAATAGGTTATACCCTAGCTGTAGGGTTGTCAGTTGGCTGAAATTCAGCTTTTAGGGAGGGTCCTTAATCTCTTCAAACTCAAAGAATCTAACTGGTCATTTTCTTGTTTTCCTAGTCAAGGTGCCTGATGCCGTGAAACTACCCAATGATTTGCTGGTAACTTCACATATCCACCTTTGAGATAGCAGTCCATTTTCTGCTCTCTGCTTTTCCATAGGACAAGCTTGAATATCCGACCTTGGCTGATAAGGAGGCATCCTAGGCAACAGATGGGTTTTTGGAATGGTCACTTCCAGTAAGATTTTCATGATGAAAATTTGTCATTGTGTATGCATAGACTAAAGATCTCAGGGTAACTAGAAACATTGGCCTTCTCCTTCAGTTTACCCAATAAATAAGGCTGACTATAAACTCAAGTCACAGACTAAGAATGAGAATAATATTTCAGAATTAGGTAGTTTAATTTTTGCACATCTAAGTAACTATATCTGGATATTTTAAAATGTATTTGTTTTTTCTGAAGATTCGATTTGTTGGCTTTGTTCTGAACTTGTCAGAGAAAGGACAACTCTTCAGTGAATGTAACTTGCTTTCATACTCTGTGAAATGAGAGAAAGAGATTGTGGTTTGAAGTTTCTTACTTTGCAGTTAGCTACTTTCAGATTTTTTCTATATTGTAAATACAAAGATTTTAAGGAATTTAGAAAGGTAAAAGTTAATATTTCATCACCAAAGGTGAAGAAGAAAGTGTGACCTGAGCAGTAGCACACGGTAAGAGTAACTTGCAGTGGCGTCTTCCCTAAAAATAAAAACTAAACCAAAATCAAAATATCAGCAATAATTTTTATATGCTGTTATTAAAACAGAAGAAGCCCTGAAATAACATGTGCTGTCTCCATATTGTGCCATAAAATCATAAATATAGGGCTTTGCAATAAAAGATGACATAATTCTACCTTTTATTGTTTTAGTAAATTTATGGGTAGAGAGTGGAAAATCTCCTAGAGTGATTGCATATCGCTTTAAATTTAGCTCAATGATTTCTTCCCTTTATTTCCCAGGACCTGTCCTATCTGATCAGTCTATTAGACATTTCTCCAGACACTTTGCAAAGTGTGATCTAACAGCGGTACACTACTTACTTCTAATGATTCTAATTAAGCTTGTGAAAAAGCCAAGATTGAAAATTAGGAAACTTGTCTTAAAATCTCATTTTGGGGAAATCACTTAATTTATCTCAATGTTTGTTTATCTATAAATTAAGGGGCTTGCAGATAAACGTCATAGCCACATTCTTTTTCTCAAAGTATGGATGGTGAAAGCTGCATTGGGGATGTGATGCATATCTTACTATCTGCATTTAAAAGAAAGAGACAGACTGACTTTGTGTACCAGAGAAACCTCAGCCTTGAGTCCCTGAAACAATAGTTCTGAAACTTTAGTGTGCCCAAGAATCTATTCTCTGGGGAACTTATTAAAAATTACACACTCCTGGGACTCACTACAGAGATTTTTGATTCAGAAAGTCTGGTGTGAGGTTTAGTAATCTTTCTATTTAGCAAGTGCTCCGATGGGTCTGATACAGTGGATCCTGGGACCACCCTTTAGGTACCACTGCCTTGAAAGCTATGTGGCTATGGGTGGTACAGTACAAGCACTCACAAGCTACCAGTTGGTAAGAGCTAATGTTTTTCTGCAACTTTCCTGAAGCTCAGCAGATTTTAAGCTTAGTTAATAATTGACTGCATTTCAGCTGGATGTGCTTTCGGATGAAGTTTAGCTCTAGGCAGAGGATATGGCCTGAAGGGCTATGTTGTAACCTCCAGTTCTGATTAACGGTGAGTGCTCTGGTGATTCCTTCTAGAAGCCTGGCTCGCTCACTTCTTAGTATGTGATGTGAGGCAAGCCATCTTCCCTTGGAAGCCTCTGTTTCTTCTAAGATGGGGTGGCATAATACATTTTTCATAGTCTTAATATGATGAATATATATGATAATGCATACAAGGTAGTTAGCAGAGTGCCTAGGATGTAGCAATGCTGAATAAATGTTAGTATCGTTGTTGAAAGCAACAGGTGAGGCACATTTGACTCAGCAATCAATTTTTCGTACCAGGTACCTTTAAATTTTCGGGTCATTCTTCAAGCATTTATTAACTATTCGTTTGCCATGAACTAAGCACACTGATGTGGTGGGGTTGGGTTACATGAAAAGAAGAGGTAAAACAAAGATGAGTAAAGTTTTCTCTGACCTCAACGGGATGTGCAGGCTAGTTGTGGCAGGCAGACATCAACTAAGACATGGGCATAGCAACTGTGGGAAGAGGAGGCAGGAATTTAGCACGGCTTAATCCTGGAAGCGTCTTTCCTCACTTACAAATTAAGGCTGATGAATCCTCTTAGGTCTGAATAGACTTTGGTCCAGGGTTACAAGGAGGGGCTGCTGGAGAGCTTTCAGGAGTTTACCTACCAATTTCCAAATGACAATGTGTATCACCATCTGTTATGGTTTTCCCTGTCAAATGGTTAGGTAGCCCACAACATATTTTTAAAATAAAATAAAATCGAAGAATGATTTTTCTCTTTTTATTTACTTAAGAATTATTAAGCAAAATTTTGAATAATAATGAGAATAAAAAAGCAAAACAAATTCTTTGTAAAAGGAGGTAGTATTATATGTTTTCCTAACCGGTATGGGCAAAATGGATTTCTTTGAATTTGACTGTGCCGCCTCACTGAGCTCTTGCCGACAGGTCTTCCTAATAAGAGGACACTTCCTTTGGCAGACTGCTCAATATCTTTGTAAAACATATAGGAATCATTACCTGGGTTGGAGACACAGACTACACACATAATTTTTCCTGAAAGAAATAATCTCCTCTCCATGTCTTTCAAAAGTCACTGGTGAAGGGAAAAAAATTAAAATAAGTTTAACTAGATCTGGCTTTTATGATGCCTACAAAAATCTGCAACCCAGAGATAAAGACTTCACGTTTCTTTTTGGGAAAATACACAGCACTGTCTAAAGCGTAGACACAATTACTTCAGTGAAAAACAGAGGTCCTCAGAGGAAAAAGAGGGGAATCAGAACTATCGCTATTTCCTGACCACTCTGCAGCTTCAGGCCTGCTCCATTAGCAATGGGCAACATAGTACTTCTAATTAAGAAGTCATTTAAAATAATTTGCAAAGAGCAGGGACATGTCAAGTGTGGAAAGTTCCTCATAGAGGACCACTTCAGGGCTAATGATGATGAGACTGACAGCAGTTGGGGACCTCAGAATCTTATTCTGGCAGCTTGAAAGAGCACCTAATTAGCACCTGTGCTTCTGTTAAAAATAAAATAAAGGAACCAATTTGTGGTCCTGGGCCAGGTAATTTTTAGTGGCAAAAAGCCTTCATGTACTCCAGGAATCCTACTATTCTAAATAAATTCATCAATAACAGGGGTAAATTCTATTAACAGGGAAATGAATACTTCAACTGAAATTGCAATGATAAGTAGCTCAGAAAGCAAAGGAAGCTGCCAGATTCTCATACAGTCATTTAAACCAACAACAGACATTCTCTAAGACCAACGTGGATTTCTTTATTTTGGCTTGTGAGATAATTTACCCTGGCACACATAATGTGCTGTCTTTCATGGATAAAGAAAGTCACAGTGGCTGGTCCTTCAGTGTATCCTCATCAATGAAAGGACTTGTGAGTCAGAGGGACCGCTGTTCAAATTTTTAACTTGCCATTCACTAAATGAATAACATTGACTTTAAAAAAGGCCTATGTGAGCCTCTGCTTTCTCATCTGTATAATGGAAACATTAGTGTGTATTTCACAGAGATTTTGTGAGTATTGGTTATGATGTATGGTAGTTACTAAAAAAATGGGAACCGTTATTATTCATGTGTCAACACTGAAGATCCATTCACTCAAAAATGTTTTTGAGTGCTTATTATATTCTAAGCCCTGTGTTGTTTCTGGGTGGCTTTGTCATAAACAGTTGAGCTACACTACATTATTCCCTAGGTGATAATCAGTGGATGCATGTGAAAATGAAGATAGCTTTGTTAATTTTCAATATTTTGTCTAGGAAAATATTGATTTATGAAACCAATGGAATTGATAATGCATGCAGGGCTTAAAACCTAGATGACAGGTTGATAGGTGAAGCAAAACACCATGGCACGTGTATACCTATTTAACAAACCTGCATGTTCAGCACATGTATCCCAGAACTTAAAAATAAAAAATAAAAAAATTTTCAAAATATGGCAATTAACTTGTTGCATTATCCCAAATCGTTCTTTTTTTTAATTATTATTATACTTTAAGTTTTAGGGTACATGTGCACAACGTGCAGGTTTGTTACATATGTATACATGTGCCATGTTGGTGTGCTGCACCCATTAACTCATCATTTAGCATTAGGTATATCTCCTAATGCTACCACTCCCCCCTCCCCCCACCCCACAACAGGCCGCGGTGTGTGATGTTCCCCTTCCTGTGTCCATGTGTTCTCATTGTTCAATTCTCACCTATAAGTGAGAACATGCAGTGTTTGGTTTTTTGTCCTTGCAATAGTTTGCTGAGAATGATGGTTTCCAGCTTCATCCATGTCCCTACAAAGGACGTGAACTCATCATTTTTTATGGCTGCATAGTATTCCATGGTGTATATGTGCCACATTTTCTTAATCCAGTCTTTCATTGTTGGACATTTGGGTTGGTTCCCAGTCTTTGCTATTGTGAATAGTGCTGCAATAAACATATGTGTGCATGTGTCTTTATAGCAGCATGATTTATAATCCTTTGGGTATATAGCCAGTAATGTGATGGCTGGGTCAAATGGTATTTCTAGTTCTAGATCCCTGAGGAATCGCCACACTGACTTCCACAATGGTTGAACTAGTTTACAGTCCCACCAACAGTGTAAAAGTGTTCCTATGTCTCCACATCCTCTCCAGCACCTGTTGTTTTCTGACTTTTTAATGATCGCCATTCTAACTGGTGTGAGATGGTATCTCATTGTGGTTTTGATTTGCATTTCTCTGATGGCCAGTGATGATGAGCATTTTTTCATGTGTTTTTTGGCTGCATAAATGTCTTCTTTTGAGAAGTGTCTGTTCATATGCTTTGCCCACTTTTTGATGGGGTTGTTTGTTTTTTTCTTGTAAACTTGTTTGAGTTCATTGTAGATTCTGGATATTAGCCCTTTGTCAGATGAGTAGGTTGTGAAAATTTTCTCCCATTCTGTAGGTTGCCTGTTCACTCTGATGGTAGTTTCTTTTGCTGTGCAGAAGCTCTTTAGTTTAATTAGATCCCATTTGTCCATTTTGGCTTTTGTTGCCATTGCTTTTGGTGTTTTGGACATGAAATCCTTGCCCATGCCTATGTCCTGAATGGTATTGCCTAGGTTTTCTTCTAGGGTTTTTATGGTTTTAGGTCTAACATGTAAGTCTTTAATCCATCTTGAATTGATTTTTGTATAAGGTGTAAGGAAGGGATCCAGTTTCAGCTTTCTACATATGGCTAGCCAGTTTTCGCAGCACCATTTATTAAATAGGGAATCCTTTCCCCATTTCGTGTTTTTGTCAGGTTTGTCAAAGATCAGATGGTTGTTGGTGTGTGATATTATTTCCAAGTGCTCTGTTCTGTTCCATTGGTCTATATCTCTGTTTTGGTACCAGTACCATGCTGTTTTGGTTACTGTAGTCTTGTAGTATAGTTTGAAGTCAGGTAGCGTGATGCCTCCAGCTTTGTTCCTTTGGCTTAGGATTGACTTGGCAATGCGGGCTGTTTTTTGGTTCCATATGAACTTTAAAGTAGTTTTTTCCAATTCTGTGAAGAAAGTCATTGGTAGCTTGATGGGGATGGCATTGAATCTATAAATTACCTTGGGCAGTATGGCCATTTTCACGATATTGATTCTTCTTACCCACGAGCATGGAATGTTCTTCCATTTGTTTGTATCCTCTTTTATTTCCTTGAGCAGTGGTTTGTAGCTCTCCTTGAAGAGGTCCTTCACATCCCTTGTAAGTTGGATTCCTAGGTATTTTATTCTCTTTGAAGCAACTGTGAATGGGAGTTCACTCATGATTTGGCTCTCAGTTTGTCTGTTATTGGTGTATAAGAATGCTTGTGATTTTTGCACATTGATTTTGCATCCTGAGACTTTGCTGAAGTTGCTTATCAGCTTAAGGAGATTTTGGGCTGAGACGATGGGGTTTTCTAGATATACAATCATGTCATCTGCAAACAGGGACAATTTGACTTCCTCTTTTCCCAGTTGAATGCCCTTTATTTCCTTCTCCTGCCTGATTGCCCTGGCCAGAACTTCCAACACTATGTTGAATAGGAGTGGTGAGAGAGGGCATCCCTGTCTTGTGCCAGTTTTCAAAGGGAATGCTTCCAGTTTTTGCCCATTCAGTATGATATTGGCTGTGGGTTTGTCATAGATAGCTCTTATTATTTTGAGATATGTCCCATCAATACCTAATTTATTGAGAGTTTTTAGCATGAAGGGTTGTTGAATTTTGTCAAAGGCCTTTTCTGCATCTATTGAGATAATCATGTGGTTTTTGTTTTTGGTTCTGTTTATATGCTAGATTACGTTTATTGATTTTCATATGTTGAACCACCCTTGCTTCCCAGGTATGAAGCCCACTTGATCATGGTGGATAAGCTTTTTGATGTGTTGCTGGATTCGGTTTGCCAGTATTTTATTGAGGATTTTTGCATCGATGTTCATCAAGGATATTGGTCTAAAATTCTCTTTTTTTTTGTTGTGTCTCTGCCAGGCTTTGGTATCAGGATGATGCTGGCCTCATAAAATGAGTTAGGGAGGATTCCCTCTCTTTCTATTGATTGGAATAGTTTCAGAAGGAATGGAACCAGCTCCTCCTTGTACCTCTGGTAGAATTCGGCTGTGAATCCATCTGGTCCTGGGCTTTTTTTGGTTGGTAAGCTATTAATTATTGCCTCAATTTCAGAGCCTGTTATTGGTCTATTCAGAGATTCAATTTCCTCCTGGTTTAGTCTTGGGAGGGTGTATGTGTCGAGGAATTTATCCGTTTCTTCTAGATTTTCCAGTTTATTTGCGTAGAGCTGTTTATAGTAATCTCTGATGGTAGTTTGTATTTCTGTGGGATCAGTGGTGATATCCCCATTGTCATTTTTTATTGCATCTATTTGATTCTTCTCTCTTTTCTTCTTTATTAGTCTTGCTAGAGGTCTATCAATTTTGTTGATCTTTTCCAAAAACCAGCTCCTGGATTCATTGATTTTTTGAAGGGTTTTTTGTGTCTCTATCTCCTTCAGTTCTGCTCTGATTTTAGTTGTTTCTTGCCTTCTGCTAGCTTTTGAATGTGTTTGCTCTTGCTTCTCTAGTTCTTTTAATTGTGATGTTAGGGTGTCAATTTTAGATCTTTCCTACTTTCTCTTGCAGGCATTTAGTGCTATAAATTTCCCTCTACACACTGCTTTGAATGCGTCCCAGAGATTCTGGTATGTTGTGTCTTTGTTCTCATTGGTTTCAAAGAACATCTTTATTTCTGCCTTCATTTCGTTATGTACCCAGTAGTAATTCAGGAGCAGGTTGTTCAGTTTCCATGTAGTTGAGCGGTTTTGAGTGAGTTTCTTAATCCTGAGTTCTAGTTTGATTGCACTGTGGTCTGAGAGACAGTTTGTTATAATTTCTGTTCTTTTACATTTGCTGAGGAGTGCTTTACTTCCAACTATGTGGTCAGTTTTGGAATAGGTGTGGTGTGGTGCTGAAAAGAATGTATATTCTGTTGATTTGGGGTGGAGAGTTCTGTAAATGTCTGTTAGGTCTGCTTGGTGCAGAGCTGAGTTCAATTCCTGGATATCCTTGTTAACTTTCTGTCTCGTTGATCTGTCTAATGTTGACAGTGGGGTGTTAAAGTCTCCCATTATTATTGTGTGGGAGTCTAAGTCACTTTATAAGTCACTAAGGACTTGCTTTATGAATCTGGGTGCTCCTGTATTGGGTGCATGTATATTTAGGATAGTTAGTTCTTCTTGTTGAATTGATCCCTTTACCATTATGTAATGGCCTTCTTTGTCTCTTTTGATCTTTGTTGGTTTAAAGTCTGTTTTATCAGAGACTACGATTGCAACCCCTGCCTTTTGTTGTTTTCCGTTTGCTTGGTAGATCTTCCTCCATCCCTTTATTTTGAGCCTATGTGTGTCTCTGCACGTGAGATGGGTTTCCTGAATACAGCACACTGATGGATCTTGACTCTTTATCCAATTTGCCAGTCTGTGCCTTTTAATTGGAGCATTTAGCCCATTTACATTTAAAGTTAGTATTGTTATGTGTGAATTTGATCCTGTCATTATGATGTTATCTGGTTATTTTGCTCAATAGTTGATGCAGTTTCTTCTTAGCCTTGATGGTCTTTACAATTTGGCATGTTTTTGCAGTGGCTGGTACCGGTTGTTCCTTTCCATGTTTAGTGCTTCCTTCAGGAGCTCTTTCAGGGCAGGCCTGGTGGTGACAAAATCTCTCAGCATTTGCTTGTCTGTGAAGTATTTTATTTCTCATTCTCTTATGAAGCTTAGTTTGGGTGGATATGAAATTCTGGGTTGAAAATTCTTTTCTTTAAGAATGTTGAGTATTGGCCCCCATTCTCTTCTGGCTTGTAGAGTTTCTGCCAAGAGATCAACAGCTAGTCTGATGGGCTTCCCTTTGTGGGTAACCTGACCTTTCTCTCTGGCTGCCCTTAACATTTTTTCCTTCATTTCAACTTTGGTGAATCTGACAATTATGTGTCTTGGAGTTGCTCTTCTCAAGGAGTATCTTTGTGGTGTTCTCTGTATTTCCTGAATTTGAATGTTTGCCTGCCTTGCTAGGTTGGGGAAGTTCTCCTGGATAATATCCTGCAGAGTGTTTTCCAACTTGGTTCCATTCTCCCCATCACTTTCAGGTACACCAATTAGACGTAGATTTGGTCTTTTCACATAGTCCCATATTTCTTGGAGGCTTTGTTCATTTCTTTTTATTCTTTTTTCTCTAAACTTCTCTTCACGCTTCATTTCATTCATTTCATCTTCCATTGCTGTTACCCTTTCTTCCAGTTGATCGCATCGGTTACTGAGGCTTGTGCATTTGCCATGTAGTTCTCGTGCCATGGTTTTCAGCTCCATCAGGTCCTTTAAGGACTTCTCTGCATTGGTTATTCTAGTTATCCATTTGTCTAATTTTTTTTCAAAGTTTTTAACTTCTTTGCCATTGGTTCAAACTTCCTCCTTTAGCTTGGAGTAGTTTGATCTTCTGAAGCCTTCCTCTCTCAACTCGTCAAAGTCATTCTCCATCCAGCTTTGTTCCATTGATGGTGAGGAGCTGCGTTCCTTTGGAGGAGGAGAGGCGCTCTGAGTTTTAGAGTTTCTGGTTTTTCTGCTCTGTTTTTTCCCCATCTTTGTGGTTTTATCTACCTTTGGTCTTTGATGATGGTGATGTACAGATGGGTTTTTGGTGTGGATGTCCTTTCTGTTTGTTAGTTTTCCTTTTAACAGTCAGGACCCTCAGCTGAAGGTCTGCTGGAGTTTACTGGAGGTCCACTCCAGACCCTGTTTGCCTGGGTATCAGCAGCGGTGGCTGCAGAACAGCAGATATTGGTGAATCGCAAATTCTCCTGCCTGATGGTTCCTCTGGACGTTTTGTCTCAGAGGAGTGTTTTGTCTCAGAGGAGTACCCGACCGTGTGAGGTGTCAGTCTGCCCCTACTGGGGGGTGCCTCCCAGTTAGGCTACTCGGTGGTCAGGGACCCACTTGAGGAGGCAGTCTGCCCGTTCTCAGATCTCATGCTGCGTGCTGGGAGAACCACTACTCTCTTCAAAGCTGTCAGATAGGGACATTTAATTCTGCAGAAGTTATTGCTGTCTTTTGTTTTTCTGTGCCCTGCCCCCAGAGGTGGAGCCTATAGGGGCAGGCAGGCCTCCTTGAGCTGTGGTGGGCTCCACCCAGTTCAAGCTTCCTGGCCACTTTGTTTACCTATTCGAGCCTGAGTAATGGCAGGCGCCCCTCCCCCAGCCTCACTGCCACCTTGCGGTTTGATCTCAGACTGCTGTGCTAGCAATGAGTGAGGCTCTGTGGGCATAGGACCCTCCGAGCCAGGTGTGGGATATAATCTCCTGGTGTGCCGTTTGATAAGCCCATTGGAAAAGCTCAGTATTAGGATGGGAGTGACCCTATTTTCCAGGTGCCATCTGTCACCCCTTTCTTTGACTAGGAAAGGGAATTCCCTGACCCCTTGCGCTTCCCGGGTGAGGCGATGCCTTGCCCTGCTTCAGCTCATGCACGGTGTGCTGCACCCACTGTCCTGCACCCACTATCTGGCACTCCCCAGTGAGATGAACCTGGTACCTCAGCTGGAAATGCAGAAATCACCTGTCTTCTGCGTCACTCACACTGGGAGCAGTAGACTGGAGCTGTTCCTATTCGGCCATCTTGAATCTACCTCCCCCAAATTGTTCTTGAAAGTGTAAGAAATAACTTTCTTTCTCAAACAATAAAGCTTTATTAACATTGAGGGTATTTACCTGAAGGTGCCATGGAAGAGTACATGAAATTCTCTAAGATGAATTTTCAAATTGAGTTAGTCATGATCATCTAGTTGAAATAATATAGTCTTTTACTTTTTTTTTTTTTTAACAAAAAGCTTACTTGGATTTCTGTAATTTGTAATGTTTACTTTAAACTCAGACTCAAAACATAGCCTACACCATCAGTGAAATTATTATGGGCAGGGGCTCTACTCTGATTTTCATCTTAGTGGGAGGACTTCTGAAGCAGGATGACCATGGACTAGATTAGAACATGAGGATTTTTATAACCTTTGATTCATTATGATGCTATTTTTTTCTGGCCAATTAGAAGACTTGGTTATATTCTGCTTTAATTTCCTCATTGATAATTGAGAGGGAGTGTTTTGTATGTACTAGGATTCACAGTACCTGTGTTTTTATCTTATATAGATAAGACTCAGCAGTGGCTTTCAAACTTTAGTTGCATCAGAATCACATGGAGGGCTTAAGACACAGATTTCTGAGCCCAGCCTCCAGTTTCTGATTCACTACATTGGGGTGAGGCTCAGGAATATGCATTTTGGACATGATTCCAGGTGATGCTGATGCTGCTGTTTTGAAGACTATACTGTGAGAACCACTGGATAAGAGTAAGCTGGTCTAATTTTTGTCAGGTGCCACAATGACAATATTACTAGCTGGTACTGGTATACTACTTGATAGCAAAATGGTTTTCCATACAGTTTCATTTTATCCTCACAGTACCCTGGGAGATAGGCATTATTAGATCTGATTTATAGATGAGAAATGTACTGTAGCTGTTTCTGTTTTTTCTCTCCTAATAGGATACAAGTTCTTTGAGGACAAATTCCACATCATATTCAGTTCTGTATCCTCAACACAAAACAGGGCATCTGGCAGTAAATGTTTGTAGAATGAAAGAAGGATTTGACTTCGGTTGTGAGGGAGCCCAGTTTTGAACTCAGGCTTCTTGAAACTTATTCTAGAGCTTTTTCTACTCTTGGGTATACAAATCAAAAAAGCAAATTTCCTCTCATATTTGGGAAAAGGCAGAAGTAGTTTTTCCATTTTATCCTAAAATTCTAAGTTTAAACATCTAGCTAGTCAAGGTGATTAAAATTTGTTTTAACTATACTGTTAGACACTGGAATACAACACATCAGTCATATATTACACATATGTTCTTTTTTCTTTCTTCTTCTGCTTCTGCTTTTTTTTTTTTTTTTTTTTTTGCCCTGTTGCCCAGGCTGGAGTACAGTGGTGCGATCTCGGCTCGCTGCCATCTCCGCCTTCCAGGTTCAAGCAATTCTCCTGCTTCAGTATCCTGAGTAGCTGGGATTACGGGTGTGCTCCACTGTGCCTGACTAATTTTTGTTTTTTTAGTAGAGGCGGGTTTTCAACATGTTGGCCAGGCTGGCCTCAAACTCCTGACTTAAGGTGATCTGCCCGTCTCAGCCTTCCAGAGTGCTGGGATTACAGGTGTGAGCCACTGTGCCCAGCCCTTTTCTCTTTCATCATGACTGCTTTACCAAATGCAGGCAATCTTCACTTTGCCAATCTTCACTTTGGTAGTTCAGGACAGTAAAAATGATTGTGCAAGATAAAATGGTAAGAAGTGATATTAATAATCAATGGGAAAACTTACATGACATAAAAACTTTCTTTTTGTCACAACATTAAAGACATTGTTGGTTATAAATGTATAGGGAAATGAAAGAATAATAACACCAATATTCACTTAGGATGTTGTAATTTACAACATTAGAAGCATTGAGAATTAAAGTGTTTTAGTTCTTTGCAAATAATTTTTCAGGCATAGTTTGAATAGTGCTTGCCTTCTGCTTATTATATAACTTATGATATGGAATGAGCATCTTTTCCATGCCTTGGAAAATTTTCATACTCCTTTCTAAGTTTGGATAAGCTTTTAACATTTTATCCTGTGCACTTTCAATGTTGTAAAATATCTCTGATAGTTATTTTAACGTGCCCTTTTTTGTTGGCATCAATTCCTCTGGGACACTGTCACCCTTTTCATCCCAATCACATACCTCATTTATGTTGATAAATTTGCCCTCAGTAAGTTTCTTTTGCTGAATATCTAAGAGTCTCTTGAATGGCTGTAGTGTCAACATTTCCATGGTCAGCTATTTTTTTTCTATATCTCTTTGGAATCTGGGTGTAAATTTCACAGCAGTATCTTTATCTGAGCTACAGGTTCACCAGATAGCTTACCATTAATAAATTTGTGAAGATTTACAAAACAATGAAAGTAGCCTTTTCTGGCAGTAAAAGGTCTTGCTTAATTCTTCTTAATTATAGTTTTCTTTCCTGTTTCTTTCTTTCATAATTATGGTTTCCTTTCACCTCATCGTTTTGACCTCAATGCTAGCCACACTGATTAGGATTTCTTTTTGATTTCAGTCTTCAACCCAAAATATAAGTAAATGCTCCATTTCAACAATAAGTGACTTTCTATTCATTGTGCAATTTAAACTAAAAAATGTTGGAGCAACTCGACTTTGTTTTTCTATTCACTGGACTTTTTCATTATGGGTCATACCATACCATATCATCTTTCAGGCCTAGGTCTTGTCCTATCTTCACTAACATTTTCAAATCTAGCATATAATTTTACTTCACTTTTTGTATTTTTGCTGCATTTTAATCTTTGTTAGTCAATTCTCTCTTTTGATTATAAATTTTTGTAAAATGTCCTATGGTTTTATCACTTGTAGACAAGGAGGCAACACAACTACATGCTTTCCTGTCTGTGTGTGAAATGAATACAGATGGTGCTCGATGAATAACTGACAGACTGTGAAAGAATTGGTGTAGTCAGTCATCTATCACGATGTGCATTGGGTTTTATGTTTGTGGACTGAAGAGTTAGCAGTGAAGTTTGTACTTTATATAATTACTGTACTCACAGGTAATATGCTGTGTTTAAAATTTGAACTGTGTTATTGGGATATGGTATTATTTAGCTAAACCATAGTAAATAAATTTCCTACATATTAGAAATATGCAATGTGAGGACCACCTATAACTAGAAAAAAATTATCTTCATGTCAGAATAAAAATATTTGCATAATTTCAAAGCCATCCACTTTCAAAATAGTGTCCAAAAATATCTTCTAAGTTGTTTAAAGAAACAACTTTCTTTTGCCTCCAGATGGACTGATTAAATTAAGAAAACCAGAGATACATATTTCAATATGATTAAAATATATGTATATAGAAAGAGAGAGAGAGATCCATAAACTTTGTTTTTTTTAAATTCAATGCAACTTAAATCAACCTGTAGAGATAAAAGTTTAAAAGCTGGGTGAAATATACAAGAACTATGTAAAGATTTCATTATTTAAGTTTTCTGCTAATCTTCTTCTTATGATGTGTCTTCCTTCTGAGTATTTCAATGGTATAAATAAAAAGAACAAAGTTCTCAGCCAGACTAGGTGAGTTAGTCTCTCTAATGGAATTTAGGGAATTTGGCCTGGTCTAAAAGATTATTTGTCTAAGTTCCTGATTTTTTCCTTTTTTCTATGCTAAGATTTTATTCATTGTGCTATGCATTGCTGTGATGGAATAGTTGGAAAGTTTTTTAGGCATTTATTCATTCATTCACTGCCTAGAACAGTGCTTGGCATATAATTGGCATTCAAAAAACATATTTTATTGAACTCCTACTGGGCCCTGGGAAAGCAAAGATAATATACACACTGTCCTTGTGGGCACAGAATAGGGCTCTCTGTACCAGGACCTTCTGCTGAATCTCCAGTATTGTCCAATGACAATATTAACAGAATTTCTAATTTATCCAGTGCGTGCAAAGTACCGGAAACTTGATTAGACCTTTGCTGAAATTATTGCTGTAGCCATTTGAAACCAAGGTTGAAGATGGAAGTTCCGCTTTCAAGGTGGCTTGCTTACATGTGTGTCAAGGTTTGCTGGCTATTGGATAGGGGCCTCTGTTTCTCTCCACTAGGCCTCTCCACGGGCTACTTGAGTGTCTTTACAATATGGCTGGCTACCCCAGAGAGACTGATCCAAGAAGTCATGATAGAACCTTCAATGCTCATTGTGCCTCATCTTGAAAGTCACACATTATCACTTCCTCAGTATTCTAGGGATCACAAAAGGATAGCCATGATTCCATGCAGAAGGGCACCTCACAAGGGTTTGAATACTAGGAGGTATTTTATTTATGAGATACAAATTATTTTCATATTATTTTGCAGATGAGCAAACTGAGGCATGGCTAGTGAGTAGCAGAACTGAGATTTGTACAAAGACATTCTGGTTCCAGAGTTTATGCTCTTTAGCATTATGTTATTGGATAAATATACTTTAATATTGACTATCATTATTAGATGTTGTTTTCATATGTTCTGGGTGTTTATGTACTCTTTATTCTATTTTATTGGTCTATTTGTCATCCCTACAGCAGCAGTACCACATTGTTTTTATTACTATGGCTTTATGTTAAGCTTTTCTGTCTAAAACAATTCCTCCACTTCATTCTTCTTCATGACATTCAGAGCTATTCTTTAATGTTTATACTTTTATATACATTTTATAATGGTCTGTCATATTTCATGAATAACTCTGTTGATGTTTCAATTAGAATCATATAGAACCTAAAGATTAATTTGAGAAAAGCTGATGTCTTCAAGATATTGTGTCTTCCTTTTTTCAACTAGTAGATTCTTAGATAAGGTATATATGTCCATTGACCTGCCCTATCTTTTTACAGATCTAGGTGATGTCTATTTGTCACTCAGGACATTACGAGGCTACTTTAGCAATTTTTGGGTGGCAGTTACTCAATATAGGAAGAAAATTTTTTTTCACTTTAGTTCTTTTCTTGTCCTAGTTTCACAACTTGGAAAGAAGTGCTGCCCCATTTGTACTGTGGCACACAGTAGCCAGTAGTTCCTGGAAAATTTCTATCATTCTTGTTTTTCTATTTGTTACAGCCCTTTACATCCTCCAAATACCCTGAGATGACCTCAACTTTCTGCTTATTGTGTCTACCAATCCCAATGCTTTTTTTCATTTCTTTGGATTATTAGGGCTGTTAAATGTGTTTTGTCGGGTGTTAAATGTGTTTTGTCAAATGTGCCCAGAAGAAGAGTTCGGCAGAGAGGACAGAAGATGAGAAGATGTATGAGAATGATTAGATACGTGGGTGAAGATGTAGCAGAAACTGGTTGATGGGCTCCAAGCCAGTGACTGCTAATAGGAAGGTTCATTTGGGTGCACAGCCTGAATGTCTTCTATCATGAGGGCTCGTACCTACCATACTTCCCTCTCCTCTTCGCACACCTCTTTAGTCTCCTAGGGTGCCTGGTAACCCATGGAGAAATAAGACTTAATGACTACGTATCTGTATTGCAATACGAATGCACATCTCTTCTGATTTCACTCTCTATATATGATCTAACATTGTTTCTTAATCTGTTGAATAAATGTTGTGACCAGTGCAATTTTTTATTTATTATAAGAACTAATAAATAAGAAATCCCACTTCTGGGGAGGAGGGTAAATCTTTAAGGTTACATTAATGCTGTGGGCTCGTAGGTATCACACTGATCTCTGTAGGTGGTTATTTAGTTAATGGCACCTCAGCAAACTGAAAGAAGCTGTTTAGGTCTAACAAAAACATTCTGAACCCTTAAATCTATCTCATTATTTATCTTGTGTAGAAAGTCCCCAGTGAAAGGGGGTTGTGCCCAAATAAGGCTAGGGTATTTTGATCTTAATTATGCTAGGGCTCTGATCTTAGCAAGGGTGTTTACAAATACATATTAATAATGAAATACAAATAACCTAGGAGAGTTCTGTGGAGTTCCAGCAGCACAATCATTGTTGGCACATTTTCTTGTGAAACTTTAATGCTGAAACTGGGAAAGGCCCTGAGTACAGTGCTGACTGAAGTGGAAAATTTTCATGGTGTGAAGTGTACCCATTGCTATTCAATATTTACTGGCATAATAGAAGCACTAGGGAACAAATATTTCCTTGTATGTGTTAAACCTTATTTGGAGCCAAACTTTTTCTCAAATACTCCATTTGCAGTCAAATTGTGGGCGGAAACGTAGCAAATCTCTAAAACAGCAAATCGTGTGTTTATCCTGGAGTATTTGCCGAGTTTTAATAGTTTTTTTCAAAAGCAATTCTTTTTACTTTTTCAGTTTCCTTCCCTTTGGTTTAGTTCATATTCTTAAGTGAAACCCCGTGAGACAGAAAGAGATAATGCAAATAAATGATTCCCAATTTAATGCTTCTGGTTAGAGAATTGGCATCAAAAGAAACTGAAACTTTAATGAAGCTTTTAAAACATGACATAAATTTGTGTGATTGGGAGCAGAGCTGAAGTTCAATTGTACTTTTCCCTCGTTTCCCTTTTAGAAGATAGTCCAAGAATAGAAGGAGATAATCTTCAGTTTCAAATGTTTTACTTTTATTTCCCCCTTCCTTGGATTTAGAGATTTTTCTTCTGAGGGCCCTAATGAGACGAGTGAGTTAGGTATCTGGTGCTTCGGGAAATATGCCCTCTTATAGGTAATGCAGACTAAAATGGGGGTTTAGCTTTGTCTACTGGTCTGTGCATAGGCACCAGAGACTACCCTTAGAAACAAAGCACTCATCACATTAAGTTGAATACCACTGTGGGACATTAAGTACTGGGATGTGGTTAGCTACCCCCCTCCCCCCAGAAACTTATCCTCTTTGCTTCCTTTATCTCCTTAGGTAAGAGATTTTCCATAATTCATAGCTAGGATATATTTTATGTGCCACATTCATATTAATTTCTTCCTTCCTCCCTCCTTTACTTTCAAGAGGAGCAGAAAGAAAGACAGGGAAATAAGGCTGAGGGAAAAAGGGCCGTGTGCATGATAGAAAGACTGGTGGAGGGCTGATTTTGTGGGCAGTGAAAGATCTGCTGATGCTGAACAAGTCAGCTAATCCTAGGGCTCACTGTCTTCATACAGAGATTTAGAGTTTTAAATTACGGTCCTTTCTATTCTTAAACTACTCAATATCTTAGATTATTCTAGGCTTCTCTCAAATGTCCTTTTACAGTTGAGCTACTTCAAGCATAGTCTGTGGACCTGCAGAATGGTCATCACCCTGGAGCTTGTCAGAAAGATAGAATGTCAGCCCCACCCCAGACCTGCAGAATCAGAATCTATATTTTAACAAGTTCTCTGGGTAATTCGTGTGCCCATTCCAGTTTGAGAAGCTGTTCTATGGAAAGTCTGTGATCACCTTTCTTTAATGTTAAAAACAAACACACAACAACCAACGAACCAATAAATCTATCAAACATAAGACCTCCTTAGAGATACAACTCTCCTGAGGTCTCTTCCTTACTGGAGGATATTTGGACTGTGGGAAGAATCAGGAGTGCCCTGCCCATAAATATTCAGTTATGTCCAACAACAGTTTGTTCTCTAAGCAGCCAGAGGCCATATTGAAAGCTGTTAGGTTAACTCTCCATTTACCACCTTGGGTGAATGCTTGCAAAGGCTGGTCTCTTGTTATTTGATTCATTTGTCCTTCTTGAAGTTCCACCAAGTACACAGTGCCAGGCTCACGTTAATCATGTCTTCTCTTTATGGCACATCACATTTTCAAAGCACTTTCATACCTTCTGTTTTTCGCAGTAGCCCAGAGCAGGCATCATTGCCCCTACCTTAAGAGTAATGCCTGAGGCTCAGAGAAGCTAAATAATTCACTGTCATCCCAAGGTCTCAGTCCAAGGCTCCTCCCACCTCCAGCAGGCTGCGCCTTTTGCAGAGAGCACAGATTTTCATTAGGTCCCATTTTCCTTTCAGGGGCTTTCTACTGAGATCAGCAGATTTCGTGCCTCTTTTATACGATCTGAAACACAGAGAACACGAAGACCAGTATTAGAACACAGGGCGCCAGGAGATTCCAGGCACCTTGGTTGCTTGCTGGGCCACATGCTTATCTCTAATATGCACCTGGGAACAGGAAGCTCTCAGCGCTGTGAGATTCCTAGCTACAGCCCCAAGAAACTTCCCACCCAACTCAGCTAAACCACGACACCTGACAGCCTCAGAGCTTGCAGTGAGGAAGCTGCTGGCCTTTTCCCTCTCTCAATTTGCTTTCCTTTTATCACCTCTCATCTTATGAGATATGATTCCCTCTCCCACATGTAGTTCTTTCCCAAGCCCACATATTTTACTTGTTTTAAGAAGCTAAAATCAATATTTTGCTACCTGCTCGTCAGGCCGTGAACACATTTTTTTTTCCAGCTCTTCCTTCCATATAGGATTCTGTAGGGGGTCTAAATTTTTTTGCATCAAGAGGAGGTGCATGCAGAGCTGTCTCCTAATCTTAAGTATGCAGGGCCGTGGCTGAGATTCAGTTCTATTCTTTAGAACCACATGCAGTGTTTGCTGGGCAGAACAGCTGGAAACTGGTCAATTAAAGTATCTTGTTGGCAAGATGTTGAAACGTGAATCATTAGCAGGTTTGCTGATCTTTTGACCCACACCCCCTCTAAAAGCTGATTAGAAGGCTATTTTTAGTTGGCTTTGCCTTCATTTAGGCATATATTTTATGCTTCCTAAATTATGATAATTTGGCATGTCCAGCTAATGAATCTGTCAACATGTCAGAGCAGAGCTGAAGTAGGAAGGTTATGTCAAGTTTTTTGTAGCCATAAAAATCAACAGCAAGATTCCCTTTGAGTCAGTAAGAGAGCCAGTGGCTGCTGTGAAGAGTCTTCCCAAGGGAAAACTTACAGAATTCCTGCTACACATCAGGAAAGACTGTTGTAATCAGAAACACAGAATGATCTTGAGGACATGATAGTGTAATGAAATATTTTCTTTGACCCATAGAGTACCCTCTGAATGAAAAGTAGACCCTCTATGGCAAATCAA
This sequence comes from Homo sapiens, assembly GCF_000001405.40. Classification (NCBI taxonomy): domain Eukaryota; kingdom Metazoa; phylum Chordata; class Mammalia; order Primates; family Hominidae; genus Homo; species Homo sapiens. Next base: position 176,696,529 of record NC_000003.12, on the reverse strand, counting down.
TCTTATTTTCCCTCAAAACAGCAGTGGGAAAGGCAGGCAAATTCTATTGTTATGCTCATTGCCTGTGTGGATTTGAGTTTTAGCAATGTGTGAGCAATATAGCTTATTTACCTGACTCGAGAGACAAAATGTGTGCTCTGTACAGAGTGGGCATTTTGGAAATCTTGCCTGACTAATGATGTGGTTTGTTTCTGGGGCCAAGTTTGGAGAGGAGTTTTATTAGCAGGGGATGTGCTATCTAAAAATTATTGTAGATGTTAATAAAAATTCCAGGATCTAGGCTGCTTTGGGACATCATTTGAAACAGGTATAGAAAAGTTTTCTTTAGAGACTCCATAGATGAGCTTGTTTAAAATAGGTGCTATCAAGATTTTGATGTCAGATGAACCAGTAAAACAGTGAGGTCTCCCTGCCTTTTTTCCAAGTCCAAGAACCATTATGTATAAAGAGATGAGAGAAAATTTGTTAGGCAGTATTTTCTTGAAAACCCCTGCCCTCCACCCCACTGGTCTCTAGATTAAACTAAGAGACTATAGGTATATCAGAGTTGATGTTAACGTTCTTCTGCAATTACGGTAAAATCTAAAGTCCATAATATGGTTTACAAGGCCCAGGATGATCTGGGGTCTTCTTGCTTTGCTACCTACTCTAGTGTATTCTGCCCACTCTCTCATTCACTGCTTTCTATACTGGTCTTTCAACTCCTCAAACCAGCCTTAGAACCTTTGAACTTGTTGGACAAAGGCAGGTTCAGGACAAGTATCATATCCTAGTGTACCACCTCATTAGCCATCCGTCTTGTCTCTGTCCACACTATAGGAGAGAAATCATCTTGAAACATAAATTGATTATTTTTGCATTTCCCAGTGCCCTCAGGATAAAGAAGAAAATTCTTGGTCCTGCAGGCCTTGTGCAGGGTGTGGTCTCTGCCATCTCTCTGCTGTCTGTTCTCATATTCTCCTCATTGCTCTCTCTGCTCTGTTTTCCATAACTGTCTCAGAACACTTAGGCCATCCTCTCTCCCACTCAAAAAACCTTTGCCTCAGGTGCTACTCTCCTGGAACATTCTTCCTCACTCATCCTTCAGAACTCAGCTCAATAGCCACTTGCTCAGGGAAACCCAACATGACATTTTCCCCTAAAACATTTTCTCTTTATTTGATTTCATTTTCCTTTATTATAATCTCTGAGTACTTCCCATCATAACAGTCATCCTGGTTGTATTTTGATATCAGTTCAATGTAGTGTGACTGTTTGGTTGATATGTTTCTCCTGCTAGTTTATGAGCTCCATGAGGGCAGGAATCATCATGCTTTTGTTTACCATGATATACCTAGTCCAGCATATGGCCTGGGACACATTAGCTACTCAATACAGATGTTTTGGATGAAGGAACAAATGTCTACTATGCACCAGGCCCTGTATTAGATGCTGGTGATGAAACCTGAATACGACGTGGCTGAATAAGCAGGTTGCACCTGCTCCCAGGAGCTCATGGTCTCAGAGGAAGGCTGTAAGTTTTGGGTTTTTTTAGTTGAATGTGATGATTGCTGATGACTGAGGTGTGAACAAGGTGCTATAGGAGCTCTGAAAAGTTCCATCTCAGGTGCGCTGATGGTCAGGGAGAAGGTGCTTGAGACAAGTTTTGAAGAACAAGGAGGATTTGATGAGGAAAGGGTCTAGGAAGGGGAGTGGCCAAGGTGGGTGAGGCGCAGGACCCATAGAAAGAACTACATAGGAATCCTGTGCAAATCAGGCCCCAGAGAGGGGACGATGTACCCTCTCCATATTGCTTAAGGGAAAATGCAAGGTAATTTCTAATAACAGAAAGACTTTAATCTGAATCTTAGATCTAGCATTAATCTATTAAATAATTCCTTAGGAGAACTCAGTATCTTTTTGGGAAAAGTAATTTTTTTTTTTACTAAAAACTCTGGGGAGTGTTTGAACTTTAATCCAGTTTATTCTTGGGTGTTAGAAAAGCATCTTTATGTATAGTATGTTTTCTGGTAAATAGTTAAAATTTCATTTTTATTCAAAAATACACATTAATATTCAAGTAAACAATTCTATATTATTTTTATAATTACCCCTCAATCCTACAAATAACTGGAAGCAATTGGAAGCTGAATCAACATCTAGCCATTAAGCTTGGTCTGGATATACCGCAAAAAAGCAGGATCCACCATGTCTAGTTTTTAACTCCCAGGTCCTGACCTCAGCTTTAACATCATACACAATGTCAAGTAAACTACAGTTTTTCCTGTATTGGTATTAGAGATTCAGAGAACTTGACTCCTCCAACTGAGCACTCTGCATTGGTTAAAAACATAGACTCTGGGGCCAGATTTCCAAGATTCAAAGCCTGGCTCCACTACTTAAGCAGTGAGAAGCAAGTTCCTTAAACTTGCCTTAGTTTATATTTGTATTAAATGCCTTAGTTTGCATTATCTTTAAAGTGGGAGCAATAATATTACCACATGGGGTTGTTATGAGGGTTATATAAGTTACTATATATGAATTTCCTAGAGAAATTCATGTACTAGGTAAACTTTATAAATATCTCTAAGCCTAATATCAAAGGCTTTTGTCAAATTTTAAAGGTTGTGGATTTCACCACAACTACAAATTAAAGGTGAGAATAAGTGTCATTTATATTTGTTCTATTTGCATGGATTTTAGCTTAGGCAATCCTCTAAAAAAAGTTACTGACAAAACTCACAAGATTTGAGTTCAAGCAACTCAAGCATCATGGAATTGGGTGGCAGGCAGCTGAGAGCGCAGCAACCCTTCTTGAAAGGCAGAAGAGGAGTGGTGATTGTTGAGTCAGTCTTATGTATGTGTTGGTCACAATTGCAGGACTCCAGGTTGTGCACTGCCTGTATTTGCATGAGCATAACACATGCACACAGTGTACTAATAGTGGGCCAAGCACCGCTGGGAACTCCAGATGGTTAGGGCACAGTGCCTGGCCTCACAGCTCATAATGTGGTGCTGGTGGTGGAGAGGGCAACTTAACACGCACATAAATAACAATCCTAAACCAAATACATTGTGTTAAGTGCTAAACTGTACTTTACAGCAATTTGCTAGAGAGATTCATTCCAAGTAGTAGAATATGAGAAGCTCTTTGAAAAGATAGCACTTGAGTTGGATTGTGAAGGAATGATAAGATACCGGTAGGTGCTGTGGTGACAGCTGAGACACAAGCCTGGTAGCAGGGAGCTGATGAACAAATTCAGGGTAAATCAGACAGCTAGACTGTAGGGTTGAATGAAGTTACAATCTTTTGTATATGAGGAGGGTCTGCAATCCTTGTTTATGTTTATTTATTCCTGGCACAGGAGTGTAAATTTAACTTGCATAATGAAATCTTGACTCATATATCTCCTTTTCCTTATCATCCACCCCATTCTGTTTGTCCTTTCTCTCCCCTCAAGTTTATGCTTTTCTGGCATAAAGACTGATTGTAATTCTCTAATAGGAGACAACTGGGAACTGACAAGGAGGGACTAAAAGATTGTGTAATCAAAAGCAATAAAAAGATTCATTTGAATGAGTGTCTAGCTCAGAATTCCCAAAGTGTGCACTTCTGCAAATATGAAATAATATGTGCATCCTCTAATGTGCTGGTCGATGTCCATTATCCTATCTGTCTTCTTTTATCACTTAGGTTCACTCCATGGGTAACCACTATTTTAAATCCATCTTTCTTTACTAGAACCATTTTCTCTTTAACTGGGACAAAGGAATCTAAGCTTATATAGCTTCCCATGAACAGCATGAAAACCTTTTAAATTACACAGCATTGATCGATGTTCACCCCTTCCTCTAAATACAGTACATATGCTATCCCTGGGGTTCACTTAATGCTTCCTTACTGATGATAAAACTGCTGCTTGGCACAGATGAGGGCCAAACACACTGCCTCACTGCACACTCTTGTTCAGATTGCAGTCTAACTAGTGAAGCTGAAATGGAAAGTCTAAGCCCCTGATCCTTGCGGCACACAGCGTATTAAATGTTGTGCTTGCTAATGTTTCTCCTCTTGAATGTGAAATACATTTGCTGCTGCCTCCAGATCCCAGTGTCCTAAGTGGTTGGGTGATTCCGAATTGTGTACCGTGGACAAGCTGCAGAGGGCTCAGGGGAGAGAGGCTTTGAAAGGAAAAAATGATGTGAATGCTGAAATTTTCCACCTCTGGGAGAGTCCTTAACAAGAAAGCCTGCTTAGTTTTGGCTAGAATGAAGTTTCTGTTCTTTCACTCGCCCCTTTCTGAAAATAATCGTAGCAGCCAGATGGCAGTTGTTGTGCTGCTTGTACATAAAACTTTATGTATGAGAAATTTGACAAGAAATGTTATTAAATGAACACAAAGAACCTTACATTGGATTGTGGACAGACAGGACAACAAAACTAAAACAGACTGAAGGAAATGATGTATTCTTCGTCACAGATGATTCTGTGTACTTGTGTTGACCACTTCCAGCAGCATCTTTACATGCAACAGTATAGTGGCTTGTAACTTGGAAAATGCTTTTCACCTGCTCTATCTTGTTGGAGCCCAGCAAACATGTCATGGAGAGAGGAAAGGGAAAGACATTATTCTCATGGGACTTCTGGGGAAACTGAGGCACAGAAAAATAAATGGCCCAAGGCTACATGGCCAGTAAGCAGCAACACTGGGCCTAAAACTTAGGCTTTCTGATTTAAGCTCAATATCTGGTTATCACATTGCTTCCTGGTTGAAACACTACTATTCCATAGGACCCTTGTGGGCAGAAGGTACCCTTCTCAAGGTCTTCTGAGAAACCTTCCCTGTCCTTGGTCAGCTCCACATCTGGCTCCTACAGCATTCATTATGTGAACCACCAAATTTTACAAGTATTGTGGATTCTCTTTCCTATTTCCTAAATAATTGTGTGGACTTATCTGAGTACAAGCATCCCAAATGTAGGTATGACATTGTAGGACACAAAGCAAGCATTTAACAAACACTTATTGACTTCTTATATATTTTTGTGATAAGTGAAAAAATATATACAAAGGCATAGGAATGTAACTTTACATTGAGTAAAGTGTTGTATCAAAGCAATTTATAGATGTTTTTCTCTGTCACTTTTATTCTCTTAAATATCATCAACACGATGGAGTAGCATTAAAACCTTAAAACAGTGCTTTCTTGGCATGTCCACATTAAAAAAAATTGGACAGTAGTCTGTAATCTTTTCTAAGCTTTGAACATTTCTGAAGATATGATGAAAACTGCGGATCTGCTTATAAATCTAGGATGAGGGCAGAAAGAGATCTGTGAAAGCCCATTCTTAGGTCATAATTAGGAACTCTGACATTGAAAATTGTTGCTTTATTACCTGATGGTAGCCACTTTCAAGCATAACCCAACTGCAACAAAAGAAAGAAAAAACCTTCCCTTCCCTGGCATGCCCATTGGTGTTCAGCCAGATGGATGTTCCTCTACCTCCATTTTTCTTCCTGTAAACTCCCCAGTCCCCTTACTCTGTTTTTGGTAAGAGGAGACAATGGCATTTACCTAAAAATTCTTCATCTGAGTCCTTCATTGTGAACTTACTATATGCCAGACACTGTGCTGAGTAAACTCTCTGGGAGGTGTGTCCGGTCCTCAAAGAGTTTGCAGTCTAGAATGTGTACAAACAAGGCTGTGAATTCTGCCTGGAGGAGTAAGGTAAGGGTTTAGAGACTAGGTGATGTTTAAATTAGGGTATGAAAATAAGTGGGCGCCCTCCTTGTGGATAAGAGAAGAATGTATGGCATTCCAGCAGAGCTCTCACTAGGTCATGCACAGATTCCATGATACTGTAGAACACAGTCTACTCAGGGCACAGTGACTCATTTTGTGTGTCCTTGGAGTGGACTGCTAGGTGAGGACATCAGTTGATGGAAAGCGAGTCAGGGCTCAGATTGTAAAGGACCTTTGAGACATGATAAAATGTGTTTTCTTCATTCTACCATTGCAAATAACTAGAAGGGAGAAGCTAAAACCTGCTTGGAGATCCTTTGTATTATGGCAGGGATAAAGTATTTTGCCACTTGCTACCACTGGCTACACAAAAGGGATTATTGGCTCTTGCTGTAACCCAGATGCTAGAAACACTGGCATGTGAACAAAAAAGACCGCTCTGTCCCCTTTGCTTGATATATGAACTGTAAAAGCTCTTCAGTGCGGTAGGAACATTTCCTTGGACTCTGAGGAGGTTAACACATCTGTTTATAAATACTGTCAATCCATAGGTAGCAGGGGGAAGCTACAGAGTGATTTATCTGGCTGCCTGAGCATTTTGAAAAAAATATCGATGGCATGGTAGATCGACACTCCTGCTGGTATTTTAAGTAGCAGCCGGAATCTGTTTCCAGCTGAATGGACATATAGTCTCTATCTCTGATTACTTATGCATCATATAGCTCCATGCTGAATCCTCACCATTTGCCTGTTTAATTCAGTGGATGTGGTGGAACTATATTCTTTCTGTTCTTTTATTTGTTCTCTAACATTGTTGGCAGGTCCATAAGGCCAATGCTTGCATATCAGTGTCTTGTGGATAAGTGGGTCACACTTCATTGAAGTCATTCTTGTCGTTGCTCTTCTCTATAACAAGCTCCAGTATCATGTATTCAGACAGTGATTTCTTTTCCCCTCACCTTTTAGCTGCCTTAAGATTCAGGGGATATGAACTACAATGGTGCCCTCTCCGCATTTGAGGATACATGATTATTAAGTTGATTTACCATAGCTTTCTAGAGACTGTGTAAAAAATGTCCTGTAGAAGTCAAGTCTCTTAGTCCCTTGGGCACCCTGTGGACATCTGTCCTCCACCAGCTGACTCTAGGGTTAGTAGAACTGTCTTGGGTGAGTGAAATGATAAAATAAGATTAATGGGCTGGGAAAGTTTGGGAGTGAACCTCTTAAACTTTCTTTGCTAAAGGGTCTTAGAATCCTCTGAGTGGCAGATGTTAAACTAAGGAATCATGTTAGAGAGGCTGCTCTAGATTATGTTTTGGGTGAGTCCATGCAGCCAAGAAAGATGTCACAGATGGCAGTGTAGACAGTGGGCATAATCGAGGCCAAAATGCCCCTGTGATACCTGTGCTATTCAAATTAGCCCTACGGTCATTCTACAGGTGTCAGGACTTGATTCAGCTTTCTCGGTGCAGTATTAGGAAGCATTTTTCCCTGAGTATCCATTCTTGATTCATTTGTCAAACTTCATCTGTACGATCATATGACTCGATGAAACTTCAAAAATACTTATTTATTTTTCCCTCATCTTCCTCTTTTTTTTTGGACCAAATCTAATCTGCATCAAACAAATGGGACGCTATTCTTTTCTGTAACTCAGCAGAAAATGGTCTATACTGGCAACCCATTCTTATATTCCCCTAGCCCATGAAATATATCTTTACTTAGATAGTCTGTGAAGTATCCACTATCTCGACTTGAAGTTCACTTCCCTAACATCTTGTGAAAATTGACCGATGCCAAGTACTTTTAATTTTCTTCTCAAGTATTGTTTTCATTTCTTTGAATAGATTTCCTAAATTTTAACATTTTCTTATGTGTTTAATGTATGGTTTTCATTTTAGTAAATACTTAGTATGCATGATCTCTTGTACTGTCTCAACAGGTAGGTACTGTGAATTTTCACCACTTTCCGTATAATGGCATTGAGGCTTAAAGAGGTTAAATACTTGTTTAAGGTTCTGTGTCCAGTAATTGGCAGAGCCTTGATTAAAGTTCACATATGTCTTATTGCAGACTCCAGATTCCAATACCTGTACCTATGCCACATGACCTTTAGTCATGTGGTTTGTTTGTTTGTTTATTTATTTATTTATTTATCTATCTACTTTGAGACGGAGTCTCACTCTGTCGCCCAGGCTGGAGTGCAGTGGCGCGATCTCGGCTCACTGCAAGCTCCGCCTTCCGGGTTCACGCCATTCTCCTGCCTCACCCTCCTGAGTAGCTGAGACTGCAGGCACCCGCCACCATGCCCGGCTAATTTTTTGTATTTTTAGTAGAGACGGGGTTTCACCATGATAGCCAGGATGGTCTCAATCTCCTGACCTCGTGATTCGCCTGTGTCAGCCTCCCAAAGTGCTGGGATTACAGGCGTGAGCCACCGCGCCCGGCCCGTCATGTGGTTGTTTACCAAGTATCACTCCATGTTTCGTAAATACTTTGCAAGTCTTTGGAGTAATTTTGTTTAAACCAAGAGTTATGGCTTATTAGTGGGTCATGACTTGCATGTTTTTTGTTTTACATGAAATGGGTTAGAATAGAGTATTACAAAATAGAAAACACCAAAATGCATTGATATAGTAATGGTGGGTATATTTTTGTGAAATTTTTGTTATAAGTGTATATGTGTGTATTGAGTCACAATGCAAATTGTGTTTATTACTGTGAGTTATGGAAAATTTAGGGAAACAATGTTATGCATGACAAGAAGCAGTATAAAACAGCTTCCTTCCTGTCAAGATACTTAGATACTTAGATCACAGTGGGAATGGAAAATATATATAAGTTAATGTTGGCAAAACACATAGCAGTGGATTATTCAAAGCCAAAATATGCATATGCAAATAATACTAAAGTTATAATCCTCTTCTGGTATTCACCGTCTATGATGGTTATTATTTCTAAAAATATGTGTGACAACGCTGAACATTTTCAGGACAAGAACATGCCTTGCTGTATAGAATCCTCATTGCCTTGAGCAGAAGATGTCTCATGAGTGCTTATTGAATGAATGAAAGAAGGAGTGAGGGCAAGTGGCCTTCTATGTAAAGAAACATTCTAAAATAGCATATCTTGAGTTTGGGGAAACTATAACCAGCTTTCTCATTTTATGCCTGTTTCTTCCTTTTAATAAAGAATATCTTTCTACTATATGTGGAAGCACCTGAATAAGCCACAGAAATTTCCTGAGAGAGAGTGTGTGATGGGAATTGTCACGGTGACTCCTTGTCTATCTTGACTCAGTTGGAGGCCGCTTTGATCAGCTTCTCCAAGGATGTGATAGAAAATGTATTTATAAATGAATTGGGCCAAGTTTACCTAAAAGGAAACATGCTAGACACATATGCTTTGGTATCTTAGTGCTTAATCTTATAGCTTTGTGTCAACCAAATCACTGGTAAGAAATTAAAAGCAGAGATAATGCTTTGTGAGTCAAAGGGCCTTGAAAATTTTTTTCTATTTTTTTCTTGTTTAGCAGAGTTAAATAAAGGTTTTTTTGTAGAGTTCTTATGATCTTCCCAGAAACTGTCTTCCACAGTTTTTTCCTCAATATTTGCCATTTTAACTTGTGTCAAGTGAATTATTTAACTAAAGGTGCATAAACAAAGAATTCAAACTTTAGTTTTTCATAGGCCAAAGGGCTGCTTTTTAAAAACTAGTGTAAACATAAGTAAGGAGAAGTGAGGTATGATTCAGGAACTACAATGTCTGGACATGCTGAGAATAGCACTTAGAAATTTGATTTGAGACTTTATTTTTTGCTGCCTAAAAATGATCGTTATTGACTTTTTTTTTTATTTTTTTATTTTTTTTCAAATGAAGGCCGGGCACAGTCACGCCTGTAATCCCAGCACTTTGGGAGGCTGAGGTGGGTGGATCATTTGAGGTCAGGAGTTCGAGACCAGCCTGGCCAACATGGTGAAACCCTGCTTCTTCTTAAAATACAAAAATTAGCCGGGTGTGGTGGCGGGCACCTGTAATCCTAGCTACTTGGGAGGCTGAGGCAGGAGAATCGCTTGAACCCGGGAGGCAGAGGTGGCAGTGAGCAGAGATCATGCCACTGCACTCCAGCCTGGGCAACAGAGCAAGACCCCATCTCAAAAAAGAAAGTAAGCATATTCCCTGAACAAATATTTATTGGTTCCCTGACATATGGCAAACATTGAGCTAGGTGCTGGTGGTGCAATGGCAGGGAGACACAGACTGCCCTCCTGGTGGTGGAGAGGAAGCAGACAGACATGTTTGTGTTTCAACAGGGGTGATACGGAATGTCACAAGGGTACATAGGGGCACCCCCTCAGACTGGGAAGTGCCAGGGGCTTCTTCCCAGAGGAAGTGGGATTTAGGTTGAAAACAGAAGAACAAGTAGGAAAGTTTACTGGGACAAGAGAAGGGCAACCAAGGTCTAAGAAAGAGAGAAGGCGTAAGAAGGTACAAGGTACAAGAAAGAATGCGTGTCGCTTTCTGAGAATTTCTGGATAGTTCCGCATGACCAGAACTCAAGAACGTAAGGCGAGGATGTGGACAGATGTGACCAGGAGGGAAGGGTAGAGATAAATCGTCTTCTAAATCATGCTCTAGAGTTTTTACTAAATCCTGAGGGGAATGAGGAAGTGTTGAAGGGTTTTATTAGAGGAGTGAGATGACAGTTAACTCAGGAGAAAGCAATGGTGCTTCGCGGTAGCCCTGAAACCACCTTTCCCCTTTTCCCCTGTGGGAGAGGACAGAACAATAGAGCGTTTCCCTGAACACCTTCTTCATCTGCATTCTCAGGCTGAAGGGAAGGATCAGAACACCATGCCCGCTAGCCTGGGAGACTGAACAACGATTGCAACACCACATCAAATTAGAGCTCTTCACATTTTGCAAAACTTTCTAACTCCCTAGAGATAATAATTCTTTTTCACTCTGATAGGAGACGAAAAAGGGACAATGGAGCAAGAATATTTACAGCCCTGAATGACAGAATGAGAAGCATTAAGCCCATTGGCCTCCACTTAAAGAATTTTGTGACAATTAGCAAATGTTTTCTCCATCTTCATTGAAGGTAGAATAAAAAGCAATGAGCTTATTTGGCAAGACCTCTGTTCTACACTCCTGCTTGCGTTTTTACTTATTTCTGTCTGTAGTTTCTATGTTAGTCACCTTAGACTTATGCCCCAGTGAGAAACATATAAAATTAGATTCAGGTACAAACTTTTTCAGCTTCTGGCATCCCTGATGTTGCCTCTTGTTTGCTTTATTCTGCCTCATCTCCTCCTTTGACTTGCTTGTTTCTTAATCATTCTCATAGGTCTTTGTGTTCCTGCCTTTGCTCGTCATTCTTTGAGCATCTCAGAGCCTTTCAGAAAAGTATTTTCATGTGTATCTTACGGGAGCTTAAAAAATCATTAGACATTAACATTCCCTCTTAATGGTAAAATATTCTTTCCCTTCTGTCTTTCTGTATATGTTCTTGTGAATCTGCTTGAAATATCAGGCACATGGAGACCACTGTGTGTTGGTCAGTGCGTGTTATTTGAATGACCAAACAAAGAAACAGTTTTCAACACTTGCTAAGGAAAAAATACAGCAGCACATAATAGCAGAACAGATACTATCACATACACACATATGGTAACTTAACAAATAAAGACAAAAACAAATTTATGTTAAATGATTAAATTACTAAATATTTATGGTTTGTCTGACCAGCTGCTTGCCATATCTCCCACTACTTCTGTTTGTCCAAACATTAGCCATTCACTTTCTTTTGACCTTTGATGGTGAAAGCTGGACACTACATAGAAACCTCTGTGATCACCAAATTCTGGTCTTTGCGTTCGGTCTGGCCTGTTCTTGGGCTTATTTTATGTTCTTTACCTTCAACCCTTCCTAGATCGTCATAATCTAGCTCCTAGCCCTCTGCCAAAGGTTTACCGGTACGTGTGGTTCTGGTGTTAATGTAATAGCTGTCTTACTGAGATCTCGAATAGAAATTTGCCAGGCTCTCTCTGGCATGCAATAAATGCTTTTTCTGTCCCACTCCTACACATTTATATGGCTAATTTTTTCTCATTATGCAACCCTCATCTCCTAAATGCCATCTCCTTTTACCATCCCACTTAATAGTTCTGCCTCAAGCCCCAGTTGCCTAGGTGGAGAAAGGGTAAGCTGCTATGGTATTGACATAATTGATTCAGGTTATGGGAAAATTCTACTCCATGAGGTCATTCATGGATCCAGGATCCTCCTATCTTGTTCTGTTGAGTATTGTCCTTATCTGAATTATTAATGCTGGATTGTCACTGCAAACATTTTAAAGCCAATGGAAAGGGGAAAGAGAGCATGGATGAGGCATGCTCAGTATGTTAACTCTTAGAACCAAAAGTGGCATACATAATTTCCTTCTGTATTTTATTGGTGAGGACATTGTCACATGGCCACATTTGCTGCAAAGAGAGTCTAGAAATATAATTAGCAAAACAGTCATGTGTCCAATACAACTCTACTTCTAGAAGGGGAAGATGGGCTCAGTGCAGTGGCTCATGCCTGTAATCTCAGCACTTTGAGAGGCCAAGGCGGGTGGATCACCTGAGATCAGGAGTTTGAGACCAGCCTGGCCAACATGGTGAAACCCTGTCTCTGTTAAAAATATACAAAAAATTAGCTGGGCATGGTGGCAGGTGCCTATAATCCCAGCTACTCTGGAGGCTGAGGCAGGAGAATTGCTTGAACCCAGGAGGTGGAGGTTGCAGTGAGCTAAGATTGTGCCATTGCACTCCAGCCTGGGCAACAAGAGTGAAACTTCATCTCAAAATAAATAAACAAACAAACAAACAAACAAATAAATAATTAAAAAAATAAAGAAGGGGAAGATGGATTCTTTTAGACAATTAGCAGTCTCCACGATACTTAGTTGACACTTAGTCACCCTATCACATGACCCTGTTTTATTTTCTTCACAGCATCTATCATTATCAAAATAACTTTTTATTCATGGGTTAATTTATTTTACTCTCATTAGAATATAAGATTTGTAACAGCAGAACTGTGTTTGTTCTATTTCTTTTTTTTTTAAACCTCTACATCTATAGTGCATAGAATAGTGGTTGGCATATAGAAGGTTTTCACTGGGTTTTGAGGCTTCTGAGACTGAGTGAATCATTTGCTTAAACTGAAAGCTACAAGATTCTCATAAGTGCTGTCTCCTCTTTTATGTCTATTAAGAGGCTTATACATCATGGCAGTCACGAGGCCAAGCCTGAGATTGTATACTGCAGCTGCAGTTAGTTAAGTTCCTGCCCTCTTAGAAATGAGAGACCCTCATCTTCAATTGGGTATATTTGGTCGCTGACTCCTTACCAGACATCCAGAGTTAAATGAATTCCATTTATCTGGGATGTTTAAATCAGGGGAGTAACTAGTGCCCCAGTATGTTGCAGAATACTGATTTCATGTTTTTGAAAGATGAAGGCAAGATTTCAATTTCTATCATGGCTCATTCTGCTTTCTAGGGACATCCATCTTTTAAGCCATCAGATCATGCTGTTTCTGTTTGAAGTCCACCTCAGGTACTGCTTGACATGTACAGATGCTGAAGCACTGCCCCTTTCTAAGGGAGGGGGAAAGTTCTTATCAGGTACTCTGCCTTAGCAGCTCCCCTTGCCTTCCCAACCTGGACCATCCTTGCCTTATTCTCATCTTCATGCTTGTCTCCTGGCTAATCTCAATTCCATTTTGTGTTCATGTTCGACTGGTGTTATGATCCTGATATTTGCAAGAAAAGAAGATTAATCTACACTATAAACTCTATGTGAGTAGGAGCAAGGTCTGTTTGTATTTATTATTGTATACCATTACCATTACCATTACCATTACCTAGCAGTACCTGTTACATAGTTGGTAAGCAAAAAGGTAAAAAAAACCAAACAACAATGGGCCGGGCACGGTGGCTCACGCCTGTAATCCCAGCACTTTGGGAGGCCGAGGCGGGCGGATCATGAGGTCAGGAGATCGAGACCATCCTGACCAACATGGTGAAACCCCGTCTCTACTAAAAATACAGAAAATTAGCCGGGCGTGGTGGCGGGTGCCTGTAGTCCCAGCTACTCGGGAGGCTGAGGCAGGAGAATGTCGTGAACCCAGGAGGCGGAGCTTGCAGTGAGCCGAGATCGCGCCACTGCACTCCAGCCTGGGTGACAGAGCAAGACTTGGTCTCAAAAAAAAAAAAAAAAAAAAAAAGAAAAAAAAAAGAAAGGATATGCATAATACTTTGAGAAAAGTGCAGTGAAGGAAACACTAAAATGTTGTGATGAAGTAGGGTACTCAGAGAAAAGATTATTTAAAGTAGTAATGTTTAATTTAAGATACAAAGGGCCTGGAGAAGAACAGACTCTAAGGTGGTATTGAAGCTCAGAATATGATACTTCAAAGTATAGTGTGGCACTTTAGTGTGTTTAATTCTTTGAACTGAGGAAGATTGGAAGAGCCCCAGAAGTAAGAAATTTCCTCTGACCATCTCCCACCCTCTTTTCCGCTTCCCTCATTTCTCCCCTGAAGCAGGTCATAGAAATCAGAATTCCTCTTCCTCAAAGCAAGCCATAGAGCCTAGAAATGTCACTCTCTGACCTTCTCCCTTGTTCCCTGAGGTTCTCATATGACAAGTGTCCTGTCCCATTCCCAGAGGAAGGAATGCTACATAGAGAAGACAAAAAGAATCTGAACAAAGAGGCCTTGCTGGATTCCGTTCTCAATTACCATTAGATTATACCCTTCTTGTCCAATCACATTCCTACATGACTGTCTATTTTTCATTGAACCGAAGCATAAAAATACAGTTTTCCTGGAATCTTTGGGTCTTCATTTTTGAAGACTCCTGTGTCGCAGAAAACTTTGATTGAATAAATATGTTATATGTTTCTCTTTTTAATCTGTTTCTGTTATGGGGTATCAGCTGTGGACCTTGAAATGGGCGAGTAACAGGTGTTACATCTCTTCACCCCTATAATGGTAGAGTGTTGTTGTGTAAAGTATAGACTTGGAAGCTTCAGTGTGGGTTCAAAACCTGTTTCTATTAATTATGATCTGCATTAGTCTACTAGGGATACTATAATAAAACAGTATACATTGGGTGGCTTTAACAACAGACATTTATTTCCTAGAGTTGTGGAGGTTGGGAATTTCAAGATCAAGGTGCTGGCCGATTTGGCTCCTGGTGAGGACACTCCTTGCTGCCTTCTTGCTGTGTCCTCACATGGCAGACAGACAGAGCATATATGAGTGAGCATGCTCTTCTTGTAAAGCAACTAATATCATCATCTAACCCTAATTATTTCTTTTCCCGTGATGGTTAATTTTGTGTGTCAACTTGATTGGGCAATGAGGTGCCCAGATAACTGACTAAATATTATTTATGGGCATGTCTGTGAGGGTATTATTTATTTATTTAAATTTTACTGTAAGTTCCAGGATACATGTGTGGAACATGCAGGTTTGTTACATAGGTATATGTGTGTCATGTGGTTTGCCGCACCTATTGACCTGTCCTCTAAATTCTCTTCCCTCATCGCCCACCCCACAACAGGCCCTGGTCTGTGTTGTTCTCCACCCTGTGTCCATGTGTTCTTATTGTTCAACTCCTACTTATGAGTGAGAACATATGTTTGGTTTTCTTTTCCTGTGTTAGTTTGCTAAGGATGATGGCTTGCAGCTTCATTCATGTCCCTGCAGAGGACATGATCTCATTCCTTTTTATGTCTGTGTAGTATTCCATGGTGTATATGTACCACTTTTTTTTTATTATACTTTAAGTTCTGGGATACATGTGCAGAACCTACAGGTTTGTTACATAGGTATACATGTACCATGGTAGTTTGCTGCACCTATCAACCCGTCATCTACATTCGCTATTTCTCCTAATGCTATCCCTCCTCTTGCCCCCCACCTCCCAACAGGCACTGGTGTGTGATGTTTCCCTCCCTGTGCCCATATGTTTTCATTGTTCAGCTCCCACTTATGAGTGAGAATGTGGGGTGTTTGGTTTTCTGTTCCTATGTTAGTTTGCTGAGAATGATTTCCAGCTTCATCCATGTCTCTGCAAAGGACATGAATGCATTCTTTTTTATGGCTGCATAGTATTCCATGGTATATATGTGCCACATTTTCTTTATCCAGTCTATCATTGGGCATTTGGGTTGGTCCAAGTCTTTGCTATTGTGAATAGTGCTGCAACAATCCTACATGTCCATATGTCTTCATAGTAGAATGATTTATAATTCTTTGGGTTATACCCAGTAATGAGATTCCTGGGTCAAATAGTGTTTCTGGTTCTAGATCTTTAAGGACTCACCACACTGTCTTCCACAATGGTTGAACTAATTTACATTCCCACCAACAGTGTAAAAGTGTTCCTATTTCTCTACATCCTCTCCAGCATTTGTTGTTTCCTGACTTTTTAATGATTGCCATTCTAACTGGTGTGAGATGGTATCTCATTGTGGTTTTGATTTGCATTTCTCTAATGACCAGTGATGATGAGCTTTTTTTCATATGTTTTTTGGCCACATAAATGTCTTCTTTTGAGAAGTGTCTGTTCATATCCTTTGCCCACTTTTTGATGGGGTTGTTTGTGTTTTTCTTGTAAATTTGTTTAAGTTTCTTTTAGATTCTGGATATTAGCCCTTTGTCAGGTGGATAGATTGCAAAAATTTTCTCCCATTCTCTAGATTGCCTGTTCTGTTCACTCTGATAATAGTTTCTTTTGCTGTGCAGAAGCTCGTTAGTTTAATTAGATCCCAGTTGTCAATTTTGGCTTTTGTTGCCATTGCTTTTGGTGTTTCAGTCATTAAGTCTTTGCCCATGCCTATGTCCCGAATGGTATTGCCTAGGCTTTCTTCTAGGGTTTTTATGGTTTTAGGTCTTACATTTAAGTCTTTAATCGATCTTGAGTTAATTTTTGTAATAGGCTTAAGGAAGGGGTCCAGCTTCAGTTTTCTGCATATGGCTAGCCAGTTTTCCCAACACCATTTATTAAATAGGGAATCCTTTCCCCATTGCTTGTTTTTGTCAGCTTTGTCAAAGATCAGATGGTTGTAGATGTGTGGCATTATTTCTGAGGCCTCTGTTCTGTTCCACTGACCTATATATCTGTTTTGGTACAGTACCATGCTGTTTTGGTTACTGTAGTCTTGTAGTATAGCTTGAAGTCAGGCAGCATGATGCCTTCAGCCTTTTTTTTTTTTTTTTTGCTTAGGATTGTCTTGGCTATACAGGCTCTTTTTTGGTTCCATATGAAATTTAAAGTAGTTTTTTCTAATTCTATGAAGAAAGTCAGTGGTAGCTTGATCTATAAATTACTTTGGGCAGTATGGCCATTTTCACAATATTGATTTTTCCTATTCATGACCATGGATGAGCATGTTTTTCCATTTGTTTGTGGCCTGTCTTATTTCTTTGAGCAGTGGTTTGTAGTTCTCCTTGAAGAGGTCCTTCACATCCCTCATAAGTTGGATTCCTAGGTATTTTATTCTCTTTGTAGCAATTGTGAATGGGAGTTCATTCATGATTTGGCTGTCTGTTTGTCTATTATTGGTGTATAGGAATGTTTGTGATTTTTGCACATTGATTTTGTATCCGGAGACTTTGCTGAAGTTGCTTACCAGCTTAAGGAGATTTTGGGCTGAGAACAGGGTTTTCTAAATATACAATCATGTCATCTGCGAACAGAGACAATTTGACTTCCTCTCTTCCTATTTGAATACCCTTTATTTGTTTCTCTTGCCTGATTGCCCTGGCCAGAACTTCCAATACTATGTTTAATGGGAGTGGTGAGAGAGGGCATCCTTGTCTTGTGCCAGTTTTCAAAGGGAATGCTTCCAGCTTTTGCCCATTCAGTATGATATTGGCTGTGGGTTTGTCATAAATAGCTCTTATTATTTTGAGATATGTTCCATCAGTACTTATTTATTGAGTGTTTTTAGCATGAAGGGATGTTGAATTTTATTGAAGACCTTTTTCTGCATCTATTGAGATAATCATGTGGTTTTTGTCATTAGTTCTGTTTATGTGACAGATTATGTTTATTGATTTGCGTATGTTGAACCAGCCTTGCATCCCAGGGCTGAAGCCAACTTGATTGTGGTGGATAAGCTTTTTAATGTGTACCACATTTTCTTTATCCAGTCTATCATTGATGGACATTTGGGTTGGTTCCATGACTTTGCTATTGTAAATAGTGTTGCAATAAACATACATGTGCATGTGTCTTTATAGTAGAATGATTTATATTCCTTTTGGTATATACCCAGTAATGGGATTACTGGGTCAAATGGTATTTGTGGTCTAGATCCTTGAGGAATCACCTATACTGTCTTCCACAATGGTTGAACTAATTTACACTCCCAACAACAGTGTAAAATTGCTTCCATTTCTTCACAGTCTCACCAGTATCTACTGTTCCTTGACTTTTTAATAATGACCATTCTGACTGGTGTGAGATGATCTCATTGTGGTTTTGATTTGTATTTCTCTAATGATCAGTGATTTTGAGCTTTATTTCATATATTTTTTGGCCACATAAATGTCTTCTTTTTAGTAGTGTCTGTTCATATTTTTTGCCCACTTTTTGATGGGGTTGTTTGCTTTTTTTCTTGTAAATTTGTGTAAGTTCCTTGTAAATTCTGGATATTAGCCCTTTGTCAGATGGATAGATTGCAAACATTTTCTCCCATTCTGTAGGTCGCCTGTTCACTATGATGATAGTTTCTTTTGCCGTGCAGAAGCTCTTTAGTTTAATTAGATCCCATTTATCAATTTTGGCTTTTGTTGCAATTGGCTTTTGGTGTTATTGTCATGAAGTCTTTGCCCATGCCTATGTCCTGAATGCTATTGTCTAGTTTTTCTTCTAGGATTTTTATGGTTTTGGGTTTTACATTTAAGTCTTTAATCCATCTTGAGATAATTCATGTGTAAGGTGTAAGGAAGGGGTCCAGTTTTAGTTCTCTGCATATGACTAGCCAGTTTTACCAGCACCATTTACTGAATAGGAGATCCTTTCCTATTGTTTGTTTTTGTCATGTTTGTCAAAGATCTGATGGTTGTAGATGTGTGGTGTTATTTCTGAGGGCTCTCTTCCGTTCCATTGGTCTACAAGTCTGTTTTGGCACCAGTACCATGCTGTTTTGCTTACTGTAGCTTTGTAGTATAGTTTGAAGTCAGGTAGTGTGATGCCTCCAGCTTTGTTCTTTTTGCTTAGGATTGTCTTGGCTATACAGTGTTTTCTTTGATTCCATATGAAATTTAAGGTTTTTTTTTTTGTAATTCTGTGAAGAATTTCAATGGTAATTTGATGGAAATAGCATGGAGTCTATAAATTACTTTGGGCTGTATGGCCATTTTCACAATATTGATTCTTCCTATCCATGAGGATGGAATGTTTTTCCATTTGTTTGTGTCTTCTCTTATTTCTTTGAGCAGTGGTTTTGAGTTCTCCTTGAAGAGGTCCTTCACATTCCTTGTTAGCTGTATTCCTAAGTATTTTATTCTCTCTGTAGCAATTGTGAATGGGAGTTCATTCATGATTTTGCTCTCTGCTTGTCTATTGTTGGTGTATAGGAATGCTTGTGATTTTTGTACATTGATTTTGTATCTGGTGACTTTGCTGAAGTTGCTTATCAGTTTAAGGAGTTTTGGGTCTGAGATGATGGGGTTTTATAAATATAAAATCATGTTTTCTGTAAACAGGCAATTTGACTTCCTCTCTATTTGAATACCCTTTTTTTGTTTCTCTTGCCTGATTGCCCTGGCCAGAACTTCCAGTACTATGTTGAATAGGAGTGGTGAGAGAGTGTATCCTTGTCTTGTGCCAGTTTTCAAAGGGAATGCTTCCAGATTTCGCCCATTCAGTATGATATTGGCTGTGGGTTTTTCATATATAGCTCTTCTTATTTTGAGATATGTCCCACCAATACCTAGTTCATGGAGAGTTTTTAACATGAGGGGATGTTGAATTTTATCAAAGGCCTTTTCTGTGCCTATTGAGATAATCATGTGGTTTTTGTCATTAGTTCTGTTTATGTGATGGATTACATTTATTGATTTGTGTATGTTGGACCAGCCCTGCATCTCACAGATGAAGCTGACTTGATCATGGTATGTAAGTTTTTTGATGTTCTCCTGGATTCAGTTTGCCAGTATTTTAATGAGGATTTTCACATCGATGTTCATCAGGGATATTGGGCTGAAATTTTCTTCTCTTTTTGTGTTCTTTCCTGGTTTTGGTGTCAGGATGATGCTGGCTTCATAAAATGAGTTAGGGAGGAGTCCCTCCTTTTCAATTGTTTGGAGTAGCTTCAGAAGAAATGGTACAAGCTCCTCTTTGTACCTCTGGGAGAATTTGGCTATGAATCCATCTGGTCCTGGGCTTTTTTTTGTTGGTAGGCTATTAATTACAGCTTGAATTTCAGAGCTAGTTATTGATCTATTCAGGGATTTGACTTCTTCCTGGTTTAGTCTTGGGATGGTGTATGTGTCCAGGAATGTATTAATTTCTTCTAGATTTTGTAGTTTATTTGTGTAGGGGTATTTATAATATTCTCTGATAGTAGTGTATTTCTCTGGGGTCAGTGGTGATATCCCCTTTATCATTTTTTATTGTGTCTATTTGATTCTTCTCTCTTTTCTTCTTTATTATTCCAGTTAGCAGTCTATTTTGTTAATTTTTTCGAAAAACCAGCTCTTGGATTCATTGATTTTTTGGAGGGTTTTTCGTGTCTTTATCTCCTATTCTGCTCTGATCTTAGTTATTTCTTGTCTTTTGCTAGCTTTTGGATTAACTCGCTCTTGGCTCTCTAGCTCTTTTAATTGTGATGTTAGGGTGTCTATTTGAGATATTTCTAGCTTTCTGATGTGGGCATTCAGTGCTATAAATTTCCCTGTTAACACTGCTTTAGCTGTTTCCCAGAGATTTGGGTATGTTGTCTCTTTGTTCTCATTGATTTCAAAGAACTTCTTGATTTCTGCCTTAATTTCATCGTATACCCAGGAGTCATTTAGGAGCAGGTTGTTCAATTTCCATGTAATTGTGTGGTTTTGAGTGAGTTTCTTAATTCTGAGTTCTAATTTTATTGCAGTGTGGTCTGAGAGACTGTTCGTTATGATTTCAGTTCTTTTGCATTTGCTGAGGAGTGTTTTACTTCCAATTATGTGGTCAATTTTAGAATAAGTGCCATGTGGCACTGAGAAGAATGTATATTCTGTTTATTTGTGGTGGAGAGTTCTGTAGATGTCTATTAGGTTGTCAGGGTACTTTTGGAAAAATTTAGCACTTGAATTGGTGGACTGAGTAAGACAGATCCTCCCTACTCCATTGTGGACCTGAATAGAACAAAAACACAGAGGAAGGTTGGATTCATTCTCATTCTGCCTAACTGCTTGAGCTGGGACATTGATCTTCTCCTGTCCTCAGCATGCCTGGTTATCAGGCATTTAGATTTGGACTGGAATCTACACCATCAGCTTTTCAGCTCTCAGGTGTTCGAATTATACCAGCAGCCTTCCTGGGTCTCCGGCTTGCAAGTAGTAGATTGTGGGACTACTCAGCCTCCATAATTGCATGAGCCAATAACTTATAATAAATCGCTTTCTCTTTCTAGTTCTCTTTCTTTCTCCCTTTCTCATATCCCCCATTGTCTATGTAGGTACATATGTATATATATTTCCTATTGGTTCGGTTCTGTTATTCTGGAGAACACTGACTAATACCCTTCCCAAAGGCCCTGTCTTCAAACACCATCACACTGGGGGTTAGGGCTTCAACATTTGCATTTTTGCAGAACATAATTCAGCACACAGCATGATCTGTATACAATTTTCAGTCATTCTGCTTCATTATGCTTCATTTTCCTCATGTATAAAAGGAGGAAAATAATAGAAATTACCTCATAAAATTGTTGTGTTAAGTGAGTCAATATTCCTAAAGTTTTTTAAAAAAGAATCCAGACACATAGTGAGTGTTATTTGAGAATTTGGTAAATAATAAAAATAAAGTGCATGCCAGACAGATGAAAGATCATGGACTTAAATTCTGAGGAGAAAATGGCGTAAAAATTTATGAGCACAAAAAGAAACCTTGTGTGAAGAGAACAGCGTGTACGGGTGGAGTGAAGCTCTAGATGAAATGGAAGAGATGGCCAGGGGCTGGACAAGGCTGGAACTTGAAGGTCCTGGATTTTTTATAACTGCAATGGGAAGCCTTTTTATTTTAAACAAACAGTTCAAAGACTTGATTCATATTTAAAAAAATTAATGTGTATATTCTTTGGAGAATATAAAGGAGAAGGAAAGGAAATACAGATACCTATTATGAGAGTATTACTCTAGTTCAAACAAGGATAGTTATGTGGCTGGAACAGAGTAGTAATGACAATCTCAAGAAAACTTAATAGTTGAGTTATATTTTGGAGGTAAAATTGATAGAATTTATTAATCGATTGGATGGAGGAAGACAGAGAGGTAGAAATCAAGAATTTCTGACTTAATCCAGATTTCTGACTTAAGCTCTTGGCTATAAAAAACTGTCAAATACTTAGTTGAAGAACATTGGGAAATGAATGGATTTGTTGGGAGGTGAGGTGGAAATCAAGACCAGTTTTAAACCTGTCAAACCTGAGATGCCCATGAGCTATCTAGCTGAAATGCCAGATAGTTAATTGGCTATATTATCTATTTTGTAGTTTGGAGGAGAGGTCTGAGCCAAAGACAATTTGGGGGCAATTAACTCTATTTGGATGGCGTTTAAAGGTAAAGAATAAACAAGGTCATCTAGAAAGGGTACGACAGAAAAATTTTGACAGGGGAAGAGTCGGGGGAGGGATTTAGAACCCAAAAAACGGACTTAAAAAGCTTTTTTCTATTTTTTATTACAAAAAATTTCAAACATACATAAGTTGGAGAAGGTTACATGGTACAACGAACAGCTGTATGCCCACCACCTAGATTCACCATTTGTTAACATTTTGTCGTATTTTGTTCATCTACCTATCTGAATCTACATCTGTATTTATAGATGTATCAATCTGCACATGTATTTATAGATGTATCTATCTACACATATTTCTCCAAACTGTTTCAAAGTAAGTTGCAGATATTATAAAACTTTACTCCTAAATACTTCAGCATGTCCTAAAACTAAAGACATTATTATACATAACCACCGTGCCATTATCATGTCTAAGAAAACTGACAATAATTCACAAACAATGTAACACCTAGTTTGTACACAAATTTACTAAACGTTCCCCCAAATATCTTTTATACATTTATGATTGCCAGCATTTAAAGGTCAGGTGGATGAGCAAGAGCTATGAATGGGGGTGAAGACATAAGAGTCTCCATAGCAGGTACGGCAGGAAAGGCCGGTTTCAGGAAAGCCAAAATGGATTGCAAGGATGCTAAATCTGTAAATACTAAAGGCCTTCTGTAGTTACTCTTTGTCTTAGAAAATTTGGGTCTAGGGCTATTTGAAAGAGGTTGAACGACATACCATACATATGTGCCTTCCGACTCATGATTTATGATAAACTAGGAATACTCATATCCCAATTGATTTGGCAAAGAATCAAAGATGAGAAGAGCTAAAATCTAATGTTATTTAGTGAAGAGCTGTAAACTGACCTTTGCCTATTGGCTTGCCCTTTATCATTCCTTTCAGTTGGCATATAATGCTTTTCTTCTGGCAACTGACCCAATTTCAGAGATTCCTCTCCTCTTTACATTTTTCACTCCCTGCATGTTCCATTACATATGCAATTAATTTAATGTTATTTATAATCCCAATTCTTTACTCCTCTTACCAATTAGAATGACTATATAATTTATCTCTCAAACCAGGAAACTTCTTAAAATAAAAATAACTAGAGATATAAACCAAGCTGTTCCAGGCAAACCAGTTTGATGGTCACTCTATGGATAAATTGTCTTCTCCACTTCTTTTCCTCTCCTCTCTCACTTCCTCCTTTATAACTCAGACCCTTTAATATATAAATAGTAAAAGCACCCCAGGATACCCTTTATGAAAAATCAACCTCTCCATAGACGTTTCAAGAGGTCATAGAATAAAATGCATATTACCACAACCTTTAAGAATTTTAATTACTTTTAAGTGATTTCTTGCCATACTTTACTTTTTCTAATAATTGTGATTTCCAAGGTTTTCCTCCTTCATAAACTTCCATTTGTTACATAATTTATAGAATTTCTGTATAATTATTTTCTTTATAATTAATTTGCTCAGTAGAGACCTACTAAGCCTCTGAATAAAAATATGCAAATTAATGTATATTTTAAATATTCTACATAACTGTTATCTTGTTTCACATAATCAATAGATTATATTCTTGCTATAAAAGAGATTATATCTTTGTAGTTTAAAAAGAAGTCAATTTAGTGGACACATAACTGTCAAACATATTTGAAAAAACCTCTTATATAGTAAGCAACCAATAACTAAATTAATAAACAAAAAATTAATAAGCTAAACTATAGTGTTTTAGTTTGTTGTTACACTGGTTGAATAGCAGGCTCTCAACTCTCCCCTTTAGTTTTTATTTTTATTTTTTAGATGGAGTCTTGCTCTGTTGCCCAGGCTGGAGTACAGTGGCATGGTCTCAGCTCACTGCAACCTCTGCCTCCCGGGTTAAAACGATTCTCCTGCCTCAGCCTCCTGAGTAGCTGGGATTACAGGCACCTGCCACCACACCTGGCTAATTTTTTGTATTTTTAGTAGATATGGGGTTTCACAGTGTTGGCCAGGATGTTCTCGAACTCCTGACCTCGTGATCTGTCGACCTCAGCCTCACAAAGTGCTGGGATTACAGGCATGAGCCACCGCGCCCGGCCTACTCTCCCCTTCTCTTATAAATATCCAAAGGAAAAGTTGAACACAAAAGAGATTTATTGTTTCCATCACCCTTTCTGCCGTGATTACTCTTTTTTTTCTTTTTTGGAAACAGAGTCTCGCTCTGTCACCCAGGCTAGAGTGAAGTGACACGATCTCGGCTCACTGCAGCCTCCACTTCGGGGTTCAAGCGATTCTCCTGCCTCAGCCTCCTGAGTAGCTGGGACTACAAGTGTGTGCCACCACGCCCGGCTACTTTTTGTATTTTTAGTAGAGATGGAGTTTCACCGTGTTGGCCAGGCTGGTCTCAAACTCCTGACCTCGTGATCCACCTGCCTCGGCCTGCCAAAGTGTTGGGATTACAGGCGTGAGCCACCACGCCCAGCCTGATTACTCTTTTAATTTGAATAAAGAATAAGATATGGTAGATATGCAAAATATCAGGTACGCAAAATGTCAGGTATGCAAAAATGTCAAAAACTGGGTTTTGGGATTTTCCCTAAAAGTGAGATTACAAATGGATCAAATGGTTTTCTATACTAATTGAAAAATAATTCTGAAGAACTTTGGTTTTGGAAGTTGTCTGTTGGTACTCATCATCGATTCCCATTATATTCTGTGTTCTTTCCTTATTGTGGAGACTGGTAAATGAAATGCACATATCTCAGGCTTTCTTGCTGTTAGGGGTCTGAATGTGAATTAGATTCTACCAATAAAATATACTCATTAGAAGACAGAAATGAGGCGGAGGCTATCGTCTTGCCACTATGGTGGTCTGCAGCAAAGCAGCAAGTCAGACAGATGAGGGAACTGCCAGTCGGTAAGCAGTCAGAACACATACAGTATTTATTTATTAGGTTCATTGTTACATATGGGTGCAGTTAGTGGTGCTCTAAAAACAATTCCAATAGCGACATTAAAGATGACTGATCACAGATTACCATAGCAGATATATTAGGTTGGTGGAAAAGTAATTGTGGTTTTTGCCATTGAAAGTAATTTGTAAAAAACATTAACATCTGCAAAGCGTAACAAAGTGAAACACAATAGAACAAGATATACCTCTCTCTCTCTCTGTGTGTGTGTGTGTGTGTGTGTGTGTGTGTGTGTGTGTTTCTAATTTCTTAAGTTACTCTTTAGGAGGATTGTAGAAGTGAATAATTACAGCAACATTATATGAGACTTGAGGCAGTTTTACTTCAATGGGAGAGAAGAGGAAGAGAGGCAAGTGGGGGACCACAGGGAAGTGGGCTGATAATTGACATTCTGTGTAGGACCCATCAAAACTTTAGCATCCTGAGACATTGAAAAGAGGAGGTATCTCTTCTGTCTCTTGCTATCTATCTATATAATAATAGATAAATTGATCCACAGATATCTCCCCCAATTTTTGCCTTCCTCCCCATATCTTGACTACTCTGATGCTTTCAACAATATATCAAACATCAAATTCTTAACCTTTCTTTGTTTTGGGCCTCTGCTTTGCCGGTGCTCTGAG
Organism: Homo sapiens; assembly: GCF_000001405.40. Taxonomy (NCBI): domain Eukaryota; kingdom Metazoa; phylum Chordata; class Mammalia; order Primates; family Hominidae; genus Homo; species Homo sapiens. Next base: position 176,670,380 of record NC_000003.12, on the reverse strand, counting down.
CAGGTGCATCATGTTGAGAATCCTCTGTGCCTTGATTAAGGGTCTAAAACAACCTGTGTTGCTTGCATGAGGAAAGAATAATGATGTATTAAGGAGAAATTCTTACCAGGTTCACATTTTGCCTGTGTCTAGTTTCTGCTACTGACAGTGAGTGAATAAGGAAGAAGAGGGGTTCTTTTGAGACATCACAAATCAGCTCTATCAAATCTCTGTTTGCAAAAATCAGTTACTTCTAGAGCAGTAGTCTGGCTGTCTCCTCGTTAGTTAATTGTATGCATCAGTTTCTAACTTGTGCTCTAATGAGTTCTCTATCTTCTTGCCAGGCTCTGACAAAGCTCACTCCCATGCACTCGGCAATGTGCTGATATCTGTCTCTTCAAACAGGGTTATTGAGTAAAGAGAGAAATGGATAAATGAAGAAATGGAGATGCATATATCCCACCACCTTGAAATTCCTCCTCCACCACATTCATATGCCTGAGATAAAATACAGCTGAGTATACCCTGAGCTGGGCTTGAAGATGTGTGTGTTCTATTGTGAAAAACGTTCTTGTTAGAATTTTCATTGCCTCATTTCATTTCTTTTCTTTTTCTTTTTCTTTTTTTTTTTCCAGATACAGCTCTGGGGGATAGATAGGAATATCTTTAGAAGGCAGAAAAATACCAAAATTATGTAGACATATTTATATTCTTATTGTTTTAAAAGGTCAGAAATTGTTCTAGTTTCTTGGTATTCCTAATAATAGTGACTCTTTTGGGATAATTGGATGTGATCTTTCTAAGGCTCTTTTTTTTTTAAAGCTGTATGGATTGACCATTTATTTCTGTGGTTTTCTGCTCCATTTTTTTTTTTTGTTGTGGCTATTGTAAATGGGATTATTTTCTTGGTTTCTTTTTCAGATTGTTGACTGTTGCCGTATAAATGCTACTGATTTTTGTATATTTATTTTGTACCCTTACTGAATTTGTTTATCAGTTCTAATAGTTAAAATTCAATACAAAAGTAATTCTATTTATCTCAATGTTTCGATCCATAAAATGCTAAAGCATGTCTTACAAAATGTAATTTCACAAAAGTACTCTGTTCATGGGTCAGAAGAATTAATATTGTTAAAATGACCATACTACCTAAAGCATTCTACAGATTCAATGCAATACTTAACAAAATACCAATATCATTCTTCACAGAAATAGAAAAAAAATTCCTAAAACTTATATGGAACCACAAAAAACCTAGAATAGTCAAAGCCATTCTGAGAAAAAAGAACAAAGCTGGGGGTATCATATTACCTTATTTCAAATTATACTACAAAGCTATAGTAACCAAAACAGCACGGTGTTGGCATGAAAACAGACACATAGACCAATGGAAAAGAATAGAGGATCCAGAAACATATCATTGCATTTACAGTCAACTCATATTTGGCAAAGCTGCCAAGAACACAGATTGAGTAAGAGGCAGCCTATTCAATAAATTTTGCTGGGGAAATTGGATAACCATATAGAGAAAAAGGAAACTCGTCCTTTGTCTCTCACCATGTACAAAAATAAAATCAAATGGGCTAAAGATCTAAATATAAGATTTGAAACTATCAGACTACTAGAAGAAAACACTGGGGAAACTCCAGGACATTGGTCTGGGCAAAGATTTCTTGAGTAGTATCTCAAAAGCACAGGCAACCAAAGCAAAAATAGACAAAACACAGCAAAGGAAACAACAAAGTCAAGAGACAACCCACAGAATGGGAGAAAATATTTGCAAAGGTTAATAACCAGAATATATATAAGGAGCTCAAATAACTCAATGGAAAAAAACAAATAATCTGATTTAAAAATGGGCAAAAGATCTAAATAGATATTTCTCAAAAGAAGAAATACAAATGATCAACAGGTGTATGAAAAAATCTCAACGTCATGAATCATCAGAGGAAGAAATGCAATCAAAACTAAAATGAGATATCATGTCACCCCAGTTAAAATGGCTTTTATCCAAAAGACAGACAATAACAAATGCTGGTGAGGATGTAGAGTAAAGGGGACCATTTTACACTGTTGGTGGGAATTTAAATTAGTACAGCCACTATGGAAATTAGTATGGAGATTCCTCAAAAACTACAAATAGAGCTACCATATGATCCAGTAATTCCACTGCTAGGTATTTATCCAAAATAAGGAAATCGTACACGGAAGAGATATCTGTACTCTCATGTTCATTGCAGCACTATTCACAATAGCCAAGATATGGAATCAACCTAAGTGTCCATCAACAGATAAATGGACAAAGAAAATGTGATATGTATACACAATGGCATATTATTCAGCTGTAAAAAAGAATGAAATCCTGTCATTTGCAACAACATGGATGGAACCAGAGGACATTATGCTAAATGAAAGAAGTTGGGCACAGAAGGATAAATATCACATGTTTTCACTCCTATGTGGGAGCTAAAATTAAAAAATTGAACTTATGGAGACAGAGAGTAGAATAATGGTTACCAGAGGCTGGGAATGGGAGCAGGGAGGAAGGGAAAAAGTAGGAATGGTTAATGGATATGAAAATATAGTTAGATAGAACAAATAAGATCTAGTATATCACCCTGATAGCACATCAGGGTGACTGCAGTCTATAATCAGTTATTGCATATTTAAAAATAGCTAAAAGAATGGAATTGAAATGTTCCTAACACAAAGTGATAAATTCTTGAGGTGATGGATACCCAATTACCCTGATGCAATTATTACACATTGTATTCCTGTATCAAAACATTGCTTGTATGTAGGGCCTGAAAAACAAACTCATGGAAATTGAGAGTAGAATGATAGTTACCAGAGGTTGGGAAGGGTAGTGGGGAGGGTAGCGAGGGGGTAAAGAGGGGGATGATTAATGAAAAAATACAAAGGGATAGATGGACTAAGATCTAGTGTTCAATAGCACAAAAGGGTAACTATAGTTAACAATGATTTATTGTATATTTCAAAATAACTAAAAGAATGGAATTGGAGTGTTCTTAACATAAATAAATGATAAATGCTTGAGGTGACACATACCCTAATTATTCTGATTTAATCATTATACATGGCAGCTTATATCAAAATATCACATGTACCCCATAAATATGTGTATTATGTATCCATAATAAACAGAATAATTTTTTTTTAAATTTGCAAAATAATGAAGAAATTAAATGACATGTTTCTATTTTCCTTTTAACTAATTTAAAGGTCCAGTGTGACCATGCATATACTCCTTACAGATAATCATGGACAGACAACCCACTTCTGTAAGCCTCACTGAAGTTTTAAATGTAATTTCCAGTTATTTTAGTATCAGCCTTCGTTTCTTAGTAGAGTCAATAGTGGGAAGAAATCAATCTCCCACAATCTTGGACATTGTTACCAATATCAGGACAGCCTGTCTTACTGCACTAGCATTTAGGAGGGTGGAATATAGAGTACAGGGGTCTTTGTGGCATGAAGACATCCCTAATTCAACTCTAAAATAAGTGCTGTGTGAAGTGAGTAAAAGTGTGAATGGTAGGTCCTCTTTTGATCACATCTTTTTTTTTTTTGAGACAGAGTTTCACTTTTGTTGCCTAGGCTGGAGTGCAATGGCACGATTTTGGTTCACTGCCACCTTCGCCTCCCGGGTTCAAGTGATTCTCCTGCCTCAGCCTCAGGAGAAGCTGGGATTACAGGTGTGAGTCACCACGCCTGGCTAATATTTTGTAGTTTTAGTAGAGATGGGGTTTCACCATGTTAGTCAGGCTGGTCTCAAACTCCTGACCTCAGGTGATCCACCTGCCTCGGCCTTCCAAAGTGCTGGGATTACAGGTATGAGCCACCACACCCGGCCCCCAACCCCCCCTTTTTTTTAACTTTTATTTAAGAGCAGGGGTATAAGTGCAGATTTGTTCCATAGGTAAACTTGTGTCATGGGGGTTTGTTGTACAGATTATTTCACTACCCAGTTATTAAGCCTAGTACCCATTAGTTATTTTTACTGATCCTCCCCTTCTCCTACCACCCATCCTCCGAAAGGCTCTAGTATGTGTTGTTCTCTATGGATCACATCTTTCTTATGAGCCCTACTATTCCATAAGAAAATACTGTTTACATTTTCCATTTACTGGGGTAATTTTCCTAATCATAGAGTCCTAGTCTCTCACTATCATTCTCTTGAGGTGATGTGGTCATATCGCTGCCATCATGTGTTATTTAATTAATTAATTACAAACTACTTGAGTAAATATGTATTGCATGTCTGAAAGATGTTATTTTCTGAGATGGATAACCCTAAAAAAGAAGCAAGTACAGAGGTGTGAAATAATTTTTAAAAATTTCGTTTTAATCATATCAGGCATGAGATGTTCCATTAGATAGCAAAATGGAGGTGTTGAATAGGCATTTGGACATAAGTGTCTAGGGCTGAGGTAAAATATGGGCTGACATATACATTTGGGAGTCATTAGCATACAGATGATATTTAAAGCATAGGAAGGATAAAGTCATCTAGATATTTAGTGTGGATATGGAGGAAAAGTGGCTTAAGGACTGATATCTGAGGGCACATTGGCATTCAGAGATCAGAAAAAGGAAGAAGAGGCAGAGAGAAGTGGCCAAGGTCTTGGAAGGAAAATTAAGAGTATAGTATATTCTGGAAGCCAGCTGGAGACAATGTTTCAGGAAGTATGAAACAATAATGTCAAGTGCTCAGGTGTCAAATAAAATGAAGACTAAGAATTGCCCTTTGGATGTGGCAATGTTGGGGTCATTGGGAACCTTGAGGAAAACAGTTTCTATTAAGAGGGTGCCCTCTATCTTATTTTTAGCAATGGATGATATGATATAAACTACTTTTCAATGGAAGTAACCATACTGGTTTTAGACAAAGGGTGGCCCCTTATTTTATTTAATTTCCTTCGGATAAAAAGCTACTTGTTTAGTCCATGTAAACATTTCTAGTTTGGTGACTGCATTTAGCTGGACTACAGATAAATTAAGCTTGTTTTTATGGCTAGGTTTTTTTTTTTTTTGGAGGGAATCTTTTGATTCAAACTTGGTTCATATACACAGACAACAGGCTGGATATATGATGAAAAGCTGTAAAGCACACATCGGAAACGAAACCCCAATACTGAGTTCTTTCAAACTGTTTTCTTGTTTTAATGAGGGTTTTTCTTTGGTGCTCAAACCCCATTTTTTCATAGAATACTTTCTAGTTAGCAGTGTGATAATAAAGTAAACTTGATTTTTACACACCACTATATGATTGAGATGGCTTTAATTTACATTATTCCCATCTTTTCTGTGGGAGTTGATTAAAAAAAAATCACAAGACAGTAGGGTCATACGCTGCCAGCACGTCCATCACTTACTTTCTAGGCGAGCCACAATTAAGGACTTAGAGTGAGCTAATTATACATCCTAATATTAAATATCTCCAGGAAAGGAGATTAGAAATGTACTAGAAAATTGTAATAGCTTTTCCTGAAACGCAAGCTTTTTCTAATAAATATTGTAATTCCAATTTCAACTCAACTGAGGTCAGACTGAGCAGTCAAAAATAGCTTCTTAATACCATTTGTATATTCTATATCTTTTCCTGGCTCATATTTTAGCCTGTGTGTCAAAACGGAGAAAATGAGTTATGTTGTCTCCCTTTTCCTGTCTCTCACTTTTGCTAAAATAGGACAGCCTGACAATGAGCTAAGCTTTTCAAGGTCAGCACCTAACTGTGCCTCTGTTTCTTCCCTCACAAAACAGTCTGAGAGCCTCCCCTTTGTCATGCCATCTGAATGTTGGGAAGTCTGATTAAATGATCAGATTCTTTAAGCAACAGATATCAGTTGCCTCCTTGTACTAGGGGAAAACGATTAGCTCTATTTGTTACTTGAAATCTATGAAGGAAAAGCTGTTGCGTTATTTGAATTCTATGAGGAAGTTTAGGTAACACATATTCAGCTAACTTCCAGAGAATTTGGTGTTAGTTATAACCAACTAAAAACCTAACCACCTCATTCTGATAGCTTTTCTCTCAGCTCCTTAACATTTATCATGGTGAAAAGCCTTTGAGTAAACCCCTAATGCAATTTTCAAAGACAAAGAAGCTGTGACATTTGGCAGTCAGCTTAATGCATTCTTTTCTTTTTATTTTTTTTAGTTAGCTGTGAGATGAGATAATTTGTGAAATATGGTGTCTGGCAGGATAATCAAATAGGACTGAATTTGGACACATATTTCAATCTCAGCGATTTCTAGTTTTGACTGCAAACATGTTTAAGGGAGTGGTGAAATTTTGTCATTTCATATCCTGTAGATGGCAATGTTGCCCTTGAAAAATAAACACATACATGCTTGTGGTCTGGGCTTCCCAGATGCTGTATTGCTTAATAATGGATAAACAGGAACTTTCATACCAATTCAAGGTATACCGTTCGGAAAATATATTTCAGATGGAGAGAGTACGTATGGAACAGATAAATATCTGTAAGTGTCAGCATTTACATTTAAAATTGTGCACGGTTTTAGAAAATGTTCTGTTTAATTGTGCTCTTTCCTTTCAAGTGATCTCATTTTTCCTTTAATAATGCTTTATTTCAGGTATCATTACTTAGAGTTGTTTTCACATTACTGCAAGATGAAGAATGGCCATGGTTAAAACCTACAGACTTTTTTTGGGTAAATGTACACCATTCAGTGAGCCACAATAGAATCAGAATGACAAAGAGCTCAGGAATAAACCACTGTGGCCTTCTCCATGATTTCCAAGAGCATTTTCTCTTTCTCTGGGCCTGAGTCCTGAGGTTAGTCAGGCATTGAGGTAGGAAGGAAGTGACTGAGAATTTTGTTATTCTCAATCAGCGGATGCAATTTCAAAAGCAGCCAAGAAAGAACCAGATGACAAAGTTTTAATTAAAATATAAACCCTCAATAAGGCAGATATGCTAAATCACTTGCTTCTAAACTGAGATGAAAAATTCAAATGTATGCAAAGGTATACTACAAACTTCCAGGAAGAAAATGTAAACTGAAAAGAATTTCAGCTGTAGAAACCTAGTATTTTGTCTTTTGGACCAAAATATACCTTTTTTTCTGTGGCCAGAGACTGAGGGCACGTGAAGAAACAGAATCATGATCTTATTCTGGTACATTTTCCTTTTTAACCATGAAATCTCAGAATCAAAATATCTTGGCAAATTTAATCCATACAAAGAAGCAAGTATATGCTCTTGATAAGAATGGGAGATTCAGAGTAAGAATGGGCTGGGAATTGGAAAAGAATTTTAAAGTATGATTTGAAAATTTTGGTATAGTATCAGATTGAATGAGAATGAGCCTACTTAGGAATAGAATATATTCTAGGCTTTTTATTTTAACTTAAAACATGCTTCAGGTTTCTGAATATTAAGTTTTGCTCTTAGAAAGTCCTAGCCATGTTTCATTTTCTTGTGTATTTATGTTCTGGCCCTCCTTTTAAAAAAAAATTGACATCATGAGAGGAGGAGTTGTTCAGAACATAGACATTGAGATTGGACAGCTCTGAGCGGATCACTTCAGCCTTGTGACTTGGTGAACATCAGTTATGAACATCAGTTTTAATCTGTAGAGTAGTAAAAATAAGTCTACCTACCTTTTAGGTATTTGGCTTAGAAGAAGTAGTCAATAAATAATGGTGTTTATAATTTTTTTGGTCTGTTAAATGGGCCTTCCTTTTCTTTTTCCTCTTTTGGGGTAAGAAAAATTAGATAGTAACTATTTAATAAATATTTGTAGAAATAAATAGTTGAAACAGTGAATCATTTAATTACTGAAGAAAATTTTTTCAGTGACATTGATATCAGAACATTTGCTCCAACTTCCCTCTCTAAGATCAAGTACAAGACAAAGAGTAACCATGTCTCAGGGGTCTATGATTAAGTCATGCAAAACAGAGAAAGCAAAGCAAAAAAAGGTCAGGGTATTTAAAAAGATATTATGGCATGTCAAGTAGAATCATAGACATTTTCTTATGGAAGAGAATTTCTAGTGAAGGTCATACTGGACTCTGAATTCTTCAGTTTATGAATGGGAACCCATTTTAGCTTTGCATTATGGCCAGGAAAGTGAGACCTCAAACTCAGTCTCAAAAGAAAAGTTAGTAATTTACTTTTGTTATTGTTGTTGTAAGTACGTATATGTTTTCACTTTAAAGCAAAGTGACTACTGAAGTTCTGTTTTATGTAGTAAGTTTATAGAGCTTTACAAAACATTAAAAATCATTGCTAAAGTATCCCGAAGCTGAACGTTTGGGTCTAATAAAATTTCAGATGATGCAAATCTTTGTAAATTAGTTTTTTTTTACTATGAAGTGAATGCTTGAGCTAATGATCACAAATAAATCTAATTTTATAAAACCTGTGCCCAGCTGAAAAATCTGTGATTAAAATTGGATTCTAGATATAAACTCCTCTTCTTTTCCTGGGTTCAATGTATTTTGTGAAACAATCTTCCAATAAAATATAATGCATTTTGATGACTCACCTTTAAGACAAAACAGAAGGCTGGCTTTTCAACTTTTGAAACAAAATGCTGTCTCATGTATATGCCTGATATATAGAATACATTCATTTTTATCAGTAAAAAACACTGGGTGTCTGTAACATTGAGATAATACCTACCAGATATTTGGTATTGTGTTAAACAACTCACGTGGTTGATTTTTCCATGGTTACTTTATGCAGTAAGATAAATATTGTTATTATCCTCATCAACCTTATTTTGAAGAGTCACAGGACTGCTGGAGATGTTAAATAACCGTCCACTGTTTCCAGCCTGAAAGTGATATGCTTGGGCCTTGAACTCAGGCAGTCTAGTAAATAACATGGTAATAGTCCAGAGACTAGACTGTAAATACTGGGCAATCCTACTTCTCTAGCAGATACCTTTCTGTGGAACTTTTGTCAAAACTCTTGCTGACAGAGAGGCTTTTCCACAAGAGTAGATAAGTCTTCGTTTCTTATTCTGGTGCATGTTTGTTTCTCTGCTTATGTTTCTGGTTCTGTATTTCTTAGTCTAAGACTTGCTATATTTCTCCAGAGGTTTCATTACAACATAGGAGGAACATGACATGCCTCCTGAATGGTCCACTTTACTTTAATATTGTGGGGCAAAATGTTATTACTATTACATGCTTGTGGCATAAAATTATTTCCAGCAGAAATAATTAAAAAACACTTGTAATTTAAAAACTTATCATCTTATTCTTTATTTTAATGTGAGCTTGAAGACCAAAAAGTTACATAGCTTGGCTATATTCCTCTGTCTCACTTTATAATTTTTATTAGTGAACTCTTTAAATATTGTATTATCAGTTTTCATAGATGGTCTGATATAATAGGAAACTTTTCTGTTGCATTAAAAAACCCTGCTGTCAAGGTCTTCATTCATTACTTTGTTAAAAGTCCTTGTAAAAATCCCTATGAAAAATTTCTCCAAGAGCTCAGAACTCTACCAATGAGTTCATGGTCTACTTGATGATAAGAGATATGAAATTCATTGTATTGTCCTTTGACCTAGATTGCTAGAAACTTAGAGCTAAGGTTTGAAATCACTTGCTATATTTTTCTGCAGTCAAGACTTTATATAATTTTTCTTTTTAGCTCTCCTGCTACAGTCGTTTTAAATTTTTTTATCATGAGTTAATAGTTTTGGGTTTATTTATATGCTTTTATTTCAAAGAATCCCAAATCTTTTACAAAAATTAAAAGGGTACGAAAGGGGTGAGCAATAATACATATAGAAATAAATATTGTTATGTGCATTTATTTTTCTAGTACAAGTGAGAATAATTTTCTTCAATGGGATAAAACTTCAATGTATGCTTGACAACTTATTTTTGTAAATTTTCATTTTTGATGCATGGATATCATAGTTGTGTAATGACCTTCCACAAACCAAACTTTATAGTAAAAATAAAAATTTTTAGGGCATATTAAGATTTTGGTTGTTGTTTCTTTATCATGTAGCTAAATGTTGGACAGAATAAGCATTAAGTAGATATTTCAGTCCAAAAAATATTTTAAAATTATGATAAAAGAAAGGGAGATTATTTTATATTCTCTATTGATTGTGAATACCGTGTCTCATTTTATTAGATGTTCTGTCTCTTAAGAAGTTTCCGCAACTCAAGGAGGTAACCTACCTTTCTATATGTTTTCCTTAATTAAAATTTGTATTTCATCTCCCAAGTTGTGGAAAATATGATATTGTTACAATATTATACAGAATCTTTTCCCCCATAACTATGTGTGAGATAAAGGGCAATTCTTTACATTCTGAATTTCTCATGGTTCAGTGTCATATTTCCCATTTATGAAATTTAGAAGTATATTTATTTAATTTGTGATTAAATCCTACCAATTTTCCAAAACTCTTAAAGAAGGTGATTTTTTACCTGTTGCTCAACTTATGTAAATCTACATTGTGAAGGAAAAAGTTATAAACATGCAAAGTAAGATAATTCCAAAATGTGCAACAGAAATCAGTTCTGAAAGCATCATGACATTGGGGGATGTTTGAAATAAGTTGGCATTTATCTATGTCATCAATGCTTCATGAAATTCTGACTCATTTCATTAGTAAAAATATCTATCCAGAATGTCAATAAAGAGTGCTGAGAGCATTTGTGAAATGCCATTGACTTTTACAATTGCAAGAAATCCATCTCCCTAAACATGAATTGTGCTATGTCTGTGTGTCTTCCAATAAACATCTCCCCATCAAATAATTTCAATGTCAGTAAATAGAATGAAACACAAAAATCTCTTGTGTCTATTCTCTCTTTCAGAAGAAAAACTCTGACCTTGCCACATCTATAGAAAGTTAATATGCATGGAAAAATTCAATACAACTCTTTTGGCTAGAACTGTAGCTTTAGTTTACCTTTTGGAAACTACTGCAAAAGTAATTTGACATCTTTATTTAAAAAATACATTATATTAATAATTACAGGAAAGCAGATGAATGGAGCAATTTTTTTCAATTAAATTATTGTGCTTTTGTGTAATGCGTATTTTGTCTTTAATGACTTGGAACCATATTCCTCTTCCTGGAGAGGTCATTATGCTTTTATTAGATTGTGATTTTCCCCCTCAGTTATTTCTTCCTTTCCTAAGTGCCAGAAATGTTCTGAAAAGAGAAAACAGAGCACATTGATGCCATTTTTCTCAGAATATATTGTCTAGAATGTCTTTGTCATATGGATTTTTATTATTATCTTTACTTAGGACAATATTCTTTTATCTTTATTATGCATTTATTCCTTTTAGTACATTTGGAAATTAGGATGTTTTATTTTATGGAGAAAGGATGTGAAGTCACAAAAAAGTAGCTAGACTTGTCTCCTATTGCATCAAAGTGTAGAAGCAGGACAGGTGGATGAAAGCTTCAGGGGATCACTGATTCATTGCAAGAAATAATTTTGGACTTGACTATCTTGGCATTTCCTGCCCTGGAGGTAATGTAGTAAAGTGAGTTCAGTATCAGATTGGTGGTATTGAACATTCTATTCCCATGCCTAGAAGCCCCTCTCACAAATCCCTGTTTGAGCTAATTCTAATATTCCTTCACAAATCAGCTTGAATTTTATCCCCAGTGTGCCATTTTCTTGGCATGACTCCGCTCCCACCCACAGTAATATCTCTGTGCTCCAACAATACCCTGTGTACTTCTCTATCATGTGTTTCATTCTTTACTGTTATTGTTACTTGTTGTACTTGCCACTAGTTTTAAGTGGTTAAGAGTGGGGGTCATAACTTATTTGATTGTGTATCTCTAACATCCAGCAGAGTTTTTGGCAAGAGCAAAATTACATAAATGAATGAAGAAATGGGAATTTTTATACTGCTTCAAGTATGTGATTTGGAAAGAAATTTGGAGAAAATCTGTAGTGTTTTAGTTTCTTTGGTTTTATATTTATACTCTTCATGAACTCATACAATGTATCATGTTATATGGAGGAATATATGTGTACAGTTGCTCTAAAAGACAGAATTTGATAACCCTTTATGAATTATGAATGCATCTTTTAGTATCACAGGAAAGATACTTTGCAAGTTTGCTGTTGTTGAAAAGTCATTGACTTTCAATTTCTACTTCCATTTTATTTTTTGTGATGCTAAATATTTGTGTGGTAGTGATATTTATTTATTTTTTTTCACTTCACTGTTTCTACCAAGATTTTAGCAAGAACTTAAAAGTCAATAAAGCTAAAATGGAAAAGACAGAAAATGCCAAGTGTTGTTGAGGATATGGGAACAACTGGGACACTCACCCACTGTTGATAGGAGTGTAAATAGCTATAAATATTTTGGAAACCTGTTTGTCAGTATCTCTAAAGCTGATTATATGCATACCTTATGACCTAGTTATGGCACTCTTAGGTATATGACACATAGAAATGAATATATTCATCAATATATATACACACAAATGTTTGTAGCAGACCTATTTGTAATTATTCCAAATTGGAAATAACACCAAACGTCCTCAACAGTAGAATGCATAATTACTGTATATAAATACAGTGAAATGCTTATATAGCAATGAAAATGAATGAAATGCAACTACGTGCCACACCAGGAATGAATCTGACATACACAACAATAATAATGTTGAATGAAATAATAAAGACCTGAAACAGCACACATTGTATGATTCTATTTATATTAATTTCAAACACTGACAAAACTAATATGTGGTGTTAGAAATCAGAAGAGTGGTTACCCTTAAGGATTGAGAGAGAATAGTGATAGGAAGAGGGGCATGAGCAGGGCTTTTAGAGATTGCCAATGTTCTGTTTCTCTGAGTGGTGGTTTTTCAGGTGTATTCAATTTGGTGAAATGGTTTCAAATTATAAAGCTTTGATCTGTGCCATTTTCTGTATGTTTATTATACCTCATTAAAAACTTAAAAATGAAAGGAAGTCAGAATAAAAAGTCCAAAATCATGATTTAACAATTAGTAAACACCTTAAAGGGATATTTTGTGCCATGGATGAAAATTTCAGGATTCCACCTTAATTTTATTAAATGTGTAGAATTTGGCTATGTTAATATAGTAAAGTTTTTCTGCACCTTTAGGCTTTTGGTATTGCCATCCTATTGACTGACAAATATGGATATGAAAAACCCCTTGGATAATTAATAGTGATAACATTTTCTTTCTCCCTCAACGAATATTAAATATTATTGTACTATGAAATAATTTCTGATCTTTTAGACACACGAATTCTTCAGAAGGTCTTCAAGGTGCTGCACAAATGATCTACTATTCAGGTCATGTTAGTAAAATGGCCCAAATAGTGATGGTGCTTTAATAATAAAAACCATTGAGCATTGTGTACATTATAAATTGTTGTGTATTTTTTGAGAAGGTGCACATTATTTGTAGTGTTTTCTCTGGAAAAAATAATTATTCCTAGTTAAATAGAGCAAATACATGTTATTTCCTACTTTGAACTCAAATTCCTGTGTTCATATTTTATGAAAAGGTAGCAACTAAGAAAACAAAGCTCTAAACAACTTGCTACCTGTTGAGAAATTTATAGCATTTGTACTTATTAGTTACCAAAAAGAAAAAGGTAATAAATCTGCTATTTCCTTGTTTGTCAGGGGCCAAGGGAAAAGAGCTTCATTAGCATATTTGTCAAGCAGATGTGAAATGAGGCAGAAAACTACTAGAACAATTGGAGAAATCTAGAATATGAAGTTCCAGCACAAACTTAGATGGCTTCTAACTATGTGAAGGTTTGAACAGCAGCTTCTGACATAGAAAATAACCACAGCAAAAAGAAGTGAGGGAAAATTATGAACATGATAATGTGAAAAACAATGATACAGTCTTTGCAATTTAGATTGGCCTTTGAGATGTGCCATATTGCATAGTTTAATTTTGGAAGGTCATTTAAGCAGAGTTAATTGCCTCTGTTAAATTGGATAGTCAACAAGGCTTGTTCTAATGCTTGGTGCACTTTAGGTTTCAGAATTACAACACAAAATTTGTTTCTTCTTAGAACTGACCTGATAGATGGGAGCCACAAATGTTTCCATAAATGTTTTCTGTCTGGTGTTATATAGATAACACCAGACAGAATAAAAATCTAATAGATGACCAGATAAATAATGTCAAGGTATATGAGTTAGAAATACCTAACTTTATAGCAGTTTGTAAAGAAAGAAAGAGAAACAAAAATTGCAGCTGTGGATTCAGACTTTTACTGAATTATGTTAGTATTATGTTAAATATACATAGTATATGATATATACTATGTTAGATATACATAGTATTATGACAGTATTTCTAAAAAATTCTATCTTTAATTTTAGTTGAATTGTTGGAAGCATTATGTTGATTACTATGGTTACAGCACCATGACCCTTGACTGGAGGGCGCATGCTCAGTTGTGTCATTGGTTAGCAATGAAGCAATTTATATATTGGCCTCTATTAGGGGCAATTGCAATGCCTCATGTACATTATATATGGATGCCTGTATGCATAAAAATCCTGAGTGATGGCAACATGGGAATTTCCAAAATTAGTTCCTAGGAAAATGTGGGCTGAATAGAGTCCATTTTTCATTATCTGTGAGAATGAAGATTGGGTATAATATAAAAATGAAATTGATGTTTATTGCATGGTTTCATCCTCTTTACTAATAAATTTTTACTGTAGGCACTAACAAGTGACAGATGTGGTTGACTCATCTCCTTCTCCCTTCGACTCTCTAATGAGCAATTAAATAGCCTGAAACAGAACAATCAAGAGGTCTGGCAAATCCACACACTAGGTAATCGGTTTTTGAAAAATTGAGAGTTAATGGTACTTAGCTCTGTTGTTAGTCAAGAATTCCCCAAGCATCTTTCTCCGAAAGACTCTGAAAAAGGGGACACGCAATAAACAGTATAGTTCTTGGTAGTGGTATCATCAACCCAGTCCATAATTTGCCAACGATTTTTCAAATACTGTTTCAAATGAAGGTATGAAGAAGGCACGTGGTCATATGTGCTATGTTGTTTGAGGAGATCCTGTGAAATTCTGATAATCCAAGCTAGCTTTCCTTCTCAGTTTCTGGGCCCACCACTATTAATAGGTTCTTTGGGTGGTGATACTCCTTAGAATTTTCTTCTTTTCTTTCTTTCTCTTTCCTTTCCTTCTTTTCATTTTTCCTTCATTCCCTCCCTTTCACTATAAACATTCATTGAGTGCTGAATGTGTATCATTGATTGTGTTGGGATATGGAAACAGGAAGATAAATAAAGACAAATTATTGATCCATACTGACTACTGTCTCTGAAGACAGTATAAATGTATAGTTATAAGGCAGTATGGCTTGTTCAAAAATAGAGAGATGCCATGGGTAATTGGAAGCATATAATAAGTGCAGTTTAGGAGTAGAGCTAGAAGATCATCTGGACAAAAAAGATAGCAAGAGCAAGAGAAGATGCCTTTGAAATAGCAGTGTCTATGAGGGAAATAACAGTCCAATATTTCTGTAGTGTAAAGTGCAAGGCAAGATTGTGGTGAAGGATGAGGTAGGAAAGCACAATAAGAGCCTTACAATTCATGTTAATGAAATAAGGATTTTTCTTACACATTTTAGAAACTCACTGAAGGTTTTTGAGCAAGGTAGAAATATGATCACCTTTGCCTTTCAGGGCAGCATTCTGGCAGTACTGTGGAGACCAAGACCAAAACAAGAATGGAGGCTGGATTGTGGTTAAGAAGCAGAAGCACTAGTGCAGATTCTGACGTATTCTGACACAGTGCCATAGTGCCAGAGAAAGAGGATGCGATGGCATCAATGCATATTTAGGAGGATGAATTAAAAATATTTAGTGCTAGAGCAGGGCAGTCCAAAGATAATTCAAACTGAGGTGTTTGTGTGCTAAGTTCAAGCTGCATTTAGGATAAACCGGGGTAATAGTCTAGCAGGCAAGCAGTTTGATGAGTCTGTATTTCATGGGAGATATATGTGCAGAAAATATACATTTGGGAATAGGGAACATTTATGTTTCACTTGAAACTATGCTAGTGGGTGAAATTTCCCAGGGACTGGAAAATTGTGATGATGAGATAGAGTCTAGGAATCCCCCTAACATCAATATTTAAAGGGCAGACAGAGATAAGAGTTACACAAAGGAAACAGAGGGTAGGCACAAAGAGGTCATAAAAAGGACAAGGACACTATTTATTTATTTATTTATTATTTATTTATTTATTTAGAGACAGAGTCTCTCTCTGTTGCCCAGGCTGGAGTGCAGTGGTGTGATCTCTGCTCACTGCAACCTCTGACTCCCCAACTCAAGTGATCCTCTTTCCTCAGCCTCCCAAGTAGCTGAGATTACATGCATGCACCACCATGCCCAGCTAATTTTTTTTAATATATATTTTTACTAGAGATGGGGTTTCATCATGTTGACCAGGCTGGTTGTGAACTTCTGACCTCAAGTGATCCACCCACCTGGGCCTCCCAGAGTGATGGGATTATAGGTGTGAGCCACCGAGTCCAGGATCTTTTTTTAAAAACAAGAGAATTGGGCATCAAGGGAGTGGAGAGTTTCAAAGATAGTGCTTAGTGCAGTCAAGTACTTCAGAAAGTTCTTAATCATTTTGCAAGGCTTAATTGGTTGGGTCCAAGGATCCTGAGCAAATTGCCTTCCACTCAGTTAAAATAACTCCAAGAAATTCTGGAAGAATACGTACAAAAAAAAAAAAGAAAAAAAAAAAGAAAAAGAAGAAAAGAAAAAAAAGAAAAGAAAAGAAAGCCAGGCCACACCAAACCCAAACAATACATTTTATTTCCAGATGAAGTATTGGCCTCAAACTGTAATGTAGAACTGTAATTTAGGTATTTGGTTGACACATAGAAAGACCTTAAAGACTCTTTTACTTAGAATAGGTATGTTACTTGGAACACCCAATCTCATTGTTCTGTGTTTTATTTAGATGATGAAGAAATGTACATCCAAGGAAAATCAAACCAAGTAAAGGAGGAAAAACTTTGAGTTCTGCTTAAGGTCTAGGACTTCCTAAGGCTCATTCCAGCTCCTCCAGATGAAGGCATTTTCTAAGCAGGAGACAATTACAAGTAATATTAAAATTTTTTGAATGAAAGAGAGAGAGAATTCAAACTAAATCTAATGTCTGAGAAAAAGAGATCAGAATCTACCACGACTTGTCATGACATAAACTCTGTGATCCAGATAAACACCTAGGCCATAAGCCAGAAGTATCCCCTAGAGATCAATATCTTTCCAATATTCCAGTAAGAAAATCTCAGAAATACATCTATTGAAGTTTATCATTAGGAAGATGTTGATTTTTTTAGGGATAGCATTTTTTTTTTTTAATAGAGTGGAGGTAGTGGAAGTCAGATTCCAATAGTTGGGAAGTGGATGAAAGCTGAGAAAGTAAAGAGAGTGTTGGCTACATTTTTAAGAAGTTTGGGAAACGCTGGTAATCCCAGCACTTTGGGAGGCTGAGGCAGGTGGATCACGAGGTCAGGAGTTCGAGACCAGTCTGGCAAACATGGTGAAACTCTGTCTCTACTAAAAATAGAAATATTAGCTGGGCATGGTGACACACGCCTGTAATCCCAGCTACTCAGGAGGCTGAGGCAGGAGAATCACTTGAACCCGGGAGGCGGAGGTTGCAGTGAGATGAGATCATGACAAAGGACTCTAGCCTGGGCGACAGAGCGAGACTCCATCTCGAAATAAAAAAAAGAAGTTTGGACAAGAAATGGAGGAAAGAAATTCAACGATAGATCAATTAGGACCAAAGGTGGAGGAAGTTTTTAAAATTGTACTTTAGAAAGGGAGATAATTTGTTTGTGTTATAAATTGAAGAGTTGGAACCAGTATAAAGCGAGACATGAAATTTTAGAAAGATTAATGACTTATTTAAAAAGACCCCTCCAAACCAAGGAGGGATACAAAGATGCTGAAACAGCTGGTAAAACAAGTCTTCTAAGATGTTATGTGTCACTTCTGCATCCACCCCAGCCATAAATAATTTTCTGCTGCCCATACAATAAAAAGAAAATATTTACTGACAGGATAAAGATACCTCATGACAAAGCCTCCTGGATATAATACTCCTAGTTATAAGTTGCAGAACAATGCTTATGTTTATATAGCTAATTGCTAAGTCTGTAATGAAAACCAAGCTTACAGTAGCTCAACACATAGAAATTAAAAATAAATGAGTCTTGTAACTTTGCCTTTTGGTTTTGTTTGTTGACTTTTTGCTTAAAATAATGATTTTAAGAGGTGATGGATGACTGTCCACATCTATTTCTATTTGGCCTAGAACAATTAATCGGCTATAAGTCTTTTGACTGTTAATGCTCTCCGTGATAGGGAGTCCCATCAAGGGACAGGGTGGTCATGGGGCAGGTAGCCAAGCCATCCTGGCAACTCTATGGGACAAAATAAAGATTTGCTGGCCCTTGATGTTGCTTCTGGCAAATCTTGGCCAGAAGGGGGAGAATGTAAACCAAAAATAAAATTACATTTAAGAAATACATTGGTTTGGTCCAGAAAGGTGGAACAACTCACAGCTGGAGGGTGGGGGGATGCTTCCAGCTTATAGGTGGATTTTTACATTTTCTGGTTGACAAGTGGTAGAATTTATATATTGAACTAAAAGTTCAGGTTATATATTTGCATTTCCACTCTCCCCCACCCCCCCTTCCCGGGCCAATCATCTGAATGGACTTCCTTCATTCAGGGGTCTTTTAAAATTTAACCTGAGAGACTGTTTCAGGCCATGGCTGGAAGTGGGGGTCGGACATGCCTCATTATACCTCTTTGGCATTAACAGCAACACAGACTTTAAGTCTGATAAGTCTGATAAGAAACAAGAAACATTTTACAGTCTTTTCTCTCTGAAGTCTTTTACCTCAAGGGTTCCTTTGCAAATAAGAACTTGGATCTCCATAATCCTTTATCTTAACCAAGACTTTTCTTTCTGTTGATCCCAGGTCTTTAAACTCTGCCACTTGTCAACTAGAAAATGTAAAAATCCACCTATAAGCTGGAAGCATCCCCCCACCCTCCAGCTGTGAGTTGTTCCACCTTTCTGGACAAAACTAATGTATTTCTTAAATGTAAAAATTGATTGAAGTCTCATGCCTTCCTAAACTGTGTAAAACCGAGCTGCACCCAGACCACCTGGGGCACATGGTCTCCTGAGGGCTGTGTCATGGGCCATGGTCACTCATCTTTGGCTCAGAATAAATCTCTTCAATATATAAAAAAATGCTATCAAGGAGGCAGTAGTAGATGGGATTAAGGATTCAGAGGTCATTTAAATTTAAGTGCTTGTTCACTAATATTCTGATTTTCTATTTTCTGGCAAAATAGTAGGATACACTTCTTCATCCTTAGGAGTACACACTTCTTCATCCTTAGGAGCACAGAAGAATTTGCCATAGAACATGCCAGTCAATAAAATGTTAGTGAAAGTGATATGTATCACTACCAGTTATGATTTGCCTTCTTCTCAACCTTCTGTCAGAATGCCTCATCATGGTTGAGATGATGACATCACCGTTAGCTGGAGTCACTGAGCAAGAATGGTGTGAAGCAAGCTCAAGGCTGACCTACTAAGGTCTACAAACTGAATCTAATGTCTGAGAAAGTGAGGCAAGATCCACCATGATTCGTCATGCTATAAATGCCCTGCCTGTGCCCTTCACTACAATTTTAAGAAATGTGAAAAATACATGGAAGAAAGAAATGAATGGATGGATTGTGACTAGTGGTGAAAGACTATATTGCATGTCATGTAGCAGGAGCAAGAAACAAACCTTTGTTGTTTTAGGCTTCTAAAATTGTAACATTGCTTGTTTACTATAGCAGGATGCAGCCTGCCTTGACTGACACATTAGATAATATAAATCATTCATGCTTAAGTATTATTGATTTATTGGGTCTTTCCCACATCAAGCCAGGCAATAATTACAGCTCTAAAACAGAATATACATAAAAATCAAAATCTATTCTTTTTTTTTTTTTTTTTTTTTTTTAAGATGGAGTGTCCCTCTGTTGCCCAGGCTGGAGTGCAGTGGCACGATCTCGACTCACTGCAACTTTAGCCTCCTGAGTTCAAGCGATTCTCCTGCCTCAGCCTGCTGAGTAGCTGGGATTACAGGTGCGCACCAACAAGCCCAGCAAATTTTTGCATTTTTAGTAGAGACGGGGTTTCACCATGTTGTTCAGGCTGGTCTCGAACTCCTGACCTCGTGATCCACCTCAGCCTCCCAAAGTCTTGGGATTACAGGTGTGAGTCATTGCGCCCAGCCGAAATCTATTATTTTAAAGTACATTCAAGTTGATGTGTGATGAAGGGTGTGTGTGTGTGTGTGTGTGTGTGTGTGTATACTTAAACAAATTTTACATAGTAATAGATTCCTATACACATATTTCACTTAAGTTCTTCTAGTATAAACAATATTGTTATGACCATCCTTTACATGATTTTTTTGTATACACATGTAAATACATCATTTGAATGTTATTTTAGGTGGAATTTCTGAATCAAAGGTATATGCATTTAAAATTTTATATGTTACTCAATTGTATGCCATAAAAGTACAATGTATAAGAATACTTGTTTCCACTAATATTACCAACATAGTACATTACCTACTATATTTTCACCTTTGAGAAACTAGTTTACAATAATAGAATTTTCATTCTAGAGTAGTTGGTATTTCTTTTGTCCCTGAAGCTAAACATCCTTTAATATAATTAAAATCCTTATGCATTGCTTTCCTGTGATCTATCTGTGTATACTCTTTGTCCATTTTTAGGTAACATTTTCCTTTTTCTTGATCATTTAAAATATATATTTTATTTTATTTTCTGAGACAGGGTCTCGCTTTGTTGTGCAGGCTGGAGTGCAGTAGTACAGTCTCGGCTCAGTGCAGCCTCCTGGGTTCAAGCGATCCTTGTGTCTCAGCCTCCCAAGTATCTGGGACTACAGACGTGCACCACCATGACCAGCTAATTTTTGTGTTTTTAGTAGAGAAGGGGCTTCAGCATGTTTGCCAGGCTGGTCTTGAACTCCTGGCCTCAAGTGATCCACCCACCTCCGCATCCCAAAGTGCTGGGATTACAGGAGTGAGACACTGCATCTGGCCTAAAATGTATTTCTATATATTAGGGAATTCAGTCCTACGTAATGAAATTTTAAATTGTTTGCTCCAAATATTATTTTTACTTTCACTTCAATTTATGATCATTTTTGTCATATAGAAATATCAAATTTTTATGCAGTATTCAAATCTATTTTATCTTATTGCTTATGCGTCTCAATTAACTTCTTCACTTCTAGTTTATGGGAATAAAAAGTTTTAAGATTTTTTTCTAGCATGTCTGTAACTTCATTTATATATTTTAATCTTTTTTTGTTTATTTATTTATTCAAATAATTGATTTACATCAGCATAAACTCATGGATATTATTTTATACTTTGGGCTATAATTCAATACTAATTTGGTTTACTTTATTACTCAAATTATTCCAGGTTTGGCCACCGGGACCTCTTTCCGTTGGTTTCTATATCCCTTTGACATAACTATATCGTTGTCTTTTTGTTTGTTTGTTTGGGTACTACAAGATGCTCAAGGCTCATCTAGTATAAACTTACCCCTGTCCTAGAATCAGCCATTTCTCTAGGGAGTTCTGGTTCCTTTGATTAAAGAATGATGTTAGAAATCAAGGTTTGGATACTAGGTCTGTTCTTTGCTACTGTGGTCTCCTTCCTTCCAGGTCTTCTTAGCTGACCGAGTAAGGAAACCTATGTATGTGTATGAATGGACATGTATCTATAAATGTTTCCATATGTAGATATCTTTATTAAGCTAAACATTGGTTCATATTGATGTCTCCAACTCTAATTCATTACCATATGGGCCTCCTTCCCTTGCTTATCTTTAACCTCTCCTTGCTTATCTTTAACCTCTCCTTCCATCATCCACTTGGCTCACCATCCATCAACCATTTACATAATTGTTCATTTCCAATATAAGTGTATATTGGCTTAAGAATTATTAACCTGTAGCTTTGTAGGAATCAATTCTATCAATGGAAGTACAGTGCTGACTATAGTTCCTTTTGCCTTTATTCTTTCCAAAATTACTTAGGTCAGCACTTTATTCCACCATCCCCTTTAGTGAGGTTGATTCCATCCTGTTATTCCCCAATCTCTTAAATGAGTTTTTAAAAATTTACATATGTCAAGGCCTACTCCTTGTGTTGTAAATTTCTCTGGATTTGATAAATGTTTAATATCTTATATTCAGAATTATTGTATTATACAGAATAGTTTTATATCCTAAAAAATATCCCATGCTTCACCTATTCAATCCCCCTCTGCCACTGAACCCCTGGCAAATATTGATCCATTTATTCCCTCCATAGTTCTACTTTTTCCAGAATGTCATAAAATTGAAATCATATAGTATATAGCTTTTCTATATTAACTTTTCCACTTAGCAGCGTGTATTTAAAATTCATTCAAGTCCTTATGTGAATTTGTAGCTTATTTCTTTTTATTGCCGAATAATATTCCTTTTTATGGGTGACTGCAGTTTATCCATTCACCTATTAGAGATCATCTTGGTTGCTTCCACTTTTTGGTGATTGTGAATAAAATTGCTATCATCATTTACATTCAGGTTTTTGTATGGACATGAGATTTCAAATCAGTTGGATAAATGCTGAGGAGTGCAATTGCGAGATCATATGGTAAAACTGTATTTTGTGTTGTAAGAAATCACAGTGGTCATCCAAAGCAGCTGCACCATTTTGCATTCTGAATAGCAATGATGGAAAGAGTTGTTGCTCTCCACCCTTACCAGCAATTGGTACTGTCAGTTCAGATTTTAGTCTTTCTAATGGATCTATAGTGGTATCTCATTTTTGTTTTAATTTATAATTCTCTAATGACAAATTATCTTATCCTATGCTTATTTGCTATCTGTATGTCTCCTTTGGTGAGGTTTCTAATCATATTTTATGCCCATTTAAAAAAATAATTTCAACTTTTATTTTAGATTCATGGGGTACAGTGCAGGTTTGTTGCATGGATACATTAAGTGATGCTACGGTTTGGGTAGAAATGATCCCATCACCCAGGTAGTGAGCTTAGTATCCAATAGGTAGTTTTTCAGCCCTTGCCCCACCCTTCCCCCTTTAACAGTCCCTAGTGTCTATTGCTGTCATCTTTACGTTCCCTAGTACCCAATCTTTAGCTTCCATTTATAAGTGAGAACATGTGGCATTTAGGTTTCTCTTCCTGCACTAATTGTCTTAGGATAATGGCCTCCATCTGCATCCATGTTTTTGCAAAGGACATGATTTTTTTTTAATATATGCTCATTTTAAAAATTTTGTTAGTTTTCTTATTGTTGAAATTTTTGTGTATTTTAAAATGCAAGTCCAATATGAGAGTTTTGCAAATAGTCTCTTCAAGTCATTGGCTTCTTTTTGCATTGTTTTAACAGTGTCTATCACAGAGAAATTTTTAATTTTAATGAAGTCCAACTTACCAAATTTTCCTTTCACAGATAATGTTAATGGTATTATATTTAAAATCTCATCACCAAACCTGAGATCATGTAGATTTTTCTGCTGTTTCCTTCAAGAAATTTTAAAGCTTTAAATTTTACATTTAGATTTACAATCCATTTTGACTTCCTTTTTGTGAAAGGTATAAGTCTGTGTCTGGATTCATTTTCTGTGGCGTGTGCACATTCCAGCACTATATTTTTTTAAAAAGAATACCCTTTATCCATTGAATTGTTTTTGCTACTTTGTCAAAAACCAGTTGACTGTATTTATGTGGCTCTATCTGCGCTTTCTTTTTTGCTCCATTGAATTGTGTGTCTATTCTTTTGCCAAGATCACAGTCTGTATTACTGTGGTCTTATGCAAGCGTTGGAATTTGATAATGCAAGTCTTCTAGGTTGTTCCTCTTCAGTACTGTGCTGGCTACACTGGGGTCTTTTGCTTTTCCATATAAACTTCAGAGTCTGTTGGTTTCTGGAAAATAGTTTGTTGGGATTCTAATTGGGATTGCATTAAATCTATAGATCAAGTTGGGATGGCTTGGTATCTTCATAATATTGGATCTTCTAATCCATAAACATAGAATCTTTCCCCATTTATTTACATCTTCTTTGATTACTTTCATAGAGTTTTGTAGTTTTATACATACAGCTCTCATATATATTGTTAGACATACACCTATTTGATTTTGGGAAGTGCTAACATAAATGATATTATTTTTTAAATTTTAGATTTCAATTATTCATTGCTGGTTGTGGTAGTCAGAAAAATGGCCTCCAAAGATGTCCATGTCTTAATGCCCTGAATCTGTGAATATTTAACCTTAAATTGCAAAGTGTATTTTGCAGATGTGATTAAGGATTTTGAGATGGGGAGATTATCCTGGCTTATCTAGGTGGATCCAATGTAATCATTAGGATACTTACAAGAGCGAGGCAGAAGAGTCAGAATCAGAAAAGGAGATGTAATGATGGAAAGAGAGTCCAGAGAATCAAAGAAAGCTTTGCAGATGTGGTGCTCCTCATTCAGAAAATAGGTTGAGTCCATGAGCCACAAAATGCAGGTGGCCTCTAGGAACTGAAAAAGGCAAGTAGATGGATTTTTCCATAGAGTCCCCAGAAGGAATGCAGCCTTGCTAACACCTTGATTTTAGCTCATCTAAAACAATTTCATACTTCCACCCTCCAGAACCGTAAGAAGATACATTCGTATTGTTTTAAGTCACTGCATTTGGGGTAATTTGTATACATATGTATAGGAAAGCATTTGTCTTTTGTATATTAACCTCATATCCTGTGTCATTGCCAGACTTACTTATTGGTTTCAGGAGTTTTGTTGTTGATTTTTTGGATTTTCAGTATAGACAATCATGTCATCTGTAAACAGAAAGAGTTTTATTTTTTCCTTTCTGATCTATATATGTCTTATTCTATTTGGGCTGCTATAGCAAAATATCATGAAGTGTGTATTTTATAAACAACAGAAATTTATTTCTCAGCTCTGAAGGATAGGAAGTCCAAGATCAAGTGCAGGCAGATTTAGTGGCTGATGAGGGCCCTCTTCCTCATCGACAGCTGTCTTCTCTCTCTAACCTCACACGGTGAAAGATGTGAGGGATGTTTCTCAGGCCTCTTTTATAAGGGTACTAATCTCCCAAATGAAGGCACTGTCCCCATGATCTAAATCACCTCTCAAAGGCCCCACTTTCCAATATTTTCACCTTAGGGGTGAGGATTTCAATATATGAATTTTGAGGGGATATAAACATTTAGACCATGGCAATATACCTTTTATTTCTGTTTCTTGCCTTATTGAACTAGCTAGGACTTCCAGTACAATACTGAATAGGAGTGTTAAGAAAGGACATCTTTGTCTTGTTCCTGAGCTTAGGGAGAAATTGACCAGTTCTTTATCTTTAAGTATCATGTTAACCGTGGGTTTATTGTAGCCTCATTCTTTCTCAAATTAGGGGAGTTTCCTTCTATTTTTAGTTTGGTGAGAGTTCTAATCATGATTTGATGCTGGATTTTGTCAAATGTTTTTGTGTGTTGATTTATATGGTCATATGATTTTTCTTGTGTTTGTTAATGTGGTTCATTACAGTGATAGATTTAAAAATTTGGAATCAGTCTTCCATATTTGGCATAAATCCCATTTGGTCTTGGTATATAATTATTCTTATACAATGTTGGATTTAATTTTTATACAATGTTGGATTTAATTTGCTACAATTTTGTTGAAGATTTTTGCATGTTCATGATAGATATTGTTCTTAAGGTTCAATATCAACAAAAATTTGTTGTAATGTTTTCATCTAGTTTTGGTGTTAATGCAGTACTGACCTCAGAGAATGAGTTAGTAATCTTTCTCCAGCTTCTATTTTCTGGTAGCGATTTAGAAGAATTGGTATCATAAATGTTTGGTAGGATTTACTGGTGAAAACATCTGGGCCTGGTGCTTTCTTTTTCATAAAGTCATTATTTATTGTATTAACCTACTTGAGCTGCCGTAAAGAATACAATAGATTGAATGGCTTTAACAATAGAAATTTGTTTTCTCCCAGTTCTGGAGGCTGGAAATCTGAAGAGAGGGTGCCAGTATGGTTGGGTTCCTGATGAGGGCTCTCTTCTGTCTTGCAGATGACTGCCTTTTCACTTAACTGTGTCCTCATATGGAAGAGAGGAGAAAAGAGGAGAGGAGGGGAGAGGCAAGTTCTCTTGTGTTTCTTCTTACAAAGCACAAATGCCATTATGAGGGCCCCACCCTCAGGACCTCATCTAATCCTAATTTCCTCCCAAAATTAAATCTCAAATGTCATCACATTGTGGTTAGGAGTCAACACATAATTGGGGGTCATGGTGGGGGTAAGTCACAAACAATCATTCTGTAGCAATTATTGATCTTAATGGATTTAGGACTAATGCTACTTATTTCTCCAGTGAGTTTTAATAATGTGTATCTTTCAAGCAATTGTTCATTTCATTTAAATAATCAGTTTTGGGGCCAAAAATTGTTCATGCTATTTCTTTTCTTTTTATTTTAATATCCTTGGGAACAGTAGTAATGCTCTTTAATTCATTTTTAATATTAATTGTTGTCTTCTTCCTTTTTTATAGTTACTTGGCAAAAAGTTCATAAACTTTATTGATGTTTTCAAATAATTAGCTTAAAAATATTTTTTGAGAAAGGGTCTTACTCTGTCACTCAGGCTGGAGTGCAGTGGTGTGATCATGGCTAACTGTATCCTTGACCTCCTGGGCTCAAGCAATCCTCCCACCTGAGTCTCCTGAGTTGCTGGGACCATTGGTGCACACCACCATGCCTGCTATTTTTTTTTAATTTATTTTTATTTTGTAGAGACGGGGCTTCACTATGTTGCTTACTCTGGGTCTCAAACTCCTGGGCTCAAGTGAACCTCCCATCTCGGCCTCTCAAAGTGCTGGGATTATAGGTGTGAGCCACCATGCCAGGCCAGAATTAGCTTTTGTTTTCATTAATTTTTACTATTGTTTTCCTATTTTCAAGTTCATTGTTCTGCTCAAATTTTTATTACTTATTTTCTCCTGTTTGCTTTTTAGACTTAGATGCTCTTTCTTCTTTAGTTTACTTAGGTGGAAATTTAGGTGAGTGGGTTTAGATCTTTCTTCTTTTCTAATATATACATTTAATGCTATAAATTGTCTTCTAACTACTGCTTTGGTTCAATCCCTCAAATTTTGATAAATTGTATTACAATTTTCCTTTAATTCAAATACTGTTTATTTTATCTTGAGATTTCATTGACCAATGTTATTTAAAAGTGTGTTGTAAATAACCGCGTTAAAAAGGCGGCAAAAGACATTAACAGACACTCCTCAAAAGAAGACATACAATAGGCCAATAAACATAAAAAAAGTTCAACATCATTAATCATCAAAGAAATGCAAATCAAAATCACAGTGAGGTAACATTACACACCAATCAGAATGGCTATTACTAAAAAGTCAGAAAACATATCCTAGCAAGGATGCAGACAAAAGGAAACCCTAATACAAGATTGGTGGGAATCTAAATTAGTTCAGCCACTGTGGAAAAGTCTGGAGATTTCTCAAAGAACTTAAAATAGAGCTACCATTCAACCCAGCAATTCCATTACTGGGTATATATCCAAAAGAAATAAATCATTCTACCCAAAAGACACGCACATGTTCGTGGCAGCATGATTCACAGTAGAAAAGACATGGAATCAACCTAGGTGCCCATCAGTGGTGGACTGGATAAAGAATATATGATATATGTACACCATGGAATATAGTATGCAATCATAAAAAAGAATGAAATCATGTCCTTTGCAGAAGTGTGGATGCAACTTGAGGCCATCATCCTAAGTAAATTAATACAGAAATAGAAAACCAAATACTACATGTTCTCACTTGTAAGTGGGAGCTAAACATTGGGTACTCATGAACATAAAGATGGGAAAAATAGACACTGGAAGCTATGTGGGGGTGGGAAGAGGGAAATGGTTTAAAAACCACCTACTGGCTACCATGCTCACGATCTGATTATGGGATCACTTGTACCCCAAACCTCAGCATCATGTTGTATACCCATGTAATAAGCCTGCACATGTACTCCCTGAATCTAAAATGGAAGTAGAAATTAAAATTATAAAAAATAAATAAATAAAAGTGTGTTGATGTGGTCTTATTTCTGAGATCTCTATTCTGTTCCATTGGTCTATGTGTCTGTTTTGGTACCAGTACCATGCTGTTTTGGTTACTGTAGCCTTGTAGTACAGTTTGAAGTTGGGTAGCGTAATGCCTACGGCTTTTTTTTTTTTTTTTGCTTAGTATTGTCTTGGCTATACAAGCTCTTTTGTGGTTCCATATCAATTTTAAGGTAGTTTTTTTCTAATTCTGTGAAGCATGTCAATAGTAATTTAATGGGAATAGCATTGAATCTATAAATTACTTTGAGCAGTATGGCCATTTCATGATATTGATTCTTTCTATCCATGAGCATGCAATGTTTTTCCGTTTGTTTGTGTCATCTCTTATTTCCTTGAGCAGTGGTTTGTAGATCTCCTTGGAGATGTCCTTCACATCTCTTTTTAGCTGTATTCCTGGGTATTTTGTTCTCTTTGTAGCAATTGTGAATGGGAGTTCATTCATGATTTGGCTCTCTGTTTGTCTATTGTTGGTGTAAAGGAATGCTTATGATTTTTGCACATTGATTTTGTAGCCTAAGACTTTGCTAAAGTTGCTTATCAGCTTAAGGAGCTTTTGGGCTAAGAAAATGGGATTTTCTAGATATAAGATTGTATCTTCTGCAAGCAGAGGCAATTTGACTTCCTCTCTTCCTATTTGAATACACCTTATTTCTTTCTGTTGCCTGATTGCCCTGGCCAGAACTTCCAATGCTATGTTGAATAGGAGTGGTGACAGAGGGCATCCTTGTCTTGTGCTGATTTTCAAAGGGAATGCTTCCAGCTTTTGCCCATTCAGTATGATATTGGTTATGGGCTTATCATAAGTGTCTCTTATTATTTTGAGATATGTTCGATCAATAGCTAGTTTATTGAGAGTTTTTAACATGAAGGGATGTTGAATTGATCAAAGGCCTTTTCTGCATCTATTGAGATAATCATGTGGTTTTTGTCATTAGTTCTGTTTATGTGATGAATTGCATTAATTGATTTGCGTATGTTGAACCAGCCTTGTACCCCAGGGAAAAAGCTGACTTGATTGTGGTGGATAAGCTTTTTGATGTGCTGCTGGAGTCAGTTTGCCAGTATTTTATTGAAGATTTTCACATTGATGTTCATCAGGGATATTGATCTTCAACAAACCTGACTAAAACAAGTAATGAGGAAAGTATTACCTATTTAATAAATGGTGCTGGGAAAACTGGCTAGCCATATTCAGAAAACTGAAATTGGACCCCTTCCTTATACCTTATACAAAAAGTTAACTCAAGATTGATAAAAGACTTAAATGTAAAACCCAAAACCATAAAAACCCTAAAAGAAAATCTGGGCAATACCATTCAGAACATAGGCATGGGCAAAGACTTCATAACAAAAATGCCAAAAGCAATTGCAATAAAAGCCAAAATTGACAAATGAGATCTAATTAAACTAAAGAGCTTCTGCACAGCAAAAGAAACTATCATCAGAGTGAACACACAACTTACAGAATGGGGGAATACTTTTGCAATCTACCCATCTGACAAAGGTCTAATATCCAGAATCTACAAGGAACTTAAACACATTTACAAGAAAAAAGCAAACAACCCCATCCAAAAGTGGGCAAATGACAGGAACAGACATTCTCAAAAGAAGACATTCATATGACCAACAAACATATGAAAAAAAGCTCAACATCACTGATCATTAGAGACCTGCAAATCAAAACCACAATGAGAAACCATCTCACACCAGTTAGAATGGCAATTATTAAAAAGTCAAGAAACAGCAGATGCTGGTGAGGCTGTGGAGAAATAGGAACGCTTTTACACTGTTGGTAACAATGGTAACTGTAGTTCAACCATTGTAAAAGAAACTGTGGCGATTCCTCGAGGATCTAGAACCAGAAATACCATTTGACCCAGCAATCCCATTACTTGGTATATACCCAAAAGAATATAAACCATTCTATTACAAAGATACATGCATGTATATATTCATTGCAGCACTATTCACAATAGCAAATACATGGAATGAACCCAATTACCCATCAATGATAAACTGAATATAGAGAATGTGATACATATACACAATGGAATACTATGCAGCCATAAAAAGGAATGAGATCATTCCTTTGCGGGACATGGATGAAGCTGGAAGCCATCATCCTCAGCAAACTGTCACAGGAACAGAAAACCAAACACCACATGCTCTCACTCCTAAGTGGGAACTGAACAATGAGAACACGTGGACACAGGGAGGTGAACAACACACACTGGGGCCTGTTAAGGGAGTGCAGGGAGGGAGAGCATCAGGATAAATAGCTAATGCGTGCAGGGCTTAATACCTAGGTGATGGGTTGATAGGTGCAACAAACTACCATGACACATGTTTTCCTATGTAAAGAACCTGCACATCCTGCACATATATCCTGGAACTTTAAAAAAAGGTGTATTGTTTAATTTCCAAATATTTGATGATTTTTCAGATATCTTTCTTTCTGTTATTGATCTCTAGTTTTAATTCCATTGTTGTCTGAGCTGATACTTTGTGTGATATCTATACTTTTAAATTTGGTAAGATGTGCTTTATGGCCCAGAATGTGATCTAACTTGTTGAACATTTTGTGTGATCCAAAGAAGAAAGTATATTCTAGTGTTGTTGAATAGCATATTCCACAAATGCCAGTTAGAAAAAATTGACTGATATTGCTGTTTAGGTCAACTAAATCTTTACTGATTTTCTGCCTGCTTGATCTATCAATTGCTGAAAGATAGATGTTTAAGTCTCCAACTATAATAGTAAGTTTATCTATTTTGCCTTAAAGTTCTATCAGTTTTTGCCTCACATGGTTTGATGCTCTATTGTTAGGATTGTTGTGACTTTTTGGATAATCAGTCCCTGTATCATTTAATCATTGCCTTGTTTATCCATGGCATTTTTCTTATTCTGAAGTCTGCATTGTCTCAAATTAATCGAGTTACTTCAGCTTTCTTTGGATCAGTGTTAGCATGGTATATCTTTTTCCATCCCTTTACATTTATCCTATCAGAGTCTATATGTAAAGTAAATTTCTTGTATGCAACATATAGTTCAGTTCTGTTTGTTAATTCACTCTAACAATGTGTGTCTTTTAATTAGTATATATGGATCATTTGTCTTTAAAGTGATTATTAATATACTTGGATTAATAGCAACCATGTTTTTACTGTTTTTTATTTGTTGCCAAAAGCTGTCTTTTCTGCCTTCTTTCATTTTAATTGAGCATTTTATATAATTCCATTTTCTTTTCTCTCTTAGCGTATTATCTTACTTTTACAAATATTGTTAGTGGTTGTCCTAGAGTTTACAATATAAAATTTCAACAGATCTAAGTTCACCTTCAAATGAAAGTATTCCATTTCACATGTAGTCCTGATTTGTCCCTTGCATCTCTTGTGACGTTGCTGTCATTCTTCTAGTTATCCAGAAGATAGAAATTGTTATTATTTAGTAACAATAAATACGCAATAGTTATCTTTTAATCAATTAAGAATATGAAAAATACAATATTTATTTTTTCTTTATTTATTATTCTCCCTTGCTCTTCCTTTTTAATGTAGACTAAAGTATCCGGCTTACATAGCTTTCATTCTATCTAAAGACAATCTTTACACATTTTTTACATGATAGATATGCTGGCAATGAAGTCCCTCAGTTTCTGTTTTATAAAATATTTTTCTTTCATTTATGAAGGATAATGTATTTTGATATAGAATTCCAGGTTTTTTTTCTTTTAACACTTTAAATATTTTGCTTTTTGTTACTTTAAATATTTTAAATATTGCTTGCATAGTTTCTGGTGAGAAGTCCGCTGTAATTATTATCCTTGTTCCTATATAGGTAAAGCATTTTATTTCTTTCTGGTTACTTTCAAGATTTTCTCTTTGCATTTGGCTTTCTGCAGCTTGAATATGATATGCCTATAGATAGTTTTTGTTTTTGGAGGGAGGAGAGGGAGGTTATTTATTCTGCGGGTTATCTCTGAGCTTCCTTGATCTGTGGTTTGTTGTCTATAATTAATTTTGGAAATTTCTTGGCCATTATTACTTCAAATATTTCTTTTGTCTTTCTTTATATTCTGGCATTCTGTAATATTACATCTTTTGAAATTGTCCCATAACTATTGGCTATTCTGTTTTATTCTGTTTGTTTGTTTGTTTTTCTTTTTCGTCTTGTCTTCTCCTTGCATTTTAGTTCAGGAAGTTCTGCTTATGTCTCTTTAAGGTCACTGATTATTTCCTTGGGTTGAGTCTACTGATGAGCCCGTCAGATAATCTTCACCGCTCTTGCTCTGTTTTAGATTTCTAGCATTGCCATCAATTCACCAAAATTACCATCTAAGTCAGGAATGTCCAAGCTTTTGGCTTCCCTGGGCCACATTGAGAGAAAAAGAATTGTATTGGGCCACACATAAAATACACCAATGATAGCTGATGAGCTTAAAAAAAAAATTGCAAAAATATTTTAAGAAAGTTTACAAATTTGTGTTGGGGCTCATGCAAAGCCATCCTGGGCTGCATGTAGCCTGTTGGGCCATGGGTTGGACAAGCTTGATCTAAGTGTTGCTGCTAGTTAGTGGTTCCAATGGCTTTTGCTCCAGATGATCTTGGCTTTGGGTTCCAGTTTGCTTTGGGTTCCAGTTTGCCCTGGGACCTACGTTCTCAGATGGGTTTTTAAAAAGTCACTGATTTTCATTTTATATGGCCCAATCTAAAATTCTCTGCCCTAGAAGTTTGCACTAAAATATACTGGAAAAAAAAAAGATGAATTCAGAACTTTAGGATCTCTGTACCAGGAATTTAGGATTTAAAAACTCAGGAGTTGTGTGATTTTGGGGGTGAAGGGTGCACATACATCTTTCTTTTTTTAACTGATTTAAAACTGAAATTTATCATGTCTTTCAATTATAAGCATAAGCAACAAAGCACAATAGTATTGGCAATAGCTGTGACATTGTTACCAATGGAACTCACACACATTTTCATATTACATTTATAGTTTTTTCTAATAAATTAAAATATCATTTGTGCTTAACCCTTTGAAAAATATACTAGTTAGTAGACTCACCACTTGATCTTATTATTTAAACCATTAGTGAAGATGCAGACGTATAACTAAACCACGAATTTGCTTAAATATTTCTTTCACTAACTATATTTTTATTTTATAATCACATTTTTATTTTATTTGGGTGTGACCTGTACTAGACTTCTGACCTACAGAACTATAATTACCTGTTGTTTTAAGCCACTAAGTTTGTTCTACTTTGTTACAGCAGCAATACTAAACTGATACACAAAGGATCCCCGTACTTCATCAAAATATCAATGTTGTCCATGACACACAAAGAACCCAGCTGTAGTTTAATTCAGCATCACAGTCCCAACATGTTTTAAAACATGTTCCAGGTAAAGATCTTCTTCCTTAAGGCACTTTACTGCTTCAGGCTTCTGTGGTTTGCTTCTTTCCCTAAAAATCCTTAAATGTTTGGCACTCATAAACATTTAACTTGAGTTTTCAGCATTCAATTCACTCGTACATCCAACACTATTTGATTGTCTGCTGGGTGCCAGTCATGGGGCTAAGCTCTGCAGGTACAAGGCTGAGTAGGACTCTGACCACATTCTCAGTATAAGAGGGAAATAAACGTGATGGAAATAAATGTTATGGAATGAAATAATGGATGATCATTAAGACACCCCAAATTTTGGCACTGAAAATGATGATTCCATCTATGTTAATAAAGGTATAAAACAATTATAATACATTTCTACCTTATCTCTTCCAATTTGGTTCCTAAATTTTCTAACTCTATGTCCATGGATGATTATGACAACTCAGTTTTTTTTTTTCTGAAAACTATGATGCATATATAAACTCAGGCTCCTAACTCAAGAGTAGCTTTTAAGGAATTGATTGCCATAAGCAATCAATTGAATGTAAACTTATGTCATTGAAGAATGCGTATGGGTGGAAAGGTTGTACTAGCAAAATCTAATGAGGAAAATGATGTATTAGAAATACAGAAGAGTGATGGCTTGTTCTGAGTATGCCTGTTAGGTTGAAATAAATTATCTTCTGTTATAATCTCAATATCCTTCAGTAAGAGTAATTCTGAAAATGTATGTTGGTGCCAAAGCAACATCACTGTGTATTCTTTATGATAATATGTTTTTAAAGTAATAATCAGAAGACCATGAAACTCTTTAAACACATGTTAGAATTAGGGAGTGGTGAGAAATCTAAATTAGGCTGTTGGAATATTGCAGTATTCCTACCGGATAATAGAAAGTCCATAGGCAATTATATGAAGAGACAATTCTTGAAAAACAGAGTCGTGATTTTTTTCTTGGCATACACTTTCTAATTAGTTTTACTTTAGCACCTTTCTTTTTTAGAGTTTGCCAAAATGTACTATCTTTTATTTACAGCTTTTGGTCCCAGGATTATTCAACCTAGCTCATAAAAGAAAACAATATTGCATTTCTAAGTATTGGCTCCTAGAATTGGCAAGTTTAGTCAAGAAAAGCTGGAATGCCGTTAAAACAACACCCTGTCATCTTTCAATCAGTCCTTAGCTGAAGTTAAAATCCCACTCATTCTGCATGATCCAGGTAAAGATCTTCTTCCTTAAGGCACTTTACTGCTTCAGGCCTCAGTGGTTTGCTTCTTTCCCTAAAAATCCTTAAATGTTTGGCACCCATAAACATTAACTTGAGTTTTCAGCATTCAATTCACTCATTCATCCAACACTATTTGATTGTCTGCTGGGTGCCAGTCGTGGGGCTAAGCTCTGCAGGTACAAGGATGAATAGGACTCTGACCACATTCTCAGTATAAGAGGGAAATAAACGTGAAAAGCAATAGTTATAGTACACTCTGATAAGCACTGTCATAAAACTTGGAAGATTATCACACATTGACAATTATAAAATTATGGAGATGTGTTCTCTCTTTAGCTGTTAATGCTTTATGCTTTGTCTCCCTGTATTACCATGCTGATCTTTTCATAATGCCTGTTCTTAAGTAAGTCTTCTTGATAAAATGTTTTTCTCTTACTGTGCTCTTCTCTTATTTTTTCCCCATTCTTTCCGTTTCTTACTGTGAACAGTGAGAAGGCATTTCTTCTCAGTTAGCCCAGTACTACTACTTTGAGTTAGTAGAGGGTAGTGGTTAAAAAATCAGGCTCAGGGTAGGGATTACCTGCATTTGAATCTAGGTCCAGCCACTGGATAGCTTTTTAACATAGGCAAGTTATGCAAACTCACAGTGCCCAAATTTCCTCATCTGCAGAATGATGAGGAATAGCACCTATTCCATAGAGTTCTTGTTAGGATGAAATGAGATACTGTGTGTAAAGTTCTTGGCATATAATAAGCACTGTGCAAATAGTGGTATTATTATTTGACAGCAGAACAGAGGCCAGCCATTTCTTCAGTTTATAATTTAGGGCCAAATAGAATGCTATTAATAAGAAATTTATTGTTTTTATTTTTGATTGCACATGACTGCTGGGAAGCCTCTGTAGCATAGAGTGAGTAGCCCCTTAACAAGAACCAAAATGGAGGGTACGGATGAGGCTCAGATCGTCACCACCTGGAGAATAGAGACAGTGACTGAGTCACCAGGAAATCTGTCCCCTGCTCATCCCAGAATCCCCGAGCTTTGACTTTTTAAGAGAACATGTGACAGATAATGCCATCTGAGAAGGTAAGCAGCAGATCTTCTAAGTGGTAGAATTGAGATTTGAATCTTTGGCTTTCTGACTTTACAACATGGTTTTTTTCCCTCTATAATAAACTGTGTTCCCAATTGGACAAGGATCCAACGAATGAGTACGTAGGAAAGGGACTTGTACAAGAGATGCTGTGATAAAGTGGTTTTAGCAAGAATTGGGAGCAGACATGGAAGTGTGGGATGTCATCTGTTGCCTAGGGCAATGACGATGTAGAACAGGGACGATATTTCTTAGTGCTGCTGCCATATGCTTAGATACACCCTAAGCTTTGTTGGTATGAAGTAGTCTGTAAGATGATTGGTTGTTGGTGAAACCACAATCAGTATTTGCCTTTAAATTATACCGTGCTGGTATTCAATATTTACTCTGCTGGAGTGTCATATAGATTTGCTTTTTCCTCTCAATGTTGTGGCACTATATTGCCTTAAATTCTAATACATTATTAGTGTTTTAAAAGAGCATGTATTTTATATTCATATTAATGAAATTCTGATATTGTTAAGGATCACACAAGGGTGTCAAGACAAGACAGAATTCATACAATGCACTTCCTACAGTGCTCTTGGCCAAAGGGCTCTCTCCACTGGCAGGACCTTGTTACAACAGCCCCACCTTCCTGCATTCCCACAGCCTGGACCCTGAGGGCTGCATGGAGCCAGGCTCCTGTACGGCATGGGTTTGGGGAAGAAGCCAGACAGGGTTCTTAGCAGGAATATAAATTGTGTGAGGAGTCATAAAAAGTAGAAAAGGAATGTGTTGTTCGGTAGTTAAAGATGTGCTGGGGCCTTGGTTTAACTATTTTAAACCCTTGGAAGGATTTGGAAAATGAATTGAGAGCTGGTTTGTTATTTTTGCCCTCATGGGTCTTTCTTTGTATGTCTTTTTAACAGGCACAACGGGTTTAGAAATCCTTTCTCTAATGATGTTTACTTCTTTTCTACTTGGGAAACATTCTAAGGCTCACAGTGGTACTTGTGGCACCCCAGCACATCTCCCCACCTCTTATCCCCCATCCCTCCCAATCTAAAAAGAAAGAAAGGAAAAGCTACTGACCGCACCTGAAGCTTTGTCAAAACTCTTTGGCACAATTCAGTGCCTGCAAATGTTACAGGAGGGTGTGCAGATAGATGCAAAGGGGCGTTAGTCAAATCAAGAGAATGCTATTCAACCGAGACTCATTTCCAGCTCTCTGTTGTGTAGTTGCCTTGAGAATAATTATGTGCAAGGAAGCACTGCTTGGATCGTATGGTGACCTGGCTAGGGGAAGAAGATTCTAGGAATAAACAGCAGCTAAGCAGCAACAGCGCTTGCCGTCTGTTTAAATAATGCTCTGTAAAATCTTCAGGTAGCCTGTCTAAACCCTGGGATTTTATTTTCTTCAGGGCTACTAACCACCTCTCTGTGCTACCAAACTGTACAGAAGAAGCCTTTGCATTTTATCTTTTAAAAACCTGCTTCTCACCCCTCCCTAAATACAACTACCATCACGGTTTTTCATGATTGTCTCTGACTCTTTTAACATTTGCATGTGATTAGTTTTCTTTCATTATTTACTAGCCTTGAATGAATCTGTAGTCTTTTATATTTTATAGATATTATATAAAATACATCATATTTGTTTCATAAAGATCTTGTTTTTCAACACTAATGACTGTAGATGCCTAGTTTTTGCAGCATGCTAAATCTTAATCTCAATTTTGTATTTTCTGATTAAAATCATCTCCTTAAAAAAATCAATAAAAGAGAGAAAGAACACTTTTTTTTTCCAGGTGCTCTCAGGTTGATCTTGTACAGTAGGAAGGTACAAGTGTTCACATATATGTGTCCAATCTAGAAAAATTTATTACACATTCTGATTCTGAGTGAAAATACAGAATTACTATCTTTAACTTTCAGGAAGCAAGGACCATAGTAGCACTTTTTTTTTTTTTTTTTTTTGCTAATGGAAAATATCCATTATTCCATAATTTTTGGAGCCTCCTGCTGAATTTGGTGGAGCATGAATAGAGCTCTGCTTTTATCTTTCATGGTGCTTGAATCTTTGCTCTCTTTCTTGGCTTTGGAGAAATGTACAGTTGTTTTTTCCTTCTTCTTTTCTCAGTCCTTCTCTGAAATTCTTGGATGGCTTGTCTGCCTCTGTTCACTGTTTTATGGCTTTAGAGATCAATTTTATATGTCCTGCCCTGACATCTCTCATGAGCTCCAGGTCTACATTTTCACATACCTGGTTTAATTTCCACCTTAGACTTGGCCTGTCTAACACTGACTGAGCTCACATCTTCCTCAATCCATCTTTTAGCACATTTGTGCCAAAGTTGTTTGCTGCCTCCTTTAGTCAGGCTCCAGAGGGCTTTACTAAGATTTCTATCATTTATCTTGATTGTGCCTGATTTAAAAAATCATTTAAATAATAAACTAATCTTACTTTTAATTCTAAATCTTCCTGGGTGGGTTTGAATTCAAAAGTTTATTTTGTTTATTCAAAATCCACTGTCTAAAAATTTTCGCTTGTGTTGAAGTTTTATGAAAAACTGCAAAGTATGAAAAAACTTAAAAATATGTACTTTCTACATGCTTAAAAGGGTCTTAGAAGTCATTTGATAAAATTTCTCATTACGTAGATGAAGAATTCATTGTAGACTGTAGTGAGTTGGGTTTCTAGGCCCTTGGTGAAGCTTTTCTTCTAGTGAATATAATAAGAAAAGTATGGTTGTTAATGAATTACAAATTCCACATCTCTGTGTACATTCATGTTTATTTCTTCATTCATAACATTTTGAATCTTCAGACCTATAAGAGGAGCATCTTATGGGAATTATATGCTTTATATTTGCAAAAGTCAATTTCTAAAAGTCTGACCTGAGTTTAACATAACTTGAGTATATTGCGTTCATTCAGAGAACATGTGTCTTTGGGCCTCATCACATGTTGTTTCTTGTGTAGAGTCACTGCCTCTGACCTGTCACATGGTCAGTCTCAAATCATTAGCCAAGTCCAAGTTTTGCAATAACCAACCCATGAATAATGACACAATAATGGGAATTTAGCAGCAACATAAATTATTTTAGATTTAGCAAATCACATGTTATGAACACATTAAAAAAAGAAATGCTGTTCCACTTTTAGAATGACTTTATTATGTGATGAGAATGTGGGCACTGCTAACTTCTAGAAGTAAGGAAAGTACACTTAGATATGGGCATAATTTTTGGTGAGCTGAAATTCCTGTCTGCAAACTAATAAAATTGATTCATTTCTCTAAATGATCATCTCTAAATAGATCTATACAATACTAAGTACCTACTGGCTTATATGGCTGTAGTTCCTCATAGTTATTTGAAATGAGCCTGTGGTGATGGTTTGAGGCTAATATAATTATTTTCTTCCACTGTGGGCAAGGTATAAATCCTCCAGGACTTCTGAAATGCACTTTCATACCCCTTTCAGGAAGGTAAAATGATTGCTTTATCAAATCCATGTCCGTAGGAATTGTATTTCTATGTATGCTATTTGATCTTATTAGATCAAATAGCACTTTCTATGGATCAACTTGTCTCAGTCTTGATTTCTTTTAAGAGGAAGGAGTTATAAAGACTACAGTGGGGATATTTCACTTGGTTTGCACACTATTGGTAAAGGATAAATGTTAAAAGAGGATATAATCATGACTTATACAAATGAAATAGATACATGTCAAAAATTTTATTTCACTCACTGATTAGTGAAGGAACTGGAAAAGTTGTTAAAACTGGTTGCTACAAAGGAGAATTTTGACAGCCAACTAATACACAAGCTCATCAGAAAGGCTGATTTAAATTTGCTTAGTAGATGCAAAACTACCTTCTTCAACAGTGGGAGAGGGAAGTCAACTGAATTTCCACTGGACAGAGTTTATTTGCATGCCTCTAACCAAGAATTATTTGCATTGCTATCAGTTTTCTGCAGGTTAATGTCTACCTTTACAGAATTATAAAATAGCTGAAGACAATGAAAAGCACAAACTTCACAAAATTAGATAACCTTGGGTGTACTCTAAACAATGCATTGTTTTGCATTAATGACACCCTTAGTCTTTTGGTCTACTTCATTAGCTTTCCCAGTTTTTCCCTACAGAGTGCCCTCTTCTTTTGGCTTTAATTTTTTCAATGGTTTTGGGGAAGGTAATACCCAATTTATGTTTCAGAATAATTTTTATTATCTCTGCTTAAGCCTTTTCTTCTCTTTTCTTCAAGTCCAGCTTAGGCAACTCAGTCATCAATGTGTCCTCGAGAAGAGCATATCCCCAAATTGGAAAATAATCCTTCAGGGCATCTGAACATAACCACATTTGGCTTACTTTGTGAAGCAGTTGTCTGAATAGAATAAGACTGGCTTGGAACGAGGCGAGTGTTAGACATTTTAAAATGCATTTTAAGAAAAATTAATTCTGGGTCTTTCTGCTTACCATATTTGTTTGCTATGTATTTTTTTTGTTTTGTTTTTTGAGACAGGGTCTTGCTCTGTCACTCAGGCTGGAGCGCAGTGGCACAATCATGGCTTACTGCAGCCTCTACCTCCCGGGCTCAAGCAATCCTCCCACTTCAGTTTCTTGAGTAGCTGGGACTACAAGTGTGTGCCACCACACCAAGCTAATTTTTTACTTTTTTGCAAAGATAGGGGTCTCACTATGTTGCCCAAGCTGGACTTGAACACCTAGGCTCAAGCAATCTTCCCACCTTGATCTCCCGAAGTGTTGGGATTATAGCATGAACCACCATAGCCACCATACACTGCTATGCATTTTAGAGTAGTTAATACAATTGTGACAAATTACAGTGGGAGGTAAATCAATTAATATTGTAAAACATTAGCAAAAATTTAAGGTCGTATGGTCTAAGCATCTAAACAATTCTATTGTTACTTCACTAATGAATTAATTCATTTATTCACTAGATCAGAAGCTCAGTAAAGGCAATAACTTCATCTATTTTGTTCCCTATTGCCTCCCCAAAGCCTTGCACAGTGTTGGAGGAATAGTATATTTGTGATATACATTTATCCAGTGAAATTTTAAGAGTAATTTATTAACCACCTACTCTTTGTCTGACACTATGATAGGGCTGGGGATTAAAAATAAATATATAATATGCATTATGATTAATATTTTAGAAAAGTTCATCATCTTTTATTGGATCTTTTCCCCAAAGGAATTTGTCCTTGATGAGAGAATTTTAGGCATTATGGCAGACTAACTGGAGAACAGTCTGAGTTTTCCCCAAATCACACCATATAGGCAAGTTTCTTTTGAATGTGTGGTTAATATTATCTCTAGGTGGGATCTCCTCAAGCAGTATGCTTGGTGTCACCCACAGAGGGACATTGGAGGTTGCTGAGATATATACCACTGGCTTCAATAGCTGCAGTTCTTCAAGTTCTCCTAGCAACCCTTCACCATGTTTCTGAGCCTAATCAGAGATTCTTCCTCTTATAGCAGCCTAGGAAGAATAGTCACCACTACCGATTAGTATGTGCCAGAATCTAGGCTAAGTACTTTGTAACTTTTATCTTATTTAATCCTTATACCTACCATATGGAGTAGGTGAGAAGTTAAGGATTATGATTTCAATAATGCAGCTAGTGAGTGGCAGGGATAGGACAGGATTTGAGGTCTGCCTGAAGTCAAAGACCATACACTTTGAACTGTGTAGCCTCAATATCTAGAACTGATGTGGTGAGAATATGGCTGAGTCTATGTTGAGTGTTTTTGGGTCTGCATGAGTGGAAGTGGGAGAAGCAGGAATTTTTTTCCTTCATTCATGATGCAATAAAGAAAAAATGTGCATTATCCATTTTTGCTCTGCTGTAGACTTCTCTCCGTCTAGGCTCCTGTACAATGAAAAATTGCACAGTGACTCTGACAATTGAATCAATACTTCTATTAGCTGCAACATGCAATTTGAAGGTTCAGAAGGTGATTGAATTATGTTTTGTGGAATTATTATCCTCCATTGGTAGAGCATGTGCTGCCATAGAGGGACTGAGTTTTTCAAATGTGTCTAGACCCCAGAGAGGTCAGCCTTTCATACAATGGCATTTCGACCCTCTCTTCCACCCTCAGCCTGAAGAGTTCTGAAATAGGTGCTGTCTGCCCATAAGTCATCCTTCAAACCTTTGTATTTACAGGACAGCTTGGCATTTTTCTTCTCTTCATCTTTCAAAATTTCTAATACCCTTAACATTTGATTTTTTCCCTCAGAATTTTCTTCTCCTAAAATGTCTACATTTTGGCTTCCTTTAGTTTCGTTTCCAATTTTGAACTCAGTGTGCTCCTCTGAAATCATTTTCCTCCTTCTAATTAACCTGACTCCATTACACACACATTCCCTATTCTTAGCTTCATTGTATCATCTACATAAATTGCTAAAGTTATTTCAGCTTTATCTCAAACCTCCTTTAACACCTACTCTTCAGAATTCTTGGTTTCTTGCCATTATCCCTGATTAGCCTCAAATCTCTCTCCCTTCCTTCCTTTCTTTCTTTCTTTCTTTCTTTCTTTTTCTTTCTTTCTCTTTCTTTCTCTCTTTCCTTCCTTCCTTCCTTCCTTCCTTCCTTCCTTCCTTCCTTCCTTCCTTCCTTCCTTCCTTCCTTCTTTCCTTCTTTCTTTCTCTTTCTTTCTTTCTTTCTTTCTTTCTTTCTTTCTTTCTTTCTTTCTTTCTTTCTTTTTGTTTTTTTGACGGACTCTCTCTCTGTCGCTCAGGCTGGAGTGCAGTGGCATGATCTCGGCTCACTGCAACCTCTGCCTCCTGGGTTCAAGCAATTCTCCTTGCCTCGGCCTCCCGAGTACCTGGGATTACAGGCACATGCCACCATCCCAGGCTAATTTTTGTATTTTTTTAGTAGAGACAGGGTTTCACCATGTTGGCCAGGCTGGTCTCGAATTCCTGACCTTGTGATCCACCTGCCTCAGCCTCCCAAAGTGCTGGGATTACAGGTGTGAGCCACCGCACCCCCAAATTCTTTTGATTGTCTCTTTCTAATGTCCCACTAATGTGAACTGAGAGAAAAAAAAAAGAATGTATGGAAAGCTAGAATAAATTCTATAAAGATTTATAAAGTCTATAAAGATTTATTTAGTTTTTAAAAACAGACTGTACCCAACTTCGTTGGTCTAAGTTCTAAAAGGTACCTTTGGGGTAAAAAATAACTACATAGCATATTATAGCAAAATAACTGTTTTAAGAGTTTAACTTTCAATTTTTATTTGATCTGTGACTATTTCAGTGCAATAGTTTATGTATGCTCCTTTTGTTTTAACTTTTTATTGTAGAAAATTTCAAAAATATACAAAAATAGGATAGTATTAACTGCCATGTAGCTGTCACTTAGTTTTAACTATTTATAACTCATGACCAATCTCATTCTATTTACTTCCTCCTTCCCCTTGAAGTGTTTGGAAACAAATTCCAGACATCATATCATTTTATATAAGTATTTC
Source organism: Homo sapiens (assembly GCF_000001405.40). Classification (NCBI taxonomy): domain Eukaryota; kingdom Metazoa; phylum Chordata; class Mammalia; order Primates; family Hominidae; genus Homo; species Homo sapiens. Next base: position 176,626,842 of record NC_000003.12, on the reverse strand, counting down.
AGTATGTATTGCTAAGGAAAAGCAGCACTTTGGGAAAAATCATAACTACAACTAAACATTTTCTTAAAGATCATCAAGTAATAGCCAATGTTCTAATGTCCTTGTCTCACTTATTTTACAGTTTGTTTGCTTCAAAATCAAGTTCATGAATTGGATTTGTTGCTATTATTTTGTGTCTTTTTAATATGTAGACTCTCACTCATCTCTTTATTGCCATCAATTTATTTATTGTAGAAACCAAATTATTTGCTTTATGGTGTTTCCAACAGATTGGATTTTGTTGATTGTATTCCTGCGGTGTGTTAAATGTATTGCTTTAGCATTTATATTTTCTCTAAATTGGTGATCTGATTCAGATTACCTTAACTAGATTCAGGTTTGACTTCTTGGGAAGGTTACTTCATAGGCAGTATTGTGTACTTTTGTCAGGAGGTAGCACAATGCCTGGTTGTCTCTCTTTTTATGATGTTAGTGACCATTGATTTTCACATCCTAGATTCACAGAGCAACCAAATAAAGATGATTGAGTGAATGGCTAAAGAAATAAATATGTTCGAATCTGTACCCATCTCATGTCTTTCCTGATGTAAGTATAGAAATTACGATTATTTAAAGATCATAATAAATTTTACCTCCTCCAAATAAATATCATTTTATTTGATAAAATTTCCAAGGACCTAGAGAATTTAGGATTGTTGTCTTGTCCAATGAGACCTTGGAATATTTGTTTGGAGTCACTGTGGAAGGTATATGCACATACTTTAGAAAGCTGAGGAGCAAGCTGGCATTCTCTAGAAAAGATTAAAGAACATGGCTAGATATATACTTTTTTAGGTGAGGGAGGTAAGTGGTCTGGGCATTATTATCATTGGTGAGAATGAGTGGGGGAGGTGGGAAAGTTTGTCATTTTATTTTGTACCTATTGTTTGAACTTTCCCCATGATTATTTAGATGGGATCATGTTCATTTCAATTTTCTTCCTTGTATTTATATAGTTAAAAACGTAGTAAATGCTAAAATGAATGAATGAGGAATTAAATTAAATTAAGAAGCTTTTTGAGACACTTGTCTGGATAAAGATGCTTCCCATTCTTTTATTTTTTGAGATGGAGTCTTGCTGTCGCCCAGGCTGGAGTGCAGTGGCACCATCTCAGCTCACTGCAAGCTCCACCTCCTGGGTTCACGCCATTCTCCTGCCTCAGCCTCCCAGGTAGCTGGGACTACAGGCGCCCACCACCACGCCAGGCTAATTTTTTGTATTTTTAGTAGAGACGGGGTTTCACTGTGTTAGCCAGGATGATCTCGATCTCCTGACCTCGTGATCCGCCCGCCTCGGCCTCCCAAAGTGCTGGGATTACAGGCGTGAGCCACTGCGCCCGGCCGATGCTTCTCATTCTTAAGGCACTTACCTGGTTGGAGAGAAAAAACAAAACTAGGACATAGCATTTATGTTTATCAGCACACTTAACTGCACGTATACTAGGCACTGGGGGGTTACAAGAGAAAACATCATATTTCTTTTTAAGATTTCCCGTAGGGCTTTCATCAACTCTACTGTGTAGGAGAAGCGATCTATCATCAGGCCTCTGCCTATGCCCCCGAGCACATCACCTACAGGCTCTCAAAGTCCCAGGGTCTCAACTGGCTTCGTGTAAGCCTCTGTACCAGCTGCCTTGCACCCTAACCTAACTTGAAGGCATCATGCCCCAGGCTGCTTCTCTCCCACTGCAATTCTCGTCTGCACTGCTCTCTTCGCTTTGTACAACTCCAGACTCCCTGGAACCTCTGAACATTGCTTTTTACCTCTTGTTTTAATTAAACCAGTTCCCCCAGTGGCATGGCTCTCCTTTTTGGTCTTCTTAAGGGACAGGTTGATTTTACTTCTTTGGCCAAATTCCTCTTAAGAGGCTTGAGGTGCCTTCAAACTATAAACTTATACATGATAATTTTTCTTCTCTCTTAGAAAAAAGATAAATTTATAATGGCTCTGTTAACTAGGGTTTTTAATAAGCTACACCAATATTTGTGTGTACCCTTTTCCTGGAAGATATATTTTACTTACAGAAAAGAATGAAGTATGTATTTTCAAATTTTTTGTAAGAATTTTCCAGCCCCACGTCATTCTGGTTGGAGGTTTAATGTGGGACCTGACCGGTGAGCCCACTTCAAATAAAGTAGGGAGCTATGACTCCCCTTACTGCAGACAAGAATGTCCCAGGAGAAGAAAGGGACAAGGACCAGTACAGCTCTTAAAGCTGGTGGAACCCATCCTCAGTACCACTCTCCACAGGCCACTGGGTTGGGAAAAAAAGTCTAGATCTGCTCAGACAGCTGAAAAGAAAAAGGAGAAAAAGAAACCTAACAAGCCGAGTGCTAAAATCGATGTGCCCAATGTGAGAAAACAATAAAAAAGGTGCATCCCTTGTGAATGTGTTTAGTTTCCAATAACAGAAAGTCCACCTGAAAGACTGACATAAGTAGGCATTTATTCTGCTCATAAAACAAAACATCCAGAGGTGAGATTTTTCTGGTATCAGTTCAGTTGCTCAAGTTATCATCAGAGATCAGATTGCTTTCTCCTCTTTTGTTCTGCTGCCTTACTTTGTTGATCATATATATATATATATATATGTTTGCTGCATCTTTATCACAAGATGTGCCAGATATTTTGTCCACCTTGACAGAAGAAAGAGGAAACACATCCAATCATTCTCAACCTCTCTCTTCAGGAAGACAAAAGTCACCAACTTCCTTAAGCAAATATTGGTTTATGCCTCATTGGCTCACGCTGCATTCTCTCGGCACCCTCAAATGTAAGAGAAGCTAGGAGGCCAGGGATCAGTCATTGTCTCACCTGAGACTGGATGTGTGGCACATTAGGCAGCGATCTGTCAGCAAGGAACAAGCTGTGAAGCGGGGGTGGCAGGTGGAATTACAGGTAGGCAACCATGAAGGACAGCAGAATCACTTTGTTTGACTGATCCCTAGGCCTTTTGGAATCCTAGAGTGTCTGTCCTCACTACTTGTTTTAAAAAATCTCAAATGAAGCTCAGACTGGAGTATGAAGTCACTGATTTTCACATGTGCCTAAGATTATTTGACACTGAGGATTTTGGGGATATGTGAAAAGCAAATCCTAGGTCCAAATAAACTCCCTTGTGCTGAGCTGGGAGGTGCCTTTTCCTGGGAACTGTGGAGAAAGATGATGTAATGAGTTAGAGTTTACTTTTTTCTCTTTTTGGCACTGTCTATCCCAAATGCCTGTCTCTTCTTTTCATGGGAGTATGGTAGGAAAAGTAACTCATTCATTTCTTATCAATTATAACTATAAACTTTGTTTTTATATATGTGAGTTAATTTTTCTATTTTTGTCTGTGATTCTGAAGAAAAACTGTGATCTTGGAATCCTTTTCTTTATGCAAACATAAAAGAGGCTAATTTAGCTACAGTTGTGTTTATAGAGATCAAGGGTAAAAATGGTTTTGTGAGAAAGATGACTCATAACTTAATTGATAACATAAAGCACCTAAGTTTAAAACATAAAGTTATCTTATAAAGATTCTAATTGAAAGACAAATGGGTGCTAGCTAGTCCAGGAAAAGATGAAGAAGCTCATGTGAAATATTAGGTGATTGTAATCGTTATTATTTCCAAGATGCATTTCCACTAGTGGGCTAAAATATCCTATTATGAGTTCCATCCTCTGTATCAGAACATTTTAAAAGAAACCTGCCAAGATGAGGGGAAATTCCCTTTTATTTGCCAGGATCTAATTAATGAATTGGGGGTTTTGGAAAGCAGCAAGACATGCATTCAGAGATCTAAGAGATAGAAATTAGCTAAAAGATTTGTCTTCCATCCAAATTCTTCTGTAAGTTTGGAGCTAATATGATACAGTCTTTCAAAATCTAGATCATTGACAGCTAGGATGTCCAATCACAGCTGTTTTTATTTGAAATATTGAAATGTGTAGGAGTTTTTTTATGAAATATTTGAAGCAGTAAGCATACATATATTTTCTTGACTTAAATAGTAAAAAATTTTCAGAACATTATATAAGTTCATTTCTATTCCTTGTTTTGAGTCAAGTAAGTTATGTCTTGGGATAAAACAGGGCCTTGGTTGGGAACTAGGCTTGCTTGTTTTTTGTTTTGTTTTGTTTTTTGAGATGGAGTCTCCCTCTGTTGCCCAGGCTGGAGTGCAGTGGCATGATCTTGGCTCACTGCAACCTCTGCTTCCTGGGTTCAAGCAATTCTCCTGCCTCAGCCTCCCTTAGTAGCTGGGACTACAGGTGCACGCCACCATGCCCAGCTAATTTTTTTTTTTTTTTTTTTTGGATTTTTAGTAGAGACGAGGTTTCATCATGTTGGCCAAGCTGGTCTCGAACTCTTGACCTCATGTGATCCTCCTGCCTCGGCCTCCCAAAGTGCTGGGATTACAGGTGTGAGCCCCCATGCCCGGCCAGCCTTGCTCATCTTTATTGCACATTTATCTGTATACCCATATGCCTCCACCCAAGTGAAAAACCCATGCCCTTGAGACGCTTATGAGTCTGGCATACTCTCTACATCTCTGTATTGTTGTCATCCTTGAACACTCAGATGCCATTTGTTGAAGTCTTCACCAGTAAACTCACAGATGTCATGTCTATGTCCTGTCCTGTCATCATCCTGGCTCCAACTGTCTGGCCATTCAGTCCTAGAATATCAATGACTTTGACTACCTCTGCCTCATGTCTGTCAGTGTTCAGTCCACGTTCAGTCCACATATGCTTTACAACGGTTTTAGACTTTTGGGCTCCCCTCACTCTGAAATCCTCTCTTCTTGGCACCTGTGGCACTTTCTAGCTTTTTTCCCTGTTCTCTGGATGGGTCTTCTTAGTCTTTTTTTAAAGCTCCTAATTCTCCATGCCTCCCTTGAATCTTGTTCCTCAGGCTTCAATCTGTGTATTTTCCTTAGGCCAGCTCATCCTTCACATGGCTTCAATTAGCACCTGATGAAAACAAAATCTACAGCTGCAGTTCAGTACTCATCCTTGAACTCTAGGTTCCTATCAAACTTCATCCTGGGTCTCTTAATTTGGAAGTCTATTCTCAAACTCCCCATGTACCTCCTGCACTCATTGCCTTGGCCGTCCACACAGCCGTTTCCCCATTGCCCATTCTACAGCTCTGGCTCCTGTTTTCCATGTCTCAGTGTTGGCATCTGGTTGCCCAAGCTATAAATCTGGATGTTTTCTTTCACCCTTTCCTTTCCTCCTCATTTCCTCTATATAAAATCAATCCGATCCTATGAATTCTCCTTTCTAAATATATCCATAACAGCTCTCAAATGTGCTTATTACTTTCTGTTCTTCTTGCTATTATCCATTTACATGTGACTACTGCAATAGGTCTTGCTACTTTCATCCTCCCTTTTTCTACTCCAAAAAGTAATTATAACAATTAGTTTACTGCTTTTTGATAGTGCCCCAATTTTTTCTTGACCTAAATTCCTAACTCTATAATTCATTTACAACACCCTTCCTGACCTGGACCTTCACTTCCTTCCAGTCCTCTCCTTGCCAACCTCCAAGACCTGGTCCATGTTATTCTGTCTTCTTGAAACAACTTTCCATTATTCCCTCTTCCATGAAGCTTCTTCCTGAGCCTTCAAGTACCGGTCTTCTACAGACTTTTCACTTATTTGTTAGACATAATTTTCTCTGCAAAACCTCTCTTGTTGGCTCCCTGTCTGCATCTTCAGTCCCCTGCCTCTCATGCATTCTCCTGGTTATAGCACTTGTTGCTCCATAACTATTCATTGTCTTTTATCTCCATTACATCTTAAGTCCAAGTTTTTTGTTTTGTTTATCTTGTTTACCACTGCTTTCTCTTTGCTAAGAAAAGTGATTGGAACATAGTAAGTGCTCAATAAAAAGGTGAAAGAATGAACAAATTAGTAAGGAACATTGCTGAGGATTCAACTACTGAGATCTGGAGTCACGTATGTGTGTTAGAGTTCCCTCTTCATTCTTACTAGCCCTGTGATATTTGAAACATTTATTAATTCCTATAAAAATATGTTTAGTACATTTCTTGTTGTTATGCACCATTCTCATGGAATGACTATACTAATGAGCAAGTTAGGTCATGAATAAATGAAAAATAATAAATGAATTAATTTAAAAGTGATGGTAATGTGTTGGTAAAGTGCTGTGAGAAAAGTGAGATGGAGTGTGACTCTGTGGGGCAAGGGTGATGAGCAAAGGCTGAGAGGAGGTGGAATTTAGGCAGGGACGTGATGGAGGAGAAGGAACCAGCCATGTTTAGAGCTAGGGGAAAAGATTCCAGGAGGGAAGCACAGCAGCTGTGAGCTCCTCTGAGCTTTGCGCTTGTCTTCCTTCATCTGTAAATTAGCATAGTAATAATAAATGCCACATAGAATTACTTTAAAGTTCGAATCAGATCAGTCACGGAAAGCACCTGTCCCACTATCTAGTTGATAGTGAGCACAAAGCAAATGTCAGTTGGTTTTATTATGAAGAATAAAGTAGATCAAGTTGTCCTTTTTTAAAGGGGGTCTTTAGTTATGGATATTTTACTTTACATAGAGACTCAGTCTCTCTTTGCTTATACCCTAAAAAAATTATTATAGAGCACCTACTATGTGTAAGTCAGTATTCTGGCGGCTGTGGAAGGCTAAAGTATCTAGGAACTAAGGTCTGCTTTTTTACACTCTACATTTCACTTCTGTTATTTATTACTGCTTTGTCTCACCATCCAATCTAGAAGTTACCTCCCCAAACACACACACGCACACACTCAAGCACACACACATCTCTCTTTATATTTTCCCTCTATTTGGCAGCTAGAAAATTCAGTGTACATGGCTTTTCTTGGGTGATGACCTTATAAATCATTTGAATCACAGTTGGTATTTCTGAACATTTGAAATGCTCACGGCAAGGAAGCCTTCACATTTCTGAAAGAAAGGCTGTCACAAATACTGAACTTTATTGAAAAAGGAGCCAGATGCTAATAGAAAATATAAATGTTGTCCAAGAAAAGGTTTGCATTTGTATATTAGGAATATTTTTTGTACATAATAGCTACATGTGGCTACATTTCTTTTCTTCATGTGGGTGTCCACTTCCAAGGAAATGATGATTGAAATGTTAGAAATGCAAAATTAATTAACACCTTGTATAGTTCATTTGGCTCCCGCAGACTCAGTAAAGGCTTTATTTGTATATAACTGTGTCTGTTGCCTATTTTTGACAAGTTTGGACAAAATATCTGCTCGACACTATTTCTGGATTTCTGTTGCTGCTGAGAATAGCTGCAAGGATAAGAGGTAGAATGAAAAGAGAATGAAAGACTCTAAAATGTTATTGAGAAGGATTATGCTTTTATTTGTATGATTATGGGTCAATCCTGGGTTTTTATTTAAAAAGAAAATATATTTTAAGGCTAATGGCTTGTTTTGAAAAACAAAGTAAATGACATTTTAATCATAATTTTTAAAACATAAAAATTGCATCTTTAAAGATGTTTTCGTAACTTGATACCAAAGACAACCTCCTTCAATAAAGCAAGACTGATTTAAATATGACATGTGGAAAAAGGGCCCCGAAAGCTTACCTTTACTCTCTTATCCACTATTTAATTGTTCTTTTGTCTTCATCATGCTTAGTTCTTTCTCTTTAGACAAAACAGTGCCTAAACTATCCCAAACAGGAGGGATCTTATCCTTTAAACTTACATTTTGCCTGATAAAACATGTTTGCAATGTGTATAAAATAAGAACATTTTTAGTATGTAGTTGTAGGTCTGATTGGAAAACAGATTTTATCAAGTTTATAGTTTGGTGACTCTATATTAGGATATATTTCTCTGATATGAGAATGACCATTTGTTATGTGTGTATATATATATGTGTGTGCATAAATATTAATGTGTGCATATTTGTGGGCATAAATATAAATATATAAATTAATGTGGGTATATGTGTGTATGTTTAAACCTTGATGAGAATTTTTGATTACTTGTAAACTTTCTCAATTATTTTTTACATGATGTTACCATTGCATTTCCAAAGTCATAGGTTGGAAATGTTTGGGGAACAGTTGGTTTATAAAGTATCAGAATTTAATGCTGTGTCTGAGGTTAATTATTGTTGGTAATTGTCTTCAGAAATACAATATGCTGGTAAAGTTGTTTTTAGATCCTAAGAATGCTATAGAACCAAGAACAACAACTACTCTTTGTTTATTAATTTAATATTTTTTGAGCACCTATCAAGTACCACATGTTGTGCTAAGTTCCAGAGTAGCAAACTGTAGTTGCCCTGGTCTTTAGCTGCCTGTCATATCGTAATCTTTCCTATTTCTCTTGGTATCAGCACGCCCTTTCCTCACTTTTGATCCCGTTGGGGTAATAATTATGATGCCAATGTCTCCTGAGCCTGTGGTGATAGGCATTTGACTTAGGCTGGGCTAATCGTGGTACCTGACATAAATTCACAGATGTGCCTATAACTTATAGGGGAATTAATCCGTGGGACATTTGGGAAAAAAAGGTTTGCTTTCTTTTGGAGTGACTAATCTGAGTTTACATAATCCAGAATGTATCAGTTAGTAAACTAGTAATTTTCCTTTTATGCCTAAATTAGAATTTGATTTCTATCTCTTGTAGCTAAAAGTCTTGATTAATGAAATTGTGGATGCAGAGATGTACAAAATAAGGTTTTAGTCCTTAAGTAATTCTGTTTGATTAGAATGGACTCATAAAACAATAGTTCCAATGTAATATGAAAAGCATTATTTTTGGTGTATGTATAGCAAAATGGAACCAGAGAGGAGAAAGAAACTTGGCTGGTGAAGGCTTCAGAGAATGATATTTGAGCTAGGTGTTAAATTATGTGTGGATAGTCATGAAAGCAAAATGAGAGAGAAGGGATAAGTAAGACCTAAGAAATAGTAGGTCAAAACATAGGAATCAGAAAATACATGGTGTATTGGGGAATTGCAAGAAGCTCTATATTTTCGCTGTTGTATGGACTGTGAACAGAAGTGGATGGTAGATGAAAGAGTAGTGGGTTGGGTTGCTTTTGGTACAATTTGAAAGATATGCACCTGTGGAAAAATCCCCTCCCAAAAGTAACAATAATACCAGGGGAATTTTTTGAAATCCTGTTAAAAATAGGATTTTAAAAAAGTTAAAATGTGAGTGTTAAAAACCTACTACCATTTCCCTGCCTTTTCTGTATGTACCAGCTGGTTTCCCAAATTTTCATACGCTGGCCCAGGTAATGGGTGAAGCAGGGGACTGGAAAAGGCAAAGAGGACAAATTATAAATGCTAAAGACATAATTGGGGGAGCAAAGATTACTTCTGGAGAAGTGAAACAATGGAAAAACGAAAAAGGGTGGGGGAAAGCCAATGAAAGTTGAGTTTTGAGGCTTTTAAATACATGAGCCTAGAACCTAAAAACCAGACATTGTGGGTAGCTATTGTATTGTGGGAGATGAAAAAGGATTGAGAGATTATATTTAAAACCATTGCTATGTGTTTTGAATGTAATGTTTCCCTTTGCCAGTGATATTAGTAAATGTTTTCTCAGTGATTTTCTTTCATTGTTATTGAATACATGTTTCTGTGGAACAGGACACTCATATTAAGGCTGTCCAATTTTTATCAGGTTATATAAAAACAAAGGACTTCTCTATGAATCTTCATTTTAGAAAAGGTCAACTGTACATTTCAAATCTTTAGTTTAATGAGGCTAATATATAGAAGAGTGTGATAGTTAATTTTATATGACTACTTGGCTAGGCCATAGTACGCACATATTTGGTCAAAACAAGTCTAGATGTTGCTGTGAAGTTATTTTTTAGACGAGATTAACTTTTAAATTAGTAGACATTGAGTAAAGTACTTACCTTCTGTAATATGGGTTGACCTCATCTAATAAGTTGAAGATTTTAAGACGGGGAAAAAAGACTCAATTTTTCTTTTTCCAGAGGAAAAGGATATTCTGCCTGCAGACTGCCTTCTGACTTGAGTTGAAACATCACCTCTTCCCTTATTCTTTAGCCTGCCAGCCCACTCTGCAGATTTCACTTTTAACCAGCCCCCACAATCACTAGAGCCAATTAAAGAATACACTTCTTCTTAAAGAAAAGTTTACTTGGCCAGGCACAATGGCTTACCCCTGTAATCCCAGAACATTGGGAGGCCAAGATGGAAGGACTGCTTGAGGCCAGGAGTTAAAGACCAGTCTGGTCAACAAAGCGAGATCCCCATCTCTATTAAAAAAAAAAAAAGAGAGAGAGAGAAATTTACTGGATGTTCCAGTATATAGAAAAACAGAAGATGCAAGCTACATAAACCTCTTTTTGACTTTGGGTACATTACTGGTAACATTGGTTCAATGAGCCTACATCAAACAAAAGGAAGATCCACAAGCCTTATTTTTAGAAATCTGAAAACAATAAATACTGGTACTAAGGTTATAACATATGATGATTCTTTTCCACTTTTACATGATTCTGTTGTCCTCTAACTGAAGAATTGTTTTCCAGAAATCTCAGACTCTACTTTTATTAATCCACACTTGCCTCCTGAGTGGCATCAGATATTGTATGTTGCTACTGTATTTGAAAATCATACTAGAATTTACTTCAGACTAAGCCCTGTTATGTAGTTGGAACTATATACACTTGGACATGCTATATGACAACACTGAAAATGGGTGTTATATATAAACTTCCCTCCATCTGGATATGTTTTAAATTCCACAGCAAATAGAAACATTTCCAAGACAGGAAGAATACTAATGAATAAACATTTCAGCCCTCCAGAGGTATAATTCATTTAGTCATTCATTCTAATACACTCATTCATTTAAAGTATGTATTCAGCATATGCTAGAAACCAGGCACTGACATAGGCACTAAGGATACACTAGTGAACAAGAGTTCCCTACCTTGTGAAGCAGGTAACAAGATATATCTGCTAATAAGATATATCCTCAACATACCAAACTCTTGTTAACATACCCCTAGACCAGGGGCATGTTAATGTACCAAAATTTTTCTGTGAAGGGTCAGATAATAAATATTTTAGGCCTTGTGGGCTATGTAGTTTCTATTGTAACCACTCTGATCTGCCACTGTAATGTGAGAGCAGCCATAGATAATGTGTAAACAAATGTGTCTACATGTCAATAAAAACTTTACTTACAAAAACAAGTAGTGGACCTAGACTGTAGATCATCTAATCTGGGTCTCTGACTTAATAACTTAGAGCAGAGACAAAAAGCTGCACGATACGAAAAGTTAACTTTAGAAGTCAATCCAGAAATCTTCATTTTGCAGATGAATTAAATGAGGTCCTGAGAGGTTGAGTGATTAGCTCCAGGTAACAAAGTAAACTAATGGCAGAACCAGAACTAGAACCTATAACTCCTGACTCTTAGTATAGTTTCTTTCTGTTTCACTAGATTGCCTCTCCTGTGCTGGAAGTCATAGGACTTAGTATAATGTTGTTGTCTATGTGAAAGAGAATATTTTTCTTTGGTTTCTTGGGTCCCAAATACTACTAGTTTTAAAAACACCTGTGCACTACCATCACTATCACCACTATCATCACTATCATCTCTACCATCATCACCAGCCTCACTATCATCACAACCACCACCACTACTAACATCACCAATATCATTATCACCACCATCATCATCACAAGAAACAACCAAAGACCACCACAAATACTCAGAGTCACAAAGCTGGGTTTATTTTTCTTGGTGCAGCAGGATCTGAGAGTTCATTTAAGTGTCATTGTGAAAGCACCTCAGTAAGGGGGTGTTGAGAGGAGCTTCTTATGGGGTTGGGTTTGTGCCAATGGTTCTAAGGATGGATTACAAAGCAGAAACTCATTCTGGATCGAATGCTATCAAGAAACAGAGACTTTGTTTTGAAGTCCTTGGGATTAAAAAAAAGAGAGAGAGAAAGAAACAGAGATGGGTGATGATTGAATTTCTTTATTTATTGTGTCTAGCTGGTGGGAGGATTATAGCAGGGGTAGAGTTGTGTTGATAAAGAAGTACCAATCACTCAGCTTAGCCAGAAGAGGGGCAAACTAGTCATTTTTGTGGCGGTGAGTGGCCATATTACTCTTTTGTTTCAAGCATCAGTTTTTTTACTTTCTTACTTGTATTTTCATACTTCAATAGCAATAAATAAAATCTAGTGTTTAAAAATTATAAAATTCAGATAGGAAAAAGAAGAAAATTAAAATCCTCCATCCATAGACAACAATAATTAACAACTTGGTACGTACCACTTTTCTATGTGTACATGCACATACATATATTTGCACAAGATATGAGATAACAGTATACATTCCAATTTAAACTACATTTTTACTTAATGTATAAAACAAACATGCTTCCATAAAAAGCATCATTTTTAATGAGTTCAAATATATTTCACTATGTGAGTCTGCCATAATTTATTTAACCACTTATTATTATATATTTAGAAGAAGGTTTCCAGTCTTTGCTATTATTAAAAACATAGGCATTTTTTTGTGCAAATTCCAAATACTTTCCTTGGGATAAATTCCTAGAATTAAGAATGTTAGATCACTGCATATATACATTTGAAGACTTTAAAAAAATCTTAGTAAATTTCCATCAGAAAATCTGTATAAATTTTTGCTCATGCATATAGTGTATGAGAATATTCCCAACCCTCCAAAAATAAAATATCCATTTTACTTAAAACTGACTCTAGCATAATGTCCTAAGAGCATAATTTTGTTCTTTTTACATAGAATTTATTCACATTTCGCATCAGTCCGATAAACTTCCATTGAGTACTAGTGTGGGCCAGTCACTGTGCTAGGTGCTGAATATAATCTGTGATTTTTCATAAAGTCAGTATCTTTACTTGTCACAGTCTAGATACATGACCATTAACCACTTTTATAGAAAAAGGTAAAAGGAAATGTAAATCTTGTTAGATGAGGTTTTATAGGAGGAGAATTCCATCTGTATTGTGGCACCAATAACAATCAATCCATTACAAATAATTTATCATCATCATCTTGGATGTGTGACATGAGTTAACATTTTCTCAAAATATTTTATTTAGTTCTGTACTTTAGGTAAGTTAATGTAACTTTTGTCTGTTTTTTGTCCAAATATTTATTGAACTCCTAAGAAAATATTAGTAATCACCATAAAATACATTACTGACTCATAGGCAAACTCCGAACTAGTTGTTCTGGACAAAAAAAAGTTGCTGGATATAAGTTCCATATCCTTGTTGTTCCACTGTTCAGTTAGGAATATTTGTCAAGTCTCTACCAAAAGAAATAACAACATAAGTATTAATATGTGAGGCTGCACTAGCTATCTTGAAAACAAAGCTTCATGTTGCAAGGAAAAATTAAAACTGGCAATTGAAATGTCTAAAATACACAATTGTAAAGTGAGATAATTTTTTTCTTTAGTTTTATTTTCTGCTGCACTTTCTTAAGATTAGGGAGGGGCTTCATTATTAACCAGATTCTTGCTTTCTATTAAAACTGGGCGAGCTTGGGCATATACACCGTCTTAAAATTCTATTGAATGTGTACACTTTTCATTTCCCTGTATCTTTTTTTCCCAATTCAGTGCATGTCAATAAACACTATTAGAGTTTTGTACTAACAGCTGTAGCTATTTTATAAATTAAAATAAATTCATAGAAGTTTATGCTTTCAAAAGATAATTTCATTTGACATTGATCTATCTTCAGAAGTGAAATATATCTGCTAATATCACACTTACGTTGTTTTCTCAATACTTTCTTTTGCTTTTTGAATTATTGTTGATTTCTTTCACATGAAAGTTATTTAAGCTGTAATGATCTGTTTTTAAAACAAATCATGATAATGACTGTAATTTGTATTCTTTACAAGCTACTTTAATTTTTAAAGTAGCACCGAATCATTCTACAAAAGTTTGGATTAAAAATAAAATATAAAATGCATTCAGCATATGAAATATTATTCCTTTGATATACTTTCATTGTATCCACATCATTCTAAAGTAATTTTATATATTTTATATTCATCAATTATAATAAAGATGAATTTTAATATGTGCAGAAAATCATAATCATACATAATATGTATGTCCTAGTCTTCTTTTTCATTATTATGATTTTCAAATTGCTACTTTATAACCTAAAGTGACAACTAAAATTATCATTGGCACCCTGAATTTTAAATATGCTAATAAATTAATTGAGTTGGCTTTGTTGCTTTTATGTAACTTTGCAAGTTTTGTGTGTTGAGAGTGATATAAGTTCAAAGATCTCAACGTGAATCATTACTGAGACAGTTATAAATATCATTAATTGTTTAATTTTGGTATTTATATTTTGTAAGTGAAATTAATTTGAAGTAACTGGTATACTTTGTTATTCTATTATTCATTTTGACTTAACAAATGCATATTGAACAGCTACTCTGCATAAAACATTGCATGAGGGGACAGTCCGTACTTCCCATACTTTCATAAAAGAACCATTTTTTTTGGCAAAATCTCTTTCTCTTTACTCTCTTTTCCTCTTTCTCTCTCACACACACATACACACACACAGAATTTATTCAGCAAAAGTAAAATATATATATATATAATCAGTTTTTAATGTTTACGATTTTTTATTCTTCAATTCACAGTAAACTTTTCTGGGGGGGGGTACAGTAGTATATATTTTGCTAGTAGGTAGAGTCCTGTGTTCACCACCACAATCAAGCTACTAAAGAGTTTCATCACACACACATACCAATTTCTCATGCTGCCCTTTTGTAATTGGCCCCTCCTCCACTTCAATCCCTGGGAACCACTGATCTGTTCTCTGCCTGACAGTTCTTGCCTTTTCCAGAATGTCATATAAATGAAGTCATCCAGTGTATAGTCTTTGAATGGGTTTTCTTGCACTTAGAGCATAATGCATTTGAGATCATTGACGTTGTCATACATATCAGTAGTTCCTTTTTATTGCTGAGCAATGTTGCACTGAATGTATGTGCAACTGTTTCACTAATTGGGGGACATTTTGGTTGTTTTCAGCTTTTAGCAATTATGAATAAAGCACTTGAAAACATTAGCTTACATACAGCTATTTTGGTAAATATAAGTTTTTATTTCTTGTGTATAAACAGGAGTGGGATTGCGGGTCATACGGTAAGTGTATATTTAATTTTAGAAGAAACAGCCAAACTGTTTTCCAAAGTGGCTGTGCCATTTTACATTCCTACCAGCAATGTGTGAGAGTTCCAGTTGCTCTGCCTCATTGCCAGACTTATGACTGTTAGTTCTATCGATTTCAGCTATTTAAATAGTTGTATGTTGTATTGCATTGTGGTTTTAATTTTTTCATTGTCCTAATGACTAATGACACTAAGGTTATTTTCCATTTGTATATTTTCTCTGGTGAAGCATTTTTTAAAAACCTTTGACCATTTTAAAAATTGGGAGATTTTTTAAAATGTTGAATTCTGAGAGTCATATACATATATATTCTGGATACAAGTCACTTGTCAGATATGTGATTTGAAAATAAATTACTTAAATATGCTTGCTGTTTTATTCTCTTAACACTATTAAGAGAATAAGCCTTATTTAACAATTTTTTATTTTGGGTCTCATGCTTTTGGTGTCATACCTAAAATCCCTTTGCCTAATCCAAGGTCTTAAAAAATTTCTCCTGTGTATTCTTGTAGATGTTTTTTAAAGGATGGCTTAATGTTCAAGTCATCCTAGACAGAACCTTGCTGATTCTGTTAGGTCTTTGGACACTGAACCTGATTGTCTAGGTTTCTATCTTGGTTTTGAGACAACCCAAGTGAAAGTGCTACGTAAATTCTAGAATGCCGTAGACTTTTACTTATGTTTCCTTACGTTTAACATTATGAAAACAGGAACTGCTATTTACTTATATGTGGATCACAACCTTGTGCATCATTTCCCAAGTTCCCTGCACCTCTGCTCTTTCTAGCTCAGTAAAATACACCATGGTGCTTATGAGTTCTGGATCTAAGTAGATCTGCCTTTTGATAAATCTGGCTCTGGGACCCACTAGCTGAGAGAATTTGGGAAGGCTATGTAGTTCAAGTTTCAGTTTCCTCTATGAAGTACAAGACTCAATCCTTCCCAGTGTTTTAGCAAATCTATTATTGTTAGTAATTGTTGTCATTTGTATTGAAATGCTGCCTTGCTCCTTCCATTCTCCTTCAGTTATTAAATCACACAACAGTCCAGGAGTTGAGGTTCTTTCCTTGTTGCCAGTCTTCCCTGTTGTTGGCCAGCATCCCAGATATCCCATTGCATGCACCCTCTACCTACAGAGACTTCACCCCACCCAGTTGCCTCTCTGATGATGATAATCACCAGTTGTGCCAAAAGACACCATGTGTCTCTAGACATTAAATTCCACCTGCCCAATCTGTCCCTCTCCACCACCTACTCTTCCCTGACATTCACTACAAGTTACAGCAAATGCTGATTCCCAGGTCCGAGCTCTTCGTAAGGTTGCCTGTACTCCACTCTCCAACTCAGAAACTCTCTCCAATAGATCTATTTTGCCTCTTCTCACTTTCAAAAAAACTTTGTCAACTCTTTTTTAAGTTCTTAATTAAAAGACAAAACTCATATCATAAATTCACCACTGGTTTCTCCTTGCATGGGATTGAAATATCTTACTTAAGTTTAGGAAGTTCATAACAGACTGTATAGGTAACTTCCTGCCCCTCTTGATTTAAAATGGCTGCTATGCATAAAACATTCCACTTCAGTGAAATGGGATTGAGGAAATTATGGGGTGGCAATAATTTGAACATGATGGGTATTGAAAAGTTTCATGTTCCAGAACTGTGGGTATGTCGAGGCAAAGCCTGACTATTTTAGCTATAAAACCAACTTCTGAACTGTACAGAGGTTTATTGTCTCGGGTCACATACGATTTCTTTTGTGAAAGGTTCTTTTATTTGTTTGGGAGTTGGAGATACTGCTTACGTTGCTCTGTAGTGTTTTGAACGCCATCATTTTTCCCCTTTGTAAATACAGGAGTTTTCTGTGTGTTTTGAAGTCTGTTTTCATCTTCTTTCATCTCTTCTCACTCTTGAAACTAAAGTAAGGATGTGAGAGATGTAACATCTCCACTCACTTCCCCACCCAGGAGCTGTGATTTTTCAGAGGAAGAGAGAGAAGTGCCTTTTGATTATTGTTCAGGGGCAATTGCGACATCTTCCTGGAAAGTTAAGCACAAGGGGAGATCAAATGCTCTAGTTTGAAGTCTAGTTGTATTCGCAGCTCACGTGAGAAAAATGTGAAATCAAGGAAAAAAACACCCGAATAAAAGTAAACTAAAATCCAAATGATAGTGAAGTTCGAGCAACATATTGTAGAAATGTGAAGAAATGACATGCTGTAAGCCAGTGGAAGATGGATACTAATAATTTATTATCAAGTGTATGGATATGTTAAAAAAAAAAAAAACAGCACCAGGTAGAATCTGCTTCTTAGGCTCTTGGACCACCATGCAGTTAGCTTCTGCCTGCTGTTCCACGGAAAGTCTCTCTGGAATCATCTACTACCTCATAGGTAGAGGCAGAATCAAAGCGGGTGCCAGCTGCCCATCTTAATGAATCAGTGCTGATGGGGTGCCAGGAAATAAATTTCTTATCCTGGGGATGGTTTAAAAAGTGAGATTTTTAAACAAAATTGTGCCTGAACCATTGAAGTCTTTGGTTAGCCCATCAGGGTTTTGGTTGTCCTTCTATTTGTTCTCCTAGGAAGGGCTGTTATCACTTTTCAACATCTTATGTTCTCTTTTATTAATGCTTTGGGCTCCTTTTGTGATTATGAAATGGTTTGAGCTGTGATTTTTATGATTCATGTCACTTTGGTGTTTATCAGGACTGCATGTTGCTGGGTACAGTTTATCAAAACTGCGTGTCTCAGGCTCGGGCCTGTACTTACAGCATTTTGAGGGGCTGAGGTGGGAGGATCACTTGAGCCCAGGAGTTAAAGTCCAGCCTGGGCAGCATGGCAAAACTCCATCACTACAAAAAATACAAAAGCTAGCCTGGTGTGATGGCATGCGCCCATGGTCCCAGCTACTAGGGAGGCCCAGGTGGGAGGATCACTTGGGCCCAGGAGGTCAAGGCGGCAGTGAGCCATGATAGCACCACTGCACTCCAGGCTGGGTGACAGAGCACGATCCTATTTCAAAGCAAAACAAAACAAGACAAAAAACAAAACAAAACAAAACAAAAACCCTGCATGTTGTGGTGGTAAATCTTGATGTCAGAATGAGCGGAGCACCTAGCTCCATCTTGGGAATTTTCCCATTGCCAGTGACCTGGAACTGTCTCTTACATGATGTCAACAGCCCTAAAGGAGGTAAGATACAGAGTGAGACCCACCACACCACTAGATAAACATCTTAAAACTGAGGTGAAGGTCACAGATGTTAGTTCCGGCATCTTGTAGTAATACCTTTACTCCCTAGGAGAGGTTGTCAGATACGAATGATTGGGGACACACTTAACAGTATGGATGGTGTGAGTAAACTTGTATTCCTGGAGCAAGATGACCCTACTTATTCTTGCACAATGATTAAAGAAGAGACTATATGCTGAAATGCATTAGATCTGCATATGCCTTATTCCTGGGCACAGCTGGACCCACAGTAGAGCAATGCTCTTGGGAAGGGGCTCTAACTCTCCTGTTATTATCCTTTGTACTAAGTGGAGAGAGCAAATAATATGCAGTATAGATCTGCATACCAACTACTCAAGGAGTCACAGACAGATATCTTGCAGCTGGCTACCTGCTATCATGGATATCAAATCCCTGGCGTGATAGAACCTGCACACCTTGTACGAAGCTGAAAATAATAGAAATCCCTCCCATTGGAGAATGAGGAGCCACTAATCTCAGGCAGCTTCTTGTCAGGCAATGTGGAGGTAGCCTCCAATATTATACAACAGAAACTCCTATTTACCTCTCCAAAATAATACATGAAAAAGAGAATAATACATTGTGAGGACATATGTTAATTTTTGCATTTATAGCAAGGGAAGGAGGATAGAATATGGGTATATAGTCAGAAACAGACGAGGTTATGGGTGTGGTGGAGGAATTGAGGTAATTCCACACAACAGGTTTTGTTTTGTTTTGTTTTGTTTTGTTTTTGAGACGGAGTCTCACTCTGTCGCCCAGGCTAGAGTGCAGTGGCACTATCTTGGATCACTGCAAGCTCTGCCTCCCGGGTTCACACCATTCTCCTGCCTCAGCCTCCCAAGTAGCTGGGACCACAGGCGCCCGCCACCATGCCCGGCTAATTTTTTGTATTTTTAGTAGAGACAGGGTTTCACCGTGTTAGCCAGGACGGTCTCGATCTCCTGACCTCGTGATCCGCCCGTCTCGGCCTCCCAAAGTGCTGGGATTACAGGCATGAGCCACCGCGCCCCGCAGCAGGTTTCTATTTTCTTTGTAAACAGCAGGTTAGGTCTTTTGTTGAGAATGAAGTGAGCAGCATCTGGTTCAGAGGTTTGAGGAAGGTGGAGAAGTATAAAAATAGTCACTGTGGACAATAGGAAAGAGATTTGCCTGGAGAAGAACTGCAGGATTTCTGGACAGTTAGAGTTGGAGGCCATGAATTTTTAATGGTATCAATCTCAGTGGTTGTGTGATTTTTCTCTAGCAGTGATGAATCAGCAGTCCAGGTATAAATATGAAGAAGGCAGACTTTGGGATGAAGCAGGGTTGAAAATTTATCTTATGGCATTGTGTCAGGGTGGTTACATTTAATATTACCATTTTTTGCCATTACTTTTAATGGCAAAAACCACTATTATTTTTGCACTAACCTAATATATTGGGTAGAGAAAAATTGTGATGATGTAAGTATTTAGGACATGGCCATAAGTTTGAAGTGGAATGGGAATAAAGATAATGAAATGAGGCAATGGAAAAGCTAAGAGTCTTAGAAGTGTGGCTTAGACCCCAAAAGCAGACCAAAATACCAAGGAAACAGTGAAACATTTCTTGCTGAAGAAAGAATCAATTACGTGTAAAATTAAGGACATATGAAGTAACTTCATGGCAATAACTATTTCATGGTTATTTTTGCGGTTTCCTCCTTTTACTTGTACCCCACAGGGACCTCTTATTTTCTCCAGCTGGAACTGTGTCAGAGCTAGATGGGAGTCTGCAGTTGTTCACTGAGGAGCCATAATGGTTACAAATACTCAACCATCATACAGGTCGATGGTTTCTCAACTCACACGGATGAGTGAAAAAGTAACGAGAAGCTGAGAGAAGAAAAGTTGGGCTTCCAATGACAGGAGAGAGTGAAATGAAGAAATGAAAGTTCTTGCAAGAGAGACATAGCCTTTAGTGAGGCCAATACAGCACATGGTCAGGCCATAGACCAAAGTCAATTGCTTAGCTCACCTGTGCTTATGTCTCGGCCCAGGCCCGTCCCACCTGCAGATCCATCCCACAAAGTTTTCCACCTGAATGTGAAGTACATTCACTGATTTATCTAACTCACATCCTCGTACATCTCTGTATGTTAGAACAGAAGGTGGAACACTTAGAAAGATAGTGGGATAAGAAAGCCCTGCTCTTGATCAGGATTGAATTATATAAAATTAGTTTTAAATCTGCTTCTGAGTTGTGGAACAGAAACTCACAAGACTCCTGCAATCAGAATTATTATTATTATTATTATTATTATTTATTATACTTTAAGTTCTGGGATACATGTGCAGAACATGCAGGTTTGTTACATAGGTATACACGTGCCACGGTGGTTTGCTGCACCATCAAGTATCTACATTACGTATTTCTCCTAATGCAATCCCTCCCCTAGCTCCCAACCCACCGACAGGCCCCAGTATATGATGTTCCCCTCCCTGTGTCCCTGTGTTCTCATTGTTCGGATCCCACTTATGAATGAGAACATGCAGTGTTTTGTTTTCTGTTCCTGTGTTAGTTTGCTGAGAATGATGGTTTCCAGCTTTATCCATGTCCCTGCAAAGAACATGAACACATCCTTTTTTATGGCTGCATAGTATTCCATGGTGTAATAGTGCCATATTTTCTTTATCCAGTTTATGATTGTTTGGCATTTGGATTGATTCCAGGTATTTGCTATTGTGAACAGTGCTGCAATAAACATATGTGTGCATGTGTCTTTATAGTAGAATGATTTATAATCCTTTGGGTATATACCCAGTAATGGGATTGCTGGGTCAAATGGTATTTCTGGTTCTAGATCCTTGAGGAATCGCCACACTGTCTTCCACAATGGTTGAACTAATTTACATTCCCACCAACAGTGTAAACGCCTTCCTATTTCTCCCCATTTTCTCCAGCATCTGTTGTTTCCTGACTTTTTAATGATTGCCATTCTAACTGGCATGAGATGGTATCTCATTGTGGTTTTGATTTGCGTTTCTCTAATGACCAGTGATGATGAGCTTTTATATATATATATATATATATATATGTTTGTCGGCTGCATAAATATCTTCCTTTATCAGAATTATTTTTAAAGGTAGTTTTGAAAAAGAGAATTTGGGACTATACTACAGAAAGTCTTAAATTTCAAGATAAGGAATTTAGACCTTATTCTAAGATTCTAAACTAAAGCTCTCCCTTTTGGGGACAGAAAGATAACATGGTGGAAGTAGCACTTTTAGAAGATTCATGAGATGCTGGTGGATGGATGAAGTGTGTGTTTGTTTCACCTTACATCAATGGGAAATTTATCTTTTGTTCACTATCAACAGATCTTGTTGTTTCTTCCTAAATAATGTCTTTAAATAGATTTCCCTTTTCTTCTATTATGCTCTCAATTTCATATACAGCCACTATCATTTTACGTTTTTTTCTCTTCATTTGCTCTCAGACATCCGACTTTCCTCCATTAGCTTGAAATTGCCAGTTATTTTTGTCTTTTTAGTAACTTCTGTGGAAGAAGATCACCCATTGAACTAATCAAAACCCTCTCAGTGGTCTCATTTTAATTAAATAAAAATCTCCAATCATGAGTTCAAGGTACTTCTATCCATTCCTTTTCTAATTTAATTTCCTTTATTTCTTAGGATTGCCTCCTTTACTGTATGTTTTCCACTGAGATGAAGATTTTGGTCATTTCCTCATTCATGTTCCTGCTTTTCAAAACCCAAGCAAGAAAGGAAACTTCTACAGTGACTTTCTCATTATGAAATCTTAGCATTCACTAGTCGGCCATAATGGAAAACCAGCCAAATGGACACATATACACTGGTCTGTACCCGCAGAGAAAGAAATGCAAATCTCTGTGATCAGAAAACTATCCTATCTTGTACATTGTTAAAAGTCTGCCTCCAAAAAGTTTACTTCTGGAATACTGTAATTGAATAGAATCAGGGATCCTACCTGTGTCCTTCAACTTTCACATCTTGTCTACTCAAGTAAGGGTTGAATTTGCATGACTATATCTAAGGTTCGAGGGCTTACCTGTTGGCAGTAGACCCAGTAGTCTATGAATGGAAATGGGCAAACCTGTGACCTCCCAAAACTTTAATATGAAAGTTTTGTTTGTGTATACTCATGGCATTATTCTTTTAATAAAGAGATAATCTATATAGTTTTCTTTTTTAAAAGATACTTTTATTTCTTTATTGTTGGGAACTGACACAGCTAATTTCTTTCTGAAGAGGTTCTTTGGTTGAGAATGGTAGCAACTAGTTTGATGTGGCTGGTGAGAGTCAGCAGTCCCCCACAATCTTACTTTCAGGTTTTAATGAAAGAAATCTCCGACAAAATTTTTACACACATAAAGACATTTACTAAACAACCAAACATTAGTAAGCAGGCAGAAAATAGCTTCTATAACTGGGTCTGTCAGCTTGAAGAAGGCACGGCTCTTTGTTCTTTTAAATTCTTCAACCTCCATACTAGATGAAAGGGTCACTCAGGATAACACGACAGGATCTCTGGAAGCTGGCTTTTGATATTCTAATAGTCACATTGATTTGCAAAGGTTGGGCATAGGTCTGCTTATTGGGCAAACTTTGATATCTTTCCTAGGAATTCAGAAGACACACCACTGTCTTCTATTTTGCTCATGCGAGGGATTGGAGGGAGGATGGGTCTCATAGTATTTTACCCAATAAACATTTATTGAATATATTTAATTTTACCAATACAAGCCCAATTCTAACATTTTCCATGTTAATTAAACCAATAATTTTACCAGTAAAATCATTTTTCTGACATTTTCTATGTTTAGGTGATAATCAAGATGTGGAAAACAGAAGCACTTGGAATGGTCACTTCTGATTTGTGGATTTA
This sequence comes from Homo sapiens, assembly GCF_000001405.40. Lineage (NCBI taxonomy): Eukaryota > Metazoa > Chordata > Mammalia > Primates > Hominidae > Homo > Homo sapiens. The sequence continues at coordinate 176,603,452 of NC_000003.12, read as the reverse complement.
TGATAAGACTTTATAGAACCTTCACTGGAATATGAATTTATTATTAGGGAAACTGTCAGTCCCTACAGTGGGATCATAAACTAACTTGTATGTACATAATATTATACTGCCTCTACTTAAGTATTTTATTTATTTTTATTTTTAAAATAAAAAACAGAAATGTATTTCTCCACACTTCTGGAGACTGGTAAGCCTAACATCAGGATGCCAGCAGACTCTGGGTTAGTGTATGGTGAAGGCTGCTCTCTTCTTCCAAGATGTCCTCTTCTCACTACAGCCTTACATGGCAGAAGGGCAAAAAGAGACTAATGCTGTATCCTCACATGCAGAGAGATGGAAGGGCCAGGCAGCTCTTGGAAACCCCTTTTATAAAATCATTAATCCCATTCACAAGGGTGGAGCCCTCATGACTTAATCACTTCCCAAACATGATTTAAAAATTTTTCATTTTTTCATTATTATGGGTACATAATTGTTATATATATTTATGGGGCACATGTGATGTTTTGATACAGAGCACAACGTATAATAATTATATCAGGGTAACTGGGTATCCATCACCTCAAGAATTTATCATTTCTTTGTGTTAGAAACATTCCAGTCCACTCTTTCAATATTTTAAAATATACAATAAATTACTGTTGACCGTAGTCACCCTGATGCGCTATCAAATACTAGACCTTATTCATTCTATCTAATTATACTTTTGTACCTATTAACCATCCTCACTTTTTCCCCTCCACCTTGATCCCCTTCCCCTTCCCAGCCTCTAGTAGCCAATATTCTACTCTCTGTCTCCATGAAATCAGTTGTTTTTCATTACCCCAATATGATCTCTGCTGGGATCAATAGTTAATCCCTGTTCTCATCCCCAGCCCTTGATGACCATTAGTCTACTTGTATTGGGTACTTTCACTGCACCCAATTTGTAGACTTTTATCCCTCACCCCCCGCTTCCCACCCTTTCCCCCAAGTCTCTGTAGATTTGACTATCTTGCTTTTTAAAAATAATATGCAATGGAAATCCCTCCAACTCAAATAAGTAGTCTCTAATTCTTTGCTTTGAATGTCTGTACATTTTTCCAGGGCGTAGATACATAGTATTTTATTCAGTTATTTTGCTAATCAGTAAATGTGAGCATGTTTGCCTTGTTTTAAGACCTTGAATATCTTCTCTGTGCATGCTCATTCATATGCTTTGCCATTTTTTTCTGTTGGGATATTTTCTTCTCTATGTCAATTTATAATGGCTCATATATCATTGATATGAGCCTTTTGTCTATTTGTTGTATTACAATTTTTTCTAGGTCTATTAATTTTTAATTGTATTATGCTGAGAATGTGGCTGTAAAATCTTTACTTAAAAAAAATCACTAGGATTGTCTTTGTGACCAAGATGACTAATTTTTATAAATATTACAGGGACACACATTTACTGAAATCCTCTTGTTTATTTTGAGGCATGTATAGTTCTTAATATATGTTAGCTCACATTTAATGAATTCTATTATTCAATTTTTATCTGACTCAAACCTACTACATCTGTCCATTTCTGACAGAAACATATTGAAGACTCTCACGGTAATTAACTTTTTATTCTTTGCTATCCTGGCACCTTAAAAAGGTTTGATTTTGTGAGCTACCAGCTATATTGGTTGTTATATACATGTTTATGACAACTACACAGCCACTTTTTTCACTATCTTGTACTAACTGATTCATAATTATATAATATCCATTTTATCTGACTAGTATATTTAATGTTATATCCCATTCTGGTTGATACTGTATACCCCTCCCCAGTTCATCCCACTTTCTGTTTGGTTTTCTTTACATGATACCTCTTTGCTTATACTTCATTAAGCTTTTAAAAAATTACTTATTTTGAAACAGCCTATAGCTGGTCTTCCCCCCGACTCCTTGACTACTACTACTCTTTTAAAATTTATTTTGTCTCACTTTCTCTTCATTACTTAGATTCTGTTTAAATTTCTTTCTTTTTTTTTTTAAATTTCCATAGGTTTCTGGGGAATAGGTGGTGTTTAGTCATGTAAATTCTTTAGTGGTGATTTGTGAGATTTTGGTGAACCCATCATCTGAGCAGTATACACTGTACCCAATTTGTAGTCTTTTATCCCTCCCTTTCCCCCAAGTCCCTAAAATCCATTGTATCATTATTATGTCTTTGCTTCCTCATAGTTTAGCTCCCACTTATGAGTGAGAACATACGATGTTCGGATTTCCATTCTTGAGTTACTTCACTTAGAATAATGATCTCCAGTTCCATTCACGTTGCTATAAATGCCATTATTTCATTCCTTTTTATGGCTGAAGAGTATTCCATGGTGATATCTATGTATCGATCTCAAAAATTCTGTTTTTATTTCTATATTTTATTTTTCTTTATTGTTTCTGCTTTGGTCAAGTTTCTGTTCCGTCTGCTAGCCCTCCGCTTTATTAATTTGAAAGTATTTTTTAAAATCCTATTTATTGTTACACTTGGATTACATTTACTACTCTTTTACCTAATTTCTTTATTTTTGGTAAGATCATTTAGTAACAATACTAGGAATAACTAACATTTATTGATTTTTTTTTCTTGATTAGGAAATTTTCTAAAGTGTTTTCCTCAGAGGTAGTACGTAGGTGATATATTCTCTGATGTCTTGTACTTCCTAAAATATTTTTCTTTCACCTCAACCTGTAATTAATTTATCATTTGCATGTAGGATTCTTGGACTATAATCATTTTTTTTTCAGTGGTTCTGTGAATGCTATTCCACTGGCTATTATTCACTCTGGATTGAAGGTGAGATGTCTGGTACTAGTATGAATTTGATTGGATAATTTATTACATTTACATTGATAGGTAAAGACTTACTACTGCCATTTTATTGCTTCTGGAGTTTCCTCAAAATTACTATTTTGAATTCTTGATCTGAAAAATCTCACATTACTATCTCTTTAGGTTTGGTTACTGGGTCATTGTTTTTTCCATTTGTGAATGTCATGGTTCCCTGTTTTCTCTCTCTCTCTCTCTCTTTTTTTTAATAAACATATGTCATGTCTTCACATGGAAGTGTTAGTTATTCCAGTCTTTGTTGTCTGGCTTGGCTTGGTCTTTTACAAGTATACCTGTCTAAAGGTTTTATGCAGATTGACTATTGGGTTCCTTTAGTTCAAGACTGCTGCCTCCTTTTAGGCACTTGATAGGACACTAAGTCCAGGTTTACTGTGGCCCTCACAAAAGTTTGGAGCACTGCCCATCCCCGATGGGGTACTCTGGCTGTGTGAGAAGACTGGCTAGGGGTTTGTGTCCAGAGGACCTATGGAGCATGCCTCTTACAGCGTGGTGCTGCTGAACAGCATCTCTGATTTGGCATCTCCTTTGGCTGACATGAAGAGCAGCCACTGAGTTTCTCATGCCGGGGGTTACTAGCCCCACCTCCACTCTTTATTTCCAGCTGCCCTCAGAATTATTCACCCTACAGGCACTCTTGATGCTTTCCATAGATTGAAGCAGGAACAGTTTTCCTGTGAAGGAACTCAAGGTCATGGGGAAGCTGGATGTCTGCCTCAAGCTCACTTTTTCCAGTGAGTCCAGGAGGACTTTTCCATGAAGTGCCTGGAAGTTTGGGCGAGAGGCGAGAGGTGTTATGGCTAGACAGTTCCATTTATCTTACTTTCTGCTCATAGTTTTTCACTTCTCTGTGGCCCCTGGGATTATCACAGACTCAGTTTTGAGTCCTGGAATATTGCTGGTGATAATTTTGGCACTGGGTAGTTGGTGGTGGTTTTCTGTGGAGGAGAGTGAAGCCAGATTGCTTCTACTCCTCTATTTTCTAGTCATCCTCAGTTTGGCTTTAATTTCCCTTTATTAGCTAAGTGATTCTTTCAGCTGGAAAGTCTGTGAAATTTTTAAAAAATGTATCTTCCAAGTTCATGAAGTTACCAAGGCATGCTTAGTTGCACGTCTTTTCTCATCAATCCAGCCCTTAGTGAGTCCCTTGAATTTTTAGACTCAGGTCTCTTCCTTTCCTTGGGAAATTTTCCTTCTAATATTAGTTTATTTTCTTTTCTTCCATCTGCTCCTGTTTTTCCTCTGGAGCTAACAAAATATTCTTATGTTAGTTCTTCTGCATTTACTTTTTAATTGTCTTATTTTATTTTTACCTGGTGATTTTCATCTCCTTAATTTGCTCTGTATTTTAAGACAATGTGAGAGTTCTCACACTTAACCTTCCAAATCACTAATTTGGGCCTCAATAGTGCTTTATCCTTCAACTCATCTGTTGAATTTTTTAAATTTGGAAATTGTAACTTTTAGCTCCAGGAGGTCTTCACGTTTCACTTGAAAAATTCTCAAGTGAATATATTTTCATTCAGATCCTAAGTTATCTCCTCTAGCAGTTCTATATCACAGGATATGTATTCTGATTATTTTTCTGGATCAACTCTAGCTTTTCAGCCCCTTTAGCTTAGTTGACATTTTTTCTTGGACTTGCTGGGCTGAGGTTTGTCATATACAGTATTGTAAACAGCAAGAACCTTACTTGAGTGTCTGAATTACTGGTGCATAATTGTGTAGGTTTTCAGGCCCTGTTAAGTTGCAGATAGTTATTCCCTGATCTCTGCTTTTACTGCTCTTTCCTCATTTCAGGGTTAGCCTTTCCATCTCCTGGTCTTCTGTAGTCAGAGAAACCTACCATACTTCTTGGAGGCATCTGATCTCTGAGAAGCAGTTTAATCCCAGGATCACAACCTTTTGTCTTTGGTTCTAAGCTCTGAAGCTATTTTTCAGGTGCTTTTCTAAGTACAGGGAATAAAGTTTCTTATTAATTATTTCTGCTATGGTGATAAAGGAGTTGAGATCTTATTTGAGCCAAGCTATGTTTAAGTCTCTACAGGCCAGAGACACAGGTAGACATGATTTCAGACTGGGTCTGAAGAGATGTAAATATAGCATCATTATTTATGGAACATAAACCAATTGTTCCATGTGCTCTAAAAATACATCTCTAAATGATGTAGAATTGGGAAGAGACGGAAAGGAGCCACTGTCATGATGGCCTGCATTCCTTATCCCTTGTCTATTTGGATCGAAATGGACTACAACTGTTTCTCTGGATAATAACAACATATGTGCTAAAGTCATGTGTTCTCCATGTCTTTAATGCATTTGTCTGGGAATGACTTTGTATATGGATGACAATGCCTATTAAGATTCATAGGACTGTCCATCTAATCTACCAGACAGTGGGCTGTAGTTTCCTCCTACTACAACAAACTTTTTTTTCCCCTGTAGGGCAAAATATTATAAATCCAGCTTATTATACGGGCTCTGGCAGATACTTATCCCTTTTTAGGAAAAAAAAAAAAAAGTACATAACAAACCCTCTGTAAGTCTTTGATCTTTAAAAGTGTCTTTATCCTAAATGGCTGAGCAGTATGAAAAATTGATTTTTTAAAAAGCCTTTTCTATCTGCTAAAACATCTGATTGTTAGAAAGAGACATTTAAAAAAAAATAATAACTTCAGAAATCCTGACTGGGTCTTAAATCCCCTCACTACAGAATTTGAAAGAACGTTAAAGATCCTTAGTCCAATTTCTCATTAATGCCAAGTGGTTAGTTGGTTTCTACCTGAATTCCCTGGAGAGGCTAATTTAATACCCCATGGGTAGTCAATCCATTTATTGGAAAACTCTGACTGTTAGAAAGGTCTTGATAGATTGAAGTTGAATCTATCTCTTTGCAAACTATAACCATCGATTCCAGTTCTACCTTTGGAACATCTATTTTGCAGAAGAACATTATTCTTATAAAAGCAAGATTTTATCATCTAAAGAAAAGCACATGTACTTGCAGAGTTTTCTAAGAAAGTATATGTGCTTACATGCTATTATTGTTTGGAAGCTTAAATGCTATTTTGACCTTTCATGTAATTTTAATTTTGAATATTCTGAACTAACTGGGCAAGATAGGCATATACAATTGACCCTTGAATAAACCAGGTTGAAAATCCACATATAACTTACGATTTCCCAAAAACTTACCCTCTAAGACATACTGTTGACTGAAAGCCTTACCAGTAACATAAACAGTTGACTAACACGTATTTTTATATGTGTTATATACTGTATTCTTACAGTAAAGTAAGCTAGAGAAAAGAAAATGTTATTGAGAAAATTATAAGAGAAAATATATTTACTATTATTAAGTGAAAATGGTTTATCATAAAGACCTTCATCTTCGTTGTCCTCACACTGAGTAGACTAAGAAGAGAAGGAAGAGGCAGGGTTGGTCTTGCTGTCTTAGGGGTGACAGAGGTGGAAGAAAATCCATGTATAACTGCATCTGTGCAATTCAAAACTGTGTTGTTCAATTGTCAACTGAATATTGATCTAACCTTATGAAATTTAATTATAAAACTTAGGATTTTAGCACTGGAAGTAACTTTACATATATACAACCTAGCACATTAAACATTTTTTTTTTTTTTTTTTTTGAGACGGAGTCTTGCTCTGTCACCCAGGCTGGAGTGCAGTGGCTGATCTTCGCTCACTGCAAGCTCTGCCTCCCAGGTTCATGCCATTCTCCTGCCTCAGCCTCCTGAGTAGCTGGGTACAGGCGCCCACCACCATGCCTGGCTAATTTTTTGTATTTTAGTAAGAGACGGGGTTTCACCGTGTTAGCCAGGACGGTCTCGATCTCCTGACGTCATGATCCACCTGCCTCAGCCTTCCAAAGTGCTGGGATTACAGGCACAAGCCACCGCATCCGGCCAACTTTTTTTTTTTTTTTTAAACCTAGGGGGATACTGAAGTCCAAATAAATCAAGTTTCTTTAAAAAGTCAGTGCCATTCCTGCCTAAAATTCAGACCTCCTCACCTCTCATGTAACAGTTTTAAAACCTACTACAATAACTAGAGATTAAAGAAGGATTCAATGGATGCTAAAAGGTAGATAACAAAGAGTATTGAAATGATTTATAAGTGTCAGAGACTAACATAGACAGATTTGAGATACAGAAAAACAATAAATATCTTTTTTTTTTTTTGAGATGGAGTTTCACTCTTGTTGCCCAGGCTGGAGTGTAATGGCACGATTTCAGCTCACCACAACCTCTGCCTCCTGGGTTCAAGTGATTCCCTTGCCTCAGCCTCCTGAGTAGCTGGGATTACAGGCATGCACCACCACATCTGGCTGATTTTTTTGTATTTTTAGTAGAGATGGGGTTTCTCCACGTTGGTCAGGCTAGCCTTGAACTCCCGACCTCAGGTGATCCACCTGCCTCGGCTTCCCAAAGTGTTGGGATTACAGGCATGAGCCACCGCACCCGGCCTAAGAAACAATAAATATCATTATGGAAGACAAACTAGTTACTGCCGTGTACTATAGCACTTTAAAAATAAGTCCATTAATAATAAACCCTGTCTCTAAGAAACCTGCAAACTTCTTATAGAGATAAAACCTAAGTAATTACCTAGTATTCAGTGCTGTCCAAATCTAGCCCAATATGAAAACTAATAAAGAAAATAATCTTGTAAAATTCACCATCTGTTGAAAACTAATAATAGTGTTAAAATTACTGAGCTGCTGAGTTATTAATTTTTTCACAAGAAAGAAAATCTAATGCTAAAAGTTAAAAATAACATAAAAATTCTGTTACTAAAGGATAGGTAAGATAAAGTTTTTAATGTAAATATATCTTAATTAATGATTCCAGATGGCATGTGACCGTGTCATTAAAGGAATTTACCTGTTGAATTATTTATGGGTAAAAAAGCCAGGAAGGATGAGAAAAGACTCCAAAGGAGACTGGAGAGTATAAGGAAAGATAAAACTCTTCTTCTTTTGCTTGTTGAAGTGCTAAAGGAAGATGACTCAGAATCAGTGTTCCTTGGTGGAGATGTTATTCTTTTTAAGATGCTTAAGAGATCACTTTCCTGCTGAGTGGTTGGATATGCATGCAAGGGAACCCTCAGCACTTCAACACCATTGTGCTTTATGAGGAACTGAGAAGTATTTCTCATCTACCTGCCACACATGGTGGCATGCAGTAATACAGATGCAAGACTATTAAAATGGAAACACAGCAGACTTTGACTAAAACAATTCTTTATTTTTATTATTTAAGACATTGTTGCAGGATGCAACCATCTCTGAATTACTATTCCTTGGGGGCTGGACCCATGTTTTGTCTTTGTGTTGTATACTACAACATTGAGATGAAACCATAGTTTATTTTCCCTCTCCGACTTTCCTTAAAGCTTTTGAAGAAACTCTGGCCTGGCAGTTCAGCTTTTATTGAACAAAACTAAGAGAAATCAAAATGAACAAAATACATGTGTGTGGTATCACCCCACATGGTACATAAACAACCTCCCTCCCTTAGTGAATGTAATATTTTAACTATCAAGAGGTAACCAATTCCAAGACTATTTCTCAGTTATACTAGTGGGTATAAAAATACCATGTGATTTCATTTCATCAATACACTGGGCAAAGAAGAATTATTGTTTCTTCTACTTTGTGGCTCTGGTGAGTCCTCAGGAAGTGTAGTTGAAAAATCGATTTTCCAGACTGAAGTCTTTGCTGGTCACAGTTCAGGGATTAGAGAAATCCAATTTGAGGAAAATGTTGGCCTGCCTGGAGGCTCCTTTATAGCTTATCTTTTTGAAGTGCTAAGATGGCTTCCCTTCTGGGTGAATATACAAGCCAAGATTTTCATCTGTTAATGTAGAACTTCCTCCTTGCTCCTTATGTAATAGGTGTTCAAGACTTCTGGATTTTTACCTTCATTCAGAAACAAAAGGTATCTGTGCATCACCAGAGGGTTTAAACGTGTACCAATTGCCATTTAGGTCCTGCTAAGGCCTACTAATATAGGTGTTATTTGAAGAACCTTGGTCTAAAGGACATGTTTTCTATCCACTTATATAGGAAGACTAATTTCCATCCTTTTAGTGTAATTTAGAATGTAGTGTACTTGATCATAAATAAGACTTGGTAACACTAAATTCTGTAATGGGTTCAAGAGTAAGGTCAAGTTGTTAGTTTTGATTACTGTATATCAAAATCTTTAATTTAATATTTAGGTGGGGTATACTTCACAGAGGTTTCTGTAGGCAACTGTGCCTGGAGGAAACCAATTGACCCCAACAGAACCTACACTCTGAATGTAAATTATAAGTAACTTGCTCTTTATATAAGCTGTGCTGCCCTTGCTAAGTAACTAAAAATTGCTCAGTTTCTCTCCTGAATAAACAGAGCTCCTAATAGTGGCATACCCAGGCCTGTCTGTATAAAGGCTATACTGTTAGTACCTAATGGCTGATAAAAGAAGTTGCTCAATAATTATAAAAAAAAATCCCAGCATTAGTACTGTAAGCACTTAGCACATAATTGATGAGCTTTTTAAATTTTTCTTTGCATATACTACATCTCCGAGGAACAACTGGTTTACAGTCTTATCATGGGACACTATGTTGCAAGAACAATATTAGGAATCAATGTGTGAGAAAGAAAGTAGCATCTTAGTACAGGTTTTTCTCATAACTATGAGTTTGTTGAATGGATCTGTGTGTTGGAACATAACATTAATCTACTTTTAATTCAATATCCCTACTGCCTCAGGTGAAGGAAAAGTTATTAGCCACACATAACCAAGACAGTATCAGGTCTTTCTCTTTTTGTCCAATCTGGATGCTACATTGTCCTGTCTTGCCTGACCTGCATTGTAACTGTTATGTGTTCTAGAACAGACCAAACACTTCTTGATTTTTACTCACTCTCTGCCAATTGCTGTGATTTTTTTCTTCTTACCCCCCAAATGCTTGACTTAATCTTTAAATAATTTGATGTTTTCATCACACCATTCAATTTGAAGCCCCCTTTTTTTGATACTGGAGGAATTTGGGTGAAGCAGGAATTATGGTTGTGGCTGTGTAGCAACTTCAGTAATACACTTCTAAGAGCTGTCAACAAGACTGCATGGGAAAGAATTTCATAGTTTGCCATGGTTTTAGCAGGGAACGTGAATATTTTCTGGACTAGGTGCTCTCTAGAAGGCTTACTTCCATTGCTCAAGCAGTGAACCTCTTCTTTACATTGCTCATACCTGTCTCTTTACATTGCCCTTTACATTGCTCTTACCTGTCTCTCACCATTGCACCTCTAAAGAAGAAAGGGTTCTAAAGAAGAAATTGTTCCTGGGACTGTGGATTAAATAGATATGTAGCAGATTGTTTAATTTCTCCATATCTATATGCCCAGTTTGCATGTATGTATTCTTATATATGCATGTATGTTAGAAATAAGCATACTGCCTATAATCTAAAGTTAAAGACAAAATCAATAATCATCATGAATCTGCTATGGAACTGGACATGACACTGTGGTCCTCAGTGCCTCAGTGTTCCATAAAGTGTTTTGCTCAAGAATAGTGGCAATTTCTGAGATTTTCCATGTGGGAGCATTTTAGAGCTTTGTCTTCTGGACTGTAATATTCATTGCCTCCCGTGCCTTTGGTCTCTCACTGTTATGGGTTTTTCTCTGCCCCTGCCTCTGCTGTCCACTGCTGGAAAATCCTTAGAGCCCAGTCCTCATCTCATCAGCAATTATTTTTCCTGTAGCAATGCCTAGAGAAATTTTAGGCACTCCAAGGCCAGGGAATTTTTCTGGAATCTCAGATTCAAAAGAGATCACCTGGGATCTTTGTAGCCCCTTATACAGGGGCTTTAGGAATCTCTCTTGACCTGACCAACATTTTGCTTCTCAAGAGTAGGTTGGGGCATTCCTTCTCCAAAGAAGCATCCTATATTCCTCAGAGTCTGACAAGGCACATCATGTTTTCTGGTCATGGGTCACTGGGTAGAAAACATCAAATCACCTGGATGTTCATTGACGAATACTGATATTTCTTCTGTTTCATGAAGCTGTGTTTATAGGAGCCCATACAGTTATTGTATTTACCCAGCTTCTAATTTTCCGGAATATTTTTTGTTCCATACCAGACTACTCAAGGACACACAGCTGGCTGTTAGAAAGTAAGAACTGGAACCCAGCTCTCTGTCAGTTCAGAGCAAATATGGACCTGGCTGCTGGCAACAAAATTTATTTAATATATAGACATAAACTATACTCTTAGGATATGTGAGTCATAAAACAGGAAAATGACAGAAAGCATCTGGTTTATTATGTTTCCTTATTGTTCAGTTTCACTGAGGATTTTCAGTTTTTGAAAGAGAGAGGTGTTGTAGAGAATTCACAATGAAGAGATAATTTTGTTTTGTGTTTTGATTGAGCTGAAATATTCATCTACCTTGATTTTTAGCTCAAAAGCTCCTAAAATAATCAGCAGCCGTTCATTCAAGAGTGTATTACCTCTCTGAATACAGAACAAAATATACTTGAAATTTCACAAAGGTAATAGGAGAAACGATTGCTTCTTTGTGGTGAAACAAACCTACACTGGCATGAGAAATCTGATCAGTACAGCTTGTTGAGTTTTCTTAATAATCAATACATTTCATTACATGAATGATGTGGCTCCTGCAGTCCATTATGTAAATTGTTCTTATCTCTGGCCAATTTTACCATAATGCTTTGTAGGTACTGATATTGACTTTAAACTTGCTTTTACAAATAGAGAAAATACTAGTATGATAAATGCAGTGTGATAGAAAGCAAATATAACTGAAGCCTTTTCTTCCTATGTCTCAGCCAGTAAGAAAAATATTGGCTGAGAGGAAAGTTAATTTTGTTTAAATACCTGATAAGTAGTACAAGAATTGTTTAATACTGCATTATCTCTTTTAAAAATGAGTACAGTGTTCTATGCAATCACAAATTTCTAAACTATTGAATGTTATAGATAGGAGTTGCCAAACTACAGCCAAAGGGTCAAATCTAATCCAATGCTTATTTTTGTAAATAAAGTTTTATTGTAATACAGCCACATTCATGCATTTATGTATTGTCTATGGCTGTTGTCACACTACAGGGGCAGAGTTAAGTAGCTGCAGCACAGACTGTGTGACACACAAAGTCTAACATATTTATTATCTGGCCCTTTACAGGAAAAGTTTGCTGATTCCTAGTATAGAATAGTAATTTTTACATTGTTATTTCATTGGCATTAATATTATTTTACTTCCCCATTCTCTTAATCATCATCTTTTCTTTAAATGGTTAAATTATTCCCTAAATAGAACTGACTTTTTAAGTATATGTGCCTATAAATGTAAATATTCAAAGGCTGAACATATGCCTATTAATTTCTTTGTGTTCTTTTGATTAAAAATATAGGTCTACATAATTACAATAAAGCACTTGCTTTTTTTACTAATTGGAATAAGTAAAAACATGGATAGTTAAGGACTGATTTTACTAGATTGTAGACAAAAATCTTATGACTAATTAAAAATATACCTTGTGTTATATTCTGTGTTTCTTGAGAACCAGTGAGATTAGTGGTTAGCCTAAAGTCACAGAGCAGTCAAAACTGACACAAGCATAGTGTTGCCTGAGTCACCAAACAACTGTGACTTCCTTCATTGTTCTCTGCAGAGCTAGACATGGCATCTTCCATTATGACTGTGAGGGTGCTGTATAAAATGCATCTCAGAAATCTTGGCAGGTTTATTCAGAATGTTAGGTTTTTGGAGGTTTTTGGAACAGGTTCGGTGTTCATTTTGCAGCACTCTCTGCTAGGCCAGCAAGATTTAGTGGACACTGTTGAAATAATTGTTTGCCAGGGATGTTTACATTAGTGATTGGATATTTATGGTACATGTTGAATATCTACTCACTTTCTCTTTGCCAATAAATTTTGAGTGTAACTAATGTATTGGGTCTGTAGGTGTTGCATTTCCCAGACTGCATTACAATATGTCTGAAAATAAAATAACAGCAATGTTGTCCCAACTGGAATGCCTTTTTGTGACTAATATTTATTTATTAATGGATGATAACTTGTATTACAATTTAAGACCCTGGGTAGTTATGCAATGATTATCTATGAACAGGAAGTACAGTTTAAAATCTGGAAGTTAAGTTTAAAGTTTACAATTCTGAAACTCTAGATCTCATATATTCGGTGTTGTATTTTGAGATGAGGATTAAATGTTTCAATCCTCTAAAATAATTTTATGCACTTAATCTTTGCTAAAAAAAGTAACACTTTTTTTTTTGTAAATGTGTGTAAAAAATTAGAGAAACACATACTGATTTAGGTATGATTTTTGAAGGCCCAGTATATACACCTTTGTGATTGAGGACTGTTAAAATGAAAACAATGTTGGAGAAAGCAGCAGAAAATACTGGAAGGGAGGATATAAATAAAAGTTTATAGCAATAATATAAACTACTAACCCTGTTTTCTAATTTGGTTAATCTTGGTAATTCTTTGTGTCCTTTACAATCGGTGCATCTTACACCAGACTAGATACATTTCCAGTGTTCAATAGCCAAATGTGGCTAATAGCTGCCATATTAGGCAGCTTGTCTCTAGACTAATGATCCTAATTACTATGTGGCATTAATTCTATAAATATTTAATCTCTTTTGATTGGCAATTAGGATGTTTTCAATTATTTTGCCATGGTAAATGCTGCTTTGCTAAACTTTCTTATACATGTGTCATAAGTATGTGGAAGAATCTTCCACACTGTATATTAGTGGATTTACTGGGTTAAGGGGATACTTAATTTCCACTTTACTAGAGAGGCATCACAGTGCTCTCCAATTTGGAGCAATTTCCATTTATTTGGGAGTTCCTATGGCTCAACATTTATGCCCAAGTGTATTCTTACACTTTAAAATACTCTGAGCCTGATGGATGTGAAACATTATCCCATTGTGATTTTAAAAGTTTATGTAGTCATGATTACCAGTGAAGCCAAGCATCTTTGCATTTGCTTTCTGGCTGCCCAGGTTTCTTCTTCTGTGAATTATCTGTTCTTACATTTTGGCTAATATTTATTGGCTTGTTTGTTTTCCACTTTTTGATTTACGTAAGTTTTTTAAATGTTCAGGATGTTAATATTTCATCTCAAGAATTGCAAATCTCTTCTTCCAGCCTGAGCCTTGTCATTTTTTGGTGTGTGTGTATGTGTGTGTGTGTGTGTGTGTGTGTGTGTTGTTAAGTAGTTTTAAATGTAATAAAACTAAATTTATCAGTAGTTTCCCTTATGGGGTGTGTTTATGCATCTTGTTTAATACTTTTCTGCCTCAGTTTCCTATGTTTTTGTCTAAGAATTAAGTTTTTCTTTTTCTACACTTGCATCTTTGATACATGTGGATTTAAAGTGTACATGTACACTGTATGATAGAGATCTGATGAATTATTTCTCAAAGAGTCATGTAATTATTTTCCAAAGTGATTATTATTTTCCTAAGTGATGATGGTCTGTTTATTTTCCAAAGGAAAAATCAGTTGGTCTTCATGACTTATTGAAAATTACATCCTTTCTCTGCTGATCTATGATGTATCAAACTTCCATGTATATATAGTCTTTCTGGGCTCTTTATTCCTTTCTATTTCTGTCCAGTCATAACGAATTGTTTGATTATAAATCTTCAGATCTGGTAGATTAAAGTCTTTCACCCTCTTCTTCGGTGGAGCCTTGACTAGTATTGGTTCTTTAGTTGCCCAGGTAAAATTTTAAATCAGCTTAGCAAGTTCTATGAAAACTTTATTAGAATTTTCATTGTAATTATGCTAAGTTGATATATTTATTTTGGTACAATTGATATTTTAATGACATAGTGATATTATAGTCTATGACTATGGTGTATATCACTTTAACATCAGTGAAAATGTGTTGCAAATAGATTTTATAGTTTCTCTTAATAAAGGTCTTAGAAACATTTAACTAAATTTATTCTTACTACTTTTTTTGTGATTATTATAAATAAGTATATTTATATATATTTAAAATTACATTTTCTTTTCTTTTTTTTTTTGAGACTGAGTCTTGCTCTGTTGCCCAGGCTGGAGTGCAGTGGTGCCATCTCGGCTCACTGCAAGCTCCGCCTCCCGGGTTCACGCCATTCTTCTGCCTCAGCCTCCCAAGTAGCTGGGACTACAGGTGCCCGCCACCATGCCCAGCTAATTTTTTGTGTTTTGGGTAGAGACTGGGTTTTACCGTGTTAGCCAGGATGGTCTTGATCTCCTGACCTCGTGATCCACCTGCCTCGGCCTCCCAAAGTGCTGAGATTACAGGCATGAGCCACCGTGCCCGTCCTAAAATTACATTTTCTAAATGGGTATAAAGAAGTGGTATTCTAATCTTTGCTTCCATAATAACATACTTTTCTCGGTAATTGATAAAGAAGCAGACATATCACTAACATGTATATATATGCTTTAACACAAAACAGATTCATCTGAATGTATGTTGAACACTACTTCTAACAATTAGAGATTATATTCTTCTTGAGTAAATATAGGAAGTTCATAAAAATGATCTATTTTTTACTTCGCCAACTTTCTTTTTAATTTACATTCAATCTTTTAACTCATATGTTAGATTTTGTGATGATTTTATTTTTATTTATAGAAATCTATTTTTCTTTTTAAGATTTCCTAGTATTTTTGAATACTGTTTTGTATCATTCTAGTGTTTCTGATTTCATCATTTATTATTTTAAATGTTCTTATTTTATATTATCTATAAGTCTTTTGGTTATTGTTTCTGGCTATTCTTATTGGTGAATTTTACCTCATATATTTTACGTGTTTCATTATGATACCATGTCTGTCTGGTGGCTTTATCTGTGGAAATATTGTAGGGCTTGGTTTGATGATTTATCTTTGAGAGGAGGTTTGGATTTGTTTCTGCCAGACATGCAGAGGTATTACCAACTCAATCCTGCTTTAAGCCAATTTGGGGTTTCGAGTATCATCAAGATGGTGTAAATTTGTACCTAGTCTCTTGGGAGAGAACTATGGCTATGAATTTTCATGGGACACTTTCCCCCTCCCGTAAGTCAGGTTCAGTAAATATTTCCAGCTCATCTCCTTTGGGTGGCAGCAATTCATTTTTAAACCAAGGTTTTATTCTGTAGAATATCCAAAACTTATGTATTGGTTGCACTTTCAACTCTCGACTTGCATGGACCTTGTCCTTTGTGGTTTGTATGGTCAGAAACACCATCTTTGTTGCTGACATTGTCAGACATTCTTACAGCAGCTATAGTTTCAGCATCAGCTTATCACTCTAGTTTCCTGCTCCTCATTTGCTTTTGGTACTTGGGCATTTCTCTTATAGCTCTGCAAATATGTCTGTATGTTTAAAAGAATGTTTACCACACTTTTTCAGTCTTATTAAATGATCTAGCTCCCTGAAACCAAATTCCTGAAAATAAATACAAAGTTGCAACCCTGTCAGTAATATACATGAATTTTCATGGGAGATTTTTCCCTACCGAGAAGAATCTGATTCCTTTAGCACGACAGTCTGATTCAGCAATATATGATAAGAACCCGGTTTCTTGCACCCTTGATAAATTTTGCTGTGATTAATAAAGCAATCCAATCATTCACATTTGTTTTAATGTGTACTTCTTTTATTACTTTTATGAAGACATCTTTTTGTATGATGATGGGTCATTAGCTTTCATTTTCAACACATTTCCTGTTATTATATTTTTGCCAACTAGGAAAAAAAGCAAAAAAGGGAGAAGGAGGAGAGAAAACATTTTCAAAGCAATTCTCTTTTGGAGCTGGTATTTTTGTCCTAGTAATTCCTTGGATAGGCTTTAGAGAGTCACGTACTCCCTAAAACTGTGTGCAAAAATGTGTCGATAACAACATGCGTTTTTGGATGAACAGTCTCTATGATTCTCACTGGATTCTTGAAATGTGATCCAGAGGTCACTAAAAACCATCACTATATTTGATACAATTTTATCCTTTTAGGGAAGGACTAGATGTCAATTCAAAATTGCTTTCTTTTCTTAGGAAAGCATTTTAAAACAGTGGATTCAAAAGGGAAATAGTGAACACATAGTGAAGAATACAAAATGAAAGTTGCTGGGTCTTTTTTTAAATCTAACTTTTATTTATTTATTTTTAGAGACAGGGTCTTATTCTTTCACCCAGGCTGGAGTGCAGTGGTGTGATCATAGCTCACTGTAACCTCGAACTCCTGGGCTCAAGCGATTCTCCCACCTTAGCCTCGTAAGTAGTGAGGACTACAGGTGTGCACCACAACACTTAGCTAATTTTTAAATATTTTGTTGAGAAAGGGTCTCACTACATTTCTCAGGCTAGTCTTCAACTCCTGGCCTCAAATGATCCTCTGCTTCAGCCTCCCAAAGGACTAGGATTAAAGGCATGAGCCATGTTCTTGATGGGGTTTTTGAAGCTAAAAGGATATTAGAGGTTAAAAAACATCCCTCAGAGATGATGCAGTTTCCTCTCTCATTTTATGGATTGATTAAAAGCAAAAATTAAAAACTCCACATACTTAAATTGCTGATAGTTATCTTCATTTTTGGACATTAACTCTTGAATAGTCCTTACCGAATCAATACACAAGTAGGCTTATACATAGAAAGAAACTTATACACACATTTTAAAGGACAAAGTTAAATACATAAAGGCCTATACTTTCATTTTTCTCCACAAGACAGTTTTTTATTGGAATTTTTCATTGACCTACTTTTAAGGAATATGGAGAAGAAAATGGAGGTTGATTCTGTCTTGTGGATGAAATGGTGAAGATATAGGTGATGAAATTTTTTACAATGCCAAAAAATTCATTCTAATTAAGATAGAGCAGATGGCAAATATGGGGCTTGAGAGTTATAGCACAACTAGTTTAACTTTGAATTCTAATATCTACTCTATGCTAATAGATATAACACAGCGGGTAGTATGCTACAAGTTATTAACCAGGCTCTTGGGATTCTGATCTCTTCAAGGTTACAGAAAAATATTATGTTGCTCTAGGTCAAATGTGAGGGTGCTCTGTCATTGACTTTCTAAATATAGCTCCTGTCACTGCCTTTTCCTCTAGGTAATAATCTTCTCAGATAGTAAGATGTCTGTTATACAAAATTCAGTCAGCAGAAGTTTAATCCAGGTAGACTTCTATGGTGTAACATTTAATCAAAAAGACAAATGATGATAATTAACTAATCTGGTATCAAAACTTCAAAGTTTTATTACTATTAATATATACAGATAGTAATTTTGGATGAGGACAGGCAGGAAGGAAGAACACTTTTACTGAAATTGTCAGCTCCATAAAGACAAGGATCTTTGCCTGTTTTATTCAATGATGTATCCCAACCACCCAGGATAATGCCTGGTGCATCATAGATTATTATTTGTTATTTTTTGTTTGTTTGTTTCAGAGAACAGTGTGTCATTTTTTTATCTTGAGTTCATAAGGGAAGAGTTTGATGATAAGAACAGTGATTCAATACATTGAGTCATGGAATTTCAGGGGCTATGTAGGATGTGATGACAAAGGGTCATACAGTCAAAAATCTTCATTTTGTGTTTAAGAGAAATAAAGCCCAGAGTGGTTAGTAGCTTGCTGCAGATAACTTAAGCAAGTTAGCTACAGAACTGGTACTAGAACAGAAGATGTCTAACTCCCCATCCAGTGCCATTCCCATGTGTTATGTTGCCATTCTTCCTCTGTTGCTTCAGATAATAAAATTTAATCACAGATTCTAACTTGGTATTTATTTGTTTATTTTTATTGAGATAGTCATATATCATAAAATCATCCTTTTATAGTATATAATTTAGTAGTTTTTAACACTCAGAATGTTGTGCAATCATCTCCACTGTTTAGTTACAGAACATTTTCATCATCCCAAAATAAAATTCCATGTCCATTAGCAATCACTCTCAACTTCCTTCAACTGCTCACTCCTGACTACCACTAATCTATTTTCTATGTCTTTTTCTGTTCTGGACTTTTCTTATAAATGGAATCATACAGTATGTAGCATTTGGGGCCTGGCTTCTATTAATTAACACAGTGTTTTCACTATGTCTATCTATATTGTAGATATCTATAATCTATATCTACAGATATAGGTTTACCCATGGATCAGTACTTCATTTCTTTGTAGGGTGGATAATATTCTATTATATAGATATGCCACATTGTTTATCTGTTAATCAGTTGATGGATATTTGGGTTGTTTCCACTTTTTTGGCTATTTTAAACATTCATGCATAAGTTTTTGTTCTGGAGGTGTATTTTTAACTCTTTTTTCACATGTGCATGGGAATGGAATTTCTGGCTTATGGTAATTCTGTGTTTAAGTATTTGAAAAATTGCCAGACTATTTTCCAAAGTGGCTATACCATTTTACACTTCTGCTAGCAGTGTATAAAGAAAGGTCCCAAATTTTCTGCATGCTTGCCACATTCTTTCACAGCTTTTTCTTCTAAGTTTTTTGATTAGTTTGTTCTTTGCCTCAACTGTTACCACCATCTCAGCAGACATGACGTTAAATAATGCCACTGATTGTTTTTGACAAACACCTCTAAGAAAAAGACTGTTTTCATTAGGTGAGCTTCTGAGGTCAAATAAAGATATTCCTTGAGAGTAGGGTTTCTCAGGAAACTGCCAGACAGTTCAAATAATGACAATTCTTTGAGAATGAGGCTTTGAAAGAGCTCCAGCCCCTTTCTGACCCTTCCAGTGGCTTCTATGCTGCTAGTTTACAATTTTATTGCAGGCTGTCAGTTTTCATGGCTACCACAGAGCTAGGGAGAAGCGGATGGGAATAGGGCAAGTTACAATGCCAAAAAGCTCATTTTTTTTTTTTTAAACCAAGATTCAGCAGTTTTTCTTGAATAAAGGCTTCCTGAATTGTTATATGCCTTTGGTTAATTTACAGTGTTCTGAAAAGTTGATTTTGACAATTTTTTTTGCTAGTGTTCTAGTTGCTTTTATTAGGAAGAGGATTTTTGGAAGTCCTTACTCCACCATTCTTGCTGATGTCATCACCTGGCTTGTTTTTTAATTACTAGAAAGAAGTTAAGTCCTGGGTGCAGGAAAATAGAGAAAAGAGGGGTAAAAAGCAATTAGAGAAGAACAGGAAGAAGGAAAGAACTTATTTGGGAAACTTGAAAGAATAAAAGATGTGTGCATCTTTTGTTTACGGAGGATACTAAGTACATAATCTTTTATGGATCTATGCCTGAAGGAATGCTAAAAAATACAAATGGCACATTTTATGAATCTTTAGCAGATTCATGCTTGTAGGACAAATCTTTCTATAACAGCATGTGCTGAGTGTGTTGAAAAAATGCAGCCAATCTTTTTCTTTCTATTTTTTTTCACAGTTTTGTTTTTAAGGAAGAATAAAAATCTAAATAAAAACATTGACTAAGTTTAAACTGTGTTTTATATTGTGTATTAAAATCTAAGCCAATGGAAAAATTGAATTTAAACCTATGGCATAAGGACAGTTAGTTTAGGGAAAGAAAATATCTTTAAAGCCGGGATTTTACTAGAATTTATAATTTCAACATTTTCCTTCCTATACTTGAATTAAAAAAGGGTAAGTCTCTCAATGACAACAATTTACAACTTAATTCCATCTTAGATCTAAGCTCACTGCCACCTTAAAAAGTGATCTAATAAGCTAATGCCTAGTAGGTTTTTAATTACTGATAATTGTCTGATGCAAAACCATTAAAGGCATAACCTTTATGTCAGTATACCCTTGTGCGAATGATACAGGAAATTAATTTCAAAGAGTATTGCCTTTGATGACATTATCTACCCTCACCCTACCCAGTCCTCCTGGGAGTATTTGAAATATGGGACAGGAAATGTTGATACTTGTTAGCACTTTTATCACAAACTTATCAGAGAAGAACAATTAACAGGATATAAAACATAGCACAAGTAGCATAGTCAATGGGAAGAGACTGCTTTGAATTCACATAAACCTGCATTTGAATCTCGAATCCAACATTTACCAGAAGTGTGACTTTTAGGAAATTTCCTAACTTCCCTGACTCTGTCTCCTTGCAGCTGAATTGGAGATAGCAATATCTACTTCATGTGCTTCTGGAGAAGACTAAATGGTATATCTTGTACAAAGTGCTAGAACAGTAGTAACTGAAGAAAGAGCATTCAATACTGGAGTGGCCACAGTAATTGGCAACCCCAATACTGGTAGTCATGGTAGAACAGTAGTCATGGTCCTGGTTACCATTCAGGTGCACATGGAGGCTGAAATTCTCTGTGGACTAAGTGGCATTAGAATGTCCTTCACCTCACTCAAAGACTTGAGGAGGCAGGCCTGTCTCCAGGACTCCTCTGTTCTGGGGGTCTTGGCTGTCTATGTGCTCTCCACAGTCAGTGCTCTCTAGCAGCCAGCAGACTTGCAAGTGAGGGAAACTCCCGTTCCCTGAGGAGCCTTCAGTTAATCCACCAACTCTGGGACTTCCTGAGTTGAGTTCTTGGAATCCTGAGTCACATTAAAATCTGCCACCATTACCTCAGTCTTAATTAACAGGCAGAGGAATGAGGCCATAATTGATTTTATTTTATGTGTATGTGTGTGCATTTCTTCTTTTTTCTCCCTCTGAAAGCCACTATTTTGATATATCAGACTAGGGAACGGAACTGGCCTGAAAGAGTCAGTTCCAGTTTCCATTTAGTGTTTCTCTTCCCTCATGCCATCATTGTGGTACTTATGAGATCACATCATGTCTGGACAGTGACAAGTTGAGGCCATCTATCAATGCTATAGTTGTAGTAAGATGCAATTAGAATCTTGTGACAGAAAGATATTTACACTTTGGCAAATAAATACTGAATATATGAAGCCTTAAATTAAAGATTTTCTTCAGTGGGGCACTTCATACTCTTTGATTAGGGGGATTTTCCCTGTTTCTCTGTCATGCATGTTCTATTTGGCCTTTTTGTTGGTTGAGGAAGGGATAAGTTTTAGGGATTTTCTCAGGATATGGGGTCTGAACAAAATATATGGTGGTGGAAATATAAAGAAAGGTACAGATGTGAAGAGACAATTGTTAGTAGAAGATAAGACAAGAAACAAATAGTGGAGGGATGGCATGAAGAATAGGACACATTTAAGACTCTCTGGTGTCTGTCTTGGGGTGGATTTTGCAAACCCACTGCATATGAGATTCGTACTAAAGAAAGAGAAGTAGGTATAAAGACAGAGAAGAGTGTGAATTTTGAACATGCTCATGAAATACTAGTTAGAACATCTTATTAGGTAGTTAAAAATGTAAGTTTGCTGTCTTGAGATATAAATTTGTGGGGCATCAGTATACATGTAGCACCTGAAGCTATGGGAGTGGATGACATATTAAGGAGACTCTTCATAGGAAGAGAACTGCAGACATGCAGACAGAACATGGAGGAACATTAGTCATGAAAGGGATACTAGAAGAAGAGGACAAACATGAAAGACTCGGGAAAGCAGTCAGAGATGCGGCAGGAGAATCAAGAAGAGTCCTCCTGTGAAAGCCAAGGAAGGAGGAAGGGCTCAGAAGAGAGAGGTTAATAGTGACTATTGTAATAGTTTTCTAACTGGTCTTTCTCCCTCTAAGCTCTTTCCCCATGCTTCCTGGCCTCATTCTGCTGTGCGTATGACCTCTCCAATGTGCACATCTATTCACATTCTCAGCCTCGCTGTTTTGAGATATTTATAACATTCAAACTTTCATATGTGTAAGAATTACCAAAGCCTAACTCATTGCATAAGCCTAACTGGCTTATTAAAAGGCCAGTTCTGGGCCTCATGCACAGAGATGCTAATTTAGTATGTCTAGACCCAAGAATATGCCTTTTAACAAAAGTCCTCATATAGTCAGATGCAGATGGTCTATGGATACTTTACGAAACAATGGTTTAGAGAATGAAGTTCAGGTTCCTTAGTAGAAGTTCATGACCTTTCACTTCTGGTTCCAATCTCCATTTCCCTCCTCACCATTCCCTTCCACCCTCCATCACCTCCACCTCCATCATGGACTCTATATGCTAGCCCTGCCAGAATCACAAAGATGGAATGGGAAGGAAGAAAGTCCTTCCTGGGAAAGGGATCAGCCTATGCAAAGGGACCATGGTGAGACAACATAGAATGTGAGAAAATCGTCTGGTTTGAATGATTACAGCATACCTACAGAAATGGGCCTGGAAAGCACAATAGGGCCAGACTGGAAAGCACTGAAGGTCAAGTTGGGGATTATCAATTGTTCAGTGGTAAACTGGAATGCTTGGCTCTTTCATGCTTTGTTTGTTCATTTTTTTCACTTTCAATCCTGGATCTAGGTATTGGCCTCTTCTTACTAGGATTGAAACTATATCTTTAGTGTTGAGTCATGAATACCTCATGAAGAGGTATTCAAAAATGAAGAATGAAGTTAAATTCTAAAAAATTCTATACTGATTAAAGGGTCCTGAATCATCTAGAGACAGTAGAAAGGCAATTAGTCAATTTTCAATTTTCCTAAGCCTGGTTGAGAGGCTGGTAAGCCACTGTGAGTATGCTCTTAACTTTTACAAAAGAAAAAAAGCAAGACATAGCTCAAGTAGCTAGAGTTCTGACTCATCACCATAAAACTGAACACCATGAATTTCTCTCTCAGGGAAGATTTCAGCCCAGCCAGGTCCAAGAGAACATACGAGCACCTTATGCTGAACACACACTTAGAGAACTGGATGGTTTTTGCCATCTGCGAAGCCTCACATAGCCTCCAGTTTGAAGTTGAAGTGATGTCAGAATCTGATTTAAGCAGCTTACATATGTTGCACTGCAGAAAAAACATTGGACGTTGGGGACTCTGAAAAACAATGGTAGGCGTTTGGGATCCATAAGTGCTTAGTGTTTGTGACAAATATGCTCTGTAGCCACAGGGCAACACGTCCCCCCCCACCCTTAGATTTAAGCATAAGGTTTTCTCCTTTGCTTAGTAGAAGAATTTTCACATTATCGTGTGTATAATTGGAACCACATGATCATCATTCACTGAAGCAGGTAAGGTTATTGTAGTTAATCGCAATCCTCTTTTGTTGCTTTAACTTCGACAGAAAATACCAGTACTATGGCATACTTTGGAAAATTATGTTATGAATTTGCCACTGTTGATAATATTTTGGGAAAATTTAGATGCATAATAAATAGATAAGTTTATAGTTACTGACCTTTACAATTCTTCAAGGGTCTCACATGCATACTGAGCATTGTACAAATCACTCAACTTGTCCTCTGCAGCCTTCTATGGTGTGACCCTACCTAGCTTTTGCTCCTTTCTCATACTTTCCTATCCAGTGCATATGTACAATTGCAAGTCTTCAAACATGCTGAATGTAGAAAAAATCTCTCACTGCATTTTCTATGTTGTTTCTGTGTCTAACTTTTTTCTTTCCTTCTTTTCCTGCTTTTCCCATTATCTCTCCCTGTTGATAACTTACCTAACAGTAAGGATCTGTTTGAGTACCTTTCTCCCATGGAGGCTTTTCTGATTACTTCTTGTAATTTTGTTATATCACTTAGCATGGGCTGCCTTGTTTCACAGTTTTAATATGAATATTTTAAAAATCTATGTATAATGGATCATCCTTATCATTCAAATGACAATCCTTGTCCCCATCATGTGCATTTCAGATCCTTCTCATGTGCAAAATTCTCAAGGCCTGAGTATCAGCAGTTGCTATAAGAAAAAGTATTAATTTTTCCATTATTTTGTAGCTTTTAAAAATGAACAATATTCCATTTAAACTCAAATTTTGGAATTCTGTTAGAAAAGTTGTAGCTCTCGCCACTTTTGTAAGTAGAACAGCAATTGGCTAGTGATTAACATTGGCTGAATTTTTAGAGAGGCAGGATCCCTCCAGGTTTCCATTCATCCCTTTATATTTTACATTTTCTGCCCTAGTGCCTCTAGGCACTGAGTTGTGCCTCCGGGGCTTACATGTTTCCCACATCCATTCTTCTTGTTTCTAGACACTCCAGATTTCCTTGGATTTCTATGCTGGTAAGCTTTTGTCACCTCATTCTTGCTATTCATTCTCTTGAAGGTTTTCACCTATCACTTCCATCCTCTATGCAGACATGGATTCCCCGTGTAATTCTTCAAAGTACAACTAACATTGGGCTGCAATGTTTCAACAAAACCTTTCTGAAGAATGGAGTAGGAAATGTTAAAACCCGATATTTGATGCTACATCTCTTGGTGTCCATGATCTATATCCCTTACTAGCAATTTACCTTCTTAGGCCAAGACTTGCCAAGGGCTTATGCTCCTTTACTGGAAAACCTTCTTTCTCCCTATATTCCATCTGAAACGGAAGTGGTAAAAAACAGTTGACAGAATAATCTCCATAAAATTTCATACTTCTGATGAAGTTAGCTTTTACATTATGAAATGAAATAAATCAGTATTTCCTCCTCCATTGAGGGATTGTCTAAGAACAATGGGTAAGAATTTGCATAGTTAATGACTAAAATTGCTCACCAAAGTGGTGAACAAGGGACTTAGGCAAGGCTCTCCTGGGTCAAATTTCCACCTTTGAAACACAGCAGTTTCTTGGAACTCGCAAAAATGTAGATTCACCTCAATGGGTGAGAATGAATATGTTACCACTGACATTGTTTAGAATTGCCAGTGCATAGTGATAATAAGGAGAAGACTGCCTTTCTTTAAAATTGGTTTTACTGTTGTTTTTAAATTCTCTACACGCAATATACCGTTACTGCCTGCACACGGGGAACAGAGGGAGTGTGAGGAGGACTGCTCCTATTACTTGTCCCCTCTCCTGCCACTGCTTGGAACTTCCCAAATTGGCAACTTTCCTAGATTCAATAACTTTAAGAGCAAGACGATTCCATCTTAGGAAACAGGGGGAAAAATACTGGCAGTACTTTTGATGTGAAAGAAAATGATTAAATATTTGTTTACTTGCTGTCACAATTTCTAGGAATACATGTTTTGTTCTTTCGAGACAGAAATTCTTATGCATCTAGAAAGCATCTAGGCAGCATGTATGCACTGTTTGTTGTCTTGAATTGAGTTGAATATATATCCTCTTTGTTTGAAGTTTTGCCTAGCCAAGAGTCATGAAGTTTTTTCTCAAAATTTCTTGGGCAATGCTCCAATGCACATCTAGTGCACTAGTTTCCATTAAGAGAGTGTGGAGTGGAAGGGTTTAGAGTAGAGTTGTGGGTGAAAAAGAAGCTGTGATTTCAGCTACCCTGTTTGGCCAGGGCTAAGGAGGGCCAAGGTTTATACTAAACTGTTATACTAAATACAGCAGTAAAAGAAGGCTTTGGAAACAGACCTCTTGGGTTTGACTGTCTCCACCATTACAAACTAAGTGACGTTGGGCAGGTTGTTCAGTTCTTTATGCTCTAATTTTCTCCTTCATACATTGGAGAGAAGAATAGTGTGTTTTTCACTAGAGTTATTGTTCAGGTTAAGTAAGTCAAATACATTTAGCAGGATGTGGGGAATAGGGACACTTGCATACTGTTTATGGGTATGGAGACTGGTGCAAACCAACCTGGAGAGTGAACTGGCCATACTTAGTCAGGTTAAATATTTTTTTAAACTCCACAATAACCTAGTAATTTCACTTCTAGGAATAGGCCCCAAAGAAATTTTTACATAGCACTGTAAGAAGACAAGTCAGGTTTCCCCAGTCATCAAGTGGGGATGAAAACTAACATTTATTAAATTCCTACTGTGTTCTACAGAGGTGGTAGTCTCACTTAACCATCAAATATTCTTTTTTTTTTTTTCCGAGACAAACTCTCACTCTGTCGCCCAGGCTGGAGTGCAATGGTGTGATCTTGGCTCACTGCAACCTCTGCTGCCTGGGTTCAAGTGATTCTCCTGCTTCAGCCTCCCGAGTATCTGGGATTACAGGCACCTGCCACCGTGCCCAGCTAATTTTTGTATTTTTAGTAGAGGTGGGGTTTCACCATTTTGGCCAGGCTGGTCTTGAACACCTGCCTTGTCCTCCCAAAGTGCTAGGATTACAGGCGTGAGCCACTGAGCCCAGCCAAATATTCTTATAGAGTTATTGTTTTATCTGTTCAACAATTGAGAGAAATGATTTTCAGTGAGGTTTCATAAACTGCCAAAGGACACTTAGCTAATGATGGACAAAGCTGGGATTCAAACTCAGGTATATGTTTTACTTCATTGCAATATCCTAAGCAGTAGCTAAAAATGATAATTATCTCTCTTCTGTTTCCCTCATTGATTCTTTGCATGGATGAGCTCACGTGTTATATCACATGATTTTTCAACTTTGTCTCCCTGTCAGCTTCATTTCTCAAGTTTTGCATATTATCTCTCTTTCATTTAGTCTTTTTCATCCTATTCTTTTTATTCTCTGCCTTTTTTCCCACTTAACTGAAGATAATCAAAATTTACTCTGGATTTTTAAAAACAGAAGATTGAAGGATAAGAAAAGTTCAGTTACACTAATAGTTACAAATTAAACAAATTGGAAGTCAGCTATTATTTTAAAATGGAACGAATCAACTGCCTTTTCAGATGTCAGCCAGGTCATACTATTCATTTCCTTCTTTTTATAAGTTGACTCAGTTCAATAGAGTATTTTGGTTTTTAATGAGAGGTCTTTAGGATAAGGTCCAAGTTCATTGGTTTCTGTTTTATCCATCCATTTTCTCAGTTACTTTCTTAAAGGGTAAACTGTGTCTCCTTAACTTTGAAAATGGAATTTAACTTTTCACTCATGTGAATAATTCCCACCCTTTGGTAAAGGATATTTGTCATATAACTACATATTTCACTAATGGTTTGTTTAGTCTGTATTAAGAGATCCCAAAGGACATTAACTCTTCAAACACTAATTTTTCATGTTTGATGTGATGATGACTAAGTTTTAAAGAGCCTTGTAGACTGCTTACAAGCAAGCAAGCAAACAAACAAACAAACAAACACCCATTCCTAAGTGTGATTAGTTGCATAAAGATAAAGTAGGTATTTTATAACTTGCCGGTAATGGCACAGGGGAGCTACACAAAGTGGTTCACAATGAGTTTCATTATGAAGGAACAATACCCTGGCCCACAAAAGAGGGATAGATTAATAACAAATGTTCTTCATTTGTATTTGGTGCTGGGCTCTGTAAATTATTTATGTTTCTGGGCAAGGCCTGGGAAGTATTTCAATGAAGCCTAATATGTCAAGGTTACTTATACTTTACCATATTTTTCCTAACTATATCTTTCTGGATAGTACCACACATAAATATTTTCATTGTGTTATGCATTTATTTGCAATATTGATGGCACGGTAAAATGTGGGATATTAGCACCTCTTTAACCAATGTCAGACTAAGAATTAAGATTGGAAACACCAGTGCCTTCCTTTTAGAAATATGGAGGTTAACTTTGATTATTATTCAGCTTTTGTGGCTGATGAGCCAGCTATAAGTCATACTGTGGAAAATTTATTGTCTAGAAATCATGCTACTGAATATTTTATCTTACTGGAAATGTGCTATAAAGGGCTGCATCTTTAATCAAATACATGATGATGTTGCAATCTCTTGGTTGTACTATCATATTAAAAAGTTGAGGTTAAGCAAAACCAAAGGCATAGCTCCTGGGGAGAGCAAGTGATTGTGCATGTGGATGTGGGTATTATTCCTCAAAGAACTTGTTTTACTTTGTCTTTTTATTTAAACCTATAAAAATGTTAAAAAGGGATGTAATGTTCAGATCCCAGTCACACCAGGTAGAGAAACGTAAGGGATACTACAGTCAGGAAGGAAACAAAGAATAAAAATCAAATAATTGCTGTTCAAGTGTTTTCAGTTTCTATCCTTGATATGGGTTCCAAATTTCACAGAAAATTCGAGAACATTTTCTGCTCAAAGAAAACAGCCATTTTATAAGGGCAGAAATAAAATGCCTGCTTCGTACTCGGAGGTGCCGTGAATGTGCACTGTGTGCCTGGCTGTCGGGTGGTCATACCTCTCCCTCTTTCTACCACTTCACACATGGATGCTTGGGGGGTTTGCTATGGTTGTTTTGTGTTTTGTTTAGGAATTGGAAAGAAGAAATAATTGCTCATTGTTGGATTTGATTTTCTGTTCAAGCCTCTTTATGACTATTGGACACACTCTCTCCTGATGCTTTTATTTCTTTTCAATGACAAAAACACAGAAAGGAATACTGAAGGGGGTTTCAGAACAACAGCCAAACTTGAAAAGATCCCAGCTGATAAGAGACCTAGAGGGAAGTTGAAAACACCACTGAAATATTATCAAAACAGCATCATTTATGTCTTGACCTTGTTTAGCTATTTTTAGTGTCAATTTCATTGTTCTTTTACAACTTTTTCCCCATAGCTTTATTGTTTTCTAAAAATGTTTCTTCCTATACCTCTCATAACCTGGGTGAGCCTAATTGCTTATAGCTCAAGATAAAAACCACTTTGCTGAGCCTTACAGTTGGAGTGGATCACTCTAAATAATGAATGTGCTAGCCAATGCTGTTTAATAGAACATTTTTGATAATGGAAATATTCTATATATTAGCCAGTAGCCATATGTGGCAATTGGGCACTTGGAATATGGTTAGTGTACCTGAGAAACTAAATTTTTATTTAAATTTAAATAACCACATATGATTAGTGGCTACCATATAGAACCAGCATAGCTATATACATATATTCAGTATACTGTTAACTCTTGTTTGTTGAGCAAGGTCAATATATTCCTTTAAAAATATTTTTCTAAGTAAAATATCTTTTCTTATTTTATTAAAAATTAATCTAAATAAACTCTTTTTTGTGTTTGTGTTTGCTAGTGTTGGGAAAAGTGGGTAGTAGGAGAGATAGTGACAACTATATTTCTACGTTTATATATTATTATGTTTAAGAAATAATATGTGACAAGTTCTTGGCAAATATGTTTTACCATTAAGGATCCGGGGATTTATTTTAAGTGAAACCAGGTGGTGTGCTATTTCAGAAGTAAGAGGAATTATAGCAAGACTCCACTTGATATCTAGCGGTCAGTGTTCTGTTAACTCTACTTGCAAGAAGGGATGCTAAGAAGCCAGAAGTAAATGAAAGAGACCTCTGAAGAGTTCTGGATGGCCCAGATGTCATTGACTACCTTACTTTCCTTTGCTCTCCTACGTGTGTATACCTTGTTCGTTCACATTAGACTCCCTCTTCCTGTTACAGAATGTGGAGTGTTTTCTTCTGCCCTTTGCTTAGATGGTCCTTCTTTAAGGTCCTCTTTCTGTCTGCTGAAATCCCATCTATCCCTGAAGGTCAAACCCATGCTCTTTGTACCTGGGTCCTTGAGCTTCTGTTTCTTCAGCACAGTGCCTGAGAATTCTTTTCCTGCAAGTAACAATCTAATGAAACATGATTGGACACAAAAGGAAGGAGGCTGGGCAGGCTTATAATGTCCTAGAAAGTTTACCCCGATCCTAAACTGAGTTCCAGTCAGAAGCATTGTTTGCTTTGACAGATAAAAGTTACACAGGGTAAGGTACTTGGAGACACAGGCAGGATCAGGCTTCTTGTAATCTGGCTCTTTTCAGCTCTCTTTACTCCCATTTCTAGTATTCACAGTTGTAATTGGCCTCCACCTTAAGGGCATGATAAAGTGTTTTCTTCTATTATTCACAAAAATATGTTCTTATCTGTCTTTATTGATCTCAAAAATATAGATAGAAAGCATTTCTCTTAACAAACTTATATTCCTCCTATTATTCTTTCTTTTTTTAGGACAAGGTCTCATTCTATTGTCCAGGGTGGAGTGCAATCGCACAAACACAGCTCCCTGCAGGACAAGGTGGGAGTGACAAGGTGGCGATCCTCCCACCTCAGTCTGCTGAGTAGCTGGGACTACAGGCATGTGCTATCATGCCCAGCTAATTTTTTTTTTTGATAGAGATGGGGTTTTGCTATGTTTCCCAGTCTGGTTTGAACTCCTGGGCTCAAGCTTTCCTGTTGCCCTGGCCTCTCAAAGTGTTGAGATTATACGCGTGAGCCACTGTGCCTGGCCTCAGCCTGCCTCCCATTATTCTTGATTGCTTTCAAGTGGACTTACAGCGGCTTTCTTTCTTTCTTAGTACTATACATAAGTTTCTAAGAGTTAGCCAACATTCCCCTGTCTCCTTTAATTTGGATCTCTTGTCCTCATTTGCTCTAACTTTTATGAGCACGTAGTCTGCATCCAAAAGACAATCAATGATAGTTTAACCAACTGCTTTGCTGCTATGTAACAAGGACTGCCATCTGCTCACTTTGGGATCTTGGGAGTCTCACTGTTCCTCAATTTTACCAGGATTCTAGTGGATCTGTCACTTGCAACATCTCGCGCCCGAGAGCGTATGTATGAGTTAGGATTGTTTGGATTTCAAGTGGCAAAATTTCAAACGGTCTTGGCTTAAGCAAAAAATGATATTTATTCAAAATAGACTGAACAGAGAACAACAATACTGAGGGAAGAAACACAGAGCAGTTAGGCTACAGAAATATGTGACTGCCTGGGCTTAACTAACTTCAAAACTCTGTCTCTTATTTTTGTTCTTCTCTCTGTGTGGGTATCATTCTTCATTCCAGCTCTAAATATACCCTTCACGATGGGAAATAGGGCCAACAACCAACCAACTTGGCTTTTGGGGTCACAAGTCCAAATATCCTGAAAGGGTCTGATTGATCTAACTTGGGTCAGCCTCTCCCTGGATCAATTTACTGCTACTTACTACCCAAGGACTTTGGTCTTATTCTCTTCGCCAGTGAATGTAAAGGGTCAAAAGGTAAATTGCAAATAGATTGTAGAACTTTAAGACTCATCTAGCAAGGAAAGGTTTTATATAGTTTTTTTTTTCTTTTCTTTTTTTTTTTTTTTTAAGACAGAATCTCGCTCTGTCACCAGGCTGGAGTGCAGTGGCGTGATCTTGGCTCACTGCAAAGTCCACCTCCCAGGTTCAAGCAATTCACTTGCCTCAGCCTCCCGAGTGGCTGGGACTACAGGCGCCTGCCACCACGCCCAGCTAAGTTTTGTATTTTTAGTAGAGACAGGGTTTCACCATGTTGGCCAGGATGGTCTCAATCTCTTGACCCTGTGATCTGCCTGCCTCGGCCTTCCAAAGTGCTGGGATTACAGGTGTGAGCCACCGCACCTGGCCTTATGTAATTTTTTGAACAAAAAATTATAAGTGGCATTTTCGGAATTGTAACCTGGAAGCTGGTGCAGATAAGGACCCTATAGACAAATTCAGTGGTTGTGGAGACAGTCCAGGCAACGTTTAGGATTGGACAATCTAATTAAGAAGATAGAAGCACTGAGAGGATGCAGGAAGTTATCAGATCTTAGTTCTCACAGCCTTCTTCTATATTCGTGCTGTGTATTTAATTTCTGCTTTTTGTTCACCAAACTGGCCATTTTCTACTTTTAACTCCAGAGCTTTGTACATGCTTTTCTATCTAGTTACTCCAATTTATTTTTAAAATCTTTACTAAACTAGGGTTTTTAGAGAGAAGATGAAGCAAATGAGGCAAAGCTGAGAAAATTGTGAATAGAAAAAATTGAAATATTTTAACAACAGATTATTATAAAACTAGAACAGATGACATAAATTCAATGCAATAAATCTTTTTTCAGTATCTACTATTTTCAGGGTGGTTTAATCAAAAGGACTATAAAGTTTCTGGGTTTGGAAACTAAAATCAAGAAGGGGTAGAAATTAAGGAATCAGGACAGTAGTTCTCACTTTGTTTAGGTGATGAAACATCTGAGATTTATGGTGCTCATTGGGTAATAAGCAAAATAAAATATTGATATACTAATATAAAGGAAAAAATATAAAATTTTGTGCTTAATCAAGTAGAATCTAGTAGTACATTTTAGCGCAGACGATCTCTAACATCTGTCAAAATTTTAGGAATATAATTCTAGGGGGAAAATTCCAAATTGAAAAAAAATCTATTCTACTGTCTTAACACTGTTCTCTGAATTAAGCAAAGAAATGAAGCGCCTGATTTTAGTGATGTGGCATTTAGGTGGAGCTCAGGGGCAGCATGGTCTGAGAACCAGTCCATCAGGAGTCAGAGTTTGAGTATGCTCTCCAAGGGCACAGGGTAAACTTTATCAGCATGTATGTTCATTCCTCTCTGCTGCCTACCTCCAGTTCCATGGAGTTAGGGCCCACTACAACATATGATCCCACCATGACAAACAAAAACAAGAAGCCCATCTCAACATACAAGAAGAAACAGTGGGTTCTCAATTCTGGCTATATATTAAGATCATTTGAGGAGCTTTAAAGCAAACATAGATGACAGAGCCCACCCCAGACCAATTCAATTATAATCTCTAGGGTGACATGTGGCCATGGCTCTTTAAAACGTATTCCCCAGTTGATCGTAATGTGCAGCTAGTGTTGAGTGAGGATCACTAATGGAAGAGATGAAAAGGAATCACAGATGTCCTAGTCTAGCAATCCAGAGTCTTGGATTATTATTAACCCTAGGGCAGTGCAATGTAACTATCGTATATCTCAATTTTCTGGGAAATGAAGGAAAGAGACTAGAAGACATCATGCATTTTTCTAGCTCTATGACTTTTTAGATGTACTCCTGGAAATTTGTATATAAACAAAACCTCATATAAATAGACCTAATATAGTTAAACAAATCCTATGATGAATCTTTGAGTAATACAAATAATATATGTATAATATTTATAATATAATTTTTGTATATAATTCAATAGAAATCACATTCAGAAACTAAATCACTGAGTATTTCCCTGTTAGCGATACTTCAACAAATTAAAAAAAAAAAAGGGTTTCACCAAGCAGACCAGACTCTGGTTGTCATAATCATTATCCAGAGAGGATTTTTATCAGTTCTCCATACTCTCCCTTTGTTAATGTTTCTAAGTGACTATTAATTTCTCATTGCTTTTCTTGAGAATATTGAAGATGTCATCACACTCATGTGCTGGGCCATCTGAACAATGTTTTGCTTGCTAAATACCAGGACACTCTCAAAATCACTTACCTATTCTTTTTTTTTTTTTTTTTTTTTTTTTTTTGAGAGAGAGTCTCGCTCTGTCACCCAGGCTGGAGTGCAGTGGCATGATCTCGACTCACTGCAAGCTCCGCCTCCCAGGTTCACACAATTATCCTGCCTCAGCCTCCCGAGTAGCTGGGACTACAGGCGCCCACCACCACGCCTGGCTAATTTTTTGTATTTTTAGTGGAGACGGGGTTTCACTGTGTTAGCCAGGATGGTCTCGATCTCCTGACCTCATGATTTGCCTGCCTCGGCCTCCCAAAGTGCTGGGATTACCAACATGCATCAATGGGTTATGCCTAGATTTTATACCATTGCCTGTGGACATAAGTTCAACAACTGTATTGCATGACTTGAAACTTATCTGTCTGTTATTCTTTTACTTTCTCTGTCATAGTTGATTTCTGCTTTAATCCAACTACACTTTATTGTTACCATTTTCTGGATGAAAAAACTGAGAGCCTGAGAGCTTTATTATTGGTCTAGGTTACACAGCAAGTATAACAGGAAATTGATATCAGGGCTATTTTACTCTATAAACTCTGCAGCTTTATGCCAGCACCCAAGTGTTAAACAAAATGTTCATTTAATAGATGTTTAAGAAAAATCTGTGTGCAGGAGTTGTGGGTGATAGAAAGTTAATAGATTATCCCTCATTAGGATTCCTTTTAAGAGGGAAGAACTCAGGAGTTTTTGGTAACATGATTTGATAATTGCTCAGGATAGGCGCTGAGACCTGAGAACTAAAGGTTTGGGTGACTAAACTAGGTTTGGGTGGAACTAAACTGTTGGTTAAGAGGGGGAATTTTGCTTGTTGCTCCCGAGGAGGAGAAAGAAATTAGAGATGATGGAAAATAGAGATAGGTAGAACCAGGAGGTAGCAGAGGACAATGAGCTACAAAACCCTAGTCAAGTCTAACCAGTTCTGAATAACTAAGGTGAGTGACTTTCTCATGGAAACTTGTAAAGAATCTTGGTTTTTCATCCAGAGCATCCCAGGACAATTAGAGATGTCTGTGGGAGGCTGTGAGGCATAGAGATGCTTAGGGAAGAAAGCACGCATTCATGGCTCAACCCATGGAATTGGGTTCAGAGTTCAGGACAAGTTTAAAGAGATGTTGCAGGGCAGCGAGTGGGTGGGGAGGGGGAGGAGGAGTCATTAGCTGACATGTAGCTGACATGTGTTATACCAAAATGAAGAGAATATGCCCTGCTAGCTTCAGCCAAAAATTTGAAACAGAATAATTTTAGAGACAACAGCAATATGAAAATGATTTACTTATACTCTATTAAAAAGTCATTGCCAATGGCATAATAGCCCAGAATGTTTCAAGACATGTAAAAGATTAGCAAATAGAAAAGTCTAGAGGTATAATAATTAATAGTGATAGTCTACCGTATTTCTTTAGCTGAGTAACCCAGGTATGCAGAAGTAAAGGCATGATGAAGAAGGTCAACATTTGTGTAGTTGTAAGAGAATTACAATTTAGGGATTTAATTAAATCATTTATTTTTCCCCCTTAGACACAGTGTTTCATCATGGAAGGCTTATGAAATTTAAAAAAAGTCAAACCTACCTAACTTTCTAACTTGGAATTAATTTTCCTTGGTGTAGAATTGCTAAAATGGGCTTCATTATGTTCACAGTATTTGAAATAACTACTGTGGCCTGCTTTATTCATTTTCAGTGATGAAATATTGCTGAATTTCTCATAACGTACCAAGACAATGATGTGGACAAGTGAGTTGCATATTTACAATATGTTGTTCTTTCGTTTTACTGTGAAAAGTATTCTTAAATTATTTTAACAGAGCATATGCCTCTGTAATAAGTCAGTCTCCAAAATTTAATTGTTTACAATGAATATGCCAGGTTCTTTAGAAGATATATTGTTCTACTGGTTAAAAATATTAAGCAATTCCCAGAGCACTTACACTCAATTTGGTTTGGCTAGTTCATTACAGTTTTTTACTCAAAAAAGAGGAGGCATAGACAAGAGCCTTCAGAATAATGATACCAGTCCCCAAACTTTCATTCTAAATTGAGGTCAGGTAATTAGTGTGTGTTGCCCATAACAAACAGGTAATTATAATGGTAAATGCCCATCAGTTAAATCTACCTGGAAAAGTGGATTCCTTATTTGTGTGCTTTAACAACATTGGAATAACTCCTGAAACCAAGATTTTAACCACAACTTGTATACTTTCAAAATCTAGCATTTACTGCTTGTATAAATTTGTCATGCCTCTTTCATACCTTCCTATACAAATGGCACTTGAGCTAAATGGTGCTTGTGTTCACCATGGAAGAAAATCAAATGGGTCTGTAGTCTAGAATGAAAGTACAATACCATATTAAATTACATTTTTTGACTAAGGAAGACCAGCAAAGATATTTTAGGCATCAGTCAACGAAAACCCCACTTGAGGTATTTGCGTTCTGCTGTGTCTGCAGTTGTGTAATCACTGGGGATCTGATTAGCTCCATGTGTGTCTTTTCTCATTTATCATCTAACTTAGAGATCCATATGCAAATGAGAGTTAATGGGGGCATGATAGGGAAGTTGTCACACTCCCTTAGAGAAGTTACCTCCCTGACACAGAAATGCAGTAATAGATTATTCTTCTCCATGATGAGGAAAATTTTCTCTATTTAACTTTCTGGGTATATTTTTCAACACAAAATTTATATATTATCTTCTTTTATGGGTCATGAAAATGAATTGGTTAAATACAGTGATCATTAGCAGCAAAACAAAGAAAAAAAAACCCAAACAGTCTCCTGGTTTGACATGTAAGTCTCCAACAACTTTCTTGTACAGTAAGCATGAATGAGTTTCCAAATTTACAGTGCTGTGGGCCAGGCCCTGGTCCTTGGTAAAATCCCAGAGTAAATACTACCCAAGCTCTTTTAAAATAACCAGTTGGTCTATGTTGGTGATCTCTCTGCTTCATTACACACCACTGCCCCTTTTTCTTTTGAAATCTCTGTATCATTCATTCTAGCCTACCTTGGTAAGAGCTATTTATATATTAACAAATATGAATTATATACACCTATTGTCATAGATCCTCAACATCATTTCCCTCTTACGTAGAGTTACTACATTGAATTTTTACCTTCAGCTAATTCAATTTGGTTAAACAATATGCATGATATCTATTATCACAGGAATGTCTACATTGGTTACAGCTAGATCCAAAGTGGAAAACAAAGATATTAGGTGCAAACTAATTTATTGTTGAAATGTTTCTATCCTTTTTTTTTATTCCTAAAATAAAATCTGTAATTGTGTTTATGTTGCCAAAACCAGAGGTACCAATTTCTCACGAAGGAACAAAGTATGCTGGAATTTGTTCAAAAGTAGTGCTGTAAAATCCAAGTTATTGATTTAGTTAAGGATTTCCTCCAAAGATCATGTACAATATGACCCTTGTTTCTCTCTTTTACATCTAACTATCTTCAGAAGATGTTTTTCCCAGGGTTCTACTTGTGATAGATCCTTGATGAGGCACATAAAGAACTGATGTAGGTAGACTGATAAGACAGATGCCATCAATAAATGCCTTCCCCAAAATACTTGCCTGTCACAAGTTAATTTGAAGCAGTATTTTCTGTCATGAGGGTGGATTAATTTTGTCCATTTTCTCCTCTTGTCGTAATTCTTGTCATGTGCATAAGAATGTATTATAAAGAAGAACACACTAGACATTATAATTCTGTGATAACTCATTTTTGTGACAAAGAATATAATGAGACCAGACAATAGTGCAAATTCATCATATTCTTACAGTGAACTTAATATTGACTTCCTGGCTTCTTTTCATGATTTCGAGGGCATGTCACTTATGGTTTTATACCAACCAAATGATTAAAGGAACCGCCATTCAAAGACTTGTACTGATTACAAAAGCCTTTTCAACAGGGAAATAAGAGAATCATTTTGATTTTCTTTCCTTTCCAGCTTAAACACATATTTAATGTATATCTGTGATTTCATTTTGATGAAGAAAGACTCCTTGATTTGATAAAGTTACTCAGAAAATGTTATAAACTGGAAGATTGGACTGCATCTATCATTGGAAAACGGTGAATTTTCTCAATAAATCACTATTATAAGTCATAGAGGAAAAACAAAGTTTTACTATAAAGAACCTTTTTGAAATGCTCTCCATATTTTGTGCCAGTAGCTAAGGCAAATCAATCACTTTTAACATGGTCTGTAGCTGCAGTTAGGAAGTTCTATTCAGGAAATACCTCCCTAGTGAACAATTTTTTTAAAACTTTCCTCTATTTGTGCTGCTTTCACCTTAACTCCATGGATGATTCTTCCGTTTCTTCTCTCTGTGTTGGAAAAAAAGGAGAAGCAATTACACAGAAACAGTCTCTCCTTTTGTACAACTTCAGGCAAACATTTAAACAGAAACAGAGAAGACAGACTCTGTAGGGAATATTGGAGCTAGAAGAACAGTCTACTACATAGAAATGCCATGTAACTAACACAGTGTTACCATTCCTATACTCAATATGGTCAGTGAAAATCATACATAATCATTTTTTTTATTCTGAGTTCAAATAGCTCCTCAGAATCCTCCTTAACACAAGCACTAGAAATGAGTTGGTGATAATTGATTTTGTCTCAAGAGTTGAGGTCTACTTATTATTCTTGCCATGAGATTCACTATCTATGTGATTAGTACATGGACATTGTTAAATAAATGCTTATTGAATGGGTGATGAAATGTTTCAAATTTACAGAGAAAAAAATTCTACAGCCACATAATTGGGGTCTCATTTACCTTGTGGCCTAAAATAAGAATGCTCCCATCAACAACATCCTTTGCTATTGGACTCTGTGTTGCAGGAAGTCAGAGACCCCAAACGGAGGGACCGGCTGAAGCCATGGCAGAAGAACATGGATTGTGAAGATTTCATGGACATTTATTAGTTCCCCAAATTAATACTTTTATAATTTCTTATGCCTCTCTTTACTGCGATCTCTAAACATAAATGGGGGCCAGATATCAGGGAATCTGCCCTGATATTCACGTAGGTTCTTTTCTATTTTCCTTAAGCATCGGCCAGCTTGAGAAATAAAGGGACAGAGTACAAAAGAGAGAAATTTTAAAGCTGGGCATCTGGGGGAGACATCACATGTCGGTAGGTTCCGCGATGCCCCACAAGCCTCAAAAACCAGCAAGTTTTTATTAGGAATTTTCAAAAGGGGAGGGAGTGTGCAAATAGGTATGGGTCACAGACATCAAGTACTTTACAAGGTAATAGAATATCACAAGGCAAGTGGAGGCAGGGTGAGATCACAGGACCACAGGACCGGGGCGAAATTAAAATTGCTAATGAAGTTTCAGGCACCATCATTATTGATAACATCTTATCAGGAGACAGGGTTTTGAGAGCAACCGGTCTGACCAAAATTATTAGGCGGGAATTTCCTCTTCCTAATAAGCCTGGGAGCGCTATGGGAGACTGGGGTCTATTTCACCCCTGCAGTCTCCACCATAAGAGACAGGCACACCCGGGGGGGGGGGCTGTTTATAGGCCTATACCTCCAGGCGTGTATTCTCTTTCCCAGGGATGTTCCTTGCTGAGAAAAAGAATTCAGCGATATTTCTCCCATTTGCTTTTGAAAGAAGAGAAATATGGCTCTGTTCCGTCTGGCTCACCAGCAGTCAGAGTTTAAGGTTATCTCTCTTATTCCCTGAACAATTGCTGTTATCCTGTTCTTTTTTCAAGGTGCCCAGATTTCATATTGCTCAAACACACATGCTGTACAATTTGTGCAGTTAACCCAATTATCACATGGTCCTGAGGCGACATACATCCTCCTCAGCTGACAGGATTAAGAGACTAAAGTAAAGACAGGCATAGGAAATCACAAGGGTATTGACTGGGGAAGTGATAAGTGTCCATGAAATCTTTACAGTTTATGTTTAGAGATTGCAGTAAAGACAGGCATAAGAAATTATAAAAGTGTTAATTTGGGGAACTAACAAATGTCCATGAAATCTTCACAATCCACGTTCTTCTGCCATGGCTTCAGCCGGTCCCTCCGTTTGGGGTCCCTGCCTTCCAGGAACAACTCTGTTTACAGAAGATGATGATCTCACCTAAAAACTCATGTGGAAAACTATTTGGACACCTGTGTTTATATACATGAAATCTATACATATTATAAGTATTTGCATAAACATAAATTCACTCACAGTATAGTGTAATGGAAAGAACTGTGAGGCTTTGCTTCTGCTTCTCCCTCTCTCAACCTTGGGTCTCAATTTTTTCAGCTGTAAAATTCAAGCACTGGATTTTCCTTTTTAATTCTATTCTTCTTTATTTCTACACACATGTACAAAACCAATTGTAAGACAAACCAATACATTTCACTTGTCCTGATTTCATGGACTTATTTTTATCTGAGAGAAAAAAGTAGACATTTTACTTGAATTTTTTTTTTTGCCAAGAGGCTTTGATGGAAATGTCAAAACCCAGTGTGTGATTTTTTCCTTTTTCTAATTACAATTACCTGTAGCAAAAATATGCAATAATATTATTTCCTTGTTAGAACCTAGAGATTCCATTCTGATGTTGAGATTGGAATATCTCCAGCCTCTTGTGAAGTGAAGTACAAAGAATATATGTTCTGGCTGAGGCAGAATTTTTCCAGATAGAGACCCACTCTCAAGTCTCCTGGAAGATCTGCTGCCTTCTGAGAACAAAAGGCCTAATCTAATGTGGAGCCTCACAAATGGTGCTCACACAGGAAGCCCAAGTTACCCAATGGGGGAGCAGCTAATTGGCCAGACATTCTTGGAATGAATTTAGCTGCTGGTTGGCAGGTGGGGTACATTGTAAAGCACCACATCCAGGCTGTACTGTAATTTGTTTTTAATTACTGTGTTTGCTTGGGAAAGGCTGTAAGGTCTACTCATCGCTCACATTGGTATGCTAATTGACTATTGGGAGATTTACAAACTGGGTTTTACACAGTGTCCTTTTCTACTGCCTGTGGTGATCTGAATAGCATGTTATTTATTTAGATCTCCTGAAACTTTAAGTTTGAATATTTCAAATAAAGATAAAAGAGCAAACTTATCTCTTATTTCAACTGATAAAGACTGTAAGAATATATTACCCTTTAAGCATGTATTTGATTTCATTTTGTTTCCTGGCTTAAAAAGTGGAATATTTTTGTGTGAAATGCTCGTGGATGTCCACAACTAAATACTGATTTAAGTGCACACTCTTATGGCCCAGGGAGGTGGGAGGTGAGGTGGGGGTGAGAAGAGCAGCCAGGCTGCAAGAGAAACCAAGCAAATGGCAAGCCAGGTGTCTGCCCAGCAGGAAGCATGCCCAGGAGCAAAGTATGGGAGCTCAAAGTGGGTCAGATGGGGTTCAGGGGAGCACAGGTGCTGGGCAAATCCATGCCCACAACCTGGAAGCAGTCGTGGATCAAGCTGGGATGAAAGAGAAGAGACACAGAAATGACCTATGAGAATTACAAGGAGCTATTCAGAACTGGGTCAATCAGAGGATGCGCTGAAGGCAGGTGAGGGAGAAGGTGTGCATACAAGTCATAAGGGCTGTGTAAAAATCTCCAGATGTTGAACCTGAGAGCAGAGGATGTGTTGTTTATAATTGTGTCTCCAGGGCCTCCAAGATGTTGGGGTAGTGGTGAGGAACAGACACAAATTGCCAGAAATCTAAGGAGTCCTGTTGAGTTTGTTGCATTTGTAGTGATATAAAATTCCTGGTATAAAATGTTTAATATCAAAATCCCATGTTAAATATTTAGCCTCTCTGTACTTCCTGGGGTGGGGGCGCATTTTTTTTGTTTAACCAGGTGCACTCTAGTTCAGCCTTTGTTGGTCTACAATAGTCCTGGCATATAGGTGGTGCCTAATGAGTTTCATCTAATATTTATTTTAATAAAGACAAGTTTTTCTTTCTGCACTGTTTTGGTCCTAAATCTTAAAGATGTAAATGGTGCCTCTGTACCCATACAAACTCTACAGAAGCAGTACAAGGTTGAGTTTAGAACCTTTCTGTGAAATGTGGGTACCATCTCATGTTGACTTGGCAAATCTAAATATTTTTGCTTTATCCTATTTGAGTGATGGGTATGGGTTACGTTTTCTGCATAATTATATGAACTTTTATTTAGTCATTGTCTATACTGCTAAGAAGTTATTGTTGCACTGGGGTACTAGCTGAAACACAATATTATAAGGCCAAGGGGCCAGGAATTCTGACCTTAGCCAAAAGTACCCACTTTAAACAGAAAGATAAATGTCTACACCCGTGTGCTTAATAATATTTATCTTTTTTGAAAATGTCACCCCTAAAAACGTGACTAAATCACTGCTACTGAAGCCACACTTCCTCCTAGGTAGGGATGGGATGGTGGGGTGGGGTTGATGTTGCATAGGGTTAAGAGCGGCAAGTAAGATTTCCCTGTGTTTAGTTTACAGCTCTACCACTTACTAGTGTTATGACATGAGTCAAGTTATCTCATCTGTAAATGGGGTTAGTAATAGCACTTACCTCATA
The DNA here is from genome assembly GCF_000001405.40 of Homo sapiens. Classification (NCBI taxonomy): domain Eukaryota; kingdom Metazoa; phylum Chordata; class Mammalia; order Primates; family Hominidae; genus Homo; species Homo sapiens. The sequence goes on along the minus strand of NC_000003.12, from coordinate 176,560,842 downwards.
GTGTTGGTGTGAAGATTGATGTGTATATGTTATTATGCATAATGCTCTTAGAACAGTATTAGATCCACAGTAAATACTACATAAGTGTTTGTTATCCTCAACAAAATTCTGTTTATAATAGTAATTATTAACTGTGACTCATACTCGAGAGGAGGAAGGTGAACGAAGGATAAAATGACAGAAACTTTGTTCCCAAGGATCAACTAATATAATAGTGGATAGGATGAAAATGGAAACATTCATTCCAAGCAATTTTCTTTCTGCTCAGACATTTAACAAATATTTTATTTTCTGTCCAGGTGTTTGATAATATGGTGAATATAATTTACACATTTTTATGAATGAGATGATATAGTCATTAGACCACGCTGGAAAATGATTACTTATATACAGATCTATTAATACCCTGTGATTTTCTTAAACAGTAGGCATAATAATCAGACTGTGCTTTCATAAGTGTAATTATAAAACAATATTGACGAAGAAGTCAAGACTGGTGCAATTAACACAAAATGGTAGTAACTAAGAATATTGTAATCTACTGACAACTATAAAGCAAATTTATTCCACTGAAACAAGAAAAGAGATCTAAAATGAAAGTGTACATGGAGGATCCTCAATGCTGAAGCAAAATTTGGATTGCCAAGTAGCCAAAGTGGATCATCTAAGTGTAACGACGACTCTGATAAAGCCATTATCAGATCTTTGCTGAGGTATATTAACCCAAAGCCAAACTGTGACATCATAATCAACATACCCATCTTTATGATTTCTTCCTGGGATTGCCTTCTATTGTTTGAAATCACACTTAATCTTTCCACAATAGGGGGTCGATATGCAATTGTGAATTCCTAAATAACACTGGTTTACTCTCTAATTTCATCTAAGAGAAACATTTTATAAAATAATATTCAGATTCCATGCAGAAAAAAATGGAATACACAATAAAGTGTCGACAGGGGGTTTCAGCATTTCATATGGGGTGTCATACTGAATATTAAAATGCAATGTAATAATAAAATGTGTAGAAGAGATGAAATGATGGCGTTGTGCTAAATAACTTAGAGAAAAAAAGACTACTTCACCTTAGACTGCTACTTTTTATTTATAGCTTCAACTGATATCTTGGCTTCAATCGCAGAATCTCTAGTTAGTTTGCAGAGATGGTTCTATAAACCTCCTGGGGGAAGGGAAACGGCCTACTCTGATTGGTCCACCAATAGGAGACTAACTCAAGGAAGAAAAGGAGGGAAGATGAAGAAAATTTGTCAGCAATGTGTAAGGTGGAACAAAAATTTTCTGAGGGAAATGTGTGTAAGGGCAAGATCAGTTTAAAGACTAAGAATTTGGAGGACAATGGAGGGGCAAGATGATAAGCTAAGCCTACAGAAGAAAAATAGGAGACTGCTGCATTCTGAGCAGAGCTGGCTTAGAGAAGAAAAGTTCAAACTGGATATACAGTATTTTAATGTCATAGACCAAAGAGGGGGGACATGGCAATACAATACCTGTATAGCTATTTGTTCATAGCTACATTAACAGAATACATGGCATTTGCAGAATATCATGGCTTAGAATAAAACAAAGCAAAACATTATTTAGTTAAATAAACTTGAGACTAGACACACCTAGTCATAATATGCTTGCACTAAGAATATGTGTAGATTATATATTTTGTTGCGTATGTGACTAGATTTTTAATATATACAGTTATACTATATTTTATATTATATAATACATAGTATATTACATTATTCTATCCATCATTTTTAAGATTATTTCCATGAAAATAAAAAACTGTTAAAAAGGGTTATTAAAAAATGTCTGTAGAGCAGTCATTTCTGCATGGACGGAGCATGCTTAGTTAAATTGAATTTGAGGATCAAATCCTGTCAACTTTACCTTTAAAGTATATCCGGAGGCTGATTGCTTTTCACCCCTCCCATGCTGGTACCTTGATTATGGTGACAACCTTCTAACTGGTCTCCCTGTTTCTACCTCATTCCTAACATCACAGCCAAAGAGGTGTCTTGAAAACGGAAGTCCTGTTATGCTGCTCCTCTGCTCATAGGCTAATGGCTCTTCATCTCATTCAGAGACCAAGTCCCTGCATGGCCAGCACCTGCAGAAACAGAGCCCCACAGTAAGACCCAGCAGCTCCACAGAAGCTCGCTTACATGATATAGCCTTTGCATCTATATGATATAAAAATCACTTTGTTTCACTGGATAATTCACTTCAAAGAGGTTGGAAATCAACCATTTTGCTTCCCGAGTTTCACAAACCTGGACCTAATTTCTGGCATTATGTTCACCATAACACAATTCTATTAGAATATAGCCATATGGTAGTTTCATGAAATTTGTCATAATTGAATTTTATCTGTTATTATACTTTGTGCTGTAGTTTAATGATTTTTTATTTTACCTGTACCTATTGCTACCTTGCGGTTAAGAGTTCCAAACTGACTTTTTAAAAAGATGAAATAAAATATTAAAAATATTTTGAGAATGGAAAGTTCAAGATGGACATGTTTTGCTGTAGGAATTTTAATTTTTAAATTGTGAGAAGATGTACTTTTAACTTACAGTGACCCAAGTAGCTTAAAATAGAGAGAGATACTTTGAACTGATTCTTTGAATATGCTTTCACATAAAGGGGAGAAGTAACATTTATAATTGATGAGAATGCAGCATTGTGTAAGTACTAAAAAACTTTTGGACCAGATACAGTGTTTCCCAAATGTAATGTTCATTGTTAAAATGAAGATTCAAGGTCATGCCTTAGAAATTCTTATTTAGAGTTGGAGTGGGGCTCAAAAATATGTTTATTTAAAAGTATTCCCTGGACCTTAGCTGGGCATGCTCACAACGGTAATCCCAGCACTTAGGGAGGCAGAGGCAAGAGGATTACTGGAGCCCAGGAGTTCAAGACCAGCCTGGGCAACATAGCAAGAACTTGCTCTATTAAGAAAAATTTTTTAAAAATTAAATAAATAAATACAGTAGAAGTAATCCCTGGACCTCATTTTTAGGAACTCTGGAATAAGCTTAAAGACAAGAAAATGGGGTCTTGTCTTGATAAGGAACTACAGTGCTATGTGACCTTGGACATGTCATGTTCTGTCTCTTTTCAGTTTTTTCATCTATGATATTTGCAATTTACATTTGTATATAAATTTTATGGAATTTAAACATTGTTCCCAGTATTGTCTAATTTAATCTTTCTAGCATTTTGTAAGCCATTTTTGTTGCCATTTTCTAGAAAAAAATTCAAGTTTCAGAAAGGTTAACCCAGATCAGTGATAGACGGCAGATCAGTGACAGAGCCAGGGTGAGAAATCTGGCTACTTTTTTCCTTGTTCTATGCCTGTCATTGTACTTCAGATGCAAAAGAAAGAGTAGATTCAGATTATATGTAAGTTTCCTTCTAGTTAAATTCAGCCAGTTTAGATAGATACAGGATTATTTTCAGCCTATATTTCCACTATAGCAGTGTTCAAATCCAAACAGTTATGATTCTAGTTAAATTGATAGCTGAAATACATTAAAGATGGAGCTAACCCATTTTTTAGTTTACACTATTCTGTTTTATTAATCACTGGGCTATACAGATGGCTTTACTTGATGATCAATTCCATGGGTTGGCATGGGACTTTTGTGGAATGAGAGGCAATGAAAAGAGAAGGAATCAACAGAAGTAAATTAACTCTCACACTATGAAATCCCTGAGGAAGTTGTAGCAGATTTCTCCTTAGAATACACATTAATATTAGTTTCATGACTGGAGAGAAGCAACAGTAGCTTCACCGTGCTCACCTGTGTTTTGACAAAATGTGACATAGGGCAAAAGAGTAGGGATGATGAGAGATCAAGTAGTACTTGTCTTAATTGCACATCTAACTGTGGGGAATGTGATGTCTATGCACCCACAAGCAGGCTTCCTAATCCTGATGTACAGGGTTGGACACAGCCTCCTCTCAGGGCAGGATCCTTTCAGCAGAAGCAGATGTTCTATCTCTGTGGGAATGGTGCTCCCAAGGGAACAGGAGGTGGGAGAAGATGAGCTATGCAGGTCACTTCACTAAATAGGTAAGTCGCTCCTTCTCCTTGGAGACAAGTAAGAATAGGGCAAGAGGCAAGGAGGTTTGGAGGGAAAATTCCCCCTTATACAAACTGTAGGAGTGGGGCATCAACATTTCCCCTCTAATGATTGCATTCATCTAATAGCTGTCTTGGTGACTTGCAATGGAAATGAAAATCTTGAGTAGAATTTGAAGGGTAAGTTTTTGGTGAAGGAAACCTTTCTGTGTCCTCGTTCTCAGATATGAACTTCGGTATCTGGTTTATTTTACCTGCTCTGAGGTGAAAGATTCTGCTGTTTTCACACACTGTATTTCCCTCTTTTTAGAGGCTCCCTCGAGGAAACCTGCCTGCACTCTAACTTGAGATTCCAGGCCATTACATCCAGCACGTTCTCTCCCTGGCCCACCCTTGCACGCATTGTTCCATAATCAGAAAGAATCCTCATGTCCTCAGCAGACAGAAATAGAAGGGCTGTATTTTTGAGAGTTTACTAAGTTGAAGACTTGTCTGGTGGCATTGTTGATATTTTATTTTCAGAAATAGAAGAGCATCTAATTTGAAGGGATAGAGAGTAAACAGCATTGCGCAAAACTGGCATCATATTAAGTCTGCCCAGTAAGAGCCCACTGAGTGACAGTGGCTAGAGAGAGCACTATGGTAACCTAGGAAATAAGAAGTTAGAGTGTCAGGCAACAGAGAAAATCAAATTATTGTCAACTTGCTATAGGAACTCTGTTCAAGCAAATATGTCATGCCGCCAGTGGCAGACATTTAAAAAGCCATGCCTCTGAGTAAATATATTGCTTGGCTACTCCCCTAAAGTATTTTCACTTTTAATCTCAACTCCAAGGTTTTCTACCCCTGTTTCTGCTCCTGTTCTTTGTTACCACAGATCCCCCTTCTACCACTGCTAGAATAGATTCCATGTTCAAGGTTCATAGGACAGCAGAGCTGAAAGCAATCTGAACATTTCTATTCCAACAGCCTCATTTTACAAAAGGAAACGGACTCTCAATGACATTAATTAATTTGTTCACATTCTCCCCCCAAAGCAGCAGCATTGCCGGTGGTAGAACCCAGCATTCCCAATCAGCCACTGACAATAAAAGAAGGTCACAGAATTACCTTATAGCAACTGTTTTCTATTTTTCCCTTCTATCATTTTAACATTTGAAAAGCTATCTAGTTTGAAAGAAACCGTAATCCTTTATAGCAGCTTCTAGGATTGATATTTCTGGAGATGCTTTGAGCTGTCCTTATAGGAACTACTTGTTATCATACCATTGTGGTTGTCGTTAATCACTATGTGCTTGGCACTGTGCTAAGTGCTTCACAGATCTAATTTCATTTAACCTTCACAACTATGTTCCAAGAATCTTACAGAGGTTAAGTTCTTCAGGAGATACAATGTCAGATCTCATCAAATTCAGTTACAGTTTTTACCTTAGTATCTTAGTGAAGACAACAAAGGAATCATAATTTCCCTTAAAGCAGGGACTCTGACTAATCATAACTGAATCCATCAGATACTGTCAGATAGAGTTCTACTTATTCTGTGAGTGCCAAGTGATATTTATGAGTTGTTCATGAGGAACGGGTGGGGGATGGAGGAGTAGTGTACGTTGTTAAATACATTTGCTTTCGAAATTACCTTGAATGCAGCAGACCTGTGCTCAAGTGAATTGTTAACTGAGTCTATGACCCTGGGCAAGACATTTAATGAGCTGTGGGGTTACGAGTGTTTGTTGAGGCTGTGATACTGATGGCTTACATTCTGAACCTGGATGTTGGAAACTTCACAGAATAGGCCTGAAGGCACATTTTCAAATATCATTTCGAGCTACCACGCATACTGTTCATCACCCGAGTTCCACACAGGGCCCTGTAGTAGATGCTTTAGACACTTTTAATTCTCACGACTGCATTATTGCCACCTTACACAGAAGAACATTGAGACTTAAAGAAGGCTTGTTGCCAAGAGGCTAGTAAATGATAGTTGCTGTTTTCCCCTAGTACGACTTGCTCCAAAGCCTGTTTACGCAGAAAGAACACCACCTCTACCTGTTAGCTCTGCCCCTTCCCACCCTGCCCCCGTAAGTGATCTGTCAAAAACAGTTGGTTTGGAATTTCCTAAACGTGACTTATATATTAAAAGATAAAAATTCCGGAATTCCACAGCTGCTGGCAAAATTGATTTCCTAAAATTTCCCACTTGACTGATCTGTGACTGACATCCCTAGTCATACCAGTTATTTAAGTACTTCATTGAAAGAACACTTATCAGCAATTGCTGTCTGCAAAAGGTGTTAAGTGAGTGTCACTGCTATGACAGCTCACAAGTTCTAAACTGCTTTTATAAACCCATGGCTTGATGTAGCAAAGATGAGTGTTACCAGTTTAAATTTTTCTTCATCAGTAATGTCTGCAGTGACTCATATTGTAACTCAGAGGCATCTAATGGGTACAAACAAGGATGGATGAAGTAAATGCAGTGAAGATGGATCATTTTATATTTTTACAGAAACTGGCTTTGTTCTATTCATCTAGTTAGTGTTTATTCAGTGTTTACTATTTGCTAAGCACTGGGAGTAGGTGCTTTGCTAGCACTAGATGCTAAGGGGAATATGAACAATTATTAGACATTGTTCCTTCTATACGTTTATATCCTAGATGGTGTGAAAATACACACATATACACACACACAGCCATAGCTTATATGTGATTTACTCAGAAAAATTTTCAAGAATTTCAGGCCACACATAAATATACAAAATCATTCAATCCTCACAACAGCTCTATGAAACAGGTATCATCAACCCTGTTACAGTGAAAAAAACTGAGACTGAGAGAAGTTAGGGAATACAGCAAGGATGTTGACTTGAACTTAAGACTTCTAACTATAGGTCTTTGCCCTTTCTATTATTCTACCTCATCACACAATACTATGGCTTTCAATGAGTGAATAGAATTAAGTGCTTTGGAAATTTAGAATAGGGAAAAATTCTTGCAGGTCAAGATACTTGGTCTTGGGTGAAGTGCAAGACTCAGACAGATGAAGAGGAGGGAGAAGGGTGCATTCCAAAAAGAAGATTCAAGAACAATGTCTAATAGAAATATGAACAAGATGTGTTCAGGGCAATACATAAGCCAAAGTGAAGGGAATAGAGAATTGATGTCAAACAGGGTCAAAGATGATTTAGAGAGACAGTGGGGTCAGACTATGGTGACCCATAGAAGGCAGTTAATCAAACTCTGAGCTTCACTATGCCTTGGAAGTCCCTGAGGGTCGAAGTAATGTCTTCTCTCTGTCTCTCCTCTATTTCCCTCAGCTGAAACAAATGATTTTCTTGTTTTAAAGGTCAGTTTTAGTCTTCAGGACGCTCTCACTGTTATGATTTGGATATTATTTTTTCAAAGAACTCCTAGAGCATAAATCTTCATCCTGCAAAATTGATTACTTAATAAGGTTCTGAATTTTGTTTTTACCTAATTGTTTTAATTGAACTTGTTTTATGACTTCAGCCAGACAATAAACATCTGGAAAGCTGGGACTACGTCTTATTAGAAGCTATAGAGACTACCTTTAAAAATGCATGTCATAAAATAGTGATAAAATATATTTAGGAACAAAGAATCAAGTGCAGGAAAATTATAAATTGGGGTGGGTGGTAAAAAAAACAAGCACGCTTCAAGATGATAATATGATTTGTTATAAATGCTAAATTGAAAGGGAGCAAGGGGGGGTATCACGATTTTTTACCATCTGCTGTATTTTGGCTCTGTGTCCCCACCCAAATCACATCTCAAATTGCAGTCCTCACATGTAGAGGGAGGGACCTGGTGGGAGGTGATTGGATCATGGGGGTGGTTTCCCCATGCTGTTCTTGTGATAGTGAGAGAATTCTTACAAGGTCTGATGGGTTAAAAGTGGCAGTTTTCCCTGTGTTCTCTCTCTCTCTTGCCACCTTGTGAAGAAAATGTTTCTTCCCCTTTGCCTTCTGCCATGACTGTAAGTCTCCTGAGGCCTCCCAAGCCATGTGGAACTGAGAGTCAACTAAGCCCTTTTTGTTTATAAATTACCCAGTCTCAGGTAGTATCTTTTTAGCAGTGTGAAAACTAATACACCATCAAAGAGGAATAAATCTTTAAAAATAGGAAGAAACATATTATATCATCAAACAGCACTTTTTTTAGCAACTGCTTTTAAAGGATTAATTTTGACCTATATCAATGTACATTATTTAACACATTCAAAAAGTACTGTTCCAGTTATCAATCTGTTGTCTCTCAGCTCCAAATTCACCCTTCATTGTCTGCAATGCAAAGCCAGAAATGGACTGTGTAAGCACTTCTCCTTTGCCAGCAAGTGTGGTGGTAAATGTTAAATGTTGTCTGGAGAGTGCTCTGGAGAGCCACTGGAGAAGGCAGAGGTTTCTCTTCCTGGCTCTTCCCTGCTCCTCTCAGTAACCTCCTGCAGAACGTGTCATGTTGCTTTCTAAAAGCAGCTTCTCATAACATTTCAGAGAGCAGCTTCCCAGAAAGTCCCATTGGTGTGGCTTCTCCCTGTGGATGGCTTCCTCTGGCACCTCTTTGGGCAACTTGACAGTGAATTCCAAGGAGCATAGACAGCTTCCCTGGTACCCCTCATGTGGCTTCACAGTGAGTCATGAAGCATGGCACCTCCCTGTGGATGGCTTTTCCCAGCACCACCCCTTCCAAGTAATTTCTGAGGTACCTTCTCATGGGTACAACTTCTGGAACCCCAGAGAGCAGTTCCTGGTGAGTGCCACTTTTGTGGCATCACCCTGAAGATGCCTTCCCAGAGGGTGTCTTCAGAGTGAGTCTCACTGATGCAAACTTTTATGCCACACAGTAGGCCACAGCTGTACCTTCTAACAGAAGGTCTGGGGTTCAGCCCTGAGGCGGATGCATCTTCCAGATTTCTTCCTACCTTGGGTTCTCTACCTCAGCCTTAGGGGTAATGGCTGCTTGAGTGTCCTTTTCACACTTTAGTAGCTAATTCCCTATTACAATTTTTTTTATATTGAAATTTCCCTGTTCAACTCACTGCGTATTTTCTTTCTCCTAATTGGACTTTGACTGCAACAAGTGCTGAAACCTTCAGAAAAACAATAGCAGGCCGTACTCCAACCATCTTTTACCACTCATCCCTACTCCCCAGAGATAATACTTTAAAACATTTATATACTTAGCTCCACATTTCTACATAAGATACTTATACTGTTATTTCTTGATTTATCAACTTTAGACATTATCCATTTTTATATTTATCCAATCATCCCAATGATTATAGTAATATCTTTTTTGTTAAATTAATAATCATTACTTTATTATAACTATATAATTATTATTTACCATTCAGCCAACTTAAGTTCCATGATTATATTTTCTTTCTAGTCTGATTCTTTAAAAAATATTTAGTTTTGGAGATACCAATTGCCTTGGCTATTATCTTTTTAGAATTTGTAACACTTATTTTCATTTTTAAAATGCTTTGAGAGATCTGCCAAATATTTATTAGGGGTTGTTTTCCACAGTCACATATGGATGAGTTCATCTTTTAAATTCATTTTTCTACAGAGTCACTATAGTATTACACATATAGAAACCATTAAGGAATATCTTTGCCATCTGATTTCTAATTCTGATATTGACCCACACCAGGAATGTGACTACAGATATATATTTTTAAGTATGTTGTGCTTAATTTTTTTTTTCTACAAAGTGAAGAGAATGAAGTTTTAACTCTATGAGGTACTCTATGAGTTAGCTCTTGGATTCATGGATCCCTAATTTGTCTATTGAGTTATAACCTCTGCTCTAGGACTAAGTTAACTTCTTAGTATTAGCTGATTTTAAGTCAGTTTAACCCAGGAGTTTTGGCTACCTCTCAGAAACTTTGTAAAGACATTACATGTTGTGTTCCCTAGAGCCACCTACCCTAGGTGGGAGAACTGGTATTTTTTTGTCTCTGCTCTTAGCCTATTCACACTGATAAAAACTAACCACTGTCAACATTTCTCTGAGCTATATGTCAATATAATTCTGCCTATATGACTTTAACTGTATTTCTTAAACTTACATTAAGCACTTGGTTATTGAAAGTATTACGCTGCATGATAGAGTAGTTTCTTCACTTAATGGAGGACAGTGCTATAAACACTGTGTAGAAGTTATATGATCAAGAATCCCTGAAAATGTTCTTACCTCATCTGTTTGTATATTCAGCAAATACTGTACATTTTAAGTGTCTGTGTCTTCTGGTACTTTTCTCAGTTCTGGGGAGGCAATAGTAAGCAAAAATACACAGCCACAGAGCTTACTGTTAGCAGCAGAGATAAACAATATCAAATAATCACATGAAGGAGTCTGTTGGCAACCATAATAAGTAATACAAGCTGGTGCATGGGGTGCGAACTTTACTTCGGGAGGGCTGCACTTAGGGAGGTCACAAGAGGCTTCACTGAGGAAATCATCCTGGAGCTGAGACCTGAAGGATGAGTAGGAGTTAATGAGGCAATAGGGGAGGGAAGAGTCCTCCATTCAGAGAAAACTGTGTTTAAAGACCAATGGCAGGGACAGTACAGCCAGAACAAGGGACACAAAGGACTGTGTGATTGGGAGCAGGGAGCAAGGAAGGGTGGTGTATGATGGTGCTGAACAAGCAAGTGAAGGCAGGGCATTGCAGAGCCTCACAGGCCTGCCAAGTATTGTGTTTATCCCAAGGAGAAGGGGAGCCATTGAAAGATTTTAGGCTGAAGCAAGGGAGCAGCAGCCCATTGTTGAGATTTCCACCTTGGAGCCAATTTCTGAGGCAGTCCTGGTGAGAATAAACTGGAGGGGGTCAGAGTGGACTCAGTCGGGCCAGTTAGGAGGCTTTTAACACAGAATTAAATATTTTAAATGTAAGATATTTTGCCTCAATTTTAATTGATGCCTGCTGTGTCTTTAAAAATTATTATTTCCCACACGGAACTTTTGTTGCCCTCTGGCCTTGACATCTCCCAAATATTTGTCCTTCTTTATTGGTTGGGTCTATTGCCAGCTTCTGAACTGTCTTGCTGTAAACAATGGACGCATCCTATGCAGGATAGTAATTGCAATGTAAAACCCAAATCCTTCCCTTTAGTCACAAACTGGACATGAATTCCTAACAGCCAGGCAACTGCAGAAAGTGTACTGAGGCACAGTTGAACCAGGATTTTATATCTCCTTGATGAACAAATTGGCTTACCACACTGTCAGTCTGATTGTTTTCCTCTCAGCCAATTACTAAGACAACAGAAAATTGCAAATCCACTTAGCCAGTGAATTTGGCCATGTCATAGAGACTTGGTAATAAACTCTATTTCCAACTGTCTTCATAAAAGATAAACATATAACATTTGAAAATCACTCTGAAGGATGTAGCAAACATTTTTCAAATTTGTTCTGATGACACTGATATTGCTATCATAAAAACTTTAATTATCAGGTTGATATGAATTTATCTTAAGTTGCCTTGATATGGTTTGGCTGTGTCCCCACCCAAATCTCAACTAATTGTATCTCCCAGAATTCCCACAAGTTGTGAGAGGGACCCAGGGGGAGGTAACTGAATCATGGGGGACAGTCTTTCCCTTGCTATTCTCGTGATAGTGAATAAGTCTCACGAGATCTGAAGGGTTTATCAGGGGTTTCTGCTTTTGCTTCTTCCTAATTTTTCTCTTGCCACCACCATGTAAGGTCTTTTGCTTCCCACCATGATTCTGAGGCCTCCCCAGCTATATGGAACTGTAAGTCCAATTAAACCTCTTTTCGTCCCAGTCTCAGGTATGTCTTTATCAGCAGCATGAAAATGGACTAATACAGTAAATTGGTACTGGGAGTGGGACATTGCTAAAAAGACACCCGAAAATCTGGAAGCGACTTTGGAACTGGGTAACAGGAAGATGTTGGAACAGTTTGGAGGGCTCACAAGAAGACAGGAAAATGTGGGAAAGTTTGGAACCTCCTAGAGACTTGTTGAATGGCTTTGACAAAAATGCTGTTAGTGATATGAACAATAAAGTCCAGGCTGAGGTGGTCTCAGATGGAGATGAGGAACTTATTGAGAACTGGAGCAAAGGTGACTCTTGCTATGTTTAGCAAATAGACTGGAGGCATTTTGCCCCTGCCCTAGAGATTTGTGGAACTTTGAGCTTGAGAGAGATGATTTAGGGTATCTGATGGAAGAAATTTCTAAGCAGCAAAGCATTCCAAAGGTGTCTTGGGTGCTGTTAAAAGCATTCTGTTTTAGAAGAGAAACAGAGCAAAAAAGTTCAGAAAATTTGCAGCCTGATGATTCAGTAGAAAAGAAAAATCCTTTTTTTTTTTTTATTTTTTTGAGGAGAAATTCAAGCTGGCTGCAGAAATTTGCAGAAGTAGCAAGGAGCCTAATGTTAATCCTCAAATCATGGGGAAAATGTCTCCAGGCCATGTCAGAGACCGTCTGGGCAGCCCCTCCCATCAAAGGTCCAGAGGCCCAGGAGGAGAAAGTGGTTTCACGGGTCAGGCCCAGGGTTCTTGCGCTGTATGTAGCCTAGGGACTTGATGTCCTGTGTCCCAGCTGCTCCAGCCGTGGCTGAAAGGGGCCAACATAGAGCTCGGGCTGTGGCTTCAGAGGATGCAAGCCTCAAGCCTTGGCAGCTTCCATGTGATGTTCTGCAGGTGAACAGAAGTCAAGAATTGAGGTTTGGGAGCCTCTGCCTGGATTTCAGAAGATGTATGGAAACACCTGGATACCCAGGCAAAAGTTTGCTGCAGGGGCAGGGCCCTCATGGAGAACCTTTGCTAGGCCAATGTGGAAGGAAAATGTGGGGTTGGAGCCCTCACACAGAGTCCCTACTGGGGCACTGCCTAATGAAGCTGTGAAAAGGCCACCATCCTCCAGACCCCAGAATGGTAGATCCACTGACAGCTTGCACCGTGCACCTGGATAAGCTGCAGACACTCAATGACGGCCCGTGGAAGCAGCCAGGAGGGAGGCTGTACCCTGCAAAGCCACAGAGGCAGTGCTGCCCAAGCTCATGGGAACCCATCTCTTGCATCAATGTGACCTGGATGTGAGACTTGGAGTCAAAGGGGAGATAATTTTGGAGCTTTAAAATTTGACTGCCCTGCATGGGCCCTGCAACCCCTTTGTTTTTGCAAATTTCTCCCATTTGGAATGACTGTATTTATCAAATACCTGTACCCCCATTGTATCTAAGAAATAACTAGCTTGCTTTTGATTGTTCAGGCTCATAGGTGGAAGGGAGTTGCCTTTTCTCAGATGAGGCTTTGGACTATGGACTTTTGAGTTAATGCTGAAATGAGTTAAGACTTTGGGGGACTGTTGGGAAGGCGTGACTGATTTTGAAATGTGAGGTAATGAAATTTGGAAGGAGCAGAATGGTATGGTTTGGCTGTGTTCCCACCCAAATCTCAACTTGAATTCTATCTCCCAGAATTCCAACGTGTTGTGGGAGGGACCTAGGGGGAGGTAATTTAATCATAGAGGCCAGTCTTTCCATGCTATTCTCCTGATAGCAAATAACTCTCACAAGATCTGATGGGTTTATCAGGGGTTTCTGCTTTTGCTTCTTCTTCTTTTTCCTCTTGCCGTCACCATGTAAGAAGTGCCTTTCACCTCCCACCATGATTCTGAGGCCTCCCCAGCCATATGGAACTGCAAGTTCAATTAAACCTCTTTTTCTTTCCAGTCTCAGGTATGTCTTCATCAGCAGCATAAAAAGGGACTAATACATGCCTTTTTCTTTGCTTTGCCTCAATTAGAAGACTTTTCCCTTTACGTCTTCAGTGTTGTATGGTAGGGAGAGTGTTTCTACTCACTGGTTAAAGAATATGTTCTTTCTATTTAAGTCACCATAAAGAGGCTCCCTTTAAAATTACAAACTTTCATTGATCTATAAGCCTTAATAAGAACTAGTTCCTGAGGTGTGCCTGAGATAGGTAAACAAAGATTTAAACAGTAGCTAAAACGCAAAAATAAGTTACAATGTGCACTGCTTTATTTCAACCAGAAAACTCAATAGCAAGAAAATCTTTTAATTCGGTGATTACATAGCTTTTTTTTTTTATGGAAGCATGGATTATCACACTACAAATCCTGAACACTAATTCACAAAAATAATTTGTCCATTTTCCTGAAGATGCCCCATACTAGATGTCTACCAGTAAAGAGACTGACTAAACAGCACTCTCCTTAATAAGTTAACAGTGTCAACCACAGGTTCCTCATTTTAAGTTCCAGAAATTGCAGGACTTGGGAAATTGTTATTTGGGAAAGGGTTATGTAGAAAAAGTTCTACCTACTTTCTCTCCTATGGCTTCAGCTACCACCTAGATTCCCATGCTGCCAAAGCACTAGGATAGATCTGAGTCTCTCCTAAGTTCCAGTCCAGTGTTTTTGGAAGTTGATAGAATATGCTACCAGTGACCTAAACTCAACATGTTGAATTCTGAATTTAATCAAAATAATCTGTTCCACTTGAAGGGACATGGATGAAGCTGGAAACCTTCATAATCAGCAAACCAAACACCACATGTTCTCACTCATAAGTGGGAGTTGAACAATGAGAATACATGGACACAGGGAGGGGAACATCACACACCAGGGCCTGTTGGGGATTGTGGGGGCTAGGGGAAGGATAACATTAAGAGAAATACCTAATGTAGGTGACAGATTGATGGGTGCAGCAAACCACCAGGGCACGTGTATACCTATGTAACAAAACTGCATGATCTGCACATGTAACCCAGAACTTAAAGTATAATAATAATAATAGTAAAAAATCTGTTCATTTTCCTGTGCTCGCTATATATATTAACATCATTGTTCACCTTCATCCGCTTTTTTTTTTTTGAAAGAGGGTCTCACTCTGTCACCCTGGCTGGAGTGCAGTGGTGTAATCATGACTTACTGAAGCCTTGACTTCTTAGGCTCAAGCAATCTGTTTGCCTCAGCCCCCCATGTAGCTGGGACTACAGGCATGTACCACCAAACCTGGCTAATTTTTAAATTTTTTGTAGAGACAGGGCCTCACTGTGTTTTCCAGGTGGCTCTTGGACTCCTGGGTTCAAGCAATCTTCCTGTCTTGGCCTCCCAAAGTGCTGGGATTACAGGTGTGAGCCATCGCACCCAGCCTTCATCCATGTTTTGAAGACATTTTCTTTTACTCTTTCCTCTTTCATACTAAAATCCTTCTGCTATTGCCTTTGGAGAAAACCTTCTGAACAGGTTTTTCCATTCACTACAACAGTTATAGTTCTACGTGGTCTTTTTCTCCAGTAGTTTTGAGTTTCTAGAGACTTACTGGTTTCCCTAGGCCAGTCTCTTCTTTCTCTAAATGTATATATTATCATTAGTAAAATTGAACTTAATTTTCGATGCACAATTGTATGAATTTTCACATTTAGACTCCCATACATCACCACATCAGGATACACAGTAGTTCCCTCATGCTCTCGCTTTAAGGCAATATGCGTCCCTACCCCTATCTCTAAACCCTGGCAACCACCCATTCTTCATCCCTGTGGTTTTGTCTTTTTGAGAATGCCATATAAATGGCAATATACTAGCTCCTGATACTTACCATAATCCCTCTGAGATTAATCCAAGTTGTTGCAGGTGTCTACGGTGTGTTTCTTTTTGATGCTGCATTGTACTCCATTGTATGGATATGCCACAATTGGTTTGTCCATTCATCAGCTGAAAGACATTTGGCTTGTTTCCAATTTCTTGTGCTTATAAATAGAGCTTCTACGAAAATTGATCCTGTTAATTTTGGAAAGTAAATTTTCATTTTACTAGTGTAAATCCCCAGCTGAAATTTCTTGATGGCTTCTTATTACTTACAGACCCAAGATTCTTAACATCCAAGACATCCAAATATTCCAGATGTTTCTTAAGCCTTTGTCATGATATATATTTTGTTTAATGTGGCCATTAACATATAACTCTATATTAGTCTTCTATTGCTGCCTTAACAAATTACTGCAAACATAGTGCTTTAAAACGGCATAACCTTTTCATCTTATAGTTACATAGATAACAAGTCTCACTGGGCTAAAATTAAGGTGCTGGTTGTCTCCATCCCTTTCTAGAATCTCTGGGGAAGAATCCTCATCCAGACTCATTCAGATTGTTGGCAGAATTTAGAACCTTGCAGTTGTAGGACTAAGGTTCCTGTTTTCTTGCTGGCTGTAGGCTGAGGGATGTTCTCATCTAGAGACTGCCACATCTTTTGTTCTTGGCCCTTTTCCTCCACTGTTGCAGACATGGAAGTCAAGTCCTTCTCATGTCTTGGCTCTCTGACATCCCCTCTGTCTCTTCCTCTGTATTTAAGGACTCATGTTATTAGATTGGACCCACCTGAATAATCCATAACCATCTCCATATCTCCAAGCCAGCTGATTAGTGACGATAATTCCATCTGCTGCCTTGATTCTCTTTTGCTGTGAAACATACCATGTTCGCAAGATTAAGATGTGAACGTTTTTGGGTAGGAGCATTTTTCTACCTACCACATACTATAACTAATTTTGTTTTATGGTTTTTCTCCTTCCCGAGAAAGAAAACTATGAACAGTTTATTTATTTATCCATAGTGTTTAGTAGTATAGTATCTGGCCACCAGCTGTCATTCAAACATGTTTAAAGAATGAATGAACAATTAAGTTTTTAAATAATTAGCCTGAAATATAGAAGAACCTCAATTATCATTCAGTAAGGAAATGTGTATTTCTGTTAATTAATATGGTAGATGTCAAGATGCCTTGGAATATAATTTTTGCATAATGATTGTAAAGTATTCTTTATGTTTGCTTTGGTAGCAAATATAATAATGTTTGTATTCCCTTCTTCTCTGTTTGCTTCCATTAGGGGTTTTAGGACAGGTTCTCAGTTCCTCTGCCTCCCAGCTATGGGGGGAAGAAAAACACACTTCTAGCCAATGTACTTAAGCAAGCATTTACTAGAGAAGATTCTGGAAGGGCTTTTGCTTTTTCTGATGAAAAGGACAAATGTAGCCAGCACATAGGGCTACCATGTATGAAGGGCAGCAGAACAGAACCTGAATCTTTTGTGACATTCTTAATCAGTTAAATCAACACTAGTGACCCTCCATATCCAAACTTCTTCTCATATAAGAAAATAAATATGATTCATGTTTGTTTGTAGCCAACAGTATCCCATGGCCCCTCAAATACACACACACATTCAGACTTTCTGCACATGCTTCCTCGTCATCAGTTTCTCAGAAACAAATGGACAAATGGACAAATTAAGTGAAATGTGAATTAATATATTTGAATTTGTGAAGGCAAAAGGGCTTGAAACTCAGTTGCCCTAATCAAGTGAAAACAAAGCTCACCAAAATCCAATGGCCTCTGAAGAAAATCCTTAGAAGGAAATATTAAAGGTGAGAATAGAATCAATTATTTCTTTTCCAATATAAAAAGTCAAGAAAGTCTTTTTTATTGCAAGACTTTCTTCTTTACTCTCTAGAATCCAAACTGGAAAAAAAGTTATCTATCTTTGATCAAGAAGCCAAAGCAATTCATTCAATAACTTTCTTCTATTCTATACTGCTTTAATTGCCTTGAAGAAATCAATCTACTTGGGAAATTCTAGTCCACATATATATCAAGTGTTTTGATATTTAGGTCAGCTAGATTAAAAGTAAGGCCACTTAGGTCAGCTAGATTAAAATGCAAGGATATAATTTTTTGGTTTACTTTCACAAATCAAAGTATCTAGAGATCAAAAGATCAAATTTGATATTTATTAAGTTAATTTCAAGAACAATAAAAATCTAAGACTTCTGTGACATATATAGCACAATTTTGTAAAATTGTTTTCAGATAGAATGAAATGATAAAAGAATTTCATACTTTGATGTATCTTTTATTCTGAAGCTTAAGCTTGGTATCCGCCAATAGAACAAACTCTGCATAGAATATCAACGATGTTATACTACCAGCGTCATCCGGAAAGGAAGCCTCTGTAGAAATTACCATGCATAATAAATGGGAATAATCATGTACCTGAAGTCCACAAATGCTCTTAATTTTTAGTGACTATTAATGCCTACTTGGTAAGCGTTAAGTCACTGTGTTGAATGTTTCACATGCTTTACATCATGCTTTTTTTAAAAAAAATATTTCCATTGGTTTTTGGGGAACAGGTGGTATTTGGTTACATAAGTAAGTTATTTAGTGGTGATTTGTGAGATGTTGGTACACCCATCACCTGAGAAATATACATAGTCTTTTAATGGCTCAACCCCTTCTCACCCTTTCCCCTCGAGTCCCCAAAGTCCATTGTGTCATTACTATGCCTTCACATCCTCATAGCTCTGCTCCCACTTATGAGTGACAATATATGATGTTTGGTTTTCCATTCTTGAGTTACTTCACTTAGAACACTAGCCTCCAATTCTGTCCACATTGCTGTGAATGCCATTAATTCATTCCTTTTTATGGCTGAGTAGTATTCCATCACATATATATATATATATCACAGTTTCTTTATCCACTTGTTGATTGATGGGCATTTGGGTTGATTCCACATTTTTGCAATTTTGAATTGTGCTGCTGTAAACATGCATGTGCGAATATCTTTTTTGTATAATGACTTCTTTTTCTCTGGGTAGACACCCAGTGGTGGGATTACTGGATCAAATGGTAGTTCTACTTTTAGCTCTTTAAGGGATCTCCACACCATTTTCCATAGTGGTTGTACTAGTTTACATTCCCACCAGCAGTGTAGAAGTGTTCCCTTTTCACTGCATCCACTCCAACATCTGTTATTTTTTATTTTTTGATTATGGCCATTCTTGCGGGAGTAAGGTAGTATTGCATAGTGGTTTTAATTTGCATTTCCCTGATAATTAGTGATGTTGGGCATTTTTTCATATGTTTGTTGACGATTTGTATGTCTTCTTGTGAGAATTGTCTATTCATGTCCTTAGCATTCTTTTTGATAGAATTGTTTATTTCTTGCTAATTTGTTTGCGTTCCTTGTAGATTCTGGATATTAGTCTTTTGTTAGATGTGTAGAATGCGAAGATTTTCTCTTACTCTGTAAGTTGTCTGTTTACTCTGCTACTGTTCCTTTTGTTGTGCAAAAGCTCTTTAGTTTAATTAAGTCCCACCTATTTGTCTTTTATTGCATTTGCTTTTGGGTTATTGGTCATGAAATCTTTGCCTAAGCCAATGTCTAGAAGGGTTTTTTTAATGTTATCTTCTAGAATTTTTATAGTTTCAGGTCTTAGATTTAAGTCCTTCATCCATCTTGAGTTGATTTTTGTAAAAGATGAGACAGGAGGATCCAATTTTATTCTCCTACATGTGGCTTGTCAATTATCGCAGCACCATTTGTTGAATAGGGTGTCATTCCAACTTTATGTTTTTGTTTGCTTTATCGAAGATCAGTTGGCTGTAAGTATTTGGGTTTATTTCTGGGTTCTCTATTCTGTTCCATTGGTCTGTGTGCTTATTTTTATACCAGTACCATGCTATTTTGTAACTATGTCCTTATAGTATACTTTGAAATCAAGTAATGTGATGCCTCCAGATTTATTCTTTTTGCTTACTTTTGCTTTAGGTATGCAGGCTCTTTTTTGGTTCCATATGAATTTTAGGATTGTTTTTTCTAGTTCTGTGAAGAATGCTGGTGGTGTTTTGATGGGAATTGCATTGAGTTTGTAGATTGCTTTTGGCATAATGTCATTTTCACAATATTGAGTCTACCCATCCATGAGCATAGGATGTGTTCCCATTTGTGTCATCCATGATTTCTTTCAGCAGTGTTTTGTAGTTTTACTTGTAGAGGTCATTCACATCCTTGGTTAAGTATATTCCTAAGGTTTTTTTTTTTTTTGCAGCTATTGTAAAAGGGTTTGAGTTCTTGATTTGATTCTCTGCTTGGTCATTGTCGGTGTATAGCAGAGCTACTAATTTGTGTACATTAAGTTTGTATCCTGAAACTTTGCCAAATTCATTTATCAGTTCCAGGAGTTTTTGGAGGAATCTTTAGGGTTTTGTAGGTATACAATATCATCATCAGCAAACAGTGACAGTTTGACTTCCTCTTTATCAATTTAGACGGGCTTTATTTCTTTCTCTTGTCTGGTTGCTATGGCTAAGGCTTCCAGTACTATGTTGCAAGTGGTAAGAGTGGGCATCCTTGTCTTGCTCCAGTTCCCAGAGTGAATGCTTTTAACTTTTCCGTGTTCAGTATTATGTGGGCTGTGGGGTTACCATAGGTGGTTTCTATTATCTTAAGGTATGTCCCTTCTATGCTGATTTTGCTGAGGGATTTAATCATAAAAGGATACTGGATTTTGTCAAATGCTTTTTCTGCATCTATTGAGATGATCATATAATTTTTGTTTTTAATTCTGTTTATGTGGCATATCACATTTATTGACTTGTGTATGTTAAAACATCCCTGCATCCCTGGTATAAAATCCAATTGATTATATTGGATTTTATTTTGATATGCTGTTGGATTCAATTAGCTAGTATTTTGTTAAGGATTTTTGCATATATGTTCATCGGGAACATTGGTATGTAGTTTTCTTTTGTTATTATGTTTTTTCCTCATTTTGGTATTAGGGTTATATGGGCTTCATAGAATAATTTAGAGAGGATTCTCTCTCTATGTTGTAAAATAGTGCCAATAGAATTGGTACCAATTCTTCTTTGAATGTCTGATAGAATTCAACTGTGAATCTGTCTGGTTCTGAACTTTTTTTTGTTGGTAATTGTTTTATTACCATTTCAATCTCTCTGCTTGTTATTGGTTGGTTCAGGTTTTTAATATTTCCTGATTTAAGTTGAGAGGGTTATATGTTTCCAGAAATGTTTTCATCTCCTCTAGGTTTTCTAGTTTATGCATGTAAAGGTGTTCATAGTAGCTTTGAATGATCTTTTGTATTTCTGTGGTGTCGGTTGTAATATCTCCCATTCTGTTTCTAATTGAGCTTATTTGGATCCTCTCCTTTTCTTGGTTAATCTTGCTAATGGTCTATCAATTGTATGTATCTGTTCAAATAACCAGCTTTTTGTTTCATTTATCTTTTATGGGTTTTGTTTGTTTGTTTCAATTTAATTTAGTTCTGCTCCGATCTTGGTTATATCCTTTCTTCTGCTGGATTTGGGTTTGGTTTGTTCTTGTTTCTCTAGTTCCTTGTGGTGTGACATTAGGTTGTCTATTTGTGCTCTTTCAGACTTTTTGATGTAGACACTTAAGGCTATGAAATTTCCTCTTAGCACTGTCTCGGCTGTGTCCCAGAGGTTTTGATAGATTGTGCCACTATATTGTTCAGTTCAAAGAATTTTTAAATTTCCATCTTGATTGATTGTCATCTGAAACAGTACTAGATATAATGTCAATTTTCTTAAATTTATTGTGACTTTTCTGTGGCCTATTATGTGGTCTATCTTGGAGAAAGTTCCATGTGCTGATGAATAGAATGTGTATTCTGCAGTTGTTGAGTAGAATGTTCTATAAATATCTGTTAAGTTCATTTATTGTAGGGTATAGTATAAATCCATTGTTTCTTTATTGACTTTGTCTTAACAACCTGTCTAGTGCTGTCGGTGGAGTGTTGAAGACCCCACTATTTTTGTGTTACTGTATATCTCATTTCTTAGGTCTAGCAGTAATTGTTTTATAAATTTGGAAGCTCCAGTGTTAGGTGCATATATATTTAGGACTGTAACATTTTATCATTATATAATGTCTCTTTTTGTCTTTTTTAAGTGCTGTTGCTTCAAATTTGTTTTTTCTGATATAAGAATAGCTACTCCTGATTGCTTTTGGTGGCCATTTGTATGGAATGTCTTTTTCCACCCCTTTAACTTGAGTTTATGTGAGTCCTTATGTGTTGGGTGAGTCTCTTGAAGGCAGCAGATAGTTAGCTGGTGAATTCTTAACCATTCTGCAATTCTATATCTTTTAAGTGGAGCATTTAGGCCATTTATATTCAATGTTAGTATTGAGATGTGAGGTACATTCATCATGCTGTTACCTGTATACCTATATTTTTTGGTATTTTTCTTTTAAAGGTCCTGTGAGATTTATGCTTTAAAGAGATTCTGTTTTGATGTGTTTCCAGAATTTGTTTCAAGATTTAGAACTCCTTGTAGCAGTTCTTGTAGTGCCAGCATGTTAGTAGCGAATTCTCTCAGCATTTGTTTATCTGAAAAATACTGTATCTTTCCTTCATTTATGAAGCTTAGGACAGAAAATTCGTGGCTGATAATTGTTTTATTTAAGAAGGCTAAAGATAGGACCCCAATCCCTTCTAGTCTGTAGGATTTCTGCTAAGAAATCTGCTGTTAATCTGATAGTTTTTCCTTTATAGGTTACCTGGTGCTTTTGCCTCAAAGTTCTTAAGATTCTTTCCTTCATCTTGACTTCAGATATTCTGATGACAACGTACCTAGGTGAAGATCTTTTTGTGATGAATTTCCCAGGTTTTTTTTTTGAGCTTCTTGTATTTGGATGTCTAGGTCTCTAGCAAGGCCTGTGAAGTATTCCTTGATTATTTCCCTAAATATGTTTCCCAAACTTTTAGATTTCTCTTTTTCCTCAGGAATGCCAATTATTCTTAGGTTAGGTCATTTAACATACTCCCAAATTTCTTGGGGGCTTTGTTCATTTTTTTAAATTCTCTTTTCTTTGTCTTTGTTGGATTGGGTTAATTTGAAAACCTTATATTTGAGCTCTGAAGTTCTTTCTTCTGCTTGTTTGATGCTATTGCTGAGACTTTCCAGTACATTTTCATTTCTCTGACTGTGTCTTTTATTTCCTGAAGTTGTGATTATTTTTTATTTATGCTGTCTATTTTGCTGAAGATTTCTCCCCTCATACTTTGTGTCTTTTTTTTTTTTTTTAATTTCCGTAAATTGGACTTTACCTTTCTCTGGTGCCTCCTTGATTAGCTTAATAATTGACGTTCTGAATTCTTTTTCAGGTAAATCAGGGATTTCCTCTTGGTTTGGATCCTTTGCTGGTAAGCTAGTGTGATTTTGGGGTGGGGGTTGTTAAAGAACCTTTTTTTGTCATATTACCAGAATTATTTTTCTGTTTTTCTCTCATTTGGGTAGGCTATGTCAGAGGGAAGATCTGGGGTTCAAGGCTGCTGTTCAGATTCTTTTGTCCCACAGGGTGTTCCCTTGATGTAGTACTATCCCCCCTTTTTTAGGGATGTGGCTTCCTGAGAGCAGAACTGAGGTGATTGTTATTTCTCTTCTAAATCTAGCCACCCAGCAGGGCTGCCAGACTCCAGGCTGGTACTGGAGGTTGTCTGTACAGAGTCCTGTGATGTGAACCATCTTCAGGCCTCTCAGCCATGGATACCAGCACTGTACTCTGATGGAGGTGGCAGGAAGTGAAATGGACTCTGTGAGGGTCCTTAGTTGCAGTTGTTTAGTGCACTAGTTTTGCACTGACTGGCCTCCTGCCAGGAGGTGGTGCTTCCAAGAGAGCATCAGCTGAGGTAGTATAGGGAAGGATCAGGCTGTGAACGGGGCCCTAGAACTCCCAAGAGAATATGCCCTTTGTCTTCAGCTACCAGGGTGGGTAGGGAAGGACCATCAGGTGGGGACAGGGTTAGGTGTCTCTGAGCTCAGACCCTCCTTAGGCTGGGCTTGGGATGTGGTTCCCAGGTCAATGGAGTTATATTCCCAGGAGGATTACGGCTGCCTCTGCTGTGTAATGCAGGTTTTCAGGGAAGTTGGGGAAAGTTGGCAGTTACAGGCCTCATCCAGCTTCCTTGCAACCCAAAAGGCCGGTCTCACTCCCACCATACCCCCACCAACAGCACTGAGTTTGTTTCCAAGCAGTGGGTGAACATGGCTGTCAAGTTGCCCAAGGCTATAAGCCTCCCAGCTGAGAAAGCAAGCAAGGCTTTTGCATCCCCCTGCCTGTTGAGTCTGCACACTAGATTCATGCCCTCCTGCAAGTTCTGGCCAGGAGACTTCACATTCGGTTGGAATTGTTAGGAAGTTCAGCTGGAGGTTTCCTTTTTTCTGTGGTCTTTTCCCAGTACCTCTGGCAGCCCACCCCAAACACCCCTGTGAGACAAGTCAGAAATGGCTTTCCTGGGGACTTAGAGAACCCACAGGGTTTTTCCCACTGCGTCCTCTACCCCTGTATTTCACTTGGCTGTCTAATATGACTCAGCTCCAGGTAAGGTCAAACCCTCCCATAATCTAGATCTTCAGGTTCCCCAGTGAGGGTGTGTGTTTGGGAGCACATGATGCCCGTTTCCCACTTTCAAAATTTGTGCACTCACTATTTGGGCTGTCTTCTGGGTCCTGCAGGAGGAATCCACTTCCTTCGGAGGGTCTGTGGATTCTCTTGGCTTTCCTGGTGTATTCCTGCAGTAGTTCTGGAGCAAAATTTCACCATGTGAGTCTCCACACATGGCTCTGTCCATCCAAGTGGGAGCTGCAATTTAGTCCTGCCTTCTATCCACCATTTTGCACATCATGGTTTAATTCTCCAACAATCCTATGAAACTGGCATTCTTATTGTTGTTATTTTACAGATGAGCAAGCAGCCTGAGCAGTAGTTAGGTAATTTGCTCATGGTCACACAAGAAGGGTAGAGTAAGGATTCAAGTCCCAGAAATTTGACTACAGAGACAGAGCTTTAAGCTATTATTGCTTGAAAGAATATTGAAGACAGCTGCATATCCTAAATTGAAGTAGCCTAGCCTATCCAACCAGTAGACAGAGTATCTTATAATCTTCAAAGGTTAAGTTGTCTAGGAAGACTTAGTGAACCTCTGTATGGTCTAAAACCAAACATATTGCAGTAAACATTGTATATCTTGGTCACAGGGTATCGCAATGAAGCTGAGGATGCTTATGCTTCAGGTCCTCTCACTCATTTTGAAATATTTCAAGACTTTGTACACAAGTTTGTATTAATAATTTTGTGTTATTTACTATAAAGGGATCCCTCAAATTATAGAAACTTTGGGACCCTACAACTTGGGTCCACATCTGGTTACTGTAAATATACTGTTTAAATTCAGGTAATTATTACATAGTTCGATCAAAGTCAGGCCAATAAATAATGTTTTCCAGTAAATATTAAATATTCTGTGGTTTCTGTGGTTTCTCCTTGGTTGTAGCAGGTAATGTAACTCAACTCCGTGTTATTAAACTGGAAAAATAATGTCAGTTCTAATATTAATTAGGCTTGATGACCGCTTGATTGACAATTGCTTGAAATCATTTTTATATCCAATTGGCATTGGTGCTACCTGGTGATGTTATTCTTACCTCTCCACATTTATTTAAATCCTTTATTTTCAATTTGAGGGGTAAAAGGAGTATTTTAGTGGGTTTTATGTCATACTTATCCCTCAAATAATTCCATCCCTTAAAAATCTGTTTAACTCTACAAAATGCCCTAGATACTTAGGAAAATAATTTGTTTTGTACAATTTATCCTCCAAACATATCATGAAGATTGAAACCTTAAAATTGTGATGGAAAAGCAAAGCTACACAAGGAAATTATTTGCCTCTAAATGCTACAAACTATGTTGCAAATTTAGGAATAAAAGAAGGTTTTCAGAGGGCATCATCTAATATTAAGGGATCAGATAACAAATAATAGGAACAATATGGGTTTCAGGAACATACTATAAAAGAGTACTCAGTACCATACTGAAATTACCAAGATTATATCTTACACTTGAATACAAGTTGTTGCTTAAATCCAAATTGTTATATTAGGAATCTTGGTAGGTGGACAGGTGAGTATAAAATTAAGGTCTTACAATTTCAAAAAAAGAAACGTGTTTGGATTCTAGGATTTGGGCATGAACATTTAATTATGTACTTATGTATTATAATTAAATAGTAAAGATTTATGAATAAAATGTGAATCAACTAACATTAATGTTAAGGGGATTTTTTGCTCACAAAGAACAGATGAAATAGAACTATTGAAATTGCCTTTTTTTTTTTTTTAGGCATTTCTTTGAGTCTTTAGGCAAACATTTGTAAGGAAAATTATGGCAGATTTAATTTCTTCTAACATTTTACCTGCACTTTTTCCATAGCATTTGTTAATAGTTTGTTTGTTAGTTAGTTATGTATCAGCTTTTTCTCTCTCATTAGATTTTAAGATCTTCCAGGTAGGGCTTGAGACTGAATGCTCTTTTGTCTTTCATTGCACCTTTAATTGTTGGTGTTCAAGGGATTGCAGTTAGATAAATAGACCTGTTCAGTTTAGTAGGAGTAAAATTCAAGAGACCTGCATTTGTGTATAGAGAAGCGTTGAGCTGAATTCTTTCAGCAGGCAAGACATTCAGTGGTAATGAGATAAGTAGGTATGTTAGGAATCTCTGTTAAGATTTCCTAATTACTAAATAATATTTATCATATTAAAAGCACAGGAAGGACAAAAGCTTATAAAGAAAAGAGCACATAACAATTTGTTAAATGATACTAACTAAGCTAAGAGAAAAGACATTTATTTACATTTATGTGTCCTTTCCAATTTGGATGACTTTTATATCTTTCTCTTGTCTGACTGTTCTAGTGAGGACTTCCAGTACTATGTTGAATAACAATGGAGACAGTGTGCATCCTTGTCATGTTCCAGATCTTAGAGGAAAGGCTTTCAGTTTTCCCTATTCAGTATGATGTGGGTCATACTAGCTGTGTGTCTGTCATACATGGCTTTTATTATGTTGAAGTATGTTCCTTCTATACCCAGTTTTTTGAGGGATTTTTTTTATCAAGAAGTGATGTTGAATTTTATCAAATGCTTTTGCGGCATTAGTTGAAATGATCGTATAATTTTTATCCTTCATTCTGTTGATATGATGTATCATGTTGATTGATTTGTGTATATTCAACTATCCTTGCATCCCAGGGATAAATCCCACTTGGTCATGATGGATGACCACTCTAATATATTGTTGAATTTGGTTGCTGGTATTTTGTTGAGGATTTTTACATCAATATTCATCAGAAATACTGGCTTGTAGGTTTCTTTTTTTTAATTATTTTTTTATGCGTCTTTGTCTGGTTTTGGTATCAGGATAATACTGGCCTCATAGAATGGGTTTAAAAGTATTTCCTCCTTCTCTGTTTTTCAGAATGGTTTGAGTAGGATTGATATTAGTTCTTTAAATATATGGTAGAATTCAGCAGGGAAGCCATCAAGTCCTGGGCTTTTCTTTATGGGAAGACTTTTGATTACCACTTCAATCTTGTTGCTTGTTATTGGTCTGTTCTGATTTTAGATTTCTTCTTGGTTCAATCTTGGTAGGCTGTATGTATCTAGGAATTTATCCATTTCTTCTAGATTTTCCAAGTTGTTGGCATGTAATTGCTCATAGTAGTCTCTAATGATCCTTTGAATTTCTGCAGTATCAGTTGTAATGTCTTTTTTTAAATTTCATTTGTTTAAATCCTCTATTTATTTCTTAGTGTGGATAAAGGTTTGTCAATTTTGTTTAACTTTTCAAAAAAATCTTTTTGTTTCACTAATCTTTCATATTATATTTTTTATTTCAATTTTATTTATTTCTGCTCTGAACTTTATTCTTTTCTACTAATTTGGGGTTTTGTTTGCTCTTGCTTTCTAGTTCTTAAGATGCACCATTAGATTGTTTAATTCAAGTGTTGTAGGCACTTATAGCTATAAACTTTCTTCTGAGTACTGCTTTTCCTGTATCTCATAGGTTTTTGTATGTTGTATTTCCATTATCATTTGTTTCAATACATTTTTCAATTGCCTTCTTAATTTCTTCATTGACCCACTGGTCATTCAGGAGCATATTGTTTAATTTCCATATATTTGTATTGTTTCCAAGATTCCTTTTGTTATTAGTTTTTAGTTTTATTCAATATTGGTCAGAAAAGTTGTGTGATATTATTTCAATTTATTTGAATGTTTTAAGAATTGCTTTGTGACCTAACTTATGGTCTATCCTTGAGAATGATTTATATGCTGAGGAAAAGAATGTGTATTCTGCAGCTCTTAGATGAAATGGTCTGTAAACATCTATTAGATTCATTGGTCTATAGTGCAGGTTGAGTCTGATGTTTGTTGATTTTCTTTCTGGAACATCTGTCCAATGCTGAAAGTGGGGTGAAGTCTCCAGCTATTATTATTATTATTATTATTAATTATTATTTTGAGATAGGGTCTTACTCTGCCACTCAGGCCAGAGTGCCATGGTGTGATTTTGGGAGGCTTACTGCGACCTCCGCCTCCTGGGTTCAAGTTATGCTGGTGCCTCAGCCTCCTGAGTAGCTGGGACTACAGGTATGTGCCACCATGCCCGGCTAATTTTTGTATTTTTAGTATAGACAGGGTTTTGCCATGTTGGCCAGGCTGCTCTTGAACTTCTGACCTCAGGTGATCTGTCCTCCTTGGCTTCCCAAAGTGCTAGGATTATAGGCATGAGCCACCAAGCCAGGCTTCCAGCTATTATTATATTGGGAACTATCTCTCTCTTAGCTTTAATAATATTACTTTTATATATCTGTGTACTCCCTTGTTGGATGCATATATATTCAAAATTGTTATATCCATTTGCTGAATTGACCCCTTTATCATTATATTGTGACTTTTTTTGTCTCTTCTTATAGTTTTTGTCCTGAAATCTGTTTTGTCTTACATAAGTATAGCAACTCTTGCTCTTTCTTGGTTTCCACTGGCATGGAATATTTTTTTCACCCCTTTATTTTTTATTTATGTGTGTCTTTACAGGTGAAATGTGTTGTCTGTAGGCAACAGATCAATGGGCCTTGTTTCTTCACCCATTCAGCCTATGTCTTTTGGTGGGAGAGTTTAGGCCATTACATTCAATGTTTTTTTTTATATGTAAGGACTTATTACTATCATTTCTTTATTTGTTTTCTGATTGTTTTGTGGTCTTTTCTTCCTCCTTTCTTTCCTTCATGTCTTCCTCTAGTGAAGATGATTTTCTCTGGTAATAAGATTTGGTTTCTTGCTTTTTATTTTTTTGTGTATCCATTTTATGGTTTTTGGCTTGAGGTTACAATGAGGTTTGCAAATACTATCTTATAACCCATTATTTTAACCTGAAAACAACTTCACAATATTTGCATGAAGAAACAAACAAACAAGCAAAAAGAAAACTAATAAAAACTGACTTTAACTTAATCCCCCCACTTTTTAACTTTTCGTTGTTTCTTTTTATATCTTATTGCACTCACTAGGTCTTGAAAAATTGTTGTAGTTATTATTTTTGATTGGTTTATTGTTTAGTCTTTTTACTTAGGATAGAGTAGTTTGCATGCCACAGTTACGGTGTTATAATATTCTGAGTTTTTCTGTGTATTTACTATTACCAGTAAGTTGTGTAACTTCAGGTAATTATTTATTGCTCATTAATGTTTTTTCTTTCTGATTAGAGTACTCTCTTTAGCATTTCTTGTAGAATGGATCTGGTATTGCTGAAATCCCTCAGCTTTTGTTTGTCTCAGAAAATCTTTATTTTTTCTTCACGTTTGAAGGTTATTTTCACTGGATATACTATTCTAGAATAAAAGTTCTTTTTTCCTTCAGCACTTTAAATATGTCATACCACTCTCTCTTGGCCTGAAAGGTTTCCATTGAAGGATCTGCTGCCAGATGTATTGAAGCTCCATTTTATGTTATTTGTTTCTTCTCTCTTGCACTTTTAGAATCCTGTCTTTATCCTGGACTTTTGGGAGTTTGATTATTAAATATCTTGAGGTAGTCTTTGGAATAAATATGCTTGGTATTCTAGAACCATCTTGTGCTTAGATATTGATATCTTTCTCTAGGTTTGCAAAGTTCTCTGTTATCACTTTGAATAAGTTTTCTAGCCCTATTTCTTTTTCTACCTTCTGTTTAAGGTCAATAACTCTTATATGTCCATTTGAGGCTATTTTCTAGATCCTGTAGGTGTGCTTACAGTTTTTTATTCTTTTTTCTTTGGTCTCCTCTGTGTATTTTCAAATAGCCTGTCTTCAAGCTCACTAAATTTTTTCTTCTGCTTGATCCATTCTGCTATTAAAGGACTCTAGTGCATTCTTTAGCATGCCAACTGCATTTTTCAGCTTCAGAATTTCTGATTGTTTCTTTAATTTTAATATTTTAGTTAAGTTTATCTGATAGAATTCTGAATTTTTTTCTGTACTATCTTGAATTTCTTTGCGTTTCCTCGACTCAGCTATTTTGAATTTTCTGTCTGAAAGGTTACATATCTCTGTTTCTCCAGCATTGGTCCCTGGTGTTGTACATAGTTCATTTGGTGAGGTCATGTTTTCCTGGATGGTGTTGATGTTTGTAGGCATTCTTCAGAGTCTGGGCATTGAAGAGTTAGACGCTTATTGCAGTCTTCACTGTCTTGGCTTATTTGAAGCTCTTCTTCTTGGGAAAGCTTTCCAGATATTTGAAATGACTTTGGTGTTGTGATCTAAGCTGTTTCTGTTTTAGGGGGAATCCCAAGTTCAGGAACGCTGTGGTTCTTGCAGACCCATAGAGGTACTACCTTGATGGTCTTGGATAAGATCCGGGAGAATTCTCTGGATTATCAGGGGAAGACTCTTCTTCTCTTCCCTTACTTTCTCCCAAACATAGAGTCTCTATCTCTGTTCTGAGCCACCTAAAACTGTGGGTGGAGTGACACAAGCACCCCTGTAGCCACCACCACAGTGTCTGTGCTGGGTCAGACCTGAAACCAGCACAGTGCTGGGTTTTGACCAAAACCTGCTATAACCACTCCCTGGTTACTGGCCCAGAGTATGTCTAGAAATGTTGTCTGGGAGCTAGAGCCAGGAATGGGGGCCTCTTGACTCTGACTGATGCCCTATCCTGCTGTAGCTGAGCTGGTATCCAGGATGCAAGACAAAGTCCTCTTCACTCTTGCTTTTCCTCTCCTCAAGGGGAGGGAAGGAGTCTCTTTTGGAGCTGTGAGCTGTGCAGCTTAGGGGAGAGATGCCAGCCCTCTCTTGCTATCCCAAGTGGTGTCTCAGTATGCAGTGTCCCCACCTCTGCTCCCTGCAACTGTCTCTGGGACCACTTCAGCCCTAGGGCTTGCTGTCCTTATGGCCTAGATTGCCTTTCAAGTTTACTTAGAGACCAAGAGCATTTTGGCCCTCAGTGGAAAGGTTTGTGGGTGCTCAAGTTCAGACCATTGGGATCATTGATGCCGCTCTAGCTAGGGCTGGTTTTAAATGCTCCCTCTGTGGGTAGCGTTAGCTGAGTTTGCTCTGGGTTTCCTTTCCGCTCTAACAGAACAGAACAGCACAGAGTTCAATGTCTCACAATTGCTCTGTTCTTTCTCCCCCAGTGCCCAGAGATGCTCTCTGCACCACACTGCTGCCGGAGGTTGGCGGGAGGTGGTGTGGGAGTGCCGAGGGGGGAGTGGTGGCTTTGGTGATTCAAGACTGTTTTTTTCTATCTCTTCAGTGCCTCTTTTAGCAATGTGAAGTTAAAGCCAGGTACTGTGAGTGCTCACCTGATTTTTAGTTCTTATGAAGGTGTTTTTTCTGTAGAGATAGTTGTTAACCTGTTCTCCTTGAGTGGGGGTTGGGGGATAATTGAGGGAACTTTCTATTCTGCCATCTTGCTCCACTTGCTGGTCCTTAGCATTTCTTAGCAATAAAGTGTCTATAAATTAAGGTATGTATATTGTTTTTTAAAGATATAATGCTATTGCACACCTAACAGACTATAGCATTGTATAAATTTTATATGCACTGAGAAACCAAAAATATTTTTGTGACACACTTTATTGCCATATTTGTTTTATTGTGGTAGTCTAGCAGAGAATCCACAGTATCTCTGAGATATGCCTATATTCTGAAAGGATCATTATGCTTGGATCAAGCTATGGAAACTGCAAGGTTATGCTGAGACTGTGGATGAAGTTTCACTTTACTTAAAGGTCATTCTCAGAGACAATAACCAGAAATATCTGGAAAATTATAGCGTACCTGTGTCCTACTGAGTCAAACTTTCTGGAAGTAGGGTCTTCAGATTATCATTTTTACTAATTCCACCGTGATTCTTGTGGGCACTAAAGTTTAAGGACCATTGTGCTGGTAGATGGGAAAAAGGGGCTAAACTCATTCTCTCAGCTTAGACCATAAGGCATCTGATGATCGGTGAAAGATAGCATCTTTTTATATTTTCGCCATTTTATATGGTTTGAGTGTTTGTCATCTCCAAATCTCATGTTGAAATGCGATTTCCAGTGTTGGAGGTGGGGCCTGGTGAGAGGTGATTTGATAATGGGGGCAGATCTCTTATGAATGGTTTAGCACTGCCCCCTTAGTGATAAGTTAGTTCTCACTCAGCTCACACAAGATCTGCTTGTTTAAAAGTGCACGGCACCTCTCTTTTCTCCCTCTTACTCCCTCTCTTACCATGAAGTGCCTGCTCCTGCTTCACCTTCTGCCATAAGTCAAAAAAGCTCCTTGAGACCCTCACCAGAAGCAGAACAGATACTGGTGCCATGCTTCCTATACAGCCTGCTGAACCATAAGCCAATTAAATCTCTTTTCTCTATAGTGATGCAAAAATGGCCTAATATATCATTCTACTAGGAAGAGAGGAATTTAGATAAGACCCTCCACTTTTTATTGAGGTCATACAAGCACACGTGTGGCCTGGGAACAGAGATAGTAAGTGATGCCTTACAAGTCACATTATGTATAGTCAATATTCTTCACATTGTTTTTCCTTTTGTTATTCTCCAACACTTATTTAAGTGTTCCAGACAGCCTCAGCAGGGCAGGTGGAGCAGGATGTGTAGGGCACTGTTAAGGGGAAGTATCCTCCTCCCTGAGGATGACTGTAGTGGCAATTAATGAGACCCCAAGGGAAAAGGGAACCTTGGGGACAGAGCAAAGTCATGCAGTCCAGGTGCTTCCTACACTAATTTTCCTTCCTTGTGCCGACCATGAAGGATATTTATTTGTTTACTTTCATTAAGGAGAATAGAATTATTTTAAGAGACAAGCCTAGAACAAAATATTCCCCAAAATATTCCCTGGTATTCAAGACATGAAATCTCTCAGCCACCCACTAGGAAGCCGTTATCTTTTTATTATGTAAAGTGAGAAGAGTTGCTTTTCCTCTGTCTATTCATGTAAACATTTTGAGATGTTACAATACTACAAGAAATGGGAGGTAGTTTCTTTGTGAGCTATTACTCATGTTTATTTCTTAAGGATCAACAAGAAATTTAGCTGAAATGGAATATAATAGGAAGCAGTAGTCTCAAAATGGAACCAAATATACCATACTGATTTGCATTAAATTGACTAACATTGCTATTAAAGAAACAAGTCTTAATTGTAATTCTTCATCAAATTATTCATTTTTATAAACTAAAGCTTTTAGACAGTGCATTAATGAGATCCAAATCAATCTAACAGGGAGCACAGGAAGCAATTAAGTTTAGTATGGAGAGACTGCAGGAAAATTACTGATAGTATAAAAGTTTTCTCTGACTTAAAGAGAAATGCTTTTAAATAATAGTAAGGCCTTTCAAGATAATAATCACCATCTTGCACAAATATAGCTGCTATAAAATTAACTTTCAAACCATTTAGATCTATCATTGTCCTTTTATTCACATCTTCAAAGCACTAGTCTGATAAAACACCAGAAATAAATCATGGGTTTTTTTTTTTTTTTGATGTTTATATGGCGTAAGCTAAGATTATGACTGGAAAAAAGTAGTGGATACAGCATTGTCCTGGATCCACTGGTTGTTTTTATTTTATGTAGTCAGTAAAGACCAGAGCATGAGAAATTATCAACAATGAGGTCAAGTTCCACATGGCACAGAGTGGGTACAAATAAAATGATAACACAAATGAAAACATCCAATAGTTTATCAGTCCTCTTAATGCTGTTTTTGCATTAACTCTTCTGCCTTATTATAAATCATAAACATTCTGCAAAGCTTGTTCAACTGTAGCTTAATAAAATATTTTTCTATTCTTTTAATCATATATCACATCTGCCTGCTACCATCTTTTTATACTTGTCTTATTACAGTTAGAGTTAATGTAATATTATATGCATTTTTATACATTCTTATCCCCAACTATTCTCCAGGTTCTTTATGGTAAATGCTATGCCCTATCCACCTCTGTACTTCATGTTCTTCCTGGCACATACTGCTCAATAAATGGTGAACTAATGAATAAGGACATTGAAAAATGCATCTGGCTTGAGTCCCAGTTTAAATATGAATTTGAGTCTAAGCAGGATTAAGACATATCTGGTGATCCGGAGGGACAGACTTGCCAAAGGCCCATTTACATGAGGAATGAGGAAAAGAGACCTTATCACAAAAGAGAAAAGTATCTGGCATCATGAACTTGATCCAAGAAAGAGGCCTTAGTGGTTGGTGGAGTGGGCTAATTGTGAAGAAAGCATGGGATTAGACATTGTCCAAGCCCCACTTCTCAATGGACTCAAGTGTGAGTCTTCTCCCTTGAATAAACATAAATGGGCTCTTTCCCTGAAAACTCTTCAAGCACTGAGGCATCAGTGTTACTGCTCAGATGCTTTTTAAAGTGTTGAATATCAGAAGAGGGAGAGCCATTTTTCTTCCCTACCACACAATAGAGCAGAACTACACAATGTGGTCCACGGATCAGTGTCAGTCTATATGAGTTGGTCCATGATGAGATAAGGAATTTGAATCAGAACATAACTTGGCCATGTCAATGAGGACATTGTTTAGTTCAGCTAATATTTTTCTTTTAATACTAACAAGATAGGCTTGACGAAGGAGGAAGAGTGTTCATTTACATTCTGGCAGAATCTCTTTACTCTTCTTAACTGAGAGTTGGTGCACTGGTTATTTTGAGAAACACTGTAATAGAGAACCATGTTGCTTTGACATCTCCTGGGTTCCAGAGCATTCCTTATGGTAGCAGGAGATAATAGTACTAGTAGTAGTACTACTCAGGGCATTTACATTAGTGGAAGGAGCATGGCAATTTTTAGTGAGAACTGTGGTATCCATTACAAGATCAGAGATGTCAAATGAGTTTGGACTGGTTTGTGATCATGAAATATCTCCTGGGGACATTCTAATGTATTTAAGGAACAATTTTAGTGATATAAAGTTACATCTGAGGCGATACAAGCAAGAATCAGTAGTCTGTGTGTCAGTATTGTAGCTTCTTGAAAATAGATGACAGAGCTTCTAAGACTGACATCTTCTCCAAATTTGGGCATCTCATCTTATTATGGCCTTATAGCACAAAGATACCCAGGGGATGTAGTTGCAAAAATGGAGGGTATTCCTTATAAAAGGGTGAGGATGGCAACTCTGGATGAAAAGAGATGCAGTAAAAGTAGATAATAGATCAAACGAATAGAGGGGAATCAAGTTAAGAAAAATATTAAAAGATTTAGAAAACAAGGAGATGGATATCGTATATACAGATCTTGTAAAATCTATGTATTTTTTGAAGGAGGCAAGCCCACATTTTCTGTATGTATATATGTTTGCTATTTTCATATGCATGTAATCATTAAAAAATAACAGAGCCTGAAGGTTTCTTGATAATCAATAGTTGATGAATGGTAAGATTTTTATAAACCCACATAATACATCAAAATCAATTCATTACTGGAAAATTATCATTTGAAATTGGCAAACATATTTTCTGTCTCTAGGTTCAAGATAGCTACCAAAAGATTAACTGAATTTTACTCTAAAGACAAATCTTTAGTTGTCACCAAACAGAATGCATATTCCAGTGCCTACAAGACAAAAAATTTCTTCGAATTAAATTCTTCTTTATCACCTCCACCAATAACAAAGGGTATTCGTCAAGTGACAATAAAAATAATCGTTTATATGCACTGTCTGTCTTCTATAAGTACCTACAACCTAACACGAAGGTAAAAATGTAAGTGAAATCTTACATATTTACATGGAAAAAATGGAATTAAATCTGTAATTACCAATCATTAGTCTGTGTAGACCTTTGCATCTATGGGGTATTTGGTACATAGTAAATATTCAACAATACTCAACGTAATTAAATGAAAAAAACATAAATTTGAATAGTTGAGCTGATTGGGCAGAGGGATTAAGAGTTCTGAGGCTAAGCAGGTCAGCCTCAGAAAGCCCTCATTTCCTACTCCTGGATCACCTGGTTTGACCCTAATTTTATGTTTGTTTGCTAAGATTTGGCATCCTTGCAGATGAGCATTTAGTTAGAACTTGACATTTTTGGTGTATCTAAATAAGAGCACACTGTTCCTGCCTTTTTAGCAATCCCAGAGATAGTCAAATACCAGACAGCGTGATGGGACCTCAAAGACCTATTTAGTTTAATCACCTCATTTTACAGAGAAAGAAACTAAGGTCCAGAGTAGCAGACTGACTCATCCTAAATCATACTATCGATTTTTTCTCCCTTAGGTTACTTGTCTTTTCTGAACAGTTGCTGGTAAAAGATAATCCAGTAACCCCTTGTCAAATAAAACTTACAGGAAGCCCTTGGTCTGGACGGAGCTCCTGCACTATGTCCAACAAATCAAACCAAAATGGAGTCACTCATGCTGAAGTTCCACACCAACATGCCAAAACTAAGTTGTTATCAGACTTCCCAAGAAGTCAGGAGAGAGAATAGCCACATCCCCACAGACACGTTTTAGCTGACGTGATAAAGAAGTCCCCTCTGCTGAAACCTTTGCAAGGAAAGTAACTTTGAAATTACCAATCTGCTTTTTGTTCTGTTTCTGCCTTCCTCAGCCTTTTTCTGTCTACAAAGCCAACCTCCTCTGCTGGGCTTATTGGAACACTCATTCTACTTTATAGAATGAGATGTTGCCTGATTCTAGAATTGTGAATAAAAGCCAAGTAAGAAGATCTTTATGCTAAATTTGCTGTGATTTTATCTTTTGACACCTCCCAAACACATTGCTGAATCACCATGCACAAAATGATCATCTACACAACATTCAAATTGTCTGGCTTCAGTAAAATCATCTGCTTGGTTCCAAATGCACTCTTCCTTTACTTAGTGTATTTCAAACAACTGACAACAGACTACCTCTGTCCTGGCTCAGCACTGTCTCATAGTTTGGAAATTTTACAGTTGACTCCTTCCAGCCTCTTTTCACAGTCTGAATTTGCAATGACTTTCTCACCATTAGGCCTTTTGCAAACTCTTACCATGTGGGAAACAACAACTGTCCTACAAATATCCATCACTATTTCATATCCATGCTGGTATTGGTTTTTGGTCCTAGGCACATTCAGTTCTAGGACTAAGTCCATCCTCCTTTTCACTAGGATGCCTGTAACCTATCTTACTTTGCATCTCTCTGCAATGGAACTTAAATTACCTGACTTGGTATGGGTTTATGAGCAAGGCACTGAGAGTAATTAACATTTGAATAAGAGCTACCTGTGGATTCCTCTATTTAACAGCTGTTAAATGAATTATTTGTCTGCTACAAACTCCAGGTTGGCAGATTGAGTATACCCAGGTGGAAATTACAGTGCACACATACAAGTGGGGATTAAATGGATTGTATAGCATAAATCAAATCAGGTTGCAATTTTGAAATCTAGACAGTAATCCCAATTACTTCTGAGGGATAGCCCATAGAGCTAGATCAATATATAACATATGAATACTCAAAGATACTTCAGTATTTAATGGTCCCAGCTCTACCTGCCAAACTAGGAATTGACTGAGATCTTTTGACTCATCTAAACCCAAAAGAACAGAATCACCAGCACTATCTGTTCTTGTTAGACAATATTAATTCCCACATTTCAAATATGCCTTTCAATTAAATGCCTTCATAGATGGGTTACAGAATGTTAATAATTTTGGCCAAAACAGCGGTTTTATCATAGCATGCAAGATTTTGTGTTTTAGTGTTATTATTTACAGCTCCCATGGAGAACAGACTGTTCTACCATGTTGTTAAAAGCCAAAGTGGAGAATAAATTGTTATGTTAAAGAGACTGTGCTGACTAAACCAAAAATAAAAGATGTGGCAATTACTCATTGAATGCAAGTAATTTAGAAACCAAGTCACTCATATCTAAAAGTGAAAATCTGTACTTATAAAATCCTGTCTATGTTAATCCAAAACATGCAGACAGTGTTGAAACATACATATAACCAGTGTGCCCATAAGACACTAGAATTTGAATTATTTGAAGATAATGATGCTCAAAGAAGTCAAATATTCAAACTAAAATATTTAGTGTCATATATTGGCCCTTTACTAATTGCTGTAATATATTCTATCTTTTAATCCTTGCAATCACCCACTGAGTACTGCCATTTACTTGTAGAGAGTGAAGCACAGAGGTGTCCCATAACTGGTATAAGGTCACAGAACTTGGTTGGAAGAGCTAGCATTGAAATCATCCCCAACAAAATTTTATAAAATCAATTAAGAAAAAATATAAAATAACATCCTATTAGGCTTCCAGCAGCAATCGCTAAGCCAGCTTGCCCTTTAGCTCACTTCCTTGTAGCTGGTTGCCACTTACTAGCTAGCCCAGGAAAACGTATCCCTTGTCACAAGACTCTTTGTTCTTTTTCAGTTCTAGACATAAAATCAAAGACATAGTGAAATGACAGGCATTCTGTTTGAGCTTCTTCTTTAGGTTCTGCATATTAATGGATGCCAGCTGGTTTGGAAGGCCTAGTAAGAAGCTGACTCATGGAGGAATGCAGTTACCATATCCTGATAGTTTCATCCCCCTTAACCCTGACGAATTGATGACCCCAAATTTTCCAGCCTCTCACCCTCCACAAATCCCCTTAAAAGCCTTTGCTCAGGACCCCTCAATGAAACGGATTTGAGCACTTGAGAGAATTCTTCCCATTTCCTTGTTTGGCACCTTGCAGTTATTAAACTCTTTCTCTGCTGCATCCCCACTGTCAGTGAATTGGCCTGCTGCTATGCAGCAGACATACAAACCTGGCAGCCGTTTAATAGAATTTATGCAGGAAGACTTAGTCCTCAACCTCTCTAGCCGTATTGCAGTTAA
This sequence comes from Homo sapiens, assembly GCF_000001405.40. Taxonomy (NCBI): domain Eukaryota; kingdom Metazoa; phylum Chordata; class Mammalia; order Primates; family Hominidae; genus Homo; species Homo sapiens. The sequence continues at coordinate 176,521,669 of NC_000003.12, read as the reverse complement.
ATCTCCTCTTAGACACATTTTTGTGAAGTGAGCAACTGGAAGGGAAATGGAAATATGTAGATAGATTCCAGTAATAGCTTAGTGGTAATATTTTGAGGGGTAATGTCAGCAGCCTATTGTAACACAGGCAAGAGTTGTGAAAAGCCTGTCTTCATCTGAGGTCTCCATGGTCTCACTGGGCTTTGCCTCCTCCTTTCAGGCCTTTTGTTCTGCCTTGGCTTATATCTCTGATAATGTCTTCAATTGCTGTGCTTTGGTTAATGGAGGTTGTTATTTTTAAGATTTCAACAACTGAAAATTAATACTCTTTAAGAAAATCTTTTTTGTCTTTTTTATTTTGTGTGAAAGTATCAAATATTCTTACCCTTCATCTGCACTGTTCTTGTAAATGGCACATGTTCTATTTAGTACGATGTACATTGTTTGATGTTCTATTTGCCATTAATATTTTTTTCACTGTTTTGGAGTGTTTTTTTAAAAAACTCAAGAAGCATTCATCATAATCTGGGCCTTGAAAAATACTAACACCTTCTTATTACGGTTACCAATATGTAAATTATGTGAAGGAAATAAAAATATTTCACACCAAATTATGGCTCCCTGGTACAATGAAAGTTTTAAATTAAAAATTATTAGAGATCAACAAGTGTTTTAAGAGACTTTTCCCCTATCTACATAAAGATAGGACTGACTCACCAAGAACAACTGGTCCTGTTCCCCACCCTGTTATCTCATTATCTGTTGCAGAAAAGAGGACCCAGGGTATAACCACACCTGTACAGACTCTTTTTCAAGAAAATGACTGTTTCCAAGGATCATTTAAATACTATAAGTAACTATTTACAAGTTAGTTTCTGTTCCCTGATGCAATTTTTCTCCCTGGTAATCATTTACTGCCCCTCAATATAATTCATCTTCTCCCATTCCTCTAACCTGTTTGCCAGGATCTGAGCCCCTATTCTTTCCGTAACCTCAACGTGGTATCTAAGCTTCCGCATCTCATTGGGAAGTTGAGTCTTCATTCTGAAGGCTGCTGTGCATACAGGTTAAATAAATTTGTAGTCTTTTCTCCTATTAATCAATCTGCTTTGTGTCAGTGATTTTTCAGTCAGCCTTTACAGGTCCAAGGGCCTTCACCCTCATGGATGAAATAAATGTATTTTAAAAATACATTTTATTAGCACTAAAACTTATTTTTGTTTCATTCTGATCTGAAAAATCCATAAACACAGCATGAGTAGCAACTTCTTTCATTTAATTAAAGCCATAATTTTGTATGTAAAAAAAATCCATAGTATAGCCACATATCTAGATTGTAACAAATATCCAAATTGTGGAGTTTCGAGAAGGTTTAATGCACTGGTATTAATGGAATGTTTCCCCGACACTATTATTATTTAGAAAATTTCATTCCTATCACATCTTACCTTTGTTTTAACTAGCAGTTAATGAATAATGAATAATGGATGTGAAAGACATTCCTTTACTTAAAATGAGAAAAGCCTATTAATAAATAAAAACATAAAATTAGGTGTGAAGCAATAACACATTCAATAATTAGCAATATACTGTTATACATTAATTTCTACAGCAACTAACCAGAAGCTGAATAATTTAGCTTAGGAATGATATCACCTACTTTCTTTGGGCAAAACCTAAAAATTTGTTCTTATAGGATGTCTTCCAATGGCACTAGCTGTCAGAAATAGGCAAGATTGATGAGACAGAATTCTGGAGTTCAATACGTTTGACAAGAGAAAAAAAAGAAAACTACCTCCCTTTAATATTGGGGTCAGGTCATCAAATTTTTGTAAATAGTCTCAGAATATACAGACTGGCATAATTTTTAATTAAATATTAACATGTTCTACTATAGAACAATTTAGAGATTTTAAAGTGTTTACAGGTGAATTAACTGATCCATTCTCAAAATAATCATTTGCGGAAGGAAGACATGTGTTAATTGTTCCATTTTATGGAACAGGAAATAAAGACTTAGAGATGTTCAATAGTAGTTTTCTTACAGTGGAATGGTTCAGAAGTAAGTGAGATGGATTTTTATTAGTCTATAATCACTTAGAGATTTTAATTATTATCATGAGATGAAAATCCTAGTCAAACACTTTTGGAAAAGTGAAAAAAGAAAGTTATGTTTGGAAAAAGAAGGGAAAAAAATTATAAGGGACTTTGGAGAGAGAGCTGCAGTTATTTGAAAATCAAAGATACTTTTTAATGGGAAGATCCATGCTGGAGCAGTGTCAGTATTGTGTCTGTTGTTCATTAGGCTCTGTTATAAGGGGAGGGGTGGGAGATTCTGAATGCTCATCATCACGCCCAAAGGAAAGGATGGGGTGAAGCTGCTCTGGAAGTGGGCTAATGCTTTCGGGAGTGCTGAAAACTCAGGTTCCTACCCTTCATCCCATGAGGAGCAGAACTGATTGCTTTCCCTATTTTGTATGAAAATGTAGATAGGAAATGTTGCTCTCCTCTTAGTTGATTATACTGCTAAGGTAGATTAAATCATTGCATTTAATCATCAATGGACTTTTTGTATTATAATTATGCATCCATGTCTTTTGATATGCAACTTTGCAGTGCTACCCACTGAAGAAGGTATATTTTCCCACCTGCTAAATGTTGAGCTTGACCATGTGATTTACTGCAGCCACTGGAATGTTGGTAAAGTGAAAAGTGGCCTGTTAGGGGCCAGATTGAGTGGTATCATGTGTTTCTTCTCATCGTCTGTGGTCTTACCAATTGCTATGAGAAAAAGTAGTAGGTAGATACTGGTCTAAGGTGAATGTGTATTTACTTGAACCTAACCCACTGCCTGGTGCTCAGCCTACCCATTCAGAGCCAACTCATTAAACTACAGAAAACCAATACCCAATGTAAGCCATTGAGTTTTGAGTGGTTTGTTATGTAGTGCCAGGGCAGTAATAGCTAGCTAATATAATCACCATCCATTTAGTATTCCAAGCCAGAAACCCGGGCATCATAGCTGTTGAGTTTTGTTTATAAGAAAAATCATGCTATGATTTTAAAAAATACATTATTATTATAAAGAATGTATGTAATAAAGAGAATTTTAAAAAGAAAAACAAGCATAAGATGCCAATTTCCTACTGCACAAGAAACAACTATCTTCAACATTAGGTGAGCATCATTGTAGACATACATTTTCTTTTCTATAAGCTTTTTAATTTTATAATAGTATTAAATATACAGAAAAATTACAAAAATAATACTGAGAATTCCTTTATACCCCTCATCCTGTCTCCTCTATGTTAATATCTTAGATTATCATGGTACGTTTATCAAAACAAAGAAACCAATATTGACACATTACTAGTAATGACACTGAACAACTTATTCAACTTATCACTATTTTCCTCTAAGATTCCAGAATCCCATGCTGGATACCATATTGCATTTAGTCATCACGTATCCTTAGCCTACTCTGGTCTGTGACAATTTCTCAGACTTTCCTGATTTTTTTTTTTAATTTAACCATTTTGAGGATTACTGATCAAGTATTTTGTAGACTGTTCTTCAATTGGGATTGGCTGATCTTTTCCTCAAGGGTAGACTAGGGTAATGGGTTTTGCAGAGGAAGAATACATGAGCAAAGTGTTGTCAACACAGTAGATCCAGGTGCAAGCTATCAACATGACTGACCATTGATGATGTTAACCTTCACCATCAAACCAAGTTTGTGTTTGCCACAATTCTCCACTGTGAAGTTATTCCTTCAATTTCCATACTCTACTTTTTAAAACGGATATCTATGTTTACATACTTTTTGTCAAAATAATACATGCATATCAATTTGAAAGAAATAGAATTTCAAAGCTTTAGAAAACATTCAGTGGTTAAGCTCTATCATTCTCATCACAGAAGCAACTACTTTTGATGATTCTCCATTCCCACCCCAAGAGCTAGTTAATCACAAACCTATTTTCTGTCTCTACAGATTTTTCTTTTCTGAAAATTTCATATAAGTGGGATCTAATAATATGTGATCATTTGATCTGGCTTCTTTTGCTCAGTATAATGCTTTTATAATTTTATCCATATTATGACATATGTTCATTTTTTTATTGTTGACTAATATTTCACTCAATGGATATACCAATTTTTGTTTATTCATTTATAAGTTAATGAACATTTGAATGGTTTCTATATTTAGGCTCCTGTGAATGCTTCTATGAACTTTGAGATGTAAGTCTTTCTGTGGAAATAACTTTCACTTCTCTTGGGTAGGTATTTAGGAGAGAAACTATTAGGTCACATAGTAAGTTCATGTTTAAGTTTTTAAGAAGCTGCCAAACTATTTTCTGACTGCCTGTATCATTTTACATTTCCATCAGCAATATATGAAGTTTCTCCATTTCCCTACCAACTTTTGTTATTTTTGTCTGTCTTTTATGTTTATAGTTATTCAAATGCGAATGAACTGGTATCTTACTATAGTTTTAAAGGGTACTTACCTAATAATTAATGATGTTGAATGTCTTTACATGTGCTGATGAGTCTTTTTATTCTTTTTTGTAAATTGTCTATTTAATTTTTTTGTTTAAGTTTTTATTGAGCTTGTTGTCATCTATTTGGTTCTTTACATATTCTGGATGTAAATGCCTTATCAGAAACATATTGCAAATATTTTCTTCCAGTCTGTGGATTATCTTTTCATTCTGTCAGCTATTTCTTTAGAAGTACCCAAGATTCTAATTTTGATGACCAATTTGACTATAGTTTATTTATTTTAATGGATTGTGGTCTCAATGTTATATTTAAGAAATTATTGACTAGCCAAGGTCAAAAAGATTTTCTCCTGCATTTTCTTCTAAAAGTTTTACAGTTTTAGCTCTTACATTTAGATCTTTGATCCATATTGAGTCAATTTGTGTGCATAGTTTGAGATAAAGGCCTAAATTTATCCTTTCTGCATGTTGGATATTCAATAGTCCTAAAATTAGTTGTGGAAAAGACTGTCCTTTCTCATTGAATTGGCCTGGCAAATTTTTTGAAGAAAAAGTTGACACAATTAGAAGGCTTTACTTCTGGACTCTCAGTTCCATTACCTTATTTATAGGCCTATCTTTATGTCAGTACCACACTATTTTGATTTCTATAGCTCCATAGTAATTTTATTTGTTTGTTTGTTTATTTATTTATTGAGACAGGGTTTCGCTCTGTCCCTGGGCTGGAGTGCAGTGATGTGATCTAGGCTCACTGCAACCTCTGTCTGCCAGGCTCAAGCCATCCTCCCACCTCAGCCTCCTGAGTGGCTGAGACCACAGACATGTGCCACCATACTTGGCTAATTTTTGTATTTTTTGTAGAGATGGGGTTTTGCCATATTGCCCAGGTTGGTCTTGAACTCCTGAGCTTAAGTAATTCACCTGCCTAGGCCTCCCAAATTGCTGGGATTACAGGTGCGAACTGCTATGCCTGGCCTACAGTAATTTTAAAATCAGAAAGCTCTTTTTGTTTAATTAACGAAACTTCTTTTAAGACAACGATAAGCTTTAAACATTTTCTTTTTTATATTATCTCTCTCCTCCAGTTTTTGTTTTGTTTTGTTTTGTTTTCCCAGTACTTTTCTTTCACAAAAGAAGCCTTCTTCAACTGTTAATTCTTGCTTATCTTCTCACGTTTAAAGACGGAGATTTTAAAAACTGTTTGAAGCTCTGAACGCATAGGTAAGACTGGTATACTTTGAGCTTCATTGCAGGATGATGTTTCAACTATAGTCACTGTTTGAGCATAAGTCAGGGAATAATTTATAAAATATTTGGCAACATTAAAATAATATGTCTTCTTTACTGGGAGAAATCTGCCACTGATTTTCTAAGCGAAGAAGCAGAAAGCACATGGGAAAAAATGATGTCACTGCCATCTTGACACGTTTGAAATCACAAATTATAGAAAAGTTGTATTCCTGATCGAAGAATCACTAGTATTACAGGAGTTATTAAGAAATTATTTTAGGCAGCAAGAGAGGGGAAAAGAGTCCTTGGTAAGGCTTTTTCTTTTAATAAAAAAGCAAGCCCCAAAACATTTCTTTTCTAACAGAAAGTGGCCTGAAAAACCAGACCTGCAAGCATTGATATGCAAATGCTGGTGGCTAGAAGCCAGGTCCAACCAATATGGTGGTTCCCGTGACTTTTTCTTTGTTGCCACGTATGCAGAACATCATGGTGACCAGCCAGGTAGCCATATGTGCATATTTAAAGGCTAGGGTGGGAGAGCTGGCTTTTTTGCAGGCTATGTGAATGACACACCTGGTCAAACCAATCCCCTGGCTCCTATGCAAACCAAACACCACGTCGTCCAGCCTCCCAATATAACCGACTGCTTTCTGCTACATGTGGGGTTTTCCATTTGGAGCCCTCCTCCCTCTGTATGAGGGAGCTGTTTTCTTCTTTCTTGCCTATTAAACATTCCACTCCTTAAACCACTCCACGTGTATCCGTGTCGCTAATTTTCTCCGTGCGAGAACAAGGACCTTGGGTGTTTCTCCAGACAACAGACCCATATCATTTTTGGTGCGTTGGCTGGGAAACCAAGGTACAATATCCATTGGGGTTGGTGAGCAGAAGAGCAAACTCAAAACCTGTCCTTTCATTCCGAGGCTCTTGGCTTCCATTTTAAAATCAAATCAAATCAATAACAGCATCTGTCAACCATCTAGATATGCTTAGTGTGGCTGCCATTCTTAAAGACTCGCATGTCAGCCTTGCTGGGGAGAACATGAAGACCCCCCTCCCTCCAATACCCTGGGTCATTGGGAATGTTGGCCGTGCTTCAAACCAGCTTTTCTGTTCATGGGGAAAATTAGCCATTGCATAAGGCGGGGAAAAGTTCTGAAGCAACTGAGAATTTCTGGCCAGGGCATTTCCTAGTGTTATTCAAAAGCTTCTGGACCGGACTCAGCCTCCAGCAGCCTGCCCAGGTGTTGGTAAAAGATCCCCAGTTATCCTGTCGCAAAACTTTTTTTCTGTTTCTATCCACGGTCGCTATGCCTCTTATTCTCTTTGTGTGTCGAATGTGTGGGAATTTTTACAGCCTAGGGAAGTAATCCTGTTAGGCAAGATCAGGAAATGCTGTAATAACCGGGGCTATAGCTCAGGAAAATGCTGTTGCAATCTTCTAGGAACAGAGGTCTCTGAAACCCCGGTTGTGAGATGAGTCCCTACTATGCTGCTGGTGGCACATAGTATTCCTAAGCCAACAGCGCCACCTAGTGGAAATAGACACCCTCTTCATAAGACGCATTGCTTGTCCGCTACAGTCCACCGCAGCTTCCTAATTTTTCCTTTTTGCCCCTTCCTACTGGAAACCAGGCTTTATGCTGCTTCTGTGAACAGGAAAATTCTGCCTTCAACAATTAGGAGTAAATTGTCCTCTGCAGCCAAATTTGAGTCCTGATCCTGTCCCATCAACAGGAAAGTCACGATTAGGCCCCCACATCCCTTTAAGGAAACTATTCTGTCTCCAATAAGACAGTCCTTAATTAGTAAGGGGATTTTAAGTCTGAAAGTTAACCAGAACCATTTTTCTAAGGGTTAAGGCTTTAACACGGGCCATAGTAGCAGGCAATCTAGCACATTCCCTCCATTAAAGGACACTTGCCTTTTATATAATCTTTCCCAAGGTCAATTTTTTTTAAGGGAGGCACACAGGTCACACAAGTCTAGGAAGTCAAAGGGAAATCACAGGCAGAGGACTAGAGCTACTTGAATGAGCATGACTAGCCCCAGTTGCTTGGTTTCTTTGGTGCCATGGCTTGGAGGGTCACACATACAACCATGGGCAGCACATTTAACAGGGTGCTGGGACCCAGGAACCAAGGAAGGAAAACAGTTGGGGGGACGCTCCCACTGTCTTCTTCTCCACTCTGGGTTATACAGAGAGAGGAAGGAGACAAAAGAGACACCTTTTTCTCACTTCTCTTTCTAGATGGGTAACAGATCATGTTCAGCATGTACTCCCCTGGAGTATATTCTAAAGCACTGGGACTGCTTCAACCCTGAGACTTTGTAGAAAGAGCACCTCATATTCTATGGCATAAGGGCATGGCCTTCTTACCATCTTTAAGACAGACAAACCTGGCCTGCTGGGGGGAGCCTTCATTTTAATACTGTCCAACAATTAGATATTTTCTGCAGATGGAAGGACAAATGGTCTGAGATACCCAATGTACAGGCTTTCTTTGCCCTGCGAGACGACCCAGACCTTTACAAGCTTTGTACAATTGACCCAGTTCTTTTAGCAGCATGACAGGCAAGCCCACAAGGAATAGTCCCCCAGAGCTAAAGCAGATTCCAGAGGAGCAATCTGAGACAGCTATTGAATGTCTCAACTCAGTTCCCCTCATCCAGAAGCCCCTCCAATCATACCATCAGGTCCTCCAGGTCCACCATCTCCAGTATTACCCACTTTCCCCACTTCATTCTTATCTCTGCAGGAAGTGCCTGATGAAAATCGTGCCATGAGGGTTCACGTTCCCTTCTCATTACAGGACCTTAAGCAATTAAAGGGAGACTTAAGCAGATTTTCTGATGACCCCAATAAATATATAGAAATTTTCCAAAATTTAACTCAGGTGTTTGACCTCACATGGAGGGATGTTATGTTGCTCCTAAGTCAGGCCTCACTGAAGCTGAAAAGCAAGCAGTTCTGCAGGCAGCAGAAAAATATGAAGATGAACAACATCTCCTATGGCAGACCAAAGAGAAAAAAAGGAGATAGGGAAGGTGAAGAAGTAATGGAAACTCCATTCCCACTAGGAAGAGAAGCAGTTCAAGTAGACAACCCTGATTGGAACCTCAATAACTCAGCAGATAAATGGAAAAGAAAGCACTTTTAAATGTGCATATTAGAGGGCCTACGATAAACCAGGGCTAAACCTCTTAATTACTCTAAACTGTCCATGATAGACCAAAAACCAGATGAGAAACCCACAGCCTTTATGGAAAGGTGGAGAGAGGCACTAATAAGACATGCCTCTTTATCCTCTGATTCAGTCAAGGGACAGCTCATCCTGAAGGAGAAGTTTATTACACAGGCAGCTTCCAACATTAGAAGGAAACTGCAGAAGTAAGCTATAGGACCAGATAGCACCCTAAAGAACCTCCTGAGAATAGCCACTTCAGCCTTTTACAATAGGGATCAGGAGGAGGCCCAAGAAAAGGAGAGGAAACACAAGAGAAGGACAGAGCCTCTATTAGCAGCCTTGCAAGCTTGCAAAGTCCAGGATCTCCAAGGTGCATCTACCAGCTGTTATTAATGTGGAAAGTCAGGGCATTTTAAGAAGGAATGCCCAGGCAGAAAGAACAAGCCACCTCAACCCTGTCCAGCCCATGGCAGAGACCACTGGAGATCAAACTGCCCCTGGAAACAGAGCTCACTGGGTTCAGGACCTGTCTTGCAGATGGTCCAGCAGGACTGATGGGTCCCGGGGCTCAATCCCCCAGCTTCAGCTGGGGCTCAGACTGCCATTACCACACAGGAGCCCTGGCTGATTCTGGAAATTGAAGGAAGGAAGGTAGATCCCTTAGGGATACTGGAATCAGCCTCTCTCTTCTCTGTAATCCAGGCCTCCCCTCTTCCCATAGCAAGACTGTGAGGGGTGTCTCAGGAAAAACTCTAACCTGATATTTTTCTCAATCTGTTAGCTGAAGATGGGGGCCTATTATTTACAAATGGCTTTTTAATCATGCCTGAAAGTCTCACTCTTTTATTGGGTAGAGATATTCTTGTTCACACAGGGGCAAGCATCCTTATAGCCCCAGGACAAACTCTTTGTCCCCTCCTGATGGAAGCTAATATTAATCCAGAAATGTGGGCAACTCAAGGAAGAATAGGTCAAGCTATAACTGCTAGACCAGTCCAGATCCATCTTAAGAATCCTACTTCTTTTCCTAATCAGAGGCAGTATCCCCTAAGGCCAGAGGCTAGGAAAGGGTTAGAAGTTATTATTAATAACCTAAAGATGCAGGGCCTCCTCAAACCCTATAGTAGCCCCTGAAACACCCCAATATTAGGAGTGCAGAAAGCCAATGGGGAATGGAGACTAGTTCAGGACTAGTTCCGCCTCATTAAAGAAGCTGTAGTTCCAATCCACCCAGTGGTATTTAATCCCTATACCCCGTTAATTCACATATCTGAGGGAACTAAATGGTTTACAGTTCTAGATTTAAAGGATGCCTTTTTCTGCATACGGTTACATTCTGACTCTCAATACCTCTTTGCCTTCGAAGATCCCTCTGGCCAAACTGCCCAATTAACATGGACAGTGCTTCCTCAGGAATGTGTTTGAACAGGCACTGTCAAAAGACCTCTCTGAGTTTTCGCATCCTCAAGTTAGGGTCTTGCAGGATGTTGTTGTTACTCTGCTCTGTGCCCCAACTGAGGAAGCTTCTCAGGAAGGCACTGAAGCTCTCCTTAACTTCTTAGTAATAGAGGATATAAGGTTTCAAAACCCAGGGCCCAGCTTTGTCAAGCCTCAGCGAAGCACCTAGGTTTAGTGCTGTCTGAGGGGATTGGAACATTAGGGGAAGAAAGGATTAAGCCTATTTCCTCCTTCCTCCTCTCCAAAACCCTCAAGCAACTAAGAGGATTTTTGGGCATTACAGGATTTTGCAGACTATGGATACCTGGGTATGGTGAAATAACCCATTTATTATATAATCTCATAAAAGTAACTAAGGGAACTAAAACTCATCTTTTAACCTTGGAACCTGAAGCTCAAAAGGCCTTTGACCAGCTAAAGCAAGCCTTGCTTAAGGCATCAGCTCTCAACCTTCCTGTAGGGAAGGGCTTAAATCTGTATGTATCACAAAGGAAGGGAATGGCCCTGGGAGTTTTAACACAGACCCAAGGACCAGCTCAACAACCAGTGGGTTACCTAAATAAGGAACTTGATTTGGTGGCTAAACAATGGCCAGCATGTCTCTGAGCCATTGCCTCAGTGGCAATGGTCCCAGAAGCCTCCAAATTAACCCTGGGAAATGATTGAACTGTTTACACCCCACACAACATGGCAGGACTACCGTACCCTAGAGGGAGCCTCTGGCTAACAGACAGCTGACTGTTCAACTAGGAGGCCCTGCTGTTAGAGGGTTCCAACATCAAATGAAAAACTTGTTCTTACCTACATCCAGACACTTTCCTCCGCAAGGAAACTCGGGAACCTGAATATGATTGTGAACAAGTCATAATACGGACCTATGCAGCCAGGGAAGATCTCAGAGAAACTCCCCTGGAGAACCCAGACTGGACCCTCTTCACAGATGAGAGCTCTTTTGTAGAACAAGGAATCCATAAGGCAGGATATGCAGTTCTCTAAATGACGTCATTGAAAGTACATCTCTCCCTCCAAGCACAAGCACTCAATTAGTTGAGCTAATAGCTCTGACAATAACACTTAAATTAAACAATGGAAAGGTAGCTAACATTTACACTGACTCCAAGTATGCTTTCCTGGTTTTCCATGCTCATGCTGTCATCTGGAAGGGAAGACATTTTCTTACCACTAATGGATCTCCTGTAAAATATCACCAGGAAATTATCAGGTTATTATCTTCAGTTTTCCTTCCATGAGAAATAGAAGTTATGCATTTCAGGGGACATCAAAAGGGAACAGATGAGGTAGCCTAAGGAAATAGACTAGATGATCAGGCCGCTAAGTCAGCAGCAAGGAAGCCTCAAGACATCAACACACTTCAAAACCCTCTAATCTGGGAAGGCTCCATAAAAGATTCCGAAAAAATAACTAAGTACTCCCCTACAGAAACAGAATGGGCCACTTGTCGAGGTTATACTTTTCAGCCCACAGGATGGCTACAGTCAGAGGATGGCAAACTCCACTTGCCAGTCTCAGCCAATGGAAAGTTCTTAAAATCCTTCACCAAGCTTTTCAACTGGGAAAGGATAAAACTTATCAGTGTGATCAGAGATTGTTTTCAGGATTGAACTTACTAAAAACAGTCAAGAAAGTTTTTAATGCTAAAATCTGTCTTAAAAAAATATTCCCCTGAACAGGCAACTCCTTCCTCCTCAAACCCAAAGAATAGGAAGTTATCCAGGGGAGGACTGGCAGATAGACTTCACCCACATGCCAAAGATGAAGGGCATTCAATACCTCCTGGTATGGGTAGATACCCTCACTAGCTGGGTAGAAGCATTTCCATGCCACACAGAAAAAGCCTCTGAGGTATTAAAAGTGTTAGTTAATGAAATAGCTCCCTGCTTTGGTCTACCTAAGTCCTTTCAAAGTGACAATGGCCCTCATTTAAGGCAGCTGTCACACAAGGGGTCTCAAAAGCACTAGGCATAGAATATCGTCTCCATTGTGCTTGGAGACCCCAGTCCTCAGGAAAGGTGGAGAAAACTAATGATATTATCAAGAGACACCTCAGAAAATTATCCCAAGAAACTCAGCTTCCTTGGGTCACTCTTCTTCCCGTGGCCTTGCTGTGAATAAGAATACCCCTTCTAAATTAGGTCTTAGCCCTTTTGAGATGCTGTATGGATGACCTTTCCTCACCAGTGATTTTCCGTTAGATCGGGAAACCTCTGAGTTAGTTAAGCATGTAACCTCTCTGGCACACTTCCAACAGGAATTAGCACAATTAGCAAAAGCTCAATCCCAGAAAAGAGGACCACTTCTGTTTAACCCAGGAGATTTGGTACTGGTAAAGGCTCTCTCCTCTTTCTCTCCTTCTCTAGGCCCAAGCTGGGAAGGGCCTTACACTGTTCTTTCTCCCAACTCCCTTGGCAATAAAAGCTACAGGAATCGACTCCTGGATACATCACACTCAGATTGAAGCCTGGAAAGCTGAGGGAACAACCCCTGACAGCCCAGAGGAAGGTCCTGAATATCAATGTGAAGAAAGAAGAGATCTTAAGCCGAAAATCCCAAAAGATAAGTAACTGAGTGAGAACTACTTATCTTACTCACGCCCCTACCTCACCAAATACTTTGTTTCTACCTCTCCTTTTGAGATTCGTCACCAAATATTAGACCTTCTTTTTGATGCATATTTGCAAGGGAATTTTTAATTATCCATAGAGTTACATTATAACTTCATAGAGCTCCAAAGAGAAATTGTATATCTTGGCAAATAACAATTTTAGATGGAAATTACTTACTACGCCACCCTTGCAGGAACTGTTATACTCACTCTACTATTTGCAGTAGGACTATATACTGTAGCACCCTCTGGGTGAAATATCAGACAGAGAATCTCAATTACTGTAGCATTTTACCTAATTACCATCCTCATAACAGGAATAGCCGTTACTGACAGGAAGTAAACCTGAATGTTTTACTATCACTAAGTCTGCTAGAACTTTTTATCAAACTTAGTAACTAACACATCACATCCATTAGCTCCTACAATATCAGCCATGGCCCGTTTTTATGACAAGACTAATTATTGGATCTGTCCTAAGCCGTGTGCTCAGTTCAATAACACTAAGAAACCTCTTAATGACCCAGAACTTACCTTCTTAGGATTCCCTTTGTTAGTTTTACCTTTAATCCTTAAAGACTTATCAGGCGTAAATGGGACATGGTATGGGAGCAATTTTAACTGGGTAACTATTCTCAGGAAAACACTCGGAAGAACGCTCTCCCCACAGATAAGCTGCACACCTTCAGGCTGGGAAAAGTTGACTGGGTAATAGCAAACGCCTCCCTCTCCTTTAAAAGCAGCAAGGAAGGACCATACTTGGGAGATCTTAAATGTTGTAATATCACACTTGTAATTGCTGATAGTTCAAAGATGTGGGGAGGAAAGTGCCGTAAGGGTGATCTAAAAGGATCAGAAGCCTTAGTGGGGGAGTGGGGGGCTTTTGGAGTCTAGCCTCTCCTTGTGGTTGGAAGTCCCGAAGGGAATGGCATGCTCTAAGTAACCACCTTGACTATAATGGAAAGAATAACACACAGGCCTTTCCAAACATGCCCCCTCATGGAATTCTAGACCCTTGTATGATGTTTGCTAATAGTAGTGGCCTACAAATCTGTGGGCAAACTGGAGACATCTGGACCGGCAGCCCTTGCCACAGGGATCATTTGAGATACTGGCCAGGAAATACTATGTCCCTAATTTTTCAAAACTCCATTTTTCAGGTGGACCCTTCTCACTTGGCATTTCAAATTCCAAATCTTATCATAAATGACTATCCTTATCCCAAGGATGCCCTTGTTATATGTAAAGAGGGGAGACTTCTAAGATATGAGAAAAATCTGCTGGTGTCTCTCACAAGCCACAGCTTAGAACCATCCTTTCAAGGAACAGGGTTATATTTTCTTTGTGGCTCCTGGCTACATTTAATCTTTCCAAGGCATTGGAAGGGAACCTGTACTGTAGTAGCAGTAGTTCCTGACTTATTATTTTTAAACTGTACTAAGATGGCAGCATCATCTGAGGACATTCCTAACTTAGGCTCTTTTCTAGAAACTGTACTATCTCAAATACACTGGACAAAGAGCTCTATCATTTCTATGCCCTCATATGGAGATTTAACTGAAAGGGGAGACTGAGGAGGGCATGCACGTGACAATCCCAGCTTGGAAAAACCATGGATGGGAAATTCTATAGCCAGAGGTCTATTCTGGTTTGCTGGCATCCCTCTCCTTGACAGATTGGTACTTAATATTCCTGTTATAATACAATGAAGATGGAAGGCAACTGTAGGGGCCATAGAGGCACAACAGCAATCTATGACTCTTTAGCCTGAGTAGTAGCACAAAATAGATGGGCCTTAGATGTCCTTATGGCTGAAATAGGAGGTACCTGTGCACTTTTAAATGAAACATATTCCTTCTGGATTAACACGTATAGTCAAGTAGAGGAAAACCTACAGGTACTTAAAGATGATATCAAAGTCATTGACAGGCTAAGAGAAAATGCAGGCTTCAGCCCCAGGTGGCTACAATCCCTCTTTAATGAATTCCAGTCTTCTTTATGAAACTGGTTAGTTCCTTTATTAAGCCCCCTCTTGCTTATATGTCTCATATTAATATTTGGACCTTTTATACTCAATACTATAACCAGAATTGTTTCCTCTCACCTAGAAGCAATCAAACTCCAAATGGTGCTACAAACAGAACCACTCACCGACATGCCATTCTTCTGAGGACCCTTAGATTGACCCCAGGAGGAACCCTAGCTGCTGTTCCCCACTTCCCCTTTTCATCAGAAGTGGCCAGAAACAGTCGCTGTCCAAAACCCCCAACAGCAGTTAGGGTGACATCTCCTGAGTGGGGGAAATATTACAGGAATTACTAAGAAATTATTTTAGTCACCTAGAGAGGGTAAAAGAGTCCTCAGCAAGGCTTTTTCTTTTAATAAAAAAGCAGCTCCCCCCAACAAACATTTCTTTTCTAACAGAAAGTGGCCTGAAAAACCTGACCTGCAAGCATTGATATGCAAATACCGGTGGCTAGAAGCCAGGTCCACCCAGTGTGGCAGTTCCCGCCACTTGTTCATTGTTGCCACGTGTGCAGGACATCATGGTAGCATTTGCATATTAAAAGGCTAGGGTGGGAAGGCAAGTCCCCCTCCCCCCGCCCCGCCGCAGGCTACATGAATGACAAACCTGGTCAAACCAATCCCCTGGGCCCAAACAAATCAGACACTGCCTCCTCCAGCCTCTCAATAGAACCGATTGCTTTCTGCCACATGTGGGGTTTTCCATTCAGAGCCCTCCTCCCTCTGTACAAGGGAGCTGTTTTCTTCTTTCTTGAAAGTTTAATATAAACTTTCTGTTCCTTAAACCACTCCATGTATGTCCATGTTGCTAATTTTCTCAACCAAGACCAAGGACCCAAGGAGTTTCTCCAGACAATGGATCTTTATCACTACTATAATTTAAATGAGAATGATAATTGAATTTCTTTTTTTTTGGCTCAAGTATTAAACTAATGATTCACTGTTTTCAAATTTCCTAGAATTTGTGTTCTTTTGCTCTCTAAAGTTAGACTACCTAAGTTTAAATTCTGGCTCTGCCACTTGCTTTGTGACCTGGGGTAAGTTACTTACCCCTCTCTGCCTCAGTTTTAGCATCTGAACATGGGGATAATAAAAGTATGTGTTCCATACTGAGTTAGCATATTTCAGGTACCTAGAACAAAGGCTGAGATAGTTCTGCCTAGTTTATTTTTGTCTCTTTCTTCTTATCCTCCTACTACTTTTCTTATCCTCCTGTCTCCCTCCTCTTCTCTTCCTTCCTGTGCAACTTTCTTATGTCATATTTTAATATGTCTCTTCTGTAACGTTTGTGGAGTTTTCTATTCAGTGCTACCAAAAATATCCATGTTGGATAATGTGTATTCTTCCTGTTTTATTACTTAGCTTTAGTATTCCTTTAAATGCTGTCTTTCAATCTGCATTTGCAGTGTTTACATCAAGCCATTCTTCTAAGTCGGTTAATTGACTTTCCATTCTTTGATGTTTCTAATTTTTTTTTTCTATAGGTAGTTTTATTTCCTATGGACTACAATCCCCCCATGCATGCCATTCTGTTGCTATAATGTTTTTACCTTGAGCGGATTAAGTTATTAAATTATCCTATTACCTAATTAAATCCACATGAATGTTTAAATGCTAATTTAATCAATACTTTAATTGTCAAATAAAATTTAAAATACTTAATATAATTATATTCTTTTTTTATTTAGTTAGGTTTGGTATTTACTTTTTTGATTTTTTCATAGATACATAATATTTGCACACATTTATGGGTTACATGTAATATTTTGTTACATGCATAGAATGCAGAGTATTCAGGGCATCTATCACCTTGGGTATTTATCATTTTTATGTGTTGATAACATTTCAAATCTTCTCTTCTAGCTATTTTGAAATATACACTACATTGTTGTTAATTATAGCCACCTTTCTCTGCTATTGAAAATTGGAACTTATTTCTTCTATCCACCTGTATTCTAGAGCTCCAAATCCTTTCAGGGAATGTCTTTTGTTTTGAAGATTATGTTTTCTAAAATTAAAAAAACCTTTTGAGACCAGGCACAGTGGCTCACGCCTGTAATCCTAGCACTTTGGGAGGCTGAGGCAGGCGAATTTCCTGAGCTCAGGAGTTTGAAACCAGCCTGGGCAACACGGTGAAACCCCGTCTCTACTAAAAATACAAAAAAAATTAGTCGGGTGTGGCGGCGTGCGCCTGTAGTCCCAGCTACTCAGGAGGCTGAGGCAGGAGAATTGCTTGAACCCGGGAGGCGGAGGTTGCAGTGAGCTGAGATTGCGTTACTGCACTCCAGCCTGGAGACAGAGTGAGACTCCACCTCCAAAAGAAAAAAAAAATCTTTTGAATGATATATTTTTGTTTAATAATTTACCTCAGTCTATTTGTAAGTGTGTTGTACAATTTTTTTTGTACACAGTGGCAGCTCTTTACAAGTCTTTCCTTTGCTGTGCTGTAGCGTAGGGAGCTTCCTGATTAACTTCTCACTATATATAAAACATGCACCCAGTGCCACCTCCCAAAGAGTTACAGTTTGAGTGCTGGGCACATTGTATTCTATCTATGCTCTAGGGAATGACGATAGGGGTAGGCCCTGGGGAATATTGCAGAATTGTGCTTAGGTAAAATAACCAGGATCTATGATTATGCCTGAGGGTTTATTAATTATACTCTTTCAGAGCCCCTGGTACTTTATTGAGGGATGCATTCCAAACCTGTTTGCTTGACCAAACTTTTAGTCAGGCTTCTGAACCCGCTCCTTGGCCCATGTGTGTACTTTGTAAATCTAGTTTGGGTGATCCCTGCTAAGAACCCCCAAGACTCTTGATATCTGCTCACCCTCGATATCTGATCAGGTTCCTAACCCTCTACCATCTCCCAGGTGATGACTGATCACTGCAGCCTGTGTTCAGCAGAAATTCTGTTAAGTTGTTCAGCCAGAAATCTTGCTTACCCCTGATGTTTCCTGTTAGTAACTTTCTATCCTATAACCCCTACCTTGCTCCTTGACTATAAATAATTCCCACTTGTCAATGCCATATTTAGAACTGAGCCCAATCTCTCTTCTCCAGTGCAAGACCCCCTTACAGTGCTTCCTATACCTATTATAATGGTCTTGAAAAAGTCTTTAATAAGTATCTAAATGATGCTTTAACAAGTATCACTGAATAACTTTTTTCTTTAATACTCTCAAGCTAAGAGATTGATATTCTTCAGGACAGAAAAATACCTCTTAGTGGTACAATAAAAACTTCCCAAAAGTGATTTGTGATTTCTGTTTCTTTATTATCATTTCATATTCTTTTCTGCTTTGGTTGAGCTAAATTGAGCTCTCTGAAATTTAAAATAACTTAAAGCTTTATGTTTCTACATTGCTATTTTTGTATCTCCATGGTTTCATTAGATTTTTTTTGCCAACCCTATAACTCTTATCAAAATGCTTTTTCACGTTTTAATATATAACCACTAAATTTGGCTGTAATGATTAGCTTTGAGAAAGGGCTTTGATGCAAGGGGTCAGTTGAAGGGACCTTTAAAGACGTACTAGTTCCAGATGTGTGCCACAAATGAACATAAATGTATAAACATAAATGGCTACTTCTTTATTATTCCTGTTAGCAAAGTGTGTGTAAGGGAAATTCAAGAATATGTTTCAGAGGTAGTCTTAGTGGCAAGAAGCCCAGGATTCATGATAGTAAACTCAGAATAACTGAGGTCACCTTACCCGGCAATCATGTGCAGGATGACCATTCAGCCAGCTGAGCCAAGAGTCACTTTCCTCTGTCACTGTCTAGGGGCAAGATAAGGAATGCCTCATAAAATCATATAAATTATTATTATTATTTTTTCTTTTCACATGAAAAAATCTTAGCATTTGCTATATTTGGGGTTAGCATGCACATTTTTATACTTTATAGATCAGGCCTTCTTAGCCAGAAAAATTTATCTTTTCTCGAGGATTTTAGTTAAAATTGCAGAAATTTTAATTTCAAATGAGAAATACACTAAAACACTTGAATAATAAGTAGTTTCTTAACTGACAAGGAATGTTAAGTGTCAAAAATATAGCAGTAATAGACTTGTTATGGAGTGAATGTTTGCGTTCCTCCCAATTTACATGTTGAAATCCTAACCGCCACCGGGCGCAGTGGCTCACGCCTGTAATCCTAGCACTTTGGGAGGCCGAGGAGGGTGGATCCCCTGAGGTTGGGAGTTCAAGACCAGCCTGGCCAACATGGAGAAACCCTGTCTCTACTAAAAATACAAAATGAGCCGGCTATGGTGGCACATGCCTGTAATCCCAGCTACTTGGGAGGCTGAGGCAGGAGAATCACTTGAACCCAGGAGATGGAGGTTGTGGTGAGCTGAGATCGAGCCATTGCACTCCAGCCTGGGCAACAGGAGTGAAACTCCGTCTCAAAAAAGAAAAAAAGAAAAAAAAAGAAATCCTAACCCCCAATGTGATGATATTAGGAGGTGAGGCCTTTGGGAAGTTATTAGATAATGAGGATAAAGTCTTCATGAATGTGATTGTTGCCCTTTTAAAAAGACATGAGATAACTTACTTCCCCTCTCTCTCTGCTCTCTGCACCTGAGGCTACACTGAGGTAGATATCTGCAAATCAGGAAGAGAGCCCTCAACAGACACTGGATTTGCTGGTGCCCTGCTCTGGGGCTTTCCAGCCTCTTAGAACAGTGAGAAAAAAAATTCTGTTGTTCAAGCCACCCAGTTAATGATATTATATTATAGCAACCCAAATAGACTAACACAAGACTTTGGCGATAAACAACTAAATAAAATTAAACTTTTAAGTTTAAATTCTAAGGGATAATTTATCCCATTCTTGACTGAAGACAGAGAGTTAAATATATACTAGGATCCCCAATTTTTATGTGTGGGGTAAAATGATTTGGAATGAGTCAAAAGACAACCTAAGTTTATCTTCAAATATCCAACTCTGAGAGATGCATTTTAAAAAAGCCTGATAATTTTTTGTTTTACCTCTAAAAGGAATTTAACATGGGGAAAGAAGTATTTTCTCACTGGCAAATAGTAATGGGGAAATATAATAGATATATATTAAATAATTACATAAATATTTATTAAAGGTGCAGTCCAACTTATTAAGATAGGTTCATGAGTCTTTGATGTGTCAAGTTACTGTGCTGAGCTGCATAGAAGATATGAAGGTGAATAAGACATATTCCCTTCCCAGTAAGAATTTTTGACCAGATAAAGAAGACATTTAAACATAATAGTACACTAAGTAATTGTAAATGGGATAAAATAGGTTGTTTTTACTTGAATTGCCTATAGAAGCAATAAGCTACAATTGTTAAGTTAAAGTCACTGAACATCAATGATCTTCACTTTGAGAGAGCACAAATGTCTCCCCGGCCTTAGTTTTCATGATTTCAAATTTAAATAAACATGCATTTGCAAATAACCTACAGAATATTAGAAAGAGCCAAAGAAAATAATATAGGTGAAACAGTTTATAAACTTCTGAGGACCATAGATGTAAGTGGTCTTTGTACTATGAAGAGCTAAACTGCTAACCAAGAAAAACTTGGAATTTTTTTCTGCCCCTGTCTTGGTAAATTGAAAATGCTCTATCTTCCAAAATTACTCAATTCTAATGTATGTATTGCATTTCTTGATGCATTCCTTGACAATATAAAATGTGCAATTTAGTAAAATAGAGTTCAGTTGGTTTGGGTTCAGAATTTACCTTCTGAATAACCTGCTTCAATCAGCTAAATAAAGGCCAAAAGAAAAATGTCATGTTTCAAGATTTGCAAATACTGTGTTAGACTTAGCCTCATTCTAAGTCAAGTAAAGACAATCAAATTACTGATTTGCATATTTGCTAACTTAATTAATTCTCCCAAGTGAATCCCTCAGATTAAGTAAAATGACCTGTGTATAAACAATTACCTATAAAAAGACTCATCATTGTCTCTGCATGAAAGATGGGGTGAGGTCAGATCATGATTGTCCTGACTTCTGCTTCTGAAGGGCAGAGGCCATGACCAAGGAGAACCAGGCAGCCTCCCAGGCCTGGAGGAGTAGAGGTCAATTTATCTTTTAGTCCTTCTTGGAACTGGGATACCCTTTTGCCCTGCAAAAATTCTGAAGACCCAGATAGCCCCATTGTTAGTTAGGGGAAGGCTTGGGCATTGAGTCTGCAGAGATTACATGCTTTAGCTTGTTACTGCTAAATCTTTCCTTTTAGGCAGCTTAGGTTTTCTCCATTTGTGATCCTGGTGCTTAAGATGTCATTTCCTTGGTTAGTCACAGAGGACAAGACTTATTTATTGTAAAAGACAATGATCATGTTTTATTTTGAGTCTGAAGAAAACCTGCCAAGACTGAAATGCTGTGAATTTATGTGAAGAAAAAATCTTAACCCAAGAGGAAAGTTATTCTTGGTTGTGAATGTCTCTATTCTCTCTGTTGACTGGAGAACCAATTGTGCCATCATATTTTATACCACACTACTGAACTACTGGAACTTTTACTGCATTTTCTCATTTTTTCTCTTTATTGAGATCTATATCTATATCCAGATATATTCTCACACCTCTTTGAGGTATGATGCTTGAAAATTAGCATATGCATAAAACTCATTAAGCTGAATAAAATGTGGATTCAGACAAAGAATCCTTTGAATTCCTGGAAGCCTATCCCTTAGAAGCAGGTGCACAGCCCAGGATTAAGATAAAACGTAATTGTGAAGAGCAGGATTTTAGCAGCAGCATACTAGCTTTTGGACTCATCTGAAGTTTGCACCTGTGTCTTTGTAACTTAACTAGGAACTATTTCTTTTTGTAGGAACTGGATGTATTTTTAGGAGGAACTGATTATGAAGGAAAAGGTTAATGTGAGGCTGTGATAATAATATATGTAAAATGAAATGCTCTTCAAGAGTTACTTTAGGATATAGTTTACATGAAGTTTTCAACAATAACAACACAGTAAATGACATAATTGTAATAGAAAGCATTGGCTTGAGTTTTGGAAGACAGTTATCTGTATCATCTTGAAAACTGCCTAATTTCTCTGGACCTACTTCAATTTTTTGAGGTTCACCGGCTAGCATTAAGATTCCTTCAGTTTTAAAATGCTGTGAGCTTGAGCTGACCACAAAGTTTGTAAGAATAGGCCCTGTTCAGTAGTCAGTGGACTTATTAACAACTTGAAAACAACTAGAGGAATCACAATGGGTAGAATACCAGCCATTTTGCAGAAACAAAATTTTATGTTTTGGTAAAAAAAAAAAAAAAAAAGTGAAATAAATGTAGAAATGAGAGCCTAAAAAAAAATCAGAGATCTACTTGCAATTCCGATTTACATTTTAAGGCAAATTTTTTCAAAGGGCAACAACTTGAAATAAAGTCTGGGAGAGCAGCAAATAAGATTCTTTAATCCAAAGCATTTTCCCCATTATCTGTCATTAAACTTTTATCCCTTTGGATCTTAGAATGCTATTATTTTTCTTTAATTTCTCTTAAAATATTTAAACAAAAGAAAACAGCATAAGTGGTTATCAACTAATATACTGATTATCATCTAACACATAGTGAGATTAATTCACAGCCAGTTGTGAATAAAACTGGGTTATAGTAGATATTTGGAACAGAAGGTACCTTTGAGAAGCAGAGGCTTCCAGAAAAAAGAAAAGGGTGTAATGTGGTTTGGCTCTGTGTCCCTACCCAAATCTCATCTCAAATTGTAATTCCCATAATCCCCACATGTCCAGGGAGAGACCTGGTGGGAGACTGGATCATGATTGGATCATGGGGGTGGTTTCCCCTATGCTGTTCTTGTGATAGTGGGTTGTCCTGAAATCTGATGGTTTTATAAGTGCCTGACAGTTCCTCCTTCACATGCTCTCTCTCCTGTCACCTTGTGAAGAAGGTGTCTGCTTCCCCTTCCGCCATGACTGTAAGTTTCCTGAGGCTTCCTCAGCTATGCGGAACTGTGAGTAAATTAAACCTCTTTCCTTTATAAATTGCCCAGTCTCAGGGAAGTTCTTTATAGCACTGTGAAAACAGATTAATACAGGGTGCTAATGGAAAGAGGCCTAAGGAGAAGCTGAGTTTGTATTTGAGAAAGAAGAAAGTAGTAATTATTCAAATCAAAACATAGAAACTTGAAGGTTTACAGGTGGAAGGAAGTACAATGAAAAGTATAAAAATACTAAAAGTAGTACAGATGAAAAGATATACAGAATATTACAAAAAGTAGGAGGAAACCTGCAACAACTGAAAACTACAATAAGGAGCAAATGTTAAGAAATTTCTGCTGTGTATGCTTTAGATGTAATCAGATTGATAAATGTCACTGAGCATTGACATGTACCTCTCCTAAGAAGTGCTGAGATACCAGGCAATGAGAATAGGAGCTCTGGAAATAATCCCTCTGATGAGTCCTAGATGGGATAGTGTAGGGCAGGCTATGGGGCTAGGTGTGTCCCAGGACTTAGATTCTTTTTCTATGGTAGGAGAGTGGCATTTAAAAGAGATAGAGAGAAAGAGAAAGAGGGAGAGAGAGAAAGATGAAGCAAGAGAGGGAGAGAGCAAGAGAGAGAGGAGAGAGATTAATTTCACTAGTAAAATACAAAATCACAATTTTTTCAGACATCCTTTTGAAATATTTTTTTCTGTTAACACAGTACAGCAAGACAAATCTTAGCCACAGCTTGTGAGAGAGCACTAACTTTCTAGAAATCAATATGGCAAAATCTATCGGGATTCTAAAAATATTCATTGATCTTTGTCATAGTAATTATCTAGAATAAAATCAAGGCAGCAATCAAAGATGCACACAATGTTATATGGACAAAGGTAGTATCTAAAATATTCTATTCAAGATTAGAAAAATTAAAGTACATTAATTTAGAATTGATTAATAATGACACTTCCTCATGATAGCTTAACATTTTAACACACTATTAAATGATATGGAAAATATATAAAGAAGAGGACATATATACAGTAGCATATAGAATAAGATGCTAAGTTTGTAAAACAAACCATAGATAGAAGACAAGGAAATATTACATGACAATAATGTCCTGTGATCAAGAATAATTGTCATTTTCTTTCTGCTTTTTATTTTAAATTTTTTATAATGAACATTGAATAATTTTCTAATCAGAAACATAAAATAAACATACGTTTTAAGTGCACTCTATACTTTCTAAAATTCCAGAGGAGGCTACAGCCTTCTGAAGCATTTCATATTCCAAGCTTTTAGGTTTCAGCCAGATGCCAGACACTCTGACTGACATTTGGTGAAACGGTTTCTTGGTTAAAATTTCCCTTGGCCCAACTCTTAGAAGTTCATGGAACAGATGACTTTGATTTGAAAGACGTATCTGGTAAGAGACAATGGCAAAGCTGGTCCTTTGTGCTAAAGGATATAGGGCATTGACCAGGAGACATTTTGAGTTCTGGAATTTTTTCGACTCTTTCACGCAAAGGTTTTTGTTGCTGAACACTGGCTCACAAAAAGGGTAAAATCAATGTCACAGAAAATTCTGTAGATGATTTAAACAACTCTGTGGTGGTTCTCCTATGGAGTATAGACCAATGAACAAAAACAGAAGCGGCCTGGAAAGGCACCTGGCATGCACGTTTATACAGAGTAGCAGTAGTGCTCCTTTTGAGATATCCTTGTCAACTCTCTCCTTTCTAACTTCCTTAACCCTTTGATTGTGTTTGTGGGCAACAGATCTAAGGAAATGCATTCAGGTAGCTTCTGTCGCACATCTGCAACCCATGATAAACTTATCAAGCTATCCAATGGTTCCTCCCATTGACCATCACATAGAAGAAATAGGCAGGGCAATGTGGGTGCCTAAAACACTGAACTCCTTTACATTAACTGACAGGGACAATAGGAACTCCAGCTGACTAGTGGTCGAACATTTCAATAAAGGTACTGGCACAGAAATCTTTTTTACTTACAATTTCTGTGATGTTATCCTTATCCTTTGCACAAATTTCTACTTAATCCTTCCTCAAGGTGGAACTAGCAAGGCAAGTGTTGCTGTACTCTATTTACTATTTATTTTACAAGTGTATTAGTCCATTCTAACATTGCTATAAAGAAATACCATAGACTGGGTAATTTATAAAGAAAAGATGTTTAATGGGCTCATAGTTCTGCAGGCCATACAGAAAGCATGATGCTGGCTATCTGCTTGACTTTTGAGGAGGCTTCAGGAAGCTTACAATCACAGCAGAAGGTGAAGGGGAAGCAGGCACGTCTTACATGGCCGAACTAGGAGGAAGAGGTAGGAGTAGGTGCCACATGCTTTTAAACAAGAACTCTATCAGGAGAACAGTGCTAGGGGAATGGTGCTAAACCATTAAAAACCACCCCCATGATCCATTCACCTCCCACAAAGTCCCAGGTCCCTCACTGGGGATTACACTTCAACATGAGATTTGGGTGGGGATATAAATCCAAACCATATCAATAAGTATATTATTAGAATATATTTAACATGGGGACGGGGTCTTTAATCATGGTGACTCTGAGAGAAGCCTGTGTATTCCAGTTTCCTGTCAGGCAAATCCTTGATCTCACTTAGCCTAGCTCCACCAATTTTCTCAGTTTACTTTACTCTTGTAATCATTTTGTAGCCTCTTCCCCCTTGCAATACTGATGAGAATAATTTCAGCACAAGCTTAAACACCTCCCAGTATTTGTGTTCAAATTACTAACTTCTTCTAAATAAGGCTTTTTATCCAATGTAAAACATTTTCCTAAATATTTTTCTCCTTCAATTTATCATTGCCTATCTGTCCAATATTACACCATCTCTCTACTTATCTCAAAGTGATTAGGAAAATTGAGACTAAAAAAAGCTGACACATTGGAAATGGGTTTGTGCATACACGGTTGTTTTCTGCATTAATCTAATTCTTGATTCTATAGAATATTTAACACTAAACAAAGATTTTCAAAGAATTTGATATGCAACAAGAAAAAGTAAAAACAACATTAGATCAATAATTTGAAATAGTTGGTTTAATGTCTGACTTCTACAGTCTAATTGTGTGACTTCAAAGAAGTTGCTTCATTTATCTGGCTGTCTCTCAAATGCTTCACCTACTATCTCATGCCTGCTGTGAGATCAAATGGGGCATTGTATATGGAAAGGAACTGTAAATCTCCACACAAACATAACATATCATTGATGGGAAACACTGGCCTTGGTATCGGCATGATTCTGGAAAATTGACAAATGGTTTTATGAGTTGGGCTACTTCTAAAAGACAAGACAAAACAAAACAAGAAAAATTCCCTCAGAAGAATTGTCTTCCTATGCTTAGGACCCTTTCATTTCTGACCAATAGATTTTTGAGATTCTTGAGGGTAAGAACCATGTGTCATTCATTACTCGTATCTCAT
Source organism: Homo sapiens (assembly GCF_000001405.40). NCBI lineage: Eukaryota > Metazoa > Chordata > Mammalia > Primates > Hominidae > Homo > Homo sapiens. Next base: position 176,495,241 of record NC_000003.12, on the reverse strand, counting down.
TACTGAATGGATTATTTCAATTTCAGTAAGTGTTCAGTTAAGAAAAAACACAAGAATATATGTGTGGAAATGCACTGTTTTTCCATTATCATAGATTGCCAAAAAATAAGCTAATACTTGAAGGATGAAAGAGTATATTAAATCACTTTCTTCAAGATCCCTTTGAATTTTCATTAGATCTGTTGCTTGACTGCACTATTAGACCAATTCTTACTCCTTCAGACTATCAGAAAGTGCTGGTTTCCATGGATTGACTACTCACATGAATAATTTTCAACTGATTCACCCCATCTTCATTGCCTGGACAGTGATCCTTATTTCATCAATAGTTCCAATAGACTGCTTTGCACACCTTTCAAACATGAGCGAAGTCTCAAGAAGTCTCATGTCTAGCAATGTGTGTCTGTGTGCACATGTGGCTTGCGCATACACACATTTAACACTTAGAAAAAGAGAGTTTAAAAGAGTTATATCATGTACATTTCATAAGTATCCAATTTATTAAAACGAAAAAGTCTGTAACATATCAAACTAAGAAAAGAAGGTAACTCCTGGGATGATGGCAAGTGAACCAATGACTGAAGAGCAAATAACAACAGGAAAAGAACAAGAAGGAAAAATGCTTAGGAGTCGCAAAGACCAAGGTGCTTCTCAAGCCACTTTTTGCTCATAGTGCTAAAGCTCACATTTCTAATAGGAGCTCAGGAGGTAATTTTTATTCTATTTTATTTTATTTTTTTTGGAAAAATCCGTCTGAGGTGAAACAATAGGAAAGGGATTAGTATTTGTTTCAATCTAGAAAAACATTTTGCTGCCCATAGTATCTCAAGGAAGACATTTCAAGGGAAATCTGTGCCAACAAGTTGCATCATTTACATGGAAATATCTGATTAGTAACTAACATAACTATAGTGTTTTAGGACTAGTTTCAATTGTTCTAGGCATGGCTGCTCAAATACTCAAAATATTCCACCAAAACATATCTAATAACACAGAAATCATTGTATATCTTAGGGAGTTGGAGTTCAATATTTTGAAATTTTCTGTTTTAAAGAGTAAAATTTATGAAAATATTGTATTTTATTTCATAATACATTAGTACCTGTCAAAATAACATTTCAACTAAATTTGAATAAATTAGACTTGTCAAAAAGGAAAACCTGCCACTTTGATCCAATATGTGAATTTATAACATTCCCCTCTAGCCCCCCAGCCATTGCCTATATCTTTGTATACACAATAAATACTCTAGTTTGAGCATCAGATTTAGAATAATTTACATAGTATTCCTGGAGTCATAGAACCTAAAATGTGTGAAAAGGGTTATCTACTCTAGTTCTTTAATCTTGCAGATAAAAATCAATACCAGAAAGGTTAAATGCCTTTTTAAAATGTTTCAGAACTAGCAAATAACAAACCTAGAATTCAGTATTCTATATTTCCAGTGCCAAGTTGTTTTCATTGTATCACAATGCCTTCTTATTTGAAACAACAGGGCTATTCAACAAGGAAACCAAATTGAATTATGATGTCTTTATAATATGGAATAATGTGTAGCCATAAAAATTATGTTTCAGAGTGTATTTACTAACATGGAAAATAGTCATGATACTTTAAGTGCAAACACTAGTTATAAAAGATACATGCATTATGAACCTAAATTCGTAAAAGTTAAACATAAAATCCATCCAATATCATCCATTATTATCCATGTATGGTAGGATTACAGATAATGCATATGAATTTTGCAGTGTTCTCTGTTTTCCAAGTTTTCTAACAGAGAGTTATATTACTTTTATAATTAGATAAATGAATAGATGTAAACCAAGAAAATAAACTGCTAGTGTAGTTAAATTATACTTTCTTTTCATTAACTTATGTATGCTAGAGTATAATTAAAATATGTATTGGAATCACATGAATATGGCTTCATATTTTAAGTCCTTTGGTAACTAGTTGTGTGACCAGAGACAAATTTGCACCTTAGAGCCTCCGTTTTCTTATCAGGAAAGTGGAATTAATAACTACCCTATAGATTTTTGGTGGATATTTAATGAGATTATGCATATAATGTGTATAAGTGCCGAATCAAGTGAAGACACATAGCGACCATTCAGTACATGTTAGTTGACTTCCTTTTTATGAGTTCATAAATTTTTGTTAATGAAAACTGCTATAAAAGGCTATTTTTATTATATAGCCACAAAACCCTGATTTTTGAAATTAATTATACTGTTGCTGACATGTTACTGCAGAGGAAAGTAGGGAAACCAGGCAGGGAAGAGTGTAGTAGGGCTGTGATACTCATGTGGGAAGGTAGGACAGGGAGGGTTAAAAAGTCACCTATGAAGTTAAACTGTTTTAAACTACCCACTTCACAACATCAGACCTTCTTCCATATATTGAATGCAAATCAACTTTCTGATTCTGCTCAATGACACTAGGAACTTAAATACCCTGAAAACCTGCTCCAGATCTTCGAGGCAATTTACCTAAATGCGTGAGCAAGCCCGTATATAAAAGGTGTCAAGCAACCCTAACTCATTAGGCTAATGATTTTCCTGTTTGAGAAACAGCATGATCCAGATGTTAGATAATAACTTTGTGAGCCAGTAACTCACTTTACTTTAGCAATCTAGCAACTGGGTACCATTATTGTCTTGGCACTCAGTAAAAACGTCTTGTTGCATTTAATCCATTAGACTGAACTATTAACCAGTATTTTCACACATCTGTCAAGTAACATTAAGAGTCTTTTGGATTATCAAAGAAATGTTTTGTTGTACATGGTCTAGATTTAGTGGTATGCCTATTTAAATGTATTACAATCATATATGTGAAAATTCTCTAATTAGAACATCTGATTTTCTACACTAGTTCTTTCTCTCACAGTATTAGAAAACAGAGAGATGTCTGTACAGAAAAACTTTCTGCTTTTTTGCTCCTTTTAAAAGTGTCAAGTGTCAAAACACCTACCAAAGCAGCTGAGGAAATGAGAAAGTCAAGATGATGTTAAAAGAAAAGAGCAGAAGTGAGTGCTTTCACTGGATAGAATTCATAATGTGAAATGAGTGAAAGCACCTTTCAACTCCCTTGTTTCACACTCGCATGATATTTTCTGTCACAAAACGGTTTAAAATACCAAGCCATCCAAAGAATGGGTAATGCATTTGATGAAATGGCAAATCTTCTAACCTGGACTGCTACTTCCAATCATGTGGCTGACTGTTTAGATGTCTGGATAAATCAGAACACATTTTTTTTTTCTCATAAAGGTTGCAGCTGCCTCTCGTCATTTGTGGTGAAATATTTTTGTGTTTTATTAATCTGGTGTCTATTACCCAGGGTAAATATGTGGTAGCATTTACTGCTTACACAGGTGCTTCTGTCAACCAAGACAAGTTATTGCAAAATTTTAACCTAAAATTAAATGGAAAACGAAAATTGGCATTTTCTTTTCTATGATCTCTAATACATGTATTGCAGAGTACATTTAGATTGTCACAAATGAAGGCTTTTCTTTTCAAAATTGGCCAAATGACATTTTAATATATGGCATAATTTGTCTTATCGATAGGCTTGATACAATGAATAAGTAACTTAGAAATGCACGTTTCTCTGTTCTGGTGAGATAGGCAAGCAAGCTCAGGGACTTGTCTAGAGAATGCATTAATATGGGGAGGTTCTGAGAAAGCAAAGGTTTGCAGCCTAGACTTAGTTCCACTTAGCGGACAGAGTTCTGCCTGCAACAGTTTATGTAGCCAGAAAATAATATTTGGAACAGTGGATTGTTTCTGCCCAAGGCTAAATGCTTTTGTTTTTATCCTTTTCTAGTTTTCTTCTTCATGCACAGACAGGCACCAATTTGAAGCTTAATGACAGCAGAAACAGAGAACAACTACTGTGAGTGACATTCATTTTCCTCGCAGATGACTCCCTGATTTATACTTTAACTATAGCTTTTCCTTGATGTAGGAAGAGGCCTCGGACTGAATATGATGCAGCAGAGGCTGCTAGGCTCAGGGGAATCTCCAGTCACTTTACTTTGAAGTAAAGAGGTGGCCTGTAAATTTTTGCTGCTCAAAGTGCGATGCATGGATCAACAGCATGGCACTGGCATCTTGTCAGAGTACCAGACTCACCCCCCTACCCACCTTCTGAATCAGAATCTGCATTTTAACAATATGTCCAGGAATATGTATACACAGTAACTTCCGAGAAGTGCTGGTGTACATAGTGCATAGGTTTTATTTCATCAATGTATTAAATAATCCAACCACTAGAAACATTAGTTGATTAGGAGACAATTAACTGTACTAGTCAATGTTCTCCAGAGAAACAGAACCAACAGAATGTGTAGATGATAGATAGACAGACAGACAGATAGATAGATAGATAGATAGATAGATAGATAGATAGATCAGCTAGCTAGATATATAAAGAGATTTATTGTAAGAAATTGACTTACATAATAACCCAGGCTGAGAGGTCACCATATCTGCAGGTGGCAACGTACAGATCCAGGAGAGTCAATGGTGTAAGTCCAGTTTAAGTGTGAAGGCTGGAGACCCAGGAAGGCTGATGGTGTAAGTTCTAGTTGGAAGGCAGCAAGCCCAAGACCTCAGAAGACTTGAGGTTTCAGTTTCAAAATCTGAAGGCAAGAAAAGACTGGTGTTCCAGCTCATTTAGTCAGGCAGGCGTTCACCTCACCTGAAACATGGGTCAGGCTTTTTGTTCTAGTCAGGCCTCCTGCTGACTGGATTTAGCCTTGCAAGTCTAAATTTGTACAGAGGCCCAACACAGTTTCTAACATTTAATAGATGTTCAATAAATGATTACCATTATTGTAGTTATTATTTTTATTTTGTTTTGTAAAATAGTTGTCCAACTCACAACACACATTTATTAATTGCAGAATCTGGTCAGGTGTGGTGGTTCACACCTGTAATCCCAACACTTTGAGAGGCTAAAGAGTGTGAATTGCTTGAGCCAGGAGCCCAGGAATTAAAGACGAGCCTGGGCAACATGGTGAGACCTTACCTCTGCAAAAAAAATACAAAAATTTAGTTAAGCATGGTGGTACACGCCTGTAGTCCCAGCTACTTGAGAGGCTGAGGTGGGAAGATTGCTTGAGTGTGGGAGGCAGAGGTGGCAGTGAGCTGAGATTTCCCCACGGCACTCCAGCATGGGTGACAGAGCAAGGACTTGTCTCAAACAAAACATAAAATAAACAAACAAAAAAGATTGTTAACATAACCCTGCATCTATATTTATGACAGGCAGAAATCAATGATTTTGATTGTACCAATCACTTTCTCCGTAAGAATAAGCCAAGTTGCCAAAATAGAGAGGCCCAACAGATGTCAAGTTATGATCTATGAGGGTCAGTATTTTAATTTTCTTTGGCCAGCTACAACAAACTTGAGAGTGAACACCTGGACAATGAAAGTATCTTGCTGTATGTCTTGGAGAGGAAATGAAATATGAACAATTTATATCAATTTCTTCATATTTTTTATTTATCTACAAAACCCAGTAAATGGGCCCTACTTCCTTTTTTGAATTCTTGGAAGCAAGGAAGGGTTATGGGGTATGTAGATGTACTCAGTCTTTACATTTTTACATTAATTTGGAAGCAATTCCAGAAATATTCTAATATTATTTTGGAGGAATTCCTGGCTGGAATATTTACTAGTTTCATGCTCATGGATATCTTACTTAATCTCCATAAACTCACTTTCTTTTTATGTATTCTTTTTCATTTAAATATCTCATACGATTTTTGTAATTAGTATATGGGCAACCTGTAAAGGGTCTAATAAAGTTTTTGCTTATCTTGTCCTCCTATTTCCTTTTCTTCTCTTCCTTTTCCCTCTCCCCTTATCTTCCTCTTTTCTTCCCCCTTCTTGTCTCTTCTTCCCTCCTATCTCCCCTGTCCCTTCTGCCCATTCTTGCCTTCCTAGCTTTCCTCTCCTCTTCCTCCTCTTCCTTTCTCACACTTGTTCAAAACACAGGGCCGTTGCTCCAGGTAAATCTATTCATTTCCTTATTGGACATATTTCGGGCTTTCCCTGATTTTTCTTTTACAGACTCCTTTTACTTCTGTCTATTAATCTTTGCTAATTTCTTTCTTCAGAAACTGTTGGTATTTATCTCCCAAAATTATCTTCTGATCAACGTTATCTCATTTGGGCCACTTTTAAAAAATATCATATTCCTTCTTTTCAAATTCATTTGCGTACTGAGATGTAAGTGTTAAGACTTTTTAAAAGCATTTGATCTAAAATTTCTTAGTTGTAGGACTGTAGTTGTTGGATTGTATTTCATCTAAAAAATTTACAACAAAAATCCTATGTTTTTTTAAACATTATGTAAGTTCATTATGAGCAGGAGGAAATAGATAAATAAAAATCCTCATGTTCCAGACAAAATCTTTTTTTTTTTTTTTTTTTTTGAGACAGAGTTTCACTGTTGTTGCCCAGGCTGGAGTGCAATGACACGATCTCTGCTCACCGCAACCTCCGCCTCCTGGGTTCAAGCGATTCTCATGCCTCAGCCTCCCAAGTAGCTGAGATTACAGGCATGCACCACCATGCCCAGCTAATTTTGTATTTTTAGCAGAGACAGGGTTTCTCCATGTTGGTCAGGCTGGTCTCGAACTCCCGACCTCAGGTGATCTGCCCGCCTCGGCCTCCCTAAGTGCTGGGGTTACAGGCGTGAGCCACCACACCCGGCCAAAATCTTTAATTTGTTTTATATTGTTCCAACAATCTTTTAATGCATATATACCATGAGAATGACTAATATAAAGGCATATTTTTAATATATATGACTGTGCAATTTTTAATTAAAACACTTGATTTAATTGCACCAGAATGTTTCAGAAGAAAAACCCCAGTGTAGTTGAAATCATTTCAGAAATTCATATATTTTTCTTCACGAGACATATTACTGCCTAGAAGGCTCTTCTAAAATGAAAAAATATAGGTGTAGAAACTATTCAGAAGTTGTAATCAATTTTTTAAAACTATGTTTTAAGTCTGTATCAATTGACTCCTTGTTATGAAAGATAGAACCTTACAAGTCTCCAATTTTATTTGTCATTATTTTTACATGATTCAGGTATCCAAAGTAATATTATGACCTATAACCATAATCCCCACAGTAGTTTCTTATTATTTCTACATTTAATTGTACTTGGTGCTCATGAGTATCTCCTGTTCTTTATTTTTGCTAGATTTCATTTTCACATAGTTATTCAAGGAAAGACTCATGGGTACTCTGTTCTCTAGGATTTTTACTAGTTCCTTTATATTTGTACAATAGCTTTGCTCAGAATGATATCACTGGATAATACTTTTTTTTACTTACATTATTGCAGACATACCCTGTTATTATATGTTACAGTAGATAAGTCTGAGGCCAACCTGTCATTTTCTCCCCTTGCATTTAACTTGCTTTTTTTCTCCCTGAATACATGTAAGATTCTTATTTATTCTTAAAATTCTTTAAGAAAGATATATCTTGATTTTGAGCATTCTATACTTAATTTCCCTAAAAGCTCATTTATTATTTTAGTTTCCAGATTCATGTTTTGTTATTATTGTTCACTGCAAGGAAACATTTTTAAAACTATTACATATTTCAGTTTTCCCACTCCCACTCCATTTGTTGAATTCTTGATTTCATGGATACCAGTCATCATCATGTTAGATTGCCCTTGTCTATCCTTTGTCCCTATTTGTATTTTTTATTAACTAAATCTTATCTGTTTTCACTAAAATTTTCTCAAGCCATTCCTCTGATATTGATCCCCAGCTATGACTATTTTATCCAATAATTTTTCCAATATATTTATTACTTCTTCAATAACTATGATTCTTAATATGTATCTTTTTTTTATTTTTTTTATTTTGAGACAGGGTCTCACTCTGTCACCCAGGCTAGAGGGCAGTGGCATGGCTGTGACTCACTACAGCCTCGACCTCCTGGGCTCAAGTGATTCTCTCACCTCAGCCCCCCAAGTAGCTGGGACTACAGGTGTATGACACTATGTTCGGTTAATTTTTTATTTTTTGTAGAGACAGGTCTCCCTATGTTTCCCAGGCTGGTCTTCTACTCCTGGGATCAAGTGATGCCCCCATCTCTGCCTCCTGAAGTGCTGGGATTGCAGGCGTGAGCCACTGCACCTGGCCAGTATGTATCTATATGTCAGTAATCCTTCATCCCCTTAAAAAAAATCTCATTTTGTTGTTTGATCATTTCACCTTTGCATGCTTGTTGGTTAAATTCACAGTGACAAAAAGTTTTTCTATAGCATGGCATCTTTTCTTCATTTTTGTGGGAGGTAAGGATTTTTGTTTTCTTCTACAGTAGGTTTTTTTTTTTTCCTATGAAAAAAGATTTTCTTTTTCTTTTTACTGTAATACCATTGCTTAGTTGGCATGTGAATTATATCATCTTGTTTATGCTTGGGTGGCTATGTCCAAGTCTTTTACTCAATCTGATATAGTGTCTCACTGTATTTGAGAATTGTTTCTTTTCTTCTTCAGCAATAGTTTGAAGACTGAGTCTTTCATATGCTCCCTATTTTTTTTGTAGCCTAGGAAATTGTTAGCCGGGAGGGAGAGAACGCAACTGAGGAGGCACACAGTATTTACTTGGGCTATGCTGTTCTGAAAGTCTATGAAATGTATTGTAGGATGTTTTACTCTTTTTGGTTGGGAAGGAAGGTAGTATTTCAATTTCCATGGGGGAACACTTTAAGATTTCAGCTGGAAGTCATCATCCTCAGCAAACTAACACAGGAACAGAAAACCAAATACTGCATGTTCTCACTCATAAGTGTGAGTTGAACATTGAGAACACATGAATACAGAGAGGGGAACAACACATACCAGGGCCTGTTGGGGGTGGGGGGTGAGGGTAGGGAACTTAGAGGACAGGTCAATAGGTTCAGCAAACCACCATGGCACACATATATCTATGTGACAAACCATGCACATTTTGTACATGTATCCTGTTTTTTTTTTAAGAAGGAATAAAGAAAAAAAATTTCAGCTAATTGTTCCAATTCAGTGTGTAGTGCTACATGTTTTATTCTCCTCAGTCAGTCCTTTTGTCACTTTCTCCACTTATCTGTTTTTCCAAACCAGTATTTCTGTCAGTCCTAGTCAGAATAGGAGCAACTGCTCATTCAGTTTGCCTTTCTTTGAATCTAAGATTATGGTGAGAGGATTCAGGGGATCATGGCAGACAGGAGGCAGGACTAGACTTGTAGCTCTGGACAGAGCAGTATGTAGAGGCTTGCATTGTAAATTTTAGCTCCAGACTGACTGTAAGAACAAACCAGCAATCCCAAGAGGACCCACAGACCCTCTGAAGGACGTGGACTGCTCCTACAGGATCTGGGAGACACCCCAAATACTGTGAGTGCCATAACTGCAGAATTGGGAAAGGGAGACCCTCCTCTTCTGAACACACACTCCCACTGGAGAAGCTGAAGGTCTGTTTGTGGGAGAAGTTTCTGACTTTACCTGAAGCTGAGTCAAGTTAGAGAGCTGAGTGAAATACAAGGGTAGAGGAAACAGCAGAAAGGCCGTGAGAGCTCGCTGGGTCCCCAAGCAACCCATTCCTGCCTGGCACCACAGGGATCCATCAGGAAGGTGGCCAGATAAGCAGGGGTTAAAACTCCACAGGGAGAAGGAATTCTCTAGCCTCCTGGCCAGAACTCAGGGGAGGGCACGAATGAGGTGTGCAGACTTCACAGGTGGAGGAAGAACTAAAGCCCTGAGAGGCGGAAAGCCTCAGGCAAGTTTTCAGGCCAGTCTTGCCCTCTGCCTGGAAACAGACCCTAGGTGCTATTGGGGGGATGCATGGTGAGAGTGAGACGGCTCTTCAGTTTGTGTGGGAGCTGGGTGAAGCCCATGATGGCTGGCTTTCCCCCAACTTTCCTGACAACGTGCATGGCTCAGCAGATGCATCCATAATCCTCCTAGGTATACAACTACAGTGATCTGGGAATCTCACCCCCATCCTCTGCAGCAGCCACAGCAAGACCCGTTGAAGGAGAGTCTGAGCTCAGACATGCCTAGCCTTGCCCCGATTGGATGGTCCATTCCTATCCAACCTGGTAGTGAAAGACAAAGGTCATATAATCTTGGGAGTTCTAGGGCCCTGCCCACCACTTGTCCCTCTCCACACTACTGTAGTTGGTGCTTTCTGGAAAGTGTCACCTCCTGGCATGAGGCCAGCCAGCACAAAAATAGAGCATTAAACCACCAAAGCTAAGAGCCCTCCTGGAGTCCACTGCACCCTCTGCCACCTCTGCTGGGACAGGCAATGGTATCCATGGCTGAGAGACCCATAGATGGTTCATGTCACAGGACTCTGTGCAGACAACCTACAGTATCAGCCCAGAGCCGGGTAGACTTGCTGGGTAGCTAGACCCAGAAGAGAGTCAACAATCACTTCATTTCAGCTCACAGGAAGCCACACCCATAGGAAAAGGCGGAGAGTACTACATCAAGGGAACACCTGTGGGACAAAAGAATCTGAGCATCAGCCTTCAGCCCTAGACCTTCCCTCTGACAGAGCCTACCCAAATGAGAAGGAACCAGAAAACCAACCCTGATAATATAACAAAACAAGGCTCTTCAGCACCCCCCAAAAATCACACTAGTTCACCAGCAATGGATCCAAACCAAGAAGAAATCCCTGATTTACCTGAAAAGGAATTCAGGGGGTTAGTTATTAAGCTAATCAGGGAGGGACCAGAGAAAAGTGAAGCCCAGTGCAAGGAATTCCAAAAAATGATAAAAGAAGTGAGGAGAGAAATATTCATGGAAATAGACAGCTTAAAGAAAAAAGAATCAGAAATTCAGGAAACCTTGGACACACTTTTAGAAATGCAAAATGCTCTGGAAAGTCTCAGCAATGGAATTGAAGAAGTAGCAGGAAGAAATTCAGAGCTCGAAGATGAGGTCTTCAAATTAACCTAATCCAACAAAGACAAAGAAAACAGAATAAGAAAATATGAACAAAGCCTCCAAAAGTCTGGGATTATATTAAATAACCAAACCTAAGAATAATCGGTGTACCTAAAGGAGAAGAGAAGTGTAAAAGCCTGGAAAACATATTTGGGGGAGTAATTGAGGAAAACTTCCCCAGCCTTGTGAGAGACCTAGACATGCAAATAGAATAAGCACAAAGAACGCCTGGGAAATTCATTGCAAAAAGATCTTCACCTAGACACACTGTCATCAGGTTATCCAAAGTTAAGATGAAGGAAAGAATCTTAAGAGCTATGAGACAGAAGCACCAGGTAACCTGTAAAGGAAAACCCATCAGAATAACAGCAGATTTCTCAGCAGAAACCCTACAAGCTAGAAGGGATTGAGCCCGTATCTTCAGCCTCCTCAAACAAAACAATTATCATCCAAGAATTTTGTATCCAGTGAAACTAAGCATTATATATGAAGGAAAGATACAGTCGTATTCAGACAATCAAATGTTGAGAGAATTCACCATTACCAAACCACCAGTACAAGAACTGCTAAAAGGAGCTCTAAATCTTGAAACAAATCCTAGGAACATATCAAAACGTAACTTCTTTAAAGCATAAATCACAGAGGACCTAATAAAACAAAAATACAAGTTAAAAAGCAAAAACAAAAAACAAAACCAAAGTACACAGGCAAAAAAGAGCATGATGAAAGCAACGGTACCTCACATTTCAATACTAACATTGAATGTAAACGGTCTAAATGCTCCTCTTAAAAGATATGGAACTGCAGAATGGAGAAGAATTCACCAACCAACTATCTGCTGCCCTCAGGGGACTCACCTAACACATAAGGACTCACATAAACTTAAAAGAGTAGAAAAAGGCATTTCATGCAAATGGACACCAAAAGCAAGCAGGGGTAGCTATTCTTATATCAGACAAAACAAACTTTAAAGCAAAAGCAGTTAAAAGAGATAAACAGGGACAGTATATAATGGTAAAAGACCTTTTCCAACAGGAAAATATCACAATCCTAAACATATATGCACCTAACACTGGAGATCCCAAATTTATAAAACAATTTCTAATAGACCTAAGAAATGAGATGGACAGCAACACCATAATAGTGGGCACTGCAATACTCTGCTAACAGCACTAGGCAGGTCATCAAGACAGAGAGTCAACAAAGAAACAATGGATTTAAACTATACCTTGGAACAAATGGACTTGACACATATGTACAGAACATTTCATCCTACAACTGCAGAACACACATTCTCTTCAACAGTGCATGGAACTTTCTCCAAGATAGAACATATGATAGGCCATAAAATGAGCCTCAAAAAATTTAAGAAAATTGAAATTATATCAGCACTCTCTCAGACTGCAGTGGAATAAAACTGGAAATCAACTCCAAAAGGAACCTTCAAAAACCATGCAAATACAAGGAAATTAAATAACCTGCTCCTGAAGGAGCATTGGGTCAAAAATGAAATCAAGATGGAAATTAAAAAATTTTTCAAACTGAATGACAATAATGATATAACCTATCAAAATGTCTGGGATACAGCAAAGGCAGTGCTAAGAGGAAAGTTCATAGCCCTACATGCCTACATCAAAAAGCCTGAAAGAGCACAGACAGACAATTTAAGGTCACATCTGAAGGAACTAGAGAAACAAGAACAAACCAAACCCAAACCCAACAGAAGAAAGAAAATAGCCAAGATCAGAGCAAAACTAAATGAAGTTGAAACAAACAAACAAAAAAAAACTACAAATGATAAATGAAACAAAAAGCTGGTTCTTTGAAAAGATAAATAAAATGGATAGACCATTAGCAAGATTAACCAAGAAAAGTAGAAAGAAAATCCAAATAACCTCACTAAGAAATAAAACTGGAAGATATTACAACTGACACCACTGAAATACAAAAGATCATTAAAGGCTACTATGAACACCTCTACGCACATAAACTAGAAAACCTAGAAGAGATGGATAAATTCCTGGAAATATACAACCCTCCTAGCTTAAATCAGGAAGAATTAGATACCCTGAACAGACCAGTAACAAGTAGCAAGATTGAAATGGTAATTACAAAATTACCAACAACAACAAAAATCAAGGACTAGACAGATTCACAGCAGAATTCTACCAGACATTCAAAGAAGAATTGGTACCAATCCTTTTGACACTATTCCACAAGACAGAGAAAGAAGAAACCATCTGTAACTCATTCTATGAAGCCAGCATCAGCCTAATACCACAACCAGGAAAGGACATAACCAAAAAAGAAAACTACAGACCGATATCCTTGATGAACATAGATGCTAAAATCCTTAATAAAATACTAGCTAACTGAATCCAACAACACATCAAAAAGATAATCCACAATGATCAAGTGGGTTTCATATCAGAGATGCAGGGATGGTTTAACATACATGAGTCAATAAATGTGATACACCACATAAACAGAATTAAAAACAAAAATTATCTCAATAGATGCAGAAAAAGCATTCAACATTATCCAGCATCACTGTATGATTAAAACTCTCAGCAATATCGGTATACGAAGGACATACCTTAATGTAAAAAAAACCATCTATGACAAATCCACGGCCAACGTAATACTGAATGGGGAAAAGCTGAAAGCATTCCCTCTGAGAACTGGAACAAGACAAGAATGCTCACTCTCCTCACTCCTCTTCAACATAGTACTGGAAGTCCTAGCCAGAGCAATCAGACAAGAGAGAGAAATAAAGGGCATCCAAATCAGTAAAGAGGAACTCAGACTGTCACTGCTGGTTATATGGTTTAACTTTAAAACGCTAAAGACTCCTCCAGAAAGCTCCTAGAACTGATAAAAGAGTTCAGTAAAGTTTCTGGCTACAAGATTAGTGTACACAAATCAGTAGCTCTTCTATACAGCAAGAGTGACCAAGCAGATAATTAAATCAAGAACTAAACCCCTTTACAATAGCTGCAAACAAATAAATAAATAAAATACTTAGGAATATACCTGACAAAGGAGTCAAAAGATCTCTACAAGGAAAACTGCAAAACACTGCTGAAAGAAATCATAGATGGCACAAACAAATGGAAACACATCCCATGCTCATGGATGGGTAGAATCAATATTGTGAAAATGACAATACTGCCAAAAGCAATCAACAAATTCAATGCAATCCCCCTCAGAACACCAGCATCATTCTTCACAGAATTTTAAAAAAATTCTAAAACTCATATGGAACCAAAAAAGAGCCCATATAGCCAAAGCAAGACTAAACAAAAATAACAAATCTGGAGGCATCACACTACCTGATTGCAAACTGTGCTATAATGCCATAGTCACCAAAACAGCATGGTACTGGTATAAAAATGGCACACAGACCAATAGAACAGAATAGATAACCCAGAAATAAACCCAAATACTGAATAGCCAACTGATCTTTGACAAAGCAAACAAAAACATGAAGTGGGGAAAGGACACCCTTTTCAACAAATGGTGCTGGGATAATTGGCTAGCCACATGTAGGAGAATGAAACTGGATCCTCATTTCTCACCTTATACAAAAATCAACACAAAATGGATTAAGGACTTAAACATAAGACCTGAAACTTTAAAAATTCTAGAAGATAACATTGGAAAAAGCCTTTTAGACATTGGCTTAGGCAAGGATTTCATGACCAAGAACCCAAAAGCAAATGGCATAAAAACAAAGATAAATAGCTGGGACCTAATTAAACTAAAGAGGTTTTACATGGAAAAAGGAACAGTCAGCAGAGTAAACAGACAACCCATAGAGTGGGAGAAAATATTCAGAATCTATACATCTGACAAAGAGCTAACATCCAGAATGTACAATGAACTCAAATAAATCAGTAAGAAAAAACAATACCATCAAAAAGTAGGCTAAGAACATGAATAGACAATTCTCAAAAGAAGATATACAAATGGCCAACAAACATGAAAAAATGCTCAGCATCACAAATGGTCAGAGAAATGCAAATCAAAACCACAATGTGATGCCACCTTACTCCTCCAAGAATGGCCATAAGCAAAAAATCAAAAAACAGTGGATGTTGGCATGGGTGTGGTGAACAGGGAACACTTCTACACTGCTGGTGGGAATGTAAACTAGTACAGCCACTAAGGAAAACAGCGTGGAGATTCCTTAAAGAACTAAAAGTAGAACTACCATTTGATCCAGCAATCCCACTACTGGGTATCTACCCAGAGGAAAAGAAGTCATTATTCAGAAAAGATACTTGCACATGCATGTTTATAGCAGCACAATTCACAATTGTGAAATCATGGAACCAAACCAAATGCCCATCAGTGAGTGAGTGGATAAAGAAACTGTGAGATATATCTATATATTTATATCTCCATATATATCTCTATCTTTATCTATCTATCATCTATCTATCTATCTATCTATCTATCTATCTATCTATCTATCTATCTGATGGAATGCTATGCAGCCATAAAGAGGAATGAATTAACAGCATTTGCAGTGACCTGGATGAGATTGGAGACTATTATACTAAGTGAAGTAACTCAGGAATGGAAAACCGAACGTCGTATGTTCTCACTGATATGTGGAAGCTAAGCTATGAGGACCAAAAGGCATAAGAATGATACAAGGGACTTTGGGGACTGGGGGGAAGAGTGGGAGGGAGGCGTGGGATAAAAGACTACAAATATGGTGCAGTGTTTACTGCTCGGGTGAGTCATGCACCAAAATCTCACAAATCACCACTAAAGAACTTACTCGTGTAACCCAATACCACCTGTACCCCAATAGCTTATGAAAAAATAAAAGATTACAGTGAGAGTTCTTAGGAATTTCACCGTATTGCGTTGTACTGACCTTTTTCCCTCTGTTCAAAATCTTATCTTTCCTACATTGACTACGAGTTTTGAAGATTTTTGGTATACACAATGTCCCTTTCTTTTGTTAGTTATGGGAAAGGGAGATTATTTATTTAGGTTTATTATGCTATTTTTAACGTAGATTTTTCATCATGTTTATATTTTATACTTCCATATATTGAGATATAGTGCTCAAGTTATGTGAAATCTCAAAAAGTACTCTAGCAATTACAGTGGCAAAATTGCACAAATTAGAAGATTTTGAGTTAGAGTCTTGTCTCGGTTACTTTTTAGCTGTGGGAAATTAAGTAAGTCTCTTTTCCTTTTTGGGTCTGATTTCCCATTAACAAAACATGAGTGATTGTAATGACAACAATAACTTCTTCATTGCATGGCTATGTGGGAGCATGAAAACATACATGAAAATGGCAGGTATAAAAGAAACATTCAATATTTATAGGTGAATACTTTTCAACATATCCCTAGAACTGTACTAAAATATTGACATGTATGTTTAGAAGTGGTTAAAATTAAGTTTTAAATAATTTATTAAAAGGTGATTAAAAATGTTTATTATAAAAGAAGATGAACCTATTGAATAAAATAAGATATAAAAATCAAAATCTCAGGCTTCACTATTACAGAATATTGAAAGCTGTGTCATATTTCATTAGTAATGGCTTTGTTTTCTGTAGCATGTAGGCCCTCTGAATTTAGAAGCTACTTTTTGTTCTTTGTGGCAAATTTCTTCTTCTAGATTTACCTTCTTTTTGTTTGCCTTACCTTCTTAAATAAATAACGCAAGGCAGCAGAATTAGTATCAGTGTGGAGGTCTCTGCTGACCTGGAAAGAAAGTCTGTTAGGTATATTTTCTGTAAGAAATATGAAGTTTGCAGTAGAGGGAAGTGAAAATAAACAAGGTTTTGTCCAGTGTCACAGTCCTTGGCTGAAATATTCAAAAGACTTTTTATGCTTCTGTATATGCAGGCCTGAGTAGGAGTACCAAGAGCCGGTGGGCAGGACTTAGAATGGCCCAGGACCGACCTACCAGCTCTGACCTGATCAAAAACTGACTTGCTCAGGGTTTCTGGTTTACAGCCCCCAAACCATGAAAATTTATCATACTGCATTGCATTAGTCTTAATATATAAAAACATTATAGTTTTACAAATAACAATAAAAAATTACAATAATAGCTGCCATTTACTGAGTAGCTACCATGGAACTCTGCTGGGAAATTCCCATATATTTCCTCATTCAATCCTAGCAACACCACTGCAAGGGGGGATATTAGCCCTCATAGTAGTGATGAGGCAAATGATCATAGAATGATCAAATATCTTGTCACTATCAAGTTTCTCAGCTCCTAAGTGTCACTTGGCTGTAACTGGCTAGCATGACCATGTGTCTTAGTTTCTCAGAATATAAAGTTCTTGTTTTAAACTCTTTATTGCTTCCCAGAAATCTTAATTAACAAAAAGTTATTGTCTTCACTTTATTTTTCAAGAGCTTTATTGAACTATAACTTTCATATCAAAAGTTTACCCATTTAAAGGGTACAATTCAAAGTTTTTTAAAACATTTACAGAGTTGGACAACCATCACCATCATCTAATTTCAGAATATTTTCATCACACTAGAAAGAAGCACTGGAATTCATGTATTTGATCACAAAATGGTTAAATAGTCTTAACCTCAAAGCAATGAATTCTGCCAGACTAGTTGGCTAGAATAAAGTTCCCCCTGTGCAAATCTGAATTGCCTATTAAGTTATGGAACAAAGCAGAAAATTTAGAACAGGTGTTCCAAGCTGGAATCATTTGTAAAGGAGCAACTAGGCGGCTTGGTACTACCTGTGGCTCCTCTCCTCACTAACCCACACGTATCCTTCACCTTGGATTTCAGTCTGTCTTGTCCAGGCTTCTCCAGGTTTCTGCCCAAGAGCTGCATAAGCCTTCTGCTGCTCTAAGACCCTTAGAAGGAAACAGCTGTCATGTTTACTTGCCAATCCTGTAGCAGAGCTCTGAGCTAGCTGGGTGCCTGCTGCCAGCTCAGTCCTACAGGCTTGGGCACCAGGTCCTGCCCTCTGAATGTGCTAAGTAACACAAATCTGAGGATCCATGAGGTCCTTTTATTAACACAGAAAAGAAATGTGACCTGGATATACCTGTGAAGACAAGTACAGTTGTCAAGTCCAGGCACACAGACGAGACTGTATGCTCAACATTTGGCAGAATTTATCTCATTCAATCCTCACAACAGCCCAATTGTTTAAATTCCTTTGTTATATTTAATAGATGAGAAAACTGAGACGTGGTGACAGAACTGGTATGAATTCCCAGGTCTGATACTACCAGCAGTACTCGTAATCAGTTCAATGTGGTGCAAAAATTAAGTCTTCCGTGTATATATTTTTTATTCTCTTTTTATTCTATTGTCTAATATAGAGAAAGTGGCTACATTTTGAGTATTACTTACAATATTGACACAAAGTATGAAGACATTAATTTTAGAATACCTTATATTAATTTAATAAAAATAAATGTTTTAACACACTTTGTAATACAGTGATTCCATGAGGTAGATATACAATTGATAACAAAGGACCAGGTAAAGCTATGACTTTCCTTGGATATTTAAACCGAATTTATTATCTATATTAGTCAAATTAAGCATCTACATATTTCAATACAATGTATGTAATGTTCTTTGTGGAGATCATAAAACATTTAGCAACTGCTTTTAAGCATTTAATTTTTATTTAATTGAAATCACTATGCAACTAAATGTCTTTTCTATGATGTTAAATACCTTTTCCTAGTTGTAGAATATGATGCTCTTTCATAAAAATTTATACAGAGTTTCTAAATCTCTCTGCTGTGTGCAGACACCAATGTGCATTTATATATGTGTATATATATGAAGTTTGACATTTAAAAAGTTTATAAATACTTGTGGCTGATCATCTCTTATCATTTTAGTTATGCTATTTTTCTCCCAAGTGTTTACATGGAGAATTTTAGGTATTCCACTAATTTGCTTTTTCATCAAAATTAATAATAAGTAGTACTTCAGTCATTTTGATTGCATAAGTGTCCAAACTGCTGTTCTTAGGTAGTTTTATTTTGTGGAAGGAGATGATCTTTGTGGAATGTCTTGCTCATGTCCCTACCTTCAATCTTAAAATTTGAGATTGTGTATAATAAAAGAAAGTATTATCATTTAAAAATGTAACTTTCACAGAATGAATAAAAAAATCACAAACCAAATGTCTTCTGTCTTTAGGAGACACACCTAACATGTTAGAATTCTTATAGACTCAGAGTAAAACGGTGGAAAAAGATATTTCATGAAAATTGAACCAAAAGCAAGCAGGAGTAGCTATTCCTATGTCAGATAAAATAGACTTTAAAGCAACAACAACAGTAAAAAAAGACATAGAAGTTTATTATATAACGATAAAGGGATCAGTTCAACAAGAAGATGTAACAATCTTAAATATACATATGCACCTAGCTCTGGAGCTTCCAGATTTATAAAGCAATAACACTAGACCTAAAAAAGACAGACAATAACACAATAAGAATGGGGACTTAAACACTGCACTGACAGCAGTAGACAGATGACAAAGGCAGGAAGTCAACTAATACTGGACTTAAACTGCACTCTAAACAAATAGATCTAACAGATATTTACAGAACATTCTACCCAAGAACTGCAGAATATACATTTCTCTCATTATCACATGGAACATTCTTTGAAATAGAATATGATAGGTCACAAAACAAGTTTCAGTAAATTAAAAAAAAATCAAAATTATATCAAGTATCTTCTCAGGTTACAGCAGAATAAAACTAGATATCAATTCCGAAAGGAACCCTCAAAACTACACAAATACATGGAAATTAAACAATCTGCCCCTGAACAATTTTTGGATTACCAATGATATCAAGATGGAAATTAAATCATTTTTCAAAATCGATGATAATAGTAACAAAAGTTATCAAAACCTCTGGGATACATCAAAAACAGTGCTAAGAGGAAAGTTTATAGCACTAAATGCCAACATCAGAAAGTCTGAAAGATCACAAATTGACAACCTAATGTCGCAACTCAAGGAACTAGGGAAACAAGAACAAGTGAAACCCAAAATGAACAGAAAAAAAAATAACAAAGATCAGAAGAGAATTAAATGAAATTGAAAGCAAAAAAAAATTTACAAAATATCAATTTAACAAAAAGCTGGGTCTTTGAAAAGATAAATAAAATTGATAGAACATTAGCTAGATTAACCCAGAACGTTTCAAATAAGCTTATTAGAAATGAAAATGGAGACATTACAACTGACACTATAGAAATACAAAAGACCATTCAAGACTCCTATAAATACCTCTGTGCACACAAACTAGAAAATCTATAGGAAATGGGTAAATTCCTGGAAACGTAACCCCGCCAATGGCCCAGCTTGAATCCGGAAGAAACCAAGGTCCTGAACAGACCAATAACAAGCAATGAGATTAAATCAGTAATAAAAACCTGCCAAAAACAACAACAACAAAAAGCCCAGGACCAGACAGATTCACAGACAAAACCTACTAGACATTAAAAGAAGAACTGGTATCAATTCCACTGAAACAATCCCAAAAGATTGAGAAGGACAGAATCCTCCATAGCTCATTCTACAAAGCCAATATCACCCTGATACCAAATTCAGGAAAGTATATAACAACAACAACAACAAAAACCTACAAGTCAATATCTCTCATGAATACAGATGCAAAAATCCTCAACAAAATACTAGCAAACCATATCTAACAGCACATAAAAAAATTTCACCATGATCAAGTAGGTTTCAGTCCAGGGATGCAAGGATGGCTCAATATACACAACAAACATGATTTATCACATAAACAAAATTAAAAACAAAAACCATATGATTATCTCAATAGATGGAGGAAAACCATTTGATAAAATCTAGGATTCCTTTATTAAAGAAAACCCTCAACAAACCAAGCCTAGAAGGAACATACCTCGAAATGGTAAGAGCCATCTAAGACAAATCAACAGCCAACATCGTACAGAACAGGGAAGTTGAAAGCATTCCCCCTAAGAACTGGAACAAGACAAGGATGCCCACTTCCATCATTTCTATTCAATATATTACTAGAAGTCTTAGCCAGAGCAATCAGGCATGAGAAAGAAATAAATGACATCCAAATTGGAAGAGTCAAATTATCTCTGCTGATATGATCTTATACCTAGAAAACCCTAAAGACTCCTTCAAAAGATTTCTAGATCTGACAAATGAATTCAGTAAAGTCTCAGGTTACAAAATGAAATGTACACAAGTCAGGAGCACTGCTATACACCAACAATGACCAAGCTGAGAATCAAATCAAGAACATAATCCCTTTTACAATAACTATAAAAATAAACCCACCTAGGAATATACTTAAACAAGGAGGCGAAAGATCTCTATAAGGAGGACTAAAAAACACTGCTGAAAGAAATCATAGATGACACAAAAAATAGAAATACATCCCATACTCATGAATAGGAAGAATCAATATTGTGAAAATGACCATACTGCTCAAAGCAATCTGTAGATTCAATTCAATTATTATCAAGATACCAATATCGTTTTTTACAGAATTAGAAAAAAAAATCCTAAATTCATATGGAACCAAAAAAAAAAAAAGCTGGATAGCCAAAGCAATTCTAAGCAAAAATAAATAAATAAATAAAAATAAAAAAATTTTTAAAAAATCTGATTTCAAGTTATACTTCAAGGCTATAGTAACAAAAACAGCATGGTACTGGTATAAACTTAGATATCAATGGAATAGAATAGAGAATCCAGAAATAAAGACAAATACTTGCAACCAACTGATCTTTGACAAAGCTTCCTATTCAATAAATCATTCTGGGAAAACTGGTTAGCCACATGTAGAAGAATGAAACTGGATCCGTATCTCTCACTATATAAAAAAATTAACTCCTCTGGGCACAGTGGCTCACGCCTGTAATCCCAGCACTTTGGAAGGCCAAGGTGGGGGGATCACCTGACGTCAGGAGTTCAAGACCAGCCTGACCAACATGGAGAAATCCCATCTCTACTAAAAATACAAAATTAGCTGGGCGTGGTGGTGCATGCCTGTAGTCCCAGCTACTCGGGAAGCTAAGGCAGGAGAATCACTTGAGGCGTGTGTGTGTGTTTAAGCACCAAGATTGGAGGGAAATATACCATAAGGAAAGTGAAGAGAAATTTTAAAATAAATACAGGCCAAATTTATAACTTTGCTTAAAACAGGTTCTTCTGCATAGAAATCTCAGTAATTGTATCCAGACATCCAGGCTCATTAACAAGACTGGGACATACCTTTTGGAGATCAACATTCAGGGAAAGGCATGAGGATAAGATGTTTTAAACTATTTCCATTAAGGGTATGGTTACTCCTCTTTTTAAATTATACTTATGTTCTGGTATACATGTGCAGATGACGGGTTGATGAGTGCAGCAAACCACCACGGCACATCTATACCTATATAACAAACCTGCATGTTCTGGACATGTATCCCAAACAAACCTTGTTATATTATTTGCACCATATAGACTTAATTTTGAAATATACAATTATTAAACATGTAGAGGAAAACACAGGCTAGATATTTGTGACTTTTATTAGGCAAAGATTTCTTAGGTATAACACCGAAGGCATGATCAATAAAAGTAAAGTTTTATAAGTTGGACTTAATTAGAATTAAGAACTTTTTACTTCAAAAGAGACTTTTAAGCAAATAAAAAGAGAAGCTGTAGCCTCGGGGAAAATAATGGCAAATCACATATTTGAAGAAGGGTTTGTATCTATAATATATAAAGAATTCTCAAAACACAGAAATAATGGGAACAGAAACCCCAATCAGAATGGGTAAGCCTTTTACACTACAAACACTTCACCAAAGAACATACACAGATGGCAGATAAGCATATGAATACATGGTATATATAGTCATCATTAGTCATTAGTGAATTACAAATAAAAAACACAATGAAATGCCACTACGCACCTATTAGAATGTTTTAAAAGTATGATTATGCCAAGTGTTTTCAAGGACGTGAAACAACTAGAACACTCATGTACTGCTAGTGGGACTATAAAATGGTACAACCAGTGTGGAAAACATTTTGGCAATTTTTAAAAACTTTTAGACATAGACCTCAGTGTTTTCATCCTAGTACTTGGCCAAAATGAACACAGACACGTGTCCATTGAAAGCCATAGTCGTAGCATCCCCAAATTGGAACCAACCTAGTGTACATTAACATGTGAGCACTTAAACATATTGTGATATATTCATAAAATGGAATGCTACTCAGCAATAAAAAGAAGTAAATTATTGTTATATTAAACACCATGCACAAATTTTAAGATAATTATGCTGGAACCAGATAGAAAAAGCAAACATATTTTACGATTCCATTTGTATAACATCCTACACAATGCAAACTCATGTATAGACAGAAAGCAGATCAGAGGTTCTTGTGAATGGGGAGATATTAGGGGAGAAAGTACAAGGGGGCAAGAGGAAGCTTTTGGAAGTGAGGTATATGGTCACTATTTTTGTCATGATGATGGTTTTTTGGGTGTATACTCATGTCAGAATTAATCAAACTGTATATTTTCAGTATGTGCATGTTAATTGTATTTCAATTACACCCAAATAAAGATGTCTTTGAAAAGCTTAGCACCCGGTTCATGTTCTATGAATAGTAGTAATCTATCAATATAAATCATTTATAATTTCATTTAATTTTATATAAGTAACATTTCAAATGCGTTTTTGTGCAGTACAAAAATAAACTTCAAAATGTGTACTTGTATAAAGAACCTCAAAGTTACTAAAGTAAGTTAATAGGTGAAGTACACTGTATAATAAAAATGAACAGTTTAGTTATCACTAATATCTACTTTGAAAAATTTTAATAACCAATCTGTTAAAGTAAGCTTCACAATTATATATAATGTAATATTTCTGTTAATTTTTGTTTGATAAAATATAGTATAAAATGTGTAAATCTTATACAGTTCAATGAGTTTTTACAAACTGAATACACCTGTGAAATCAGTACCCATATAAAGATATTACCATGCTTCTTCCCTGTTATTACCTCCTAGATAACCACTATTATGACTTCTGTTGGGTAGATTCATTTTGTATTTTCCAAATCTTATATAAATGTGATCCTATAGTAAGGCTCATAGATTGATTTTGTGTCTATCTTCTTTCTACTCTACATTATGTTACTAAAATTCAACCATGTATCCGAAGTTATTTTCTGTTTATGCATAATATTACACTGAAAATTTATTTATCTATTGTTATGGGTGGCATTGTGAACTTCAAACAGATATGTTGAAGTCCTAACCTCCATTACCTCAAAATGTCACCTTATTTGGAAATAGGATTATTGCAAATTTAATTAGTTTAGATTAGGTCATTAGAGTAGATCCTAATCTAATCTAACTCGTATACTTATAAGAAGAGGAAGAAAAGATTCAGACAGAAATAGAAACAAGGAGAAGATTGACCTGTAATGACAGAGGTAGAGCTTGGAGTGATGCATTTTACAAGTCAAGGAACAATAGAGATTGCTGGAAAAATACCAGAATGGAGAATAGGCAAGAAAGGATTCTCTCCTAAAGGATTCAGTGGGGGTGTGGCCTTGCATGACACCTTGATTTCAAATTTAGGCCTCCAGAACTGAGACAATACAGTTGTTTTAAATCACTTGAGATACTTTGTTATGAAAGCACTTGGGAACTAATACATCCATTTAATAAAAGTGATAGGCAAACATATAGGTTCCAGTTTGGGGCTCACAAACAATTTTTCTGTAAAATTTTCACATTGCCATACATATATATGAGATAATGTGGGTTTGGTTTCAGACCATCACAATAAATATCTCAATAAAGTGAGTCACACAATTTTTTGGTTTTCCAGTATACAAAAATTATGTTTACTCCTTACTGTAGTCTATTAAGTATGCAATAGGATAATATAGGAGTTCAGTCAGGGTGGCTGGAGAAATTGTAAAATTATAGGAAAAATGCAAACTTTCTTGGAAGGCCAGAAGGGTTTACAAAAGCCTCAGGATAGGGTTATGGCTGAAAGCAGCCTAATCCTCTTACCTTGAGTTCATAGCTTAGAGTAGGTACAAAGGAATGTAAGGGAGTTTATCTAAAGAGTTTGTTTACTCATGTGGTCCTAAGACTGACCTTTGATCATTCCTAGGACTGCTCTTTCCCGGGGAGGGTGACCAGATTAATTACCCACAGGTGTGTTGACTCAAAGCCTTTGTCATTAACTCTGTGCTGAATAAATGCCAGCAGGGCTAGCTAGTTAGGGTGAGGCTGCCACAACTCTTTCTGTGAGTAGCCTGGCTCCCTGGCCTGCTCTTTCACTGAATATTGGTGTCTGAGTATGTTATTCATCTGTCGTGCAGCCTGGGTCTGCAGGTCAGACCCCGGCAGGATTATGTGTAAAAAAATGTACATACCTTAAATTGCTAAAAAGGTCCACGATTATCCGAGTCTTCAGTGAGTCATAATCTCTTTGGCATCCCGGGTTTTTCCTTAATGTTGATAGCTGCTGACTGATTGGTGTGATTGTTGATAAAGGTTGGGGTGTCTGGGGCAATTTCTTAAAAAAGACAACAGTATAGTTTGCTGCATCAATTGACTCTTCCTTTTATGAAATATTTTCTGTAGCATGCAGTGCTGTTTTATAGCATTTTACTCACAGTAGAACTTCTTTCAAAATTGAAATCAGTCCTCTCAAACCTTCCTGGTGCTTTATTAACTACATTTACATAATATTCTAAATTCTTTGTTGCCATTTTAACAAACTTCACAGCATCTTCACCAGGAGTAGATTCTGTCTCAAGAAATCACTTTCTTTGCTCATCCATATGAGCAAAATCCTCTTCTATTGAAGTATGATCATGAGATTGCAACAATATAACCACATTTTCAGACTCCACTTCTAATTCTAGTTCTCTTTCTAATTCTACCACATCTGCAGTTACTCCCCTGAAATCTCGAACCCCTCAAAGTCATCCATAAGGGCTGGAATCAACTTCTTTCAAACTCCTGTTCATGTTGATATTTTGGCCCCCTCCCATGAGTCATGACTATTCTAAATGGCATCTAGAATGGTGAATCCTTTCCAAAAGGTTTTCAATTTACTTTGGCAAGCTGTATCAGAGGAATCATTACTTTTTGTCAGCGATAGACTTATGAAATGTATTTATTAAATAATGACTTGAAAATTGAAATTACTTATTGATCTATAGGCTGAAGAATGGATGTTTTGTTAGCATCTTTCAAAACATCGATCCCCTTGTACATCATCATCAACACTTTTAGGTGAACAGGTGGATTATCAATGAGCAGTTATATTTTGAAAGAAATATTTTTTTTCTGAGCAACAGGTTTCAACAGTGGGCTTAAAATATTCAGTAAACCATGTTGAAAGCAGATGTGCTGTTACCCAGGCTTTGTTTTTTCACTTATAGAGCAAAGGCAGAGTTGATTTAGCATAATTCTAAAGGGTCTTAAGATATATCTCGTGTGTGTGTGTGTGTGTGTGTGTGTGTGTGTGTGTGTGTGTGTGTGTGTGTGTGTATGTGTGTGTATGTTCTATGGAGTTTATTAGGGAGAATTGGCTCACACAATTCAATTACAATGCAAAGTCCCACAACAGGCTGTCTGTAAGAAGCTGGGGAAGGGGAGAAGTTGGTAGCATGGCTCACTGCAAGTCCCAAAACCTCAAAATCAGGAAAGTTAACAGTACAGCTCTGGTCAGAGGCTGAAAACCTGAGAGCCCCCAGGAGGCCACTGGTGCAAGTCCCAGAATCTAAAGGCCAAAGAACCTGGAGTCTGATGTCCAAGGGCAGGAGGAGAGGAGAAAAGTGTCTGGCACAGGAAGGGGGGTGGGGGGGGAGAGAGAGAGAGAGAGAGAGAGAGAGAGAGAGCAAGAGGACTCAGCAAACTGCTTATCTGCCTTCTCCCACCTTCTTTGTTCTAGCCACATTGGCAGCACGTTGGATGGTGCCCATGCACATGGAGGGTGAGTCTTCCTCTCCCAGTCTACTGACTCAAATGTCAGTCTCCTCTGGCAACACCCTCGCAGACAAAGCCAGAAACAATACTTCACCAGCTACCTAGGCATCCCTCAATCCAGTCAAGTTGACACCCAGTATTAACCATCACAGCCCTTAACAACAGAGTTAGCTTGTCTTTGAAACTTTGAAGCCCAGCGTTGATGTCTCCTCTCTAGCTATGAAAGTCCTAGATTGGATCTTCTTCAATAAATGGATATTTTGTTTACACTGAAAGTCTGTTTTTGTAGTCTCCTTGATCAATTTTCTTAGCTAGATCTTCTTAATCACTTGCTGAAGCTTCTCCAACAGAACTTTCTGCTTCTCCTTGCATTTTTATGTTATGGAGATGGCTTCTTTCATTAAACCTCATGAACCAATCTCTGCCAGTTTCCAACTTTTCTTTTCCAGCTTCCTATCCTCTCAGCCTTCATCATATTGCAGAGTTACAGCCTTGCTCTGGATGAGGCTTTGGCTTAAGGGAATCTTGTGGCTGACTTCATCTTCTACTCAGACAACTAATCCTTTCTCTATCTCAGCAGTGAGGCTGTTTTGCTTTATCATTCCTGTGTTCACTGGAGTAGCACTTTTAATTTCCTTCAAGAATTTTTCCTTTGCATTCACAACTTGGCTGTTTAGCACAAGAGGCCTAACTTCTTTTGGCCTATCTCACTAGGCCAAAACATGGCGTTTTGACATGCCTTTCTCACTAAGCTTAATCATTTCTAGGTTTTGATTTAAAGTGAGGTTGTGATTTAAAGTCATCTGTGTGACTCCTTTTTTTCCCTTTAACACTTAGAAGCAATTGTAGGGTTGTTATTTGGCCTAATTTCAATATTGTTGTGTCTCAGGAAATAGAGAGGCCTGAAGAGAGAAAGAGAGAGGGAGAAATGGCCAATTGGTAAAGCAGTCAGAACACATACAACATTTGTTGATTAAGTTTGCTGTCTTGTATGGGTGTGGTCCATGGCACCCCAAATCAGTTACAATATTGACATCAAAGATCAGTGATCACAGATCACTATAACAGCTATAATAATAATTAAAAGTGTTTCACATATTCTGAGAATTACCAAAATGTGACACAGAGAAAAGAAGTGAGAATATCCTGTTGGGAAAATGGCACCAAAAGATACTTGATGCAAGGTTGCCATAAACTTTCAATTTGTAAAAAATGCGGTATCTGAAAGTGCAATAAGTAAAGCATGATAAACAAGGTAAGCCTGTATTTTTTTAATATATACATATATATGGATATACATTTGTGTTGTGCATATACCTACGATATGAGTCAAGTTACAGATATGTTAAGTTTTAGAAGACAATGTATAAGAATTTTCCAAAATGCTTTATAATTTTCATTCTAACTTATAGTTTATAAAACTTTCAATCACCCCATATTTTTGTTATCTCTTGCAACTTTCACATATTTTTAAAAATGCATTTTGTTGGGTGTATGGTTGTATCTTATGATGATTTTTAAATTTGTATTTTCTTGATGACTAATATTAAACATATCAACATGATTATTGGTCCTTTCAATATATTTTTGTGAAGTGGTTGTTAAAGTCATTGCTCATTGTTCTTATTGATTTGTAGTTGTTCTCTCTATGCTCTAAATATGCGGTCTTTGTCAGATACATGTATTGCAAACATTTGTGATCCCTATATGCGTTGCCTTTTCACTGTCTTGATGGTATGTTTTGATTAATAAAAGTTCTTAATTTTAATGAAGCCTAATTTATATAAATGTTTTCTAGATGCCTTTGTGTCATTTAAATCTGTTTGCTTATATTAACATCATTAATGTCATCTCCTATGGTATTAAGAATATCATTAAGATATTCTCCTCTAGAATTTTTATTTTATATTTAGGACTACAATCACTCTGGAATTGATTTTTGTATATAGCGTGAGATGGGGATAAAGATAGTTTTTTCCCATCCTTTCTTCCACTAAATTGTTGTAATTCACATGACTGTATATATATGGACCTGTATCTCTCAGTCTATTTATCTATCCTTTCACTAATATTATTAATTACTACATAATGTCTTGCTAGCTGTTAGAAAAAGTCTTCTATTTCTGTTTGATCTCAAAATTCTTCTTGCTCATTAAGGTCCTTTGCATTTCTTTAAAAATTTTGTAATCAATTTGTAAATTTTCTCAATAATTTGCACTGAAACTTTTAATGAGACTGGATTGAGCATCAAGATTGCTTGGGGAAACTTGACATCTTTGTAGCATTAAGCTTCCTAATTCATGACATTCTAATTCTATTTATATTCTCTTTAATTGCTCTCTGAGGTATTTTTGTACCAAAAAATAATTCAATTTAATTCAGTTTCAACCTCCCATATATTTTAATTAACTTTTCTTTTCTTTTATATTCTTGACATCTTTATGTATTAAGTAATATAGCCTCCTTGAATACTTGGAAATGCTTTCTGTTTCTAATTTCCAGAGTATTTTATACAACATTGGTCTTTGTTTTAAACACTAGTGAAATGAATCAGTAATGTTATATAGACCTATAGTTACGTTTGTGTAAAATTTCTAGAGTACAGATTAAATTTCATTGTATGATACAGGGCTAATTAGATTTTCGATTTCTTCTTGTGTCAGATTTGATAAGTTACATGTTTTAAGGAATTTGTTTGATCCCAAGTATCATACTTTTTGACATGAAGTTATTCATAATATATTTGTATTATCATTTAATGTCTGTAGAATCTGTAGTAATGTGTCTTCATTCCTAATATTGGTAATTTTTATTTTGTCTCTTTGCGTTCATCAGTTTGCTAAGAATTTATTACTTTTATTCATTTTCAGCAGCCAACCTTTGCATTTGTTAATTTTCTCCATTGTATGTGTTTTTGGTTTTATTAATTTCTGCTTTTTTAAACAATGTTTTCTTGCTTCTTCAGATAAAATTAGATAATACTTTTCAGTCTTGATTTTTTAAAAGATTTAATATTATAATTTCTTTCTAAGCACTATATTCTATGAGCTAAAATATGTCATATTTTCAAAATATTGTCTAGTTAAATTTCTTTTTTGACCCGTGATATTTATCTTTTATTCACTTCAAGTTGTTTCGTTATTCTCTTGATATTTATTTCTTGATCAATCCTATTGTGGTCAGAAAACATACTTTGTATGATTTCAATCCTTTTACATTTGGTGATTATTGCTTTATGGACCAGGATATGGTCAATTTTGGTAAATTTTCTATATGAACTTTAAAATAACATGAACTCTACATGTTTAGATACAATACTGTGCATATTTTGCTTATGTAAATTTGGTTATTTTATGGTTCATAGCTTCTCTGTCTTAAGTATACACGTACACACATATACACACAAATATGCATATGCACATCACACACATACAGAAATACACACTAATGTGTGTGTAAACTTTTCTGCTTGTTCTGTCAATTAACATGGAGGACTGTTGAAACACTCAACATTCAACCAGGATTGTACATTTTTTATTTCACCTTTTAATCTTCGTTTTTGTGAGGTGTACATTTTCAATTTGTCCTCATTCCTATGGAAGAGCATTTTGTAGGTCTTAACAGACAACTCAAGTTGTAGTCAATTCCCCTTGTCAGTGAATTTTGAATTATAATCTTTGTCTTCTAAGAATGGTGAAATTATAGAAATTGCTGCTTATTTTTATAGTCTTTTAGCAGCTGTATTCTGCTTCGTCTTGGCATTTCATACTGCATATACGCCGTTTAGGAACTGGCAAATATATTGAGTGATAATTGCATGAAGAATGTTGGGCTCATTTCTCTGAGGCTGTCATTTTTTAAGGAACTTGGGATTTCAGTTCTCCAAATCCTTGATGCCTTGATTCCTGTATAATTTGTTCAAACCGCAGTTTTTTAGTTAACCTGGCTTTTGGAATTGTTTTCAATCAAAGGGTAAATCTGATACCACTACTGTGCCATAGTCACTGTACCTTATTTATTTCAATATGACTTTAAGCCTTCTTGAGGGTGGATGGAATCCTGTCTGAAAAAAATCTTCATAAACCTATGAAGCTGTTAAAAATATTAGGTATTTCATCAATGAATAGAAGGGAATATAATTATTTTGCTTTTCTTCTCAATCACTAAAAGCCTAGTGCAGCAAGCAGGATAACACAGTGGATTAAATTCTGTTTTACAGTGGGAAATATTTGGGCACTTAATCTAAGTTTTGTGTTACAAAGCAACTGAGTCAAGTTATATAACATAACTTTACAAAAAGGATAACATTTTGCAATGTTTGCATGCGCATTAAATGAGATAACACATACTGTGTGCTCTAAAATATTCAGTTGATTTCTTTGCATCTTCACCCAGCTTAGTAACAAATATTTTAATTACAATTGCTAGGTCAGCATTTATTTTTTCCAAATGAGAACACAAAGAATAACATTTTAGGTACTTGTACAAAGTTTCAGTTTTATAGATTTAGTGATAGCAGTGACTCAAATGACAGGGAAGCTGGTACTTACACAGAACTTTTCAATGCTTCTTCAATTTTACTGGTGTGCTCCAGGGAATCGGGCATCAACCTGAAAGCACAACCTGGCAAAAAAGAAGTCTTTTTGCCTCAGAGTTAGCAAAGAATTTAGCCTTGTGAGGAACAGAACTAAAGTTCAAAGACTAACTTAGGCCTGTGCACAGTATCATTTTCTCTCCTTGAATCAAACCACTTTATGTCAAAAAGGAGAAATGCTCAGGAGAGCTGCCCCCACATAGCTGAGTTCAGCTTCTTTTGATCCAGCAAGAAGATACTACAACCTCCAAAGGACTAAGACTGGATGGAGAGTCCCAAAGACCTGAGTACAGGTCACGGCTGTCATCTAAATAGACACAGTTCCTGCCATCAGCCTATGCACCATATAGGTTTTGTATCTGGAAGGTGAAGGCTTGCTATTCACCTTATCTCTGGAATCACAATTTTGTTCCCTTCGTATAATTTATCATTAACTTCTCTATATTTATACTTTTGAAAATATGCTTCCTCTTGAGCTAGTAAAGCAGAATCACCAGAGCTTTAAAAATGGTTTTGCTATTGGGAAAATAATCTTAGGAATTATGTAAATATAGTGCTCGAAAAGAGTTAAAATCATGTATGTGAGAAGTGAAGTATTATAGAGGCATTTATATCTCTCCTGTTGTGGATTATAGTTAAAATTGAATCAGGAATAGAGAAAATGTAAATAAGCCTATTTTATACTAAGTATGGAGATAAAATGTTCAATAGCACAGTCAAGATCCTCTCAATTTAGTTTAGTGCAGGGAGTATTAGAGTTTAATTGAAATGTTGATATTAAAATTTCCCCAAATAAAAAGAAATGGTATTAGAGAAAATGATGAGAAAAACATCTATTGCCTGGGAAATATCATTTACTCTTCATGATCCTCGATAGCAGATTAATGTCTCTCTAAGTTGAATTTAATTTTCTTCTAGTCATAAATCTAAATGATCCAAACAACCTGAGATATTCACAGCAGACTTTAAAATAATGTGGTCAATTTTGTTGGTGTCTCATCTGTGCTTCTCAAAGAAGCACTGGGGGTGGGGTTGTAGCCTGGTTTTATTCTTGTCACCTTTTGCAGCTTCTAAAATGGAAATTTTATTTTCTAGTGTTCGTGGCACTATGTACCTTGTGACAAGGGGAGCCATGAATAGAAGGCTTCCATTTATTATTTGTCTCCGTACAAGGAAAACTACATTTTTTTCACTAACTCTGGAATATCTTCAATTTATCAAAAGATTCAACAAGCAGTCAATCTTGAAAGTAAACACCTGATAAGGATTAAAATGCCACATGAAAAAAAATTAAAATGCATCATCAAAGAAAGGATTCCAGTTGGACCTTACTTCCTGGAGTAGAATCCACATGAGCTATGGGGTACTTAATGCAATAGCTTTTGGCTACAAAGTATTTTATCTCTACAGAAAGGTAAAGAAATAATTTAGTGGAAATACCAGAACTCATTATAAACTTTTGCTAAATCATACCGCCTTGACAATTTACCTTAGTATTTCTTTTACATTTTAAAGCAGATAACATTACAGATACAGTTTAAAAGCTTTATGTACTAATTCCTGAACCCTTTTCCCATTTCTCTTCCTCTTCTGAAATAATTGTCCTAAATGTGTTTTTAAAAATTTCTGTGTAAGTGTATATGTATTTACAAAGATACATATATGTGCACATATACTTACACGTAATATAAATGCAAGTGAACATGTATGTATATGTGTGTAAGCAACACATATATGATGTGTATTTTCAAACTTCATAAAAGTGATTCATAGTGTACATTTTTTAACTTCTAGATCAGTCATTTAGCTGCTACATAGGGTCCCCTAGTGTAAATAGATCACAGTTTATCTATCCATTCTTTTGATGTCAATTTTTTAAGTTCATTTCAATCTTTTTACTAATGCTGCAGTAAACATTCTTGTGGATGACTCCTGGAATATACAGGAATGTTGTAGAATAGAGAAACATGTGAAAGTTTCTCTAGGACATGAACATGTGCCTAGGAGTCTGGGAATGAAGGAAATATATACCTTCAACTTTACTTTTTATTAGTAGCTGTACCAATTTACATTCCCATCAGCGGCAAATTAAAGTTCCAGTTTCTCTACATTTTTGCTGACACTCGATATTGTATAGATTACATATTGTAGTATATAAATTGAAGAGGTCATAAAATTAAATAAAAACAACTCCAGAAATGTTACAAATTGCTACATTGATCTCATAGTCCCTAAGAATAAACTTTATGAAATTAAAAAAAGTTAACAAAATTAGCAAATATATTTTGCTTACATAAATATTAGTCCTATCTAGAAAACCCAAAACAAACATAATTAAAAACTTCCTTTCTTTCTCTCTCTCTATTTTGGTGAAATATACAAGGGATTACATATCTTTCTAAATCCTGCATAGATTACTTTTAAGGTAAAAATAATCATAAGGATATTCTCCAAGATGTCCTGCAAAGGCTACCCTGTGGCAATGAGCCAGTGCCTACTGTACAGTGCTAGTTTAAAGGGGATAGCTCCTTAGAGTCTCACTTTAACTGTTCACTGAGCAAAAATTCTCCACAAGGCTCTCACACGCTTGCTCTTACGTACTGATTCCCCAAGCAGGTGGAATGATTGTTCTTTCCTGAATGCATGTTGTTTGGATCCATAACACACAATTCCAATTAAGACTAATCCCAAAACACATTGCAACTACAAGAACCACATTGCTGACAGATTGTTGTTTCTCAATACATATATTTGGGCAGAGAAATTGTATAATAACTATATTCGAGGTTAAAAAATGGTTTATTACCAAATTGGATTAATTTTATCTCTTTTTGTCTTCATAAAGGGGCAAAGTCCTCTGATTTCTTTTTCTTCCAATACTTTTCTGTTGGTGGCAGAAATAGAATAAAAGCTATTAGGACTGATATTAGAATAAAAGCTATTAGGACTGATATCTAGTTGGATAATCAAAAAACCTGGCTAAAGCCAAGAATCATGAAATGTAGGTACAGTGTCTCTTTGAATATCTTATTTTGGTTTAAGACATATAACTGCACATTTATTTACAATATTTTTACGTAAAGATCTTTTCTTAGAGGACAAATTTGTAGACTTCTGTTTATTCTTTGTAGCACAAACCATACACAGAATTTAATCTATGATTTCCAGTTTAGTACTCTAGAGTGGAACATGATTAAAAAAATAGCAGATATATCTTTTAGGTTTTTGTTACTTTTCTTTTGTCACTCATATTTTATCAATGTGCATACTATTTAATTAAAGATCACAATTGTCATAAGAAGTGTGTTTGCTAACATAGTAAGTTTGCGAATTATCACAACTAACTCATGTAGAACGCTGAATTATATCTGTGGACCAGAGGTGCCAAGCATACCAGTGGGGAGCTGACAAGCTGAGAACATTTCACATGTAGCAAAATGGGCAATATTAATTACTATTCATGTTGGTAAAGTACACATTTTTAAGAGAAAATATTTTTCTATCATTACAGTCACAGCAAGTAAGGCAATGTGGGAATCAGTTTCTTTGATTTTAATTAACCATTTCTGAGGAAAATAGAGGATAGTCTAAGGTATCAGAAAAACTTCTAAAAAGTCAAATCAATATTAGCTCAAGGTGGTTTTGTGATTCACAGAACAGAAACACAGCTCAGTATCTAGAGGCTCTAGTCACAGACCTACTGGGCTCTGGGACCAGGAAGCAAGCAGAGGAGGCTGGGAATCAACGTTGTGTGGTAGCAGTGACTAGGCTGGCTCACACAGCACCAGGAGTTAGATTAAAGACATCAAACAGAGGCAAGATACAGTCATGATCAGTAATTAGAAAAGTTTTGAAGGCTACCTTTGCAGCTAGTATTGAGTGGTTGACTAGAGAAAAGGAGGTAATCAGAACCCAGGCCAAAGTGCTCATTGACAGAGACTGTGTTTGTGGTGATCTCAAGAGACAAAGGCCCTAAGCATTCATTGTAATACTTGTGTCTGAAGTACATACCTGTGAGCTGTTTAGAGACAACTATAAAACCACAGACTCAGAAGTTAAGACTCAGAAGAGAGAAACAAATACACATATAAATAAACCCAAATCACAACAACAATAGCAACATAAAACATCCCAAGAAATTCCCTATACATGTGGGCTTAAAATTAAGATTCCGAAGTACAAGAGGAAATCAATTCCATGAAAGACAGTCACAAATTCAACAAGCAGGTTTCCTTCTTAAATTCAGAATGGTCAGCCACTGTTACCTTGTATTAGTTTGTTTTCAGACTGCTGATAAAGACTTACCCAAGACTGGGCAATTTACAAAAGAAAGAGGTTTATTGGACTTACAGTTCCACAGGGCTGGGGAGGCCTCACAATCATGGTGGAAGGCAAGGGGAAACAAATTACGTCTTACATGGATGGCAGCAGGCAAAAAGAGAGCTTGTACAGGGACACTCCTGTTTTTAAAACCATTAGATCTTGTGAGATTTATTCACTATCACGAGAATAGCACAGGAAAGACCTGTCCACATGATTCAATTACCTTCCACCAGGTCCCTCCCAAAACATGTGGGAATTCAAGATGAGATGTGGGTGGGGACACAGCCAAACCATATCGTTCCTCCCCTGGCCCCTCCCAAATCTCATTTCCTCAAATTTCAAAACCAATTATGCCTTCCCTACATTGCCCCAAAGTCTTAACTCATTTCATTATTAACTCAAAAATCCACAGTGCAAAGTCTCATCAGAGACAAGGCAAGTCCCTTTTGTCTATGAGCCTGTAAAATCAAAATCAAGTTAGTTACTTCCTAGATACAATGGGGGTATAGGTACAGCCATTCCAAATGGAGAAATTGGCCAAAACAAATGGGCTACAGGCCGCATGCAAGTGCAAAATCCAGCAGGGCAGTCATATCTTAAAGCTCCAAAATGATCTCCTTTGACTCCATGTCTGACATCCAGGTCACACTGATGTAACATGTGGCTTCCTATGGTCCTGGGCAGCTCCACCCCTGTGGCTTTGCAGGGTACAGCCTCCCTCCCCATGGCTTTCATGGGCTGTTGTTGAGTGTCTGTGGCTTTTCCAGCCACACGGTGCAAGCTGTCGGGGGAGCTACCATTCTGGGGTCTGGAGGACAGGGGCCTTATTCTAACAGCTCCACTAGGCAGTGCCCCAGTAGGGACTCTGTGTAGGGGATCTGACCCCACATTTTTCCTTCCACACTGGCCTACCAGAGGTTCTTCATGAGGACCCCGCCCCTACAGCAAACTTCTGCCTGGGTATTCAGACTTTTCCATACATATTCTGAAATCTAGGGGGAGGTCCCCAAACCTCAATTCTTGACTTCTGTGTACTTGCAGGCTCAACACCATGTGGAAGCTGCCAAGGCTTGGGGCTTGCACCCTCTGAAGCCATGGACCCAGTTCTACATTGGCCACTTTCAGCCACAGCTGGAGTGGCTGGGACACAGGGCACCATGTCCCTAGGCTGCACACAGCACCCTGGCCCACGAAACCACTTTTTACTTCTAGGCCTCTGGGCATGTGATGGGAGGGGCTGCCATGAAGACCACTGACATGGGCTGGAGACATTTCCCCCATTGTCTTGGAGATTAATATTCAGTTCCTCGTTACTTGTGCAAATTTCTGCAGCTGGCTTGAATTTCTCCTCAGAAAATGAGATTTCTTTTCTATTGCATTGTCAGGCTGCAATTTTTCTGAACTTTTATGCCATTTCCCTTATAAAACTGAATGCGTTTAACAGCACCTAAGTCACCTCTTGAAAGCTTTGCTGCTTATAAGTTTCCTCCGCCTGATATCCTAAATCATCTCTCTCAAGTGCAAAGTTCCACAAATATCTAAGGCAAGAGCAAAATGCTACCAATCTCTTTGCTAAAACATAGCAAGACTTACCTTTGCTCCAGTTCCCAACAAGTTCTTCATTTCCATCTGAGACCACCTCAGCCTGGACCTTATTGTACATATTACTATCAGCATTTTGGGCAAAGCCATCCAACAAGTCTCTAGGAAGTTCCAAACTTTCCCACATTTTCCTGTCTTCTTCTGAGCCCTCCAAACTGTTCCAACCACCCCTACCTGTTACCCAGTTCCAAAGTCATTTCCACATTTTCGAGTATCTTTTCAGCAGCGCCCCACTCTACTGGTACTAATTTACTGTGTTAGTTTGTTTTCATGCTGCTGATAAAGACATATCTGAGACTGGGCAATTTACAAAAGAAAGAGGTTTAGTGGACTTACAGTTCCACATAGTTTGGGAGGCCTCACAATCATGTTGGAAGGCAAGGAAGAGCAAGTCACATCTTAGGTGGATGTCAGCAGGCAAAAAGAGAGCTTGTGCAGGGAAACTCCCATTTTTAAAACCATCAGATCCCATGAGACTTATTCACTATCACGAGAACAGCACAGGAAAGACCTGCCCTGTGATTCAATTACCTCCCACTGGGTCCCTCCCACAACATGTGGGAATTCAAGATGAGATTAGGGTGGGGACTCAGCCAAACTGCATCATACGTCAAATACTACCTTTCTGTCATTACCTATATCTTCTACTTCATAAACTTTCCATTACATGTCAGTCTATCCCTCATGTTTCTTCTCTTATCTTTCACATTTTTTTTTTTACCTATTTATATTTCTTCATAGTGGTCTGGGTTAATTCCTCAGTATAGTCTTTCAATTCTCTTATTTTCTCTGTGTCTTTGCCTAAACTGGCATGCATCTCATAATTTAATTTTAATGTAGATATTTTCATTTCCAAAATTAATAATCAATACTTTAAACAATCTTTATCTGGTTTTGATTTATATTTGTATTTGTATGCTTTTTAAAAAATAAATTTTGTTCTTACTTTGTGGATATTTTTTCTTCTTTTATCACTTTGAGGACTTCCAAAATGATTTAAAAATGTTTTTCCAGCATAAATTTTAACTTTTTGGCCTGTATTCAGGAGGAAATTATCCTAGCTAGCTATGCATCATTCAAGAGTGAGAAAGAAATGAGACACTCTCAGAAATACAAACCTGAAACTTTAGAATTAAGAGATTCTTGCTAAAACATTACTATAAGATATTCTGTAGCAAGAAGGAAATGAATGCAAAAAGAGAAATATCATGCAATAAGTAACCATGAGCAAAAATAGCAGTAAATGCTATTGGAAAGGCTTCTAAGTTAAGAAAAAGTACAATTAACTTTAAGTCTTAGAAGATGATTGCAAAGGGGTTGGAAGGTTGCTAAAGGATGTCAATTTCCTGTTATTTGAGTAGAGAAAAGATGTATTGAATAATTTAAGACTTTGTCAATGTTAATATTAAACATTGAAGAGTAAACACTAAAAAATGTTTTTTAGAGAATATGTGTGGCAAAGTTACATGTATGTGAAACACAGAAATCTAAGGAAGACTTAACCATCCAACAGAGAGTAGGATATGAAAAGAGAAATAGAATAAAAAGAATGGTAAACAAAAATATAAAAAGATT
The DNA here is from genome assembly GCF_000001405.40 of Homo sapiens. Classification (NCBI taxonomy): domain Eukaryota; kingdom Metazoa; phylum Chordata; class Mammalia; order Primates; family Hominidae; genus Homo; species Homo sapiens. The sequence goes on along the minus strand of NC_000003.12, from coordinate 176,456,143 downwards.
GGACAAATAAGGGTTCACAATTATCTGTAATCATAAGATATGTTAATGTACTAAACGATTACATATAAACTACTAGTTATTGTATAAATAATATATCTATTTAAGAATTACATAAGTAAAATTCAGACAAGCATAGCTTATAAAAATGCTTAGGCTGGGCACAGTGTCTCACACCTGAAATCCCAGCATTTTGGGAGGCCGAGGCAGGCAGATCACCAGAAGTCAGAAGTTCCAGACCAGCCTGGCCAACATGGTGAAACCCCGTCACTACTAAAAATACAAAAATTAGCTGGGCATGCTGGTGTGTAACTGTAATCCCAGCTACTTGGAATGCTGAGGCACAAGAAACACTTGAACCCGGGTTGCAGTGAGTTGAGATTGCACCACTGCACTCCAGCCTGGGTGACAGAGTGAGACTCTGTCTCAAAAAAAAAAAAATGCTTAAAGTAGTACAGAAAAGTTGAAAATAAATAAATAAATATACTATAATACACCAACCAACATGCTGTTGGTATAGCAATATTAACATCAAACAAAAATTTTCAGGAAAAAACCTTAGGGTTGGAGAGAAATTTTGCAAAATCAGAAAAGGAAAAACAAAAGATATTACAATACTGAACTTGCATGAACACATTTTTCTTTTGAAATTTATATAGCAAAACTAAAAAGATTTACAAGTATAATCTCAATGACATTTTAAAATATCTGTCCGAGAAACTAAATGTATTAAACATATAATATTAGTGAGCATTTAGACTACTTGAATTAAACAGATACAATTGGTTAATTGGATGTCATAGATCTAAAAAATAAAGATCATGTATTCTTTTTAAGCAAAAACAGAAAACTTAACAAAAATTGACCATATCACAATGTGAGAGATCATATAAGTGCAAATTACTATATTTACAGATGCAACAATATGGTCGTATTTTAGATAAAAGTAAAGTATTTGATCAAATTCAAAACATGTTAAACATAAATTCCTTTAGCACTTGCTGTGTGATGGGCACTTTTCTAGGCACTGAGGACGCTAAATAAGTGAAGCAAAATCTCTGCCCTTATATACACTACAGTATAATGTATTTTTCTTCTACATAGAAAAATAAAGGAGGAAAGAACTGAGGATGTGTGCCTTTGCATAAATGTGTGCACTATTTTAGATATTTTAGATGGTATGGTCAAGGACTGTCTTTTTGAAGAGATAACAATCATGCTGATACCTGAATGGGGGGAGAAATAATTCATGAGAAAATCTGGGGGAAGAGGGTTTCAGGCAGAGAGAACACCAATAACAAAGGCTAACTGAAAACTATTTGACTTGATCAAGGAACAACAAAGAAAGCATCGTATATGGGCCAGATTGAGAGAAGCAGAGAGAGGTAGATGATGAGGTCAGATCATGTAGAGCCTCAAAGGTCATGATAAACATTTAGATTAAAATTTGCATCTGGTGGAAAGCTGTTGGATAAATTTGAGAGGAATGACATCAAATATTATGCATTTTTAAAACATTACTCTGCTTGCTGTCAAAATGGATTCTCATGCAAAGACAGCAGGAAAGAGGTTATCGTAGTTGAATTGAGAGATGGTAGTGGCTGTCTAAGTCAGTTGGGGTGAAAGTGACTATGTTATGGTTTTAAAGGTAGGGCTCATTGAATTTGCCAGTAAGTTGGATGTGACAAATATAGGAAAGAGAAGAGTCTGGAATAACTCCTAGGTTTGGACCTGAGTCTCTGTGTAAATGCTGGTGTCATTTATTGGGACAAGGAAGTTTAGGAGAGGAGCAGAGTTGGGGAAGGAGAGCAAGACTCTGTTTTAGGCACATTAAGTTGGAGATGACTGGGCTAAATAGGAACAGCTCCAGTCTACAGCTCCCAGCGTGAGCGACGCAGAAGATGGGTGATTTCTGCGTTTCCAACTGAGGTACCGGGTTCTCACTGGGGAGTGTCAGACAGTGGGTGAAAGACAGTGGGTGCAGTGCACCATGTGTGAGCTGAAGCAGGGTGAGGCATCGCCTCACCTGGGAAGTGCAAGGGATCATGGAATTCCCTTTCCTAGTCAAAGAAAGGGGTGACAGACGGTACCTGGAAAATCGGGTCACTCCCACCCTAATACTGTGCTTTTCCAGTGGGCTTATCAAATGGCACACCAGGAGATTATATCCTGCACCTGGCTCGGAGGGTCCTACGCCCACGGAGCCTCGCTCATTGTTAGCACAGCAGTCTGAGATCAAACTGCAAGGCGGCAGCGAGGCTGGGGGAGGGGCGCCTGCCATTGCCCAGGGTTGAGTAGATAAACAAAGTGGCTGGGAAGCTTGAACTGGGTGGAGCCCACCAGAGCTCAAGGAGGCCTGACTGCCTGCCTCAGTAGGCTCCACCTCTGGGGGCAGGGCACAGACAAACAAAAGACAGCAATAACCTCTGCAGACTTAAATGTCCCTGTCTGACAGCTTTGAAGAGAGTAGTGGTTCTCCCAGCATGCAGCTTGAAATCTGAGAACGGGCAGACTGCCTCCTCAAGTGGGTCCCTGACCCCCGAGTAGCGTAACTGGGAGGCACCCCCCAGTAGGGGTGGACTGAAACCTCACACAGCCGGGTACTCCTCTGAGACAAAACTTCCAGAGGAATAATCAGGCAGCAGCACTTGCGGTTCACCAATATCCGCTGTTCTGCAGCCACCACTGCTGATACCCAGGCAAACAGGGTCTGGAGTGGACCTCCAGTAAACTCCAACAGACCTGCAGCTGAGGGTCCTGACTGTTAGAAGGAAAACTAACAAACAGAAAGGACATCCACACCAAAAACCCATCTGTACGTCACCATCATCAAAGACCAAAGGTAGATAAAACCACAAAGATGGGGAAAAAACAGAGCAGAAAAACCGGAAACTCTAAAAATCAGAGCACCTCTCCTCCTCCAAAGGAACACAGCCCCTCACCAGCAATGGAACAAAGATGGACGGAGAATGACTTTGACTAGTTGAGAGAGGAAGGCTTCAGAAGATCAAACTATGCCAAGCTAAAGGAGGACGTTCAAACCAATGGCAAAGAAGTTAAAAACCTTGAAAAAAGATTAGATGAATGGCTAACTAGAATAACCAATGTAGAGAAGTCCTTAAAGGACCTGATGGAGCTGAAAACCATGGCACGAGAACTACATGATGAATGCTCAAGCTTCAGTAGCTGATTCGATCAACTGGAAGAAAGGGTATCAGTGATGGAAGATCAAATGAATGAAATGAAGCAAGAAGAGAAGTTTAGAGAAAAAAGAATAAAAAGAAATGAACAAAGCCTCCAAGAAATATGGGACTATGTGAAAATACCAAATCTACGTCTGATTGGTGTACCAGAAAGTGACGAGGAGAATGGAACCAAGTTGGAAAACACTCTGCAGGATAATATCCAGGAGAACTTCCCCAACCTAGCAAGGCAAGCCAACATTCAAATTCAGGGAATACAGAGAACACCACAAAGATACTCCTTAAGAAGAGCAACTCCAAGACACATAATTGTCAGATTTGCCAAAGTTGAAATGAAGGAAAAAATGTTAAGGGCAGCCAGAGAGAAAGGTCAGGTTACCCACAAAGGGAAGCCCATCAGACTAACAGCTGATCTCTCGGCAGAAACTCTACAAGCCAGAAGAGAGTGGGGGCCAATATTCAACATTCTTAAAGAAAAGAATTTTCAACCCAGAATTTTTCATATCCAGCCAAACGAAGCTTCATAAGTGAAGGAGAAATAAAACCCTTTACAGTAAAGCAAATGCTGAGAGATTTTGTCACCACCAGGCCTGCCATACAAGAGCTCCTGAAGGAAGCACTAAACATGGAAAGGAACAACCAGTACCAGCCACTGCAAAAACATGCCAAATTGTAAAGACTAGGAAGAAACTGCATCAACTAATGAGCAAAATAACCAGCTAACATCATAATGACAGGATCAAATTCACACATAACAATATTAACCTTAAATGTAAATGGGCTAAATGCTCCAATTAAAAGACACAGACTGGCAAAGTGGATAAAGAGTCAAGTCCCATCAGTGTGCTATATTCAGGAAACCCATCTCACGTGCAGAGACACACATAGGCTCAAAATAAAGGGATGGAGGAAGATCTACCAAGCAAATGGAAAACAAAAAAAGGCAGGGGTTGCAATCCTAGTCTCTGATAAAACAGACTTTAAACCAACAAAGATCAAAAGAGACAAAGAAGGCCATTACATAATGGTAAAGGGATCAATTCAACAAGAAGAGCTAACTATCCTAAATATATATGCACCCAATACAGGAGCACCCAGATTCATAAAGCAAGTCCTTAGAGACCTACAAAGAGACTTAGACTCCCACACAATAATAATGGGAGACTTTAACACACCCTGTCAACATTAGACAGATCAACGAGACAGAAAGTTAACGAGGATATCCAGGAATTGAATTCAGCTCTGCACCAAGCAGACCTAATAGACATCTACACAACTCTCTACCCCAAATTAACAGAATATACATTCTTGTCAGCACCACACCACACCTATTCCAAAATTGACCACATAGTTGGAAGTAAAGCACTCCTCAGCAAATGTAAAAGAACAGAAATTATAACAAACTGTCTCTCAGACCACAGTGCAATCAAACTAGAACTCAGGATTAAGAAACTCACTCAAAACCGCTCAACTACATGGAAACTGAACAACCTGTTCCTGAATGACTACTGGGTACATAATGAAATGAAGGCAGAAATGAAGATGTTCTTTGAAACCAATGAGAACAAAGACACAACATACCAGAATCTCTGGGACACATTTAAAGCAGTGTGTAGAGGGAAATTTATAGCACTAAATGCCCACAAGAGAAAGCAGGAAAGATCTAAAATTAACACCCTAACATTACAATCAAAAGAAATAGAGAAGCAAGAGCAAACACATTGAAAAGCTAGCAGAAGGCAAGAAATAACTAAGATCAGAGCAGAACTGAAGGAAATAGAGACACAAAAAGCCCTTCAAAAAATCAATGAATCCAGGAGCTGGTTTTTTGAAAAGATCAACAAAATTGATAGACCTCTAGCAAGACTAATAAACAAGAAAAGAGAGAAGAATCAAATAGATGCCAAAAAAAAAATGATAAAGGGGATAACACCACTGATCCCACAAAAACACAAACTACCATCAGAGAATACTATCAACACCTCTACACAAATAAACTAGAAAATCTAGAAGAGATGGATAAATTCCTCGACACATACACCCTCCCAACACTAAACCAGGAAGAAATTGAATTTCTTAATAGACCAATAACAGGCTCTGAAATTGAGGCAATAATTAATAGCCTACCAATCAAAAAAAGTCCAGGAGCAGATGGATTCACAGCCAAATGCTACCAGAGGTACAAGGAGGAACTGGTACCATTCCTTCTGAAACTATTCCAATCAATAGAAAAAGAGGGAATCCTCCCTAACTCATTTTATGAGGCCAGCATCATCCTGATACCAAAGCCTGGCAGAGACACAACAAAAAAAGAGAATTTTAGGCCAATATCCCCAATGAACATCGATGCAAAAATCCTCAATAAAATACTGGCAAACCGAATCCAGCAGCACATCAAAAAGCTTATCCACCATAATCAAGTGGGCTTCATCCCTGGGATGCAAGGCTGGTTCAACATATGCAAATCAATAAATGTAATCCAGCATATAAACAGAACCAAAGACAAAAACCACATGATTATCTCAATAGGTGCAGAAAAGGCCTTCGACAAATTTCAACAGCACTTCATGCTAAAAACTCTCAATAAATTAGGTATTGATGGGACGTATCTCAAAATAATAAGAGCTATCTATGACAAACCCACAGCCAATATCATACTGAATGGGCAAAAACTGGAAGCATTCCCTTTGAAAACTGGCACAAGACAGGGATGCCCTCTCTCACCACTCCTATTCAAAAAAGTATTGGAAGTTCTGGCCAGGGCAATCAGGCAGGAGAAAGAAATAAAAGTTATTCAATTAAGAAAAGAGGAAGTCAAATTGTCCCTGTTTGCAGATGACATGATTGTATATCTAGAAAACCCCATCATCTTAGCCCAAAATCTCAAGCTGATAAGCAACTGCAGCAAAGTCTCAGGATGCAAAATCAATGTACAAAAATCGCAAGCATTCTTATACACCAATAACAGACAAACAGAGAGCCAAATCATGAGTGAACTCCCATTCACAATTGCTTCAAAGAGAATAAAATACCTAGGAATCCAACTTACAAGGGATGTGAAGGACCTCTTCAAGGAGAACTACAAACCACTGCTCAACGAAATAAAAGAGGACACAAACAAATGGAAGAACATTCCATGCTCATGGATAGGAAGAATCAATATCATGAAAATGGCCATACTGCCCAAGGTAATTTATAGATTCAGTGCCATCCCCATCAAGCTACCAATGACTTTCTTCACAGAATTGGAAAAAAACTACTTTAAAGTTCATATGGAACCAAAAAAGAGCCTGCATTGCCAAGTCAATCCTAAGCCAAAAGAACAAAGCTGGACAAAGCTGGAGGCATCACGCTGCCTGACTTCAAACTATACTACACGGCTACAGTAACCAAAACAGCATGGTACTGGTACCAAAACAGAGATATAGACCAATGGAACAGAACAGAGCCCTCCGAAATAATCAGAACAGAGCCCTCAGAAATAATACCACACATCTACCACTATCCGATCTTTGACAAACCTGACAAAAACAAGAAATGGGGAAAGGATTCCCTACTTAACAAATGGTGCTGGGAAAACTGGCTAGCCATATGTAGAAAGCTGAAACTGGATCCCTTCCTTACACCTTATACAAAAATTAATTCAAGATGGATTAAAGATATAAATGTTAGACCTAAAACCATAAAAACCCTAGAAGAAAACCTAGGCAATACCATTCAGGACATAGGCATGGGCAAAGACTTCATGTCTAAAACACCAAAAGCAATGGCAACAAAAGCCAAAATTGACAAATGGGATCTAATTAAACTAAAGAGCTTCTGCACAGCAAAAGAAACTACCATCAGAGTGAACAGGCAACCTACAGAATGGGAGAAAATTTTTGCAATCTACTCATCTGACAAAGGGCTAATATCCAGAATCTACAAAGAACTCACACAAATTTACAAGAAAAAAAAAACCCATCAACAAGTGGGCGAAGGATATGAACAGACACTTCTCAAAAGAAGGCATTTGTGCAGCCAATAGACACGTGAAAAAATGCTCATCATCACTGGCCATCAGAGAAATGCAAATCAAAACCACAATGAGATATCATCTCACACCAGTTAGAATGGCGATCATTAAAATGTCAGGAAACAACAGGTGTTGGAGAGGATGTGGAGAAATAGGAACACTTTTACACTGTTGGTGGGACTGTAAACTAGTTCCACCATTGTGGTAGACAGTGTGGCGATTCCTCAGGGATCTAGAACTAGAAATACCATTTGAGCCAGCCATCCCATTACTGGGTATATACTCAAAGGAATATAAATCATGCTGCTATAAAGACACATGCACACGTAATGTTTATTGTGGCACTACTCACAATAGCAAAGACTTGGAACCAACCCAAATGTCCAACAATGATAGACTGGATTAACAAAATGTGGCACATATACACCATGGAATACTATGTAGCCATAAAAAATGATGAGTTCATGTCTTTTGTAGGGACATGGATGAAGCTGGAAACCATCATTCTCAGCAAACTATCACAAGGACACAAAACCAAACACCGCATGTTCTCACTCATAGCTGGGAATTGAACAATGAGAGCACTTGGACACAGGAAGGGGAACATCACACATCGGGGCCTGTTGTGGGGTGGGGGGAGAGGGAAGGGACAGCATTAGGAGATATACGTAATGTAAATGATGAGTTAATGGGTGTAGCACACCAACATGGCACATGTATACATATGTAACAAACCTGCACATTGTGCATATGTACCCTAGAACTTAAAGTATTTTATATATATATCTATATATATAAAAGTTTGAGATGACTATTAAATATCCAAGGGGAGGTGCTGAGTAGGAAATTTGTTATAAATCCTAGAAAATAAAGACTAGGTAGGGACTTCCCCTACCTTACAAATGGCCCCTGCCAATCAGCAAATATCATATACCCAGTCAAACAGCATCATTTCTATCTAAGTAGCAACAGTTAAAAGGCCTCATGTTACTATTTCTCTTTAGCATATTTATAAAGACAATTTCTAACCAATGCTACTGCTAACCAATACTACTGCATATAAAATTTTAGATATGAGGTATAAGTATTAGAAAGAAACAGATAAAATTATAGTCTTTTCTTTTTTTTTTTGAGATGAGGGCTCACTCTGTCACCCAGATTTGAATGCTATGATGTGATCTTGGCTCACTCCAACCCCCGCCTCTTAGGTTCAAGCAATTCTCCCACCTCAGCCTCCCAAGTAGCTGGGATCACAGATGTGTGCCACCATGCCCAGCTAATTTTTTGTATTTTTGGTAGAGAGGGTGTTTCACCATGTTCCTCTGGCTGGTCTTATCTTAGACTCCTGGGCTCAGGCACTCCACCCTCCTCGGCCTCCGGCATAATCCACCACACCCAGCAAGTCGTTGACACATGATATGTTTTTATACATGTAAAAATCCAAGGAAACTCTTAGGAAAACTATTACTATTAATAATAATTTAGTACATTTTACTCAATAGCAATTCTATTGCTTTCCTATTGCTGCTATAGCAAATTACCACAAATTTAGTGCCTCAAAACAACACAAATATATTACTTTACAGTTCTGTAGGTCAGAACTCTGAAATGGATCTCCATTTTCAAATCCAGCAGCGTAACACCTTCCAACGTCTCTCTAACTTTCACTCTTCTATTATTCTCTTCCACTAAGAAAGACCCTTTTATTGTGTTGGTCTACTGGGATATTTCAGGATAATCTCATCATATCCAGGCCAGCTAATTAGTAGCTTAATTTTATGCACAGCCTTAATTCTCCTTTGCCTTAGAATCTAATATATTCACAGATTCTGGAGAATTAAGATGTTGATATTTTTGAGGGAGTGTTATATCATTGGTCACACCAATCATCAAAACTAAAATGATTATTTCTCCTATCAATAATCATAATTTAAAAATGTAACAGTAATAGACACTTTATAAGAAGAGTATGGTTTATTTGATATCAAGGAAGAAATCTAATAAATATTGTGCAGATAGTTACAAACCATTATTGAAGGACATGAAGGAAGGCCTGAATAAATAAAAAAATACCATATTCATGGTAGATAAGACATCATAAATACGTCAGTCTTCCTCAAATAAACCTATACATTTATTAAATTCTAAATAAGAAAATTGATTTCAAATACAATAAAAAGATTCAAGGATGGCCACGAAAATCATAAAAGAGGTGAGGCTTACCATACATCAACACTTGTTGTATCAGAATTAAAACAATATGGTTTTGGTACAGAAGAAAAAAGTACATTAATGGAACAAAGCAGGTAATAATAAAAATGACCTAAGAACATACAAGAACTTGGTGTATGGTAGAATTGGCAGTATGGATCAGGGGAAATCTTTAGGCATAAACTGAATATAACTGCTGACTAATACTTAAAATAAGAGGCCAACCATGTCATTTTGAAGACATTTATTTGTAGGTGCCAATATAGAGTGAGTCAAGATATATGAAATAGAATGAAACACACCAAATTGTTGCCGTTGGGAAATGGTAGAGGGGAGAAGGGTGGGGTTGGGAAGTGCATGGGAGGAAAAACACCAGAAAATTTAATTTTAAATGTTAATTTTTAAATTGTTCAATAAACAAAATATTTGAAGCAAAAATGGAAAATATGAAAATGTGTTTACTGTAGTTGAGTGGTAGTAAGAAACCCCTATAATTTTCTGTATTTTAAACTATTTAATAGAGAAAGAGCAAAAAATGCTTCTTAAGCCTCAGAAATATATAATTTACTCTGCCAAAGGCCTTGGCAATGTAGGTTTTGAAAGCAAACTGTTCACTAAACTTTAAAAAAATAACCATGGTAACCACTGCACCATGCTACAAAGTGCTCAATGGACCTATTGTATTTGTCAGAAAACATAGGGATTTGGAATTATAAATGGGGTGTGGTAACATGAGTATCTTTCAAAAAAAATTAGCCTTCTCTTACTATTGTTAATTTTTAAATATTTTCTATTTTCAGGCCTAAAACTAATGGTATAAAGCAAAATGAGGTAGTAGTTGAAGGAATATCTGGAAACACTGTTGAAGCTTGTAGCCTATACCCCCTTATCAAGTGTTAAAAAGCAGTAGGATATAATCTCTGGATTTTCAGTATATTGCTCTATCACAGAAACTACTGCTGGATAATTCATGGAGACTGAGAAATAATGTATGTGTCCAAGAGAGGGAAAAGTAAAAAGATGCTGGTGAGTTTTCTTACTTTTGAAGGCTTTTCTCAGCTTTTTGTTGTTGTTGTTCTTGAAATTCTATCCCTTCTTTCATTTCTTTCTCTAAACAGATAGACTCTTTTGCTTATTTATTTGTCTTTAATAAATATTTTTGTGTACCAGCCTGCCCCAAGTTCTGTGCTAGGGATTAAAGTAAATAAAAACCAAAACCACTAAACCTATCCTAAGTTATTTACTGTTTTCTCATGTTTGGGAACACATCGAAGTAGTTACCACTTAATATCCACATAAAGATTTTAAATCACTAGGAAGCCTTCCTCTCAAGAAAAAGCAATCTACTAACTGAACGAACAAAATTCTGTACCATGTTAAAATGTATATGCCATATAGTGCCCAGCTCCTTTTGGGGTAGGTGCTATATAAAATCTTGCATTTCCTTAACACACTTTATTTACTGCTCACATGTAATTACATATTCAGGGTCACTTTGCCTACCAGACGCTGAGATACTCAAATACAGGGTCATGGCCTAGGTCTGATTATTCATTGCTATATAACCCCAGCACCTTACATAATTCTTGATGCATATTAGGTACCCAGTAAACATTTGCGGAGTAAATGAATGAATATTAGTGTGGTGATATATGTCTGAGGTGCCTGCATTACTCTGTTTCATACGTCCCCCTACAACGCCAAGTAACTTATTTCTAGAGAAAGATTCAAGGTGAATCATTACGAAAGAGCATCCCTAAATTGAGAATGTATAAAAAGAGATGCTCACACTGTAAATTTCCTTTTTATTAGTGCTTTTGGGGTTAATAACATTCTTGAATACATGATATTTTTACTTGCTCTTTTTTTTTTTTTTTTTTTTGAGATGGAGTCTCGCTCTGTCGCCCAGGCTGGAGTGCAGTGGTGCGATCTCGGCTCACTGCAAGCTCCGCCTCCCGGGTTCACGCCATTCTCCTGCCTCAGCCTCCTGAGTAGCTGGGACTACAGGCACCTGCCACCGCACCCGGCTAATTTTTTTCACGCCATTCTCCTGCCTCAGCCTCCTGAGTAGCTGGGACTACAGGCACCTGCCACCGCACCCGGCTAATTTTTTTCACGCCATTCTCCTGCCTCAGCCTCCCAAGTAGCTGGGACTACAGGCGCCCGCCACCACACCCGGCTAATTTTTTGTATTTTTAGTAGAGACGGGGTTTCACCGTGTTAGCCAAGATGGTCTCGATCTCCTGACCTCGTGATCCGCCCGCCTCGGCCTCCCAAAGTGCTGGGATTACAGGCGTGAGCCACCGCGCCCGGCCTACTTGCTCTTTAAAGTGAAGGGAATGTTAGTCTTAAAAAAATAGGCATGATGTATTTCCTAACAAATCTGTGCAATTATTTTATATATATTTACAATTTTATATCTAGGTTAGCATGTGGCAAGAACAGTTTTACCACGAAGGAGGTTTGGGTGATCCAGTACCCCTTGGCTTCAAAGTGTTTACCGAAGCCACAGGCATCTGAGATTACACAGCCACTCTTCGATGGCCAGGATGTAGCAAAGAATGCTCTCAGATGGAATTACTTTGCCATTCTTCATGGCATGGGCACTATTGCTTTGTGTCAGCTGTGAATTTTCTAAATTTACTGCTGTATCTTTTTTTCCTTCTTCTTCTCATCCTGTCTTTCCAGATTATCAGTACATCCTACTGGCTTTAGAGGAAATTTTGAATATTTCGTCTATTTTACTCTTTCCACTAACACTCTGGCCAAGGGCATCATCTTCCCTCTATTGGGACTTGCCCAGTAGACTTCCATTTGTTTTTCCAGTTTCCACTCTTGCTGCTACTGTCTGTTATTTATTAAGAAGCCACGACTTCTCCATGTGCTACAAGGTTGTATTAGGCCATTCTTGCATTGTTATAAAGAAATACCCAAGACTGGGTAATTTATAAGAAAAGAGTTTTTATTGGCTTATAGTTAGGCAGGCTGTATTGGAAGTGTAGTGTCCACATCTGCTTCTGGGAGGTCTTAGGGAGCTTTTACTGGTGGCAAAAGGTGAAGTGGGAGCTTGATGAGGGAACGTGCCACACATTTAAACAACCAGATCTCAAGAGAACTCACTCACTATGGCCAGGACAGCACCAAGCCATGAGGGATCCCTCCAGCATGGCCCAGTGTTTTAACCTGCTGCCATTTGAAGCATCCAGGTTGTTTCAGAATTTTGCTAATGCTTAATGACACTATTTTTGCCTATTGGAAAAATAGTTCCTATGTTAGATAGCTTCTTAGGTCTTGAACCCTGATCTTTTATCTTTTTAACAAAGTCTCTGCTAATGCTTTTGATATTAGTAGACATTTCCAAGTTTTTTTGTAATTATTTGTCATTAGGAGAACTTTAGAGAGCTAAAACCAATGATAAAGGACTATGAAACACAAAGTGTACAAAGGGACTGTTTGTAAAAGTAGTGAACAATGAAAACACATGAACACAGGAAGGGGAACAACAGACACTGAAGCCTGTCGGCAGGGGATGGGGGAGTGCAGGGGACAAGGAGAAGGAGAGCATTAGGAAAAATAGTTAATACATGCTAGGCTTAATACTTAGGTGATGGGTTGATAGGTGCAGCGAACCACCATGGCACATGTTTACCTATGTAACAAACCTGCACATCTTTCACATGTACCCTGTAACTTAAAATAAAATAAAAAATACCTCTATATATACCATGGAATACTATGCAGCCATCAAAAAGAACCAGATCATATCCTCTCCAGGGACATGGATGGAACTGAAGGCCATTATCCTTAGCAAACTAATGCAGGAAGAGAAAACTAAATACTGCATGTTCACACTTATATGTGGGTGCTAAATGATGAGAACACATGGACACATAGAAAGGAACAACAATGGGGCTTATCACAGGGTGGAGGTTGGGAGGAGGGAGATCAGGAAAAATAACTAATGGGTACTAGGCTTAATACGTGGGTGTTTAAATAATCTCTACAACAAACCCTCATGACAAAAGTTAACCTATGTAGCAAACCTGTACATGTACCCCTGAACTTAAAATAAAAGTTAAAAAAAAAAAAGAATGATGTCTCTGGAGCTAGATCTACATGGTTCAGATTCAGTCTGTCATACAGCCATTCTGTCAAATTGTTTGCATTCATTGTATCTTAAGTTTCCTCATCTGCAAATTAGAGATAACAGTTTCTACTTCTGTGGAATCATTGTAAAGATAAAATGAGTTGATCAGTGCAAGACATTTTTAACAGTGCCAGAAACATCATATTGCTGAACAATTGTTAGCTGTTATTTTTATTATAATGGCACAGTTATTATTAAAGGCCAGCATTTGTGAGAAAAATGTCTTATTAACATTTACACTTGGCTTATTGTTCAAAGTCATGCAGCATATTTTGGAAAGAAAAGCTCAACTTTGATATATCATATTTGCTAATTTTGGTCAACTTGTTTGCAAATTTCTCTTGAACAGAGAGAAAGAGAGAGAGAGAGAGAGAGAGAGAGAAGTAGTCAATGATTCATTTTAAGTAGTAATTTCACTTTGTTTTTCATCTTTAGGAGATAATCACCCACTCTGCTCCTGAAAGAAAACAACAACAAAACAACAACACTGGAAAACCACAAAATATAACTTGCTTTGCATAGAATTTGAATTTATTTTTCCATTCTATATTTTAAATTTATTGCAACAGCTTGTAATGCCTAACAAGGACATCTTTTGTAAAATTTCAATGAGTTAGGAAGTTTTTCTTTGTTGCTTTTAGTATGCAAATTGCCAAATTTAATGTCAGAAAATTAAAAACCTGCATCAAAACCAGAAAATAAAACCAACTGCAAGAAGAAAGTTGAATTGATAAGTAAACTTTTTAGAAGTTAAGTGTATGGTAAAAACATTACATTAAAAATGAAACATTTGCTTTAAATTACATTGTTTTTGCATGTCTATGATGCCTCTCTAAAAGACTATTGGTACTTATTTAAAAATTTATTTCAATCTAACTTCCTGTATTTAACACTTAACAACAGTGAATGCTTTTTATAAGCAGTTTTTTAGCAGATATACTTCGCAAATTTCAAGGTAACTTATTTTTTCTAATTTACCTTAAATTTAATTTTCTTTTGCAATTGAGTCTCTCCTTCTGAATTATGGAAATCTTTCATATTTTAGCAAAGCAACCTGCTTACTAAGATTTAAATTAAAGTGACATTTGCGTAGGGGTTTTAATTCAATAGATATATCAGTTTTTAATGGAAACATCAGTGCAATATTAACATCAGTGGAAGTGCGGACATTGCTGATTTTATTAATGCTATAAACATGTTTTCCCTAAATGAAGATCTTTCCATTTTCCATCTATTCATACTACTTGAAATAAAAATTTTTAAACATTTCTTCTGAAAGAAATATCATTCAACATATGTGTGACTATAAGTCAAATGTCAATGCATTGGCAAAGACTTGTTTAGTTCATTGTCCCATTATCTTCAGGGCACAGAGATGTACTATAAATAGTGATGCTGTGGTTGTGAATTGACTCCAAACAGTATCACTATCTAACACTTTTTATTAAAAATGCTAATTGTACAGCCTGGCCAATATGATGAAACCCTGTCTGTACTAAAAATACAAAAATTAGCCAGACATGGTGGTGCGTGCCTGTGGTCCCAGCTACTTTGGAGGCTGAGGCTAGAGAATCGCTTGAACCTGGGAAGTGGAGGTTGCAGTGAGCCAAGATCGTGCCACTGCACTCCAGCCTGGGTGACAGAACAAGACTCCATCTCAAGAAAAAAAAATGCTAATTGTAAATCTGTGTATTGAAACTATTGTATTACTCAACTATATAAGCGTTATTAATATTTTTCTTTTTTATTATTTTTAATTTTTTAAAAAAGCCGTCTCATGTGGCTTTACTCCACAGATGCTATTTCTTTTTTAAAAAAGTCTTACAAGTAAGTGATCTGAATAGTTACCTTTTTAAAATATTGCACAATACTCAGTCTATTCAATAGTTTGAATTACTACATTGAAAAGTTATTCAATCTACATCAGTCATAGTACTTGGCCATTGAGAAAGGAGCTTAGCCACAAATCACACAACCGCTATCAAATTGCATGCCCTGTATCCCAACTCATCAAGCTGTTTAGTGTCTGGTCTTTCTGATTAAGATCTAGTAGAAACTCAGGAATAGAACAGGCAAGATTTAACCCAAGCAGAGCATCCTGAATCAACCTAGTCAAGATTCAGGTCTCATTTACTTAACTTTCTTCTGTAATTTGGGCAGAGGAGGGTGGAACTGATGAAAGACACTTGATTCATGTCTGGACTGAACTTACACTACTTATTGTTTTCTACTCCTTGACTACTTATACAGCAGAGGCAGCCCTAAAGTCTAATGTTCCCAGAGGCAATTGACATATTTGATGGCATTTGGCCTAAGACACAGCATAAATAAAACCATGCTGACTTGTACTATATTAAAACCATAGAGAGAGAGAAAAAAATCAATGTTTCTCCAAATAGTAAAGGTTGAAACCCATGAAGGAAAAAACTAATATTATCCAACATTGAGTAAAGGCAACACAAACACTGTAAGTGTTTTAAAGTACTTTTATAGCTATAGATGCAAATAAATAGTTTTTAAAATATGTAGCAAGAGATTAGACTGCTAATTCTATAAGCTACCTAGTTACCTCGATTTCAGAAGACAGCAGTTAGGTAATGTAGTGCTAAAGTTGATTTGGTGAGTGCATGATACAGTAGTGTCAGCAAAAAAAGATCGATGTCAAAGTCATTGTAGAATCTCTGAGGAGTACACATGGATCAATATTTGTGTAAACCATAGACTTTCATCTTCTTGTAGGAGTCTTGTAAGAAAGTGAAGCCAGTTCTTCTGAGATGTTTTACCACTTTCCCAATGAATTGTAAATTATCACAGTCAAACAAAATACTAAAATGCTCCTTTTTTTTTTTCAACCTAAAGACCCTTGGAACATTAACTACCCTGGAAAATCATTAAACAAATAAAGCCCTCTTTGACTCTTAACAAAGTGGGCTTGAGTCAAGATCTATGTGCCTCAGGGCATGTTGACTATGCTGATACTGTGTGTACAAAGTGGGGCCAACCAGGAGCCATGAAACTAGTCAGTCCCAGTCCCATCTCCAAGTGGTGATCGAGGACATGGAACAAATTACCAAGTTCTTCTTCAGCCCAGGTAACTCCTACATGAGATAGCTCCTATGGAGTCCTCACAAGCATAAAGCTCCCAGTCTCCTTAGATGTAATCAGTAAATAGATCAGTAAATGAACTCAAATCGGTGTTTGGTTTTCTGACTCGGGTGCCCTCCCCCAATTTGCTGTGTTTCTGCCATGTGATAATGAATATGAGGGGGTGCCTGATGAAAGCTCCCTTACATTATAGACACCTGAATTTGGAATGAAGGCATTTATATAAGCAGGGGCTCATTCTTTGCTTCATGCTCTACTGCAGTTTTTCATACTCATTGAATATCTACTGTGTCCATGCTTGATCCCCTGTGCAAGCATTAAAGTAAGTTTAACTTCAAGGGGAAACATATATCTCCGGAGACTGATTTCAAATACAGTGTTTGGATAACATTAAATGAGCCAAGCAAAAATAAGATGCTAATGAAATTAGTGTAGTCAGATTTTAAACCCAATGAGTGTAAACAAATCCCCTGATAAAGTATTACTGAAACACCTAATATGGTTTTCATTATAGCATGTGGGAAAAATACAATTGTGTCTTGAAATAATCCTACTTTTTAAGAACATTTTTAAAAATTCTCTTTTTGCTGCAGTCTTCTAAAACAAAAAGCTCATTGAGAGCACATTTTATTGTCCCATATAACTTAATTACTAAGATTAAGCTGATTCCTTTATTCTCACTCATTCTTGTAGTTCAAAGAAACTGTAACATCCAGCATCATTTTATTAAGCACCTCTAGTTTTATATTAATAATATTAATAGTTCCCATAATACACTTTAAAGAAATCCCCAAGGTGTTCTACACAAAACATTTAATTTAATATTTACAGCAATCATATGAAATAAAGCATTTTTCCCTCCTTTTTGCAGGTGAGGAAACTGAAGTTCAGAGGGGTTAAGTGACTTCTCTAATTGCATACAATTGTAAAAGGCAGAGTAAGTGCTAACTTGAAAATAATTGCTTTGTAATTTTATTCAAATGCATTTTTTGACCATTTTCCAGGCTTTGTGCAAAGTAAAGAAACTGCAGAACAAAATACTATATAATATTTACCTTGGTAGCACTTACAACCAAGTGTGTGTGTTTGCAAGACAGTGTGTGCCCATGAAGGAGACATGGAAATATACAAGCAATTATCATAAAATGTGATAAAAGCTAAAAGTGATAAAGCCTCATTCAAAATGTATTAAAAACGGGAGTACATACTATTTTGGGCAGGTGTCAGGAGAGCTCTCAGAGGTAAGGTAATTTTTTATTTAAGTTAGGAAGGAAAAGTGGATTAAGTATTAATCAAGCAGAGAAAAACAAAATGGGCATTTTAGGCAAAAATAAAAGATGTGAAGTGAAAGCAACTAAGAAGTATTATTGAGTACCCCTAATGTAATTGAAAAGTGAGTGAGACTATAAAACTAAAAACTATCAAGAGCCTCAGATGCTTTCCATGTCATGGTAAGGAGTTTGGATTTTACTTTTGGTCAACAGGGAACCATTTAAAGTTGTGAAACTCATTCTAAACCTAAATTTCTTTCTCCCCAATGAAGTGCAGCAAGCATTAGTCTTGATGCAAACATTGTATATTGAGCCAGAAAAAGACACTGAAAATATGCAAGTAAGTGAACTACAGGGGAGCGGATGGAGAGATTAAAAAGACACAACTCCTGCTCTTTTGGAGATTCCACCCCAATAGGAGACAGAAATGATAACCCATAACCTCGATATATGACATGTAATCAGAACAAGGTTGATGTAAGTTTGCAAAGAGTGATGGTTAGATAATATTATTAGAGACATAATATATCTACCCACCCTCATACTATATGTCTGTTATTGAGACCCACTTGTATAAGAACAATGTAATATGGCATTTTTAGTGTCGTCATCACACAAACCCACAGAAGCACTGTTAAGAACAGTTGTGGGTACGACATGTTTTTAAAATTTAGCACCCAGCTCTTGAAATCCTGTCCCCTAAGGCCATAGGAATTCTTTCGTCTCCAACCTCCTTCTTGTGACTGATAATACTTCTGGCCATCTTTTAAGAAGTTGTTAGAACCATGCAGAAAAAATATCAATAAGGCAGGTGCTCCTTTTATTTTGATTTTCATAAACAAGAAAGAATTTCGATAGCCTTGATGAAGATGATAGGATGATAGGAGTCAATAGAGAAAAAAAGGAAAACAGGCATAATAAAGACATATATATATGTCTTTATATTATATATATATATAATTTCCCCATATATATGTGTGTGTGTATATATATATATGTGTGTGTGTGTGTGTGTGTGTATAAATTTCCCCTTAGGTCTCTCCTATTGGTGATCTATATCTATATCTATCTGTATGTATATCTATCCATATCTATATCTATATTTATCTATGAGGAAAGGCTGTTTTTCTGGCAGAAGAACTGTTTCTGTTTATCTTGACTAAAATGTATAGAGAGAGGAAAGAATATATCTGTCTATATATCTATGGATATGGATATAGATATATATAGAGATGAAAAGAATATATGATATATAAATATACAGGAAAATATATCTGATATGTGTGTGTGTATATATATACAGGAAAATAATATATGATCTATATAGAGGAAAAATATATCATATGTGTGTATACATATCACCAGTAGGAGGGACCTAAAGGGAAAAGCATCTGAGACAGTGGAAGCTTTCTATGCTTTTGTGAAACTAGTCTTTTGAAAAAGTTCAGCTCTAATCATACAGCGGGTGTTGGTCCATGAAGGAAAGTATAAAAGCCAAAACAGAAAAATTGAGAATAGGGTTGGTATGTAGCTTGAAAGCTGTATATACTAACATCAGCAGGGTCATAGGAATGATTTTTATAGAATTTTTAAGGACTTCAAGAAGGATATACATTTATAGCTCTGTGTCCATTATTTTTGAGAACTATTTAAAAAAAAGGCTCAGATTACTATAAAGAGTAGAGGTGGAAAACAAAGCAGAGGGAAGATTACTATGATAATTATAAACTCTTCAGCTTCACTTCAACATTAAGACACTATATATAATTTTCAGTTACCTATTTTGATTCACCTGCAATTATGCGAGTTGTGTAACTCCTCACTTAAAAAACTGCATGCAAACAGAACAGTCAGGCTTACTCTTGACATTTGCTGATTTTTTTAAAAGTTGTATTTTAATTGAATTTAAGATTTTTCTAATAGTAAGTTTGATTATAAGTGAAATCTTCAGTGAGCCGTTAAGTCAACATTTGTGACAATCCTGTAGGTTTTTGTTTTACTTTGATTTTTTTAATTTTTCTAATTGACTAAATTTATACATTCATGGTGTACAGTATGATGTTTTGATATATGTATACATTGTGGAATGGCTAAATCAAGCTAATTAACATATTTATTAGCTCACATACTTATCCTTTTTTGGTGGGCAAAACATTTAAAATCTACTTTAAGCAATTTTTAGCTTTATAGTACATTGTTATTAACTACAATCACTATGCTGTACAATAGATCTCCTGAACTTATTCCTCCTGTTTAACCAAAATATTGTATTATTTGACTGCATCCTCCCAATCTCCCTTAGCCTACTGCTCCTGGTAATCACCATTCTACTCCCTGCTTTTATAAGTTTAACTTTTCTAGATTTGACACATAAATGAGATTATGTGGCATTTGTTTTTCTGTGACTGGTTTATCTCACTGGGCATAATGTTTTCCAAATTCATCTATATTGTCTCCAAGGTCAGGACTTCCCTCTTTTTTAAAGCAAATTAGTATTCTATTGTCTCTCTATATATTACATTAATAATCTGTTTGCTGATGGATAATTAGATTGGTGCTATATCTTAGCTATTGTGAATATGTCTGCAATTAACATGGGAGTGTAGAGGTTGCTTTGACATATTAATTTCATTTTCTTCGGTTATATAACCAGAAGTGGAATTGCTGGATTATGTTGTAGTTTTCTTTTTAAGTTTTTGAGGAATCTGCATACCGTTTTCCATATTAATATATTAGTATTTATATTCCATATATTAATTCATATAATTCCACATATTACTACCTACAGTCGACTGAACTTCGACAAAGGTGCCAAGAACCCAAGTACCTTAGTGTACTGCCTTTTTTTTACAAAATCACACCATATCATGACCATATCTTATTATTCTAAACTGTATTGCCAGGGTCTACAGTGTCATTACACAAGTATGAGATGGATTCTTTAGCAGTCTGAATCACATAGGATCATTTTTCAACAAAATAAGATTTTGTTTATATTCTTATGTTTGTCTTTTTCCTCAGTTACATGTGATTTGGACTTTCAATTACTTAGCCAATCAATACTTTATTGCCGCCATATCACTGGAACAGAGTACAGATGTATTAGAGCATTCTTTCCCATCATCACAGAGGCCCAGTTCCTAACTAACACTAATCGGCTCCATTGCTATAATGCTGTAACTGATCTTTATGATAATTCAGCCAAAGTTGAATCCTATTCGAGTATAATTGTATCGATTGACAAAGATGTCATGCTGATTTGAAATGATTTGAATATTCAATGGTCATAATCAGTACCACTGAAGGCCCACAAGAGCCTCTTACACCTCATGATTCCCAATGTGATTCATCAGACAATGTTGGTGCTGAGTGAATGTTGGCATTTCCTCTATATGTTAAATATCTGGGTGTTGGGAGTTAAGATGGCCACTAAGTTCCCAGGGTCATGTAGTACTGAAGGAAAATTAAAGATAAGCCCTCTGGCAAAGAAGAGAATAGATCATCAAAAATAGAATAAGTTTTGAGATCTATACGTAAGAAAAGCTAAATGCCTCGGGGTCATCATAAATCATAGAATATCATGGAAATAATATGTTACTAGTTATTATCTAAATTATAGGACATGGAGATGTATAAGGTCAGATAACTATAAATTTTTCTTCTCTGTGAAAGGATTTCAGTATATTTTTGCTGTCTCATTGTCATGTAAATGTTTGCAAGAATGTGCAAAGTGCTCCTGGAGACTCTTGAACAATACCATTCTGTGAATCTGGTTGTTATTGGTTGTGAGCCCTCATATTTTAGCCTCTTGCTAATTTTTATTCCAGAGAAGCTTTAGCATGTATCCTTTAGATCTACAATAGGTCAAGGCATAAT
Source organism: Homo sapiens (assembly GCF_000001405.40). Taxonomy (NCBI): domain Eukaryota; kingdom Metazoa; phylum Chordata; class Mammalia; order Primates; family Hominidae; genus Homo; species Homo sapiens. The sequence continues at coordinate 176,434,318 of NC_000003.12, read as the reverse complement.
TATTGTAGGTGCTTTGTTCTTGTGTTTCTTCCATGTATTAGTCCATTTTCATACTGTTATAGAGGAGATACTACCTGATACTTGGTAGTTTATGGATGAAAGAGGTTTAATTGACTTATAGTTCTGCATGGCTGTGGAGGTCTCAGAAAACTTACCATCATGGCAGGTGAAGGAAAAGTAAGCACCTTCTTCACAAAGTGGCAGGAGAGAGAGAGTGAGCAAAGGGGAACTGCCACACTTTAAAACCATCGGATCTCATGAGAACTCACTGACTGTCACGAGAACAGCATGGGGGAAACCGCTTCATGATCCGATCACCTCCAATCAGGTCCCTTCCTCCACACGTAGGGATTACAATTCAAGATGATATTTGAGTGAGGGCACAAGGCCTAACCATATCATTCCATTCTATCATTACATTTTCTATATGTGATTTATTGAACCCAACATATCTAAAACAGTTAAATAAAAATAACATGTCTAAAATAATAGATATCTGTATTCTTATATATCTACTGAAATGAATTTCTGAAGATATTAGGCTGGTCTGTGTGTTAATTTGATTTTTGTCAGAAGCAAAGCTCAAATTGGGATGAGGTATGGCAAATGATATATTAGGAAAAAATGCTTACAAAAGATAAAGGGAGGAGGAGGTGGACTAAATTAAAGAGATTTATCATATAACATGGTGACTATAGTTAATAATAATGTATTGCATTCTTAAAACTGCTGAGAGTGTAGATTTTAAGTGTTCTCACCACACAAAAAGATAAGCATGTGAGGTAATGAATGTCAGTTAGCTTCATTTAGCCATTCCACAATGTATACATGTTTCAAAATATCATGTTGTATGTACATGACAAATATACAGAATTTTTATTTGAAAGAAGTCACATTATACACCTTACACATAAATACAATAGCTAATTTGAGGCTATAAAAAGTAAAGGGAGGTGGATAGAGTGGGAGCACGAACAGAGAAACCCACACCTTGATGCTGATCTGACACATGTGAACGTGGAGAAGTAAGAGAAGAAGATTGGGTAGGAAGGCTGGTAAGGCTCTTCTAACAAAGTTTCAAGCAAGATCACGAGGAGCACTTGAGCCCAAGTCTCCCAGTTGGGTAGTCCTGTTTTATGGCAGGAATATGCCCACATAAATACCCCTGATGTGCTCAGTCACTAGTTGAGAGCAGCCCAGAAGTGTGACCTCAGTACAAATGTGGTGGTAGATACAGAGGGGCCATAGTTGAGGCTCTCAGAAAACTGTCCTTGCAGCTTGAGATCTGAGCAGTCAATTTTCATGGCCTTAGCATCCTGGAAGGCAGTGAGGTATGGAGGGAAGGCATGGGATTTGGATTTATATCATAGCTCTGCCACTTAGGGGCTCCTGGACCTCAGCTTTGGTTAATCTATCCATAGAAGGGAAAAGCTAGCCCATATCCTATTCATTTTAGTAGTTGAACACAGCACAGAGAAAGGGAGGGGGAAAGAAGAGAGAGAGAGAGAGAGAGAGAGAGACTGAGTTTCCAAAATATAGACATAGATAGACACAGATATCGATACATTTAGGAGAATTAGAAGAGCTTAATGGTAGTGATTGTTGGCTAATTTTAGGTGTCAACTTGACTAGATTAAGGAATACCTTGGAACTGGTAAAACGTCACTTCTGGGTGTACCTATGAGGGTGTTTCCAGAGAAGACTGGTGTGTGAGTTAGTGGACTGACTGAGGAAGATTTACCCTCAGCATAGGCAGGTACCATCCAGTTGGCGAAAAAGGCAGAGGGAAGGCAATTACTTGTTTCTCTCTCTTTCTTGCATCTGGGCCACATTTCTCCTGCCTTTGGACATCAGAACCCCAGGCTTTCTGGCCTTTGGACTCCACGACTCACACTAATGGCTCCCTAGGTTCCCAGGCCTTCAACCTCGGGCTGAGAATTATATCATCAGCATCCTTGGTTCTGAGGCTTTCAAACTTGGACTGAACCATGCTACCAGCATCCCAGGATCTCCAGCTTGCAGATTGCCTGGGACGCCTCATCTTCTGTAATGAGCCAACTTCCCTAGCAAATTCCCTCTCATCTATTTATATATCCTATTGGTTCTGTGTCTCTGGAGAACCCTGACTAATTCAGTGGTTAAGAGTCAGACCACGTGGGTTGGAATCGTGAATCTACCATGTGTGTTTCCAAGTCTCTTTGTGCTCTGTTTCCTTATGTCTTAACATGGAGATAATAGGATTGTTGTGAGAATTGAATGAATTTATACATGTGAAATGACGACAGGCATGGTTAGCACATAGTAAGCGCCATATATGCGAACTTTAATGCTATTATTGCTTTGAAAGATTATTGCTATAACCTTTAATTATTTTGACCTCTCTTCCTCCTTTCAAAATCTTTTTCTTATTTCTGTGAGGATTTTCTTTTTATTGATTTATCTGAATTTCTCTCTATAAGGGGAAGGTTCCCTGAGTGGTCATTTGTAATTCAGAAATTGGGCATATTTTATAGGAGTCATTCCCTTTGATCTGCCCTCTGTACTTTGGCTTCATCAGTTTTCTAACTCCAGGTATAGAAGATGATTTTCTTCTATTGTTTTCCCAAGGTTGGCTCTTCAGGAAATTGCCTTAACTAGGGATGCAACAGGCAGGCAATATGAAACTTCAACAGAGGACCACGAAGACACTGAACTGGAGTGATTTTATACATCAAAGCTAAAGTCCAGGTTTTTTTCTCAAATGTTCGTTCCTGTTTCACCTTAGTGTAAGCTAAATGTGACCTTGAGCTAGTTGGTGGGTTGGTGGGGAATGGAATTTAGATTAGGAAGAATTTATGATCAATGTGATAAGTAAAACAACAACAAAAACAATGCATTTTCTTTCTTCCTCCAAAGAATGACTTCAGAAGATTTTTTTTTTATGTCAATTGTCTTGGTGTTTTCAACCCATCTTGTGGAAGTTCGCTATTATGCTCATCCTTGACGAAATGATTAGTTTGATAAGATGACATGTCAAGCCTCAGAACTATATGGAACGTGGCATTCTGATCTGGAGGGTAATAGCTTGAAGCCACATCTCATTCTCCTTTTTTACTCAGCAGCTGCAAGAACTTGGAGTCTCTAAGACAGGATGATACCCTGGAGCACAGCTTGCAGACTTGAGTGACATCTAGTTCATAAATGGCTCAGCTGACGTCTCAGGCAGGGAGTGCATGAACCAGGCTTGGAGGCAGCTGACGATCTGATGTCCAGATGTGAGGAGGAGAGGGAAGGGGGTTCAATGCAACAGCAGCAATAGATTGCAAAGGAGAACATAGTAAGAAAGAGAAATTAAACAGAAACACAGCAAGATGAGAAGGCAAGTTGGAGGGAGTGTATGATTAATCTCTGGTGAAAGCCCCCACAGCAGAAAGATGAATTAATGCTGTTCAAGCTGTTAGCCATCCCTTCAGCTTTATTATGTGGTAGAAAGCTACCTGTCACTTTCTGGGCTGTATGCAGTGGTAGGGACAATGCTGGCTGCTTTCTACCAATGCATTGCAAACACTTTCTAAGTTTTCTTTTTGAAGCATTTCTAATATTTGTTTCAATCGCAGGTAGATCCATCATATGCATTTAAAGAGTCATATCAAGCAGAATTCCTGTTCAATATAAAGAGCTCATAAAACAAACGTTACTATTTATCAACTCTAATGGGTTTTTGTAAAGGTCTTATAGAAATAAAGAATAAAAATCCAATGATGGTCTTACAATAAATATCCTATACTTTATTGCCTATTTATGGGGTAATCTTGCTTTCTCACAATATGTGGCTCTCCAAAAAGATTTAAACTGTGGTCATGTGGTTTGCTTGCCAGGAGATGGCAATAGTGATCTACTTCCATGTTATGCCTATAAACAAGCTCATTACACCAAAATTAAACTTTGTGCCAAAATGATTGGGATTTCCAAATCTGTTTTCCAATGCAAAATTATTCATTTTAAGTTCTTGAATTATTAAGTTGTTTCTACTCATTCACAGCTTGATTTTTACCAAAATCTTTGTCATGACAGTTCTCTCAATATCCAAAAATAATCATTTTGCTCTCCTGGAATCAGTAACATAATTTTGAAAAAAAAATTATGCATACAATCATACATTTTACTGAAGACATAGACAATGAATTAAAGTGGGAATTTTATAAGATTAGGATGGTTACCACTCAGACAAATATCACTGAATCTCTAAGGAATCATATCAATGTCCCTGGAATTTTTTGCCTTTAGCATGACTGAGATCAAGAGATCAAGCCAATTTTTTTTTTCTGTCAGAGTTCAGTGTGATGCTGTCACTGTTCAACCTGACTAAGGCTGAAAATGTGATTGAAACTTCACCGCCCTTTTCATTGAGGGCACATACATTCCCTTTAATTTGACCCCGAGTGCTGCAAAACCCAACACTTTCCCTGTTTCTGCTTCTAGGATGCTCAGGCATAATTTTTTTTTTTTTTTTTTTTTTTAGCAAGAGTTTCATGACTTACTTTTTAAACTTTAATTATTACTGTACCTTTAATTCTGGGTTAATAGCTTAGTTTTATTATATTGCACTTTTGTTTTAATCCATGTTGAATCTCTTTTGGAAATAACATATGATTTAAGTCCATGAATGCAATGAAACAGTCGACTTACTCTCATAATAATTAAATCCATTTGTTACTTGTGATGGCTTGTGGCTCTATCCATAAATTGCCTAACAATTTTCTTAAGAACAAAATCATAATATGAAAGCCACCTTCATCTTTTATTGGTATATGCAAGATAACTCTGGTTGCTATTTCTCAGCGAGGGTATTTTTAAATACAATATCCACACCTAGGGTATTTTAAAATAAAATGGTTTTCAGTTTGTTGCCCATAACATTTTTTTCCAATTGCTATATTTTAATTATTTTATTCTAGCTTATGGTCTATTATTAATAAAGTTCTTGGTCTATTGCATGGTCTACTGCAGATGGCTTCCATATTGTTCTTCTTGAGGATTTCATGTAAGGCCCTTTTAGCCAGTTTGAGTAAAGAGAAACATTATTTAATAAATTATGTTGCTACAGTGATTAAAGGTAATAGTATGTTATAGAAAAAACTTAGAATTTACTAAAGTGATATCTACTATGACAGTGTTGGATCCCAACTTAAAAAAATGTGGATTATTAAAATAAAAAGAACAGGTATGGAATATTAAAATTAAATTTCAATGGTAGGATATTAGTTCTGTTGTCGTACATAATTAAAACAGTTTTATCAATATTGTTTTCACACATACTTAATGTAATTGATACTTTATATCCATTTGATTGCAAGGGTATGCTAACAAGTTTGTCACAACTGAGCATTAAAATTAATAATACGACTTTTGGGAGGGAGCTGGATTTAACATGCTCTTCTTTTTGTTTTTAATCTTTGGTTAGACTTATGTCATAACCGAAAGCTCAGGCAAATGTTCATGTGTGGTTTACATTAAATGAAATATGTAGCTGAGCCAGTACTGGGACTGCTTACCTCTCCTTACTCTTCCGGTTTTAGTCTGCATCACAGAGAAACTGACTCCTGCAGGCTGCATTTCTCAGGATCCTATGTCAACGGATTCAGCTAAAGGGAGGCACTTGTGTGAGTTCAAAGCTTAGGAAGAGGGAAGAGGCTAGAACATTCCCTCTTCTCTTTGGGCAGTGTCTCTGGCATTGGCTGAGTTTCCTTCTGCCAGGCATCCCTGGCTGTTGGGTTCTGGGGGCTTCTCAGGACCCCCAGCTCTCAGTGTCTCAGGGGCTTTTTGCTGTTGCTTATATCTGGGCTGCCTCACTGTCCCTGGTTTGGCTTCTTAGTCTATCACCCCTGTAACCAATTTCTTGCATTAAAAATTCTCTGTTGTAAAAACTTGAAATGGTTTCTGTTTTTCTGGCAGAAGAACTGTTTCTGTTTATCTTGACTAAAATGTAAAATTCAGTGCAAAATATCCTTAGCACAGAACTCTTCTGCATTAGTGTAATTACTGTCAATTTATTATTTTACATATTTTTCAAATCAGTTCAAATTTGTTTTCAATTTATACCTTGTGCCCTGAATGTGATTCCATGACTTCTATGTCTCTAAATAATACAGTGTTGTACTAGAACCAGAGAGGCATAGGTAAGAGAGAACATAGCGAGAGAGAGGAGGAAGAAAAAGAGTAAGAAGGACTGAAAGGGTGCCATATTTTAAAATAATTAATTGTAGAACTTAATAGATTTTTAGAGTATCTCCTCTTTTCGAAAATGTTTTATACAGAATACTAGTTGAACTGTATTTTAATGTTATACGAGAAAAAATAATGTGCCATAGTCAACCAATTTTGGAGAACAAAAGTTTACCAAAATAAAGTAGCTTTTTTTCTTTTTTTTTTTGAGGAGAAATTTCACTCTTGTTGCCCAGGCTGGAGTGCAATGGCGTGATCTCGGCTCACTGCAAACTCTGCCTGCCGGGTTCAAGCAATTCTCCTGTCTCAGCCTCCCGAGTAGCTGGGATTACAGGTATGTGCCTCCATGCCTGGCTAATTTTGTATTTTTAGTAGAGACAGGGTTTCTCCATGTTGGTCAGGCTGGCTTTGAACTCCCAACCTCAGGTGATCCACCTGCCTTGGCCTCCCAAAGTGTTGGGATTACAGGTGTGAGCCACTGCACCAGGCCAAAGTAGCTTTTTAAAAGCAGCATTGCCTGTTAAAGAATTTAATTTGCTGATGAGCCTACTGTATCTCCAGAATGATTTTAGCCTCTCAATTCATATAGATCATTGATTTTAAGATTCATTTATTTATTCATTCAAGAAATATTTATTGACTACCTAGTATATGTTAGGCACTGTTAAAGGGATTAGGGATGCAGGAGTAAAGAGAGTAAAAAAAAAATCTCTGCCTAATTTCTAGTGGGAAAGAATAGACAACAAGCAAATATGTAAACTATAGAGTAAGTCAAATAATGATAAGTGCTACAAAAATAATAAAGCAGGGAAGGGGGATAGGGAGTGCTGGGGTCAAGGTTGAGCCTCGCTTTTATATAAGGTGGTCCATGAAGGCTCTTTTGAGCAAAAGGATCAGGTCAGGTGGCTATGAGGTTGGAGTGTGTGTGGGATTTTCGAGTAACAGAGGCAGCGCCAGTGTTCAGGAGGTCTCTTAACTGATGGTGTTAAGAGACATCATCAGTTTAAAAAACAGCTCTGGGAGCAAACATATAAAAGAAAAACAAAGCCAAAAAGGCCTCTGCTATATTCAATGTATACACACGTTTTTAAACTGACAATAGTGTACATGTATCATTGGATGCCACATTTTTTTGTTGTTGTTGTTGGTTGGTTTGAGGCTACGTTTCTTTTTTTGTTCCACACACAGCACCTAAAGTTCTGAATCACTTACAGCTGGTAGTTGTAATGTAAGACATCATGACAACATGCTGTTTTTTTTAGTATTTTTGCTAGTGCTTGAGCCCTCCTTAGAAGTGGCAATTAGATTCACATTGAGGAATTCTTGGATTTTGCTCTACATTTGATATTTAGGTACATGTTTAGTTTCATTTTCCTCTTTAATTTAATTACATATTGCTGGAAGTTAAATAGCTTCCCTTCAAAGGCAGCTAGAAACTTTTGATATCTAACCTGACAGATAACCTTCAGAACTCATGAAATCAGTCACACCAGTTCTTCCTAGCTTTGAAATGTCTATGATCAGCTCAGAAATGTTTGGTTACCTTTGACAAGTCAATGACTGTTATTTCACAACCTACTCTTACTTGGCAGCTGAAAAATTTATTTTGATATTGATTGGGAAGTGCATTCCCTTTAGAGAAACATGACAATATGAAGAAAAAATGTGTTTGATCTCAGAACCCATTTTGCATGAAGCAGCTCAGAGGACCAGGACCAGTGTTTTATGGAACATGCTGGGAGAAACACTGATCAAGTGAAGACTTCTGAATTGAACAAAAAAAATTTCCATAAATATTATGTTGGTTCAAAAGCAATCGTGGTTTTGCCGTTTTAACACCTGAATATGTCGTTTAAGACGTAAACAGTGTAGATGCACATAAGACAAGGCATAAAAGTCCCCCATTGCTGCTAGTCCAACTCTGACTTCTCTTCCCAGGCAGCCTCTGTGGACAGTGTATGTTCCTTGGAACCTCCTTTCTCTGTATTTATATGTATATACGTGTACGTATATGTTATACATACAGATCTGTATGTATATGTTATACAAACATCTGTATGTATATAGATAGATAAGCAGCATGTTTAAAAATATAAATGTAAAATATTAATATAAATGATATAAAATATAAATTAACAACGTAAATACATTGCTTTTGGTTAGTTTTATTTATGATACATATGTTTCGGAAATCTTTCCATGTTATTGCATATGGGTGTATCTGAATTTCTGGTCTGCCATTATATGGATATATGGCAAATTATTTAATCTTTCCTCCACTAAACAGTACATTTGGGGAGGGGGTTTGCTATTACAAGCAATGTTCCAGAGAATATCTTGTAATTATAAATATTTTCATAAATGTAGAAGTAAGTTGTATTTAAAAATAATAGATACCTAGAAGCAGAAGTGTTGCTTAAAGTACATGAACTTTTTTTTTTTTTTTTTTTTTTTTTTGAGATGGAGTCTTGCTCTGTCTCCCAGGCTAGAGTGTAATGGTGCGATCTCAGCTCACTGCAACCTCCGACTCCCAGGTTCAAGTGACTCTCCTGCCTTAGCCTCCCAAGTAGCTCGGATCACAGGCACCCACCACCACACCCGGCTAGTTTTTGTATTTTTAGTAGAGACAGGGTTTCACCATGTTGGTCGGGCTGGTCTTTAACTCCTGACCTCAAGCAATCCACCCGCCTTGGCGTCCCAAAATGCTGGGATTACAGGAGTGAGCGACCAATCCCGGCGATGCATTTTAGAATGTAGTAAAAACTGCTAGACTGTCTCCATTTAGACCCCATGGACCACATTCACTCTAACAATGCATGTCAAGGCCAGTTCTTCTGAATCCTTCCCTGCATTCATTCTTTAGTCTTTAATTTCTTTTTTTTTTAATCAGGGGGAAAAAATCTCTCTTTTTTGACATTTCTCATAATTGCTTGATACATTTAGTAGCTTTTCATTCCTTATTCTGTGAGTGTCCTGTTTATATTTCTTTACCCTTTTTCCTACTAGGCATTTTTTTTTTCTTTTCAAGTTAATTTATATAAGTTCTTTCTCATAGAAATCAACCTTTTGAGTAAGATACATATATTTTCACCCAAACTGTCATTTGTTTTTAACTTCATTAATTATTTCTTTCTAAAGGAAGATTTTAATTTTATAAGGTAAATTAATTATCATTTTCCTTTCCTGTTTTACAGTTTTGTGTCTGACTTATCTCTTTAATCCACGAGATTAATTTTTATTCATTATGTGTAATAGATTGTGTTAGGGAACACAGCTGCTGAGGCAATTAGATTAAATATATATATATATATATATATATATATATATATATATATATATATATATATAATGAGTCCAACAGAATAGAATAGAAGTGCTTCACTCAAGAAATACCCCGGGTGGTTCAGGCCAATGGTGACTAGGGGTGGAAGGTGGGCTGCTTGGCTTCAGAGTGCTTTGGGGGTCCAGGCAACTCTAGCTCTGCCATTTGCCATTTTAGGTTTGCAAAGCTTGCCAGAGGGTCGTTTTTTATTGCAGTTCACGTGAGAGAAAAGATGAGGGGGAAGCACGTGTGTGAGTTTTTCTGGGTTGTGTCTGGAAGTGGTACCCATTACCTCTCATGCAGGATTCCCTAAAATCAGCCACAGGTCACATGGCATTCCCCAGAAGAAATGGATTTAGAAACAGCTGGCACCCTCCGCCTCAGACTATGGATTTATTTTGCTTCTGTAAATGGCTATCTCATCTTCCTGTGATCACGTATTAAGCGGGCCAGCTTTTGACTGGGAATATCACCTTTACCGTAAGTTACACTGACATATACAAGATCTGTTAGGAACTCTCCTTCTGTCAACCCATTTGTTTATTCTGGCATGAATTCCATGGGGTGTTACTTCAGGTACTTTGTGAGAGTGACACACCTTATTGTCTTTTTCTAAATGTTTTTGACTATTTAAAAGCATTCTCTTTTCTATATAATGTTTTGAATTGTCAGGATTCATTAAAACTCCTCATGTTTTGATTGAGAAGGCTTTGAATTCATAGATTAATTTGGGGAAAATAAACTTACTAAAACTCACCATCTAGGAACATGGAATGCCTCCCATTATTTAGATTTTTATTTTGTGTCTTTCACTAAAGTTTTATGATTTTTTGTTTATAGGGCTTTCTTGTTGGGTTTATTACTAGATATTGTGTGGCTTTTTATGCTATTGTATATGAAATTCTTTATTCCATTTTTATTATTTCTGAGTAAACCATTGATTTATGTTTATTTAATATCCAGCAACTTATGAAACAGCTACATTCATTCTAACAATTTTTCAGTGAATTCTTTTTTATTATTTATGTAGACAGTTAAATCATTAATAAATGCTGAACAGTTTTGTATTTTCTACTTTTTTCCATTTTATTTAATTGAATAGGTCTTGCATCAGATGTATTTTGTGGTTGTGGGGTGCCTCCTCATCTTGCCTTGTATTTAGTTGACTGGCTCTATTGACTGTCCATGGAGAATTAATTCTTCCAAAGTGTTTCTGAAAGAGATGCTTTCTTAGGTTGAGAAATTCCTATGTAGTACTTTTTTTTTGGTTTGTTTTTCATCAGGAAAAAGTGTTGAATTTTAAACAAAATTTTTTCAGCATCTGTTGAGATAATAGATACCCCATAATAGGTACTTCCTTCTTTATTTGAAGTAAAACTCACATGCTAATATATTGTTAGGTATAATTCAAAAATATTTCTTTTAGAGTTCTAAACACTTTTTTTTCTGTGTTCTCTTTTTCTGGTTTTAGTATCAAGGTGAGTCTTTAGTATCAAGGTGAGTGAAAGTATGAAATTGGAAGTTTTTCTGTTGTTTTCTATGCCCCAGAAAAATTTATATAAGTTGAAACTTTAAGGTTTAGTAGAACTTCCCCATAAAGCTGTCTGGGCCAGGAGACTTTTTATAGCAAGGTAAATATTTAATTAATTTACATTTCAATTTCTATGTATATTGATCTATTTAGTTTTTCTGCCAGTTTTTGAGTCAATACCTTTTAGGAAATCAAACTTAATATTTACATATTTCAGTATGATGTTTACTAAGTATTCTTTTGAAACATGTTGAAACTTCTTCATGTCTATAGTCCCTTTCTCACTTGTAATGTTACCTGTGTGTCATCCCTTTGGGGAAGGATATTATTTAGAATTTCCCTAAGTTTTTCAGTTTCATTGATATTTTTAAGAATCAGCATTTGGTTTTATTAATCAATCTACTACTTTTCTCTCTTTTTCCTCTCATATATATATATATCTATATCTTTTTAAAAAAGATCTTTAAAATATATTATCTTTTTTAAAAAAAGTTTGAAATGTATTATTTTTTAAATTGGTAGATATTGGATACAAAGTTCTCCACACATCAATTGTGATTAAATTTAAATTATTCTACTCACCTATATTCTTATTTTGAGCAACTTAATTTTCTAATTTGTGATAGATCTTTGTTTAAATAGTTGACTATGATTGTAGAATTTCTTTTCTCCTTGCCCCTCCATGAGATTCCTTTTTTATATATTTACAAGCTGGTTCATTAGATGCTTGATGATTAATGACTATTGAATTTTCTTGGTTGACTGTATATTTTACCAGTATGAAATATAATTTTAATACTATTTTGAATATATTACTTGTTAATAATTAATATTAATTGAGTTAAATGTTTTACTTCTGCTATTTTTAAAATATGTATTTATATATAGTTGCATATTTTGGTTCCAATCATTCTGTGTCCATTTATTTTATCATATCCCTGATTGACAGCTTAGGAATGGAAATTTTATGAACATTTTCCGAAAACTGAAAACGTTTTTTAACTCAAAATTACCCTGTCTTTTTAAGGGGTAATTTAGTCAATTATATTTACTTTTACTGTGTTTGGTCTTATTCCATGTCTCTCTTATGTTTACTGTGCTTTTTTGTTGTTGGTGTTTCATCCCTTTCTTGTCTTTTGTTGGACTTACCATGTTTTCTTTTCTTTTTTTTTTATTCCTTACAGTGGAAATTTATTACTCAGATAATAGATGTGGGTCCAAAACTTTAACCTCCTTAGGTTCAGAACTGTTTTCTTTCCTAGGCCTGATCTTTTTCAAAATATTTGCCCCAGAGCATTGCACTTTTTAAAATTATGTTTTATCTTTCTATGGTATGTTAGCAAATACATTGGTTAGTTAGTGGTCTTATTCCTCCCCTGTGATTTTTACCAAGCTACAGACTTCATCAGAATTGGTACATTTCTTGTTAGAGCAATAGCATTCTTTGGTCAAAGAAAAGTAATAATGAAAAAGGAGAAGGAATGATCATTTTTTCAGCCATTTCTTATTGCACAGCTGAATAAGATATTATTCTGAATTAAAGGACCTCACATATATCCTAGTGGAGTAGACCAACAATTGAATAGAAAATAGTAGCCCAGAGATGTTAAATATGTTTAAAGCAATGGGTTGCTATTCAAAGATGGGAAGAATATCAACATGGTATCCTTGAGAAGCTTGCTAAAAATAGAGAATGCCACGTCCGACCCAGACTCCATGAATTAGAATCTTCCTAGGTGCTTCTCATGCACACTAAAGTTAGAGAAGCACAGCTATAACGAATCATGTTTTACCATCTTCCTAACACTGAAGAAGATTGGAAAACAATTGCAGCCATCTCTCAGAGTGTACAGTACTTTAGAATATAGTGTTAGTCATTCCTGGCTTAACAATTTTATTACATTTTAATATTTTCTCTATTTTTATCATCTTCTGTAACTATATAAACCTTAATTACCTAGCTACATTTGGTACACGATAGAGAGTAAATTTCTCAAAGAAATAGTTCTTGGTGATCAAATACTATCCAGTCACAGTGGATCCATAACCAGTTTTTCTCTAGATATTACTTATTTTTTAACTTTTGGGGGTGGGAGTGAAGGGTTTAATTGAAGTGCCACCTTTCCAATGTCTTGCAAACTACATGATTTTACATATAAAATCTAGGGCACTTAGAGTCCTCTCAGGAAAGATACCAACTTCGGAACCTACCACAGTTACTCTTCAAAAACTGTTTTCTGAAAGTGTTTTTTTTTTTTTCCCCAGAACTAAGAGTATTTTTAATACAGTGCTGAAGAGCCAGCTGAACTGGCTTTGTAGATCATCCTCAGGTGAGAGTACATTTTCAAAATTATCAAAATAACATAAACATATTTTTAAACATACTTTGTTTTGCAGCCCTCAATCACAGATGCCCAGTTTTAAAATATTGAGTGAAACTGTACGTGGTTTACTCAAAATGATATGAAATGAATTTTCACATGCATTCTGAATCTATTCCACCCTTCTAGATCCACTAAAGACCATATCTCATCATGATGCTTTCCCTGATCGTTATAACATTTCTGAATATCCATAGGGAAAAAAATCTGGTTAATTTATTATCTTGAATGAATAATTATTTAACTCCACATTTCCTTTTTGTGCCTTGTTTACAGAATTTGATTATAAACTCTTTGAGTATAGGGGTATATTATTTTGCATTCTTGTGCCTTATACCTAAAATATTTTAAGAGTATCTGTTATAACATTTTATTTTCACTAATTAAATACGGCTATTCATAGCCAGTGTAATGGTGACCGCCGGTAGTCCAGCTACTTGTTAGGCTGAACAAGGACAATCACTTGAGCCCAGGATGTCAAGGCTGCAGTGAGCCTTGTTCACACCATGGCACTCCCGCCTGGGCGAAAGAGTGAGACCCTGTCTCAAAAAAACAAACAAATGAACAAACAAACAAAAACTGCTATTCAAACTTTTCCATCAAAGTACTTCTAATAAAAAAAGGGATATGAAAGATTATTTCTGAGGATTTGGGGACATAAACTGAAGCAGGGGCTAAACTTTGAAATTTATTTCAAGAGGTTTGTAGTTGTATTCTGTCCTGAAAATGTGTGAACATTTCGCATTTACATCACAATATGTCCTTTTGTGTTAAAATAAGTGTTCTAAGAAAATAAAATATGTTAGAGCCACGGCTTAGCCTTTTTCATAGTCTTGCAATAAATACCAGAAATTAAGTATATTTTTAGAATATGCAAAAAACAGGAAGTTTAGCCACTATTCCTGAGGATTCCAGGCCTCCTATCATGTTGCCTCAGCTCACAAAATTCCTACCTTTTACCAAAACACCTTTGGCTATAGTTAACTCTATTAATTTCCTAAGTCTGCCAAAACAAAGTACCACAAACTAGGTGGCTTAGAAATTTATTGTCGGCCGGGCGCGGTGGCTCACGCCTGTAATCCCAGCACTTTGGGAGGCCGAGGCGGGCGGATCACGAGGTCAGGAGATCGAGACCATCCCGGCTAAAAACGGTGAAACCCCGTCTCTACTAAAAATACAAAAAATTAGCCGGGCGTAGTGGCGGGCGCCTGTAGTCCCAGCTACTTGGGAGGCTGAGGCAGGAGAATGGCGTGAACCCGGGAGGCGGAGCTTGCAATGAGCCGAGATCCCGCCACTGCACTCCAGCCTGGGCGACAGAGCGAGACTCCGTCTCAAAAAAAAAAAAAAAAAAAAAAAAAAAAAAAAGAAATTTATTGTCTTACAGTTTTGGAGATTAGACATCCCAAATCAAGTTGCCGGCAGGGCCAAACTCCCTCCCAAACCTGTAGGAAAAGGATGCTAATTTGCCCCTTCCAGCAGTGGCCTCAGAAATTCTTTGACTTATGAGAACATAACTCCAATTTCTGTTTCCATCTTCACATTGTCTTTGCTAGATGCTTTTTTGTCTTTGTGTTCATACTTCCGTTTTTTTTTTTTTTTTTTTTTTTGAGAGGAGTCTCGCTTTGTCCCCCAGGGTGGAGTGCAGTGGCCTGAACTCAGCTCACTGCAAGCTCCACCTCCCGGTTCAAGGGATTCTCCTGCCTCGGTCTCCTGAGTAGCTGGGACTACAGGCACCCGCCACCACGCCCAGCTAATTTTTTGTATTTTTAGTACAGACGGGGTTTCATCGTGTTAGTCAGGATGGTCTCGATCTCCTGACCTCGTGATCCACCTGCCTCGGCCTCCCAAAGTGCTGGGATTTCAGGCGTGAGCCACCGCGCCCGGCCCCTATTTCCCCTTTTTATAAGAACATCAGTTGTATTGCGTTTGAGCTCAACTTAGTGACTCCATTTTAACTTCATCACCCCTTTAAAGACTCTATTTCCAAATAAGGCCACATTCAGAGGAACTAGGGGCTGGAAATCAACATATCTTTTTTAGGGGAAATAAACTGTAACACCAACTGAATCACTCTCTTTTCCTAGTATATCTCATGTTTTTGTTCCTTTAAGTAGAGCTGCCGAATTTAATAAATAGAAATATAGTAGCCTCAGATAAATTCGAATTTCACATAAAGAACAAATAATTTTTAGTATAGGTATGTCCTAAATAATTTATGGTACATTCTTATACCACGTTTGTGTGGTTGTTTATTTGAAGTTCAAATTTATCTAGAATTTTATTTTGTACACTTACTTTCAGGCCTTTGCCTTCCTTGTGAAATCAGCCTAATTTTAAACTTACATCTTTTCTCAGGAAACTGACGGTCAGGCCTCCTGTATGACACCAGGGAGCTGAGGCTTTATGGATTGGATCACTGCACCCAATGAGACACACCTGCTGCCTGTCGAACCAACCCTCTTCCTAGCTCCTCCATAATTCCTTTTTTTCCTGCACGTGATTACAGTGAGATGCTAGATCCCTCATTCAGCTACCTGCTGCCTGTTGACCAGCTCCTCTTCCTCTCCCCCGGCCCTGGTTCTTCTTCCAAGCTATTAGGTGAAAGCAAAAGTAATTGCGGTTTTTGCATTGTTGAAATTTGCCATTTGATATTGGGATACATTTTTAAATAAATGTGGTTATGTTATACATAATTTTAATGGGCATTTCTCACTTTATTTTTTTTACTGATGACTTATTACTTGCTATTTATTTTATATTTATTTTAGACTATGGAAATGATGTTAGACAAAAAGCAAATTCTAGTAATTTTCTTATTCGAGTTTAAAAGCAGCAGAGACAACTCGCAACATCAACAATGCATTTGGCCCAGGAACTGCTAACGAATGCACCGAGCAGTGTTGGTTCAAAAAGTTTTACGAAGGAGACAAGAGCCTTGAAGATGAGGAGCGTAGTGGCCGGCAATTGGAAGTTGACAATGAGCAATTGAGAGCAATCATTGAAGCTGATCATCTTACAACTAAACAAGAAGTTGGGGAAGAACTCAATGTCGACTGTTCTATGATCATTTGGCATTTGAAGCAAATTGGAAAGGTGAAAAAGCTCAGTAAGTGGGTGCCTCATGAGCTGAGTGAAAATTTTAAAAAAATTGTCACTTTGAAGTGTTGTCTTCTCTTACTCTATACAACAACAAACCATTTGTTGACTGCATCGTGATGTGCGATGAAACGTGGATTTTATACAACAACTGGCAATGGTCAGCTCAGTAGCTGAATCAAGAAGAGGCTCCAAAGCATTTCCCAAAGCCAAATTTGCACCAAAGAAAGGTCATGGTCACTGTTTGGTGGTCTGCTGCCAGTCTGATCCATTAAAGCTTTCAGAGTCCCAGCAAAACCATTACATCTGAGAAGTATGCTCAGCATATTGATGAAATGCACCAAAAACTGCAATGCCTGCAGCTGGCATTGGTCAACAGAAGGGTCCAGTTTTTCTTTATGACAAGGTCTGACTGCACATCACATAACCAATGCTTCAAAAATTGAACAAATTGGGCTACCAAGTTTTGCTTAATCCACTATATTCACCTGACCTCTTGACAACCGACTACCACTTCTTCAAGCATTTTCACAACGTTTTGCAGGGAAAATGTTTCCACAACCAGTAGGATGCAGAAAATGCTTTCCAAGAGTTTATCAAATGAACAGCCAAATAAAAAGGGCCCCCTGGCAGAACCTCTGACTGGCCTGTGCACTGGGAGGAGTGCACACTGGGGTGGAGCTCAGGAAGTTTGCGTTATTTGCAGAGGGGAGGAGCCTGGCCGCTCCTGTTCCAGGTGGTACCTGGGATTCAGTCTGTGAGGTGGGAAACCATCTAGCAGGGCTCTCACTTTGCTGAGAGTTCCTGTTTTCCTTTTTTCTCCTTTTTGCCCAATATATTCTATTTTTCTCACCCTTCAAAGTGTCTGTGAGCCTAGTATTTCATGGCCATGTGACAAGAACATGACTTTTAGCTGAACTAAGGAGAAAGTCCTATAACAACATCCTGAAGCACAGATTTTTATGCTACAGAAATAAACAAACTTATCTCTCATTGGCAAAAAGGTGCTGATTATAATGGTTCCTATTTTGATTAATAAAGATGTGTTTGAGCCTAGTTATAATGATTTAAAATTCACAATCTGAAACTGCAATCACTGTGCACCAACCTAATACATAAACCCCTGACTTTAGTCAGGAGTAGGGGGAGGACTTGAGGTTTGGCTAATGTCTCTCTGGCTCACATTGCCCATAATATAATAAAGCCTTCTTCACCAGCAATATTCAGTGTCTCAGTGATTGGCTTTCTGTGAGAGGGGGAACAATGGGATCTAGACTGAACTCCTGGTGTTTGGTAGCACTTGGTTTGGTTAAATTATTTTTTTAAAACCCCCAGTCTGATTTTTTCTTCAAGGATTGACTTAAATACCACCTACTCCAAGAAGCTTTCCCTGACCTCTCCAACTAAAATTGAATTTTCTTTCTTCCTAACTTCAGCAGAAGTTAAACTTCACATGTGACACTGAAAAGGTTCAACCTTGTATTAAAATTATCTATATATGTGTCTCATCTACCCTATTAAGTAGAAATTATTTGAGGGCAGAAGGTTTTTATGATTGTTTTCTATCCTACTTAGCATCTAGCTTAGCTCCTTGGAACAGTAGTAGGCATTCAGAAAAACTTGTTCTTATTTGATTTGGCTTGCTGAAGAAAAACAATAGCACCACTTAATAATCAGAAGAGATAGAAATGCATGCAAAAAATTCCTACCCTACAGTGGAATGCAGCGTCTTTAACAAAACGCTTCCTGATTCTTAAAGTGCTCCCTCCTCAGCAAACTGCTGGTTTGACCTACACTAAAACTTCATCATCAGGCATAGGCTCCCCATTTCCCTGATTTATTATAAAGGATTAAAGTGCTCACTGGTATTTACTTTTGATGATTTATGCCTAGATTGTATGTATAGTCAGCGTGGAAGAAATATTGAAGGGTGTATTCACACCAGCATTTTTCAGAAACAGCCTGGCTGAGTGTGGATTGGCAGTGCATAATAAAAAGAAGCAGGAGAGCCAGTCTCATTTTCAATTGCAATAATCCCACTCTGTACTGGTTGCAGGATAGAGACGCTCTTTATCCATTTTTTTATTTATTTAGCCAATCAATAAGTCATTATTCTCTGAGTTAGTCAAAAAACATCTTTATGTGGGCACGAACTGGGTAGTGCCTTCAAGGCCTTTCTGATAATTGGTATCATTACAACTAAAATCCAGTGGAATTCCTTTATAATATTCATGCCAATGGACAGACCTAGTATCCTTCTTAAATAGTAGTCAAAAATCTCAATATTAACATGCTATCTTTTCTAATTATTAACTGTGGGTATGTCCAATATTAATAGGCATACGCCATCCTTCACAATTGAAAAAAAGAAAAAAAAAAGGAAAGCAGTTTCTGTGCAAGAACAAGTTTGGAAAATACCAGGTTAAAGAGCTTCTTAGATCTTTTAATATATGAATGTGTTTCTGTAATCACAGGTTTGATCTTTGTGTGCTTTACTTATCAATACTCTTTGGAAACAAATAATACATATTAGGTTTTTATTGTGCAGACATATTTTGAGAATGAAGGCTGTATCTTTATATGCAAGTCTATATGATAATTTATGCTATAAGTTTGTCTCATTGTAATCAATATCTTCTGTCAGCTTAGCAAACATTTTTTTCTTTGAAAAAATGATGTGTAAGATGTGATAATTCACGTGTTAATTGGGTGTGTGAGTCAATTCTGTGATGGAAGCAGAACTGCTATCAGCGTTGCAGAATAAGGAATTTATTGTAGGAATACCAGTTCCCACAATTGTAGGAGTCACTGAGGGATGGGGATCTGAAAGGAGTTAGAGGATCATAGAAAAGTCAGTAACAGGCCTTTTTTTTTTTTTTTTTTTTTTGACAGAGTCTTACTCTGTCACCCAGGCTGGAGTGCAGTGGCGTGATCTTGGCTCACTGTCACCTCTGCCTCCCGGGGTCAAGCGATTCTCCTGCCTCAGTTTCCCGAGTAGCTGGGACTACAGGTGCCCACCACCACGCCGGGCTAATTTTTGTATTTTTAGTAGAGACGAGTTTCACTATGTTGGTCAGGGTGGTCTTGAACCCCTGACCTTGTGTGATCACGAGGCCTTGGCCTCCCAAAGTGCTAGCAGGCCTTCTAAACCCAGAAACAGCCAGTTGCTGGAGTAGGACAGGAAGTGCTCATAAAGAGGTCTCTGGAAAGCTATTCTGTTTGTGTGTCTTGGGTCACGGTTGGTCAGCAAAACTAGCAGATGGGAAGGAGAAATAGATCTGGAGTGAAAGAGAATGAGGAAAGGCTGGAATCTGCTGGTCCCTTTGCACCTGTCGTTCACGTAAGTGATTGCAGTGACTTTCAAAGTGTAATGGTGACTGCTTTGCTTCTGACATCCAAATCTCACGCGTACTTCTCTTTTGGCCAACTCTAACAAGAAAATACATAGGAAAGGGGATTGTGGGAAATTTAGTTCCAATGTAGGTAAATTGACAGAATAAAACTGCCACAGTGAGATTTGGAATATATTCCTAAATTTCTATCAGAAAAATATACTTTGTACCTGATGTCCTAGTTCTAGTCTCAGCTCTGCCATTGCTGTTATGTGACCTTGGGCTAGTGACTTAACACCTTTGGATTCAGTTTCCTTTTTTGCTAAATAAGAGAGGCTGCAGAGTCTCCTGGTTTTAAGATTTAAAGAGAATTGTGGCATTGTCAGCCCACTCTTGTGAATACAATACATTAACATAGATTTTGTAAAAGCATAATAAAGATCCTATTGGAGTGTAATAAAAACAAGATACAAGTCTGGAAAAAATTATTAGTTCCTGCCGTACTAGAATAAGAACTAAGGAGACATTGATTAAGTTCTGTAACTATGTAAGCAAATTTAAAACAGAAAAATAATTTCCATTTCATTCCAATCTGGAGTTGTTGGTTTTTTAAAAAATTTACCTCCCAATGTCATTTCTCCCAAAATTATATGTTGTCCTTTTTTTCTAAGAGGTTTCAAATGATTGTTTTTTTGCATTGCAATTTCTTCAGTGTGTTACAAGAGATACAATTTGCTTCATTGGTTAAGTTAATTTTTATGTGAATTTAAGTAATTAATAAAGAAAATAGTTCTGATAACATTGAAAGGAAATTGCTTTTAAATTAAAGAGCATGTATATATAACATAATTACTTTTGTCAAACATTTATGGGGCACCTACTATTTGCCAATCACTCTGCTAACACTGACAATACAGGTCAAGAAAATACAAGCAGCTGGCAAGTCCAATGCACAAAAATCCACACAGATAATTTCAGTATGAGAAGCTGGCTTCTATGATAGATTTAGTCATGCAATATTATGAGAGGAGAGAAGAAAGCCAGGAAAGATGTCTTTGAAGAAATGGCATCTGAAGTGAGGTGACCATTTCCTCTTAGTTGTTTGTTACAGTTTAATGAAAGTATTTTCCCTGATGAAGGGAAAATAATACAAAAGAGGACTGTAGTGACAGAAACATCAAATAAGAAGAGGCTAGAGAAATATGGCTTATTGTTGGATTGTGTGCCAGGCCTTGGGATGAGCACTTCACTTAATCCCAGTAGAAATCCCATGAATTAAAACTACTATTAAGTTATTTTGTTAACGTCAGATACAAAGGAGGAGTAGGTAAGAATCCAAGCCGGGGTGATAGGAAGAGGCTGAGGCAGAGAGTGCCTTTCTCTAGTGGATACTCTTGGGCTTGATTTCTAAAGGAGGAGATTAAAAAAAAAGGATTTGGCACAAGTTTGGCATAATCAGATTTGTGCTTTCAAACTTTCTGACAGATACTTGGAGAATGAGTTGGAATGGGTTTGCGCTGGCAAGGTGGGAACCAATTAAAAAGTAATAGTAATAAGCCAAGCCTACCTTAGGAGAGTGATGGAAGAAATGGAGATGAGGGATACATTTAAAAATTATTTAGAAAGCAGTTTACTATATGGCATGATTAAAAACATACAGCTGTGGGAAAATCCAATTTAGTAATCCATTTCATCGTTAAAGTAATTATGACTGGGCACGGTGGCTCATGCCTGTAATTCCAGCACTTCGTGAGGCTGAGGCAGGAAGATCCCTTGAGGCTAGGAGTTCAGGGCTGCAGCGAGCTATGATTTCACCACTGTACTCCAGTCTGGGCAAAGCAAGACCCTGTCTCTAAAATAAATAAGTAGATGAATAATTATGAATCTGTATACCTTGTAACATATAAATTATGACTAAAATCAAATTGTAGTTTCAGTCTATTTTTAGAGCTTGATTGCTCAATTTCTGTGCCATCAAACTTCAACGTAGTTGAGCAGACACAGTTCACGTCACAGACACTCTCAACTAGCAGACCTTATATCTTCGTTCCTTCTTCATTATTAAAAGAACTATCATGGGGTAGCAATCCACACAGCTGAAAATATAACACTTTATTCTCCAGCATTTCTTGTGGTTAAAGGTAGCTCTGTGACATCATTTTGTCTAATGAAATGTAAGTAGGAGTCTACTGGAATTTCTGGGAAGATTTTCTTTTAATCATGACAAATACACCACATTTATTTTGCTTCCTGCAATCCAGCTGCAATGACCATACATGCAATTGCCATTTGTGATCACATACCAAGAATGGTAAAGTAGGAAGATTGAGGGAGCATGGTTGTTTGAACATCTGCACCAGATCTCAATTGCCAAACTTAGGCCTCTTGTTATTTGAGAAAATAAATCTCATTCTTGGTTAACCACTGGTTTATGGTTTTTATTACATATAGCTCAATGTATCCTGACTATTGGTTGCAATCGTATTACCTTCCCCAAAAGACAATCTCAAAAGTAGCAGATTTAGGAGGAGATAGTACAATAACTTATCTTCTATGTTTATCCAGCCAACCCATGCCGACATTCTCCAAGCAACTGAATATTCTGGGGGAGACAGTAGTACTGTGTAAACAATATAAACATTTGTTCCTTTCAGTAGGTGAAATATTTCAGTAACTTTTCTCAGTGACCCATTATAAGAAGAAGATACAAAAAGCTTTTGGTGCACTTTGTGAAATTATGTTTAATGGGAAGAAAAAAACAAAGTAAGGTGGAAGTCTTAAAGAAAAGTTCAAGAAGGGCCTAAAACATACACTAGGCAAGACTGAATTCTACCACCTAGTTAGAATGATGTCAACAGAAGTGCCAAAAGGAAGGGTAGAGAATAAGATCAAGCTAGCTCATTCTTTTCTTGAGCTAGAAAGAATACACTTGAAGACAGAGGTTGAAAAGCAATTATCTTACACAATTTTCTTAAAAGACCTTGAGGCACGGACTTTCCTTGGAGATCATTTTCAATTTCTTACTCCATTTTTTTAAGCTGCGTTTTAAAGTAGACCCCAAAGGTCACAGAACAAGAAAACGTTACCAATGGCTTACATACAAAGTGGAACACACTTTTTGTTATAGATTAAAATTTGCTGTCTCTCAGTAGTAAAAATATGTGCAAATCTGTTAAAGAAAACATGATCAAGATAGACTTATTTGAACTAAAACAAATAAAAACAAACAAAGATGTTTAAATAATACAGATAGATGGACTTTTTCAACAAACGATGAAGGAACAATTGGACACCGACATGTAAAAAAGAAGATTCTAGACATAGACTTAATACTTTTCATAAAAATTAATTTAAAATGGATCATAGATCTAAATGTAAAATATGAAATTATAAAACTTCTAGAAGATAACAGAGAATTATATCTTGGTGACCATTGGTTTGGTGATGAGTTTTTAGGTATAACACCAGAGGCATGATCCATGAAATGAAATAATGATAAGATGAACTTTATTATAATTAAAAACTTCTGCTCTGCCAAAGACACTGTGAATAGAATGAATAGATAAGCCACATAGTGGGAAAAATATTTGAGAAACACCTGTCTAATAGAGAATTGTATCTAAAACATACAAAACACCCAAAACTCAACACTAAGAAAGCAAACAATCCAATTAAAACATGGACAAAAAAATCTGGACACCTCACCAAAGAATACATACAGATGGCAAATAAGTATATAAAAAGATGTTCAGCATCATATGTCATAAGAGAATTGCAAATTAAAAAAATGAGATACCAGTACATACACATTAGAGTTGACAAAATTCATACAATTCACAATCCCAAATGCTGACGAGGATGTGAAACATTAGACACTCCCAATCATTGTAGGGAATGTAACATGACACAGCCACGTTGAATGACAATTTGACAGTTTCTTGCAAAGCTAAACGTAGTCTTACCATAGAATGATACAACCATTCCCCTAAGTATTTATCCATTTCATCTGAAAATTCATGCCCACACAAAAATTTTCACATGAATGTTTATAGTAGCTTTATTCATTACTGCCCAAACTGGAAGCAAGCAAGATGTCCTTCAGTAGTTGAACAGAAAAACAAATTGTGTTATACTCATATCATGGAGTATTACTCAGTGTTAGAAAATGAGTTATCAAGCCACAGAATTACAGGAAGGAAATAAAAATGTACACTATTAAGTGAAAGAAGTCAATCTGAAAGCCTACGTGCCATATGACTCCAGTGATATGACATTCTGCAAAAGGCAAAACTTTCGATACAGTAAAAACATCTGCAGTTGGCAGGAGTTTACAGGGGTTGGGAGGAAGACAGGTGGAGCACAGATTTGCAGAGTGGCAAAACTATTCTGTATATTATAATGGTAGATACATGACATTATGCATTTGTCAAAACTGTATAATACAGAGTGAACCTTAATATATGCACTTTACTTGATAATAATGTGTCAATATTGGTTCTTTAATTGTAACATATACCATATTAATGCAAGATGTTAATAATAGGGGAAAGGGTGTATGGGCTAGGAGAGTATATGACAACTCCATACCAGCAGCTTATTATTTTTTTTTTGTAAACACAAAACCACTTTTAAAATAAGGAATCCATTACCTTAGAAATCTTAATTTTAAAAGATTAGAGCAGTAATTTAATGTAAGTAGCACCCGCAATTGCCAACAGGAAAGAAACTAATGTTGATCACCTTAAGGCCACATTCTTTCACTATGCTTACAGATTCTTAGAAAAAACCTTGAGAGTAAAAATGTATTACTCTAATTTTTACAAATAAAGGCACTAAGTCTTAGAATTTCTGCTAGTCACCTAAGGTCATATAGCTAGGAACTCTCAGAGCTTGCCCCAAATCCAATTCCTTTTGATGGTAAATTCCAAAGCTGTCCAAGTACACCACAATTTGGTAGTTACAAGTGTGGGTTCTTCAGTGAGCAAAACTTACTTCACATCCCAGCTCTGCCATTTTCCAGCTAGGTAACTCTAGGCAATTTACTGATCTTTGTAAACCTCGATCTTCCTAGTCCCAAAATAACTTAATAGTTCCACTTCATGGGATTATTATTGCAAATAAATAAAGCTACTAGCCCAAAGCCTGTAACGCATTTAATGGTCACTAAAAAGTTATCTGCTATCATCATTATCAACATCATCACCTGTAACACTGGCAGTGGATGAATTAATGAACCTTGAGAGGAAAAATGTATTACTACAAGGAGCTGTCAAGTAGCTGTCATGTGGAAGAGTCCACAGTTACCAAAAGCAGATAATAAATTTTTACAAAAAGAACAGGTACACAGCTAGCCATAGCTGGAGCAAGTCTAGGCTCACCCTACTCTTCATCTTTCTTCTTTCCCTCAGTATCATTATGTAGATAAAGTCAGAGAGAAAAAAATAACTTATGGATCTATAACTTTAAAGGAAAAATCATAAAAGGACAGCAGCAACCAGCCTGAACCGCATCCCTCCAATGCAGGGGAGAAGGCAGGGACCTAGACAGCCATCCCCAGGCCTGGGCAACCATCCCTGGAACAGGGGCTGCCAGGCCAGACCCCCCCATAGCCAGCATCTCAGCCATCCCCACTATGCTCCCCAAACCCCTTCCCAGCTTGGGGGTAGGGGGGTGAATGTGGAACAAGAAAAGACTTTTTCCTGCTTGACCCTGGTGATAAGCAGGGTGGGAATGATTCATTAAAATCATGTAAGAATTTTATCTTCTGGGCTTTTAAATCAGAAACCACCAGAGATGACTTCCCATCATGATGCTTCCCCAAATTACAGGTATGACTTGCAGTTTGAAGTTCTTATGATACTTATGAAATAGACTTACATTCCAAATAAGTAGGAAAAGGACTTGAATGAATAAATGAATTAATGATAACTCCCTCACTCTCACTTCAATAAGGTTGCTTTTCCTGGTGTGCCCCTAGAAACAACTCACATTTACCCACCTCTCTGGGAGAGTCTGGGTATAAGTGAACTGAGCTTTGGAAGGATCAATGACCCACTGAATTTCTCCATGTCTGTGTGTCTTGTATAAGATCCTGTGAAATTGAATGCCTTCAAAAATTTAGTACAAGGAAAGTTTCTCTCATGTGAGGAATTATTACATTTCCTTTAATCAATTAGTGAGAATATGTGATCCATTATTTCTCTTTTTCTTTTGGCTACCAGGAAGGTCAGAGCTAAAGACAATGCTCATTGCCCTCTGATCCTAGATTTTGGGTAGAATTATTTCTACCCCTTTTGCTTCCTTCTGATCTTTTTTTTTTTTTTTTTGCTTTTATCTTTTATTTTCTCATGAGTTTATTAAAAGCAATTTCAAATATATTTTGGAAGCATGGGAAGTATAAATTATAAATGAATAAAAATAAAAAGATAACCATCATTATGTATTTTAGAATTCACTTGATTTTTCTACTGAAATAAGGCCTTGGGCATGAGTTAGTAGTTAATATTAATGTGTAGAAATGAAGGCTTGCATTGTTGGTCTCCCTTTGTGTGATCTGTGAACAGCAGCTCTTTATTCAAACTATTTTAAGAGTTGAGCTCATATCATTAATGATTCAGGTGCACTAATCAAATCATAAACCCCAAATCCACATTGATTTCAATCTCTATTCAGGACACTAGGGAAAATAATCAGTGTTTGCTGAAGGAATGAGGAAGACTGAAGAGGAAATAAATGTTATTTTAAAAACCCCTTTGAAATATATTACATGGCAAGGAATATTTGACAGCTATTTTAAAGGTAATTGATAGCTTTTCTTTAAAAAATCTCATATTCCTTATTACTGATGACAATTATGCCATAATATATTTAGAAATTTTGGTATAAAATTGTTTTAATTTAATTTAATTGTTTTAAGAATATTACTTAAGTTTATCTTAGTGGTGATTAGCAAGAATTAGAATAGTCTTAATTTCTTACAGAGCTCTTATGGAGTATGCCCCAGGTGTTTTGTGACCAGATTTCAATGGCACTGCTAATTAATTTAACAAATCTTATAGGAACAGAGGATGACTTAATAATGGTAAAAGTCATAGTCACATTTTTAAAGAACTTACAAGATGTCAGGCACTGTGCAAACAATGTTATATGCATCGTTATACTAAATGCTCACACAAGAATGATTATTATCTCTGTTTTTCAGATGAGTAAAGGCTTAGAAATGCCACTCAGCCCAAAGTGACAGAGTTAACATTTAAATCTACAATTTTAATTATTATGTTCTACTGATTTGGAATTTATCCTGTCTTCATTTTCACCACTTCTTAAATGTAATTATTCTTGAAGTTTTGTCTATTTTACCTTTTAAATATTTATTAAATCCATTTTATAATCTTCATTGATATTCATCCTGGTTCAGATTGTTTTTTTTTTTATTCCAGAACTAATGCAAAAACCTTATGCAGGGATTTCTAGCATAGTGGAGTGAGGAGGCCACTGTATAATATTCTCAAAAAGTAGCTATAAAACTGCAGAAACTTTTCGAAAACAACCATTTCAGAGACCTGGAAATTGGCCAATGATTTAAGATAAGTGAGAAGCTCTTAGAGAAAATCGACTAAACTTTAAATAAGGACAGTGGAAATCCAAGGCATTCTTTCCTGTGGCTGTATCCATTTAGATAATAAACAGCAAAATGGCAAATGTAAATCTAACGTATCAATAATTATGTAAAATGTGAATGGGCTAAGCACCTAACTCAAATGCAGACATTGACAGACTGAAAACAAAAAGAATAAGGACCAACTACATGGTGTCCACAAGAGACACACTATAGATTCAAAGACCTAAGTTGAAATTAAAAGAATGTGAAAAAACATACCATACAAACAATAATCATAGTTGATCTAGAATTACTATTTTAATGTCAGAAATAATTGACTTTAAGACAAGAAATATTACTAGAAAAAAAGACATTTTATGATAATAAAGGTGTCAATTTTTTAGGAAGATATGGCAACTATACATATATACACATACCTAACAGCAGAACTTCTAAATATAAAAGGCAAAAACTAAGAGAGTTAAAGAAGAAATAGAGACCTGAATAATAATAGTTTGAGATTTTCCAACCCTACTCTCAAAAATTGATACACAAACTAGGCAGAAAATTAGCAGGCATATAGAAGATGAACAATACTATCCACCACCTTGATCTTGCTGACATTTATAGAACATTAACCAACACATAGATAAATAAATATTCTTTTCAATTGCACATAGTAAATTCTCCAGGTTAGAAAATATGTTACAAGTCTTACCACAGAAAAAAGCCTGGAAATAATACCAATCCAGTAGCAACATGCACCCCTAAAGTCTCCATTGTACCTTCCAAATACAACTTGTCACTAAAAGGTACCAGGCTACCTACAAGAAATGACTGATTTCAGCTTGGGCAGAAAATGTTCATGATCAGACAAGGAGCATTATGTTTTATCAGAAACCAAGAAATCTATCAAAGACAACTGGAGTAAAACCAAACAGATATAGGAGCCAGTATGATGGGACTCACATTGGCTGGCATCAAGAGAATATGGCATAAGAAAAATAATACTCAAAATGAATTAAAACACATTAATTATATAAAAGTTCATGAATTCAAAATTAATGAACACAACAAAATTTCAGTGGGACTATTGAGGGTTTTTGGAGCACTAATTCATCATTCTGAAAACGAATACCTGTTTGGTACCACAGAGTGCACAGAATTAGTAAGATGTTCTTTACAAAATAATTTCAACTATTAAATGCAGAAAGCACCATATAAAATCACCATCATCACATGGGTTTAGGCACTGATTATTAAAAGCTACTAAAACCGACAGTGGCTCACGCCTATAATCCCAGCAGTTTTGGAGGCCAAGGTGGGTGGACGTCTTGAGAACAGGAGTTCGAGACCAGCTGGGCTACATGGCAAAACCCCCTCTCTACAAAAAGTACAAAGATTAGCCAGGTTTGGTGGTGTGCACCTGTAATTCCAGCTACTTGGGAGGCTGAGCCAAGAGAATCACTGGAACCCAGGAGGTGGAGGTTGCAGTGAGTCGAGATTGCACCACTGCACTCCAGCCTGGGCAACAGAGTGAGACTCTGTTTCAAAAAAATAAAAAAAGCTACTAAAACCTTAAAATAACAGTTCGATGAGAGACTTAAAGGAAGACTGGGCTCACATCAACTGAACCCACTAATTAATTTCAACTTCACAAAGAGATCAATGAGACATTATGTACCTCCTGAAGTGATCTATTAGGAAGGACACAGCACAACCTGTGAAGTATTCTGGCTAAAAGAATTGGTCTTAAATCTAATCAAACTTCTGGAATATATCTACTGGTTTACGTGAAATACAGGAAATACACTCCCATATTAAATGATATCACATGGATATGATCAGCCAAGTCATGGGAATTTCTATGGAACAAACGTCCCACTTTCTTCAAAAAACAAATTACATTTTAAAAAATGGATGAGAAGAGAAACTGTTTTCTATTAAAAAAAAACTCATCGGAATCGTAACACCCAAATGACACATGGGGAACTTGCTTAAAGTTAGATTCTAATTTAAAAACTCTAAAAGAATGTTTTTTGACATGATCAGGGAAATAAGTATATGATCTGGAGATTAGATGTTGTTAAGGAATTAATATAAATTTAGCTTGGTCTATAACATTATTTATCAGTGATAATACTGAAGCATGTACAGGTGAAATGCTACCATAACTGAGACTTGCTTTAAAAGAAACATGGAAGGCATAAATGAAAATGTTGATAATTGTTGAAGCTAGTTAGTTGGTACATGAGAGTAATTATGCTCTTCTCTGTACTGTTGACATGATGAGAAATATTAATAACAAAACATTTAAGAGAGTGGTTTTGTTTTGATAATCAATTTTCTTCAAAGGAAATCAAATTTTTCTTCAAGGGAAAATATATATACATATATATACTTTTTTTTTTTTTTGAGTGGAGTTTTGCTCTTGTTGCCAAGGCTGGAGTGCAATGGCACCATCTCAGCTCACTGCAACCTTTACCTCCTGAGTGCAAGTGATTCTCCTGCCTCAGCCTCCCGAGTAGCTGGGATTACAGGTGCACACCACCACACCAAGCTAATTTTTTGTATTTGTAGTAGAGATGGGGTTTCACCATGTTGGTCAGGCTGGTCTTGAACTCTTGACGGCTGGTGATCTACCTGCCTTGGTCTCCCAAAGTGCTGGGATTACAGGCATGAGCCACTGTGCCAGGCCAGGTGAATAGATTTTAAGCAGGAATTATGTCTTGTAGTCCTAAAAGTTTCTGGTCTTTCAATGCTACCAAAACTGACTATGGCTGTTTGCCACTTAAGGAACCAGTAAATTAGGTTAATCGTCATTGTTACTACATCCTAAGCACTTTACATTTAGTACTTTATTTACTATTTAAAACAATCCTGGGAACTAGTGTGGCAGAGATGACTATTTTACAAGATCATTCACACTCCCCTTTCATGGAGTTGATTTGCGTTTGGAAGCTTCAGGGTCTATGTTTTCAGCCACTTTTGGATTTAGGTGTGGTCATATGACTAGTTTTTGACATTAGTCATATGTATTTCAATAGGAGTGATGAGTATCTCTCTGTGCTAAGTGCAATGCTCCATATTTTCTCTTCCTTCCACCTACATTCTCATCTGATGTTGGGATGACATCAGGACAGCCTTGAAGCCATGGAATGTGAAATCATGAGATACAATCAGCTTGAGTCTAAGTCACTGCTGGAATGAAGTTACCTTAAAGATCATACCAACCAGGAATGTTTACATAAATTGAAATATATGAAGCAAGAAATCAACTTACTGTGTCAAGCCACTGAAATTTTGGGGTGAGTTGTTACAGCAGACTGCCTATCCTGATTAATGAGGTCGTGCCTTATCAATCCTATTTTAAAACAAGGAAATCAAGATGGAAAAATGCTAGATAATTTGCATACAGAAAAACAATTGTAAATGAGAGCCAGAAGCTGAACCTTGGTCACCTAATCCTTAAGAATATGCTGTTAACCACCACGCTATGCCGAAATGTCTGTTACTAAGACTTTCTGGCCTATAGCCCAACATCCTTATTACCTTACTACTTCTTACATTTTATCTTAAATCCTGGCTTCAAATTCTAGATCGCTTTTCAAAATCCTTAGCTTTGAAACTAAGCCTAAGGCTTTCTCAAATCATATCCTTTTAAACTGACTTAAACAAACAAACAAACAAACAAAATGTCCTAACCTTTCCCCTCAAAATAAGTTGGCCATAAAAATTTCTTACTTCAAGAACTTGAGCTACTGGTCCAAGCAAAAATTATTTTCTCTGGAAAAGCTTGCCCAAGGAAAACACACTGCGATCAGTACTTATTCTACAAATACCTTCTTAAACTAGTTATTCTTACATTGTTGAGATCAGTAATTCCCAAAGATTGCTCCGCGGTCAGCAGCATAAGCATCAACTGGGGACTTGTGAGAAAGGCAGAGTCTCAGAGCACAACACAGACCTTCTGAATTAGAAACTCTGGGAGTTGAGCCCAACACAATCTCCGCTTTAACAAGCCCTCCAGGTGTTTGTGATACCTGTTAACTTGAAAACCATTAATTTATCTACCCACTTTAAAGCCCTGCTTGTAATGAACACAAACAAATGAAACAAAAAACACTGCTCTGCTTCTCTGTAATCATGTTGTATTTTTACATTGATCTTACAAAACCACTAAATGCCTTTATCCATATATGAACATTAGAGCTTGCCCAGCCTGTGAATCTTAGAATAACTATTTCAACTTTCTCCTGCTTTCTTATCTAAACACCTTTTCATTTTCACAGTTTTCTTCCCATCAACCTTCTCCCTCCAGTGCTTTTTATGTTGTTGCAGTTGCTTCTCCCTAAATTCTCTTTGGCGTTGCTCTTTCTTTAGGCATGAAATTCAACCTCCATTTTGCTGTGTTGATTTCACTCTCACTCTCTGCCGTTGCACTCTTACTTTCGTTTACTTCTCCATAAAGGCTTCACATTATAGGGTTACCTGCTTCCTAAGGACACATCTCAAAATATGGACATCATGAAGTCATTACCAGTTTTACCTACTGGCCATCTAGCTCACTGATATTCTTTGTTATATCTTCATAACGCCTACTTTTTTTTTTTGAAAAAATGGTACCATATATGCGTAGAAGAGTGTACCTAATTCTAATCCTTACTTCAGAGCACACTGTTGTCATTGGTCTATACAAAGTCCCTCTCATTTAATTACACATATTTTGATTTTCTCCTTATTACTTACCCTATTTTTCTCCCTTTCAAAAGCAACCACATCTGCTCGGTTTGTTACCATTATCATCTTTGTAAAATATGTAATTGTTATGTGTATTTATGTTCGTTTTACATAAATGGTATTGTTTTAAAAAAACCCTCTGTAATCCCAGCACTTTGGGAGGCCAAGGTGGGCAGATCACGAGGTCAGGAGTTCAAGACCAGCCTGGCCAAGATGGTGAAACCCCATCTCTACTAAAAATACAAAAATTAGCCAGGCATGGTGGCGGGTACCTGTCATCCCAGCTACTTGGGAGGCTGAGGCAGGAAAATTGCTTGAACCCAGGAGGTGGAGGTTGCAGTGAGCCGAACCTCGTCACTGCACTCCAGCCTGGGCGACAGAGCAAGACTCCCTCTCAAAACAAAACAAAACAAACAAAAACAAAAAGCAAAAAACAAAACCCTCACCCTGTTTATTTTCACTTCACACTATTTTTCCTTGCTTCGTATGTTGCTGGGTAGAGATCTAGTTTGTGGTTTTTAGATATTGAATAGCGCTCCATGGTATACACCAGCATATTTTACTTACTTTTCCTCCACTCACTGCCAATAGCAGGGCTACTTATCTTACTATGGAAATGTCGTTTGCTTGCACAGAAAATAATGGCTCTTGGCAGAGTGCAGCAGGAGGCCCATCATGCTCATGGGCTAAACAAGACCTGGCTCTGTGGTACTTCTTGGTTTCCGCCTGAGACTATGTCACAGCTCCAAACTGGAAAGATTTATTTCCTTTCTATTTTTATCTCTGTTTCCCACTAAACATGAGGTACTTCAATGTACTTTTTCCCTCTCTATCCTCAAATGAAGAGTGCAGTGGATCATTACTCATTGTACTTATTTTAACAGGGTTCTCCAAATCTGTTTTCTCCTCCCAGTGGTGAATTAGCACTTTTTTTGTTTGTTCAGTTAGATGTTGGCTTTCATTAAAAAAGTGACTCCAACACAATTTCTAACAGTAAATTCTTGGAAAATTAGAGACATTCTTGAATATTTCCCAGGAAAGAGTTAAGAAATGGAATTTCATCCAAAAATAGATGTTGCACTTCATCAAAATAAAAAAAAACTTTTGTGTATCAAAGGACACTATCAACAGTGAGCAAAGGCAACCCACAGAGTGGGAGAAAATATTTGCAAATCATATATCTGATTTTAAAAATTGCTAAAAAAAACTCAAACTAAACAAAGAGATAATCAGTGATTTTAAAAATTGCATAAATAAATATATAACTAGACATCGATTCTAGGTTTTCGGACACCAAAGGAATAAATCTTAATTTCAATTATATGGACACCCCAGATGATTTTTTCAGACATTTTCTTTCTGATTATTGTTCTACCACCCTACCTCAATGAATCTATTGAGTATTAAAATATTTGAGGAAAAATAAAAGTTGGGGTTGTATGGTTAAATGGTAGTCATCTTTATACAACAGTAAATTTAGGATGATGGAGAAGCTTTTTCATTTTATCCTTTAGTAGAGTAGTTTCTAGCTACAATAGTTAATTATTGCTCTTTTCTCCTCTTTTTTCTTATCTTGCTATATTGGCAAATGTAACTTGGTTAACAGGGATACATGTGCCTGTTGTTTGCCAACTTTTCAAAAGATCACCAAAAAATCAGCTGGTTAGGCAAAGCTAAGTATGAGTTGTACTGCAATGAGAGATGTTTGCCCCCCCAACAGAGTCTTAGTAGTGCCGTAAAGAGGAATGCCTACAAAAAATATTTATTAAGTTATGGGGTCTGATATTTATTAAGTTAGGGTCATTCTAGGTGGAAAATTGATCAGGAATAAGCAAGTTTTATGGCATAATAATTTAAAGTTGGTAAATAAAGTGAGGTTAAATAAACCTCAAAATAAAGTGAGTCTTGATAAATCGTTGTTTGACATGCAAACTGTTTGCCAGGTGAACGATACATTGTCTTGAAAGAAGAGCTGTTTGCCCAGATAAGAAAACGATTTTTTTTCAGACAAAATGTGTTACAGGAATTTTCTAAATCAGGTGTATGATTTATTGGTCACCAGGCTTATATTCCTAGGCCAGAATGTGATAGAAAAAATAGTTAAGTCATAGGTGACACTGGCAGCCTCACTTCTCTGTCCTGTTACTCTAAGTGGATGTAGGTGGTCTCAGTCCCCTGCTTCACAGGAACATTCATAAGCTTGAGTTAAAGAAGAGATCTATTAATACCTCATTGGTTAAGGCATTGTGATCATGTACCAACTTTCCAGCAGGTATGATTGCAGTCTCTAAAATAAGCATCGCATTTTCCTGTTCTTTTTGTTGGGTGACTATTTTTAGAATCATTTAATGGATCAGCAGTGGGACAATGGCATTTAAACTTCCAGAAATCACCAATGAGGACTACATACACACAAATACATAATGTTTATTATTAGCGTTTGTAGTCACCTTCTAATCCAGAAGCCAAAAGTGTCTACATTAAGTCAAGAGACCAAAATTGGTCCCCAATATGAAGAGTTCACAGAAATAGCTATGTAAGTATATTAATCAATGTTCTCCAAAGAAACAGAACCAATAGGTTGGATACATTATATAAAGAGATTTATTATCAAAAACTGGCTCATGCAATTAGGGAAGATGACAAGTCCCCAAATCCACAGGGTGTGTCTGCAAGCTGGAGACCCAAGAGAACAGATGACGTAGCTCCAGTCCAAGTTTGAAGGCCTGAGAACTGGGAGAGCTCCTGATGTAGTTCCAGCTAAAGGCTAGCAGACTCAAAATCCAGGAAGAGCCAATGTTTCAGTTTGAGTCTGAAGTCAAAAACAAAAGCTGATGTCCCCAGTTTGAAGGCAGTCAGGAAAGAGGAATTCCCTCTTATGTGGGGCAGGGTCTGCCTTTTTGTTCTATTCCGACCTTCAATTGCTTGAAGGAGGCCCACCCACATAAAGAAGGACAATATGCTTTACTCAGTCTGCCAGATTTAATAATCTCATCCAAAAATATCTTCACAGAAACACTCAGAATAATGGCTGGCAAATAACTGGGTACCCTGTAGCCTACTTAATTGACATATAAAATCAACCACCACAGGAAATATAAATCAAATTACCTAATTTTATCACATCCTCTCCCTATTTTTTGGTCAGATATTTTTTCATAACAGTTAAGATACCATAGAAGACTTTAGGGATATAAGTACAGAACTATTCTCCCAAGATTGCACACATTCCTGTTTGAAAAACTAGTATTATATCTAAAGAGGTCGATTTTGATTTACTTCCCATATAATTTTATGAAAATTGCAGCAGAGGAATTACATACATTTTTTGACATTGCTTCATTTTTCTGCTATGCTTGGAATTACAGCATAGGGACTGGGTACCTAATTTGAAGATCCAGTGCAAAATGAAAATGTGAGGCTCTTTGTTCAAAGATCTGGGGGGAAAAGTGAAGTTAAAGATACTGACATATAAAGTTTACAGGTATTTTATTACTTATGAAATGTAATAGGAGTAGCAATAA
The DNA here is from genome assembly GCF_000001405.40 of Homo sapiens. Lineage (NCBI taxonomy): Eukaryota > Metazoa > Chordata > Mammalia > Primates > Hominidae > Homo > Homo sapiens. The sequence continues at coordinate 176,398,588 of NC_000003.12, read as the reverse complement.
CACATGAATGACAGCTCATGTTGATGCTCAACATGAGTGCTAATGCCAGAATGTTGTGTTTCATTTATTTTATTTTATTATTTTATTTTTTGAGTCAGAATCTCACTCTCTCATCCAGGCTGGAGTGTGGTGGCATCATCACAGCTCACTGCAGCCTTGACCTCTTGAGCTCAAGTGATCCTCCTGCTTCAGCCTCCCAAGTAGCTGGGACTACAGGTGTGCACCACCATGCCTGGATAATTTTTTTTTCTACTTTTTGTGGAGACGTGGTTCCACTATGTTACCCAGGCTCCTCTTAAACTCCTGGGCTCAAGGGATCCTCACACCTCAGCCTCCCAAAATATTGGGATTACAGGTGTGAGCCATTGTGCCCGGCCATGCTTTCTTTTAAAGTGAATTTAAGTTAAGAGGCAGTTACAACTTGGGGTTTATGGCTGTCTGGAATGGAAATAAATTGGGTCATAAAGAGAGATAGGATTAGAGAGTACTGAAAAATACAAGAAAGGGGAAGAGGATAAGTGAGATAAGGGCCGCTATGTTCTAGTTATGATTTGGGGGATATAAAATAGGTAAGCTTGAATTTTTTACATTTTCATGTATGTTGGCCAAGGACTCTTTTTGAGAAATCGTTTTGGAATCAGAATTTATTTGGGGAATTTTTTCACACAAAGTAAAATCCATTCAATAAATATTTTTAATTTTTTGTTCCTTCTTTTTTGTTCAAAGGTGCTTCTTGTAAGAACAACAGCATAATTGTGCCAAAGATAATTAAGAATTCTAGTGGATATTTAGAACTTTTAACAAACTTGTAAACTTTTGGGTGGTAAATAAGCTGTTTACCCAGGTGAACAGTCTGTTGTTCTGATAGGAGAGATTTTGTCCAGGTGAGCAAACTTTTGTCTAGACAAATCTGTTTTCAAGAATTTCTTGAAACAAATAGAGTAGGTATTTATTTTTTGTCTAATAATCTCATTTTTCTCACTTCTCTGCCCAAACAGGAGTTTGAATATAGAACTGAGTCAGACACACAGTATCTGTGAACTTGAGCAAATATTTCAGAAGAAGCAAGAGAATATCAACAAATTATAGTTTAATAAATGACTATTCTTCATCAATATTTACCATAATTGCATGTCCTCTTTAGTTTCTATGCATAAGTCAAGAGTATCTTAAATATATTTAACAAAATTATTAATTCTATAAAAGTTAACTTTGTGATTGATCAGAAGTAAATGGAATAAAAATAGAAAACAGGTGGGACAAAGAAATTGCCTGAATAGAGGAGTTGTAAAAATTTTAAAACATTGATTTGGACTGGAGCCAGAACAATGAGCAAGACATCAGACTGTAACTTATATTTCTTCAGGCCCAGAGCTCCAGGGAAAACTAATCAATAGTACTGTTCTAGGTGTCAGTCTGGCTTGCTCTTATGGAATCTCCAGGGCTCCTAACATCTAACCGGGTAAGCTTTTTCTGTTTGTCTGGAAGCCAAGTTCTCTTGGATATTATGCAATGTAATACTCTGCTCTCATAGATCCTGTTGGTGATGGCTGCTAATGATGCTTTCTACTGTTTCTACCGTTGATGTTCAACACAAGGACTAGCACAAGTGGTATGCTCTGTGTCCTCTCTCAAAGCTATCAGGAGTGTCTTCTTATTGTCAGTGCCACTGTGGGTTGCAGTACTAATGTGCAAAGGTCTTTCATGTCTCTGCTTTTATGTTCATCTTAGTCTCATGGTACCTGAGCATTGTATTTATCGTTAAAAACAGTTATTTTAGCTTTTTTCTCTGTAGGTTTCAAATGTGCCTATGGTGATCCTGGCTAGAGCAAATCTAAGTGTGAACATAATTTTCTCTTTTCTTTGATAACTGCAGGCTTATTGTTGGTCCACATGTTACTGAAATGCCAGGGGTTTTGTCAAAGTCCTGCTGCTTGCTGCACAGAAAACCAATCACTGAGACAATGAGTACTGCCAGGGAAGAAGGCTTTAATCAGGTGCTGCAGCCACAGAGATGGGAAATCAGTCTCAAACCCATCTCCCTCACCAACTAAAATCAAGGGTTTATATAGCAGGAAAGAAATGTAACTACATGCAGGAAAATAGGAATTAGGGAGGTGTAAGGAAGAGGAGTTGGTAATTAGGGAGTAGGTGATAGGTTAGGGAATCATCATGGGTGAGGGGTCTGGTGTCTTCATTTTCCAGATGCAGTGGTATAGTTCTTTAATTCTCTCTGGGAGGCCTGATGCTTGGTTTCTTGAGAAAGGAACTCAGATAAGAAAACTGTCACTTTCTCAAGTTTTAAGACTGAGAGGATCAACTGCTATGTTTATTAAAAATAAATCATAAACATCAGTTCTTTGGGACAATTCGGCTGGTTTCATATATTTGCTACTTCACTTTCCTATTTAAGAAGTGTTTTCCAGAATCATCTTCAACCCATCAAGCAGATAGACACTTGGCACATGCTCCCACTTGTCTTCAACCATGCTATGAAATATCTAAATTCCAAGGAAGAAACAATAGCTTAAGTAGGGGTATAAGCGCTCAGTTAAAATTGGAGGATGCCTACCTGAAAGCAGGATGCCTGGAAAGGGGTTCAGTCATGAGATTTCAGGAGATGGACCTTGTGGGGAGAGATATGAAGCATAGTGTCATCAGGGGTTGCTGGTAAGAACACAAGAGGATATGGTGTCAGCAAGCAGAGACATTCTGTCCTTGGAGACCAAGGTCTGTGGGAGAGAAAGAAAAACTGAGGCAGAGTGAGAGCATGTGGTAAGAAAAATGCACTCTCAGATATTAAAGTCTCCTAAAATATGGCATCTAAAAGAACTGAGTAGCTGTGTAACCTTGGACAGACAACACTGTTACCTCATATTTATTTGTTTTCTAATTTAAAATGAAAAAGTTTGAAGTAAGTATTCTCCAAGCTCCCTTTAGTTACAAATTTGAATTCATGGGAAAGAAAACCAAATTAATCTGCTAAACTGGGTAAAGACAGAGCCTAACTACACCATGAATCTGATCTTCTTACAATTTATAATAGAAAGATTCTCTACTGCAATAAACTAGTTTTCTCTTTCTGGTACTCTCTTTGGTAGACTAAGTATATAATCATTTGGATGATTCATAAGTAAGTGGTATGCTAAGAATTAAGGGCTATGTTTTATTTTCAATAACTTAAGTCTTTTAAAGATTTAAATCCCTTTAACATCTTAAGTGATACAGAAAGAAGAACACTGAATAAGGAGATGAGCTGCTATTTAGAGGCAGAGAAGGCATTTCATTAAAGTAGTAGAAAGGTCGGGGATATTTACGGTAAAAATAGTTCAGATTTCTACTAGAGGCATTTTGTAGAAATGAGGCATATACATTTTAAGTACTGAAAATTGCAGCCAAACATAATTTGTATCTATATGCTAGAATTTCTGGCAACAAACACACTTTCTAGTTTCTGTGTAAAATAATGCTGGGGACAGGAAAAAAAAATACCTTAAGTATTTGTTCCAGAATATAATTTCTCGTAGACGGTAAGACTGTGAACCAACCTGAAAAAGCGTACACTTTGATCGTCAAGCCTAGTTTTAAGACTCTAGCTTTGCTATATACATTTCAATACCTTTTTTTTTTTGCCCAATTCCAACCACTCTCTGTCTTGAAATATCTGCCTTCACCGGGGACTGTTGTGGGGTGGGGAGACGGGGGAGGGATAGCATTAGGAGATATACCTAATGCTAAATGACCAGTTAATGGGTGCAGCACACCAACATGGCACATGTATACATATGTAACAAACCTGCACATTGTGCACATGTACCCTAAAACTTAAAGTATAATAATACAAAAAAGAAAAAAGAACAAAGTGACTGTAACACAGCTTCAGGCAGGTCCTTCAGGAGGTATTTCAGAAGAAGGCATTGTTATTCCAGGAGATGACAGCTACATGCGTGTTATTGCCCCTGAAAACCTCCCAGTGGGACAAGATATGTTCTGTGTCTTAGTTTTTAACAAAAAATTTTAAAAAGTAAAAAATAAAAATAAAAAATTTTTAAAATAGAAAAAACTTGTAGAATAAGGATACAAATAAAAAATTTTTGTACAGCAAAAAAAAAAAAAAAAAAAAAAAGAAATATCTGCCTTAAAATCTCCTATCCCAGGCCCATTGGATGTATGCTCTGATTTCCATATTTTGAGGCACTACTAAGATTGGCACAGTGATGGTCTCTCTGTAGTAAGGTGCTATTTTGGGAGATCTAGGTTCACATCATAAACTTTATGTAATTTATAAACTAAATGGCTAGTCTACATCATAAACTTTATTATAGTTAGTGTTTCTGTATCTACAGGCATACTTTTTCTAAAGTTTCTTTGGTGTGAAATGCTTAAATTCCTGACCTTGAAAATATCATTTTCATATGTAAAGCTAATTTTATTTTTAAAATGCTTCCAGCTGGGTTTATTGCTCAAAAATAAGATTCTGTTATCTGCCCTTAAGTTAAAAAAAAAATTACCCTGTCAAATCTTCCTGCTATGATTTAAATATTCCCTCCATGTTGAGGTATGAGTAAAAAAAAAATTAAAAAGTCATTCTGGGAAATTAACCAAAATCTATAAATTTGGAAAGATTTTTGTTTGGCTGCAGGAAGCTCTGTACCAGTGATAGTGAAGTTAGCACAAGATTTGTTTTCTAACAACCTTAATACTTCTTTTCTAAAAGAAAGCCCTGGAATTTAGGGGGTCAGTCTAGTCCTAAACCTGGATATAAAATGAACAAGATAGCAAAGGAATAACAACAAAAACAAAGTTTCCCCAGAATCCTATTTTGTTTTTCACAGAGCTTAGGAATTTGGATTTGTTGTTGTTAATTCTGCTAACATTAGACTCCTTACTCCTAAACCTCTAAGAAGGGGATGGAGAGAGCTTGGGGTTCCTCCCTCATGATAGGCCTGCCTCTACACTCTGTGCCCTCAAGTGCAAAGAAATGGTTGAGTCAACTTCCTTGAAATGATAGACCAAATTCTGGGGATGTTAGAGGGAGTTAGTGCCTGAGACTGGTATATATAACTGCTTCTCTAAAAGTGTGTTTTATTTTGGAAGCCACAGAATGAAATACTAGAGAATGATTAAAGGCAAGTCTTCATCATGGAGAAAATAATTTTACCTCCTTGATTTTTGTGTTACATTTACATTCTTTGGAGATATTTAATATTTCTTTTTTCTTTATCCTAACTATATATTTTCCCTTCTAAATATTCTAGTTATCATTTACGTTCTTGCCATGTATGTATACGGAAAAGGCATATCAAGTCATGCCTTCACTGACTAACTTGATCGGTGACTCTGCACTGAGTTCTAAAATTATTTTAGTTAGTACCTAATATTTTAAAATTAAAAATTTTTATAAAAACATTTTGAGTTCTGGGCTCTGTTAAAAAATCACATGGGCCAGTGTATGGTAGCTCATGCCTATAATCCCAGCACTTTGGGAGGCCAAGGCAGGAGGATCAGTTGAGCCCAGGAGATTGAGATCAGCCTGGATAACATAGTGAGATAGTGATACAAAACAAAACAACACCAACAACACCAACAAACAGACCAAAACTAGCCAGGCATGGTGGTGCATGCCTGTTGTCGCAGCTACTCAGGAGGCTGAGGCGGGAGGATGGCTTGTAGTGAGCCTTTATCACACCACTGCACTCAAACGCAGGTTAACACAGTGAGACCCTGTCTCAAAAAAAAAAAAAAAAAGAAGAAGCTGAAAGTACTGGGCCTATGTTCTTACCCGGCAATGATTGCCTGGGCTGAGTAAGAGTTGATTTCTTCAGACAGGGACTATATTGTCTAGTCCACCAATATTGCCACCACTTCCTATTTTCCTTTACATACTGTCAGACATATTCTTTGCATTTTCTGTCTGTCTATTGCAGTTATTTGAATGTATGGCCCTTTATATGGAGGAAGAAAAGGGCAGCATTCAATGAGGCCAATGAGTTCAGTAGTACCAAGATCCTACAAAGTCTAGGATTTTGGATTTTGGATTTATAGTTTTAAGCAGAAGGCAATTTCATGTAATCAACATAATAGTCTCATGAAGTAGATAGTGTATCCTAATTTTATAGTTAAGAAAACTGACATTGAAAGGGTTGCAGAATTTTTTTCCAAGTTTAGTAAGCTGCTATGACTACAGCAGAAATATTGGCTCCAAATTCTAAAACAAATATGCTTTTACTGTGCTATACTGACTAATATAATTCTCTGGAATAACATCAAACTAGTGATTAAATTATTAAAGTTGATAGTGAAAGAAAGTAAATCCTTATGTATGGTGTTATAGCTGATTACATTTCTTTTGGGTTGAATTAGGATGAGAGTAGGAAAGCAGAGACCAGGAAGAACTTGCCTCTGTTTTCCTGGCATGCTGATGAGGGGAAAATGGAAGTGACTGGGAATCAGGCTGGACTTTATAACAAAATGATCAAATCCTATAAAATCTAGTGATAAAAACTGAATCCACAAGTCAATGTCCCATTTCTTCATTTACAATGATGAGCAGATCTGTAAGAATGACTGAACATTGTGTTATGGTTTAAGATTAGGTGCATTGGTCCAAAGAGCATAAATGTGTTCAGGAAGTTGAACTACAGAACTGAAGGTTGCATAAGCAGCACAGACTTAGAATAAAGGGAAGCTTTACATAGACTTACTCTCTCCCTTCCTTTCTTTTTTCTGCCTTTTATAGACACATATTGAAGCTCTACTATTTTCCTGGCTTTCTGCTAGCACTGGGCATATAGTGGTAAACCAAATACATAGGCCAATATAAACTATGATGGGGAAATCAGAAAACAAAATAAGGAAATAAGGTGTTATGAGAATTTAATGATACAATTTTACTTGGATTGGCATATGAGATGCCTCCCTTACAATGTAGAATTTAAGATGAATCTGGAAAAAAGAGTTGTAGCTTGTCAGGTAAAACTTGGGTGGAGGAGCATTTCTGCTCATAGAAATAGTAGGCATCACAGCAAGAAAGGATGTAGTTCAGATGGACATTTTAAAATGGCTATTGTGGCTGATATGTCATGAGTAGATCAGAAAGTGTCATAATGAAGATTGTCAGGTAAACTATAGGCATTCAGTTAAATTTGAACTTCAGATAAACAATGGATTTTTTTTGGAAATAAGTATGGTACATATTGTTTATCTGAAATCCTAGCCATGACAGGAGACTGGAGAGAAAGAGAGCAATCAGATGAGGCAGGAGCTTGGAGACTGCTTTAAGAACTTTTAGTTCATTCTCAGTACAAAGAGGATGAGTTTGAGCAAGTGAGGGATATGATCCAATTTATTCTTTAAAAACTTTATTCTGGGCCAGGTGCAGTGGCTCATGCCTGCAATCCCAGTGCTTTGGGAGGCCAAGGTGGGCAGATCACCTGAGGTCAGGAGTTCCAGACCAGCCTGGCCAACATGGTGAAACCCCATCTCTCCTCAAAAAACATACAAAAATTAGCCAGATGTGGTGGTGTGCCTGTAATCCTAGCTACCCTGGAGGCTAAGACAAGAGAATCACTTGAACCCAGGAGGTGGAGGTTGCAGTGAGCCGAGATCTCCAGCCTGGGCAAGAGAGCAAGAATCCATTTCAAAAAACAAACAAACAAAAAAACACAAAACTTTATTCTGCTCTACAATGCAGAGTATTTTAAGGGGGGCAAGAATGGAAACAGAGAGATAGTAATGAGGTTGCTACAAGAGTTCAGTTTAGAACTGGTTGTGTCTTGTCCATCAGTGATGCAGAAATTGTGACAGAAGTGATGCAGAAAAGTGGTCTGAATCTAGATATTTTGGGGAAATCCAAGAGGACTTGGATGAGTGCCGTTTGGGAGATAAAACTATTAAAGATAATTCAGGTAGAAAGATAGAGGAGGCATATACTAAAATGTAGATAAGCCAATTTTTGGAGAATGTTTAAGGGGGTAATTTAAAAAGTTTACATTTGTTCATGTTAAATTTGGGATGCTTGAGAGATGTTCAAGTATAGATGTCAAGCTGGCAGATGGATATGTAGGTTGGGGATAGAGGAAAGGACTATGAACTAAAAATACAAATATGTTTTCAGTCAGGTTTTAAGAAAAGAAGTAACAGAATTGATTACTTTTCTGTTGGGCATGCTTTAAATCAATCTATTCTAGTTATTTTATTCTAAAAATATAACTTTTATTTTGATGGACAATTGGAAAATAATGTTTTAATATGCAAAATATTTAAATAAATATTTATTAGGGGGAGTTACTATTAAAGCCATCTGCTATCTTTTTATTTCCCTTCCTTTGCATTTCGAAGGGTGATCTTCTAAACTTGCCTGCCTCTCTGGGAGTGTTGCCACCCCCTTTGCCCTGCAGAATGGGCACTGACCCTGATGCCTGATAATTCTTTGAAGTAATGTGCAAGGCTCCTTGAAGAAGGCACAATGGTTGGGAAATTTTAGATTTTTAGAAGTCTTTTTCAACATTTCAGGTCTGAGATAATTAGATAGTAAATGAGGGGGAAGAATTTGAGAGCAATTTCAGGTGTGGGATTGATAGAGTTTCAAAGCTGATTGAAGATGAGCTGTAAGAACAAAGGATGATATAACAATTTTTATTCCAGTGTTCTTTCTTTCACTCATTCTAGAGCTAAAATACAGAAGCATTTCCTAAACATTTCTGCCACTAACTCAAGCAAAGAGCCTGGATTGCAGCAGTGGAATTTAGCACAGGTCAAATTTAACTATTTCTGAAAGTGCTACCTACAGCTGCTTGACCCAAAGTTATAAGAGAGGCACCAAGCCCAAATGTCTCTTCCTCTGTCATATGAAGGTAAGCAGCTGCCTCTGTTCATGGTTTTTTGGAAGGGTAGGAGATGTCCTATCCATAAAGATCCTTTAGTCTAGAAATAATCATGATCATGAGAATAAGAAATTAAGGAAGATTGCACATTAGTGCAAAATATAGTATTTTGTCCTCCTTTCTCTCTTTTTGTCTTTAAAGTGCTGGATTCTCACAAAGTTGTATTTATCTATACTATTAATAGTGGGCAAAGTTATGAAAGTTATAAAATGATTTACTTTATTACGTCTTAAAATAATCAACTTTCTTGAGTACCTATTATCTTTATTAAATAAAAATGTTTGGAGTGTGTACATTATGAGTTATATGTAATATCAATCCAAATTTGAAGGAATTCCAGCATTATTTTATTCATTTTTATTGAGCATATGTGAAGCACATTGTGTTAAAATCTCTTTAAATAATTTATTTGTTATGTTTCAAAATCACTCTTTGAGATAGGTGGGTGGCAAATTTTATGTGACACAATTTTTTCATGGTCATATTATGAATGAGATTTTTGTCCTTTCACACGGAAATAGTGCATCTTTTTGCAATAGGTTTAATAACAGAATTCCAAGTTATGCTAAAGAAAGCAAATTACTAAAAATGCAGATAGTCAACAAAATAATACTGTGTGCATCATGCATCAAAAAGATGAATAAATGAAAATTCAACTATATATAAAAATTTAGCCATCAATTTCTTATGTGAATAACGTATATATTTTGGATAATGTAGGACTATGACAACAAGAATAAATTTTATTGGCTCTTTATTTTTTTCTACTTTTATTTTGGGTTCAGGGGTACATGTGCAGGTTTGCTACATGGTTAAATTGCATGTCACTGAGGCTTGGTATACAAAAGATCCTGTCACCAAGGTGAGCATAGTGAGCATAGTACTCAACAGGTAGCCTTCCAAGACAGGGCCATTCAAAAGGAAAGAGGAAAATAATTTGACCTTCAGTGCCTTAAATCAAGATTAATAAAACCTATATGGCAGCTGTCTATTTTTGGAATATTGAGCAGTACTTAAAATATTCTGTTAAATTGTGTACTATAATGTCCATAAAACGAGCTAACATTTGAGGAATATATGCAATAATTTCTTTTTTATCATTGCCTTAGTCAAGATTTTACTTCAGTTAATGAAGTTTTTACAAAGTATCTTGAATTTTCCATGTATTTCATGTTGTACATGACATTTGGATAGAATGTATTATTTGATAAATACATTATTAGATGTGTTTAATATATATGTTAAATATATTGATGTATATTACTTATTAAATAGATTAAATATATTTGATATACTATTAGATGAATATATTATTAAAATAAACATGAATCTCTTAATCACAAGGTTTTAGAGTCAGTTTAAAGTTTATACCTATTACCATTATATCATTGACCACTTGATTCACCTTACATATTTGACATACATCATTCATTTAAGGTCTTTTAAAGCCTCAAGAATGAGGTACCCAGATCAACCTTCCAGATTGTGCCCCATTTTGCTTTAGATAAAACAGGTGCCACATTTTCTCTTATTTTGAGATTAAATAACTTGGCTAAATGTTTCTAGAATTCTCATGAATAATTGCCTTGTGTCTCAAATGCTTAGTTGGTTGATGGTGAAGTTAAGAGGCTACTGAGTGAAGTAACAAATGAAAAGATTTATTTTTTGATGCTTTGAAAGGCACCCATATGCACACATACTTATAATAACAACGATAATAGTAATAATAAGAATACTATTAATAATGACACAATGTAAAAGTTTTAAAAGTTTGTTATTATAATACAACTTCTTTAACCTCTACAATGTCCAAAACAATGTTACGTATTTCCTTATAGATCCTCATTGTAATATGGGGATCTTGCCTTACCTTTAAATTTAGAATGATTAAACCTTTAAAGATACCCTTTTCAGATATTATTAAACTTAGAAATAGCCAGAACTTTCTGAGTTCCCACCAATTTTGATGATTGGTAGGTGGATAATTGGTATATCTGTTATGGGGCTTGGGATTCAGCATTTTATAAAATCCTACACGTTTTTGATGTATAGAAGGGTTAAGCACATACATGTAGATTAAAAGCAACATAAAACCAGAGTTTATTTCTTTTTATCAATTGTTGCCCAATTACTGAGTGTTAATTGAATTGACCATTTATGCTTGTATTTCAATTTAAAGAGAACAAATATGGCATGAAGGCTTGTAATCCACAAACTTCTGGTGATGTTTTAGATTGCATTTGCAGTGTTCTGCAGCATATCTCTTTTTGGATATTGGCATCTATAATAATAATTATTATAATACCTTATATCTCAAGGATAATGATAAATCTGCCATTTACTGATAGCTTTCCAGACTCTGTGAGCTACTAATCCTCACAGCATCCCACTAGATATGTATTATTATTACAATGTTATAGATTATGATGGGGTTGTGAGTGGATCCTGCTACTAAGTGGCAGAAGCCCTGAGAAAATCCATGTCTGTTTGTCTCTGTAGCCTGAGTTATTTTCTCTAGAGGATTAAGACTCTGCTTCTATAAAAGATCTATTTTTTATAGTTTTGAAAAATCAGTTCATAGACGTTTCCTAATTTATCTTCAGAACAACGACATGGGCTACATTGGCTAGCAAACCAGCATGAAAATTCTGTTTTGATGTGCAAAGAGTTTAAATGCCTCTCTCAATTTTAAATATTCAGATCTCAGTTTAAATTCCAAGACTCTTATCATCTTTATTTCCTTCTCATGTAGACAAAGCACCTACTTTGTACAAGGGACTGGGGAAATACAAAGACATAAGATACTGTCCAGACCTAATAAAGAGGCTCCAGTATGCTATAGTTAGACCTACGCACTTCTAAGCATAACTAACAGCGCATGGAAATATTCAATATGCATAAAGACAAAAAAAGCAACAAAGTTTAGATAAAAGACCTGTGTGTGTGTTGTGTGTGCATGTTTGCTTGTGCATAATCAGAGAGGTGGAACTTGAGTTGAATCTTGAGGAAGAATAACATTTAGATGGATAAAAATGACTGGAGATTGCATATTAGGTACGGAAAAAGAAATGAGTGGTGTGTGGTTTCCAGAGCCACTGAATGGCAGGAATGACTTTATCTTTGGTAATTCTCCTTGGTAATCAAAAAATATCTTTTGATAGAGCCTCCTATGAGTCATTCTTTCCATGTGTAGAAAAATATTGGAGGTTTGAACAGTGATTTCAAAGCATCTGCCAAAATATACAAAATAATTGTTTACCTTTGTTTTTAATTATTTACTATGCAAATGTGATAAACTGCTTTCTATATCACCCCAGGTCAAAGCACTCAACATTTCAAAATGGTAAGCATTTCATCAGCACTGCAAATTTCCTTATGTTATACAAGTATTCTTTTCCTCCTGGTGATTAAATTCTGCTTTTGAAAATTTAAGCCCTTTTATTCATAATCCATCAGTAATCACTGCATGACGTTTCTTATTTTCTGGTGATGTAATTTTTTCTTTTAAAAAATATATGGAGTTAGGCTATTCTTGTCATAAATTATATTTTAACAAAGGTTAAAACTTATTTTGCTTTGTTCTTTTCACTCTTCCTCAGGCTTTTGATAACTATAAGCACACAAAAATAATGTTATTTATAGATAATTATCTGAACCATCAATAAATCTCCTTATGTAGACTCACCCCCTACCCCCAAAAAGATTTAAGAACTATTTTTGAAGAAGTGTTAATTTTATTTAGTATATATTATAGTAATAACATACAACATTTTAAAATTGAATAAGTTCACCTCTAATTATTATATCTTCATTTTGTTTTGGCTTGTTTCATTTACTTCTGGTCAGCTATATCTGTGCAGGTATATATGTACATATGCATATATATGTACATATGCATATATATATGTACATATGCATATATATATGTATGCATGCATATATCTATCTATCCAACCATCCATCCACACACACAAAATCCCACACACACAGTGAGAACACTTATGTCCATGCTGTTTAGATTACTGCTTTTGACCATTTCTATGTTTATCAGAAAAATGTGTTTTCCAAAGAATATCTGCACTTTCTTCATAGCTGTCACTTTATTGTTTTGCTTTGCTAAATCATTCACCTGTTATTGGACAAGACATAAACATACATAGGGTTTCTTAAATTATTTTTCCCGTTTTTCTTTCTCTTTTCCTTGTAACTTTCTCCTTGTCTTTCTTGATCTCTGGTGGATTTAGATATGGCAAAGAGAGGCTAGAGCTTACTGAAAAAGGAATAATTAAGCAAGATACTTCGATTATGCCCAAGACCAAAACTTTCTGAGTTCTAATACAGCATTCAATAGCCCCAGTAGTGAAAGTTTTTTAGTTCTCATTCCTTTAATTTCTGATCATGTAGCAGCAGAGAACACATGGCTCTTGGAAACAGTAGACTTGGGTCAATATTCTGTCTCTGCTACATACCAGTTATATTTGGTTTGTACTCATACCACTTCTCTGGGCCTCAATTTCCTCATCTGTAAATTGAAAGGGTTAGGTTTCAAAAAGCCATGAATGTACAATAGAGGCAAAGGAGAGAAGCAGAGAATTTCGAGTGTCACATTTCTCTAAAAGAAGCAAAGAATGAGGTTGATTTTATGGCCTTTTAAAATATGTGATACTGGCTGCATACTTAAGGGAAAACAAAAACTAGGCTTGTGAGGATTTGGAGATCTTAGCAGATGATTGCTACAGATTAAGAATCCGTAGAGAAGTCACATATAACCATACACTCCATTAAAGCCTTAAATGGTGTGAGGAAGTCTGACTGAATAGATATCAACTAAGTGAGGATGAATGCAGTAGAGCACGTTTATGGTTCTACATAATCATATTTCTTTTTTTTTTTTTTTTTTTTTTGAGACGGAGTCTTGCTCTGTCGCCCAGGCTGGAGTGCAGTGGCGCGATCTCGGCTCACTGCAAGCTCCGCCTCCCGGGTTCACGCCATTCACCTGCCTCAGCCTCCCGAGTAGCTGGGACTACAGGCGCCCGCCACCACGCCCGGCTAATTTTTTGTATTTTTAGTAGAGACGGGGTTTCACCGTGTTAGCCAGGATGGTCTCGATCTCCTGACCTCGTGATCCGCCCGCCTCGGCCTCCCAAAGTGCTGGGATTACAGGCGTGAGCCACCGCGCCCGGCCCATAATCATATTTCTATATTGCATCTTGATAACTGGCTAAAGGGAATGCTTCTGATTTCTTTTCAGTACTATTACCTCTTCATTATGCTATTGTGAATTGAGAATCACATTTTTTCAAACACATGTCTACAAGTCCGTTGTGGTAGTCTTAAAAAATAACTGAAAACGTGGCACTGAGGTTGACCAAAGAATAAATTAAACTGGTTTGCCATAGGCTGACAAAAGATGTCTTGGTGAATACCCTCCTAACTCTTTCTTACCCATTAGAAAATTCTGTTTAAAGTGAATTATGTTAAAAATTAATGAACATGATGGGATTGTGGGAGCTTAAAAGAAACCTGGCTGATGATTTTATTGTGGTTATTTGTTGCTATACAACTCATGTCAGGTTTTACATCCAGCACTATCAAAAATTCAGAAAATGAGAAACATGCTGGCAACTGATTTGGTGTAGAGATTGGGTGAAAGAATTTGAGCCTATTACTTTACCTCTTCTAAACTCAGTCTGCTCAATTTAAGTATGGAAATGATGATGATGATGATGATAAAAAATAAACTAAATTCACAGAACTTTTCAGTGGCTCAAATGAAAAATGGAAATAAATATGTTTTATAAAGGATTATACATATGGGAAGACTTTTCACCACTACTGGTCAGCTTTCACAATACATGAGATGGTATAATCTTTAATAGGAATAATAATACATAAATCTTCTTTCCTTGAACAGATAATAAATAGCTCTCTTTGTTATAAACTCTAAATACAATAAGTGGTTTTTTTTGTGTGTAAAAGCATCAATTATCATTTAATTAACTGAAAATTTACTCTGTGTTATGCTTGTGCTAAGCACTTATATTACATTACCTCATTTAATACTGATGCTTCAGGAAAATAAGTTATTGACTATCACACGACGAGTAAATGGCAGATTTAGAATCTGAACACCTACAGGTCTGTTTCCTCTGTTGCTCTCACGTTCTGCACACATGCTGCTCTTTTTGACTTGACCTCATCTTTATCCATCTGATGCTGAAAACTACCTATCCTGCTTTTCAAAAATACTAACTCTGGTTCAGTGAACTGACAGTCTAAAACAGAAAACAGATGAGTAAAGACTGAAATAAACTCACACACTAGGTACATATTAGGATGGCTTGTATACCTTCATTTAGGAGGTGTACAAGAATAATTTTATATATGTCATACAGGTGAAGCTTTTAGCATATGTGTAAGGTAAGAAATATATATAAAGGAGGATACACTTGTGGCAAGAGGCTAAGTTATTGGTGTCATGAGCATAAGAGGCAAAAGCTCTTATTTTAGTCCCAGATAGCTGTGTGCCTTTGCGTAAGTCATTAAAGTTTTCTGTACTGCTCATTTTCTTCATTTGGAAAGTGGGAACATTGAAATATTTCCTATATTATAGTGATACTTTGAGATTTAAATAAATTATCTGAGTATGATAGGTTGTAATACAAGTGTGAGAGATTTTAACATAATAGGGAATTGTAATTTTCGTGTTAAAAAATTCTTGAAAACATTTTTTCATTCATTTTCAGGACTTGATTTTAGATACTATGCTTTTGTTTTGTGTTGGTAGTAAGTACCCCAATTAAACTGGCATTTTTGTTTTTACATGTGCAAAGCATCTCCTATGGAAATAAAATTAAAATAATTGTTCAGTTCCATCCAGAACTGTCATGTTGCAGCCATTAGCAAGCTATAGTAAAATGTTTGTAAGATATCAATAATGGATTACGATATAAATATTTATGGAGTGCTGTGAGGTAGTTAGTTTCCATCAAGCTGGGACATGCAAAATTGAATAGATACTGACACTAAACAAGATTTTGATTAAGTGGTTGTGGCATAATCCTTTTCCAATATTAAACAAATACCATCTTTAACATTGTTTGAGGTAAAGAGGGTTTTGG
This sequence comes from Homo sapiens, assembly GCF_000001405.40. Lineage (NCBI taxonomy): Eukaryota > Metazoa > Chordata > Mammalia > Primates > Hominidae > Homo > Homo sapiens. Next base: position 176,382,582 of record NC_000003.12, on the reverse strand, counting down.
AATGTTGGTAGCAGCAAAAGTCTCTCTCATAAAATATATATTATTTTAATGGATCGTGAATATAGCATAGCTTTGTAAATCTCTCTATTATTTTCTAAGTTTACACAGTGGGAAGAAAACATTTTAAAAATATGCTTATCTAGTAGTGCCTAGATATTTTGGAAAAAAAATGTATTTGTGGTGGCTAATTTGAGATGTCAGCTTGACTGGATTAAGGTATACCTAGACAACTGGTAAAGTATTGTTTCTGGATGTTTCTGTGAGGATGTTTTCCAGAGAAGATTGATGTGTGAGTCGGTAGACTGAATGGGGAAGATCTGACCTCAGTGTAGGTGGACAATTGACTGGGAACCTGGATAGAACAAAAAGCAAGAGGAAAGCATTAGGTTGGTGCAAAAGTAATTGCAGTTTTTGCTATTAATTTCAATGGCAAGAACCACAATTACTTTTGCACCACCTAAGAAAATTTACTCTCTCTCTCCTGGAGCTACAGCACCCTTCCTCTCCTGTTCTTGGACATCAGCACACAAGGTTCTCTGGCTTTTGGACTCTGATACTTATACCAGTATCTCCTTGGGTTTTTGGGCCTTTAGCCTCAGATTGAGAGTTATGTCATTGGCTTCCCTGGTTCTGATGCTTTTGAACTTAGACTGAGCCATGCAACCAGCATCCCAAGTCTCCAGCTTACAGATGTCCTATTGTGGGGTTCTCAGCCTCCATAATCAATCACATGAGTCAACTCCCCAGATAAATCCCCTCTCATCTGTCTGTCTGTCTATCTACCTACCCATCCATCCGTCATCTATCATTTATCTATCTATGCATCATCTATCTGTCTGTCTGTCTGTCTATCTATCTATCTATCTATCTATCTATCTATCTATCTATCTATCTGTCTATCTCTCTATCATCTATCCTACTGGTTCTGTCTCTCTGGAATATTCTAATATAACTCTTAGCATTTTTGTCTCCAAATATAAATGATTATCCTATTACGGCATTCAAATTCGTTTTGAGTAGTTCTTTTCTCTATTTCTGTCTTCTATTCTGTTGCTTAATTTTTTCCCTCAGGGAAACTTGATTTATGGAGTGGGGTCTACAACCAAACCATTCCTGTGGCATCCTTAAAAATTATTTCAGACAAATGACGTAAGCTCTTTTAAAATAGTACAGATTCTATAGGCCATATCTTTTTACTACTGCCTAATTACTGAGTATTTTACTTAACCTTGTGCCAGACACTTTTCAAAGTGCTTTACAAATATAAATTGGCATGAAAATCATGGCAAGGCTACTAAAAATATTTATCCTAAATTTAGAGATGAGATAAATGATTATTGCTTGATTTTTAAAATGTCATGCTAGGTCATTTTCCAATAAGCCCATTTGAGCATCATCTGACACATGCTGAGAATGTAACTTTGCTTGGCTAACAATCAACAACTGAAAAGTGTGTGGATGGTTTATGGTCCTTTGAGGTCAAGAGATTGACGTGCAGAAATTAAAGAGTTTTTATAATTTGATAGCCATGGAGATATATTAACTCTAAAGGTGATATGGTTTTATAGCTCTGTTGAAAGTTAACCTAGTGAACACTACATGCAATTTGCAATTCGACTTAAATCTTCCTTTCCAGCTACTTTATCTTTCTGCTGATTTCTTCATAAATGTGTTAGATAACACTTTAACAAGTGCTAGCTAGTTTTTAACTTCTATAAATATTATCCCCATTTTACAGGTGGATGGAAATGTGGCACAGCAACCTTAAATAACTTGCCTGAAGTCACATAGCTAATAATGGGGTATAGCAGGGATTCAAATCCATGTATTTTGGCTCAAAATTTGTGTTCTTAACCATAAACAGTTTGACCCTTCTCATTTGCCAAGATATTTATTATTATACCCCTGCCCCATTAACAAGAAAATTTCTAGTCTCCTCATGCCATATGTAAGGCATTAATTGAGGTTCTTCATGTATAACTACTCACCATGGCTTATAGTCTCTTGTCTTTACAAAACAGCTTCGGAGAGCCAGAGCCAGTTCACTCAAACATATTGGCGTACTCTGTGGTGCAAATTGAGCTTCAAGAATTTTGGTATAGGCCTTAAATCAGGAGAACAATCAGCTTATTAATCAGCTTGTTAATCAACAAAGGATCTCTAACAGGTTGAGGTCTTGTATTCTGCTTTACAGAAATGAGTTAGTGATAACCCAGTATACCTTGAAACAGTTAAGCAATTGTTTCCAACCAAGATCTCATTTGAAATGACAATTATGAAACGTAAGAAGAAGGCTGCACTTTGCATGGAAATGTGTCCTGAATTTTGATTTGGTGACTCAGATGTGATGACGACCACCATATTGTTAATTAATTTTTGGTAATCATGACATTGGTAGCTAAATGAAATGTCCTGGGGTTGTTTGTATGTAAACCTCAGGTGATTAGGAGCACTTCCCAGAACAGTTCGGGAACCTTGGAAGACAGGAGCTCTGTAGTTGTGGGGTGAAGAGCTCCCTGGTGCAGGAGAGCATTGCCTTCTTCATAATGACGGTTCCACACATTTTGCTGCCTCCATCACACTGCTGGAGAAAGAAGAGAATTTAAATAAGAGAAATGAATAATGTTACAAAATGCTGACCTTTGTGGTGACACTAAAGGATCTTCAGAGTTGAGATATGGTCAGACTCAACTCAAGGGGTTTAGGTTTAACACGTTGATGTAAGCTCTCCTCTTGCACTGAAGCGGAGTGGGAGAAAAGACAATCTGTAGAAGAGATTTTCACAATTCTCTGAAGGACAAGGATTATAAGTCTTGCCAAGATTATAGAAAACTCTTGTTGCTAATGAAAGTTTAGTGTGGGCTTTGTCAAAAGTCAGGGACTGGAAAACAGTGTGTTTGGAGAGCAGTTATGACCAGGATTATTGTTACCATTAAGGTGATGTATGTAAATTAAACAAACCACTGGTAGACATAGTAGAGAAAAGCAACTACTCCGAGTCTGCTTTTCTTGCTATCATATAACTCAGTTTGCAGATTGTACAAAATAAACTTCATTTTGGTTGCTTCCTTTTGATCATCATTTATCTCAAATATCTAATGCTTCTCATTTAAATTTTAAAAATTTGACTTGCCTGCCCTAAATGTCAAATTCAAAAGTTGTGTGACTTTCTTTCAAAATAAACATTAAGACTTTTGGGGGAAATAAACATTTTGATTTTGAAAACATTCATGACTATACAAGATAATTTGATGAACACTAAGTTTGTGTTGTTTGTACACTGCTTTTTATTTTGTGGTAAATTGTTGACAAAGTAATGCATCCTTTCTTCATGTTATAGATGTATAACCACTCTACCACATCAAAAGCCCAGGGATTGCACTGTAGAAAGTCTCATTATCAGCACTAGCTTTCTGAGTGTACTTTTGGACAAGAAAAAGTATTTATGTTTCATTAACTACTAAGATTGTCATGTTTTAGACATTTCAAAGAGACAATGCTACTGCTTTTTGTTCCCAGTGACTGAAATGTGGAAAGCTTTCGTATTTGTTATTGTGTAATGTGCCATTATCTCCCATGAAAGCTTCAGGCCTGTGTGACACACAGCTAAAACTGGGCATTTGTTTCTACTCTGCTTATTCTTTTACAACACGTGTAGAGAGTTAAAAGAGAAAGTGGTATCTGTTGAAAGTATACCCTGAAGAATTCTTAGTTTTTTCAGTTTAAAAAAAAGAAAAAAGAAAAACCAAACAGAATACCAAACCTCCAAGATGAAATTAAAACATTTTCATTTTTAAATAGCCCCAGATATCACTTAGCAAGAATCAGAGAACAAATAGAGTTTCTTTGCATCACAGTTAGGCCAATATGCTTCAGTGAACTGTCTCTCCAAAGCTCTTTTGTAGGGACAAGCGATTATAAGCTATGGCGAGTATTTACACAAGAAGAACCTCTTTACTTTGTTTATACATCTTTTTTCTTCCGTTTTTAACCAATTGTACAAATATAAGCAGAAAAAAATGGGTGTAACCAGGAGACACTGAAGAAGATTTTAATTTGGTACATTATAAACCTGATATGAGCAAATAATGTAAGGTAATTACTCTTCAACTTTTACTAATAATTTGCCCACAATAAGGACAGAAAGAACTGCTTTCCTTGGCACTTATCAAACTGTCTAGTTTTTGTGCTTGGACCCTCGTGTTAAGTGGGATAGAAACACATTCAGAGGATAAGGATAAGGGAACATGTAACTCTCATATTCAGAGTCATTGAGAGAACTGCAGATAGATTAGAGAAGATATGATTGCTATCTTCAAATACTTTAAGAGTTGTCATGGAGAAGAGGGATTAAACACATTATGTATAGCCTTCCAAAGCATTAGAGCCAGGAGAAATGAGTAGAAGCCATAGGGAGCTAAGCTTCAGCTAAATATAAGAAAAATGTTGAGTCCAAATAGTCTGAGGAAGGAACAGATTGCCTTTAGAGGGTATGCATTATGGATCAATGGAAGTCTATAACTTACTATTTGCATTCACTGGCAGGGGTGTTCTACAATGACATCAAGTAATGAATGAGTAATTAAATAATTTTCTGATTCAATAAAACACTGGTTTAGCCAATATGTGCATTTTAAATTTAATTAAAAATTATGCTGGAGTTTATTTTAAATAAAAACTATTCTATAAATTTCTTGAATACCCGAGTTCATTTAGGTAATATGGAAGACACATATGCTTCTTTTTGCTAAGTGTAGAATCACTGAATGTAACAGGTGGATGAGATTTTTTAAATCATTGAGTTTGACACCTTAATTTTATAAATGAGGAAGTTGAGACAAAGAAGTGATGTGACTTGCAAACATTCATAGAATTAGGGTCAAGGTTAAAGGTGAAAGGCAGGATTTCTGATTAACAGATCTCTTTACTGAAAGAATTGAAAAGGATGTGTGCTCTTTGCTGAATGCCACCAGTAACTACAAGTATTAAGCCACACTGAAAGACAGCTATCTTTATTCACTGTGTGCGTATAAACTTGCTCACTTACAAGCTTAAGCTAATAGATCCCAGGATTCTTTCCTAATTGCTGTGTCTGATACTTGTATCTTTGCCTCTTCATCATGTTTGGTTGATCCTTAATTCTTTAGAAGTTCCAAATAAGGCTTTACAGGATCTCAATGTATAACACTGAAGATAGCCTTTTAGAGCGTTCTTGGACTCAGGTGTTGGAAAAAAATGAGGGCATTGTTTAAAATATGTCAGGAAGTAAGATTTTTTGGTCTAGTTATACTCCACATTTGAATATGACTATCTGCCTCATCCAAATTCCCAAACACATACATACATGTACACACATACATACACACACACCCTTTTATTGGAATAGATATTCAATTACTGCTGATAGCAAGAAAAGTGTTTGAATATTATTGTCACTAAGGAGGGAAGGGGTTAAAGTTGTATTCTGTCAAAAGGCATAATGAGCTATGACTCCAACTTACCAAACTTCTAACACTATCAAATGGATTCTTTGGTACTGAGGAGACTAAGCATTAGTTTATTTCCCTGTTTTTTTTCCCCCTCACTGTTTGTGATTTTATTCGTAAATCATATACATAACCAGAAGAGGTGGTCACACTTATCAATAACATTAAAATAAAATTGTTCTGAAAACCATAGTTTTATGCAAAGACATCTGTGAGTGAGAAAACTGTTCATTTTATTTTCTCTCTTGCTAGTTATAAGAGACCAAACCAATTTCAAGGTGTCCTCTCCTGTTTACTTCTTTGTGCATGTCATGGTTTTCTGAGTAGGTTAGAGCCAATTTTTTACATCTGCAAGTTAATGCCTGCCAAAAATTGACCATTCAATGGGCTCATTCCCAGTTTAATTGGCCACTTGCTTCTTTTTTCTGAGAACACAAGAGGCCAATTGCACCTGCATTGAGCCTGATGGAGATTCAGAAAAAGAATATTTTAACAATTCTATTTTAGTGTGTGACTCATTCTTTTTCATAGGAAGAAAAAAGTGACATTGTCACATTGCAATGTGTAGCAATATATTTATGATTATTTTACTTGTATTTGTAATGTAAATTTTTTTGCAAAATACAAGGTGATTTGACTCTTCAGTAACTCCATGAATTTGTTCTTTGAATTTAAAAAGCATAATCAAAAGACTTTTCTCTAGGTTGATAATGCAAACTTATTGTTGTGCAAGTTTATCCTTGAATACTTAAAATAATGAAACAAGCATAAAACAATTTGTATTCATACACATATAAGAAAGGAGGAACTGATGCAATAAAGAGCATGACATTGATACTAAGGTAAATATTACATATAAAATTATACAATAATTCAAGTAAGATTATATAATTTTTACATATAAAATATAAAATTTATAATTTTACAATTATATATTCTTATTTAAATTATGTATATTTTTATGACTACTCAGGATAGAGTAATTATATGGTATCTCTTGGTCAGAATTGTGAAAGAGCCCCATCTGATGCGTTCATTAATTAAAATGAGAGTGTGGTGAGGATAACGCAACTCTGAGGAGCATACTTTTCTTTTATGTAGAGATGAAGGGAAGTAGGCCACTTTTAGATTTGTGGGGACTGAAATCTGTTAAGTAGATCATATTATGTCACATTCTTTGCTTATGATTGTTCTGTAACCATCCAATATTCAAAAGAGAAAGTCCATACTGCTAATGTGGCATTCAAGTCCCTCTATTCTCTAGCTATTGCTCAATTCTCCAGTATCATCTCTCATCAGCCCCTCCTATGGGCTTTATGATCCAGAAATGCCAAATTGCATACAACCAGTTGTTCATCAACTCAGTACCTTGGAGAGAGGTTACCACAAATCAAAGAATGCCAAGGTTTAACAAGAGTCACCACAAGCTAGGGAGAGTCAGGAGAGGATTCTTCCCTGGAGCCTTTTGAGGCGCCATGCTCCTGCCAACACCTAGATTTTAGATTTTTAGCATCCAGAACTGTGAGAATACATTTCTGCTGTTTGAAGCCACCAGCTTGTGGTAATTTGTTATGACAGCCCTAGGAAACGAATATAGCTGCTATGTCTTTTGTGAAAGTTAATGGCAAACTTTCAGCCCAGTAAAGACAAGATCACTAATGATACAGAAATTTCATGAATAAAGTTTAGAGGCACCTCATCAAGTTGAGAATCACAACAAGCTTGAGTTTGTGAATAGCAAAGGGTCTTATAGCCTCACCCTTGAATTTTTACCCTGAAGTCTTATTTTACTGCCAAAGCCCTGGCTTTGGTCCTTTACATAGAGCCAAAGCATAATGGTCACACCTTCGATTTGGTAGAAAATAACTTCATCTTTCAAGCTGAAATTAATTGGCTTCTTATATACTCACTAAATTTTGCTTACAAACTGGGTTATTTCCTTACCGTATCTCTTCCTTGCAATTTCTTATCAAATGCAGCTGGTAAAAAAATGGAATAAAATAAATCAAGCAACCTAACAAAAACCAAACAGAGCATGCTTTTTACATCTTGTCTAAGATTCCACTCCTCAACTATAAACTTGTCATATCCATACTTTATCTTTAATATAATCTCACACATTTTTATCAAATGTTTTTCTACTCCATAACATAGGTTGTCACTTTTTCAGCTTCTCACCACAGTTCTCATCATTTCTCCAGGCTTCTATAATGACTTCCTTGTGGAGTAATACCTGGTCCTAAATCCACTGTTAGGTTTTTGTTAAAGAAGCAACCCACTTCTAGTCCATGTCTACCTTGGTTATCTTTTGCCTCAACAAAATTGTATAATAAACCACTACAAGTGTAGTGTCTAAAAAGCAATCACACATTCTTGCGGAATTGTCAGGAGGTGGGAAAGAGTGGGTCTGTTGATAAAGTCTGTGATCTGCTGAGTTTGGTTCCCATGCAGGTCAAGTGCAAGTCTGCTGTTCCTCATTCTTCTTGAATAAGTAGACTATCCAGGATGTGTTCTTTTCACAGGGAAAGGAAAAAGTGTGAGAAGCCATGCCTGACTTTTCAATTACATTTTCTCTGTATTTGGGGACACTCCTGTTAACGACTATTGGAAAAACAAATCATAAGGTTGAGTCCAAAATAATGGTTGATGAGTTATGTTCTGTCTATCATGAGACAAAAAGAAGACACACAGAGAATACTAGCATTAATAGAGCAGGGAAGTATACTGCTTCCATGAAAGTGAGCATGAATACCTGATAAATGATCTATTTTATTCCATCTGTCTTTTTTCTCCATCTGTCCTTAGGTATCTTTTAATTTTTGAGTTCAGAAATTTCTGTATTATGTGTTTTGGTATTGGTTTCCCTTTATTTAAAATTATTTTATTTTATTTTTTAATTGTACATATTGATGGGGTACATAGTGAAGTTTCAGTAAGTATAATGTACGGTAAACAGCTTAGAGTAATTAGCATATTCATCATCTCAAGCATTTGTCATTTATTTGTGTTGGAAACATTCAATATTACCCTTCTAGCTATTTGAAACTATACATTGTTGTTAACTATTGTTATCTTATAGTAGTATAGAACAGTAAAACTTATCCCTCCTAGCTAGCTGTAATTATGTATCCTTTAACAAGTCTCATCTTATCCCTCCTTTCCCCTTATCAGTCCCAGATTCTAGCACCCTCTGTTCTACTTTTCACTTCTATTAGGTCAACATTTTTAGCTTTCACATGAGTGAGAACATTCAGTGTTTAACTTTCTGTTTCTGGCTTATTCAACTTAGCATAATGTCCTGTAGTTCCATCCATGTTGCTGTGAACGACAGGACTTCATTCTTTTTATAGCTGAGTAGTATTCTTTTGTGTATATACATAACACATTTTCTTTATCCATTCATCTGTTTTTGGACACCTAGGTTAATTCCATATCTTGGCTATTGTGAATACTGCTGCAATAAACATGGGGGTCCAAATGTCTGTCTGATACAATGAATTCCTTTTTTCAGATAAATTTCCAGTAGTGGGATTGCTGGATCATATGGTAATTCTATTGGTAGTTTTTAAAGGGACCTCTATACTGTTCTCCATAGTGGCTGTACTAGTTTGCATTCCCACCAACGGTGGTAAGGGTTCCCTTTTCTCTGCATCCTCACCAGCATTTGATATTGCCTTTCTGATAATAGCCATCCTAACTGGAGTGAGATGATACCTCATTGTGGTTTTGATTTGCATTTCCCTGATGATTAGTGATGTTGAACTTCTCTTTCAGATATTTGGCTGGCCACTTATATGTCTTCTTTTGAGAAATGTCTGCTCAGATCATTTACCCATTTTTTAATCAGATTGTTGGCTTTTTTTTTCTGTTAAGATGCTTGAGTTCTTTGTGTATTCTGGATATTCGTCCCTTGTTGGATGAGTAGTTTGCATATACTTTCTTCCATTTCTGTAGATTGTCTTTTCACTATGTTGATTGTTTCTTTTGCTGTGCAGAAGCTTTTAGTTTGATATAATTTAATTTTATTTTTGCTTTTGATGCCCCTGCTTTTGAGGTCTTATTCATGAAACCTTTTTCCAGTCCAATGTTGTGAAGCATTTCCCTGTGTCATCTTCTAACAGTTTTATCATTTCAGGTCTTGCAAAATGAATTCTGAGTTGATTTTTGTATAGAGTAAGAGGTGGGGATCTAGTATTCTTCTGTACACAAACATCCAGTTTTCCCAGAATCATTTATCAAATAGACTGTCTTTTTCCCAGTGAGTGTTCTTGGAAGCTTTCTCAAGTCAGTTGGCTGTAGATATGCGGATTAATTTCTGGGTCCTCTATTCTATGCCATTGTTCTATGTGCCTCTTTTTATGCCAGTGCCATGATGTTTTGGTTACTACAACTTTGTTGTATATTTTGAAGTCTGTTATATAATACTTCCAGCTTTGTTCTTTCTGCTCTAGATTGCTTTGGCTATTCAGAGTCTTTTGTAATTTCATACACATTTTCAATTTTTGAAAAATGTTTATGTGAAGAATATCATTGGTATTTTGATAGGGATTGTATTGAATGTGTAAATCACATTGAGTAATATGGTCATTTCAACAATATGAATTCTTTCAATCCATGAGCATGGGATGTCTTTCCATTTGCTTATATCCTCTTCAATTTCTTTCATCAGTGTTTTGTAGTTTTTCTTGTAGAGGTTTTTTCACCTCCTTGGTTAAATTTATTCCCAGGTATTTTATTTTGTAGTTATTGTAAATGGAATTGCCTTCTTGATTTTTCAGCCAGTTTGTTGTTCAATAATATACAAAAATTAGTTCATACTACTAATTTTTGTATATTATTTTTATATTCTGCAACTTTACTGAATTCATTGATTAATTTCACGTTTTCTGGTAGAGTCTTTAGGTTTTTCTATATAGAATATCATGTTATCTGCAAACAGGGACAACTTGACTTTTTCCTTTACAATTCGGTTGTCCTTTACTTCTTTCTTTTGACTAATTGCTCTGCTAGGACTTCCACTACTATGTTAAATATGAGTGGTTAGAGTGGGCATCCTTGTTTTATTCCAGTTCTTAGAGAAAATACTTTTAGATTTTCTCCCACTCAGTAAGATGTTAGCTGTGAGTTTGTCCTATATGGCTTTTATTATGTTGAGGTATTTTCTTTCTATACATAATTAAGAGTTTTCCTCATGAAGGATGTTGAATTTTATCAAGAGCTTTTTCTGCATCTATGGTGATGAGCATATGGTTTTTGTCCTTTATTATATGGATATATATGACATTTATTGATTTGTGTATGCTGAATTATCCTTGCATTCCTGAAGTAAAACCCACTTGATCATGCTGTATTATTTTTTTGATGTGCTGCTGGATTCAGCTTACTAGGATTTTGTTGAGGATTTATTCTTATGTCTATGTTCATCAGAGATATTGGCCTGTGGTTTTCTTTGTTTGCTGTGCCATTGTCTGGTTTTGTTATCGGGAATTCTTGCATAAAACTTTTAAGTAATCTCTCCCTCTCCCTGTACAGGTTTTAATGTTTTTACCTCACACTTCCAGGACCAGTAATACAGCTCTACTATTACTTTTTTTTAGCTAAGTAATTAATTATAATTTCTGAAAAATTCATTTAGTTGATATGAATAACAATACCTCCACAGAGTGTTTTATATTGGATTTATCATCTTCAATTCAATTATTGAAGTATTCAAAATAACTGTAGTCTTACTGTTTCTAAAGTTGAGAAGGTTTAGGTATAATTTTGGGAACCAAATGTCTGGGTTTGTCCTATAACAGCAATTCCCAAGAAGCTGCTATTTCAAAGGAAGTTGCAGAAATTAGGTTAAAATTAACTTTATTACTAAGGGTTGCCTCTTCCCTTTCTGTGGAAGGTCAGTTACATTATTCTGAAAAAGGTTTAGAGTCTGAACATCCTTATCTATGACTCTTTACAAATATCTCTATAATAGACTTTTAAATAGTATTTCAGAAGATAATTCCTGAATTTGGAAAAACAAAAACAAAAAACACAACTCATTTTAGGTGACAAATAACTTGACTATCTTCTCTGCATTTAATAGAACTTTTTTTATTTGTTTCATACCATTTCCTCAGGAAAAAAAATATTCAAGGCTTCTATATTCCTAACAAAGCAAGATGAATCTGCATTTTAAACACATCTTTTTTCCTAATGTAAACTTCATTTTGGTTAATGGAAATATACTTACAGAGGAATATGAATGAGTATTAGGAAGTATTCTATGATCTATATTTGGAAATATTTTATATAAGTCAGCTCCAGTTGAGCTTTGCTAAGTTTTTCTTGTTTTCTTGTTGAATTTTTATAATTTCTTAAAGTAAACATAAATACTCCAGGGTCTTAATTAAGTGACATATTGGGCTTGTGCAAAATGTGTAGAAAAATTAGATTTCTTACAAGATATTCTAATTATCTCGTCCCTAAAGTCTGACCAGGAGCTGCACTGGTGTAGCAGAAAAAAAATCATATCTCTTACATTATACAACACATCTGTGGCTTATACTTAATCATTATCCTACTCTAAAATGAGAATGAGATTTTTTACATTATTCCAACGAGCTAACTTTGATCTTCAGATGTTTGAGGTCAATCTCCCTATCATACTCCCTAGACTACCTCTTTGATTAAACTTATTTGATTAAGGTTATTTTTATTAAATTAGATTATTTGTATTAACCTAAACTATATTAGTCTTTGGCAATGGGTTCAAGGAGAAGAATTAGTGAAAGAAGAAGGGAATATATTGAGCTGGATTATACCTACCTGAACTTTTGCATGAGCAAATTTTGTAAAAGAGAACATTTGAGGATAATGTGCAAATGATATCTGAATCAATAACAAAAATCAGTGGCAATTTTCCTGACAATTATTTGGGGGTCATATTCACAAAACTGGTAAATATGGTCATTTAAAGGTAGGCATATCTTAATCTAAGTTAATGACAGACCTAAATAATATTTCCAATGTATATGCTTTCTTGTAATTAGAAATATATGTGGAAAGAATGAAGGAAATCAGGAGTTAGTCTTACAGAATTAAATCAAGATGATTTTTTCTTATTCGCAAGACTGAATAAGAAAAATATCATTCTTTATTATGAGAATTAGATTGAGGCTTAGGTGTAGCTTGATGGCTTGTCTACATAAGAACTCTATAAATTTTAAAAGATACATAGTATTAGGATATTGACAGTTTGTGCCTCAGTTCTTCATGAATGTTTGCACTTATTTTAACAAATGGTTGCCAACTGGCACAAAAAACACCCACAAAACCAACCAGCAGAATGACTGAAATTATATCATTGGTGGTGAATTCATGTGTATTAAAGTTGCTTCCAACTCAGTGATTCTCTTTCAAAATGCAAATGCTTCTGGACGAAGGGATAAAATAAACTCTACATTTCAGTGTGAATAGGCAAAAGGCAATGCCATTTGGTCATCATAGAATATCTGTTGCTTTGGGTGAAGGAGAGGACACTTAAAGCTGGGGAAAATGCAAACTGAAAAGATTTCGGGAATTAAGACAAACTTTGCCCAAATGTGAAGATGATGAACAGGAAAATATAACTACCACTTTGAAACTTTTACTGATTTAAACATTTATCATTGTTTTGCTAACTTTAAAAAATCTGTTGGCATTTATAGAGGAGGAAACTGAGTTCCTTGATACCAAGTTATTGATTCTACTTGTGATAGGTGGTCTTTATCGTTAAGTAGAACTACTTTTTGGTGGGAAGATTTGCCAATCTGATTTTCAATTGCACTTATTTGACAACCTCAAAGAAATAATTCAATGGTCATTTGTCAGTCCTCACTTTGGTAGAACTATCAGCATCATATGACATAGTTGGTAATTCCTTTTACCTTTTAAACACTTTCCTCTATTAGTTACTGGGATAAACATAATTTCCTGGGGTTTCTCCTACCTTAATGGCTGCTCCTATTTGTTTTGCTTTACTGTATGAAAAGGAACAAGCCAAAAAGTGTCAGAGTGTCCCACAGCTATGTTTTTATACTATTCCTCCTCTTTACACTTATTTCAAATACTCAACAGTTTCAAATAACACATACGCTGATGACTTCCAAATATATATTTACAGAACTCAAAAACCTCCCTCCTAAACTTTAGATTGTTGTATCTAACTACCAGCTCAACCTATCTACTAAGAAATCTGGTAAGAATCTCCAAATTAATGTTCAAAACTGAATATGCAATTTTTGTTTCTACTCTTGTAACCTCATCTTCCCAGTATTTTCATCTTGGTAATATGCAATTCCTGTTACTCAGATGCTCAGTCAAGTAACAACAACAAGAAGATCTGGAAGTTTTCAGAATTCGTCTTACGATCATATACTATTATATATATCAGAAACGCCTACTGACTACATTCAAAGTATATTTAAAATGTGATTACTTCTGTACACCTATACAGTGACACCATCACTGGCCTGCACTATTGAAATAGGAAATTAATTGGGGTCTCTTCCTCCATTCTTGTTTCTATTGGCCCATTTATCTCATAGTAGCAAAAATATTTTAATTCTATGACTTCACTACTTAAAATCTTTGTCAATTCTAGGCAGGGCAACAAGGCGTGAAAACATATAAGGGATACATTTTTGAAAGAAGCTAAACTTTCATTATTTGCAAATGACAATATTGTATAAATGAAAAATCCAAAGACTCTACAAAAAGCCATGAGAATTATTAAGTAAATTAGCAAGATCAATATGAAAGAATTTGAGGTAGTATGTTCATAGATACAAGGTCAATATACAAAAGATACAAAGTCTATACAAAAAAGTCAATAATATTTTAATACACAAGCAACAGATTACAAAATGAAATTAAACTATATTATTTACAATAACAAAAAACCATCTTATTAAAGATATGCAAGACTTCTACACTAAAAACTGCAAAATATTGTTGAGAGAAATTAGTGACTCCCTAAATAATGTAGAGGTTTACCATGCTTATGGATTGAAAGACTCAATATTATAGAGATGTCAGTGGCACTCAAATTAAGTTGTTGAATTAGTATAATTTTGGTAAAAATTACAGCAGGTTTCTTTTTCCTTTGAGAATGTTTGTGTTAATATGTGTGTGTGTAAAAGTTTGTAAGTAGATTCCAAAATGTATATAGAAATGCAAAGGACATAGAATAGACAAGACAATCTTAGAGAAGAACAAACCACAAGATTTACATTGATAAATTTTCAAAGCTTATCATAAAAAATGAAATTAAGATGCTGTGATATTATAATGATGAACAAATAAGGAAACAGAACAGAAATTCCATATACATATTCATTTAATGTACAACAAAGTGGTACAGGATGCTTTTTCAATAAATAATTCTGGATCAACTGGATATCCATATGAAACAAATGAACTTTGGCTGTGACCAGTCCATACACAAGACTCACACAAATGGATTACATATATGAATATGTAAAGTAAATAATAAAGCTTGTATTAAAGAAACAGTATCTTTGAAGCTCTAGAGTAGGCATAACTTTTAAGAATAAGACACAAAAAGCACAAACTATAAGAGAAAAAAATTGATCTTAATTAAAGTAAAAACTTCTGTCTATTAAAAGACATCATTAAAAATGTGAAAAAGCGAGACACATGCTCAGAACAGATTTTGGTAATATATATCTCACAAATGATTTGCATACAAAATATAAAAAGAACTTCTATAAATGAATTTTAAAAGACAAAACAGAAAAAATCCTAATAAACAAAAGTCAGCAAAAACCCATGAACAGATGATTCAAAAAATAAAACATTTAATTTGACACTTTGCACATGAAAAGGTGCCCAACAGTCATCCAAAAAAAAAAAAAAAAGAAGGAAAAAGAAAACTAAAACCACAAAGCAGTACTAATAAACATTCAAAATAATGGCCAAAATTAAAGAGCCTAGTAATATCAAGTGTTAGCAAAAACAGGCAGCAACTGAAACGGACACATTTCTGGGTGGAATATAAATTAGTAAAATCATTTTTGAAAGTCTTTTGGTAGTTTTTTTTTTTCCAAGTTGAAACATACCCAACAATCAAGCAATCCCTGTTACAGACCTATTAAAAATGAGTGCATGTGTGCATGTGTACACCAACGGACATGTGCAAGCATATTCCTGACAGCTTTATTCATCATAAAGCTCAAGCCAGGAGCGACCCGAATGCCAAAAATTGAAGATATATATATAATTATATCACATTTTATAATTATATATATCACATTTTATATAAGGAATACCTTTTGGCAACATAAAAAATACACGCAAAACATAAAAAACATCAAAGATGCTATGTTGCCAAAATGTGAAAACAAAAATTACCTACTTCATCTTCCCTGTGAAGATCAGGAACAAGAGAAACTAATCTTTTTAATAGAAATCAAAATAGTAATTGCCTTTGAAAAAAAATGAACTATTAAATAGGAAGAGAATCTTTTGGACTGCTACAAATGTTGTATACTTGCTTAATGTGGTAGTTACATAGCATATGTGCAAAATTCACCAAGCTACAGGCATATTTTCCTCACTTTTTGTCTGTTATAACCAAATTTAAAAAACTCCAATGGCTTTTTATTTTACTCAGAATAATAAAAAAAAAATTTACAAGACTCCTCAAAGTCCTACAAAATCTAGTTTTTGGCCACCTCTATGACTTCTCACCGCTCTCTAATTTGCAGAGTGCTGCAGCCAAACTTACTTTGTTTAGATGCCTCAGAATATTATCTTCTTTCAGGTCACTTGTACTTTCTATACTTTCTACTTGAAACTTCCCCCTGGATATTTACTTGGCTCCATAACTCCATTCAGTTCTTGATGGAAAGGTATCACCTTACCCATACCTCCCTAACTATGCAGCACCTAAACTAACACCTCCTCCCCACACACTCTATATTTCTGCTTAACTTTGAAATGCTTATTTTTTCCTCCAAAATCTTGATCTGAACTGACATATATTTCTTTATTGTCCGCTTTGCATACTAGATTGTGGGCTTCACGACAAAGGTGACCTCGTAGTTACTGCCACATCTCTAGCTCCTAGAATAAAGCTCAGCACATAAGTGGGCATACAGTAAACACTTGTTTTGAATGAATCATGCACTATCAATTATACTTTTTATCTCTTGTACATCTAAACTTTGTGTTGTGTCAGTCCTCAAACACAAAAGCCATAAAAACTCTTTATGTATTCTCCAATCCCACTCTACCTCCTCTCCATATCTAAAAATGATATAAAATTTGTCTAAACTTACTTCAATATTTTAAACTTTTTTCTTTTTTTATTAACAAATAATAGTTGTAAATATTTATGGGGTGCATAGTGATAGTTTGATACATACAATGTAAATGATCACACCAGGGTAATTAACATATCTGTCATCTCAAACATTTATTATCTGTTTTGGGAACATTCAATTTCCTCCTTTGGCTATTTGAAACTATATAATATAATATTGTTAACTATAGTCATGCTACAGTGCTATAGAACAGCAGAGCTCATTTAAACCTCTTATTCACTATAGAATTCACTTTGTTACCTGGCCCCAGGATTCCACTAAAATAATTCTTGATAACATTACCAATCGCCTCCAAGTTATTAATATTGATATTGCCCAGAGATTCTACAACAAAGCTTTTGTCTCAGTTGATTAAATCACTTGGTAGCTTCAGTTGAGTTGATTTTGTGTTCTCATTGTTATTACTACTTTTATTACTTTCCCTGCTTAGTCTGGTTCAGCAATCATTGCATTTGATAGATGTTGGCTATGTGTATACTGCACTAATTTCTTGATCAGCAATACTTTGATTATAAGGAAATACTTTGATTATAAGGAACAAATCTCATTTGAAACACCTATAGCACAAAAAAGAATCATTGTATTGGAAAGATAAAAGGACATCACATTAAAGCCAAGGACAGGAAGTGAGGCTGGGACTCCAACAACCCTGAAAATTTGGGCAGCACTTCTACAATTTCTTCACAGAAAGACTTATTGGTCTTTCTGCTCTTCCCCTCCCTTTTTTTCCTCTTTTCTCTGGTCAGTTTTCTTAGCTTCTATATCTATATTCACTGGTCCAGTGTCTACACTTCTCTTATCCTTGTTCTGAATTCCTGGAAGACAGAATTTAATTGGCCTAGCCAAATCTCTAGAGATACTCTCTATTAGGTGTTCATTTTCTGCCAAATAACCTATGGCCCGGAGAGCCATATAGCGCATATAGTAGTCTCAGGGTCTTACCGCTAAGGGAAAGGCAGTTCTCATAGAAGAGGATAAGGAGAACGCAAATATATATATATAACCTATAGATTAAAAAATTGATTGCTATGTTACTCTAAATTTTCCGCTTCACTTTGTGTCAATATATAGATTTTCTCATCCACTCCTGCATTTATACCTGCTTCAGGTGTGGTCATGAGCCCTGAGAATATCTTCCATTTGCACAGCTCATTCATTTCAGGTAGCAATGATCATTCCCAAGCTCATCAGGCTGTTAACAAAAGTTCATGAAAATAGCAACAGTTTAATAAATGGTTTCTTTTTTTTTTTTTTTAGCAGATGTTATAAGCCCCAGCTGTGCAAAGCTGAGTAAGACAAGGATTCTGCCCTTCAGGTACTCACAATATGGTGGACAGACAAGGAAACTCATAATTACAATGTGGTGTGTGAAGGGAATTGAAATAGCTATGTCCTTATTTCTAAGTGCAAAGCACAGGAGAAAAATTGAAAAATTGAACCAAGTCCCTTATGCATCTTACAATCTGATACAATTACTTGACACAATTAAGTTGTTTCTGTATTTTTATTTTAAAGTGGTTGATTTGCCTTTTACCTAAAAAGATGATATTTGATTTCTATCTAGAATCATAATACTTAACTAGGTAGATAAACTGTACATGAAATAAATAGTAATTGTATTATAATTTTATTTGCGTGTATTGTGACAGTGATATACTTCAGGATATTTTACATTTCATAATGCTAGTAAATAGTATTCTTATTAACTTTGTAACAATTTTAAACATAAACAAGTTGGATGTACTGGACAAGGAACATTTTTTTTCTGACTAATTTGAGATGAAATTGACAACCTAATACCATTTAACACTCCAATACTTTAGTCCTAGAAATAAGAACATAGGTTTTTTTTTTTTTAATTGTTGTCATTCAAGGTCACCTGCATTTTATTCATTTTTAAAACATAGTCTATATCAGGGTTTGTTAACATTCTGGATTTGTTTGCTATTTTATTACACTTATTGTACTATACTCTGTCTTTTTATGTTGACAAACTTCAATTTTCCTTTTTTTAAAATTTATTTTTAATTTTAATAGGTTTTTAGGGATCAAGTGGTGTTTGATTACATGAATAAGTTCTTTAGTTGTGATTTCTGAGATTTTGTTGCACCCATCACCTGAGCAGTGTACACAGTACCCAATGTGTAGTCTTTTATCCCTCACCTACACCCACCCTTTCCCCGAATCCCCAATGCCCACTGTATCATTCTTATGCCTTTGCATCCTCACAGCTTAGCTCCCACTTACGCCTACATATGATGTTTGTTTTTCTATTCCTGAGATACTTCACTTAGAATGATACTCTTCAATTCCATTCAGGTTGCTGTGAATGCCATTATTTCATTCCTTTTTATGGCTGTAGTACTCATATATATATATACACACATATATATACATATATCAACTAGTGGATAAAGAAAATGCGGTATATATATATATATTTTTTTCTTTATCCACTAGTTGATTGATGGTCATTTGAGCTAGTTCGATATTTTGCAACTGCAAATTGTGCTGCTATAAACATGCATGTGCAAGTATCTTTTTCATGTAATGACATCTTTTCCACTGGGTAGATAGATACCTAGTAGTAGAATTGCTGGATCAAATGGTAGATCTACTTTTAGTTCTTTAAGGAACCTCCACACTGTTTTCCATAGTGGTTGTGTTTTTAATAGCTCTTAGTAGCATTTAGTAGTAGTAGGACATAGTTTTTAGCACAAAAAACAAGTTGTATCCTCCTTAATAACCATAACTATCAAAACCAGAAACTTAACAATGATACATATGACTACCTAATCCTTAGTTCCCATTCTAATTTTTCCAATTTCCCTAAAAATTTTGTCATGTAATTTACACATGACAGAAGATTTCAGTTTAGAATCCCTCATTGCATTTAGTCCTTAGTCTTCTTCAATTTGTAACAGTTCCTCAATCTTACCTTTGAGAGGTGACAGCTTGCTGGCAGCCCTCAGCCCTCGCTTGCTCCTTGCTCTCGGCGCCTCCTTGGCCTTTGCGCCCACTCTGGCAGCGCTTGAGGAGCCCTTCAGCCCCGCGCTGCACTGTGGGAGCCCCTCATTGGGCTGGCCGAGGCCGGAGCCAGCTCCCTCTGCTTGCAGGGAGGTGTGGAGGGAGGGGCGTGGGCGGCAACCGGGGCTGCGAGCGGCACTCTCGGGCCAGCGCAAGTTCCGGGTGGGTGTGGGTTCAGAGGGCCCCGCACTCTGAGCCGCCCGCCGGCGGCGCGGGCCCCGGGCAGTGAGGGGCTTACCACCCGGGCCAGCAGCTGCGGAGGGTGCGCCGGGTCCCCCAGCAGTGCCGGCCCACCAGCGCTGCACTCGAATTCTTGCTGAGCCTCAGCTGCCTCTCCACAGGGCAGGGCTCAGGACCTGCAGCCCGCCATGCCCAAGCCTCGCCCCCGCAGTGGGCTCCTGCGCTGCCCAAACCTCCCCGACCAGCGCCGCCCCCTGCTCCGCGGCGCCGGTCCCATTAACTGCCCAATGGCTGAGAAGTGCGGGCGCAAGGTGCCGGACTAGCGGGCAGCTCCGCCTGCGACCCCAGTGCAGGATCCACTACGTGAAGCCAGCTGGGCTGCTGAGTCTAGTGGGGACTTGGAGAACCTTTATGTTTAGCTAAGGGATTGTAAATACACCAATCAGCACTCTGTGTCTAGCTCAAGGTGTGTAAATGCACCAATCAGTGCTCTGTATCTAGCTCATCTAGTGGGGACATGGAGAACTTTTGTGTCTAGCTCAGGGATTGTAAATGCACCAATCAGCACCCTGTCAAAAAGGAACATTCAGCGCTCTGTAAAACAGACCAATCAGCTCTCTGTAAAATGGACCAAACAGCAGGATGTAGGTAGGTCCAGATAAGGGAATAAAAGCAGGCTAGCCCAGCCGGCTGGGGACTAGCCCAGCCGGCTGGGGACTAGCCCAGCCGGCTGGGGACTAGCCCAGCCGGCTGGGGACTAGCCCAGCCGGCTGGGGACTAGCCCAGCCGCCAGGCTGGTCCCCTTCCACAGAGTGGAAGGTTTGTTTTTTCGCTCTTTGCAATAAATCTTGCTGCTGCTTACTCTTTGGGTCTGCGCTGCCTTTATGAGCTGTAACACTCACTGGAGGTTTGCAGCTTCACTTCCTAAGGCCAGCAAGACCACGAACTTACGGGGAGGAACGAACAACTCCAGACACTCGGCCTTAAGAGCTGTAACACTCATCGCGAAGGTCTGCAGCTTCACTCCTGAAGCCAGTGAGACCACGAACCCACCAGAAGGAAGAAACTCCTAATACGTCCGAACATCAGAAGGAACAAACTCCGGACACGCCGCCTTTAAGAACTGTAACACTCACCGCGAGGGTCCGCGGCTTCATTCTTGAAGTCAGTGAGACCAAGAACCCACCAATTCTGAACACACCTTGATTTCATTACCTTCATATTTTTGAAGATTACTGTCTAGTTATTTTATGGAATACTTCTTAATTTGGGATTGTCTGATGTTTCCTCATGTTTAGATTCATCTATGGCAAGAGTTTTATATAATGTTGTTTCTTGTGTGTACTATCAGGTTGATGCACGGTTTCAATTTGTTTCATCACTGATGTTGTCTACTTGGATCACTTGTTTAAGGTGATGACTGTCAGGTTCCTCAATTTTAAAAGTACACCTTTTCACTTTGAAATTAGTATTACATAGAGTTACTCTGAAATCTATGAAAATAATCCTCCCTTTTAACATTTCCATTTATTCATTAATTTTTTCATATCATATGCACTCATGGTTACTTTTGTGTTCAGTTGATTACAATCCATTGCTATCATTATTTATTTTGATGCTCAAATTGTCCCTGGATTTGGCCAGTTTTATTTCATTCAAGCTATCTGCTCTGTGCTTCTGAGATGTTCGCATTTTTCTCTGGGCATTTCCTTACTTTCTGAAAGAAAAATATGGCCCAGGCTTATCTTGTACTTTCCCTGACTCAAACTAGAAATAATCCATTTCTCCAAGGAGCTCTGGCTTTTTTTTTTTTTTAAATCCAATCAATCACCTTGTATATATCCAATCTCCTTCCCCTGCTTCGACTTTCTCTTCTGCATGGAGGCTGTCCTCTCCCTGCTCAGACGCCGATGCTCCCTTCCTGGACGTTTTCCTTCACAATTGCATGGGCTGTCTCCTCAGCCTTCGTGCACTCCAACGCCCCTTGCCACACTGTTTGAACTCCCCAAACCATGATGTTTCTTCTGCAGTGTTGTTATTCTCACTCTGCTTAGGCTCTGTTCATTGAGGCAACCCCTCTTCACTTTTGCTCTGGACATCTACCTCGCTTTATCCAACTAAAACCTCTAGGACTGAAATGCTTAGAAAGGAAGACACTTGTAGTATAGTTTTAATTGGTTGAAAACAATTTTGTGAACCTGGTGAGCCTTGGTGGCACAGTGTACAGAAAAAAGAAGCAGAAGAAAGGATTCTTATTCTCAAGGAGCTTTTCAGGGTAACTGGAGAGACAAAGACAACTCATTTTATCTTTAGAATAACTCTGTAAGGCATAGATTAGTATCCTTATCTGAGCATAGCTATTAAGAATATGATCTTATTTTCTTTGAGGGGATAATTTCTTGGCAGTTTTGGAATACTATAAATGGAACGGAAGAGAAAAAGCTAGTGTAAAAAATTGGGATGCTAAGCAAATTCTAGAAAGACACGGTGACAAATTATGCTTCTTTTTCTGTGACTTTTTTTGGTTTAGAATGAATGAATAGAATAGATGATATCCTTTACAGAAATAGAATCATATTAATTAACATTTTATAATGCTACTAGGAACCTAACAAACCAAGAAGATAACCACACCCTTATAGCATAATAATTCCTTTAAAAAGCCAATTGTTTTCAATTTACAAATAGTATGTCAGACCATGCATGTTGGTGCTTTTCTTTGAGTATTGTAGAATGTTTTCTGATTATTAAATTTAAAAACTAGATATAGTGTCTAAGATAATTCTCAAGTATTTATAATTCAAATGAATAAGAGTGTAGGTAGAAAGGGAAATGCGCAGAAAGCTGTCTGTCACATGAGGAAGGCAAAAAGCTGTGACTATAGTAATCAGGTCTGTTCTTGGTGCTGGTGACAAAAACCTAACCCGAAGCCCCCTAGGCAAATTGAGGGATATACTGGCTCATGTAATCAGAAATTACAGAAATACTAAAGGAAATGGCTAAAAAATAACCATTACATCACTGGGGTTTGCTTTCTTTTCCTCCCTTTCCTGGTTTTCTGTGTATTACCTTAATATTCTTCTACCACCGACCACTTTTCACCGTATGATGGCAGATGGGCCACTAGATGGGCAGCTTCATTGCTGGAGGAAAAGAGACTTTTACCCTCCACAATGTTTTGTAGAAAATCAGAGCAGGACTCTGATTGGCAGGCCATTTATCACAGCTCACACCTTGCTTAGTTCATTTTGCAGCAGAGGGTTTGGGTAAATGTATTATGTTTGTCTAAGTTTGAAACATGTTCTTATATTTAGGGTGTGAAATAATTCAAAGTATCATTATTGAAAGCCCCCTTTGGAACAAATTATAATTATGTAGGTGAAGTAGTTCCCCCTAAAGCCAGAAGAAAGAAGACACCTATTTGCTGGGGAATTACTGTAATCCAGGAAGGCATGCCAATTAATGTTAATTATAATTTCTAATGAGTTTCAGTAAACTCAGTCTGAAGAAAAATAATCTAAACTTGGGGCTCTAGGTAACAGAATGACCCACTTATATATGAAGCAGATTCATAGTACTTGGTGAATAATGTTTGGGATAGTTATCCAACTAGCAGTTTGTCAGCCCACTGTATGGTCCTTTTAAATATATATGTGTGTAATGATGAAAAAGTGCCAAATAGAAAAAAATGTAAAATATATAGGAAATCTATCAGCTCAAATTAGGTGATAAAGCTAAAATAAGTAGGAAAAATAAGTATAAGGGTATACAGTATCTAAGCTTACATGCCTTTAGCACGAGACGAAAAAATTAAAATATAATAATAACAAATATATGGGAAAATTGGAAAATCAAACTCAATATTGAACGAAGTTAGCCACAGCCTGAGTGGGGCACCAGATTGAAATCAATTAGAAGAATTAATTAATGGCATATCTTGAATCCAAGAAAGACCAATCACCTATAAGGGATTCAACCTGTTCATTTTGCAGTGAGAAAAATCACTCTTGATAGTCACAGCTTTGAGTTTTATACCCTTGCCCAAATATTCAGTCGATATGTAAATTTAGCTGTTGATGTGGTAATTCTAATATGCTTGGGATGATACAGTTGTTTTTTTTAGTGAGTTTTCGTTGAAATCTTTTTTTTTTTTAACCCTGGAAAGATTCAGACTTTTGTACAGAAATAATAAAGCTTACTTTACTACAAATCTTTTATGTTCAGAAAAATATGGGTATAGTGGTTTAAAAATATTTTAACTATTTAAGATATTTTGACATATTATTCAAAGTAGTCTTGGGATTACAGTAAAAGTATACAATTAAGTGATTTTATTGTTACAAGTTTTAATTAGAAATATAAAATATAATTTGGATATGTTTGTAAGCAATAGAAAAAATTAGAATAGTTTAAACATTGGCAAACATTTTGCTGACTAAAGGTTTTTAAAGTTAGTAAAAAGGGAAAAAACCTGCATATATTAATATTAACTTTATAAATGCAATTGCAAGATTCAAAAAAGTGATTTTATCAAGCTATAAAAATTTCCCTAAAAGTGATTTTTAGAATTTGTTAGAATGGAAAAGAGTAACACAATTTTTAAGTTAATCTTAAAAACTTAAGGAATGACTTCTGATTCTAGGAAGATAAAGTAGACAGAAAACGAGAGAACTCGTCTGAATTTATTCTATGAAGCTAGAATTAGCCCGACAGCAAAAGCAAAGACAGTACCAAAAAAGGAGTACCACCAATGAATATTTCTCATAAAATGGACTCAAAATTTCTTTAAAAAATACGTGCAAATAGAATTCAACAATGTAACAGTGTAAAAAAAGAATGTTATACTGAGTAGGGTTTATTCCAAAATTGCAAGACTAGTTTAATATTTAAAAAATCAATGTGATCCACCTTGTTTACAAACTGAAGAAGAAAAATCACATAATTATATCAATTCACGCAGAAAAATCAAAATTTGACATCTATTCATAATAAAAAAACTATCAATGCACAAGTACAAATGGAAAAGTTGATAAATTAGAATTTAACAAAATTTAAACTATTTGCTCTGTGAGTTTGTTAAGAGGATGAAATGGAAACCTACAGATGGGGAGAAAGTATTTGTAGACTACATATCTGACAAAGGATGATTGTCCTAGTTCAGTTGTGCTGCTAAAACAAAATATCAGGGGCTGAGTAATTTATGAAAAAGAGAAATTTATTTTCTCTCAGCTCTGGAGGTGGCAAAGCCCATGATCAAGGAACTGGGATCTCGTGAGGGCCTTCACATGTCAGGAGGGGAAGAGCACACTAGCTGAATGCTGCGTGAAGCCTCTTTTGCAAAGGCATTGATCTGATTCATGAGGGAGAAGCTCTCATGGCCTAATAACTATTTTTTTTTTTTTGACGGAGTCTCCCTCTGTCACCTAGACTGCAATCTTGGCTCACTGCAACCTCTGCCCACTGGGTTCAAGAGATTCTCCCACCTCAGCCTCCTGAGTAGCTGGGATTACAGGTGTGCACCCCCACACGCAGCTAATTTTTGTATTTTTAGTAGAAATGGGGTTTCACCATGTTGGCCAGGCTGGTCTCGATCTCATATATGGTCATGTATCTCAGGTGATGCGCCCGCCTCGGCGTCTCAAAGTGCTGGGATTAAAGACATGAGCCACTGCTCCTAGCCCTAATAACCTTTCAAAGACCCCATCTTTTAATAGTATCACATTGGAAATAACTGACTTTTGGAGAGGATACATTATCTAAAATATATAATACAACTTTATATGGGCTGAAATGTGTCACCTCAATATTCACGTATTGAGGTTTTAACCCTCAGTACCTCAGAATGTGACTATATTTGAAGATAGTGTCTTTCAGGAGTTAATTAAGTTAAAATTAGGTCATAAGGGTGGGTCTTGATCCAATATGATTCCTCTTCTTTAAAAAAGAGAAATTTAGGATAGAGAAACATATGGAGGAAAGGCCATATGAAGACACAGGCTGGCTTCCTTTGCCATGCACGAGCCAAGGAGAGAAGCCTCAGAAGAAACCAGGCCAGCTGACATTTTAATTTTGTACTTCTAGCTTCCATACTTGTGAGAAAATAAATTTCTGCTGTTTAAGCCACCCAGTCTGTGGTAGTTTGTTAAGGCAGCCCTAGAAAACCAATACAATTCTCAAAATATAATAGTTAAAAAAAAAAAAAGAAATAATCCAAAGATAACATGGGCAAAATACATGAACAGATATTTCACCAAAGAGGATATATAGATTGCAAATAAGTATATGGGAAGGAGTTCAGCATGGTTTACCATTAGGAGAATGCTAATCGAAACCTCAATGAGATGTTGCTACATATCTACCAGAATGGCTAAAATAAAAAGTATTGGTAATGTCAAATGCTGACATGAATGTGACACAACCTGATGACTTACACTCTTGCTGCTGGGACCATAATGTGATAAACTGATATGACTATAATGGGAAATATTTTCAGCTTCTTAATAATAAACTAAGCACATAATTACCATACAACCCAGCAATGCACTGTTGGGCACTTGTTCCAGGGAAATGAAGAGTTATTTCACACAAAAAGTGTGTACACAAATTTTTATAGGAGGTGTATTTATAATAGCCAACATTAGGAAACAGCTCAGTGTTCTTTCAATTGATCAATGAAAAGACAATGGTACATTCATGCAATGGAATACCACTCAACAGTAAAGAAACAACATATCAATACTTATACCATCCTCAATGAATCTACCCAAATTATGCTGAGTGAAATAAAAAGCTATCTCAAAGGGTTAAACACTCTATGATTCCATTATATAATATTCTTGGAATGACAAAATTATAGGGATGAAGAATATATCAGTGGTTGCCAAGGTTAAGTAGCTGAAAAATGGGTAAGTAAAAGAGAGTTCTAAGTAGAAGAGAAATGGATGTGGCCATAGAACAGCAACATGAGGATTCTTCTCGTGATGGAAATGTCCTATATCTTGATGCATCAATGGCAATATCGTGGCAGTGATACTCTGTTGTGGAAGATGTTACCATAGAAGAAAACAACCTTTTTTGTCATACAGATCTTTTTCTGTTTTATTCTGAGACACTTGCTGATTTTTGAGATTGAGACATTCTCCCTCAATTACAATAACTATCACAATAGTTCACAAAAACTATTACAATAGTTTCTTTTACAAAGTTTCTCTTTATCTAAGTCCAGACTTGTTCTTTTTGTTTGTTTGTTTGTTTTTAACAACTATCTGGACAGCTGAAGAATCTCACTTTCAAAAAGACAGAAGAAGCACTTTATATAATATCTTGATGTTACATTTGATTAGGAATTTCAATTAGGAAAATAATTTGACCAGTCTCTACCTTTTGTTTACTTAAAATGATCGTCTAGTCCCAAGCACTTAAAATTATCATCTGGTCCCAATTAAAGTAATCAAGTTATGGAAGGCCAAGAGAGAAAAACCATTTCAAATTTTGGCAGGTTCTGACAAAATAACAAACTGGAAACAGAACCATAAGCCAAGATTTATATATTACAATTTAGCGGGCATATCATCAAACCAACTGCATGCTAATTCTTCATTTCAGCTGCTATTCCAAATTAATTTCCAAATATTTTTCTTGCTTTGATCAGGATTGGCTGTGAATCAGAATGGGCTTCACCTTTAGGGGAAAATCTGCAATACTTCTAGTTAGGTCAGCTGGGAAATTAGGAAATAGACACAACTAAAAAAGAGCTAAATTTTATTATAAACAATTTATATGAAAATACAGACACTAGTTATCTCAAAAATACACAATCTTTTATCTCAATATCAGCAATTATAAGAAGCACACTAATTCGTCATCTCCAGGGACATTGTGATTGCTTCCCAGTTTTGATGATCATGAGAAATACCATAAGACCACTGAAAGTTGGCAAAAATTTATACTGACACACACAGACTATGAAAAGTATCTCTTGGCTGGGTGTGGTGGCTCACCCCTGTAATCCCAGCACTTTGGAGGCTGAGGTGGGTGGATCATGAGGTCAGAAGTCAAGACCAGCCTGGCCAACATGGTGAAACCCCGTCTCTACTCAAAATACACACACAAAAAATTAGGCGGGCATGGTGGCTCATGCCTTGTAGTCTCAGCTACTTGGGAGGCTGAGGCAAGAGAATCTCTTGAACCCGTGAGACGGAGGTAGCAGTGAGCTGAGATTGCGCCACTGCACTCCAGCCTGGGCGACAGAGCAAGACTCTTCGTCTCAAACAAACAAACAAACAAACAAACAAAAAAAGAAAGAAAAAAAGTATCTCTTTATGCTACTGAGTCTGTGGTTCTCATGGTACTTCCGGAGTTGCCACTTGAAGGAAACTTGTGTTTGCTGAGCAGAGATCAGCTTCCATCTCAATCGACTCCAATTTCAAGGATTTTCTAGAGGTTACATTCTATTCAGTGAGGTGATCTGATTTAGGTCAATATCTCTAACATCCAAATTAAAGTAATGTCTCTAAATCCCTATGCACTTTACTGCACCTTCCTCCAAGAATTTTTTTTCTGTATTATCTCCTTACTGCATAGGGCAAAAATAATGTTTTATTATTGTATGTAGGACTACAGAGTACGGACTGCCAAGAAGCTCATATCATATTGTAATTTAATTGCCTGTCTTCCCTCAAAGTCAGGAGCCATCAAAGACCCAACAGCTGTATGTTCCCTGGTACATTGTGGGTAAATTAGTATCTGCTGAGTGAGTGACAAGGCAAGGGATGTAGAGTCATAGCAAGTGCACTCTGGGATCTGGAGACTGAAACTCTTTCTGTGTACACTGCACTTTCCTCTTGCCACTTACTTCTAACCTATTTAGGGTCCATGGCTTCTCATTTCTGCTCTGATGGCTGAATTCATTATTCATTTTATTGACATTTAAAAATTTTAGTTATTGTAATTAGTTATTGTAATACATGATTACTTTCTCCCTCTAAAAATTGATGAATAATAATAATTTATCTCTAAATCTAAAGTAGTTGTTTGACACCTCCCCTCTCTTTCAAAATCATCTTATTCTTTCTCTGGAAGTCTGTAACAGTAACACTTTATATGAATCTTTCAGATGAAGGAGAGATGTTTAAAAATATTTATTTAGGGATAGATGGAGGAGAGAGTAAAATAAGAAGGGAAGCATAAAAACATATAGCAGATAACCTTATACATAGTAATGCTACAAGTATTTTTGCTGCCATTATTTCATATATTTCATACATTTTGCTACAACTTGCCATTTTCACTCAACAATATTCTTGGAATTCTCTCCTTGGTGGCTCCATTAGTTCCGTGGTATCTGACTTTCCCACTTTGTGTTTCCAAGTGGCTGATTCCTGTAACCTCTCCAAGTTTCCATACAAAGCTTTCATTTAAGACTTTATTCAGGGCCACAACCTTAGCACCCAATGACCTTGACTTACTTACTGTCGACATTACCCCACCCGTAGTCATTCCCTGCCTTATTCAATAATACAACATGTTTTTCAGTGTGTATGTTGTACTTTCTTCTTTCTTACTATAAATAAATAATGAGAAAGTGAATACTCTTCTAAGAAAATAAATGTCAAGACCTTTGGAGCATTCACACATTAAAACAACTGCTGAGTCATAATGAGTATTTCATTTTTCTCCCTTTGATTATGTCTGACTGAAAATTCCCACAAAATCTTAAGTAACTTTGTAAAATAGATGAGGTTCTCAAAAAAAACTGGTTTTCATATGTATAGCATTCACTTGGGTGCTGAGAAAATGTCATAACCGAATAGAGATCTTTTTTTAGCCTAAAGGGATAGTTTTGCCCTTCTACAGGAAGATCTTAACATAGACTTAAAAAAATTTTTTTGATTATGTTTTTAAATAAGAAAGGTTAAAAATGATATTTTCCAACCCTAATATTCTGAATAGATCTTATTCATTCTTTTATATAGTAAACAATTCTGATCAATTAAACAGTTATTAATTTCAAAGGTCAGAACATACCAATAAGCTAGGCATTTCTAGACCATATTAGAAAAATAAAACAAAAAATATAATCGAATAGAATAAATTTTCAAGTAATTAGCTTCACAAAAGATAGAGTCTATAAAATTAGGCAAATAAAGGTAAATTTTTGTGCTTTGGGAAATTAAACGAGGGTGGCTAACATTTCGCTATTTGATTCTGGACAATTGTTCTTCAAATTTGCTTATTTGTTTTTAATATACAAGTATTTCAGCATTGTCTATTTTTGATATTTATTTTGACTGTCTTTTAAAAGAAGATGGCAAATACTGAAGTATTATCATTGAAGAATGGATTGCACAAGATCTGCCATAGGCTAGATACTTGTATAAAAACACGAGACGGGCACTGAGAGTTTCTTGCTACCCCAAAAATCTCTTGTGAATGTTCTGTGGAGTCTAACAAGTTCATCATAAACATTGTACATTGCAGTTAAAGCCTAGTCTCAAGAGGACTGTTGTGGGAGATGCATTTCCCTGGGAGGAGAAGCAAGGGCTATTGCATTTTACACATATGATTGTAGGACATATTAATTTTGGCTGCGCCTTTGGAAAGTACACCTAGTCCAAAGAGAATGAAATTACAAATTAGTATGTTTTATTGACAATAAGGGCAGGAGAAATTTGACATGACGCTCAGCTCCTGGAGGACTGGCAGAGTGTGATTCCTCCATGGGCACCGGACTGGAGGACACAGACACCTATAATAGCAGTGGATAAGAATGTATGTGTGCATGTGTGTGTATGTGGGGGCACCAAGAAGGCACCGTGAAAATAGGAAGCTTGGAGGCACTGAAGACTCATTTTATCGTGTAACAGTTTGCTCTTGGATGGACTCTGGATTTTACTGAATGTTTTCCAAGAAAAATGAGGTATTACTTCAGTCTAGTGCTTAGACACGGAAATATGAGTAGAAGTGGAAAAATTTCACAAATGAATCTGAAAGTATTGCCTAAGATATGGGGTGAAAAAGGCTATGATAGTTATCCAAAAATGCACTGTGGTTTTAATTAAGTGTTTGGAATTTAAATTTTCCATATGGCCACAAAATGCCTAGCATAGTAATATTTGATTTTTTTTGTAGTAAAAATCACCTATAATTGTTGGTTGATTTTGTTTCACACCTTCCCACTCCTGCAAAATTAATACCAGGTGGCAAACATGTGTTACAACCTGTTTACGAATTCATCACTGGAATTGCACAAATGTGGAAAAGTTTAATTTAAAATGATTTTTTAATAAAACTGGTCATTATATTAAGATGTAGAGAGTAAAACTAGGCTGATAAAAGACAACTATGTTTTAAATAAAAATATGTTAATTACCTTTCTACAAATCACTGTCTGTGAATTCAAACTTATAATTTTTAATTGTTTTAGAACCCAGTGATTTTTAAGTACTATGCAGGTGGCGGCTTTTCTTTTAAAATTATTTTTAGAATTTCTTTATTGAAGTATACATATATACTTACAAATGCACACACCAAACTCTATGTGATGGTTAATATTGAATATTAACTTGACTGGATTGAAGGATGCAAAGTATTGTTCCTGGGTATGCCTGTGAGGGTGTTGCCAAATTAGATTAACATTTGAGTCAGTGGACTGGGAAAGGCAGATCCACCCACAATCCAGGTGGGCACCATCTAATCAGCTGCCAGAATGGCTAAAATAAAAGTAGGCAGAGGAATGTGGAAGGACTAGACTGGCCTGAGTCTTCTAGCCGCCATCTTTCTCCTGTGCTGGATGCTTCCTGCTCTCAAACATCGGACTCCAACTTCTTCAGCTTTTGGACTCTTGG
Organism: Homo sapiens; assembly: GCF_000001405.40. NCBI lineage: Eukaryota > Metazoa > Chordata > Mammalia > Primates > Hominidae > Homo > Homo sapiens. The sequence goes on along the minus strand of NC_000003.12, from coordinate 176,350,680 downwards.
ACCTACACCAGTGGTTTGCCAGGGGCTCTCAGGCCTTCGGCCACAGACTGGAGGCTGCACTGTCAGCTTCCCTACGTTTGAGGTTTGGGGACTCGTACTGACTTCCTTGCTCCTCAGCTTGTAGATATTCTATTGTGGGACTTTACTTTGTGATCATGTGAGTCAATACTCCTTAAGAAACTCCGTTTTACATATATATACCTATCTTATTAGTACTGCCCCTCTAGAGAACTCTGACTAGTACACTCTATATGGCTGGTAGAATTATCACAAACTCATCACACCTGTGTAACCAGGGCCCAGATTTAAAAAAATTAATATCATTGTCATTCCAAAGCCACCTCTTTCCCCACCATCCATGCCCTTTCAGTCATTGCAATTCACTCCTGCCTACCTTAAGCATAATCACTTAGCTTCTAACATCACAGATTAGGATTGCTTATTTCTATGTTTTATATAAACAAAACCATGCAGTATGTGCTTTTTTGTGCCTGGCCTCTTTATCTCAGTATTATGGTGGTGAGATTCTTTTCTACTGTTGCGTGTAGTTGGAGATCATACACTCTCATTGCTTTCAGGTATTCCAATGTGTGAATATCCAACAGTTTGTTTTATCTGTTGTACTACTGTTGAATATTTGAGTAGTTTCGAGTTCTGGGCTAATTTAATTTGTACTTTTGGTTATATACCAACAAGTAGAATTGTTGAGTCATAGCTTATTCCTATGTTCAGCTTTAGTAGATGCTGCCAGAAGTTTCCCTGAAGATATTGTACCAATGTACAATGTACAGTCCCATGGGTATTATATGAGAATTGTGGTTGCTCCAAATTTTTCCATAGAATTTTGAAACTTTCTGTCCTTTTCATTTTGGCCATCTTGTCATGCATGTGGTGGTTGCTGAAGTTTAAATTTGCCTGATGACTGTTGAAGTTGAGCATGTTTTCCTGTATTTATGGGCTATTTGAATATTCTCTTCTATGGAATGTCTGTACACGTATTTTTCACTTCTCATTTGTACCTTGTGTGTATTTTTAAAATAAATATTCTGCTTGAACCCAGGAGGTGGAGGTTGCAGTGAGCTGTGATTGCACCACTGAACTCCAGTCTGGCAACAGAGTGAGACTCTGTCTCAAAAATAAATAAATAAATAAATAAATAAATAAATATTCTGGATAAACAGCTTTTTGCATAGACAAATATTTTTTCACATGTTGTGCCTTGCCTCTCTACTCTCTTGATGGTCTCAGTTTAAAAGAAGTTCTTAATTACTATATAGTTTAGTTGATCATTTTTTTCTTTTATAATCAGCACATTTCATATTCTGTTAAAGAAATAGTTGCCTACTTTAAGTTCATAAAGATGTCCTCCTAGGTATTCTTTTCTTTTTAATGAAAGCTTTACTTTTTGCCAGGGTGCAGAGGGGGCAAGGTGTAATGTGAGATGAAGACACACCATTTTCCAGGTAGCTATCCAATTGATCCAGTACCAGTTATTTAAAAGGCCACATTTTCCTCCTTTGCATTTGATTTTCCTATTGCATTTCTACACTCTTTGTTCTATTCCTTAACCAGTTTCTCTATTCATACAAAAATATCACAGTCTTAATTACTGTAGCTTTATAATCGATTTTGGTATAGATAGTTTCAACAATGAAGCTTTTCTTCCCCAAATGATTTTTCAGCTCTTCTTGATCCTGCATATTCATATACATTTTTAAATTGTCTACCAAATTTCTGCAAAAAATCCTGATGGAAATTTAAAAAATTGGGATGCATTGATTTTACAGATTAATTTGAAAATATCTATATATTTATATTATAGAATTTTACAAATTATGAACATGGTATATCTCAATTTCTTTTTGTTTTTTTTTTATCTTACTCTTGTGTTTAGTTGCTCATTTTAAATAACTTTATTATTGGGTATTTGTTTTTAAAAATACTGAAATGGTGTTTTTTGAAATAAACTTCTCTGTTGCTAGGTTATAAAATTACAATATATAGTCTTTATATAAAACTTCCTTGCTAAATTGACACATATTTCAAGTTTTTCTGGGTACTAAAAAAATTTTTAAATCAAACTTTCTGAAAACAATTCTAAAGACTTCCTTCTTTTGTCCCATTGAACTGACAAGTTCCTTTAGTACAGTTTTGAATAGAAGTGGTGATGACAGACATTCTCTTCTTGTTCCTGATCTCCAGAGAAAGTATTTGTCATGTGTCTTTAGCACTATTCACAATAGCAAAGACTTGGGACTAACCCAAATGCCCATCAATGATGGACTGGTTAAAGAAAATGTGGCACATATACACCATGAAATACTATGCAGCCATAAAGAAGGATGAGTTCATGTCCTTTGCAGGGACACAGATAAAGTTGGAAACCATCATTCTCAGCAAACTAACACAGGAACAGAAAACCAAACACTGCATATTCTCACTCATAAGTGGGAGCTGAACAATGAGAACACATGGACACAGGGAGGGGAACATCACACACCGGGGCCTGTCAGGGGGTGGGGGCTAGGAAAAGGATAGCATTAGGAGAAATACCTAATGTAGATGATGGGTTGATGGGTGCAGCAAACCACCATGGCATGTGTATACCTATGTAACAAACCTGCATGTTCTGTACATGTATCCCAGAACTTAAAATATAATTTTTAAAAAAAGAAGAAGAAGAAAGTATTTGTCAGAGGTGTTTGAACCAGAGTGATTCCATCTTGGATAGGGGTTGGGTAAAATAAGGCTGAGACCTACTGGGCTGCATTCTCAGGAGGTTATGTGACAGGATGAGATAGGAGGTTCACACAAGATACAGGTCACAAAGATCTTGCTGATAAAACAGGATGTCATAAAGAAGCCAGCCAAAACTGACCAAAACCAAGATGGTGAGAAAAGTGGTGACCGCTGGTCCTCCTCACTGCTCATTGTATGCTACTTATAATGCATTAACATGCTAAGATACACTCTCACCAGTGCCATGACAATTTACAAATGCCGTGGCGACGTTGAGAAGTTATGCTACATGCTCTAAAATGGGGAGGAAACCTCATTTCCAGGAATTGCCCATCCCTTTCCTGAAAAACTCATGAGTAATCCACCATGTGAGCAGCATATAATCAAGAAATAACTGTAAGTATATTCAGTTGAGCAGCCCATGCCTATGGAGTAGTCATCCTTTATTTCTTTACTTTCTTAATACACTTGTTTTCACTTTACTCTATGGACTCTCCCTGAATTCTTTCTTGTGTGAGGTCCAAGAACCCTCTGTTGGGGTCTGGATTGAAACCCCTTTCTGCTAACATACTCAGTCAACGTTTTACTGTTGATTATGATGTTTGCTGTTGGGGTTTTTTTTGTAGATATTGTTATCACATTAAGAAAAAATTTCTTCTATTCCAGTTTCCTAAAGTGATTTTTAAAAACCATAAATGGGTATTGAATTTTGTCTCTTTTGTATTGAATAGGATAATCCTATTATTTTTTTCATATTTTTGTTAAATTGGTAAAATACATTAATTTATTTTAAAATGTTAAGACATTTTATACCTGTAATAAGTTCTACTTAGTTAAAATATGTTATCTTTGTGGTATGCCACTGGATTCAATTTGCTAATATTTTGGAATAATTTTTGAAACTATGTTTATGAGTTATTGGTTTATAGTTTTTTTCTCTAATAATACTGTCAGGTTTCTAAGTATGTTAAGAATTCTTTCCATTTTTTTTCCTGTTCTCTGGAAGGGTTTGTATAGTATTGATAATGTTTATCCCTTATCTAAGAAAATTGAATCAAAGTCTTTGGCACTAGAAGTCTATAAGAACATCAGAAATCCAGGGATGAATATACTGTTTGAATAGGCAAGTTTCTACTTAGAGAGAAATACTAATGGAGAAAAGATGTGGGGAAAACAAAAAATGCTATGAGTTAGCACTTCTATTTAAATTCCCAGGCAAATCTTTAACAGTAGATAGTCACAGGGCTGTACAAGAAGGCACTAGGACCTATATCTTGGTTTTAAGAAAAAGGAAAAAAAAAAAACCTTGCTAATTACAACTTTGGAATGTACACCTACTGATTGCTAAACTTTATAAAGTTTTACTAAATATTTGTACTTTTGTAAGTTACTTAACTTCCTTGTCCTTCAGTTTCTGTCATGGGAAAAATTGAGATAATAACAGTACATTTCTCACAGTATTTTCTCATGGTAATGATTGAATGAAGTAACAGACAGACAGACAGACACACACACACACACACACACATACATATGCATCTGCATCTGGCTTTTAGACAGTGCTCAATAACTGGTGCAGTCATTGTTTTTATTAGTTATTATTATGAAGTCATAAATCAAGGCAAGAATTTGTGTTTTATAATTTTTGCTTCTGTCTGTGTCTATTTAAATATTTTGTTCATAATCAATGCCATGCTAAACAATACTGAAAATGAATAAATAAAAATGTTGGGGGGATTCTGCAGTACAAAATGTTCTCATCAGCATTGATCACAGAAAACAAATAAATTAAAAAAAAACAGTAAATTCTTTTCATGTGTGTGAAACCATCATAGACCATCCTATCTGATGCAGGTTAAATAAGAATTTCATAAAGCTCTATGATGCAAGTCACATTAAAACTTCTGATCCTCATGGGGACATCAAGATGGCTGACTAGAGAGACATTTGCCACTTGCTTCCTCCACAAAATAGTAAGTAGATAATCATACTTCACATAGAGCATCCAAGGGAGAACACTGGACTTCAGCAGAAAAGTGATGGGAAACCCTACAGGCACAGAAGCAAAGGGATGTGAGGATGGTCTGGGCCAGGATTGGCTGAGAGCCAAGAGAAACTTCCCAGTGTGGGGAAAGACTAAGTGAGAAATCCCCAGTGGTCCACACTCCCATGGTGGACTCCTGCAATTCTAGTCATGAGAGAGGCCCTGGACCCTTGTGAGCCCTGAGGCTGGTATAGGGTGTGGCTATGAGTTCATATGACAATATTGCTCCAGACAGAGAGCTCACATTAGGTCCCACACATCCCCTGACCCCCAAGTGGCTGCAGCATGGTGCCGTTTTGAGAGCCCAGCCTCAAACAAACTGCAGCTGCCCTGGGGCCCAACAGTGACTGCATCATTCCTAGAGCTCTACTGACATCTCTTTATGTCCACCCAGAGGGCTTCAGTGGCACAATGCTGGTTGGACCAAGTGGAGTGGCAGGCTACGCAGCACTCTAGTACACACGGTGTCCTGCACCCCGGGGAATGAGTAGTGCATCTGAGTGTGTGTAATAGTGTAGTCTCTGTATGATTTCTTTGGCTGTAAACAGCATCAGTAGTGTTTGTAATTTCACTAGTGCCTTAGGCCATAGCTGTTGGTGTGGACTGTGATGAACACAGATATATAATACAAAGAAAACAGAAAAACGATTCAGGATATGAATGAAAAATTCACCAAAGAGATACACAAAAGAACCACACAGAAATCCTGGAGCTGAAGAATTCAATGAGTGAAATTAAAACATTCAATTAAGAGGTTATAAATAGACTGGATTAAGTAGAAGAAAGAAATTCAGAACTAGAAGAGAGGTCTTTTGAAATAACCCAGTCAGACACACACATACACACACACACACTCACACACAAACAGCTGCAGAATACACATTCTTTTCATAAGCACATGGAACATTCTCCAGGAGAGACCATATGTTAAGACACAAAACAACTCTCAGCAAATTTTAAAAATCAAAACCATATCAATATATCCTCAGACCACAATAAAATAAAACTAGAAATAAACAACAGGAATTTTGGAAGCTGTATAAATACATGGAAATTAAACAATGTGCTAATGAACGACCATTGGGTCAAGGAAGAAATTTTAAAAAATTAAAAATTCTTGAAAAAATATATATAGAATTGCAACACCTATGAAATATAGCACAAACAGTAATGAGAGGAAAGTTTATAACAATAAATACCTACATCAAAAAAGTAGAAAGATTTTGACTAAACAATCTAAAGATGCACCTCAAGGAACTAAAAAAGCGAGAACAAACCAAACCCCAGATTGGTAGAAGAAAAGAAATAAGATTATAGCAGAACTAAATAAAATACACACTAAAATAATACAAGGAATCAACAAAACAAAAAGCTATTTTTTGAAAATATAAACAAAATCCGTAAACTACTAGCTAGAGTAACCAATAAAAAAAGAGAGAGGAGCCAAATAAACAAAATCAGAAAGAAAAAGGATACATTACAACTGGTACCACAGAAGTACCAAGGATCATCACAGAATTATGAAAAACTATTTGCTAACAAACTGGAAAACTTAAAGAACAGACAAATTTCTGGACAAATAGAACCTGCCAAGATTGCGTCAGGAGGAACTAGAACACCAAGCTGGGTGTAGAGGCTCATGCCTGTAATCTCAGCAATTTGGGAGGCCGAGGCAGGAGGATTGCTTGAGACCAGAAGTTCAAGACCAGCCTGGGCAGCCTAGTGAGACACTGTCTCTAAAACAAGTTAAAAAAAAAAATAGGCAGACATGGTGGCATGTGCCTGTAGTCTTTATTACTTAGGAGGCTGAAGCAAAAGGATTGCCTGAGCCCAAGATTTTGAGGTTGCAATGAACTATGATTATGTCACCTTCCAGGCTGGGGAACAGAGCAAGGCCCTCCCTCAAAACAAAACCACTGAGCAACACATAAAAATAGCACAAAAAGGCTGGGCATGGTTGCTCACGCCTGTAATCCCAGCACTTTGGGAGGCTGAGGCAGGCAAATCAAGAGGTCAGGAGTTCGAGACCAGTCTGGCCAACATAGTGAAACCCCATCTCTACTAAAAATACAAAAATTAGCTGGGTGTGGTTGTGTGTGCCTGTAAACCCAGCTACTTGGGAGGCTGAAGCAGGAGAATCGTGTGAACCTGGGACACTGAAGTGGCAGTGAGCCGAGATCGCGCCTTTGCACTCCAGTCTGGGCAACAGTGCAAGGCTCCATCTCAAAAAAAAAAAAAAAAAAAAAATTGATCAGTAATAAGAGTCTCCCAACAAAGAAAAGCCCAGAACCTGATGGCTTCACTGCTTAGTTCTACCAAACTGATAAAGAAGAACTAAACACTAATTATCTTTAATTAATTTCAAAACAAAAATTGAAAAGGTGGGAATTCTCCCTAACTCATTCTACAAGACCAACAGTATCCTTACACCAAAACCAGACAAAGACACCAACAAAAAAGAAAACTATATGCCAATATCTCTGATGAACATAGACACAAATATTCTCAATAAAATACTAGCAAACTGAATCCAATAGCACTTCAAACAGATAATACACTGTGATCAAGTGGGATTTATACCCCGAATGCAAGAATAGTTCAACATAGGCAAATCAATAAATGTGATATATCACACCAAGGAGAATGAGGGATAAAAACCCTATGATTATCTCAATAGATGCAGAAAATGCTTTTTATAAAACTTTATATCCCTTCATGGTAAAAACTCTTAACGAACTATGCATAGAAGTAACATCTCTCAACATAATAAAGGTCATATATTGCAAACCCACAATTAACATTATACGAAATGGGGAAATCAGAAAGCCTTTTTCTCTAAGAACTGGTACAAGACAAGGATGCCCACTTTCACTACTCCTATTTAACATAGTACTGGAAGTCCTAACAGGAGCAATCATGTGAGAGAAAAAAATAAAAGGCATCCAAATTGGAAAAGAGGAAATCAAATTGTCCTTGTTTGCATATGACATGTTTTATATATAGAAAAACTAAAGACTTCACTAAAAACCTTTAGATCTGGTAAACAAATTTAATAATCAGCATACAAAATCATTAGCATTTCTAGACACCAATAATGAACTAGCTGAAAAAGAAATCAAGAAGGCAATCCTATTTACAATAGCTACAAAAAAAGGACTATATAGGAATAAATTTACCAAAGAGGTAAGAGATCCCTACAAGAAAAACTATGAAACACTGATGAAAGAAATTGAAGAGGACACAAATAGATGGAAAGACATCCAATGATAAGGGATTAGAAGAATTATTGTAGTTAAAAATGACTGAACTACTTAAAAGAATCTACAGATTCAATGCAATCCCTATCAAAATACCAAAGGCAATTTTCAGAGAAATAGATAAAAAGCCTAAAATTTCTATGGAACCACTAAAGATGCCAAATAGCTAAAGCAATCCTGAGCAATAGGCTGTAGTAACCCAAACCGCATAGTATTGGTATAAAAACAAACACATAGACCAATGGAACAGAATAGAGAACTTAACATAAATTCATGTATTTACAACCAATTTATTGACAGAGGCACCAAGAGCACACACTGGGGAAAAGACAACTGATATGGTTTGGCTCTGTGTTCTCACTCAAATCTCATCTGGAATTGTAATTCCCACGCTTCGAGGGAGGCACTGTAATTCTGACGTGTAGAGGGAAAAAGGTGATTGGATCATGGGGGTGGCTTCCCCCATGCTGTTCTCGTGAAAGTGAGTGAGTTCTCACGAGATCTGTTAGTTTTATGAGACTCTTCCCCCTTCATGGTTCTCTCTCTCTTGTTCTTTCTCACCTACTGCTATGTAAGACATGCCTGCTTCCCTTTCCACCATGACTGTAAATTTACTAAGGCCTCCCTACTCATGCCAAATTGTGAGTATGTGAGTAAATTACACCTCTTTCTACATAAATTGCCCAGTCTCAGGGAAGTTTATTTATTTATTTATTTATTTATTTATTTATTTAAGGCAGAGTTTCACTCTTGTTGTCCAGGCCGGAGTGCAACTGTGCAATCTCGGCTCACTGCAACCTCTGCCTCTCAGGTTCAAACGATTCTCCTGCCTCAGCCTCCTGAGTAGCTGGGATTACAGGCGTGCACCACCACGCCCAGCTAATTTTTGTATTTTTATTAGAGACGAGCTTTCGCCATGTTGGCCAGGATGGGAAGTTTTTAATAGCAGTGTGAAAACAGACTAATACAAGAACCTCTTCAATAAATGATTCTGGGAAAACTGGATATCCATATTTAACAAAATGGAAGTAGACATATGTCAATTACAACGTACACAAATCAAATCAAAATGAATTAAAGACTTAAATTTAAGGCCCAAAGCTATAAAACTACTAGTAGAAAACACAAGGAAAATACTTCAGGACCTTGGTTTAGGCAAAGACTTTATGTGCAAGACCTCAGAAGTATAGGCAACAAAAACAAAAATAGACAAATGGGGTTAAGTTAAATAAAAAGGTTTCTCCATAGCAAAGGAAACCATCAATAGAGAGATGAAATAACCTGTAGAATGAAAGAAAATATTTGCAAACTATTCATTTAACAAGGTGCTAATATCCAGAATATACAAGTAAGTCAATCAAACATCTCAATGGAAAATAAATCTCTTTAAAACGTGGGCAAAAATATGAAGATCTGAATAGACATTTCTCAAAAGAAGATATACAGGTGTCCAATAAGTATATGAAAAAAATGCATCAAAGTCAGGGAAATGCAAATCAAAACCACAATGAGATATCATCCCACCCCAGTTAGAATGCCTCTTATCAAAGAAACTAAAACAACACATACTGGTAAACATGTATTAAAGAAGGAATTCTTATACACTGTTGGTTGAAATGTAAGTTAGTATAGCCACTATGAAAAACAGCATGACAGTTTCTCAAAAAACTAAAAATAAAAATACTCTATGATCCAGCAATCCCACTACCGGATGTTTATCCAAAGAAAGAAATGAAGTATATCAAAGGGATACCCACACATGTTTACTGCAACGCTATTTAAAATGGTAAAGATGTGGGATCAACCTAGGTAGCTGCCAACAAATGAATGAATAAAGAAAAAGTGGTATATATACACAATGGAATACTATTTGGCCATACTAATGAAACCTTATTATTTCAGCAACATGATGGAATTGGAGGCCTTTATGGGTTTTTACTTGGAGACAGGTTCTTACACTGTTGCCCAAGTGGGAGTGCAGTAGCACAATCAGCTCACTGTAGCCTTGAACTCCTGGCCTCAAGCAACCCTCCCACTCCAACCTCCTGAGTAGCTAGGACTAAAGATGCATGCCATCACACATGGCTAATATTTTTTAATTTTTTTTTTGAGAGACAGGGTCTCTGTATGTTGACCTGGCTTATCTTGAACCCCTGGCCTCACATGATCATCCCACCTCAGCCTCCCAAAGCACTGGGATTACAAGCATGAGCCACCATACCTAGTCTGAAGGTCATTCGGTGAAGTGAAATAAGCCAGGCACAGAAAGACAATGTTCTTATTCGTATTCACATGTTCTTATCCGTGTATGGGAGCTTAAAAAGTTAATCTCATGGAGATAGTGTTGGATGATAGTTACCAAAGGCTGAGAAGAGTATGTGTGTAGACGGAGGGTAATGAAGAGTGATTGGTTAATGGGTATAAACATACAGATAGAAGAAATAAGATCTAATGTTCAATAACAGAGTAGGGTGACTATAGTTAACAACAATGAATTGTATATTTCAAAACAGCTAGAAGAGAGGTCTTGAACACAGAAATGATAAATGCTTTAGTCGAGGGATATTCTAAATACTCTGACTTGATTATTACATATTCTATGCATGTAACAAAATATTACATATATCCTATCGACATGTACAAATATTATGTATCAATTTTAAAAAGCCCCTTTTGATCCTTATTTTCCCTTCAGAAGCATGGGACAATGATTGGAGCAATCAAAAATACTTATTATAAAAGATTAGATGTAGTGGATTTGAAATTGATATTTAAACTAGCATGTACTATGTGATCGTGGCTTACTTAATTTTCCATAATGGATCCCATGACGTAAAAAAGGAGAAATAAACTATTTGTATGCAAAGAAAATTCTCTCTGTATTATTTATTCTAATTCATCTTTTTATGCACTGTTTGAACAAATTGGCAAATAACTTGGCATGATCAGAAATCCTTGTCCCATAAAGACATGTTACTGACCAGGTGATATAAATGGCAAAGGTGTTGAGATTTCTAAAAATAAATGGTCTTTTTTTAAAAGGCACTTTTTTTTTTCTGTTTCATAAGTGTAATTTGTCCTTGACAGCTTTAATCCAAATCTTACATTGGTTTTTAGGCAGAGTTCAATAATAAAGGAACAGATGTTTAAATCTCTGTTGCTCACAGTAGAAATTAATTATGCTAAGTTACTGCTACCTTTCAGTTTCAGAAAAACATTCAATAGTGAAGCTTAAAGGACAACTAAAATATTATAAAATAGTATGTGCTCTCCTTATAAAATATTTTGTGATTATGTCATCCAAACAATGATACCCACAGAAAATCGATGTTAAGTTTTATAACAACAAGAGTTATCCAGGAAATTATAGGGAGCACTTGAAGAGCTAGACAAGGTAAGAATATAATTTTGTCATCAAAATAGTAAATGAGAGATTTATGTTTTGCTGGGCTTTAGATTCTAGTCATCCAAACAAATTCTATAAAAATATGATATTCTGCAATTCAAGGACAAATTATTGTGTGACTAGGGAATAGAAGGCAAGCAAAAATTATATGAGTTACATAAATCCCAGTTATCCATGAAATAGCTATGGTGTTTCCTATTTGCCTTATTATTTTATGGACATTACTGGCTTATGGAACTGAATACTATTTTATTTTTCAGCAAATCTTTAGTTATTTTCACTTCAAAACCTTTTAAAGAACAAACAAATTTAATAAGATGGAGATTTCATTTAAAGGAATTAATACTGACAACATGGAAAAAATATTTAGTAATTTTCCTTAGAAGTATGCTCCTCTTAGTGACTGTAGATGCTGCTGTTTGCTGAATGAAAAGGAGCAGGCAAACTCCATTGTGATATTTACTAAATTCTTTTTTTAAAAATACAAAAATCTACAAAATTTGATTTTCCAAAAAACTTAACCTAAAACTGCCTATGCATTGTATAGAAATTAAGTTTAATTTTTTTTTTTCATTTTGAAAGTCATTAGCTTGAACTATATTTTCAGTGCAGATAGAACTTTTAACACATGGAAATTCACATGAAGTCTTGCTAAGTGTCAGTCTGTGTTGCTGTTAAGGAATACTTGAAGCTAGATAATTCATAACGAAGAGGTTTGTTTGGCTCATGGTTCTGAATATTATATATTCTTGTCACATTCTATTGGGCATGTCATTTTTGCACATCGATTTTTCTATACCTAGGATAGTTCCTGTTGTATAATATGTGCTAAATAAATAACTATTTAATTAAGAAATTTTAAGCAATCTTATTGAAAAAACAGTTAAGTAAAATGGAAGTCCCTAAACCTAGTTTCCCATGAGGGAAAACAATACACAGTGCAACTAACTTGTAACAGATTTGGCTCCTTAAGTGCTTTTTCACTTTTCTTTAAGAATCTCACTTGTCTAAGTCCAAATTATACATCGGCTTTTGAAAGCATGAACCAGCCATCTGCTTTCATGTTTAAAACAGATCTAAGAAAGAAAATATTTCATAAGTTTGTATTTTATTTTGAAACTTTTATTTTGAGATAAATGTATATTCACATGCAGTTGTAAAAAATATACAGAGATTCCATGTACTCTTTACTCAGTTTCCCCCAACGATAACATCTTGTAACACTATAGTATAATATCACAACCAAGATATTGCTATCAGTACAGTCAACACACAAAGCATTTCCATCACAAGGATCTTTCATGTTCTCCTTGTATCACCAAACCCACTTTACTCTCACCATCACCACCTTCTTATCCCCTTGCAAACATGAATTTGTTATTTATTTGTATAACTTTGTCATGTCAAAAAGTGTTTTATTAATGAAATTATGTAGTATGTAACCTTCTGCTATATATATTTTTTTACTTAGCATGATTTTCTGGAGGTTTGTCAGGTGGTTCTTTGTATTGATAGTCCATTACTTTTTATTGCTGAGTAATTTTTCCTGGTATGGGTGTACCATGGTTTGTTTAACCATTCACCCACTGAAGGAATCCGAGTTTTTTTCTAGTTTTCAGCTATTATAATAAAGTTGCTATAAAAATTCATGTACAGGCTTTTTGTGCCAACATTAGTTTTCATTCCTCTGGAATAAACACTTAGGGGGTGCAATTGTTGTATGGTATGGTAATGACAAGCTTATTTTTTTCTTATGTAATTGCCAAACTGTTTTCCAAAGTGACTGTATCATTTTATATTTCCAATGACAATGCATGATTGACCAAGCTGCTCTGCATTTATGTCAGCATTTGTCACTGTCAGTATTTTTTATTTTAGCCATGTGGTAGGTATGTAGCAGTATCTCATTAGGCTTTTCATTATTATATTACTATTGACTAATGATGTTAAACATTTTCATGTACTTAGTTGCCATCTGTATATCCTTTGGTGAAAATATTTTAAATTTATTTTGCCTATATTCTAACTGGATTGTGTTTTTACTGTTGATTTTGGAGAGTTCATTATATATTTTCAGTCCTATTCTTTTGCCAGATATGTGGTTTGCAAATATTCTCTCTCAATCTGTATTTTTTCTTTTCTTTCTCTTAGCAGAATTTTTCACAGGACAGAATTTTTCATTTTTTTGAATTCTAATTTATCATTTTTTTCTTTTATAGATAAGACTTTTGGTGTCATGTCTAAGAATTCTTTGCCTATCCCTGAATCCCAAATATTTTCTTCCATTTTTTTTTCTAAAAGTTTATGAATTTTATGTTCTGTATGTATGTCTGTAGTTCATTTTGAGTTAATTTTTGTTTAGGTTTGAGACGGGTTTAGTTTCACTTTTTTGGTGGGGGATGGCGTTTGATGTGGAGTACTTGAGAACAATTTGTTGAAAATTCTCTGTTTCCTCCATTGAATTTCTTTTGCTCCTTTGTCAAAAATCGGCTAGCCTTATTTGTGGCCTATTTCTGAGTTCTCCCTTTTGTTGCACTAATAGATCACTCCGTAAATACTATATGGTACTGATTATTATAGCTAACCAACAAGTCTTGAATTGGGTATACTGATTTCTCCCACTCTATTCTTTTTTCAATATTGTTTTAGCTATTTTTCTTCCTTTGCTCCTCATATAAATTTTGAATAATCTTTTCTATATGTACAAAAATTTTGACAGTAAGTACTTTAAATCAGTATAGAAATTTGGTGGGGATTGACATCTTAACTATTTGCACATAATGTTTCTATTCATTTTTTAAAATTTTCTTTCTTTCTGCAGCATTTTGTAATTTTCAGCATATAGATCCTTGTTTAATGTAGCCACCTTCGTCAGTTATCTTAGCTAGGTCTTCTGCATAACTTGCTGCAGCTTCTCCATCAGTACCTGCTGCTTCACCTTGCACTTTTATGTTATGCAGACAATTCCCTCAAACTTCATGAACTGACCTCTGCTAGCTTCCAGATTTTCTTCTGCAGCTTCCTCACCTCTCTCAGCCTTCATAGAGTTGAGGAGAGTTAGAGCCTTGCTCTGGACTCAGCTTTGACTTAAGGGATATTGTGGCTGGTTTGATTTTCTATCTAGACCATTAAAACTTTCTCTGTATCAGCAGTAAGTCTTTCTTATCATTTGTATGTTCACTGGAGTAGCACTTTTAATTGCTTAGTGAACTTTTTTCTTGGCATCCGCAATCTGTTTGGCACAAAAGGGATCATTTTTGGCCTATTTTGGCTTTCGACATACCTTCCTCACTAAGCTTAATCATTTCTACCTTTTGATATAAAGTGAGCGATGTGTGACTTTTTCTTTCACTTCAACACGTAGAGACTACTGTAGAATTATTAATTGATCTAATTTCAATACTGCTGTGTCTCAGGGAATAGGGAGGCCAGAGGAGAGCAACTGGGGAACGGCTCTGGTCTCTGTGGTTTCTGATGAGAAATCTCCCATCACTTGAATTGTTTTTTCTCTGTAAGAATGGTGCTACAGTAACCACAACAGCATGGTACTGGTACCAAAACAGAGATATAGATCAATGGGACAGAACAGAACCCTCAGAAATAACACTGCATATCTACAACTATCTGATCTTTGACAAACCTGAGAAAAACAAGCAATGGGGAAAGGATTCCCCATTTAATAAATGGTGCTGGGAAAACTGGCTAGCCATATGTAGAAAACTGAAACTGGATCCCTTCCTTACACCTTATACAAAAATTAATTCAAGATGGATTAAAGATTTAAACGTTAGACCTAAAACCATAAAAACCCTAGAAGAAAACCTAGGCATTACCATTCAGGACATAGGCATGGGCAAGGACTTCATGTCTAAAACACCAAAAGCAATGGCAACAAAAGCCAAAATTGACAAATGGGATCTAATTAAACTAAAGAGCTTCTGCACAGCAAAAGAAACTAGCATCAAAGTGAACAGGCAGCCTACAAAATGGTAGAAAATTTTCGCAACCTACTCATCTGACAAAGGGCTAATATCCAGAATCTACAATGAACTCAAACAAATTTACAAGAAAAAAACAAACAACCCCATCAAAAAGTGGGCAAAGGATATGAACAGACACTTCTCAAAAGAAGACATTTATGCAGCCAACAGACACATGAAGAAATGCTCATCATCACTGGCCATCAGAGAAATGCAAATCAAAACCACAATGAGATACCATCTCACACCAGTTAGAATGGCAATCATTAAAAAGTCAGGAAACAACAGGTGCTGGAGAGGATGTGGAGAAATAGGAACACTTTTACACTGTTGGTGGGACTGTAAACTAGTTCAACCATTGTGGAAGTCAGGGTGGTGATTCCTCAGGGATCTAGAACTAGAAATACCATTTGACCCAGCCATCCCATTACTGGCTATATACCCAAAGGACTATAAATCATGTTGCTATAAAGACACATGCACATGTATGTTTATTGCGGTATTATTCACAATAGCAAGGACTTGGAACCAACCTAAATGTCCAACAATGATAGACTGGATTAAGAAAATGTGGCACATATACACCATGGAATACTATGCAGCCATAAAAAATGATGAGTTCATGTCCTTTGTAGGGACATGGATGAAATTGGAAATCATCATTCTCAGTAAACTATCGCAAGGACAAAAAACCAAACACCGCATGTTCTCACTCATAGGTGGGAATTGAACAATGAGAACACATGGACACAGGAAGGGGAACATCACACTCTGGGTACTGTTGTGGGGTTGGGGGAGGGGGGAGGGATAGCATTAGGAGATATAACTCATGCTAAATGACAAGTTAATGGGTGCAGCACACCAGCATGGCACATGTATACATATGTAACTAACCTGCACATTGTGCACATGTACCCTAAAACTTAAAGTATAAAAAAAAAAAAAAAAGAAAGAATGGTGTCATTTCACCCTAGCTGCTTTCAAGAATTTTTTCTTTGTCTTCAGTTTTCAGGAATTTCACTATTATGTACGTTGCTTTGCATTTCTTTGGGTTATACTGTTTGGGGTTTGCTTAGCTTCTTGAATCTGTGGATTTTTATTTTGTTGCCAACTTTGGGAGGTTTTCAGTCATAATTTCTTTGAACACTTTTTTTCACCCCATTCTCTTTCTCCTCTTTTTCTGGAACACTGATGACACAAATGCTAGATACATTTATTATGTATACATTGGTCTGTGAGGGTTTCTTCATTTCTTCTTCCTTTTTTGGTCCATTTTCTGTTTTTCCAAAAGTGTAATTTGTATCTTTCTATCTTTGAGTTCACTGATTCTTTTCTTTTTCTCTCTATTCTGTTTTTGAACCCATCTATTGTTTCTTTTGTTATTTTATTTTTCAGTTATATATTTCCATTTTAATATAAGTTCTTGACTTAGGATGACTTAGGATATTTCAACTTTCGGATGAGTTCACTGTGGATGCTAAATGCATTTTTGACTTATGATATTTTTGACTTGCAATGGGCTATTAGGAATGTAATCCCACTATGAGTAGAGGAGTATCTGTATTCTATCACTTTGCTGAAACTTCCTCTTTTCAAAATTTATTTCAAGCTTGTTTATAATGTTTGTTGAAATATTTCCTTTATTGTTGTCTTAAAATCTTCTTCAGAGAATTCTAACATCTCTATTTTCTCAGTATTCACTTCCTTTCCCACTCAGTATACTCTTTTTGTTATGACAAATGATTTTTGATTAAAAGCTAAATATTTGGGGTATTATGTTATAAGATTTCGAGTCTTATTTAAACTTCTTTTCATTGGCTTTTTCTGACAATACTTCACCAGGGGAAGAAAAGGCACTCTGCCTCAATACTGCAAGATGTGGGAGGCAGTTACGTACAAGTCCAGGCTCCTTACTGAATCTTCAGTGACAGCTGACATGTGTGGGAATACTCCTCATTACTGCTCACTGCACAGCCTCCACTAACATCTGACTCTAGGTGGGTAGGGTGGAGAGAAAAAGTGCTTGTTATTTATGGGTGTTGATGGAAGTCCTGACTGTGTGAGGCTTCCTCTGGCACCACTCCAGCAGTGAGGAGTAGGGTCTCCTCATTACTGCTGGGTAGGGATGAAAGTGCTAGCTTTCTACTTAGTCTTTCTGATACCACCTTCAGGGAGGAAGGCTTTGGGCTGCCTCATCAAGCCAGTTGAAAATGGAAGTCTAGGCTCCCCACTCAACCTTTGCTACTGTGAGTAGGGTCGGGCCACAGTTTTTTTTTTTTTTCTATGTGTTTGTCTGGAGTAAAACCATTATTGTTTAAAGTTTTATATCTTTCTAGACTATTTCTTTCACAGTCCTTGGGCTAGACAAAGAAGGATTTTGATTGGATATATATAATATATCCAATCTCCATATATATATTGGAAAAATATATATATATATATATATGTATTTTTTGTCTATGCCCATTGGCATTTTTGGCTTACCAGTTTTTTTTTTTTTTTCAGCTCTAAGTCAATGATATACGAGCCAAAAACAAAACTTAGGGACTTACTACTGTGTTGTTTCTTGGGTCCCAGGGTCCTTAATTGGTCGCCTTCTTCTCTCTACCTTTGAGGATCTTCTTACGTTTGTTTACATATAATGTGTAGGGTTTTTAACTGTACATAGTAAGAGATATTTTTTAAAAATGCATTCAGAACTCCATCTTCTGGGAAGTGAACATTTTCTATAATGTTTTTAAAGTAGTACTCTTGAATATCCATGTGACTCCATAAACCAATTATAGGACCGTCTCAAAATAGATTGTGCTAAAAGATCCATGTCTAATCATTAGAATAACTGAAATAATTAGTCTATATGTGACCACTTTACATATTTCCATGTTTCAACTACTATCCAATTTAACGTTCAAGGCATGTGAATGAAAAAACAAGCAAACAAAAATAAATGTAATCCCCCAATACTAAGAATTAAGCTGTATAATAATATAAAGCTCCTGCTGCTTATTTTTTGACATAACTACCCTGATATATTTTATGTACATTTCCATCCTACATATTATGTGTCTTCTGTTTGTTTGGATATTTCATATCTTCTTTGTGATTCAGTCTCATTTTATCAACTAGTATTTCTTTTCACAATTTTTAATACATAGTTATTTAAATGAACCAATTTATGGGTTAATGTTTTCTCTGGCTTCTATGCATCAGTAGCCACCTTCTTGCCATGAATCTCTTTTACCTATAGGGAACGAATATTATAAGCTTCAGATCCAAAGTGGGAGTGGAAATCCTGCTCATAATCTTTATTAGATATGCAAACTTGAGCAAACCCTTTAGTGTTTCTGAACCTGTTTCCTTGTATATAAAATGGGGATAATAATTACCACATCATGATGTTGTATAGAGTAAGAAAAATGTGAAATCATTGAGCCAGTGCCCAGAAAATGCCAGATGCCAAATAAATGTTAGTTCTCTTCCTTTCTCTCCTTAGTAATTAAATAAATACATGTAAATGAAAAAAGCTTTCTTGTGTGGACAATCTTTACGTTAACAAATCTCCTATCTCTCCTCCATTACTTTATTACTATCAAAACACACTGGGGGAGGGGTGGGATCCCTACATTTGTATTTTATTTTCTTTTATTAGTTTCTGCATTTTACTCTCAGTTTTTGCTCCTCTTATAATAGCTTAATATCCAATATATCTGAAGTTTCTATTTTCTTCTTTTATGGAGGTAAGAAGATATGATTTGGTATTAATTAAATCCTACAATTTTATTATATCTATACTTTTCATACAAAGACAGTAATATGTAATATGGTAGAAAGAGCAAAGCATTTTAAGGATTAAAAATCTCTCTACATTTAGATAATAACTATGTCACATAAAGAAAACACCAAAAAGACTAAAAAGTTGTCAGTGGTTGTTTCTCTCTTCTCTAAACTCTCTACTGCCGTAGATGGGAAAAAGGAAGGAAGACTGTTAACATTTAAATATGAGAACATCGGAATTGATCCAAATAATTCTTCGTAACAATCGACATTTGTGCAAAGGTATTTTTATGAAAGTTAATAAAATTATTCATTTTTCACACTTTATGTACACCTGTGCATAAGGAAAAAATAAAATGAATTGATTTTACACATGAGTGAATTTCTTTCATTTATGACAATTAGTCATGAAGACTCTAGTGCCCTAGGATTATTTTATAAAATAGAAAGTTTTTTTTTTTGCTTGTTTGTTTTTTTTTTTTTTTTTCTGATGGCATAACACAACACACTAACACTTGGATAGATGAAAAGCAGAACTGTTTGCTACTTACTGCTTCAAATAAGAGAAGGCTATGAGGCAGGGCCACTCTGGGAGTTGTGCTAAGGACAAGGTCACAGCAAACTGGAGCCAGAAGTGGGCAGCTTATGAATGGCAAGTGGGGTGGGTTTAGCTACATCTACCCCATCCATGTAAGTTGGTGAATTTAATTAATTTTGTGGGCTGTAGGGATAGGAGGTGTTTTTACTTCTTTACTACCTCGCCCTGGGATGAATAGGGAAGGTTTATACTAACCTGGAAGTGTGAGAGCTGGATAATGGGAAGTTGTTCCTGTGTGAACTTATCAGCTGCTTAAAAAGGAGAACTGATCCACTTTTCACCAAGACCTAAAAACTGGCTCAAGAAAGTATTTTTGAAACTACATTACGAGGGCCCACCTAGTTCAGTAGCAGGGCATGCTGTACAATGATTAGTTGTGGTTTCTTGTTGAAAAATATCATTGTGTACATGATAGCATTTGGTAGAGATAACCATTTTGACATGACTATTCTAAATATAAAATAAGACTTTTAGGGTATATTTATCTATTGGTACTTGCAGTTGTTTGGGCTTTGTATGATAATAGATAATACATTTTTTGTTTATTTGCTTGTTTGTTTGTTTTGAGACAGAGTCTCACCCTGTCACCCAGGCTGGAATGCAGTGGTGTGATCTCGGCTCACTGCAACATCCACCTTCCGGGTGCAAGAGACTCCCCTGCCTCAGCCTCCTGAGTAGCTGGGACCATAGGCACGTGCCACCACGCCCAGCTAATTTTTGCATTTTTAGTAGAGACGGGGCTTTACCATGTTGGCCAGGCTGGTCTTGAACTAGTGGCCTCAGGCAATCCGCCTGCCTCGATCTCCCAAAGGGATTACTGGCGTGAGCCAATGTGCCTGGCCTGATAAAACATTTTTATATACTGATTAAAACACTAGTTTAATTTCTCCTCCTGCCCCGAAGATTAGCAGAAATATAATATGTAGTCATACCTTCTATAGAAAACTTAGTATAAGGAAAGCTTGTGAAGAAGTCAAGTGGGCTTTGCAGGACATTAGAAATGAAATTAAAAGTAAAATTAAAGTATTTTATTATTTGAATGCTTTCAATTGCTACAATTCTCCTTGACTCTCACTGAATAATGTTAGTTCTACATTGAATAGTTTCCACTTGTGACAAACCTCTTGATATGCTAAGTTTGAATATTGCCAAGACTTGCTTGTTTTTCTTAGTTTATTTTGACCATTTGAAAAATAAATTTAAATAAAAGGTCCTTACAGTGCTACATTTCTATTTGCGTGGCTTAAATGGTTGTATTTTGGAAAAGGTGGTTTGGTCATTTCAATTGTCTTTGTACATGAATCTGTTGACCGCATCATAACTCCAAGAGAATAATATACAATTGATTGAGAAGTTGGCCAGAGAAAACAGTTTGATTGCACAGGTGCCCTTGTCATTGGTGGGTGTATGTGTGACTTTTAATTATGTCTGTATAAATTTGCTGGATTAACCTTGCATTTCTGCTATTTTTTCAACTGTTAAATTTATAAAGCCTTGTATTGGCTATTGTTCGTTCAATTGCCTCAGACACAGTTTTTATGAAGGCCAAACTTGATGTGGGCCAAAATTGTTGATAGCTTCCAGAATGAAGACTCTTTTGTGTAGTTGAGAATTAGATGGCATGTAAAAGGTGAAGGAAAGTGATTTTACAAAAAGATGCTAAGGAAATGTTGAGAATAGATGCTAGTACTACTTTCTTTCTGTCTACATTGTTCCTTATTGCTCTTTGCCTTCTTTCATAGTATTTTCTAATAAATGCTAATGATAATAACAACAGTGGCAAATGCATTAGCATAAACTACTGTGTAATCTTATATAACTACATGTTATTTATCAGGTGGATTAAACACAGAATTTATAAAGATATATTTTCTATTGATTTTAGGAGGTGGAGATAAAATGGATTTCTTTAAAAAGCAAGATAAATCTGATATGCTGGGGGAAAAAAGTCTACGATACTAAAGCAAATGTTCTCTTTCCTTTGTCCAGGGAACTAAATTTTTCTGATGTAAAGCCAATTGCTGGAGAGAGATTCACTGGGGATCACTTCTGTTGAAGGAATAAGATGAATTTGTGAAAAATTTTGAAACTCTATTAGAGGATTTGGATGCAGTGTGCAGTGTCAGCTATTGTAACACTTTATAGTTGAAATGCACATAATATATATTACTGTTATAAAATGCCTTGCTGTGAATATTAAATAAAAACAGCCTAGATAAAGTGGAGAGGTTACTAAACAAGATATGTGGATTTACAGAACATCATTCTTGTTCCAAATATAATAAAGATATACAAACCAATATTTATTCCTTTAAATGTTATAAATACTTTCTAAGCACCTACATCTTTTACTTTCTATTTTAAAGACTATATTAATTTCCAGTGAGAACTGATACTGATTCCTTTTCTTTTGTGTAGGCCATGGATATTACCATATGATTAAGTGACTTTCTCTGTAAGATTGTAATGTTAATGAATAGGACTCTTTCTCTTTGAGTTATAAATGTCTCTGGTTGCCTTAACATGCATCATTCCTCCATGTATTTACATAGTGATTCAGTTAAGACTTTGACTTGTATAAACTTTATCCAGTTTGCTATCCAGTTATAGATCTTGAAGGGGAAAAAAAATCCCTGAAAATTTTCATCATTCTTCTAAGACTGAGTTTAAGAACAAATTTCTCCTGGTGTTTGTCTCCAAATTTCTGAAGCCTGATTTGCATTTTTTTTTTTTTTTTTGCATTACATTCACCACCTAATATATATTTCTTCCAACAGAGAACTGCCCAATAATCATTTGTTAGCTGTTTTTTAATGAAGATGGGTCACACCCATCTTTGGTGATAAATGTCGTAAGTTGCAAATAACTGGCACTTGGATCTTCCAACCTAACTTTTTGCAATATGTCAATGTTTTCACAAGCCATGAAATGAGCCTACTGAAATAGGAATCAAATTGCTGAAATCTATTAAGAAACTGATTTTGCTATTTTCATAGATTTTCAGTGAAGACAGAATGCTTTTAACTTAAGAGGCAACATAGTTTGGAGACAGAAGATGACCAAAGAATTTATTTTTTAAAATTGATACATAATATTTTACATATTTATGGGGGTATCTTTTGTTGCAAGCATAGAACATGTAATGTTCAAATCAAGGTATTTGGAGTACCCATCATCTTAAACATTGATCATTTCTATGTGTTGGGAACATTTCAAGTTTGTGACTGAGGAATTCCTTGGAATATGAAATCCAGAAGCCTATTAAAACCACAGCCACAGTAGGCTTTTATGTTTTAAACAAAATAACTAGAGTAGTCTGTGTGTTAGATTCACAATCCTGAGTGAAATTTACTCTGACAAGAAAATCACTGAGCAGGGTTAAATGATTTGCCATTATTTTAGAAGTGGAAAGAGATATTAAATACTTATGTAATACAAGTATAAAGAAATGTCCAAAAAATTTGACATGCACTTCTGTGTATATAAGAAATGGAGTGATAAGGGATTATAGAGACACACTGTCAGGCCTCTGAGCCCAAGCCAAGCCATCGCATCTCCTGTGACTTGCAGGTATACGCCCAGATGGCCTGAAGTAACTGAAGAATCACAAAAGAAGTGAAAATACCCTGCCCCACCTTAACTGATGACATTCCACCACAAAAGAAGTGTAAATAGCCGGTCCTTGCCTTAAGTGATGACATTACCTTGTGAAAGTCCTTTTCCTGGCTCATCCTGGCTCAAAAAGCACCCCCACTGAGCACCTTGCGACCCCCACTCCTGCTCGCCAGAGAACAAACCCCTTCTGACTGTAATTTTCCTTTACCTACCGAAATCCTATGAAACGGCCCTACCCTTATCTCCCTTCACTGACTCTCTTTTCAGACTCAGCCTGCCTGCACCCAGGTGAAATAAACAGCCATGTTGCTCACACAAAGCCTGTTTGGTGGTCTCTTCACATGGACGTGCATGAAATTTGGTGCCGTGACTCAGACTGGGGGACCTCCCTTCGGAGATCAATCCCCTGTCCTCCTGCTCTTTGCTCCGTGAGAAAGATCCACCTACGACCTCAGGTCCTCAGACCGACCAGCCCAAGAAACATCTCACCAATTTCAAATCCAGTAAGCGGCCTCTTTTCATTCTCTTCTCCGGCTTCCCTCACTATCCCTCAACCTCTTTCTCCTTTCAATCTTGGTGCCACACTTCAATCTCTCCCGTCTCTTAATTTCAATTCCTTTCATTTTCTGGTAGAGACAAAGGAGACAAGTTTTATCCGTGGACCCAAAACTCCAGCACCGGTTATGGAATGGGAAGGCAGCCTTCCCTTGGTGTTTAATCATTGCAGGGACACCTCTCTGATTATTCACTCACGTTTCAAAGGTGTCAGACCACGCAGGGACGCCTGCCTTGGTCCTTCACCTTTAGCAGCAAGTCCCGCTTTTCTGGGGAAGGGGCAAGTACCCCAACCCCTTCTCTCCTTGTCTCTACCCCTTCTCTGCTTTTCTGGAGGAGGGGAAGTACCCCTCAACCCCTTCTCCTTCACCCTTAGCGGCAAGTCCTGCTTTTCTGGGGGAGGGGCAAGTACCCCTCAACCCCTTCTCCTTCACCCTTAGCAGCAAGTTCCGCTTTTCTAGGGGGCAAGAACCCCCAATCCCTTATTTCTGCACCCCAACCTCTTATCTCTGTGCCCCAATTCCTTATTTCCATGCCCCAACCCTTTCTCTGATTTTCTGGAGGGCAAGAAACCCCTACCCCTTCTCTGTGTCTCTACTCTTTTCTCTGGGCTTGCCTCCTTCACTATGGGCAAGCTTCCACCTTCCATTCCTCCTTCTTCTCCCTTAGCCTATATTCTTAAGAACTTAAAACCTCTTCAACTCTCACCTGACCTAAAATCTAAGCATCTTATTTTCTTCTGTAATGCCGCTTGACCCCAATACAAACTCGACAGTAGTTCTGAATAGCCGGAAAATGGCACTTTCAATTTTTCCTTCCTACAAGATCTAAATAATTCTTGTCGTAAAAGGGGCAAATGGTCTGAGGTGCCTGACGTCCAGGCATTCTTTTACACATCAGTCCCTTCCTAGTCTCTGTGCCCAGTGCAACTCGTCCCAAATCTTCCTTCTTTCCCTCCTGCCTGTCCCCTCAGTCCCAACCCCAAGCATTGCTGAGTCTTTCTAATCTTCCTTTCCTACAGACCCATCTGACCTCTCCCCTCCTCGCCAGGCCAAGCTAGGTCCCAATTCTTCCTCAGCCTCCGCTCCTCCACCCTATAATCTTTTTATCACCTCCCCTCCTCACACCTGGTCCAGCTTACAGTTTCATTCTGTGACTAGCCCTCCCCCACCTGCCCAGCAATTTACTCTTAAAAAGGTGGCTGGAGCCACAGGCATAGTCAAGGTTAATGCTCCTTTTTCTTTATCCCAAATCAGAAGCATTTAGGCTCTTTTTTATCAAATATAAAAACCCAGCCCAGTTCATGGCTCCTTCGGCAGCAACCCTGAGATGCTTTACAGCCCTAGACCCTAAAAGGTCAAAAGGCCATCTTATTCTCAATATACATTTTATTACCAAATCTGCTCCCGACATTAAATAAAACTCCAAAAATTAGAATCTGGCCCTCAAACCCCACAACAGGACTTAATTAACCTCATCTTCAAGGTGTACAATAATAAAAAAAAAGTTGCAATTCCTTGCCTCCACTGTGAGACAAACCCCAGCCACATCTCCAGCACACAAGAACTTCCAAACGCCTGAACCGCAGCGGCCAGGCGTTCCTCCAGAACCTCCTCCCCCAGGAGCTTGCTGCAAGTGCCAGAAATCTGACCACCAGGCCAAGGAATGCCTTCAGCCCAGGATTCCTCCTAAGCCGTGTCCCATCTGTGTAGGACTCCACTGGAAATCGGACTGTTCAACTCACCTGGCAGCCACTCCCAGAGCCCCTGGAACTCTGGCCCAAGGCTCTCTGACTGACTCCTTCTTGGCTTAGCGGCTGAAGACTGATGCTGCCTGATCGCCTCGGAAGCCCCGTAGACCATCACGGATGCCGAGCTTTAGGTAACTCTCACAGCGGAAGGTAAGTCCGTCCCCTTCTTAATCAATACAGAGGCTACCCACTCCACATTACCTTCTTTTCAAGGGCCTGTTTCCCTTGCCTCCATAACTGTTGTGCATTTTGACAGCCAGGCTTCTAAACCTCTTAAAACTCCCCAACTCTGGTGCCAACTTAGACAATATTCTTTTATGCACTCTTTTTTAGTTATCCCCACCTGCCCAGTTCCCTTATTAGGCTGAGATATTTTAACCAAATTATCTGCTTCCCTGACTATTCCTGGACTATAGCTGCATCTCATTGCTGCCCTTCTTCCCAATCCAAAGCCTCCTTTGCATCCTCCTTTTGTATCCCCCCACCTTAACCCACAAGTATAAGACACCTCTACTCCCTCCTTGGCGACCGATCACGCACCTCTTACCATCTCATTAAAACCTAATCACCCTCACCCTGCTCAAAGCCAAGATCCCATCCCGCAGCACGCTTTAAAAAGATTAAAGCCTGTTATCACTCGCCTGCTACAGCATGGCCTTTTAAAGCCTATAGACTGTCCTTACAATTCCCCCATTTTACCTGTCCTAAA
The DNA here is from genome assembly GCF_000001405.40 of Homo sapiens. NCBI lineage: Eukaryota > Metazoa > Chordata > Mammalia > Primates > Hominidae > Homo > Homo sapiens. The sequence continues at coordinate 176,324,253 of NC_000003.12, read as the reverse complement.
ACCAGACAAGCCTTACAAGTTAGTTCAAGATCTGCGCCTTATCAACGAAATTGTTTCGCCCATCCACCCCGTGGTGCCAAACCCATATACTCTCCTATCCTCGATACCTGCCTCTACAACCCATTATTCTCAAACATGCTTTCTTTACTATTCCTTTGCACCCTTAATCCCAGCCTCTCTTGGCTTTCACTTGGACTGACCCTGACACCCATCAAGCTCAGCAAATTACCTAGGCTGTACTGCCGCAAAGCTTCACAGACAGCCCCCATTACTTCAGTCAAGCCCAAATTTCTTCCTCATCTGTTACCTATCTCGGCATAATTTTCATAAAAACACATGTGCTTTCCCTGCCAATCGTGTCCGACTGATCTCTCAAACCCCAGCACCTTCTACAAAACAACAACTCCTTTCCTTCCTAGCAATGGTTAGCACGGTCAGAATTCTTACACAAGAGCCAAGACCACACCCTGTAGCCTTTCTGTCCAAACAACTTGACCTTACTGTTTTAGCCTAGCCCTCATGTCTGCGTGCAGCAGCTGCCGCTGCTTTAATACTTTTAGAGGCCCTCAAAATCACAAACGATGCTCAACTCACTCTCTACAGTTCTCATAACTTCCAAAATCTATTTTCTTCCTCATACCTGACGCATATACTTTCTCCTTCCCAGCTCCTTCAGCTGTACTCACTCTTTGTTGAGTCTCCCACAATTACCGTTGTTCCTGGTCCAGACTTCAATCCGGCCTCCCACATTATTCCTGATACCACACCTGACCCCCATGACGGCATCTCTCTGATCTACCTGACATTCACCCATTTCCCCAAATTTCCTTATTTCCTGTTCCTCACCCTGATCACGCTTGATTTATTGATGGCAGTTCCACCAGGCCTAATCGCCACACACCAGCAAAGGCAGGCTATGCTATAGTACAAGCCCCTAGCCTGCCTCTTAGAACCTCTCATTTCCTTTCCATCGTGGAAATCTATCCTCAAGGAAATAACTTCTCCGTGTTCCATCTGCTATTCTACTACTCCTCAGGGATTATTCAGGCCCCCTCCCTTCCCTACACATCAAGCTCGAGGATTTGCCCCACCCAGGACTGGCAAATTAGCTTTACTCAACATGCCCTGAGTCAGATAACTAAAATACCTCTTAGTCTAGGTAGATACTTTCACTGGATAGGCAGAGGCCTTTCCTATAGGGTCTGAGAAGGCCACTGCAGTCATTTCTTCCCTTCTGTCAGACATAATTCCTCAGTTTAGCCTTCCCACCTCTATACAGTCTGATAACAGACCAGCCTTTATTAGTCAAATCAGCCAAGCAGTTTTTCAGGCTCTTAGTATTCGGTGAAACCCTTATATCCCTTACGGTCCTCCGTCTTCAAGAAAAGTAGAATGGACTAAAGGTCTTTTAAAAACACACCTCACCAAGCTCAGCCACCAACTTAAAAAGGACGGACAATACTTTTACCACTTTCCCTTCTCAGAATTCAGGCCTGTCCTCGGAATGCTACAGGGTACAGCCCATTTAAGCTCCTGTATAGACGCTCCTTTTTATTAGGCCCGAGTCTCATTCCAGACACCAGACCAACTTAGACTGTGCCCCCAAAAAAACTTGTCATCCCTACTATCTTCTGTCTAGTCATACTCCTATTCACCGTTCTCAACTACTCATACATGCCCTGCTCTTGTTTACACTGCCAGTTTACACTGTTTCTCCAAGCCATCACAGCTGATATCTCCTGGTGCTATCCCCAAACTGCCACTCTTAACACTTGAAGTAAATAAATAGTCTTTGCTGGCAGGACTATGCTGAATCTCCTTAGGCACTCTCTAATCAGATATCCTGAGTCGTCCCAATTCTTAGACCTTTTATACCTGTTTTTCTCCGTCTGTTATTCCATTCAGTTTCTCAGTTCATCCAAAACCGTATCCAGGCCATCACCAATCATTCTATACGACAAATGTTTCTTCTAACATCCTCACAATATCACCCCTTACCACAAGACCTCCTCTCAGCTTAATCTCTCCCACTCTAGGTTCCCACGCCACCCCTATTCCCACTCGAAGCAGCCCTGAAAAACATCGCCCATTCTCTCTCCATACCACCCCCCAAAAATTTTCGCTGCCCCAAGACTTCAACACTATTTTGTTTTATTTTTTCTTATTAATATAAGAAGGCAGGAATGTCAGGCCTCTGAGCCCAAGCCAAGCCATGGCATCTCCTGTGACTTGCAGGTATACGCCCAGATGGCCTGAACTAACTGAAGAATCACAAAAGAAGTGAAAATGCCCTGCCCCACCTTAACTGATGACATTCCACCACAAAAGAAGTGTAAATGGCCGGTCCTTGCCTTAAGTGATGACATTACCTTGTGAAAGTCCTTTTCCTGGCTCATCCTGGCTCAAAAAACACCCCCACTGAGCACCTTGCGACCCCCACTCCTGCTCGCCAGAGAACAAACCCCCTTTGACTGTAATTTTCCTTTACCTACCCAAATCCTATAAAACGGCCTTACCCTTATCTCCCTTCGCTGACTCTCTTTTCGGACTTAGCCCGCCTGCACCCAGGTGAAATAAACAGCCATGTTGCTCACACAAAGCCTGTTTGGTGGTCTCTTCACACGGACAGGCATGAAACACACTTTGTGTGTTTGGTGGAATTCTTGAAATATTACATTACATATGTGCTAATGAATACATTATTAAAATCTACATTTGCCCAAATATTTACCACTAATACATAGTAGAAAGAAAAGGAGTTACCACTGTGAATTGCCTACCTTCTTTGTGAAATGCAGTTTTTTGTGTGTGTTGAGATGTTTGACTTTATCTGATATCAAAGGAACATGTATATTTCTTCCAATTTTTACTTTAGATTGGGGGTACATGTGCTGGTTTGTTATCTGGGTATACTATGTGATGCTGAGGTTTGGGGTGTGTATTATCCCATCACCATGGTACTAAACATGGTACCCAGTAGTTTTTCAGCCCTTCACCCCTGGCCCCAGAGGTCCCCAGGTTCTGTTGTCGCTATCTTTATATTCCTGAGTACCCAATGTTCAGCTCCCACGTATAAGTGAGAACATGTGGTATTTGGTTTTCTGTTGCTGTTTTAATTTGCTTAGGATAATGGCCTCCAGCTGGATCCATGTTGCTGCAAAAGACATGATTTCATTCTTGTTTATGGCTCTGTAGTATTCAATGATGTATATATACCACATTTTCAACCCAGCGTGCCTTTGATGAGCACCTACCTTGATTCCATGTCTTTGCTACTGTGAATGGTGCTGCATTAAACATGCAAGTGCATGCGTCTTTCTGGTAGAATGATTTGTTTTTTTGGGTATATACTCAGTAATGGAGTTGCTGGATTAAATGGTAGTTCTAAGTTCCTTGTGAAATCTCCAAACTGCTTTCCATAGTGGATGAACTAATTTACATTCTTGCTAGCAGTGTATAAGCATTCCCTTTTCTCTGCAACCTTGCCAGTATCTGTTATTTTTGACTTTTTAATAATAGCCGTTCTGACTGATATGAGGTGGTATCTCACTGTGGTTTCAATTTGCATTTCTCTGATGATTAGTGATGTGGAGGATTTTTTTATGTTTCTTGACCAATTGTATATATCTTCTTTGGTGAAGTGTCTCTTCTTGTGTCTTTCATTCATTTTTTAATGGGATTATTTGTTTTTACTTGTTCAATTGTTTAAGTATCTTATGGATTTTGGATATTAGATCTTTGTCAGATGCATAGTTCGCAAATATTTTCTCTCATTCTATAGGTTGTCTGTTTATTCTGTTGATAGTTTCTTTTGCTATGCAGAAGCTCTTTAATTAGGTCCCAAAGGGACTTATTTTGGTGGAAGACTCTAAAGATGTGAAAATATTGCAAAATTAAATTTAAGTCAAGTAGTTTATTTGTTTTTATTTGCAGAACAAACACATAAATGGTGATTCAATGTTTGAAGTCCAATGCAATGATAAAATAATATAAAGCTTCTTCAAAATAGGCTGTAGTTGTAAAGGTATTCATCTTTACGTCTTTGATATTAGTTTATTATCAAGAAGCTATACGGTTAAATTAGAGGTGCATTTGTCTCCTGAGACTTGCCTGTTGAGTCACTCTGGAATCCGTGTTCTATCCAATTTTCAGAGTCATAAACGTTGCCGTATTAGTAATTTTGAGGGGGGTACAAAGCAGGTGTAATATAATGATTGAGATTAATGATCTGAAAAGGTAGGAATTACTAAAAAATTTCCCTTGTACACCATGCATGAACAACATATTGATTTGGTTTTAATGTTATTCTGCGTTTAAAATTCCATACCATCTTTTCAAATGTTAAAAGAATAAAATACAATATTAATTCTAAACACGAAACTCACTATTTCAAGTATAACTAATTATATTGGAACTGTGAAAGTAGTGTATTACAATAGTGTATTTCCAAAACTATCCAGGAACTATTTTGTTGACTCAATTAGAAATTACTTTTGTAGTTGAAAGAAAAATATAAATATAAAAATGTATTTTGAAAGACGTTTGTCCTTTTATAATGTAGAGCCAGCTGTTTCCAGGGTTGAAGTTATTAGAAAGTGAATAGATGCTTGCTTATACTAGTTTTCACTACCCATGGGAATCATTTAATGTGGTTTCTTTTCTTTTCTTTTCTCCTCCTTTTCTTTTCTTTTCTCCTCCCTCCCCTCCTCCTCCTCCTCCTTCTTCTTCTTCCTCTTCTTCTTCTTCTTTTAAATAGGGTCTCACTCTGTCATCCAGACTGTAATGCAACTTTTAGTAGTTCCCTACTTGCTGAGGTTTTACCTCAGTCTTGGCCTTTGATGAGTGACCAAAATCTTTGCTTAGGGCACTGAGAGAAGGAATAGTTTTATTCCCATGAGGTTGGCCATTTAAATTCATACTATATTTGGCTTAGATTGATTCTCAGTTATTGTCATAATAAGTTTCTTGTTTATATGATGCACAGCGAAATGAAAATGGTCAGTTGTTACTGTGGAATCAGATAGCTACTGAAAATTCAGGCATGCCAATAGGTTCCTTTCTTGGACCTTCTCTTTTTCTCAATTGATAAATCTCAGAGTGTCTTTTCAGTGCCTCCACATTTTCAGCTCGAACACAAATAAGTTTCCAGTATAATGTCCTATTGCGCTTCATCCCAACTTGCTTCCTCTTCTTCTTATAATTATGCTTTCTCCTATCTCCATGATTATTGATGACATCTCACTCTCCTGGATTATTTTCTTAACTGTTCTAACCAAATCTTGTAAGACTGAGATCAATTTTCACCTCTTTCCTAAAGCCATGCATGTCCTTCCCCAAACTTCAGCCTGAAATAGTATTTCCAGTTTATGAATAGTACTTCTAGCATTTATTCAGGAGTGAATTATGTCTATATCTTATATTATTTAAAATATCTTAAAAACTTTTACACCTACTTACACTTCTAGTTTAACACTTATCTAACTTTATTAGAGGGTGCAGCTTGAAGGCATACTTACTGTTATGGGCTGAATCGTGTTACCCAAAACTCATATTGAGGTCCTAACTCCTAGTATCTCCGAATGTGACTGTATTTGAAGATAAGCGTTGTCAAGAGGTAATTAAGTTAAAACAGTGTCGTTACATTGGGCCTTAACCAATATGACTAGTGTCTTTATGAGAAGGGGAAATTAGAAGGTAGACACACGCAGAGAAAAGACCATGTGAAGACACGGGAGAAGACCGCCATGCACTACCCAAGGAAAGAGACCTCAGAAGATACCAACCTTGATGATCTTGAACTTCTAGATCACACTCTGCAGCAAGAAGGTACTCAGTAGAATTTAATTATATTTAAATTGGTAATTGCTGAAAAATTTTCAACATCCACTCCTAACCCTAAAGTACACTTGTACTCTTGTGCTTTTTATTATGATTTTTAAGTTTTAAAATAATTGCAGAAGACTAATCTAATTGGGTTTCTTTTAAAATTTATTTTATAAAATTTTAGCATTAATTTAACCGGTCTTTAAAAAAAGTTTCTCCTTAATGATCCAGTTGCTAGTGAAACCCAGTCTTTATGGTATCCATAAATAGAAAATGTCTCAGAAATGTTATTAATGGCGAAGTGAGCAGTCTTCTCGGGAGTCCCTTAAATGATGAACACCTGTCTCATCATTAACTTAACAGGTTCTCATTATGATAGGTATCAATGAAATGATAATTGGTGGCATTCTTATCGTACCATTGAACTAGTGGGAATAGTAGAGTAACGAATAATTGACATTTACCATGTCCTAAGATTCTCTCTCTTAATAGAACCGAGACACAGAATATGTGAGAGTAACATTTATTTCTGATGCTGAAATTACTTGTCAACAATGAGTTAGGCAACTAGAAAAAAATTATATGCAAGTTATTAACACTTATACTAATAACTTATAACACTTATACTAATAACTAATAGCTACAAAATCAAAAGCAGAATGGAGAATATATCTGAAAACATTAATCCAGTTTGCCAGAGTAGTGTACACAAACGTCAGCACAGCTACGTGCAGAGACATAAAAGCATTTTTTATCTTGGTTGTGCTCTTCATTAATTTAAATTATATATCTTATCATTTCTAAAGAAGGTTTATATATGGATTGTGAATTTTTCCACTCTTACTTATATCAATTACATTTTTTCCAGTGGTATATTCTTTTAGGTATCACTGGAAAAAAAAATTAAATGTTCTAACTTTAAATATTCCCTCAACAAGTATTTACCAAGATTAGAATAGGTATTTGGGAAAATAAAATAAAATAAAATAAAATAACAACCTTGGTAACTCTTCCAGTCTATTACCCCACACTAAGACCACCTCCGAAGATGAGAAAGTCCAGATACAATTGTAAAGTAAGGGAAACTTGTTTTTGACATCTTCCCATTCCCAGGTTAAACATTTATTCTGCAATATTAACTTGAGATACCCAGTGGTCTTAGCTGTCACATGGCTGCTGAGCATCTCCCAATACCAGTTCTCCATCTGTACCTCTTCTGTGTATGCTATACTCCATACTTGCACTGCCCAGTGGGGGAGCCACTTATCACATGTGGCTATTTAAAGTTAAATTGGTTCACAGTAAATAAAATTTAAAATTAATTTTCTCGTTAACATTAGCCATACTTTAAAGTGTTTAATAGCTATATGTGGCAAATGGTTCTTCTATTGGACAATACAGATGTGGGACATTTTCATTACCCCAAAAAATTCTGTTGGAAAGCACTGATCTAGAACTGTCTCTATTCTTCTATCTTCAGTCAAATTCAGCAGACTTCAATATTTGCCTCTTGATACCCTACTTCTGTGCTTTCCATGTCATCTGATGGAAATTTTGTGCTTTCAAAATTATTAACTACTTAAAAGATCTAATGTTAAACTTTCTGAAGAGTTTTGACATCACCCTGGTACATAAAAATTAAGTAGTAAAATTGATTAAGTTTTATTATAGAAAATTATTCATAAGCAATATAAAAGTGTCAGGTAATACACCTTAATTTCTACCTTATTTACATACAAAGAAGAAAGTCTGAGTAAGTCACATGTCAAATTTCCCAAAATGATAAAAGGAAAATCAGAATATGTAATTTGTTTTAAGAAATTAATCAGAAAGTAAGCAGCAAACTCATGAAAATGCAGGATTCCCTAAAACCATCATGTTTCTGAGTTTGTGGGAGTAAAAAGCAATAAAAAATATAAATCGAATGTTTAACAATGTTGATATTGGTCATTGAATCTTGAACATACAAAAACATGGAACTCTTCATTAATATATTACATACTCTAGGTTCTATTTTTATCTGTTATACAGGTATTATTTTTATAAAAGGTACTTGTGATAATGGAATTTCTCATAAGGTTTTATAATTCTTCTCTTGACTTAAGATCTAGATATTTAAAAGAACTGGATAAAATATATGTTTTTTAGCATTTCTATTTGTCATTTTCTTAATCTCATTAATAAAACTATTAGTTACATTTTTGAGCTCTGAGTTGGTATGGAAGGTTATATACAATTAAGTAAGCTATGGTCTTGGCAGCCTAGAAACCTACATTTCATCAAGGAATGCCATACATTCAATAATGGTCAAAAAGTTTCCTGTTAAAAAGTATTTAAGAAAGTAAAGATCTTTAGAACTTCTGAAAAAAATCCCCATATTATATTCAGCTCATAGAATTAAGAAAATTCTAGGAGTTGGAATTTGTCTGGAAGAGGTATAAAACATCATGGAAAAGGGTCTATTTACTGGAAGGTGAGACTGAAATCTAAGGTGTGCGATTGAGAATGATGAGAGCTAACGTTAAAAGTGTAGATTGGGGGCAAATTGTGGAGATTTTAAATACCAGAGTAGTGCATTTACACTTCATTCTGTGGGTAAAGCAGCAAAACTGAATTCTAATGTGAGATTTCAAGAAGAGAAACTACACAACATTATTAGCATAGAGAACATTTTCAATCATGCAAAAAGTTTATTTCAAATATTTGGCTGATATTAGGAAGTGACAATTTGGCCATAGGATATGATAAATGAAATACAAGGCCAGACTCTTTTTTAAAATCAAGAATAACTTTTATTCAATTATTTTACTAGTTTCACAACAGATAACTTGTCATAGATGTCAACAATAGTCCTGTGGTGTTGAAATGTGTGGGCTCAATTTCCAGCTCTTTCACCTTCTGGCTGGGTATTCGTGGGCTGGTTACTGAACATCTCTGTGCTTGTGGATAATGAATGTAGATAATTTAGATGATAAAATGTAGATGTTATATATATATGAAGAAATGTAGATAATCTATATATATAAACACATAGTAGGTAGCTAATAACCACCTGGTAGCTAATAATTACCAATAACTTGTAGTTAATGTTATTATAATAATTATTAATGTGATTGATAATGGCACAAAGATCCTCATAGTAATACTTTATGGGTTGTTACCTTACCAAAGTTCTATTAATCCTGAAAGCTTCCCCAAATCTATTTTTCTACACCATTAAACATACTCATATTAATTTAATGATTAACTGATTTAATAGTTCATTCATTTATTCTCTTAATAAAACTTTCATCCGTTTATTCTCATTCAGGAACAAATAAGATATTACGGAGGAAAATTAATTTTGTCCAGAGTTTTAGGGTTGAATTCACAAAGAAATTATAATGTATGCATCATTTATTACTGCCTAGTTTCCATTTCACTCATCGTCTATTGAATGGCAGACATGCATTTTGAGTGAAATTGACTTACTTCAAGCCTCAGGATTAGGCCAGATTGTCCTGAGCCTCTCATTGTGATCTCAACACTTTTATTACAGTGATGAGCTCAAGATTGGGCACCTGTCTTCAGCTGTTTTTATCTGGATGAGGTCCTATTTTTCTTTAAATGAATGGATGATGAAAGCTATTTCTTTTCCCATGTAGTATAAGAACAAGAGAGCATGCAGGAGCCTCTGGCTGCCTTTTAGGGCCAAGAGTTTACAGCTGACCTAAGAATCATAAGCAAAACCAAGAAAGAAAAGTTGAGAAGGATAAACCAGGGTGTGATCACATTGCTTTAACAAAAATAAAGCCACAATGAAAACGGGTTTATCTTTAGCCTCTTCAGTAACATAAACCAATATATTCCCCTACCAGAGAGTCCCATTCTTTGATATCCTAGCTTCTGTCAGGTGGTCTCTACAGAGGTGTGATTCTGAATCCTGCTATACAGTTATAGTAACTACCTCCTCTTGCATCCTTCCCATTCCAGATGGTTGTGGCTGTTTTGTGTTGTTTCTAATCCCCAGAATATCTCCCTGTGTTCTTTTTAACTTCTCAGCTCTTCTTTCACATATGGTGCAGATCCATATATTAAATTCTCCTTGCTTGAAATACCTAGAGTCGTTTCTGTTTTCCTAACTGTACTATGACTGCTTTAGCACTCTTAAAATGAAAATATTGTGTTTTACTTTTTGAACAATAAGAAAGCAATAACTTTGTATGTGTGTCTGTATGCTTGTGGCTTCCGTGTTATTAAATGCTGTTATAGACTGTGTTGTGTCCACTCCAAATTTATATATTGAAGCCCAACTCTCAATGTGACCATATCTGGAGACAGGATCTTTAAGGAGGTTATTAAGGTTAAATAAGGTTATAAGGGTAGGGCTCTAATTCAGTATAACTTTTGTCCTTAAAAGAAGAGAAAGAGAGAGACACTCAGAGTGTACATGCACAGAGGAAAGACAATGTGAAGACACAGTGAGAAGGTGGCCGTCTGCAAGTCTAGGGGCGAGGCCTCAGGAGAAACCAAACCTGACAACACTTGGATATTGGATTTCCAGCCTCTGGAACTATGAAAAATAAAGATCTGTTTTTCAAGCCTTCATTTTTTATGGCAGCCCTAGAAGACTATTACAGATGTCATTTAACTATGAGTCTATGATGATGTCTACGTAATCACCACACCATTAATAAATCGACTATATAAAATTGGGTTCCTGGATAAGATTGGCTTTATAAGTCAAATGTAAAGGAAGCTCTTCCTAGGGGAAATCAAGTAATAATCACTGGTGGTCATGAGGGTTAAGGCAACAATGGTGCCAAAGAGAACACAAATGTAGCGGCTTCCTAAGTGTGCCTCCCTTCAGGGGATGGTGAATATACACCACTCATTAAGATTGTTTCTCTATTATTCATTCAGAAAGCCAGCTCTACTTGTTTATTTCTGAGTTTTCACTTTCAAATGCTCTTTCAAGAGTAAAGTTTGTAAAGAGGAGCTCACCTATATTTTGTGATCATCCTCAGAACATATTTTCATATCCAAAGCAACAAAAAATAGAAAACAGGCCCCAACCATAAAGTATGCCATAAAAAAGGAAAAGCATGAAGGATATAAAAGGAGTTTTATGCCTCTTGTGTTTGATTCATTTGGATGAAGTAATGCTTTATCCAAAGGGAGAAATAATCTCTGACTCTTCTCTAGGCAGGGATGAGATTTATGTATTGAACCAGCTCAATAGATGTCATTGGTTGTATTTTGACTTGAAGCTTGTGGTAATATTAATTTGGCCTTGTAAGTAATTTCAGCTGGATGGGAAGGCTGCTATGGAGGTGACTTGGAAATGTGAAGACAAACTTTTGTTCATCTGACTTGATAATGAACTCCTCAATATTCTATACCTCTGAGCTTTGGTTCAAGTTAAGCTGAATTTTATAGATGCTGACATAGATTGATTTGCATTTAGTCTTGTTGTTTGAAGGCTCTTATTACTCTTGTCATTAAAGATGAGTGAGAAGTTATATAGTCTTGTTTATATTTAATTTAATATAATGTGACATTTTACATTCAACTGTAAGGAGGACATCAAAAGAAAAGAAAAACAGTTGAAAGTCAATAAATATTCTAGACACATGTCTTATAATGAAGTATAGAAGACTGGGTATGTTTAGCCTGGAGAACTAGAAGTGAGAGAGAAAGATAATAGATGCTTTTAGACATTTTCTATACTCTCATACGGAAGAGATACAAGTTAGTCTGCTTAATTTTAGAAACAAGGGCCAGAATCAAAAGGCATAGGTTTCAGGGAGATAGATTTCCAATTAAAATAAAGACAAACTTTCTGATACAATGAAGTACCAGTATTCATTAAAGAAATGGCATGTCTTGTAAGAAACTGAGTTTCTGAACACTATACAATTTCAAGGGAGAAACATATAAATTTCAGGACCATTTTTATTTTTTAAAGTTGGGATGTATTAAATCATAATATACACGAAATATAATTTTTGATATTTTTATCTCCTTTCCTCCATTCTATTCTACTATTTACAATTCTCCCTCATGTTGGTAAATGACTCCTCTATCTCTATGAAACTGGTGAAGTTATCTTCTCTTATCTAGACAAAGGGTTGGCAAATTACCGTCTACAGGACACATTTAGCACACTGGCTGCTGTTTTATGTCCCTCTAGATAAGAATAGTTTTTACATTTTTTAATGGCTGATAAAAGAATAATGTTTTATGATGCGAAAATGATATAAAATTCAAATTTCCATATCCATAAATAAAACTTCATGGGAAAACAACTAACCACATTTATTTGTTTATTTACTGTGAATGTATTTCTGCTACAATGGCAGAATTAAATTATTCTGGCAAAGATTTGTATAGCCACAAAGCCTAAAATATTTATCTTCCGTCTCTCTATAAGAAAATTTTCTGATCCCTTATCTGGCTCATTCGAGCAGGCTCCTTACTGGTTTTCTGGCTTCTACTGTTAAACAGAATAATCCGTTTTCCATGCGAGCAAGGTAATCTTTCACAAATAGAAATCATACTATTTGGCCGGGCGCGGTGGCTCACTCCTGTAATCCCAGCACTTTGGGAGGCTGAGGCAGGTGGATCACGACGTCAGGAGATTGAGAACATCCTGGTTATCACGGTGAAACCCCATCTCTACTAAAAATACAAAAGCAAAATTAGCCGGGTGTGGTGGGGGGTGCCTGTAGTCCCAGCTACGCGGGAGGCTGAGGCAGGAGAATCGCGTGAACCCGGGAGGCGGAGCTTGCAGTGAGTCGAGATCACGCCACTGCACTCCAGCCTGGGAGACAGAGTGAGGTTCCGTCTTAAAAAAAAAAAAAAAAAAAAAAAAAAAAAAAGGAAATCATATTATTTTGTTCTTCTGTTTAAAATTCTTCAATCGCTTTTTATTGAACTTAAATTTAATACTCCTTTTCATGGCTTATAAGGCCTTAAACAATCTCATCTTGTCTATTTGGAGCTTTTGCCTCTTATTGTATCACTCTCTTCCTCATTCACCAAAGTCTAGCCACATTGATCATCTATATTTCTCAGGCACGTTAAAATGTCATATTTATTCCCCGTCTAGTACCTTTATTATTTCTCCCCTCTGACTAGAAAGTACTTATCTTGGGATCATCTCTCTGTTATTCAGTTCACAGCACGAATGTGACCTTGTCCTACTTATTTAAATTCTACCGCCCTCCTCATTTCTAGCCTAATGTCCTCTTTTACTGTAATTTTTACATTCCTTTTTATTATTGGTCCATCCACACACTGGGTAAGTTTTCTTAAGCAGAAGTGTTCTGCTTTCTTCAAAAGAATAGGTGTCTCTAGGGTCTAAATCAGCTCTGATGTTCCATAAATAAATAATTGTTAAAATAAATTATCTTAGATTATTATTTGAAAGGCTCTGTGTATTAGATACTGTGATATTGCAAGATGGAGAAGATGTAAAGATGGATACCTTAATGGATATAAAATCTATCTGAGAAGAAATACATGCTTGCCAACCTCTTAAATCAATAAGACAAGTGATGGAGAGGTGGCCCGCCTGAGGGCTAAGAGCATGGGCTCCGGAGCTAGACTGCAGAGGTTTGATTGACGCCCAGAGGCACTAGCTACTAGCTTTGTGCCATAGGACAATTGACCTGACTTCCTTGTGCTCAATTCTTTACTTGGTAAAATGGAGGAAAAAAGCATTTCCATCATGGATTGTTTGAGGATTAATTGTGTAATATCGGTAAAGGATTAGGGTCTGGCACACACACACACACACACACACAACACATACAAAAAACTTTTTCAATGTTTTTTGAATAAGTAAAGAAATTGAGTTACTAGGAAAATGTTTTGGCTACCCAGCCCAGGAAGTCTTACCTACACTCAAAGCTTGTCATTTATTTTAGGGCTTGAAGAAGATTTCTGATGAAAAAAAAATTGTTTTAACCCGCTTTTATGAAGATAGATGTATTGCAACAGTTAAAGGGAAGGGCCACAGTTAGAGGCAGGGAGGCTCTGGCATTAGTTCAGAGAAGACATGATGAAGGACAAACTGAGTCACTAGCAGTGGGAATGGAAAGGATGCAGCTGCAGAGCAGAGGGTTTCATGACCAGATAGTTACACCTTATTTTGAATAGTGTATCTGCCTTTTCCCAATTTTATGATCAAGGGCAAGTGTTCTTTGAGTCTCTTCAGTTTCCTTACCTCAATTGTTTTCACTGTAATGGAATTGTGGGGATTAAATGATATCCTATGAGGAAAATGCTTAGCGCAGTTTTAATTCAAAATAAACACTCAATAATTGTGGTATTGATGTGGGTAGTTCATACTGTCTTTATCACTATTATATTTTTCTTATCGTGAAAGATATTGGAGAGTTCAAACTGAAAGGATTTAGCAACTTACTAGATGGAAAAGGTCATGGAGAAAGGCACATAGACATTGGCTTTAAAATAATTGAGAGGCAATTGATGCTATTAAGATAGGAACCCAGGAGAAGGCAACAGGTTAGAGTAATACACCCAAGAAGCTACATCTTGAAATCTAGAACAGACATTTGGCTAGTAGATAAAATTTGGAGATATATTTCTTGGGATAGAATGTATTGAAGTAAATGGGCTCTTACAGCATGAAAAGAGTGTAGTGGGCTGTTACAGCATGAAAAGAGAGTAGAAAAGGAAAAGATGAATAGGAAGGATTATATCAGAGTAGTTGTTAGGAAAGGATGTAGGAGTTGAGAACACTAAGAATGAAAAGATAAAGAGGTGAAGAGAAAAGGGGTAGTGCTATGAAATCCAAGGAGGCATGACAAGAAGGAGGGTGTGGTCAGCAGAGAAGTCAAAGAAGATGAGCTATGAGAAGAGTTTGTGGGATTGCAGAATTTAGCAGGTCATTATAGACATTTGAGAGTACATTTAGTGAACTGTAGATGTGGAAAGTCGTGTCTTGAAAGAAGACAGCGTTTGGAAATAGTTGCCTAGCAAAAAAAAATCATGTAGACATTTATTGATATTTAAGATAATTATTATGAAAGAATTATAGTTTAACAATGAGCCAATAAGTTTCTATTTTTGAAGTAGTGCCCTTTAAAGATTCTTTTGAAAGTTCACTGTGATTGAAGATTCAGTTAGCAGATTTATTAAACTATCTGGATCCGAATATTCTGAAAAGGAATTGGACTCTGGCAAGAAGGTGATGCAGAATAGAATTTTGTCTTTATCAGTCACTAGCTAAATAACTTTGGGTAAGCTGTCTAGCATCAAAAAGTCCTTGTCTTCATCTGTAAATGGAAATTATGTCACTTCCTCTTGGCAGGCATGAAAATGAACTATAATCATATTTTCTGTGCTCCCCTACCAGCAGTCAGCCCACGTGAGGGCCTTTCCCTCTGCCTGTCAATGCTCTCAGCAGGTCCACTGCTTGGGTATATTTCTTAGATAGAAGGTCAAATCAGTTAGTTTGAAAGTAGGCCTGCACAGGCCAAAGCTTCCTGAAAAGAAATACTTTCATCCATGTTCCAATATCTATTAATGGCACAGCTCTTTTTCCAGTCACCCTGCCTCAGATCTCTGTCATCCTTGATTTTTCCTTCTTTTATTTCTTAGAACAATTTGTGATTGTTAATAACATGGGTTTGGAGTCGGAAAGCTTAGACTCGAATCTTGGCTCCTTTTATTACTGGATATGAGAACTTGGTCAAGTTATTTAACCTCTAAGAACCTGCATTTCCCCATCTGTATGATGTACATAACATTACCACCTATAGGTAGTAATCACAGTTTAGTGATGATTAAATAAAATAATCCATGTGGTGTACTTAACCCAGGGCCTATGCATAATAAAGGTTTAATAAATGTTAGTTATTGCATTAATATTGGTGTCAGCACATTATGATTTTACATAATATCTTGCTCTATGATCCTCCTCTGTACTCAACAATAGCTTACATAGACTCATAACTTGCTAAGTTTATGTCCTTTCCTAATGTCACCCTTTCCAATTGATCTTATAATTTGCTGATACATTACAGTCTCTGAAGTATAATTCTATTGATACCATTACATTATCTAACCACCTTTACTTCCCTACAGAATACGCACAAGATTTTAGAGTAACATTTATTACCCTCCTTCACAGTTCTTTGTCTTTGTAGTTTTACTTTCTTATTTCTTTTTCTGCATCTGTTGCTGAAAGTCATTGAACTAATCATTCCTCCATGATTTGCCACGTCTGTACTATATTGTTAAATGAAGTTTTCTTTACTTGCGATTCACCACATCATGGCTTATATTACTTACAGCAAACATCATCACCCCAATAAAACTCCCTTGGATACCTACTGGAAGCAGACATTTCCTCCTCTTCGTGAATTCATCTAACGCTTTTCCTGAATTTCAACTGGCACTTCTGTTTCATGTTGTTATTTTTTGCCCAAATCCCCTCTGTCTTACATAATTATCTCCTCCAGAACATATCTTTAATGTTCTTTGTTCCCTTGCTAACACGTCTACCACTGAAGCCTCTGGGCAGCAATTAGATAAAAATATAGATATTTGGTTATGGAACCATCTTTAAGCTGTATTGATAAAATGGGTCCCCTCAGTATTAAAAAACAATGTAGTCGGGAAAACATATCAGCTAATAAATTGATGTTAGACAAGGGAAAAGTTTCTACACAAAATTTCAATTTTTGACAAGTCATTTCAACACCGTAAAATCATTTTACTGGTTTTAGAGATTAAATTCACAAGATATGTGAGTTTTCTGTATCAGTGTAAGGTAAACAAGCACATATGCCCTGCATGTTGATACCACTCTGTAGTATAACGGGCTGTTAAAGTATCTATTAAGCCATTGAAATACAGAGCTACACCAATAAATTAGTTTGCCCCCTTACTGATACTTCTGGTATGATTCTATGTGAGCTGACCTCAATGGCTATTTTATAAAAAACACAGAGTATTATGGTATTTTTACCCTAATTACACTGAAAATTCAGTAAGCTTTGATTTTCTTATTTGTTATGGTGATATGCATGATCTTGGCATTCTGATTAAGACACAAGTTTTAGCAAGTATAAGGGCAGAAAGTTAAAGAAGCGAAGAGAAAAGTAAATAAAAGGCAGTGTCAAAATTTTATAATTCACGAAAATGTGACTGTGATTTTTAGAAATACATATGTGGTGTGAGTGTGTGAATATGTGTAAAAACTCTGTAGATTAGGGTTGGGAAAAAACTACACATACATACACATGTGTGCACACTGCTACTCTTGCTGGTTTCAACCTTATTTGGGAAGACAAGATTGAAACAATGAAATAGTTTAAGAAATGCGATTTGAAATATAATCAAATCCTATTTATGACTACTAACACTAAAAGTGATCAGAGAAAGGAAGGAAAACTATGTGGGTGTTGTTAGAAGGCTACATAACATAGTGTCAAGGACTACATCTGTACACTTTTCAAGATTCTTCTTGACTCTATTTTCTACTATTACTAAGCAATGTCTTTGCAGTGTATTACTTTACTCCATACTGCTGAATTAGGTCTGAATCAGCACTGCACACTGTCACCTCAATCCACTTTCTCATAATAACAGTAGATCAAAGTAAAAATGAACCTGTTCTCCTACGGAGTTATTTTAGAAGGATATATGTTGTGTAGTTTTATTTTATGATTCTTTCTATCAAAGCTTGTGTTTCTGGGAACAATAGTTACCTTCACATACATATCTTGTCCTTGTGGCTGCAACTGTATTGGGAAAACACTGGAAAAGTAATACAATCACTTCAAGATAATTCACATTTTAATGGCTCTATTAAATATTACATTAATAGCTCATTTGAATTGATTTGCACACATGAAAACTTTCTTAAAGTGAGAAAGATGTGTGTTTGATTGCTTTCTGATGTTGAGGGGAATGTTCTACATAAGGAGCAAATGGTTCTTTATGTTGATACCCTTGTATTTATTTTTAAAAATAATAAATTTTTACCCATTTAGAGGAGTTATTTATAAAAAGTTTTAAGATATTAAATGCATTTTTTAAATTTTGAGATAAACGTGTTTACATTTTAAAGAATCTTATTTTATGTGGATTCAATTGATCAACTACTGAAGAATTTAGAACATATAAAATATAGTATATGGGTATTTTATTTTTGTTGGCCAATAAGAGAGTCGGTTTTTTAAGGTAGACAAAAATGTGGAAACATATTTTATTTTCTAAAGTTTAATCTTGCAAGGCTTTTTTAATGGAAACATATTTTTTCTAAAGTTTAATCTTGTAAGGCTTTTTGCTAAAAATAGTTTATTCTTGTGTTTTCATGAAAAGAGAGAAACTTTCTCTGATATGAAGTTTACACTTGCATTTTCTATTTAATCAGGCAAACAATTTTAATTAATTCAGATAGTCGCCTCTATGGTGTCTGTGCCCTTTAGGGACTTTTTCATTACGAATGCAAATGTGTTCCTAAAATAATGAGAATGTCATTATCCTGCTTTATTCATTCAGGTGGTCAGGAAGAGAACAAAAAAATCATTTGATGGTGAGGTAATTCTTTTAATGTACAGTAATAGCATTAACTTTGGTATTTCTGGGCCTCGTTTTCTTGATCATGCTCAAACGATGCTGCCCTGTGCATGTCAGTGAAGATGATGAGGGCAGGGATGTCAAAAAAAGATTAAATAAAAATCTTTATATTTCATGTTGTCAAAACATAGATGGAGCCTTCTTTTTTATTACATTTCATACAGAATATGTACCTGTTAGTCTAAAAATGTGAGTTGCATAAAATGTAAAAGAATAGTCTAAAAATTAAGAGGCATTTTAATAAAACACTGTGATTTTAAAATTTTTGTACAGGTTTATAATTATGAAATTTGGATTACCCCCTTGCCATTATGCTTGGAAAAAAGGCTCACACTGTAAATCAGTAGTGTTCTAGTATACTGACTCCACTCAGAACCCTATCCTACTAACTTGGAGATTGTTGGGACAAATATTTGCCAAAAGACAGAACTTCTTTGAACAAATATGTTCCATTGCAATGCTTTATACCTTGTTTATTTGTTATTCATTAAAATGTTCTTGTGTGCCTGTCATGTGCCAGAGTTGGGAAACAGATTTAGACACAGTCAAATAGAGTTTACATTATCACAATAGTCTCAATAATGAGGGTATGAAGGAGAAACTCAGGCATTTAGGCATAGGAAGCGGAGCATGCAAAGGTATAGAGGCTAGAAAGAGCATCAGCCATTTGAGGAATTACTTCTAGATTATTGAAACCTAGATACAAACTAGAGATGATGCTGCAGAAATAGAGGTAATGGAAGTCTTTGTATACAGAGCTTTGATTTCATTCTATAGCAAAAGATACTTGTTAATTAAATGTTGAAAATTAATGTTGAAAAATTTTACTGTAAAATGTTTCAATGGAGCAAGCCACTATTTCCCCAAGCACTCATTCCTTAACCTACCTAATATAATCATTTAAATTAAATGTGTCCCAAGCCAAATACATCATTCAGTTACAAACACTGGCCTCTGTCCTTTATTTCTGACCTCATCGACACATACGTGAATTGCTGCAGTGGCTACTATTTGCTATCCATGACTCTAGCCTTGAGAACAGCAGATGATTCTTCATGTTACAGCTAGACTAGTTTTTCTAAAGCATTTCTTTCACGAAGAGCCATAGCTCGTTAGTATCCTTGTCAAATCTAGAAGTCTTTATGTTTCATGACCCTTTACAATCTGTTCCTGGTGAAGCTTTTAAGCCTCATCAGCTACCATTCTCCCACCAACTCTATGTTCCATCCACACAAGACTCTCAAGTTTTCCTTAACACTGCTTGCTCTGTTACCCTCCCTCCTCCTACATGTACATGTGGTGTTTATTCCACTGTGAGTCCTTGCTCTGCCAGCAAACTTTTTCCTTTCAAGACCCAAATATTGCCTTTAAATGAAATTTCCTCTGACATCCAAAGACAGAGCTTGTCTCTCTCTACTGAGAGGTCTCCCAGCATTTAGATTTTTCTTCAGTTACAACACAAACACCTTACATTGAGGTTTATACATCTGTCTCTCCCAGAATACAGACTTCAAGCATGTAGACTTCAGCCCCTCCACTCCCCGCAGTTCCTGCTATAGTACCTGACTCTTCTAGATGCTGAGTTAACATGTAAAAAATACAAATAAACCTTTATCTGTATTTTCAATGCTTTTTTAAACAACTCTGTGACATGTTATTACAGATGTGAAAATTGAAGCTCAGAGATCATATTTTATTTGCCCTCTGCTACATCGCTTATAATTGGCTGGCTGGGAATTGAAACCAGGTCTTTTGATAAAAAATCCTAAGTTTTCAAAGCTTAACACAGTTTTCTTTGTAAACTAACAATATTAAGGAGGATGTTCACTGTACATAAGCACTTATATTTCAAACAGAATTTTTTTTTGTATAACCTAAGCTATGTTTTCATGATCTGAGACCGTGCCCATAGTCTCATTGAAGAGTAAAGATAAAACTTCAGATAATGCTCATAAAGAATGAAGATCTCTTCGTAAATTTATGTATTGCGGACTTATTTTCAGTAAGTCAAATTTTACCTGATATAAAACCCTTCTTGTGATTATCAATTTTAATCAAATGTATGATTGCTTCAAATTGCAAATAGTTCATACCTTCTCATCAAACGTATTGAGGTACTGACGGTAAGAAAGTACTACAAAATTTAGAAATTGCTGCTTTTCTAAATGGGCTCATTAGATCATTGCAGTATATGTAAAAGAAACACACAGTTGGATATCATTACTGCCGTTCTTTTATATATCTAAAGGGTTAAAAAAAGGGCCAGAACCCATCTTTTCTTTGAAATAATTACCCACTCAGGCCCATTGAGGCTGACTTTGGGCATGGGACAACATTCTTTTGGTTTGTTTCTTCAACTTCTTGGGTATCAAATTATAAAACAATAAATAAATTTTAGCAACACAAACAGAAGATTGGCATTGACAATGTGTCTCTGTTGCTTAATGTTGCCCTCTTTGCGGGGGTAAAAGGAACAACAACAATAAAAAACAAATTTTAGCCTTTGATCGCTGTCTCTTGGTATCCTGACACATTCCAGTTCATTGCTTTCATGACAGTCAATTAAGTCTGACAAATACAAGGAAAAATTCCCCAATTTTGGCCACATCATAAAGGATACCAGTGACGTTTTCCAGTGGGCTAAGTTGGTAGTTTCTAAGACATCAATCTATAAAATTTAAGACGCAGCTCAGTTGCTGTCTTTTTGTGCATTAAAGATTTAAACAGATATTTTAAAAAGTTTTTGCAAAGCAAGTTGAATTTTTAATCTATAAATAAAAGGAAAAGAGGAACAAAAACAAAGTGAATGAGAAGCCAGCAGAAGACACACCAGAGAAGATTATTTGTCACAGCAGACAATTAGGAAAGACAAATTGTTATATCAAAAGTAATGAGAATATATATTTTAAAAAATTACCACATGTACATGTACAAGCAATTCCACTTCTGGGTATGTACCCAAAAGATTTGAAAGCAGAGTCTTGAAGAAATATTTGTAACATCCATGTTCATAGTAGCATTATTCACACTAGGTAAAACATGGAAACAACTGAAGTATCCATGGACAAATGAATGGATAAGCAAAATATGATATAAACATACAATGTAATATTATTCAGCCTTAAAAAGGAAGAAAATTCAGATATATGGTACAGTATCAATCAACTTTGAAGACATTAAGCTAAGTGAAATAAACCAATCACAAAAAGAAAATACTGTGTGATTGCACTTATATGAGTCACCTAGCATAGTAGTCAAAATCATGGGGACAGAAAGTGGAATGGTGCTTGCCAGGAGCTGGAGGGAGGGGACAGTGGGGAGTTATGGTTTATGAGTATAGAGTTGCCATTTTACAAGCTGAAAAGTGTGAAGGAGATGGATGGCGGTGATGATTGCACAACATCATGATTCTACTTAATAACACTGAACTGTATACTTAGAAATGGTTAGGTCGATAAATTTTGTTAAGCATATTTAACCAAAATTTTTTTAAAAAGGGAACCTAAGTGAATGCTCTAACATCATGAGACTTTTGAAGATGACTTTGCACATCCTTGTTCTACCCCCTATTCAGCTTATGCCATTATTATTGGTGTTTGACTTTTACGGTCGCAAAATATTATATTGAAGTTTGCAAGCACAAATTTCCCCAATAGCAATAAATTATTGCGGAAAGTATTTGATCTTTCAGAAGCATTTTTTAAATTGTGCTTAGGATTTACAGGCAAGGAAATAAAATCAAGGTAAAGTTGACTTAATCCAGTGTACTGCTAAAAAAGTATTGTAATGATGAAACAAGGTGGCCATGGGATATAATATGTCATAGAAAAAATTCACAAATTGAAACAAACAATTCAATAATTATGAGCATAACACAAAATAGCTACATTTCTTTTTGTGATAGTAAGCTTTTTAAAGATATCTATTAAAGCCAGGCTAATAGAACAACACAGGATTACAAAACCACACATTTGAAAAAAAACTTTTAATCAAACTTCATAAGAATATGATGAACTAAAAAGCACACATTTGCATTTTTATGCTCAAAAAGATGTCTATAGTGATTTCCAATAACTGAAGAAAAATATATAATGACAGAAAAAGGTAACTTAAACAAAGAACCACTTCAATTTCACTTGCTGCTTTCCAACTTCTCTGTGATTTAAAAGCCTATTGATCTGGCATTCATCTGCATCAAATTCCAGTTGTTTCAGGAATCTGACTCTGTTACTGAACTTGTCCACTTACTAAATGTCTAAAATACAGCTTTCCTAATGCAATTTCATTGATGAACCATTTTTGTTCCATCTATTTTGGCTGTGGTATATTAGGATTCTGCTGGAATGAAATATGAGGGAAAAATGCAAACACAAAGAGCCATATGGTGTCGAATACCGGTAATGTCTGTGAATATTAGATTGACCTTTTTTTGGGTCAATACTTTTTTCTTTTCTTTGACAATCTGAAATAGCTGATACAATTGGTAGAACTGATAGTATAGTACTTAAAAGGAAGCAGACCAAAACAGCAAGTGGGATTATTTTATCTACTATTTTTAGTTATATTGAAAATAAAGACAAAATTAATTATTGAGTTTTCTGGCACATTTTGAATAAATGAAATGTAAAACAAATTATAATAGTCAATATCATGGAAAACATCAGGGTTCCTTGA
This sequence comes from Homo sapiens, assembly GCF_000001405.40. Classification (NCBI taxonomy): domain Eukaryota; kingdom Metazoa; phylum Chordata; class Mammalia; order Primates; family Hominidae; genus Homo; species Homo sapiens. Next base: position 176,301,159 of record NC_000003.12, on the reverse strand, counting down.
AGAGCTATGGTATGATCTGTCAAAATGTAAAACTAGGCTAAGTTACCTGTGCAGAACTTACAGGAGATACTTCTTACATCTCTAGCTAGTTGGGAGCAAAGAGGAAAGCGAAACAAAAAGAAAATTACGAGACAGGATCCAATGTGCCCCCTTTAAACACATCACAACAGGCAGTTGCAAGAGCTTTCAACCTATTTTTAAATAACATCTCCAAATACTCAGACCCTTGTCACCTCAGTCACCTATGTTCTTGGACCTGATCCATCAGCACTTTTCCCCTTTTGGAGTGGAGTGTGAAAAGAGGGTAACACTGAACAATCCCTAACAGTCAGAGGGAGCCATAGCATTGACCTCTGTTGGCATAACTTGTCTTTCATTTGCTTCTAACTAAGCTCTAAATCCTTTGTTCTTAATTTACAGATTTGAAATTCATGAGCTTTGCAACATCTTCACATCAGGACAAATAACCCCCCTGCTGTTGAAATCACTTGCATAATTTATAACGTTCAAAATTGGAATTGCATCATTGCCTCCTTTGCAATTACCCTGTAGTCAAGCCTTTCACCTTACTGAAAGGTCTTTAATTTTTCTTGATTTTTAAGCATTTCTCAATTTCTAATGGGCTCATTTGAATGGCTTGGGATGCTACAAAAATCTATTCTTATCTATATAATAGTTTAGAAGTATAACTATATCCAGATTATGTTCAAAGTCAAACTGTTGCAAATGTTACTTATGTACTGATTTGTGTTTAAAAATCAGATAATAACATTCCAAAAAAAATGTTATCAATACCTAATAGGAAATTCCTCTTTAACCTAAGTTTGTTGTTCTCTTTGCTATGCTTTCATAGTGCCTTGTATATATTTCTAGCCTGACAATAATTGTATTATTAAAATTATCTATTTGTGAATGTCTTTATAATTGGACCATAGCTCCTCAAAGGATCACATACATCTTAATTAACTGCTTATCCCTAATGGGTAGCATATTATCTGGAATGTACTATTTACTCAATGAATGTTTGTTGATTCATTTAGCAAACTTTCTTATAATAAAACAAATAGATATTTTTCATCTTGTAAAAAAATAGCAGTGTAGATGTTATTTCAGAATCTAATTAGATCTACCTTAGCAATTTTCACTTAAATATAACACCCCTGAAAGACAAACATGTGACATCTTAAAGCTAATATTGAGTAGCAGCTCATTCAAGATTTCCTTTACTCTGACTAAATTGTTACTTCTTTTATCAAGACACTATTCCATCCTTTGGAGCATTGTAGAATAAGCGTAAATTATTCTCCACATGAGAGTCCTTCAAATATTTGAAGACAGCCATAATTCCTCCTTTATCTCAGCTTTACACAAAATGTCCTCAGTGTTTTTCCTATTATAAAATGATTTCCAGACTCCTCATATTTTTATCTGCATTCCTCCTTCAGTAATTCATTTTAATGTAATATTTAGGTATTTGATTAAAGTAATAAATAGAGAAAAAATTAGAAATCGGAAGAAAGCATCTAGAAATTTTCAGTGGTTTCTCCAATTTTTCCATTTAAAAATATGTATGAATTAAAATGTAAAGTCCTCTCTGCTGCCTTCCAGTCTCACAAGGTAACCTCAGTCAGTAGTTTGAGTTTAATTCTTCTATGATGTCATCTTTGCTTATTCAAACATGCTCAAACACACACACACACACACACTCAAGCACACAGATGTCTCTTTTGGAGTTTTGTTCTATTTTTTTAAAAATGGAATCTTGTTATAGTATTGCTATTCCATTTTTCCCCATGAAAAATCATCGGTTGCTGTTATTGTCCTTTGGTTACACTTTATCAGTGGATCTTTTAAAATGTTACCTCCAGGACTAAATATAAATTCAGATACAATTAACTTTTATTAAGAATTTACTAGATGCCAGACACTGCATTTGCACTTAAGATGTTATATCATTTGAATTCTCAAAAGAATATATAAGGTAATTAGTATTCCTATTTCACATGTAACAAAATATGTTTAGAGAAAGCAGTTAAATTGCTCAAGATCACTCATACATAGCCATTTACCAAAGCTATGTATCTATTTATTCATTTATTCCTCAATTTGATTCAGAAAGCATTTCAGACCATTTTCCAGGCTTAAATGCTTAAGTGCAACTGCATAGCTTAAATGTGAAAAAAAATAGGTAAAAAGCAGGAAAGAATATTTATGACTGAGAATGTAAAATGAAGTTAGTAATGAGACTAGCAAAAAAATAAATAATAATAATTGTGCACTTGCTATAGATGACCACAGAGTATGGATATTCTTAGCAATGCGACAATGGTCAGTTATTAATTCGTAAAGCCAAGAAGAGAAAAAATGTAAATTATTTTTAAAAATAAGAATGCAGCTAGACCTGGTACTAAGAATAAAGAATTTCTGTTAAATATCCTTAGAGAAAGGACTAGAGGAATATGTAGAAAATGTATTTTTATAAAATATGTAATTATAAATTTCAGTTGGCTTTTATTTACAATGTTTCTTGCTATAGCCAATGCCCTCACACCAAAGTCTAGACCAGTAAAGGCAATTTTCTAGGAAATCAAGAATTTTATGTTCTCGATACCCGGAGCTTTGTTTGTTTGTTTAACTTATAAATGGTAGAAATGGTAGAGTTTAGAACATCTGGAGTAATAAATGATTATAAGTCTTTTCAGTAATCCTTCATAGATATATAAAATATATGAATATATATTATATATGAATAATCATATATAAATATATATATGCTGTGTATATATAATATATAATGTAATGTATATTCGTATATATGTACCTTTAAAGATAAAAATATCAAAAAGTATATGAGAAAGGAATAGAGTAAGTCAAGATGCTTTAGATTGGTGGATCACAGAAGGGAGATTAGGACTTTTTCATATATACTGTGTGTATATATGATATACATTATAATCATATACATGATATATATTATAATGTGTATATATACATCATATATACATGTATATAATATATACATCATATATGTATATATGTATATATATTATATATAGTATAATATATTATATATGTATATAATATATACATTATCTCATATAGGTATATAATATATAATGTATATTATATACGTATATAATGTATATGTATATTATATATTATATATTATGTATATTATATACAGTATAATATATACCATATGATATAATCGTATATTATATATACGATTATATATAATCATATATATCATATATTATATATATGTTCATATATATATGTGATTATATATCTAATCATATATAATCATATATTATATATGATTATATATAATCATATATTATCATATATTATATATAATCATATATTATCATATATTATCATATATTATATGATTATCATATATCATATATTATATGATAATATATAATCATATATTATCATATATTATATGATTATCATATAATATATATTATATGATTATCATATATAATATATATTATATGATAATCATATAATATATATTATATATGATAATCATATAATATATATTATATATTATAAGATAATATAATCACATATTATATGATTATAAGATAATATGTATCATATATGATATGATTATAATATATCATATGTGATATGATTATATGTCATATATGATATGATTATTATATACCATATATGATATATAATATGTATCATATATATGATTATAATATATGATATATATTATAATCATATGTCATATATATGATTATAATATAATATATGATATATATATCATAATCATATATATGATTATAATATATCACATATACACACAGTATATGTAAAAATATATATACATACAGTATATATTTCTATATATGTGTGTTCTATATATTTGTGTGTATATATACAGTATATATATATAAATATACTGTAATTAAATGTTAGATAGTCATAAAGTAGAGGTTAACAACCATGTGTCATTATGAGGTTAGGTCTAAGCCACAGAGTTGGGATTGTAATTGTGATAAATCTGACTCCAGTGTTTCTAAACTGTCTATAAATGTAGTCTTCCCAGTGCAGAATATGGAGGGATAATTATTTCAATTGATCTGGCAATTATGCCTCCATTAATATTGACTAAGTTTCTTATGAGTGGTTAAATATGCCCAACCTGAATTGCTTCTACCCCATTTCTACTACTTCTTCCAAACCTTATCCCCCAAGGAAAAAAGATACACTATTGGTTTTCATAGCAATTTTTCAGAGTCCAGGAAAAAAAATCTTGGGAAACTATTATAAAATATCATAGTAAGCAAGCATTCCTGGGACCACACAACTGCAAAACAGGCATATCAAGTGATAAATGAACTGCTGAAGTCATTCTGCTGCTGAATACATTTTTACCAGAAATATCTTTGCTAAGCTTACTGCAAGATCAGAATGTGTTAGATGTCTACATTAGGAATCTCTGTTGGTGATGGCAGCAGCAGGAAGTCTTGTGTAAACCAACCATTCTCTGTATGTAGAATGACATGCTTCCTATTGAGGGCAGCCCCAAATGCCACAAAGAGCTGTGTTGTTGGAGACTGGTGAGAGTGGTGTATACTGAAATTCTTTTCCCTCTCTGTAGACAAGAAAGGAACGGTCCATTTCTGTCAGCTTGATAGGCATGAAGATAGACAAGGCAGGATATCTGAAATGAGAGAAGAGGCAGGATCATCCTGGAATATGCCTGAAATAGGAGGACCTAGTGGTAGCTATTGGTGTCACAGAAGGCTGGAGACATAGGCTTTGTTTCTATAGGTAGTTAGTTGTAGGGAGGCATGAGCAGCAGATGAGTAGAGAGGAGAAAATGTAGCTGAACATGCAGACTGAACTAAGCATCTAAGCCAAATTCCAGAAATCATTTATAGAATACAGCACTCAGATCAGGAATTCCTACAAATGAGAGCAGCCAAGAGCAACCTTGTACTACTTCCAAATGACCAAATTTTTTGTCAATTAGCATGCTCCATAAAATGAAGATATTTACTAAAAATGTAAGAAACCTCAATTTTTGGTTTATGCATGGAGGTAGTCAGCTTTGCAGGCTCTAGAAATTTTGAGTATGAAAAAGAATAATTAAAATTAATTGGAAAGTTTAAACTAAATCAAAACCATGTTTTTTGACTTCTGTTAAGTTTGAAAATGTTTTACACACAAAGAAGTTCCAATTGATCTAATCAGATGAAAAATCAAAGAAAGTGAGTTGGTATATAGAACTGTTAACAGAAGATTTGGGTCCCAATCTTGTTTAGAAGCAGCTTCTAATCCTTATTCTGATAATATGTTTTATAACCATGGACAAATCACTTCACTTTATGTACCTCAATTCTAACATTCTTCAAATGCAAGTTGGTATTAGGCTGCCACCAAGGCCATTTTTAGGAACATAAATTTACCATTCTAGTCAATAAGGAGACACCTTTTCTAAGAAAGAGAGAGAGAGAGAAATAAAGAGAGAGATTTATTATTACTAGCATTCTCATTTTATATCTCAAATAGAGCTGATACTTTTTTCTCATATCCCTCAGCCAGTTGGGATTACTTATTTCTAGTAACATTTACTGTCAAAGAATATGACTTGTTAAACCTTAAGAAATCAAGAAAATATTGGGATTACTTTAATCTCCCTACTGTGAACCACCAAGCTAAAGCATCTTGACTTTACTCTATTCTTTTCTCATACATTTTTTAGTATTTTCATTTTAAAGGTAAATAAAATATTTTGAAATATATTACCTGTGTAAACAAGAAAGCATGAAACTAGAAATAATTAATATTTTTTATTGAACATTTTATTTTCTGTGCACATTAAAGTCCATGATGATATTTATTTTTCTCTTTATTGTCCAACTACTGAAAGAGAAATTTTACAACTTTCTACCTGCCTTATGATGTCTTTGATATTTACAGTACAGGAAAGACTATAATTTTCTTGCAATCAAAAACTGCTGCTATTTCCCCCCTTAGAGAACAATATTGACGCCCAGTCTGAGCAATAAGTGTTTTATATTTAAGTAGTCTGAATAAAAGCTTGCAACACATCATTTATAAAATTAAGGTGTTCATGAAAATATTTTGCAAGTTGAGGAATGCCTATATATACTTAGTGAATTTTCACCTTAAACTCCTCTGATTTCATATATTGAAATAGAGAAATCGTCATTCAAATTATCCAAGTGCTGAGCTGGGATTTGTGCAAAAGGTTACTCTATTCCAAAAGATACAGTAGGAAAAGCTTTCAGAAAAGATTGTAGCTAGTAGTTTGCTCTTAAAGGGAAAATAAAGCAAGATTTAGTAATTTAAAATATACATTTTAAGTACTTAAAGATTAGGTAATTTGCTAGGACGTCAACTAGATAAAATGTCTATTTTAAGGTAATGGATCCTAACTATAAAATATTAGTGCTGTTTTCTACCAATGAACCATATTTATGTAATAAAAACAATAGTCACATATATTCAACAAATATTTTAGTACCTTTCATGCAGGTATATAAGAAATATACACATGATTAAGGTATGGCTCCTCCTCAAGGAGTTTCCTACTATATGGGAAAGATCTAGAGACCAGCGAGTATAAAAAAAGGGGGTAGGAAAAACTAAGTGATAAGAGAAATGAACAATGATTAGGATTTAAAGGAAGATGAGTATACTTCTCATTAGAGTAATCCTCAATGGAGGAGGGGCTATGTGAGTTAGCCCTTGGAAAAATAGTAAGATTTAGATGGGCAGAAAGGTTGATTGTTGTGTTCTACTTAGAAGATTACAGTGGTAAAATCGCATAGATTTGAGAGTATATAGGGATACCTAGAGAATATGTTTGAATAATCAGTGACTCAGATTAATGGATAGATGCAGTAGGAGATGTAGCTACTATAAAAGTAGTTAAGACAAGTTTATGGAAATTATTGACCACCATAAAAGGAATTGAAATTCTATTCTTTAAAAGAAAGAAACAAAGGTTTCCCAAAGGGGAATGCTGTGATTCAACTTGTAGCTAAGAAAATAACACAGTGACCATTTGTGTAAGTATTTAAAAATATAAATCCAATGACAAATTTCAAAAGGACAAATCAATATTAAAAATCAGATTAATTTTTATGTTAAATAATTCAGATATTTATTTTTGAAATTTAGGACTGTTTCTCAGATTATAAACTTAAAAGTTTGTTGAAACTTTAAAAATATGTGTATTTTAACTTGGAGAATATATCAAAGTTTTTCTTAGAAATCTAAACATTGACATAAAAATATATAGAAGAAACTTCTAATGCTAAAAAAGCAATAGTAGGTTGCTGCAAACAATATTCCCATCACGACGATATACAAGACAGATTAATTGTAAAATTTACGTTGTTTAAAGCATAAGAGATCTGTGAAAACAGAGAGAATTAAATAATGGAAATTCCAGTCATTTCCCTCCCTAGGATCGTTTGCAGATTTCCAATCTTGGGAATAAAAATCAGGTTTTCCCTTGAAGAAGAATGTGGCTTGAGGAAGAGAAACTAGCGATTCTGTGGTCTATTGGGCACAATGTAAAAAAAATTAGATCTCCAAACAAGGCTGATTTTTTCACAACATGCGTGCTTTGGATGTTTGTCCCTGCAAAACCTCATGTTGAAATGTGATCCTCAGTGTTGGAAGTGGTGGCTAATGGGAGGTGACAGGGTCATGGGAGCAGATCCCTCATAAATAGATTAATAACTTCCCTGTGGGGAGGGAACTGAATGAATTCTCATTCTATTAGTTCCTGCAAGAGTTCCCTGGCAAGCTGGTTGTGGAAAAAAGCCTGACATCTCCCCTCTTACTCTCTTACTTTCTCTCTAACCATGTGATTTTAGCACATTCTAGCTCCACTTTGCCTTCTGCCTTGAGTGGAGGTAGCTTAATTGCCCACCAGAAGCAGATGCTGGCACCATTCTTCTTGTACATCCTGTAGAACTGTGAGCCAAATCAACCTGTTTTCTTTGCAAATGCCCAGTCTCTGGTATTCCTTGATAGTAACACAAATGAGCTAAGACAATACATTTTCTGAAACCTGAGTCACACAGAATGTAGAGGGCTTCTAATAAGTGAACTTGAAATTTCTCACAGTCTCTCATTATTTAGAAAACCAAGCTCCGCCGGGGGAATGGTACTTTCCCCAAACACATGGCTAGTCACCTTTTCAAAATATTTGCCAATCTTTAACACAATGTGGGAGCCATAGAGAAAAGTTCAAAACCTCTGTAGGAAAGATTAAACCTCTCATAAGTATTGTGTCTAAACAGTTTGAGATAGGCTGTTCTCAAAAGAACGGGAAGAAAATGCCTGAGATATGGAGGAGAACCAAAATCATACTTTTATTCCCAGATGTTTACTCAAACTTTTTAAAAGAGAAAAAGAGAAACCTTGGGTTTTTTGCAGTCTTTGGCAATTGTGAATGTAATTTCCATGAATATTTATGGGCAAGTTTTTGTGTGGGTATAATTTTTCATTTCCTTTGTGTAAATATCTAGGAGTGAGACTGGTGGCTCAGGTAGTAAATGTACGTCTAAATTTATAAGAAATTCCACACTGTTTTCTAATGTGCCTATAGTACTTCGCATTCATAGTAACAATATATGAATGCAAAGTTGCTGTGCATTTTTTGCCATCACTTCGTATTATCAGTCTTTCTAATTTTAGTCATTCTTATTGGTGTATGTTGGTATCTCATTTTGGTTTAGTTTTCACTTCTTTGAAAACTAATGATGTTGAGCATCTTGTTATTCATTATATGCCCCATATTAAGATGTCTTTTGTAAAGTGTCTTCACCAAACTCTTGTCATTGTTTTTCAGTCATTTGCTTATTTTTGAGTTTGTAGTACTTTACATATTCCAAAAACAATTCTTTTATTGGATATATGTACAGCAAATATTTTCCCCCTCCCAATCTGTGGCTTGCTTTTCTGTGATATTAAGACTGTTTTTGAAAAGTAGTTAATTTAAATTAACTCCAGTTTACTGATTTTTACTTTTATGTTTCATGTTTTTGTGACCTATCTAAATAAGATATCATTAGGAGTCTGAAAATATAATACAAGTGGGAGAAAATATTTGTGATATAACTTCCCAATGTGTGACTCATATTTTGAATATATTGAGGACTTCTATGAACCGCTAAGAAAAGGACAACTCCATAGAATACGAACAAATTCTTTAAACTAGGTGATAACCAAATGACCAATGCACATTTGAAGAGATGCTCAGCTTTATTGGTCATCAAGAAAATGTAAATTGAAATCACAATCGGGTACCACTACATATTTAGCAAAATGTCTAACCTGAAAACAAAATAAAACAGAAACAGAACTAGGATATGGAGCAATTGAAACACTTATACATTGTAGATGACGCTGTAAATCACTAAAACGCCTTTAGAAAACCTTTTGCCAGCATGCACTAAAGCTGAACACATACAGACTCTGTAATCCATCAATACCTTTCCCATGTAAATGCTGAATGGAAATGAAAGCATATTTCACCCAAAGATGAGTAGAATATTCATAGTAGCACTCTTCAAAATAGCCTAAACTGATAACTACCCAAATTTCCATCCAATATTCCAATATAGAAAAAATGTGCCAGAATCACTCAATTGAGTATCACATGGTAATGAGAATAAACAATTTACACATGCATAAATATTACAAATATAACAGTGAGTAAAAGAGGCCAGACACAACGTAAACTCTATGTCGCTATTTACATTAGAACAAAACCAGAGAAACTAACTTTCACTGTTAGAAATCAGGATGGTGTTAACCTTGATATGTGGGTGGTGCTGGTTACATGATGTTAAGTTTCCAAAAATATAGCCAGATGTGCAATTATAACATTTAAATTTAGTTGTGTGTATATTTTTCAATAAAAATGAAAAGTAACTTAAAATATTTCTTTCTATAAAAACAAAAAATACACACGAATATAAGGATCCTGGAACACACCCAACTGTGTAGCTGGCTCCACTAATTTTAATCTTCTATGTTTAAATTTGGTAACAATTTAAATTGGATAACTCTTTGTTCTAGAAATTCTGACCCTAGTAATTTAGTATAGGAATATAGTCAATGAATTATGCTAAAATATATATTTCTTACAGTGTTTTTGGAATAGAGGAATATTTTTCGCAAGGGATTTACATTCTCATCTCAATTATCTTTATTTAACACCTTTAACAACTTTTTAATTATACACAAGCAGACTGTTATGTACAATAAACAATGTTTTGGGCAAAGATCAAAATCAAAATTAAAACTTTAATATGAATCTCATAGAGAAGAACATGGGTAATATTAAACTTTCCTAACTAGTTTCTTCTCTGGATATTGAACTGGCTGTGATTTTACATGAATAATGGAATATACTAAAATTGGTGGCATGATCCTTTCGTTAGAGCAGTTATGAGATGAAAAGACAAAATCTACTAGGAAAAGTTAAAAAACACATCTTTAACAATAAAAAGATAAAATCTGTCTCTCAACTTATACTGTCTCTGATGTTATGAATATTAGATCATACTGTTAAATCCATTGATAGTTTGTAAGTCAGCTCATTTTTGATAAGCTCTGACAATGCTGCTATAAATATAAAAAGATCTATGAATTTTCGTATTTAAATGACAAAATCCTCTGGTACATCTGAGGCGTCAGCCTCACAGTTAAACTGGATGTTTCTTTAGCATTTGAGGCACCTACCATGTTTTAGAGTGTAGATTAATGTGTAAGTGTCTTCATCTGTGGAAAAGTACATAAAACTACCTTGGCAATTGGGCTTCTGGGTATATTATAAAAGAAAAAAACAGTCTCCTTTTTTAACCATGAAAAAAGTGATAACATTCAAACTTGTTTCTTCAAATCTTACCATTCATTTATAAAACATAGTATTTTTATAGCAATATTTTTAATGAATTAAAAATATTACATGAGTAGTATAATTAAATGATTAAATTCCATTAAAAGATCATATATGTCTGCAAAAGAGTATTAACCAATGTTTATGTTTCAAGTTATATGATAATTAGAAACTGACGCAAAAGTCAAATGCAAATAATTTGTTGATAATTTAGTGGCAATTCACTATTTGCTATGATCATTTCAAACACATTAGAAACACATTGCCATATTTTATATTCTTTAGACCTCCTATCTTTAAAATAAAAGTGTGTGTGTGTGTGTAATTTTATATATGTGTGATTTTTTTTTTCAGGCTAAAATGAAACAATAACTTGTCTGGCTGATTAGATTTCCTTGGAGGTGAACTTTCACAAATAGCCAAAAATGTTTGCAAGTAAAGAGTATAACTGGGCTTTTAAATAACTCCTCTAAAATCAAAATGAAGAACAAAAGCTTCCTTCCTTTCAGAAAGTAATCTGCAACCACTCTCATGCATTTGTGTGCTTTTTAAAAAAAATATTGAGGATGGAAGGGAAGCATGGTACATGTAAGTTCAAATCTTACCTGTCACATGCCTAATCTATGAATCCAAATGGATTTTTTCATTAGTGGTTTTTAGACTAAAGTAACGTGAATTAATTTAACAAAGTAAATGATGACATTGGAAACTAATAAAGAACATAGATACAGAACTTTTTCCTTTATTTTGCATGCCTCACTTACTATTTTAAATGAGTAAACCTCCCTCATGGCATCCATGAGATGAGAGACAATTCAAGGCATTTAAGGCAATCTTAGAGAAACTTTCTTCACTACTTTCTACCTTTTATTTTCTCAATTCTTTCAAAAACGAGTCAACAGATTTCTGACATTTTAAACTTATTGTATTGAAGATACATAAAACGCCTGCTCCCTTTACTCTCCTCTGCATGTATGAAAATGAAAATCAGGCTATTTCCATAACCAACAAACTTTATTTCTTATGAAATATTTCAGATACAAATGGTAGTAAGGCTCCTATTAAAACAAAAAAATTTTACCCTCACCACTAAAAAAAGAAATCAACATTACCAAGGTTGATCTTGAGTATCTCTCCTCTTCTCTCCACCAGAGGTAAAGACTATATTGAATTTGGTATTTTTAAAATTCCTGTGTGTTCATTGATATATACTTAAGTAATATATGGTATATTTTGCCCTTCAACTTCTGTTTACACGTATCACACTATATATATGTTTCTGCAATTTTTTTTCTGTTTGCTAAATATATTGGTGAGATCCATTCAGTTTCCATCTAGTTCATTCAATATTGATGGAATAGTGTATTCCATTATACATGCACCCCACAATTCATTTGTTCTGCTCATAGTTACCTCATTGGCATGACTTTTTATTTATTGAGAAATGCAATAATCAAATCAATAAACTGCAATGTAAATGATCCATATTAATTACTGAACCCTTCTGGTTTGTGGGTATGTAAGTTTTTCCCTCTGTTTCATCTCTGTGTGTTAGAGTTGTTTCAAATCTGGGAGGTGATCAAAATCACCTGGAGATCTTCTTAAAAATAATTTCAAATAATCTGACTCTACCCTAGACCTTCTGAATCAGTTTCCCAGACTATGGTCGAGGAAATTGTATAAAAATAAAATAAAGCAAAAATGTACAACTAGAATGAGGCATGGTGGCTCACGCCTGTAATCCCAGCACTTTGGAAAGCTGGGGCCAGAGGATCACCTGGGCCCAGGAGTTCAAGCCTGCAGTGTGTTATAATAGTGCCACTGCACTCCAGCCTGGGCAATAGAGCAAGACTCTGTCTCGAATTTTGAAAAAGCACAGATAATCCTTATATGTAGATATACTTGAAACTACTCTATTAAGGTTACATTTCTTTTAACTTTTAAAATGAAATGTAGAAACAGAAAAGCACACATATCATAAGTGTGCAATTCAATTAAGAAGATAAATTTTTCACATTATATACTTCCAAAGGCCAACTGAAAATTATTTTTCCCAGCTTCTAATTTTAACAAAGCCTTAGAAAAGAAAAAGAGAAATAGCTTGAGACATGAGAAAAATAAAATTAAACTTGACAAAGAGATAGTAAATAATTATCAACTTGTCCAGTTTTTGTATAACTTAATTTATATAAATAAAAATATCTTCATACTTTTAAAGGCATAGAATTACACAATTTTAATGACTTGAGCCCAAAAGACAGTAACAAAACAGAAGAATTGGCAACTCCATAGAGACTGCATTTCATAACTGGAATTCGTCACCTATGGAAGCAGACAACAGAGGATAATTAAATGAATGATCACATAAAATGAACTGAAGTCACTGAACACTTAAACAGCTATCGCATGTTAATCATAATTTGTATCAGCTCTCATTCTTTGATCTTGGGATGACTTTCTTCTGCATAATAATGAGGTTATATTACTTGTGTTGACATCATTTAAAGAAGTGAATACAGTAGACTGCAACTGGATTTGAATCTAGATTTTTTTCTTCAACACAGTCATCTAGCTTTAAGAAATCATTTAAAAGGTTGAATGTGAAACAGCTCTGACCATTGTAAGAGTAAACATAAAATGTACAAAGAATTATTTTAATGGTTTGATTATCTGTACTTTAGAGATAGTTATTATATCCCATCTTTGATTTGTGCATGTTCACTTAACTCCCTTTAAATGTCTCGACCACAGCTCATGTTACTTTACTATCATTTTTGGGTAATATTTTTACTTCTCTGGAGTTTTAACCATTTTAATGACAAAAAGTTCACATATGTATGAAAGCAATTAAATATATTAGATTTGTAAGAACTTACAAATATGCAGTACTTACATATTACAAATAATGCAGTAATTTGTTATGACATTTTGAGAGAAATACACTGTCATCATGCTTAATTTGATAAGGAAAGTGAAAGTTGTCTTATATCATCACAATTAAATAATGTTGCTTAAAGTTGTAAATATGTGACATTGGAAAAGTAACTGATGAAAGGTATAAATGATTACATAAATATGCATGTATTTTATAAACAATAAAAACTAATTTTATGCACAAATCATCTTTTGTACTCTAAACTTAATTCTCCCACCAAACATCTGTCCAATATCCAGAGCTATGAGTTTTTGTGGAGTTCCCAATGATAAAATAATGTCTAAGGCAACAAAAAAGTTGTTTCTTCAAAGATGTGGAGTTTGGAATAATTTCTAAACTGCTTTTTTTCCTTAAGCTGCTAAAAGCAAGAAATATTTTCTTGGTTATAAAAAGATGACTCACAGTACGTTATCATGGAAAAATACTAGAGTAGAAATTGAACACAAATGGGAATAAATTCACACAGACAAAATGTGCTCTCTTCAGGTCTCCCTTTCATGTTCTAGTAATCTGAAGTTATCTCTGGATCAATAAATACATGCTGGATCAACTCTGCCTTTTGTTTTTTTTTTGTATTTTAATTTTTTAGATTGATATGGGTCAGTATTCGAGACATCTTATTCCATCTGGTTCCATTTAGGAGTAAAAATATTGTTTGAACAGAAAAATCCCCTAGAGATTTTTTTAGTGTATTCTGTAGACTTGAACGTGGTTGAATGAGGAGCAGAATTGGACAGTATAAAGCTATAACCATTTTGTTGTAATGCAGGATTACTCAGGCAGAGGAGTATAAATATACAGTACCAAAGGTATATGTTCACAGCCCACACTGGACTGTTGCAAGCTATATATCTCTTTGAAATTATATTACATATTGCACATAAAAATTTCATATATGAACTCGTATTTCTGGCTCATTCCACATGTCACCAGAAGAACTCTGCTCATTATAGATGCTCAGACTTCTAAAGGAAGAGAGTAGTCGCCATCTTGTGATATTACCATCCTACTATGAGGCTTTAGGGTTTGCAGAGGCAGAAGAAAAAAATGGAGAATTGAACTAAACTGGTACTGGTAACTAAAAGTATTTCCTGAAAAATGCCACATACAACTTCTACCCAGATTTTAGGGACCAGGATTAGTCATATGCCCATACTTTTACTCTTACACTCAAAGGAACAGAGAAAAGTAATTCTCCAGATACCTGAAAGGAGAGGAAAACCAAATATTGTGACTTGGTAAGTCCTACCATAACTTTTGAACAGATATGTTTACTTAACTATCTTTTTATGGCAGGCAGAAATTTTGGGGTTATGATATTAATTAACGTTGGATTTTTTTCATTTACAGACAAGAATCTGCTTTTCCATACATAAAGAAGCTAAGGTCTAACCCTATAGTAACATTCAGTAAATTTTTGATATCTGTTATGTTTTCATTTATCGGTGTTAGTGATATGTGTATGTGTATACTGAGAGGGAGGGTCATTGGTATAGGATAGCACATATATAAAAATAAAAAGTTTTAGTCAAGTTTTATATCAGAGTTTTTATTATAGCATATTTGTGAATAAATTTTGAGATGATTCAGAACATGCGATAAGACATCCTTACCCTATTCCTCCATTTCATCACATCAGTTTCAAGCAACAGTTACTGTCAGAGACTGAATGAAGCAGAATGATACTGTCAATAGGGTTTGTTGGATCAAGTACAGGCTTTGAATTATATAAATATCTTGGATCACACACATTTTTGTCTTATTGGCCTTTTGGCTAATAATTTAAAAAAAAATCCTAAAACTAAACTTCCAAGTTGGTAACACAGGGTAAGAGAACCTCTTTTGAGAGTTGTTCTGTTGTTCTGAGAATTAGAGCTTTTCTTTAGAAAATACAGAATACAGTGGATAGCATGGAATGTTTTAAAACAAAAGTACAGCCATCCCTTGGTATCCATGGTGGACTGATATCAAGAAACCCCTGCAAATAGCAAACTCTATGGATGCTCAAGTCCCTTATATAAAATGGCATAGTATTTGCACATAGCCTAGTTACATCCTCCTGTGTATTTTAAATTGTCTCTAGATTATTTATAATACCTAATACAATGTAAATACTGGATAATAAGTTTTCCATGGTATTATGTGGGGAATAATGACAAGAAAAAAATGCCTGTACATATTCAGTACAGATGCAATTTCTTTTTTCCTTTTTAAAATTTTTTTAATTTAATTTTTTTTTTTGGATGGAGTCTTGCTCTGTTGCCCAGGCTGGAGTACAGTGGTGGGATCTTGGCTCACTGCAACCTCTGCCTCCTGGGTTCAAGTGATTCTCTTGCCTCAGCCTCCCGAGTAGCTGGGACTACAGGTGTGTGCCACTACAACTGGCTAATTTTTGTACTTTTAGTAGAGAAAGGGTTTCGTCATGTTGGCCGACTGGCCTCAAACTCCTGACTTCAGGTGATCTGCCCGCCTCGGCCTCCCAAAGTGCTGGGATTACAGGCATGAGCCACTAATTTGGCTGTGTGATTTCTTTTTTGAGTATTTTCTATTCATGGTTTGTGGAAACCACGGACATGGAGTACAAGGATATGGAGGGTAAACTGTATTGTTAATGTTTTTATGATGCCAATATGTAATCCTCTTTTATTTATTGCTATTTTGTTGGTTAGTTGTATAATTTAGCTAAAAAAATCATTTATGACATGGGACTATCTAGAGGAGACCTTTATAATATGAAGTTCACAATGACCAGTCAACTAATGCCTGTGATAGTCTACGCTGAAGAGTATTACCACTACACACAAGGCAATTACAAATCAAGTTGCTCCTGTACTTGGGTTATAATTTAAAGTTGCCAAAGAGATCAAGTTATTTCTGACACAAGTAAAGTTTCAGGGTGTCTTAAAGATGCCCTTTGGTAAAATATTTTGTATTGTCCCCTCTCTACCCCTTTCATCAGCTAAATTAACTCCCTACTTCCAGTATTCAAATTTCAAAGATTAAAACAAGCATATTGGTGTCTCGGATCACCTATAGAAAACATGAATTTTTCTCAGGATGGGACGCGGTACTAAAGATAATGCAAATAATTGAAGTGATTATCACCAAGTTCATAACTACGTCTAGGAAACTAATCAGTGGCTAGATACATAATACAAATAACCACGTTTTGCCTTTCATATGAAAGTTTTATTAAAGAGTAAGCTACCAAGGAGCTATCCCTGCTTCCAGTACAAATAAATTAATAAATATTATAAAGTACATATGAATGACCAGTATTATAATATGCGATAGGAAGAGTTATGGAATGTGGAAGGAAAACATACCAATTTGGGGCTCTTCAGTGTAAATATACCACTTATCTGCTGTGAATACTTTCCGAAATTGCGTTTCAGTTATCAGCTTGAAGTCATTATGGACTTACTCTCCTTCTAAACCGTGAAATTGCTCCAAAAGTCTGTGTTAAATGTTATTAATTTTAAGAATAAATTTTACAATGCATTTTTGCTTATGAAATATAATTGAATCATAAACTGTATTTGTACAAAATGCAGATAAACAATAATTTTTCACAATCTGGTAGTTGAATTATAACACTAAGTCATCTTGAATTAGAACTGTCCAGAATAGTTTCTTAATCATATCTAAATGGCAAGGGGAAAATATTTTTGTCAAATACATGAATTTACTTGTACTAAATGCTTTGGGAAACTTAATTTAAAACTTTATTTTATGAAACGCGATTCCTGGGTTGGTTAACTTCACTCAGTAACCAGGAATTTGTCAGATTTTGAAAGTATAATGACTCTATTTTGCATATTCTTCAAATACTTTCATTTGAAATATTTTATTCATTTGAAATATTTTGTTTAATTTGTTATCTCAATAACAATTGCTTATACCATCAGCACACTGGGCATTGCTATTTCAATCAAAATTCATGCCCACATTTACTACAGAAGAGAGATTCATACAGAGTTATGTATAACTAGTAAACATTTGGTATCTTTTAATAATGATTCTTAGACTTATAGAGCTGAAAATAAATTTAGAGGTCTACTAATTCAAGTGCTCTATTTGCAGAAAGGGAAAATAATTTCCAGAGACAGTAACTGCCTGCTGAAGGTCAGGGAACACAATTGAAGAGCTTGAATTAAAACTACATTTTTTGAGGTCAAGGAGGGCAGATCACCTGTGGTCAGGAGTTCCAGACCAGCCTGACCAACATGGAGAAACCTCGTCTCTACTAAAAATACAAAATGAGCTGGGTGAGGTGTTGCATGCCAGTAGTCTAGCTACTTGGGAGGCTGAGGCAGGAGAATTGCTTGAACCTGGGAGGCAGAGGTTGCAGTGAGCCGAGATGGCGCCATTGATCTCCAGTCTGGGCAACAAGAGAGAAACTTGGTCTCAAAAAAAAAAAAAACAAAAACAAAAAACAAAAAAACACCACAGTTTTTTTTTATTGCTGGTTTGGATATTTTTCTAGCAAACTTCATAGTTTATTTTGTTAGAAGTGGGAATTATATGGTTAGAAACCATCAATATCACCACTATATTCTCAAGGAAATTATGAGTGTTTATTCAAATATCAGTTTTGATAATATCAATCAAAAAAAGAAAGAACAAGATAGGGTTTCAATTCCATCTTGCTATTAACATCTTCTCCTACCTAGAAAGAGAACTGAGGTATCCAGGTTGCTCTATCTACAATAAAGTGTATATAAGAGACATAGGACAACGGGGAGGGGAGAGAGGCCATGGCTAACATCATTAGTTCTCTGCTTTCTTTGTGCTAGGTAATGGCATGCAGTTAGTTGCTTCTTAGTGAAGCTTTGCTTGAGGAAGCAAAAATCAGTTTTGGGGAGAACATAGATGGAAATATGAAGGAAAATTTGTCCTTATTAATCTTTAAATAGTAAGGGGAAGTCTTGGTGAAGTGAACCATATGAATCTCTTTGACAAGGTCTCAGTGTCGTTTTTGTTTTTATCCAACACATTGGCTTTGTCTGGAAGTTCACACCGATCTTTTAAAGGCAACACAGTGAAAACTGAAAGAAACAGTGTGTGTAAAAACTCTTTTTCAATAGAAGTTAGAGAAAAATAATTTTCCTAAAATGTCTTTTCGCTAGTATCCATTGTTGAACAAATATTAGGGAACATTTAACTTTAAGTTGAAAGTAATACAATGGAGAATGAATGCCAGTGATGTAATTGTCTGATAAAATCTGCAGCACCTGAAGAGTTGAAATTAATTTATACTAAATCATTATCTTTTTATGGCAGGCAGATGTTGGGGTTATGGTATTAATGAACTTTGGGTTCTTTTCATTTACAGATCAGGATCTTCTTTTTAATAAAAGGAGAAGCTAAGGTCTAACCCTTCTGGCAGCAAACTGGCTCTCTAATTATCTTAGTAATAGCTCTAAATTATTATTCAATGTAGGACTACATCCCACTGTTAATGGGTCATGATATCCCTTGGGATTCATACTTTTTTTCCATTTCAGTAAATGACTTGCCATCTGCAGAAAATTCAAGTTCATTGTCTAACTTCTAAAAATAATATTGATATGGTCAGGAAGATATTGATGTATTTGAAAGGGTTTGAAAGTGAACTGGAAGGCAGAGCAGCCGATTCTTGTGGTAAGATTTTTTTCTCCCTGTAGTCCTGGAAAAAAATAATCGACATCAGTAATTTAATACCACAATGCCTAATGTTTTTCTTTCTGATTTGACTTTCACTGTGGTCTATACAATGTTTCTACTGGATGAATTTTGTTTTCTTATAACATAAAATTGCATAAAAGTGCCTCAGTAAGAAGGTACCAAATTCTACAAGAAGGTGCAGTGAACTATACTTTAATGTTACCTCTGACAGTTAA
This sequence comes from Homo sapiens, assembly GCF_000001405.40. Taxonomy (NCBI): domain Eukaryota; kingdom Metazoa; phylum Chordata; class Mammalia; order Primates; family Hominidae; genus Homo; species Homo sapiens. The sequence goes on along the minus strand of NC_000003.12, from coordinate 176,281,430 downwards.
CAGGTTTTAATTTCCAGCATTATCTACTCTTCCAAGCCTTAGTTTACTCATCTTTAAATAGAAGTAAAAATATTTTGTCTTCTTGAAGCATCTCTTGTTGTCTTTAAGAAGTTACTCATTTTGACCTGGTAATTATAATTTTCTGAGACTGCCTTAGGGAAACAATTTATGATTTTAACAAAGAGATATAGATATGCAAATAGGAGAAAAAAATTAGACTAACAAAAAATGAGAAAATCTAAATTTCTATAAATATGGAAATATAATGATGCATGATACTACTGCAAAATGAAATACTATAAAACAATAATTATATTCTAAAATATTTTATAATATGGAAACTGCAAAATAGAGAATAATATGTTTAAAAACATAAAAGTTTAATAGTAATATATTTTTGATAGCATTGCAACAAATTCAATTATCTTAAAATACACTGCATAAACATATACATGCATATATCTGTAACTATATAAGCATTTTAACAATTAACATACAAATCCTTTGTTCTGAAAAAATATAATTAAAAGCAGTAATAATGACTTTCTATTTCAAAATATGATGGGATACCTGTGACAGACCAATGTACCTACCAGGAATACCTAGAAAAGCAATAATAATGTAAAAATATTTTTTATATTGCATACACTAGAAAAGGAGAAATCAAAGAATAACATAGCTTGGAATCAAACAGTATGTTAAACATGAAAAATTGTTAGGAAGGAAATTATAAACAATAGCAGAAATCAACAACTAAAAAATACAAAACAAATGAACAATAAGGGAAAGTATCAATCAATCCAAGATTTGGTTCTTGAAAAATGATAGTCGGGCCAGGTGCGGTGGCTCATGCCTGTAATCCCAGCACTTTGCGAGGCCTGGGCAGGCGGATCACCTGAAGTCATGGGTTTGAGACCATCCTGGCCAACATAATGACACCCCGATTCTACTAAAAATACAAAAATTAGCCGGGCATGATGGCGCATGCCTTTAATCCCAGCTACTCGGGAGGCTGAGGCAGGAGAATCACTTGAACCCGGGAGGCTGAAGTTGCAGTGAGCCAAGATCACACAACTGCACTCCAGCCTGGGCGACAGAGCGAGACTCCATCTCACACACACACACAAACAAAAAAAAAAAAAAAAAAAAAGAAAAAGAAAAATGACAGTAAAGTTCATAAACCACTACTAGATTCATTAAGAAAAAATTAGAGGGTGTAGAAAAAACAATATTAAGAATGAAAACCATAGATTCTACAGATATTAAACAGATTTGTTATTTTAAAACTTTAGGCAATGAATTTGAAAATTTAGATGAAATGAACAAAACCCTTGAAAAACACAACTTATCCAAACTGACACAAAAGAGTTAGAACATTTATTAGTTTTATATCTATTAAAAATTAAGTCTCTAAATTTAAAACAATATTAACAATAAAAACTTTTCAGGAAGCATCATCCATTTATTTAGAGCAAACATCTAAGTAATAAATAACAGCAAATCTTACACAAATTCTTCCAGGGAAAATTAAAAAATAAGTTAATACTTCCCACCCCAATTCATTTTATGAGACCAGCCTTGTTAACACCAAACCCAATAAAACTTTATTAAAATAAAGTATAAATTTCTGAAAATTTTCTCTCACTAACATAACATTAACAAATTGAACATTAGCAAATGAAATCCAGTAATGTTTGGGAAAATAATACATTATGATTAATTATATTTTCTGGTTTAACATTTGACATTCAATGTAATTCACCAGATTGCCTTAAAAAAGGAGAAAAATAATTTTCTCTGATAAATGATAAATAGAAAAACTTATTAAAAATTCAATACCCAATCAGGAGGAGAAAGAAACTTCCCTAATTTGATAAACAGTCTAGAAAAACATAGTAAACAGCACACTTAAAGGTGTCTCTAAAGTAACCACTGTCCCTAAAAAAATTAATTATTCCAATGTAATTTAATAAATTAAGATTAAATATATAAAGATCAGGTATAAACTCAATAAACAAAAATCAGTTTTACATATATATCTTAAAATAAATAGAAAATAAATGTTTTTAAAAAATAGCTTTTAAAATAATATCAAAAACAAAGGGCTGATTCTTATAAATGATGTGTCATATTTTTATCTCAAAAGCAACAGAAATTAGTGATAGAAATTAAAGAAGACCAGAGTAAATAAAAAAAATGTATACTATGTTCTTAGGTTGAAAGATTCAATATTATGAAGGCATCAATTTTTCTAAAATTGATCTATAGATTAAACATAATCAAAGGCTCAGTAATTTCATGAAAGAAATTAGTAAGATCATAAAATGGAAATGGAAATGCAAGTATCCAAGATAATATTGACGAAAAAGATGAAAAGAAACAAAGTTAAAAGACTTTTACTATTAAACATGATGATTTATTACAAACCTAGATAAATAAGGCAATAAGGGACTGGAACAAAGAGAAGTGGCCAAAGGAATAGAACAGCAAGTCCAGAAACAGCCACACATCTCCACTCAGTTGAACTGTGACAAAGGGGACATTGCAGTGCAATGGAAAAGGACGCTCTTCTTTAATAAAAGATGCTGAGTCAATTGGATAATTATGTAAAATAAAAAGAAATCTTGGTCGGGCGCAGTGGCTCACGCCTGTAATCCCAGCACTTTGGAAGGGCGGATCACAAGGTCAAGAGTTCGAGACCAGCCTGACCAACATGGTGAAACTCTGTCTCTACTAAAAATACAAAAATTAGCCAGTTGTGGTGGTGCGCACCTGTAATCCCAGCTAATCAGGAGGCTGAGGCAGGAGAATTGCTTGAACCGGGAGGTGGATGTTGCAGTGAGCCGAGATTGCACCACTGCACTCCAGCCTGGGTGACAGAGCAAGACTCTGTCTAAAAAAAAAAAAAAAAAAAAAAAAAAATTAACTCCAGTTTGATTGTTATTCTACATGTGATAAGTAAAACAAAACTTTAAAAAAATCATAAAATTTTAACTGCCTTAGAAGAAGGCAAAGTTTTCTTGAACTGAACTGAAAAAGTACTAACTGAAGGGGGGAAAATGTGATAAATAGGATTACAGTAAAAGTAAGGATGTTTTCTTATTCAAAGACATCAAGAGAGTAAAAAAGTATACCCACAGATGATATGCATATCTGACAAAGAGATATGCATATCTGATACAGAATTCTTAAAATGCAATAATAATAAAAGTCAATACAGTAAAAATAATTATTAGTATTATGAGCAAAGGCTTCAAAGTCACATCAAAATGGAAAGTGTCAAAATGCCTGATAAACACCTGAATAATTGCAGACTTCATTGGTTACCAGAGAAATTCATGGAATACTATGAAGCCATAAAAAAGAATGAGTTCGGGCTGGGCACGGTGGCTCACACCTGTAATCCCAGCACTTTGGGAGGCCGAGGTGGGTGGATCACGAGGTCAGGAGTTTGAGACCAGCTTGGCCAACATGGTGAAATCCTGTCTCTACTAAAAATACAAAAATTAGCTGGGCGTAGAGGCACGTGCCTGTAATCCCAACTACTCAGGAGGCTGAGGCAGGAGAATCGCTTGAACCCAGGAGGCAGAGGTTGCAGTGAGCCGAGATCGTGCCATTGCATTCCAGCCTGGGCGACAGGGCGAGACTTCGTCTCAAAAAAAAAAAAAAAAAAAAAAGAAAAATGAGTTCATGTCCATTTCAGGGACATGGATGAAGCTGGAAGCCACCATTCTCAGCAAACTAATACAGGAACAGAAAACCAAACACCTCATGTTCTGACTCATAAGTGGGAGTTGAACAATGAAAACACATGGACACAGGGAGAGGCACATCACACACCGGGGCCTGTTAGGGTGTGAGGGGCAAGGGGAGGGAGAGCATTAGGACAAATACCTAACGCATGTGGGGCTTAAAACCTAGATGACAGGTTGATAGGTGCAGCAAACCACCATGGCACATGTATACCAATGTAACAAACCAGACACATTCTGCACATATAGCCCAGAGCTTAAAGTAAAATAAAAAAAAAGAGGCATCATTATAAACCCATATGAATTAACAAATTATAGGACAAATGTTAGTGTTAGTATGTAGCAACTGGAACTCACATACTGCTGATGTTAATGTATGTTGACATAATCTCACTAAAAACTCTTTTGTCAGAAACTACCAAGTCTGAACATATGTATATCCTAAACTGGGCAGTTCCACTCATAGATAAAAACTTAAGAGAAATGTATACATATGTTCACCAAAATACATGAAGAAGTATTTCACAAAAACACATAATAGATGAAACTGGAAACAATCTAAACCTCCATCAAAAGACAAGTGGATAAATCCACCATGGTATATTTATACAATTGATTACTGTATAGTAATTAGTCTGAACTATAGCTCTGTACAAGAACACAGGTGAATTTTGACTGGAAGATTAAAACACAAAAAAGTACAAACTTCCTGACCCCACCTATGTAAAATCCAAAACCAGGCTGTGTGTCCAAAGTCAGAAAGTAAGTATACTTAAGGAAGGAGAGTGACTAGGAAGGACATGATGATGTCTTCTATTGTGTTGTCAATGTTATTTTTCTCAATCCAAAAGCCAGTTACATGGGTGCATTCATGTTATTAAAACCCATCAAGTTTTACACTTCCAGTACTCATTTTATATAGGTATGTTATATGTAAATAAGAAGCTTATTTTAAAAATTATAATGAAATATGCATACATTGTAGTTTTATTAAACGGATTAACATCTAGTCAGATGTTTCTTAGCCATTTGATACTTTCTATTTTGATGCGACTGTTCAAGTCTTTTGCTCATAATACTAATAATTATTATTTTTACTGTTTTGACATTCATTATTTTTACATTTTAAGAATTCTGTGTATACAAGCTTTTTGTCAGATATGCATATCATCTGTGGCATTTTTTTTTTACCAGTGTTATTAAGTGGATCTTACATATGATGAGAAAGCATTTTGTAGTCTATATGGCTGTGGCAACATTACTATTGTTGCACAGGAAATGTGATTACCCAGCTATAAGTGCGTGGGGTTATAATATGAATTCTGACCCAATAAAATGTCACCTTGTACTTCCCTGACCTCTTTTCAAATTTCTTTCTTGGCGGTGTTTAGAGAACAGCTTGATTCCAAATAAAACCCTGTTCCCAGCTTTATGAATGCCAAGAAAGCCATTTTAAAATGTTGTCCCCAGATTCACTTTCAGAAGAAAGTAACTCTGCTTCCCCAATATAAAGTTTCAAGAGGAAAAATGAACTAAGTATTCCAGTGATCTTTAGGATCCTTACCTATCTCCAGTTCCTCCACTCTCTCAGGACAAATGAAATTCTGAGACAATAACAGAGGAAATGACAGCAAATATTAAGAAGAGCTTACAATCAGCAAGAAGATCCAAAAATCTACACTTCAAACCTTTCATTACAAAGAACTGTAACAGCTTCAAATAGTAGTTAAAAGCTGGACTTTGGAAGCAGAACGCATGAACAAAAATTCTAGCTTCACCAGTTACCAGATGTATACAGTTAAACTAGTTTCGTTCTTTAACTTTCTGAGATTCCTTTTCAATAAAATAAAGATAATATTCTAACAAATAAGTTTGCTGGATGATTAGTACTCATAAAGTGCTTAGAAAATAATTTGAAATATAGCAAATGTTTGCGAATTGTTACCTAACTTATTTGTAATAGACAAAAACCCTGAAATTTCCCTTCCTTCCCTCCCTTCCTTCCTCCCTCCCTTCCTTCCTCCCTTCCTTCCTCCCTCCCTTCCTTCCTTCCCTCCCTCCTTTCCTCCTTTCCCCTTCCTTCCTTCCTTCCTTTCCTTCTTTCTTCTCTTGAAATTGGTGCTCCTGCTTACCAGGCAGCTCTCCTCCATAAAGCCATAGCCTCCTTCCTTCTTGAGGCTCAGCCATCTTCGACTCTTGCTTCTAACATTTCTATGCTTATCTCTGCTAAGCTTGTTAAAGAAAAACAGCATGAAGGGCTGCATGCAGGATGCTGTGTAGTGGTTTGTGTCATTTTAACTCACACTCCTTTTACTTGAACTCAGTCATGTCTATTCACCTAACTGAAAGAGAGGGTGAGAAATGTATTCTAACCAAGTGTGCAGGAAGAAAAGAGGAACGGGGTTTGAGAACACCTGGCTAGTTTCTGCCTTAGTCTCTCTTTTGTTTCACCCATCCTCCCCTACAAGTAATTATTGTTCTTTGCTAACTCATCTGTGAAAAATTGTATAGAGTCAAAAATAAGCATTATATACTGCATGAAGCAAAATTATGACCCTTTGATGAGGCTGAATGACAGAAAACAAATGTGCATTGGTGTGTATGTGGGAGTTAGAGCAATAAGAAACTTATTTCTTATCATTTACACTGGGAAATCACTAACAAATACGTAAAAATGAAAAATTAAGAAATGTTCATATAAATGTGTCACTTGGAATGAAGGTGAAAACCAGGAAAAATAGCTACAAATAGTTGAAAGTAATTGTTTCAGTTAGTAAGAACCTGCAGTAGGGAAGTATGGAGCAGGATCCTGCTTTTACATTATAAATTTATTAATTTTACTTGACTTTTTGACTGTGTCTGTGTGCTGTTTTGATTAAACCAAAAATAAATTGAATGTACAGAGCCAATAAAATTAGGGAACCATGAGAGGCATTCGAATTGACAGGTCAGTCAGCAGGAAACTTGGAGACACATAGGTAATAAAGTTTAAATTCTTGTGACTATAAGAGAGAGAAAAGAAATTAATAGATTGTGAGAGGTGTTCAGATAGAGAACAATGACCAAGATCATAGGGAGAAATTTTTGTGCCTTTAGGCTATGCTCTGATTGTGTGAGACGGAACACTTTGTAGAGACAGTACATGCCTGTCATTTCTCCTGGTGCTGTGGTTACACATTGTGAAGGCTGATTTTAGGTATCAACGTGCCTGGATTAAAGAATACCTAAAGAGCTGGTAAAGCATTATTCCTGGGTGTGTCTGTGAGGGCGTTTCCAGAGGAGGCTCATGTGTGAGCCTGTTCAACTGGTGGAGACGATCTGGTCTCAATGTGGTCACGCAATTGGCTGGGAGCCTGGATAAAACAAAAAAGGCAGAGGAAAGGCAAATTCACTCCCTCTCTTCTGAGGCTGGAACAACCTTCTTCTTCTGCCCTCAAACATCAGAACTCCAGGCTTATATATATTCCATTGGTTCTGTCTCTCTGGAGAACCCTGACTAATCCACACAGAATAAATAAAGTTTCAGAATCCAAGTTGTTTCACCTGTCCTGACAATTGAAATTCTATACTGGAACATTATGGTGTTTACTCTTCTGTTGATTTTTATGAATTCATTTAGGTTGCAGCATTTGCAGCTGTGTTGACTATACTTCTTAACCTTGGCTGCTTTTAAAACGTTTACCTTACCAATGGGGAAAATAGAGAAAGTCAATATTTTCCAAATGTGCTGCTTTAATAATTAGGGGGAAAACATCTATTACATGAACACTTACTTGGAAGGATTTTAAGTGTGTTTAATATAGCCATCAAAGAAAACTGAAAAATATCAAAAATTATTTAAGAAAAGCAAACTTGGTACTTAGAGAAATAAAACAATTTTGCCAATATCATAATTTCCAGGCCAGTTGATTCCTAGAACCATTTAATGAAGTCAGACATTACAGCAATTACAGAGGGTTATATAATTAAAAGACTCAAGAGATGCCACAGAGCACACAAACATAAAGCTTTAATAAAGACTAATAATTCAATTTAGCCAGAAAAATAAAATATCAGGCAGATTATAGGCATGCAGGCATAGCTTCCAGGGTCCTATCTCTGTCACATGGGATAAGCGCTATCTCTGGATCACAAACCATCAAGATAAGTGTGATTGCCTCTGTCTCAAGGATACCCAGTCTTGTGTTTACTAAGAGTCATTGATGCAGATACAACACTAACAACTTAGTCAAACTAGGCTGTGTAACCAGATGCACCAGGTTTAGACCACCAATCTACATATTTACGATAATTTTGACCAGCTGGTACAAGATACCTCCAGGGGAGTTTTGATCTTAGCACATTACCAATCATGAGCTAGAATATTTCATTCCTATCTTGTCCAAGAGTCAATACCATAGTTCCAGACATTTTTAGGGATAAGCACGGAGCTACCACAGGTGATTTACATATACATGATGAATCAGAAACTTCAATTTACCAAGTGGATGTGTGTGTGTTTCATTTTGTTTTTCTGTGTGAAGTTAGAATGTTGCAATACTAAACTAAGGGAAGATAAACATTTGCAAAATGCAGTCAAAGATACACAGGAAGAAGGAAAGGAGGTGATGATACACATACAAAACTTTCCTTTACCTTAAATAGAATATACTGTATTAGTTTTAAAAATGTTTTGCCATGTTCTATTTATATAAAAATATATTCTAAAGAAGTAGCCAAGAAATGGTTGCTGAGAAAAAAAAAAAAAAAACAGCAAGAGTTAATGTTCTTACAGAAATGCAATGGCAGTTCTAAGGTGTGACAATGGAAAAGGAAAATGTCCAAATCATTTTCAGACCATACTATCTCTGGCTAAAAAAAAGTCTTAGGAATTTGAGGAACAGAATAATTGCTATAATTTTCACCTGTGGAGTTTCAAATAAGGGATATTCAAAAAGCTTCATTTATTTCATTATTTGAAGTGAATAATTATTTAATAATTGCAAATATTAAATACTGAATGATACTAACAAAAGTTTTCAACTAGTTTGAAAACTTAAAAGACCTGAAACATTAACAGGAATTTACCAGCCTCAAAGTCAATCGTTAGAGATGGATTGCTTTACTCTATTAATTTTGAGAAAGCACATTTAGAATACTAAACATTAAATGTTCATTGGTTTTTGTTTTCTTCAAATTTTGTTTTAATTGTATAATAATTTTTGTTACAATTGACTTGTGGTCATTTTCTAATGATAACATTTTACATCATCTGAAAATTTTAATTTGAGCATTGATTTAGAGAGATGGACACTGTGCTACCTCATCCAAGGCAAATAATTCATGTGAGTCCTTTGTTCATGTGAATCAGATGACTCAGAAGAGTACTCCAATCACAGGAAAGGCAAAATGTGTAAGTATTTACTTTTAATAAAAAAATACATAAATAACAATTATTTGATCAAGAAACAAAAATACATAAATAACAATTATTTGATCAAGAAGAGGTCAAAAATTAAAATGTTTAAAGTAACCACATCAATTTTTTTAAAATAACTATATTGGTTTTCTATTACTATTATGACAGATCACCACCAACTTGGCTTAAACCACACATTTTTTTTTTATTAGCTGTGTAGGTCAGAAGTCTGACATGGGTCTCACTGTTCGGCTTCCAGAAGCTGCCTGTATTCCATGGCTCATAGCCTCTCCTCTGTCTTCAAAGCCAGCAACAGTGGGTTGAGTTCTCACACCGTATCATTCTGACCTTCTGTTCTGCCTCCCTGTTTCACTTCTAAGGTCCTTGTGATTACATTGGGCCACCCCCAAAATCCCCCAAATCTCATTTTCTTAAGGTTTGATGATTAGCAACCTTAGTCTCATCTGCAGCCTTAGTTTCCCTTTTGCCATGTAAGGTAACAGAATCACAAATTTTAGGGATTTTGACATCAAAATTTTTGTGGGACCATTATTCTGCCTTCTACAGTAACTAATGTCATATCATTGCTTTGCTTTTAATGTGTAAAAATCTACAGAAATGTTTTAAATGTTTATTTTTTATTATAATTAATTTGTACCTTATTCTATTTCAACACTATGCAACATGAAGGTACACTTGCTAGTAAAGGATTATATCTTAGTGTTAATCAGGTATTTATTGTTTGTTTACTATTAAGCAGACCCTGCTCTAGGTAATGAGGACATAGCAGTAAAAAGAAAACATAAATTTCTACCATGGAGTTTATATTTTAATGGGAAAGATGAACAATAACAACATAAGTAAAATACATAATATATTACATATCTTTTAATGGAGAAAAGTAAGTATTATGTGTTTGTGGATAATGGGATGGGGATAAAAAGGGAGCATTTACTGGTCTTTCAGATGAAGGGCCAGAGAGCCCTGACAGGGTTATCTCAGCTGTTGACAGTGGTATACATCTCACTTTGGTTAAAATAACAACTGGATACAATATTGCTGAATTGGGTACCTCATCAGTGTAGCAAAGGCAGATGAAAGTTATAATTCTAAATTAGGTAATTCATGATACAGCAGAAACCAGTATCAGGCAGCCCAGCCTTTACACAATACCTAATCAATAAGCCTAGATATTGCCAGCAATCAGTGGAACTTTGAAATATGGCTCTTCTAAAATGAGACAGAGATCTTTGTAGCTCTGAAAGGCCTATTCCCGTGTTTACTGCCCCAAGCTTTATCCGCCATGTAGGATTACTTTTCCTACTAGGAAACGTAAAACTTCTAGTAAGCATTCAACTTTGGTCTCTTAGCTTTTATTTCCTCTTTACATATACAGAGGCTAATGAGAAGGTGACATTTTAGTTTAAACCTGAATCACGAAGAGTGATGTCAGCAAGATCATGAAATAGGAAGTTACTACTCATATCTCCTCACATAAGAAATCTGTGCCTATCCATGGACAAAAGTCTCTTTGTGAGAGTCATTGGTCTCAGTGGTTGTCTTAGTCCATTTCTGCATTGCTATAAAGTAATATCTGCAACCGTAGTTTCCCTTTTGCCATGTAAGGTGACAGAATCACAAATTTTAGGAATTTTGACATCAAAATTTTTATGGGGCCATTATATTTACGGGGCTGGATAATTTATAAAGAAAAAAGGTTTCTTTGACTCACAGTTCTGCAGACTGTACAAGATCCATGGTGCCAGTTTGGCTTCTGGCGAGAATCTCATGCTTCATCTACTCAAGGTGGAAGGCAAGGGGGAACCAGCATGCAGAGATCACATGGCATGATTGAAAACAAGAGGGGACGGGGCAGTACCAGACTCTTTTTAACAACCAGCTTTTGCAGGAACAAATACAGCGAGAACTCACTCATTATCACAAGAATGGCATCAAGCCACTCATGAGGGATTTGTCCCCACAGCACAAACACTTCCCATCAGGACTCAACTCCAACAGTGGGGATCAAATTTCAACATGAGATTTGGTGGGGCCAAACAAACCATATCCAAACCATAGCAGTAGTGGAGTCAAAAGTTGTCCGTAACTCAATTCCAGGCCCCTCAGCTGTTGTCCCAGCTGAGTACTGCCCCAACAAGGACCCAGAGGGAGACTTACCCATCTGAGCCACCATGACCGGCTTTTTGGCTTCATTCCCACGGTAGATCTTAAAGAGATCCTGCCTTGGTTCCAGCGCTTCTCTGCCACAAAGCCCAGGAAGTATCCTACACATGCAGAGAACTGCCTGGAGACTTATCCATCTGAGGCTCAACTACCCTTTGCCACAGCCAGGGAAATGTATCACCTGTGCAGGAAACTGCTGGGAGATGCACCTGTCAGAGAGTTTGCAACAGGTTTGCCCACCCCGTCCCATAGCAGATCTCAAAGGGGCTTGGTCTCAGCTCTAGCCCCTTCTGTTGAAGTCAGGGAATCTATGTAGGGAACTGCTGTGAGACATGCACACTAGCTGAGCCACTACGACAGACATGCCTGACTGTTGCACAGCAGATCTTGAAGGGGACCAGTCTCAGCTCCAGCCCGTCACTGTGGTCAGGAAACTATCCCCAAACACAGGGATATGCTGGATGACTCTCCCATACGAGCCACTGAAACAGATTTACCAGTCTTCATTACATGGCAGATCCAGGAGAAGCCAGGCCTTGCCTTCCAGCCTTTCTCTGCTGTACCAGGGATTAATTTCACTCGTGTAAAGAACTTCTGTGAGACTAGCTAATGTGAACCATAAGGACAGGATTGCCAGCCTCTGCCACAGCAGAACTGGGCAAAATTTGATAAGCCCTAGTTTGGCACACCAGGGAGTTTAATCAGCCATCCCCCCCGGCCTCAAAGCCCATCCCCACACCTGACCCAGAAAGGGAGGCAAATCTCAGTCATGCATTTCTATTGAACATAGCAGTTGCTCCATTCATACTGATACACTTAACCTCAGGGACCCTCCTGCAACACTGTGCAACTGCTGATACATATATGGCCCCTTCTGGTCAGGGAATACATGCTGCAGCCCAGGTAGATCAGAGGTGATTGCAGTGCCCATCCGGAGCTCAGCCTAATTCCAGAGCTCAGCCAGTTTTCTTGCTGGGTAGCAGAACTTAGCCAGCTGCTCCACATGAATGCAGAGCAAAGGTAGCAGCCAAGCCATCTAGAGAACCTGAAAGCAAGCTTAGCTTGGCCAGAATTAATGCCAGCTGGCCCAGCAAGAATCAATCATAGGCTAGACTAAATAGTGAAGATCTATCACTGCCAAGAAACATCTGAAAAAGCCAGAAAAGATGGTTGTTGCTGCAAACACACACACACCAATGGGAGAATACAAGGATTACAAAGACTCAGGAAATCATGGCACTTCCAATAGAAACTTCAAACAATGGACCAAAAGAAAGAACTATAAAATGACAGAAAAAGAATTTAGAATAATCCTCTTTAAAAAGTTCAGAGAACTCCATTAATATACAGATACAAAATTTTTAAAAATTTGAAAAACCATATATAAACAAAATGAGAAGTTTGACGAAGAAATAGAAATATTTTAAAAACCTCAGAAATCTTAGAGATGAAGAATGCAATTACTGAATTGAAGAAAAGAATAAATACTTTTAATAGCTAGCTCAACCAAATTGAAAAAAGAATTGGTGAAGGAAGTCAGCAAGGTTGCTGATTAGAGGTGCCTAACACCTATGTCCCTCACAACAAAAGGACCAAAACAAGCAATAAACAACCATATTTCAACTACAGTATTTAAAGGAGAGTGCTGGTGTTCAGTGGAAGAGTGGTAGAGTCACTGTAAATCAGGGAACTCAGGATTGCCACATAAAAAAATAGAACAGGCCGGGCGTGGTGGCTCACGCCTGTAATCCAAGCACTTTGGGAGGCCAAGGCTGGTGGATCGAGGTCAGGAATTCAGGACCAGCTTGAACAACATGGTGAAACCCCATCTCTACTAAAAATAAAAACTTAGCCGGCAGTGGTGGTGCACGTCTGTAATCCCAGCTACTCAGGAGGCTGAGGCAGGAGAATCGCTTGAACCCAGGAGGCAGAGGTTGCAGTGAGCCGAGATTGCACCATTGAACTCCAGCCTGGGCAACAGAACGAGACTCTGTCTCAAAAAATAAAAAAATAGAACAAAACACCCTGCCTTTGCAACCCTGTCTCCCCAGTTAGCATCAAGTTGGAACCAGGAGGGACTTCTTTTGAGAGAAAAAGTTAAGCAGGAGACCCCAGAAGGTATCATTAAAAATGCAAACACTTACAGTCTTTGCTGCTAGAGAACTCTTAAGCACTCACAGGCTCTGAGCCCAGGCTAGCGAACTGACTGAAGTTCACATGGCTGCATTACCCCCAAAAAAACCCCATATTGTGTATGTCCATGATCCAAGCAGCTACTTTAAGGTAAAATCTGGAGACCAGAGCCACTGCTCTAGGAGCCAATAGGCATTGCATGTCCTCATCCCTGAGGCTCCACTGCCACTACGCTACTCACCTGCATAATAGCACATCATTCTGCAGCTAAGCAGCTACAGCCTTTTATCCCTGGTAATAATCTCCCAGGAGGCACTCCATTGTTCTCATCTCAGTGGCTGCAATGATTTGGCTTTCTGCAGATTTGGCTACAGAAAGCTTAGGCCAAGTGGAACAGCCATAATCCTGGTACCAGACTCTAAGTGGCTCCCTGGCCCCCAAAAGAACAGGAAATCTTGCCCAGTGGGGAGGCTGCACCTGACCCTAGTGGAGCAGTCCCTGTACACCTGTGGCACCTGGAACAGCCCAGCACCCTGACCCCAGTGGGAGACCATGCCAGATCCCAAAAAAGTAGCCCCCATGAACACAAGGCACACAAAACAACCTGGTACACCCACCCTCAGCAGAGAGGTGCACCTGACCTGTTGGAGCGGCTGCACAAACTCCTGCAGTCTAGGCCACTGAGACATTCACAAGCATCACTGACATTGACTACAGCTGAAGAAACTTCATTGACTACCCTGTTGCACCTACTTAGAACCAAATCTAATGCATCAAATCCAACCAACACCCTAGGACACATTTGCAGGTGAAAAAGTTTCCCTAAATGACCATTTTCCAATATTGGAAGAGGTAATTGCTCCACAAAATACATGGGTATCAATGCAGGGACACACAAAATATGAAAAAACAAGGAAACATGATGCCAACAAGGGAGCACAATTATGTTCAGGTAATTAATCATAAAGAAGGGAAAATTTACAAATTGCCTGAAAATGACGGCAAGATAATAATCTTATGGAAATTCAGTGAGATACAAGAAAATACAAATAGACAATTCAACAAATAGAGATCATTTAAAAAGTCAAACAAAAATCTTAAAATTGAAGACTTCAATGAATGAAATAAAAAATACAACTGAGAGCTTCAGCAGCAGATAAGATCAGGAAGAAGACAGAAATTCTGAACTTAAAGACAGGTCTTTTGAAATAACCCAATCAAAGGGGAAAAAAGAATTTTAAAAAGTAAAAAAGCCTACAAGGTGTGTGCAACGCCATTAACAAACAAATTTTTGCATTGTGGGAATACCAGAGGGAGAAGAAATAAAGAAAAGTACAGAAAGCTTACTTAATGAAATAATAGATGAAAACTTCACAAGTCTTGGGAGATATAAGTACATTCAGATCTGAGAAATTCAAAGAACCTCAATTAGATTCAACCAAAAGATGTCCTCTTCAAGTCACATTATAATCAAACTGTGAAAAGTCAAAGACAAAGAGAGAATTCTAAAAGCACCAACAGTGCCTGGTCACATATAAGAAAACTATCATTAAACTATCAGCAGATTTTTTAGCAGAAATCTTTCAGGCCAGAAAAGAATGGGCTGATATATTCAAAGTGCTCAAAGAAAAAAAATAAAAAAAGAATCCACCAAGAATGCTATACCCACCAAAGCTAACCTTAAAAAATGAAGGAGTAATAAAATATTTCCCAGACAAGTAAAACCTGAGGAAATTTATCATCACAAGACCAGTCTTATAAGAAATGCTAAGGGAGTGCTTCAGCTGGAAGTAAAAGGATGTTAATTACTACCATAAACCATATAAAAGTATAAAACTCATTGGTAGAGGTAAACTCATAATCAAATTCAGACTACTGCATTATTCTAATGGTGGTATATAATCTTTCAAATGTGTAGTGTGAAAGTTAAAAATCAAAGTGGACAATGCTAACAATAACTACAATATGTTGTTAAGGAATATACAATATAAAATATGTAAAGTAAGGCAAAAAAATTCAAATTGTATGAGGGCTAGGGTAGAAGTCTAGAATGTTTGTCAATGACCAGTGTTAAGTTGCTATCAACGAAAATACATTTTTATAGCCATAATATTTAATGTAAGCCCCAGAGCAACCACACATGTGCACACACTAAAAAATTACAGCAGATACACAAATGAAAATGAATCAAATGTCATTACTACAGAAAACTGTCAAGCTACAAAGGTAAACAAGAAAAATGAAAGAAAAGAAGATATACAAAAGGTCTATGAGACATAAAGTTGTTTTTTAAAAAACATAAACAAAATAGGCAAACTTTTGGCAAGACCAAGAAGAAAAGAGAAAGATTAAAATAAGCAAAATTATAGATGGAGAAGGAAATGTTACATTGACATCACAGAAATATAAAGGATCATAAAAGAATAGAATGAACAACTATACACCAATAAAGAGCCAAACTTAGAAAAAATAAATAAATTCCTGGACACGTAAAACCTACCAAAATTAAGTCTTTAATAAATAGAAAATATGAATAGATCAATAATGAGTAATGACATCTAATCAGTAATAAAAAATCTCCTATCAAAGAAAAGTCCAGGACCTCAAGGGCTTTTCTTCACCTTACTGCTAAATTTCACCAAACATTTAAAGAACTTATAACAATACTTTGATAATTATTCCAAAAAATTGAAGAGAAAGGAATTCTTCTAAACTCATTCTGCTAAGCCAACATCACCCTGATACCAAAACCAGACAAGGACACAACAAAAACAGAAAACCACAGACCTCAACAAAATACTAGCAAACCAAATTCAGCAATACATATAAAAGATAATTTACCATGATCCAGCAGGATTTATCGCAGGGACACAAAGATGATTCAATTTTATATACGCAAATCAATAAACATGACATATCACATAAACAGAATCAAGGACAAAAACTGTGTGATCACTTCAATAAACACAGAAAAAGGATTTTATAAATCTTTTATGATAAAAAATCTCAACAGATTAGGTATAAAAGGAACATACCTCGGCCGGGCGCAGTGGCTCACACCTGTAATCCCAGCACTTTGGGAGGCCGAGGCGGGCGGATCACGAGGTCAGGAGATCGAGACCATCCTGGCTAATATGGTGAAACCCTCGTCTCTACTAAAAAATAGAAAAAATTAGCTGGGCATGGTGGCCGGCCCCTGTAGTCCCAGCTACTTGGGAGGCTGAGGCAGGAGAATGGCGTGAACCCGGGAGGCGGAGCTTGCAATGAGCTGAGATCACGCTACTGCACTCCAGCCTGGGCGACAGAGCGAGACTCCGTCTCAAAAAAAAAAAAAACAAAAAAAAGGAACATACCTCAATACAATAAAGGCCATATATGGCAAAGCCATATATAATATCATACTAGATAAGGAGGAGTTGAAAACATTTCTGCTAAGATCTGGACAAGACAAGGATTCCCACTTCACCAGCCCCCCAACACACACACCCTCCTATTCATTATAGCACTGGAAGTTCTAGACAAAGTAATTAGGAAAGGGAAAGAAATAAAGGCATCCAAATTGGAAAGGAGAAAGTCAAATTTTCCTTGTTTGCAGATAGCATGATATTGTATTCATATGTAGAAAATTCTAAAGACCCCACTAAAAAACTGTTAGAACTAACAAATAAATTTAGTGTAGTTTTAGGGTACAAAATCAACATAAAAATCAGTGTCATTTCTATATATCAATAGCAACCTATCTGAAAAAGAAATCAAGAAAGCAATCCAATTTACGATAGCAACAAACAAAATTTAAAAACCTAATAAATTTAACTGAGAAGGAAAAAAAAATTTACAATAAAAATTATAAAACATTGATAAAATAAGTTGAAAAAGACAAAACTAAAAGGATAATCTGTGTTCATGAATTGGAAGAATTAATATTGCTAAAATATATACTAAAGCAATTTATAGATTCATGGTAATCCCTATCAAAGTACCAATAACACTGTTCTCAAATATAAAATAATAAAGAAAATCAATGTGTGGAATTACAAAAGACCCTGAATAGCCAAAGCCATCTTGAGCAAAAAGAACAAAGCTGGGACATCATACTATCTGACTTCAAAACATACGGCAAAGCTACAGCTAAAGCTATAGCTACCAAACAACATGGTATTGGCATAAAAATAGACACATAGACAAATGGAACAGATAGACAACACAGAAATAAATCCACACAGTTATAGCCAACTGATTTTGACAAATGCCCCAACAACATATGTTAAGGAAAGAACAGTCTCTTCAATAAATGATGGCAAGAAGCTTGATATCCCCATGCAGAATGAAGCTAGGTTCCTATCTCTCAGTGTATTAAAAAATCAACTCAAAATGGAGTAAAGACTTAAATGTAAGATTTGAAACTATAAAACTACTAAAAGAAAACATAGGGTAAAATCTTCATTACATTGTTCTGGGCAAGGATTTTTTAAGATAAGAAAACAAAAGCATAAGCAACTAAGGCAAAATAGACAAGTGGGATTATATCAAACTAAATAGCTTTTGCACAATAAAGGAATAAACAGTAAAGAGACAACCTATAGAATGGGAGAAAATATGAGCAAACTATGCATCTGACAAGCAGTTCATGTCCAGAATATATGAGAGACTCAAACAACTTAATAGCCCAAAACCAAATAATCCAATTAGAACATAAACAAAAGTCCTGAATGGACATTTCTCAAAAGAAAACATACAAATGGCCAACAGGTATATGAAAAAAGGATCAACATTGCTAATCATCACAGAAATGCAAATCAAAACCACAATGAGATATTACCTCACCCCAATTACAATGGGTACCATCAAAAAGACAAGGAAAAAAAAGGCTGATTTACATTTACAGATATTGGAACCTTTATACATTGTTGGTGGGAATGTAAACTAATACCAGCATTATAGAAAAGGTATGGAGGTTTCTCAAAAAATAAAAGTAGAACTACCAAATGATCCGGCAATCTCACTAGGGGATATTCATACAAAAGTAAGAAAATCAGTATGTTGAAGGGCTATCTGGACTCCCATGTTTATGGCAGTACTATTCACAACAGCCAAGATACAGGATCAACCTATAGGTTCATCAATGGATAAATCAATAAAGAAAATATTGTATGTATATACAATAAAATACTATTTAGCCATAAAAAATAAAATCATGTTGATAGCGACAGGAGACAGACAAATTCCTAGGCAGACAGGGATGGGTCCCTGGTGAAGCTCGACCTTCAGGCCAAGGACAGTCGAAAGCCTGAAAACCAAGCTGCAAGTTTTGGATAGAATCCACGACTGGAGTGAGAACTTCCAACCCCGTCTCACCAACTTTCTCTCTATTGGTTCCTTGTGAATCATGCCTTTTAACCAATCAAATGGTACCTTTTCCAAGCCCACCCATAGACCAATCAGAACACATTCCCCTATTCTAAGCCCATGAAAACACTGGACTCAGCCTCACAGATGGGAATACAATTTCAAACCCTGTCTTGCTGCTGAGAGCTTTCCTTCTGTCTCTCAATAAAATTCTACTCTGCCTTACTCACTCTCTGGTGTCCAAGTACCTTATTCCTCTTGGTTGCGTGACAAGAACCTAGAACTCGCCAAACTGTGGGAGTGAAAGAACTGTAACACTCCCGCTTGCCAAGCTGCGGGTGGTGAGAGAGCTGTAAAATGCTCTCCTGCTCACTGAGCTGCCAGAGTGAAGAAGCTGCTGGGCACCACTCCCTCCTACTTGCCGAGCTATGGGAGCAAAAAAAGTTGCAACACTGTTATTCGTGGCAACATGGATAAACCTGGAAGACGTTACATTAAGTGGAATAAACCAGCCAACAAAGACAAATACTGCATGAATCCGCTCATTTGTGGAATCTAAAAAAGATGATCTCCTGGAAGTACAGAGTAGAATGGTAGTTACCAGAGGCTGGAGATTGTAGGGGGAAGGGCAGATGGAAAGAGATTAGTGAACAGGTACAAAATTACAGTTACATAGGAGGAAGAAGTTCTGCTGTTTTATTGCCCAGAAAGGTGACTAGAGTTAACAATATTGTATTATATATTTCAAGATAACTAGAAGAAAGGGTTTTGAATGTTCTCACCACAAGGAAATGATAAATGTTTGAGGTAATGTTTCTACTAAATATCCTCATTTAATATTTACACAATGTGCACAAGTATCAAAACATCACAGTGATCCCTCTATATATGTACAATTATTATTTGTTAATTAAAATCAAACTAGAACATAAAAGGAAATAATCAATAAGCTTGAAGACAGAATATTTGAAATCACCCAATCAGAGCAACAACAAGAAGAAAGAATGAAAAAGAATGAAGAAAGCTTACAGGAATTATGGGACACAATCAAGACACCTAACCTACACTTAATAGGAGTTAAAGAAGAAAAAAAAGTTCTAAAAAGATATTTAAAGAAATAATGGCTGAAAACTTCCCTAATTTGAGGAAATAAGACAACACCCAGGCACAGAAAGTTCAGAGATCTTCAGTCAAATTCACCCTAAGGAAGCTCACCACACATAATGATCAAACTCTTAAAGAGCAAAGACAAAGGGAAATTCTGAGAGCAAAGAGAAAGAAGAAATACATCACACAAAAGAGTACCAATACCACTATCAATGGACTTCCCAGCAAAAACCCTGTAATTCAGGAAAGAGTGGAATGATGTATTCAAAATGCTGTAGGCAAAACACTTCCAGCCATTAGAACAAATGGAACTAATAGACATATATAGAGCATCCTATTCAAAAGCAACAGCATACACATTCTTCTTAAGTGCACATGCCACACTCCTCAGGATAGATTATATTTATTATACCATGAGACAAATCTTAGCAAATTTAAGAAAATGTAAATTATATCAAATACCTTTTTTAACTACAGTATTATAAAACTAGAAATCAATAAAACCAGAAACTTCAGAAAATTAAAACATACATGGAAATTAAACAACAGAGTGGCTAACAGATACATGAAATAATGCTTAATCTCACTAATCCTTAGGGAGATGCAAATTAGAACCACAATGAGATACCATCTCACATTATTATAATGGCTATAATCAAAAAGGTGAAAGACAGTGGGTGTTGGCAAGGATATAGTGAAAATGCAGCCCTTACTCTTGGTGGGAATGCAAGTTACTAAAGTTATTATGGAATACAGTTCAAAATACTAGACATAGAATTACCATATCAACCAGCAATCCCATTCTGGACATTTACCCCAAAGATTTGAAATCACCATGTTGAAGGAATGTCTGCACTCCCATGTTCATTGCAGTGCTATTCACAGTTGCCAAGTTATCAAATCAACCTAAGTTTCCATCGAGAGATGAATTGATAAAGAAAATGTGGCATATATATACCACAGAATACTATTCAGCCTTTAAAAAGGAGAAATTCTATAATTTATACAATATGGTTGAAATTCAAGAACATTATGCTAAGTGAAATGAGCAAAACACAGAAAGACAAATAATGCACATTGTCATTTACATGTGGAATCTAAACCAACTGAACCCATAAAAGCAGAGAATAGAATGATGGTGTATTAGTTTGCTCTCATGCTGCTAATAAAGACATACCTAAGACTGGATAATTTATAAAGGAAAGAAGTTTAATTGACTCACAGTTCCACATGGCTGGGGAAGCCTCACAACCATGTTGGAAGGCAAATGAGGGACAAAGTCATGTCTTACATGGTGGCAGGCAAAAAGCTAGTGTAGAGGAATTCCCTTTTATAAAAGCATCAGATCTCATGAAACTTAGTCAGTATCATGAGAACAGCAAGGGAAAGACCCACCCCTGTGATTCGATTACCTCCCACCAGATCCCTCCCATGACATGTGGGAATTATGGGTGCTACAATTCAAGATGAGATTTGGGTGGGGACACAGCCAAACCATATCAGGTGGTTATCAGAGGCTTAGAGGTGGAGAGAATGGAGAGATGATCATCAAAAAGTACAAAGCCTCATTTAGAAAGGAGGGATAAGTTTGATTTTTCTTTTTACATCTATAGCATAGCGTGTTGAATATAGCTAATAATTGATTATGGTACAATTCAATATCACTAAGACAGCAAATTTCTAATATTCTCATCACAAAAAGAGCTAAACTTTGATGTGTTAGATATGTTAATCACTTTAATTATTCCAAATTTTGTTAAAAAATTGTAACAACACTTGGTACTCCATAATATGTACAACTGTCAATATATTATTAAAATTAACAAAAAAAAATCATGATAGAAAAAGAGTATCCAAAATGACCCTAAGTTTGTCATTTAAGCAGCCAGAAGAAAAACAATGCTGTTTATTGGTTTAGGAAAGAATTTGAGAAGAGCAGATTTGGGCAGAATTTCAGAAGCTCATCTTGACTTTGTGTTTGCTAGCTGCCAGAGAAAAGGAGGCAGGATAAGATAAATGGCTGCAGGCATCCAAACAAAAATTCTTCAAGGAAGCAAAATATTTTTGTTAGAAATAGCACAATTGTTTGCCATATTTTGGATGGATTTTTCCTTAAGCAGACACCTGGCCTCTCTATAAATCTTTTCTGACTCTATAAACAGAATACCTTGTTTTATCATTTTGGAAAAAAAATAGGTATGATTGGCTTCATTCTGTTTCCTTGGGTGAATGTGGGAGTAGCATTTGGAAATATTTTGCTTTTTCAAGAAAAGCCAGATTCTGGATGACTTTAATGTGAAATTTATCAGCTTTTAAATTAGCTAATTACAATTATTTAAAAATACTGTTTGGGCCAAAAACAGAAAGCCTGCATTCTGTTTCAGTCCATTCACTGTTCTCTGTGATTTTTATCCTACATCTTAACTTGGGCCTAGCTGAACAAGTTATTGCTTACACAGCAAGTGGTGTATTAAGTCAAACGAATTTAGCTACCAATAAGTCGGCAGTATTTTGGGGCTTGTATTCATTAGGTGAAAAAAATACTTGCAGCATTTTACAAAAAATATTACTTACTTTGGCTCAATAAAATGCCAATTAAATCTCTGTAGTTGGTATTACTGTTAATCAAATATAAATTGTCAGAAAACCATATTGAATCTCTAGAGATAGGAAATTGTGTATCTGTTTAATATACCATACTCAACTAATCCATCTAAATGAAATGTAATAGCTGGAGGTAGATATTTATTTCCTCTGAAGTTTATTTCTCATATTTATGTTTGTGTGATGTTTCATTATATCAAAACTATGCAAAAATTGCAGAGGCAGTATGTTTTGTAAAAATGCCTGCTTTAGTCCCTCTTAAATTATTCCTTTTCACTGCATTATTGTTTAATAAAATTGCATTAATAAAATAGAACAATCACTATAATCCCTGTATTCTAATAGCAGTTTGTCAACTCTTCTTTCTAATATAAAATTAGCATGGAAATTATACCTTATAAACTTGAAGAAAGAGTAAGTGGCAAATAATTTTTAATTGTTGATATGCTAATAAACATCCATTATCATCCATTGCTATAAATGTCTTTTATGTATTAAGACACAGATTTCTTGCTTGTAATTAAACTACACAAGCATTGTGGTGTCATTAAGTCTGTAAATGTGCTGATATTAATGGGTACATTAATAAGTAGTAAGCAAAGCTAAGGCAGGCCTCCCTGGAGGCGATGGCTTGAGGAGAGATTCTGAATACTAGGTCATCTTAATTTGTGCTGGCAGTCACACCTTGTCTTTTCAATTTATTATTGTTTAATTAAAAGTGGCTTGAGGACATACAAAAATTAGCCGGGCATGGTGGCCAGTGCCTGTAGTTCCACCTATTTGGAAGGTTAAGGTGGGAGGATTGCTCGAGCCTGGGAGGTCGAGGCAGTAGTCAGCCATGTGCGTGCAACTGCGCTCCAGCCTGGGCAACAGAGAGTTAACTTATGAAAGCACAAGTGTAAACTAAAAATAGAAAAACAAAACCAAATAAAAGGAAAGACTGAGAATTAAACACAACATCATGAGTGATGTAAACACAACAAGAAAAAAACAGTTCTGTTTTTTAGCTCTTTAATAACAAGAAAAGTCTATGATGATTTGGAGAAATCAATTTTTCCAAAGGTTATGTTATGTTTCCTGGCTTCTGATCAGCATTATTAGTGGCATAGTTTCCCCTCTGGAGGAGCTTAAGGTCTCTACTTATTGGAACTTCTGATATGGGTCAAGAATGTACAAATTGGGAATACCAAAATCAAGTCTCAGTTAGAGAATGTGAAGTTTTTATTCAGGACAGTATAAATGAACAAAGATGGAAGCAAATGCTTTCTTCTGTGTTTGCCTTTCCATGGATCTTAGTGTTAGAAGGTGGTGAAACTCTAGGGCTGGGATCACAATGTGGACTTTGGAAATAAGGACAAAGGAATCTATTTTCTCAACATTGAGTATATGTTACTGCTTCGCAAGCCTGACTGTAACCTGACCTGGAGTTTTGGCATCAGTCTTTTGAAAAAGTCATCCAAGTGATTCTGCTAGAAGCCAGGAGAGGTAACCACTGATTTAGGCTACGTGGGGTACAAATGACAGAGAACAGCTCAAATGTTTGAATACTACATCACTGTATAGATGTTTAAAGCCCAAATACTAGCCAATAACATACAGTAACTGCCTGGAGCCTTGTGGCAAGGCAAAAAGGACATAGCTTTCAGGTGATCAAGCTTTTTACTTAATTAACCAGCACAGTATGCAATGGCCTCAAAGAAAATTACATGTATGCAAATTTACATTTTTAAAGTGAGAAACAGATAATGAGATCTGTTTCTAAATTAAGAGTGCAAGGTTCACTGGGACAGGCAATGCTTATGAAAGACAAACGGGAGAGAAAGTAGGATTAAATAGGGAAAGTCTTCAGACCATGATATAGATCTGACATCTGTGAAAAGAATGGGAAGGGAAAGCAGGATTGGGCATGGGAAGGCTCCAACTCTGATGCAGATATGGCAACGTCTTGGCCAGTCCATTTGTGAACAATAAGGAATGCCAGGCAGAGAGGTCCTATATTGAGTTGAATGAGATTGGACCTGTTATCACTGACATGCTCAGTTATTGCCTGGGGACTGTCCAGAAAGATTTTAGTTCCATCAGAAAAGCTGAGGTGAATCTTGAAGGTTCCAAGAGCTGGAGGCAGTAGGTAATTACACTCCTTGCAGGTGGAGAGCAAGATATTCCTTGATGAGAGATTGAAGGGCTGTGGTTCTGTGACTGCTACAAACTGCATACAGCATATTGTTGACATTTAAAATTTCTTCCTTCAATTAGCTTTTTTAATTATAAATCATTGATGAGATGTTACTACCTCCTGGCAAAGATATCTGGCCACCAAATCCAGAGGAAAGGGTGATAACTTGCCTTCACCATCCATCTCCACAGCTTCTTTGCCTATATTCTTGATCTTCGGTTAATCATAAGTTGATTTTTTTTTTCCAGAGAAGACTTTCTATTGTTACTTAGATTTTATGGGCATCAATCATACAACCACCTATTAAAGGAGAGCCCTGAACACAATGCTAGATAGAGTTGATAGAAAAACCTACCATTTGGTCAATCATAAAAATCTTTCTATAGTCAGTATTTCTCAGCTATCCAGCTTAGACAATGGTGCTGTGCAAATAAGAAAAAAAGTCAATATTTAAAATGAGTATGCTATTCTTTCAAGTATTTTTAAATGTTTCTAGATTTTATTACATATTTGTGTTAAATAGAGTTTTAGAGCCAAGTAGTTTTTCTTGAGGGATACAAATTTTGGTAATATTCAATTACTGTACTTTGGACCCACAGTAATAGATAGATCCAAATGTGATGCTTAATTTGTTGGATCAATTTACATCATGGTCTAAACACACAAACAAATCACAAGTGGTTTTTATTCTTCTCTTTCATTGATGTGTTATATAATAGACAGACTTCTTCAAATGAATAGCAAATCTTCAAAAGTAATTATTGAATCCAAGGTTAAGCATCTTTCTTATAAGTTACATTCTTATTTTCAAAGTACTATATTTTATTTTTTAAGTACCTTTTCACTTTTAAAAGGCACTCAAAAGAATATTTAACACACCAACCCACTTTATTTCCCAAGACATATTCAATCATCTTTCTATTTTAATCACATCATCTTCATAAGAAAGCACCAACTTTTGTGAAATTACAGGAATGATTCTTTT
Organism: Homo sapiens; assembly: GCF_000001405.40. Taxonomy (NCBI): domain Eukaryota; kingdom Metazoa; phylum Chordata; class Mammalia; order Primates; family Hominidae; genus Homo; species Homo sapiens. The sequence goes on along the minus strand of NC_000003.12, from coordinate 176,255,745 downwards.
TCCCAACACAAAGAGTCCTTGACTTATTTCCATTTTTTTTTCTTACCCTAACAACGAAATCAAAGTTACTATGAGGCTCACAGAAGAAAGTGCAAGGTAATGCCCCAGCACACATTCAATTTTTGGGTTAAGTACCCAATCTGAAAAACTTCAACATGTTCAGTATGCAAGCAAATAATTTTTATGCAGAATTATTTTTCAGTTAGAACAAGACAAAACACCACTCCAGAAACTCTTTCCCCAAATTATACAGACCAAACACGTATTGAAACTTGTATTTTAATTGAAGCCAGTCACTGGTATAATGCTAAATTTGCTGAATGTATTGTTAGAATAAAAGGTATACATGTCTTTAAATACAAATAATGAAAAAAACATATTCTCTGATTTAATAAAAATTAATTGTACTTTTATGATTTTTGAACAACTTTTGCACACATTTTTTGGTAAAATATTAGACTAGATCTTAATATGATTGTCACGACTAGGGTGACAATACAAGAGAAGAGGTACAAACTCCAAGTTTATAATTCATTAATTTGGAAAAGTATTTATTCTTTCAATTAATAAATATTTATTGATTCACTCATTCATAAAGGATATTGCTCTTTGACGTTAAGATAATATACTAAACAACAGAAAAAACAAAGCTCCGGCCTCATGCAACTTACACTTCAGCAAGTTTTTGGAGGACAGAGTAAACAGACAATAACGAAGACACAAAGAAACAAATGGAAACAATGAATAAGTTCAGGCTGTGATAACTATTATAAAGCAACATAAAGAAAAGTTGATAAGGCAACAATAATAGTGAAGTTGGAATGTTAAATAAATGGTTTTACTATCTTGCAATTGCCCCTTCTGGTTTTAAGTCATATAAAACATTAGTGAGGGAAGAAAGAAAGAATTAGAATATGATTTATCATTACGTCCCAGAAGTTTCTTTTGGCTCTTTCTTATTGTGATGAAAGAAACATTTCTTATTTTTATTTTTTTTCTAATAATAATAGGATCAAGAAAAGAGAAAGGTTGGTTAAGGTGTAAAATTTTATAAATAATATTGATCCCTTGTATTTTAAGACTTCTTTGAATATGTAGTAAAATAAAGTATGATTATGTTATATTTTTGGCAACTTGCTTTTGTCAGTTACTGGTCTGTAGAATGAAATCTATTTAACTTTTTAAATAGATTTTAAATGACTGCTAAGAATATCAATGTATGGATGAATTATAATTTATAAAATCAACTTTTTTTAAGAGAATTTGGGTTGTTTCCAGTTTGGTTCAGATTTTAGTTATTTTTGTCTTCTAAACAGCACTGTAAGAAATTTATATCTTAGCATAATTCATTGAGTATATTCCTATACTAAATTACTAGAGTCAAAATTTCTGGAACAAACAGTTTACATATTTTTAATTTTTGTAGATACAAAATTCCCAAATATACTCCTACCAAGGAGGTGAAAGTGACTCTTTTTCCTCAAATATATTAACCATAGTGACCCACTAATTCAAATATTTTAATGAGGTCCAACATAAAACCTGGTATATCTCTTTTGGTATGCACTTGCTAATGAAATGTTTCCTTTGGGCTGGGTACACCTCACAGGGTCTGATACACTTCACAGAGTTTGAGAAAACCTTTATAGAGTTTTCGCTTTACTGCTACTTTGGGTAATTAGGTCTTGCAGGTAATTAAAATAAATATATCAATAAGACATAAGAATCAAATGTGATTTCATTTGCAGTTAACATAAGAACACGAGAATTAATGTTGCTGCAGTCTTTATGTTATAGTAGCTTAGTTAATATCATATCTTAAGTAAGGTAGATTTTTTTTTTCAAATCTCTCATTTAATACTGAGAGTGGCAAGTGAACCAGGAATATGAAGCAGCTGCATCATTGTCACCATAAGGCTCCCCTAGATTGTTCTGATTGTCACCATTTCCTAGCCAGTGGCAACAGAGGCAGAGAAAATACAGGGCAGACATCTTTAAGTGGATGATTGGGAAGTGACACATGTTTCTGTTAGCATCCTGTGGCCATATCTTTCTTCATGGGAGAATGAAAAGTGTAGCTGGGAGGACATATTCTCATCTAACACTTAGTATGTTCTATTCTTAAAATGAAGAAGAAACAATAGACAGCAAGAGATAGCCTTTAATCTTTATCAGCAACATAAGTAGATAAAGGGAGAAAGAGGAACTGGACTATAAAAAGGATCATGTATTTCAATGACAGGAAACCCATCTTCTGTGTACTTCAAACTCATAATGAAATGGACGTATTCATTTCGCTTTCTGAGATAGTGAATGTAGGGATTCAGAAATGCTAAAAAGAAAGGTCACAGTTGTATGTTGGCAAGTCTAGGGTTGTAGAAATCTTATGAATAAAGTAGATGTTTTGTTGAATTTCCAAGTTGCATCATGTCCACTTGCTTTGATTCAAGAATTTTGCTATCTTAAAGCCTCAAATAACTAGAACTAAATCAAATCTGATAAGAATGATTATTTCTCAATCGTCTTACATTTGGTCACTTATAACAAGCGAGTAATAACTTAGCCAGAACTGCTTTGTCTCCTCTTCTACCTTAGGAACTTCACATCATAAGGGATTTACAACCGGGGGCAGTCTGGCTACTACCTAATCAACTAGTGGGGAATATGGCCCTTGCTTTTCACCCCTTTCACTCCTCTGCATCCTTCACTAGTACTTCCCTTTCTGTTCATATAACCTTCATATATAGATTTGAGACAGAGTCTAGCTCTGTTGCCCAGACTGGAATGCAGTGGCACTATCTCTGCTCCCTGCAACTTCCAACTCCCCGGTTTCAAGAGATTCTCCCACCTCAGCCTCCTGAGTAGCTGTGATTACAGGCGCACACCACCATGACCGGCTAATGTTTGTATTTTTAGTAGAGATGGGATTTCACCATGTTGGCCAGGCTGGTATTGAACTCCTGACCTCAAGTTATCCACCTGCCTCAGCCTCCTAAATTGCTGGGATTATAGGCGTGAGCCACTGTGCCCAGCCAGTTCTACCTAATATTGAACTGAACATTATTTAAGATTACTTAATAATATATTTTAAATAATATCTAAAAATATATAAAAAGCAGTACACAAAATGTTCAAAATGATGGATGTAAAGAAATTTCAAAAATGGGAAAGCAAAGGTAGAGAAATTTCTGAGGCAGATGCATATACCAAATGAAAACGTCATGAGCTCCTGAACACTTATGACAATAAAGATCACAATTTAGCAGCAAATTTATCAGTCAATGCTAAAAGCAAAACATTGATCCCTTCAACAGATTTTCATTGAGACACTGTACTAGGTGCTGGAGACACAACATGGACAAGGCAATGTCTTCATAGAGCTCACATGGGAAGGAAAGACTACAGTCTACTGATAAAGACTCACCATTGTAAAAAGAAAACCAAACTTTCGGATGGCTTCAACTACCATAAGTCCCCATGATACTGTTAAAACAGAATAAGTTGGCAAAGACTGGACTTCCTGAAGTGTAATTCTGTTCCATCACTAAGATAGTCTTAGACCTAATGAAATAAGTAGATCTCCAAATAGTATTTTGTTAATGAGAGTCTATATAAGATGGACATCATGCTGCATATGTCCTTATTCCCCATTCTTCCTCTGCCCGTTAAACATGCCAATTGACTTCACATGTTATCATACAATATACCACTTTTCCTCCTTCTGATGTATGCAACTAGCATCACATATAATTTAACAGAATGTTACACACAGCATTTTTGTTAAAAACTGAAAGGAAACGAGGCAGACTACAATTCGTAATTAAAAATTAGTAATATGAATGTATGTTCCCCTTGTGGTAATTATCAAAACAACTAAAAACAAAAGTTGCTAACAAATGCTGCCTAAAACTTAAGGTTTATTGAGAGAATAGTTTATCATTTTCCTGACCTTCTGATACTATTTGAAAAAGAAACTTATCCATGCACAACTCCTATAATATTAAAAAATGACTAAAATAGATTTTGAAATTTCTAGATCTTATGCACCAAAAAATACTGGAGAAGAAAACAGCGTAACACAGTGCCAAACATTTTAGCCTTTAAAGTTATAATGATCGTAGATGTTATAAAAATGACAAAATGATAAAGCCTTCTAACTTTTAAGCTCTTACTCTGAGCTGTGCACTGGGAAAAGTACTTTTCATAATTTCATGTAATCTTTATCTCACCTAAACATGAAATTAATACTCCTCTTGTAGATGGAGGAACATGAAGAACACCCTTCAGAGTAGTTGATGGACTAAGTGAAGAAATCAAAACACTAGTATGTTGTAGATATTATGTAATTCACAATTCCTAAGAGAAAAAATAATGTTTCTCAGGAGAAATAAGGCTGATGTTGAAGCTTGTAGGTACTTACACTAGAGATAAATTTCACATATTTGTCATTATGAAAAGGATAACATATCCCAATATCCATGCAGTAAATAAAATGAGTTTCCTACAACTATTTTTTTATTTTTAAGAAAATTCTTATTGGAAAAATGAAAATGAAGATAAATACATAGAAAGTGAACATTTTTCCTCCCTCTTTCTCCCTCCCCTCCTCTCCCTTTCCCACAATTTCTACACTTTAGAAGAAATAACTTTCTTTACTCTGCATGCTTGGCAGAGTATCCGGCTAAATGTGGCTTTATATTATTTGAAAAATTTGATATTTTCCAAAGTTACACAGTAAAATAGTTTCTGTGAGTTTAATCTAACTGTGAAGCTTTTTGATATAGTCTACTTTAACACAAAGATAAATTCTGCTAAACTACAGCTAAAATGACTTAATTTCTTATCCTTTAGATAATCCTCTATAAATATTTCATCAGTCAAATGTTTATAGAATACATATTAGATGTGACATACTGTGGTCACTAGGTCCAATTTATTTTTGCATTGCTTTACTTGAAATATTCATGGATTAATTTAGACAGCATTTAAATAAAAATAGCACTGGCCAGGATTGATAAGTGCAAAGAAAGAGCAGTGGATAAATGCCAAAGGGTTCTAAGGAGAGAGACATTTCTTCCAGTTGATGGGGTCAGGGATTAATGGAGAATATGGTTAAATAAGAACTGAGTTGGATTTATTTGGAGGAGAACGTACTGTCGAGATAAAGAAAAAAAAACAAACCTAAGGAAGATGAGAGAAAGGGAGTAAATGAAAAAGGGAAAAGGAAGACTAGTGAGGATTCATAAAGAGTTGTCAATAAGACCTTTAGATTCTTCTTATACTCTTCCTAGGACATATGTTAAATTATTTTTAATGGAAGTCTAGGGAGTATCTGGAGGTGCCTGTGAAGCCTGAGCAGTAGATGATATAACAAGTGGACAGGGCTTTGAGGCACCAAATGGACAGGGCTTTGAGGCACAATCAAGGTCTCAACCAAAGCAGCTGAATTTTATTCTTTTTTGTTTTTCTATTTAGGTGGAGGTGAAGCTCTTTGGTTAAAAGTGACAGAAACCCTACTTCAACCTAAGGGGTAAAAGATATAATTTATCATCAGAAAAAAAAAAAACTCTAAAAGGGCAGGGTTGCAGCTGGGCTTTAGGGAATTCAACTGAGGATTGAAACTTTTCTAGAAAATACCGATTTCTTTGGGTTAATAAGATTGCCTATGATATGTGACGTGCAGCTTCTTCATGTTCCTCAATATGGTTCCCATTAGACAGACATAGTTGCCTGAAACTCCTGTATCTTCTGTCTTACAGCATCATCATTGGAGAATATAAGTCTCACAAGGTCTTGTTTGAAAAATCCTAGAACAAAACTCTGTTTCTGGCTCAGATGTTTATCCTCGGGCCAATTAAATGGAACCAGAGGAGAGAACAGTATGAAAAAAAGTTGCCTCATCTATTTCTGTTCTTATCCTCACTCAAACCCCTCTGTTTATACTGAAATCCTTTCTGTTCTTCAAGCTTACAAGGCCTGCTCTTACCTTAGGGCTGGCATTAACTGCTCTCTCTGCCTATAACACTAGATACTCCATGAAATGGGGAAATAATAAAGAGTTTCAACACTCCATGGGTTTTAGCTACATGTCTGAAAGCTAGGTTTTAATTTAGAGAAATCATGATGGTTGAAATCTAGCAAAAGTAGAATAGCATATACTGTCCTCTTGTTTAGCATTCTTCTGGTTGCTAAACTGGCAGAATACCTATTGAGGGACTTTGACCTATTAAATTCTGCATTGGATCCACCATATATACATATAATTTTTGTAATGCCTTTTACTTGGCACACTAACCTTGTGGATATTTCTTCAAATATCTCATGAAAATGTGATGTTTGCCTTATGTGTGCCTGATATATGCCAGGCATTATTCTAGTTCTTAGGGATTAAAAGGTGAATATTAATCCCCTTGGGAATCAAGAGCTTGCTTTCTACAGAACCTCATAATATTGGGTGGGGAGGGAGAAGCCGTATATATAAACAAAATAGATAAATAAAAAATACTCAATAGTGATAAGAACCATGAAAATAGAGTGGTGAGACAGCAGGTGACTGGTACTGCTCTTAGATTGTATTATTAGGAAAGACTTCTTTTTGGTTTTGAATAATAAATGATCAAAAAGAGCTGCTGTGTGACTGTCTCAGTCAATTCAAGCTGCTGTAGCAAGATACCTAATACTTAGTGGCTTAATTAAAAAGAAATTTATTCCTCATAGTTTGATATCAGGGTGCCCGCAGGACTGGGTTCTGGTGAGAGCCCTCTTCTGGTTGGGTTGCAGTCAACTTCTCATTGTATCCTCATACACTGGAAAGAGGGCAAGAGACTCCCTGGGATCCCTTTTATAAGGGCGCTAATCCCATTCATGAGGATTACATTCTCATAACCTAATTACCTCCCAAAGGTCCCGCCTCCTAACATCATCACATTCAGGGCTGGGATTTCAATATAAGCATTTTGGGGTAACACAAACATTCAGTCCATAACAGTGACTATGAGGAAGGAACTTTCCAAAAGGAGTAGTTAATGAAAAGGTCCTACAGAAGGGAGAGCATTCATTCATTCATGGGTCCATCTTATAAATCCTATTGACTCGTATTATATGCTAGGCCTTGTGTTAGGCTTTAAGATTCAATAGTGAATAACATAAAGATCTCTGCCTTCATGACACCTACATTCTGGAGGTAGAATTGGACCATAAATAATAAGCATAGTAAATATGCTATATTTCACATTAGAGATTAATAACTGCTGTAAAAATAGTACACAGTGAGGAGAAATTAAAGAGCAAGTTGTATGGTGTGTGGAGAGGGCCAAGACATTATAATACTAGGTTACATTATAATACTAGGTTACATATTATAGTATTACATATAATACTAGGTTACATCTTCATCGAGATGTTTTGAACAAAGACTTAGAAAAGATGTTGTATATCTCATGGAATCTATAAAGAAACTGGAAGAAAAATACTCAGCTCAGAACAGAGGCAGGAACCTAGAAATGCAAGATATCAGAGACACAGTCATAGCAAAAGGACAATTTGGTAGGAAGTCAACTGATAGTAATGCCACTATTGCTGAATTTGCCACTGTCACTATGCTTGGGCTCTTAATACTCTATCTGTGACTGATTTCTCAACTCTTTGTGTTTTCCCATCACTCCTATCAGATTTGAAATTCCAGGGAGAAGAAAAATTGTCCTTTAAGTTATTTCTTAAGCCTTTTTCCTATCTTAGATGGGACAAGAGAGACACACTTGGATTCTCTGGCTTTACTAGTGAGAATCAAGAGCTTGCTTTCTGCAGAGCCTCATAAAATGGGAAATTTCCCCAAAAAGAGTAATCTTCAAGCTCTGTATAGCAGATAAAATAGCAGATACCAGCAGAAACTTTTACCATTCTACTTTATCAACTCCTTAAATAGCAAAACGAGAAAAAAAGTACAACTGAATTAAAATTGAGTTAAAATCTGATTTACATGTGAATTATAGTCCTAAATTAGGTTCTAAAATTTATCCTAATATTTGCAATGTTTTGACTCACTTGATTTGACATTCAGTAATAGTTAAATTGTAGTTACATTTAGCCATTGCCTATTTAACATTCTATTTTCATAAAATATTATAAAAGCTTCTCTATTTTAATAAAATCTACTGGATTTTAATTTTCAGCTTTAAAAAGTCTCCTCTGAAATATCTGACCTCCAAAAGCAAAATACAAGAAGAGTAATTCGCAAAACATATTGTTTTTATTTTCCCCGTGTTGGACTATCAGATTTCCCCTGGTCTTGAGAGATTTGTTAACTTCTCGAAATTCATATTGTTAATGCTTTCCACTGGAGATTATCAGATTACAGTAATCAGAGCTCATTGCCAACCCTTTTCTAATAACTTCCTGGAGAATATCTGAAAGCCCATTAATATGCAGTACATTGAGCTGCTTCAGGGTTTGCAACTGTATTGGAGAAACAGAGAACAACTTATACAATTTCTCTGGGGTATGTATAAATCTCTTCAACCCTGATGTGTATGTTGTATTAATAACCAAAACCATGCAGGATGGAGCAATTGTGTAAGGAACAGAATATTAAGCTTCTTCTTTTTAAAACATTACTGCTACTTCCACAGTCTCCAAATTTTTATTTTATGATAAATGCATTACCTTTTTGCTTGATACTTCAAAAATTTGGATGCTTCTCTTTTTTTTTCTTAGAGATCTGTCTTTTGAATTGTTTAACAATACCATAATATTTTGAGTGGTGTCTTCCTTCCTTTAGCGATATTTGTGAATGCACATCCCCTGCTGTATTTATTGTGCCTTCTATGTGTCAGATCAGCAAGAATCAGATGCCTCCTCTGCCTCTAAGATGCCTCAGGGCAACAGGCAAATGGCCATGGACCAGGACCTCAATATTTCTTGCTCTTTTTGCTTGGTTTCTTCTGCTATTTTCCAATTCTGGACTCTATTTAAGTAGTAGTTTTTTTGTGACTCTCCTGTTTAACTTGCAAGTTAAGTTTGTTTTCCCAACGTCATTGGTAATAGGCTTCTTTGAGAATAGACTGAAGCGTTTTCATTAAGCTAAAAGTTTTCCGTTCTACTCCCAGGTATAACTACCCAGCCATCTTACTAACTTGAAGTGAAATCACTAGTGTTAGTCCCAAATGATTGTCCTCTTTATGTCCCCTTAAAAATGTTTACACTTGTAATTCCCATACTCAATGGAAAGCCTTGATGTTGTTAAGCAACATAATGGAAGAATGGAAGTGAAATTTCATTTTTCATGTGTATTACAGTTTCATATTTTCATAAGTTGACTGCACAGTTTCATGATCAATACTTACAAGGAGTTCATAAATTTCTCAAGATTTTGAGGTTTCTTTTTCCCTTTTACTCTTTAGCAAAAAAAAAAATGCAAAATTTAACAATGATTCAAGAGACTATATTTAGGAAACTATAAGTTTCTGAAACTAAGAGTGTAGAACATAAAGAGAATGAAGTTTTTCTACAAGCACATCCTCAATAAAGCAGAAGTGAATGAAATCAACTCCAGATTTACCCAGTATCTTCTTTACTTAGAGCTCCAATGTACTCTCTTCATTTAATGTAATTTTAAAATTTAACCACATAAATTTCTTCTACTAATATGATTTACACTTTCCTAATTTTAACAAATTTTCCCTAGTTAAAATTATTCTTTAACAATTTTTTTTAGTTTCTAATTTTTATTTTTAATCATTGACAGATAGGCTGGGCACAGTGGCTCATGCCTGTAATCTCAGCACTTTGGGAGGCCGAGGCAGGTGGATCACTTGAGGTCAGGAGTTCAAGACCAGCCTGGCCAACAAGGCAAAACCCCATCTCTACTAAAAATACAAAAATTAGCCGGGTTTGGTGGCAGGCGCCTATAATCCCAGCGACTCAGGAGGCTGAGGCAGGAGAATCGCTTGAACCCAGGAGGTGGAGGTTGCAGTGAGCCAAGATCATGCCACTGCACTCCAGCCTGGGCGACAGAGTGAGATCCTGTCTCAAAAGAATAATAATAATAATAATAATAATAAATAAAATAAAAATTGGGACATAATAATTGTACATATTTTGGAGGTATGCAGTGATATTTTGATACATGTATATAAGATGTATTGATCAATTCAGGGTAGTTAGCATATCCATCACCTCAAACATTTATCATTTCTTTGTGTTGGGAACATTCAAACTCTTCCCTTCTAGTTGTTTGAAAATACATAATAAGTTATTAGTCACCCATCAATGCGATAGAACACTAGAACTTATTCCTTCTATCTAGCTGTAATTTTGTGTCCATTAACCACCATCTCCCTTCTCCTCCTTCTGTTTCCCAGCTTCTAATACTACTACTCTACTCTCTATTTCTATGAGCACAACATCACAACAGTTTAAGCTTCCACATATGAGTGAGAACGCGTGGTATAAAACGAGTTATTCTTATTCTTGCTGTTGACAGATGTGTTTCATGCCTAGAGCTTCTAATGTCAGACAATAACCTGATATTTCATGAATAGATGACATATCTGAAGAAAATGAAAAAAAAAATTCTATTCTGAAAATTTAACCAATTTCAGGAAAATTAACTTTGTAACAGCCACACAAAATTCAGTGGCTTAAAATAGCAACTACTTACCATTTTTCACAAGTATGCAGATAAGCTGAGGATCATAAGCCTGAGGATAGGCTGATCAAGGCTGAGTTACATTTGGTGATTCTCTGGCTTCAGCTTTGTTCGTTCACACATCCTGGCACAGCTGAAAGGTCAGCTAATCTAGACGGACATGACTGGGTTTAGCTCAGTTCCACATGTTTCTTAATCCTTTCCTGTGATCTGGCTGCAGCTGGGGCATGTTCTTCTCATGGTAACAGCAGAAATGCATGCCTCTTCTTGCAACAGGTCTACTGAAATTTCATTAACAGAGCAAGCATATGTTCAATTCAAGAATCTGGCGGTGAGAAAGAATCTCCACTTACAGTAAAAACCACCACAAAGTTACTTGACAAATGGAGTCAATACTGGGAGAGGTAAAAAATTGGGGCCATTAGTGCAATCTTTCACACCATTCATGATGGTGAAAAAAAGGGAGGATACCTACGTACCTATCAATATATTAACTGTTTATATTACTTTTAATGGCAAAAACCACAATTACTTTTGCACCAACCTAATACATCAACTAAGTATATCAATCTACTCATTAGTATATCAACTGTTAGCTATTTAAATGTCTTTAATATATTGAAAAATTATCTGTATTGGTTTTTATGAAAGTGAGATGAACCATGGATCATAGAAATTATTTCCACTTAATAATTAAGGGAAATCTAAAGGTGAAATGCACCTTCTAAACTTCTCACCAAATGATTCCACATACCAGTCTGTTTGCAATATAACTAAATGCAAGTCTTTAGAGAGCTGCCCTGGGACAAACAAGAATTGCCAAGCAGAACAAATAGGTAAACAGCAATAATCAAAGGGACCTTTCAATGGTGTTCAAATGATACATAGCAAACGTATTTATTTAGACAAACTGCTAATGTGATTGCAGTTTAAACATTTCTAACTCTCTCTGTTCCCATTTTTCTTATCTATCAGATAGGCGTGCAAAGGTAAACCATGTAGAAAATTAACTTTTGTGAGAATCATTGACATTTCTTGTGCACTGCTATGTGTCAGGGTATTTTGCAAGTCATTTTACATTGTCTTCAATCCTTTCACAAAACTTCAGTGTAGGTATTACCATTGGTATTTTACAGGAATGATACTAAGGTATGATCATTTAGGTAACCTGCCCACAATCCTAGCTAGCAAATAATGAGAATTCAAATTTAAGATGGTCTAATTCAAATGTTTAGGTACTGTGGGTTTTATTTTTAATATAAAGAATGTATCCATTGTCAACCCAAGAATAATGAGGCTCATACATTTGGAAAGGAAAGCTTTATTTTTCATAAAGCATTGCAGCCTGCAGGGTGGCCATTCTGACAGACTGGAAAGCATAGCCTCTGGCCAGAAGCCAGAAACAGACACTTAAAGGGAAGGACAAAGGGAACAGGAATTGATGCTGAGCAGGGTGGTAGAATATACATATTTAATAAAGTAGAAGGAGTCATGAATATCTTTGAAAGGAGAAACATGCACATGCGCAATGGAACTTCATGCCCCTTCATGAGTTGCATATAGATTGGCTTGGCCAGAACCACTCCATGGGTGGTCTCTTATCAGGAAGAAATGCTGATCAATTGTTGCATGGAAACTGCAGAAGGGAGGAGCAGCATCAGGCAGTTGGTTGATGTAGGCCTGATAGCAGCCAAGGAGTCTTTTGAAAGACCTGCTTTCTGTTTATCCTCTCATTAATCTCACAGCAAATGAGTTCCTTGGTCAGAAACAATATTTAGGATCCTATGACAGTGATATGGTTTGATTCTGTGTCCCCACCCAAGTCTCATGTTATAATTCCCGATGTTGAGGGAGTGACCTAGTGGGAGGTGATTAGATCGTGGGGGCAGGTTTCTCCCTTCCTGTTCTCACGATAGTGAGTTCTCATAAGATCTTGTTTAAAAGTGTCTAGCATGGGTGGGTGCAGTGGCTCATGCCTATAATCCCAGCACTTTGGGAGGCCAAGGTGGGCAGATGGCTTGAGCTCAGGAGTTTGAAACCAGCCTGGGCAACATGGCGAAACTCCATCTCTACAAAAATTACCCAGGTGTAGTGGCACCTGCCTGTAGTCCCAGCTACTGGGGAGGCTGAGGTGGGAGCACTGCTTGAGCCCAGGAGGTGGGGGTTGCGGTGAGCTGAAATTGCGCCCCTACACTTCAACCTGAGCAACAGAGCAAGACCCTGTCTCAAAAAAAAGTGTGTAGCACTTTCCCCTTTGCTCTGTCTCTCCTGCTCCACCATGGTGAGACATGCTTGCTTCCCCTTCACCTTCCACCATAATTGCAAGTTTCCTGAGGCCTCCCAGCCATGCTTTCTGCCAGAACTGTGAGTCAAATAAACTTCTTCATTTAAAAAAAAAAAGAGCTGCTTTCTGTTTAGCCCTTAGGAATGAAAGCCTAATGACAGTTAGGGAGGGAGGGGATATAACAACATGTCTGACCTCCTACTCATCAGGGCCAAAATCTCAGTTTTCAAGGTTGCTCTGGAGTCCCATTGGCCAAGATGGGTCCATTCAGTTAGCTGAGGAGCTTCGAATTTCATTTCCATTTCTCACCGTACTGACCCAATTCCTGGAAATAAAATGAGGTCCAGGGCTGCTGCTGCTGCATAAAGAGGGAAAGAAAAAATGTTATCAGGGTAATCTATTTAGGTGTTTTTGGAAATCCCTTGCCCAGTTTTGATGATAAATGGGCAACTTCTCACAGCACACTAACCTGAGAAGGCCATGGTGACCAGGGGCTTAGAGCCACAGGTCATGTCACTAGGTACTAGCAGAGGTACTAGATGATATTATGGGGAATCTAAAATGGGTAGTGGAGAGGAGAGACATTGCACATCCGTTGGCAGGGGCAAAGGGTGTTTTTGTCCCATTGACCTGCTTTGCTAAATTTTCCTCCAGATGATAGGTCTGCCAGGATGTATATGCAGAGGTGAATTTGAGTTATGTAAGAGATGAACTGTGGTGAAAACTCTGATGTACCCTTCCATGTTGGACTTGTTGCCCCTTCTTCTGGAATTACTATCGGCATATAGCCTTCAGCTGTTAGCTCCTGCGAGGATTAGACTCTGCTTAAGACAGCCACTTTGCTTAAAGTCATTTCCCTTCCCAGGTCAGCCCACTTCCCGTGATTGAACTAGAAGTCTAAGGTTTGGCCATCTTAGCCCAACATGAGACAATTCTAAAGGATCCACACCTCACCATAAGTTAAGCTGTGGTGGCTGCCGCAAATTGACTTCTTGTTCTTCACAGTTTTCTTTCCTTCTCTCCCTCTTGTATTGACTCCAAAGGCACTCCATAGTTAATATCCTAAACACTAAACTCCATCTCAGAGACTATTTGCTGGGAATCCAATCTGCAACAAATGCAAGCAAAACAAAACAAAACAAAAAACTCTGTAATAACATTTTCCAGCAATTCATGACACTACAGTCTCTAGGTTTATATGGAGTCAAGAAACATCTTACCAAAGGAAGCAACAAGGGCTATTTGTACTTGACTCTTTTAAAATATATACTAAATTACAATACAAAAAGACTTTTTCACAGTCTTAGACTTTGTCTTTCGGGTTGCTTCTTATTCTTACCTCTGGAATAACAAATGCAAAACCAAAAGGCCATTATGATGGTTTTTCATGAAAAGAAGTTGTCTTCTTCAAAGATGAATTTAATTCACTTCCATGAATAAGAATTAACTGCTCAATGTTAATTTTGAAAATTTAATGTGGAATTTTAATTTTCTGCTTTCAGTAATTACTATTATTTTGTTTTAAATTTAGGATTGGGGCATTGAACTTGCTGAGAAAATCTAAACCTCAAGACAGGAGAAGTATTTGTTAAGCCTAACAAGAACATTAAATAGCCACCATCTGTCCCATGTAATAAAATTAATGAGTTTTCCTTCCACTGTCTCTATTAATAAAGTCTTTGGGAAAAAAGTTGTGGCACTAAGCACCTGGGAATGAATTTCATGTGCTTTGATGGGGATCACAATTTCCTGAAACACTTTCTCCCCACTTATTTAAGTATTATTCTTTGCAAATTATCAGGCTGTCACAGTTCAACTAATATATAGGGAAAGGATTTTTATTTCTGCATTTTCCCACCTGTGACTACCTTGATAAGTGAGGGTATAGCAATGAATCTGTGTAACTCAACCCCAGTGGTAGCAGTGGAGACAGAAAGGAAAGAACTTCAGGAAAAAAGGAAGAGGCATCTTAAGAGAAATTGAAATTCCATACATAGACGCATCTAAATACTGTTAGGTGTGATAAAAATGTCAGGTGCTATTAATCTTGAGATACCATCAAAATATATGGCCATCATTACAACTGAATATTAATAGGACTTTCTACCATCAAGTAATTACATTATTAACATTTTATAGTAGTTGGTCGAATCATCCATATGTGTAAGAGGTTATTTTAAATAAAACCAAATTTTGTCCAACAGTTTAAGTTCATAAAATCTTTAAAAAGAGAAAAACAATGAGGGAAAGATTACCTTAGTGTTTCTTGCTACCATGCCATCAACTTGAAAGCTTATGTATCATGACGTCTATCAAAATGTCAGTTCTTTATATCACCTCCTTACAAAGAAGAAATCTGTCTGCCATTTTCAAGCTTTACTGAAAAGACTATCCATAATTTTGAGCAAAATCAAACCACTTATTTTATGTTGAACACAAAGGAAAAGAATTCCTTCAATAAAAATGAAATGTCTTCATGGGAGCATTAAGCACATTCAAATAACTATGAAAATAACTATTAGAATTAAGATTGAATCCAGATTTGGAAGTTTATTAGTGTCTTATATTATGAATATGAACATTTACTTTATGTTCACAATTATCATATTTATATATCAGATTGGAATTCATTTATGATTATATTTTAGCTAAGAAAAATTGGATTAAAAAAAGGAGTAGCCTGCACATGTAAGAATAGAAGAACTGAGAAAGAACAGAGTCCAAGCAATAGCTGTGACCAGAGGATTTTACCCTATGGGATCTGAAACAGCCATAGGAAATGGAATGCATTCTTCAATGCTTCTAGCAAGAATCAATCTAGTATAAGTTTGTAGAGTGTTAATAGGTCAATGTTTAATCATCTCTCCCTCTCCTGCCTGGATTTGTCTATTTTTTTGATTAATAGATAATATCATTCTTTCATATATTCAATTTTCCTCAGAAATGTAAACACAACACTCTATAAAAATAGGAAATTGGACACTTCTTCAAATATACTATTTATAATTAGGTGGATTACATATAGAATATCTTTAGGATATTCAAATTGATTTCAGTAAAAAATAAAATTTTGCATGTGATTTGAATTGAGCTGGTGAGTGTTTTTGCAGTTACGGTGTTGTCTGAGCAGTTTCATATCATTTAAAGTTGTTTTCAATTTGAGAAAGAAAGGATCATTAATTTGTAATTGTTCTCACTTCAGAAAACTCAAAATGTTCAAAACATTAGTGTTGAATAGCAAATCTGAAAATGACTCTCCCAAACCTAAATCACAACATTCACCATCAGCTTATTAGAAATGTAGTAAAAAGGTCAGTAGGACACTAAAGCCAAATAGAAATCTTCTTGAAATTGAGAAGGAATTAGATATAAAGGAAGTCTGGGATCAGGGAAAAGGATATGAGTGGCGTTTAACTGTGAAGGTAAGGTTGGTGGTTATGACTTTTTTGTTTCTATGATCTTGTCATGTCTTTCCCTAAGCTCCTGTACAATGTCTTCATTAAGTTTTTAAAAAACTGCATCGTATTTTAGAAGTTTAGAAATTTCATCCTTTTTGGCAGAAATTTACTTTGAATGTTCACCTTTTAAAATTTGTTTTTCTTTTCCTCTCTAGCACGGAGACTGATTCAACAAGAATGAATCATTTGTCTTTCAGTTAGGTGAGTTCTTCATTGATAAGCTGATTTTTTGGACTTTGGTGTGGAGAAAAGACTGGGATAATTGACAGGCCATCAGGGTGGGGGGAGGGGGGAGGGATAGCATTAGGAGATATACCTAATGCTAAATGATGAGTTAATGGGTGCAGCACACCAACATGGCGCATGTATACATATGTAACAAACCTGCACGTTATGCACATGTACCCTAAAACTTAAAGTATAATCATTAAAAAAAGGAATATTCCTTACGATAGAGAATTGTATGTGAGTGAGCTCTCTTAGCCCTCATTGAGAAAGTATTACACAATAGCTTTGTGTAGTGTAAACTGGAGAACTAAAAAATAAATGACAATCTACACAATGTCCCAAGAGAATTGCACCTGGATCACTGGTTTGAGACCCTAGCATATGTATTTTCAAAACTTTCTCAAGTGATCCAAAAGTAGAGTAAGAGCTAGGAATCACTATTTAGTTTTTGTTTCTCACCAACTACCTGAGTTTGTCAGACAAAGAACTGTTCAAACCACAGTCTTCTCATTGCTTTCCTGACAGAATTCTGGCCATAAATATGGGTCAGCCCCACTACTTCTGTTTGGAAATAAATTGAGCACAGTGAAGCTCTTAGGGCCAAACCATACTCCTCTTGTATTGTGTGGTTTCGAGTTTCAAACAAATAGTACTTTCACCAAAGATGGGATTTCAAAAAATTGTTGTGCTTATTGACTTTGGATAGTTTTTAACAGGATAAAATAAACAATAAATAAAAAAAACTTTTTCCTACTATGGTAAATCCAGAAATCTTTATAAATATTTTATAAGTAAATTAAATCTCTTTTTTATATTAATAGACTTTCTTTAATTTTTTTATTTTTATTTTTTCTTTTTTGAGATGGAGTCTCACTCTGTCACCCAGGTTAGAGTGCAGCAGCACGATCTCGGCTCACTTCAGTCTCCACCTTCTGGGTTGAAGCGATTCTCCTGCCTCAGCCTCCTCAGTAGCGGGGATCACAGGTGTGCACCACCACATACAGCTAATTTTTGTATTTTTAGTAGAGATGCGGTTTTGCCATGTTGGCCAGGCTTGTCTCAAACTCTTAACCTCAAGTGATTTGCCTCCCTCGGCCTCTCAAAATGCTGGGATTACAGGCGTGAGCCATCATGCCCCGCCTAGAATTTCTTAGAGGAGTTCTAGGTTTACAGCAAAATTGAGTGGAAATTACAAAGAGTTCCTGTGTACCCCTTGTCCCCACTCATGCACAACCTCCCCCACCATCAACATCCTGCATCAGTGTGGAACATTTGTTACAAGTGACTCACCTACACCAAGTTAAGTATCTTTTGATGAGAAAAGATTGGCTTCTTTTCAGAATTTGTCTTTATAGGCTGCTATTTCCCTTTGTCAGAAAACAGTGAGAAAAATCCCATGATCATTTCTCAGAAAAGTATTTTGGAAAGAGTGATATTTAGACGTTGAGCTAATGATCAGCCAGGTGCATTTTTTTTTTTCTTTCTCAAAGCTTTCTCATGTTTTTGTGAGGTTGCTATCACAAACACTGCCACAATTTCCATAAATACAACTAGGCCCAATAAGAAAAGATATTAAACTCTTTAAGAACTTTTATAAACTAATCTTTAACATCATCCCAGAAGGAACTGATCATAATGATATTGTGCCCAAGATAACACTTTGCCAGAGTGTTGCCTTTCCTCATTTCAATGAAACCTAATTTCTTTAAGGGGAGCCTAAAAACCCCCATCATTTCATTGATAGAGAGAATTTCTTTTTTTAACGTTGCAATAGGGAAGAAGCCCTGAGTTTATTCTTAGAGATTAACTCTACTACAATATTGATACTTCCATATTTGTGAGCGAGGTGGAGCTGTCTGTTATTGATAGCCTCAATTTGATTACATGTTCTGTTAAGAAAATATATCTGTGTCAAGAAATACAAGTTGCAAGATTGAATCAACTTACTTTTGTGCTATTATTGGACTATTTAATTACAGTTCATAGTTTTAGACCAACACAGGTTAATAATAAATATAAACAATTTATTGCTGTACTTTAAATATAGAATGATATTTCAAATAGTGTTGGAAACAGAAATTCATATTTAATTTTGGCATAAACTTAGTAATAAAAACCATATCAAACTGCATGAAAACATAAAAATTCTGGTTGCATTTAATAGAGTTTTGGAAATAGAGCATTTAGTTTAAAATAGTGATTTTTTTAAAAACTTGAGCTGCATTTCAGCTTAATATTTGAAAATATGTTGGTATTGACTGACAAGTTAACTGAAATATAGTATATATGAATATAGATTTTAGCCATAATTCACTACACTACAAGACTTTTATAACAATGTGTACTATAATATGGATGAGGCTCTATTGTGGGCTGTTTCATTCTTCTAGGGACACAAGCATTCACAGAAAAATGATGATATAATACACAGTAAATTTTTGAGGTGTTATATGCTCAGTTCCAGACTAACATAATAAATTAACTGAAACATTATGATAATTTTTTAATACATGAAGCCTGAAATATTAAAATCTGCATGCTTTTTATCAGAAGTTCATAACAGTGTCTAATTGTCAACTAAAATGGATATTCAGAAGCATAAATTAACAACAGATTAAGGAAATATTTATGACTTTAAAAAACTGATATTGTCTTAGATTTCAACTGAATTGCACACTGGAATACTAATAGATGGGCATATGCCTTCAGAGACCAATTAACAAATAATCTCTAGGAACTAGGGCTCAAGTATTGATACTTTGTTAAGCTCCCATAAATAACTAATGTATGTCTAGGGTTGACAGCCTTAGCCTACTGCATTCTACTTCTTCATCAATATCTTGAAAATACTGCTTTTCTATGCTAAAGAAATGGAATTTACTTCAGATGCAGATGAGGTTGGTTTAAGGGATGGCCTCTTCTCTTAGTCACAAAATTTAAGTTGTGATTTTTCTGTGCTTCCCATTGTTAGTCTTTGAAATAAGGAAGATTTTCTAGGTAAAATGCAAGATTATATAATATATATATATATATATTCCAACAGAGATATCGACAATATAATTTGGAACTAGAGTAGATGTAGCGAGTAACAAAAGGTAAAAGAGAAGTAATTCTTTAGGAGAAAAGGGGAAAACAGACATTGCACATGGAAGTAAGTATGTGTATAAAAAATGAACATTTCAACAGTTTTAAACAAGCCTGTTAAGTTTAGAGAATTAGAATTCAGTTTGCAGGGTCATTTGGTGTTTGTATAAAAGGAGATAATTCTTTAAAAGAAGGTTACATGGTGATATAAGTGTTAATTATAACTTAAGATGATATACTTGACATTTCTAGAAGATAAAATGGCCACATAAAGATTAACTTTGCACTTTAAATATGCAGTATCCCTTATCCAAAATTCTTGAGATCAGAAATGTTTCAGATCTTGAATTTTTTCAGATTTTTGGAAATTTGCATGTACCTAATGAGATATTTTAGGGAAGGAACCCAATTCTATATACAAAATTCATTTGTTTCATATTCACCTTATACAAATAATCTGAAGGTACTTTTATACAATTTTTAAACAAATATTTTATCTGTAAAATATACACATATTTGCAATGATTTTGTACATGAAAGAGCTTTTCACTGTGATGTCTCACGTGATCAGTTGTGAAATTTTTCACTTGCGGCATTGTGTTGGTATTCAAAAAATAGTTGATTTTGGAGCTTTCCAGATTTCAGATTTTCAGATTGGGGATATCTAACCTATATATTTTGAAAAATAAACATTTGTTTTTCAATATCCTTCATTTGAAGACTCGTTCGCCTAAGATCTTAGTACTAGAAAATAATGTCTTTCTCAACTATATAATATTGCTTTTTTTCCCAGATATTGAGACAAAGCATTCCACTTTTGTGCCTCTTTAACACCTAAGTAGAAAACTTAATGGTGAGTTCTCAAGTGGCAGAGGCAACCAATGTTCTGATTTTTTTTTCCCAGCATATGTTAGTTTTGCCTCTTTTGGAATTTCATACAAATGAAATCATACAATATGTATTCTTTTGGTATTTGGTTTCTGTTTCTCAGCATCATGGTCCTGATATATGTTCATGTAATTCCATACACGAGTTTCCCTCTTATTGCTACATAGTACTCCATGAATGAATGTGTATGAATATGCTAGGGTTTTTTTAGTCATTTTTTAATATTGGATACCTGGACAACCAGATAGTTTCCAGATTTGGGCTACTATGATAAATAAATAGATTTACTTGTAGATTAATCTACTATGGACATGTGGGTACTTTTTTTTAACGATTTAATTTATTTGGGCTAATACTTGTGAATAGATTATGTTTAAAATTGTAAGAAACTACCAGATATTTGCCAATTAGGTGTATTATCTTAGGTCCTCACCAATAATGTAGGAGAGACCTAATAGTCCACAAACATGAGAACATTTACTATAAAGTTCGATGAGTTTTCACAAATGTATATCATTATGGAATCTTTTCATCACCATACAAAGTTTTTTCCAGTGATTTTTTTCTGCTACTCTGTGTCTTTCATATGAATTTTTAATGATATCTTTTGACGAACAGAAATTTTTAATTTTAATGAAATCTAATTTTTTAAAAAAATTTTATGGTTATTGCTTTTTGTCCAGACTAAGAAGTGTTTGTTTACCCAATTGATGAATATATTATCTGGTGAGTTTTTAAAAAAGTTTTATGGTGGCTGTTTTTATGTTTAGATTAATTATCCATGTGAAATTAATTCTTGGTATAATGCATAAGTACAAATTTTTTCTCCTATATACATATTGAGCTGTTCTAGCACCTCTTTTTGAAAAGACTTTTTTCCTTTGGCCTGTTTTGGAATCTTTGTCAACAATCTAACCATACATATGTATAGATCAGTATCTGGATAGGCACTCTATTCTCTTACATTGATCTTGCTGTCCTTTGGCAGTATCACAATGTCCTTAATATAAAATTTAGTTGTGTTGAATACTGGTACTCTAAGTCTCCAAAATTGTTATTCTTTTTCAATATCACTTGAGATATTCCGGATGCTTTACAACTTTATATTTAAACTGGTTTCTTACAGACAGCCTGTAGTTGATTATTGCTTTATTGTACAGCTTGACAATCTCTGCCTTTTATCAAAGTGTTTTAGACAAGTGATACATTTTTTAAAATGTTGAAATGATAGCAGTAGACACATTTAAAAGCGTAAAAAGAAACAGGCAATTGATAGCAGTTATATATTTAACTCAGTATATCCAATATATTATCATTTCAGTAAGAAATAAATACAAATATATTCATGGGATTTTTACATTATTTTTCATACTAAATATTTGAAATCCAGTTTATATTTTACACTTAAAATCAGCATATTGATAATATGATTTGTCTTCTTTCTTCTGATTATGTAGCAAACTAAAAGAATTGATATTCTAATTTTATCCTATTCTTGTATGGAATAAATTCATCTTAGTCTGGGGTATTAAATTTGTTTTGCTAGGCTAGATTTTGTTTTCTATTATTTTGTGTAGGATCTTTACATGTATTGTCATTAATCAGCTGAGCTTATAGGTTTTCTTTCTTGTATTGTCCTTGTCAAATTTTGGTATCAAAGTGATATTAGCCACATGGAGCTTAGAAATATACTATTACTTTCTACAGAAAGTTTGTATAAGGCTGGTATTACCTTTCTAATTCTTTGGTAGAGCTTGCCATATGGACCTAGAGGTTTTTCTTATACAAAGTTTTAAAATTATGAGTTTAATTTCTTTAATAGCCAATAGAATATTTAGCTTTACCTGTTCTTTATTTATTTAAAATAAACTTTATTGTGTATATTTATGTTATATAACATGATGTTATGGAATACATATAAATAGTGAAAAGGTTACTATGGTGAAGCCAATTAACATATCCATTATCTCACGTGGTTACCCATTTTTTTTGTTTGTTTTTGTGGCAAGAATAGTTAAAATGTACTTATGTAGCATGAATTCAATATACAGTACAATGTTATTACCTACAAACCGTAGGTTGTACATTAGGTCTCTGAACTTGTTTATCCTGCAAATATGCTGCCTTGTATTCTCTGACCTACATCTCTTATATCCTCCCCCCACCTTCTACCCTTGGTAACCACTGTTTTATTCTTCACCTCTGTAGATTTTAATTATTTTTTTAAGATTCCACATATAAGTGAAATGAAGCAATATTTTTCTTTCTATGTCTGCTTTATTTCATTAGAATAATATCCATCTAGGCTCATCCATGTTGCAGCAAATGGCAAGATCTCACTCTTTTTTAAGGCTGAATAATATTCCATTGTATATATGTATCAAAATTTATTTTTCCATTTGTCTATCTATGAACACTTAGATTGTTTTTCACCAAGATATAAAAACAAATTTTCCTGAAAATTTGCCTATCTATGAACACTTATACTGCTTTTATATCTTGGCTATTGTGAATAATGCCACAATAAACATGGGAAGATAGATATATTTACAAGGTGTTGATTTCAATTTTATTCATTATATGCCCAGAAAAAGTGTTGTTGGATTATATGGTGGTTCTATTTTTAATTTCTTTAGAAACTTCCATACTGTTTTCCAAAATGGCTATACCAATCTACATTCTCACCAACAGTGTACAAGAATTCCCTTTCTCCACAATCTCACCAACATTTGTTATCTTATTGACTTTTGGGTATTAATAATAGTCATCTATTTGCATTTTTTGATTTAATGATACTGGGTACATTTTCATATACCTATTGGCCATTTTTATATCTTCTTATAAGAAGGTTTTTCAGGTATTTTGATCATTTTATATTGAATTGTTTTTACACTATTGAGTTGTATGAATTCTTTATAAATTTTGGACACTCATCCCTTTATCAGATATAATCATACCTTGTATTAATGAACTTCTCTTTATTGTGCTTCACAGAGAGTATTTTGACAAAATCCTTACAAATTGAAGGATGTAGCAACCCTTCCTTGAGCAAGTCCATTGGCATGGTTTTTTTTGTACTGCATGTGCTCACTTCATGTTGTTGTGTCATGTTTTGATAATTCTTGCAATATTTCACACTTCTTTCTCACGTTTGTTATGGTGATGTATGATCACTGATATTTGATGTTTCCATTGTAATTGTTTGAGGGATCACAAACTGTGCCAGTATAAGACAGGAAACGTCTTTGATAAATGTTACCTGTGTTCAACATGTGTTCTGACTGCTGTACTGACTAGCTGTTTCCTCTTCTCTCTCTGTTCCTCAGGCCTCCTTATTCCCTGAAACACAGTAATATTGAAATTAGGCCTATGAATAACCACACAGTGGTCTCTAAGTGGTCAAGATAAAGGAAGAGTTGTACATTCTCACTTTAAATCAAATACTAGAAATGATTACGCTTATTGAGGAAGGCATGCCAAAATTTGAGATAGGCTGAAAGCTAGGCTTCTTGTGCTAAATCATTAGCCAAGCTGTGAATGCAAAAAAAAAAAAAAGAAAGAAAAAGTTTAATGAGGAAATTAAAGTGCTATGCCAGTGAACACATGCTAAGAAGGCACAACAGCCTTCTTCCTGATCTAGAGAAGGTTATTGGTCTGGATTGAAGATCAAAGCAGTCACCCCATTCCTTTAAGTCAAAGCCTAATCCAGAACAAGGTCCTAACTCTTGCCAATTCTATGCAAGTTAAGAGAGGTGAGGAAACTTGAGAAGAAAATGCTGAATCTAGCAGAGGTTCATGAGGTTTAAGGAAAGAAGGCATCTTCATAACATAACATTGCAAGACAAAGCAGCAAGTGCTAATGTAGAACCTGCATCAAGTTAACCAAAAGATCTAGATAAGATAATCAAAGAAGGTGGCTACACTGTATAACAGATTTTTAATGTAGGCAAAACAGCATTCTGTTGATAAAAGATGCCATCTAGGACTTTCATAACTAGAGATGGGTACTAAATGACTGGTGTCAAAGTATCAAAAGACAGGCTGACCCTCCTGTTATGAGCTAATGCAGCCGGTGACCCTAAGTGGAAGCCAATTCTCATTTACCATTCTGAAAATCTTACGGCCTTTAAAAATTATGCTAAATCTACTCTGTCTGTGCTCTATGAATGGAACAACAAAGCCTGGATGACAGCACATCTGTTTACAGCATGGCTTATTAAATATCTGAGACCTACTATTGAGAGCTACTATTCAGGAAGAAAAGCATTCCTTTCAAAATATTACTGGTCATTGACAATGTACCTTGTCAACCAACAGCTCTGATAGAAATTTACACAGAGATTCATGTTGCTTTTATGCCTGCTACCACAACAGCCATTGTGTAGCTCATTAAACAAGGAGTAATTTGGACTCTCAAGTCTTATTATTTAAGGCTTTATTATCGATAAGGCTGTAGCTGCCATGAATAGCTATTTCTCTGGTAGATCTGAGAAAAGTCAATTGAAAACGTTCTTGGAAAGATTCACCATTCTGAATGCATTAAGAATATTTGAGGGCTGGGCGTGGTGGCTCATGCCTGTAATCCTAGCACTTTGGGAGGCTGAGGCGGGTGAATCACAAGGTCAGGAGTTCAAGACTAGCCTGACCAATGTGGCGAAATCCTGTATCTATTAAAAATACAAAAATTAGCTGAGTGTGGTGGTGCATGCCTGCAATCTCAGCTACTCAGGAGGCTGAGGCAGGAGAATTGCTTGAACTCAGGAGGCAGAGGTTGCAGTGACCTGAGATTGTGCCACTGCGCTCCAGCCTGGGCGACAGAGTTAGACTCTGTCTCAAAAAAAAAAAAAAAGAATATTTGTGATTCATGAAAGGGGATAAAAAATATCAAAATTAACAGGAGTTTGGAAAAAGTTGATTCCAACCCCCATGGATGATTTTGAGGGATTCAAGACATCCATGGAGGAAGAAGTTACAGATGTGGTGGAAATAACAAGATAAATTAGAAGTGGAGCCTGAAGATGGGACTGAATTGCTATAATCTAACGTTCAAAATCAAACAAATGAGAAGTTGCTTCTTATGAATAAGAAAAGAAACTGGTTTATTGACGTAAAATCTACTCTTGGGGAAGGTGATGCAAATGTTGTTGAAATGACAACAAAAAATTTAGAATATTACATAAACTTAGCTGATAAAGTAGCAGCAGGGTTTGAGAGGATTAACCCCAATTTTGAGAAAAGTTCTACTGTGGATAAAATGCTGTGAAACAGCATCACTTGTTACAGAAAACTTTTTCATGAGAGAAAAAGCTAATATATATGGCAAATTTCATTCCAGTCTTATTTTAAGAAATTTTCGTAGCCACCCCAACCAACCTTCAGGAACTATCACCCTAATCAGTCAGCAGACACCAACATTGAGGCAAGACCCTCCACCAGCAAAAAGATTACAATTGGCTGAAAGTTTAGATAACTTTCAGCATTTTTAAATAATGAAGTATTTTAAAGTAAAGTATGTACATTGATTCAGACATAATATTATTGCACATTTAATTGACTACAGTATAAGCATAAGTACTACATGCACTGGGAAACCAAAAAATTCATGTGACAAATTACATTTTTTCTCTCTTTAGTGCTCTTGCTAGTATTTCCAGCACACTATTGAATAGAAGTCATGAGAGTGGACATCCTTGCTTCTTACTGGGTCTTAGTAGGAAGCTTTCAATTTTTCCACATTGAGTAAAATTTTAACTATGGTTCTATTTGCCCATTCTTGCACTGCTATCAAGAAATACCTGACACTGGGTAATTTATTAAAAAAAAAGAGATTTAGTTGGCTCGTGGTTTTGCAGGCTGTACATGAAGTGTAGCGGCTTCTGCTTCTGGAGAGGCCTCAGAAAACTTACACTCATGGCAGAAGGCAAAGGGAAAGCAGGTGCATCTTATATGGCCAGAGCAGGAGCAAAAGAGAGAAGACAGAGGAGCTACACACTTTTAAACAACCAGATCTCATGAGAATGCTATCACTATATAGTAATAAGGGGGAATGGTAATAAACCATTCATGAGAATTTCACTCCCATATCTAATCACCTCCCACCAGGCCCCACCTCCAGCAATGGGACATTTCAACATGAGATTTGGGTGAGGACACAGATCCAAACCATATAATTCCACTCCTGGACCCTCTCAAATATCATGTCCTTCTTACATTTCAAAATACAATCATGTTTTCTCAAAGTCCCCTGAAGTCTTAACTCATTCCAGCATTAACTCAAAAGTCTATAGTCCAAAGTGTTATCTGAGAAAGGGCTGGTCCCTCCTGCCTATGACCCTGTAAAATAAATAAAAAACAAAACAAGGTAGTTACTTCCAAGATAAAATGAGGATATAGAGATTGGATAAATACTTCCATTCCAAAAGGGAGAATTGGCCAAAACAAAGGGGCTACACTCCCCACTCAAGTCAAAAACCCAGCAGGTCAGTCATTAAATCATAAAGTTCCAAAATAATTTCCTTTGACTTCATGTCTCATATCAAGGCCACACTGGTACAAGGTGTGGGCTCCCAAAGCCTTGGGCCCTTGTGTAGTTCTGGCCCTGCGGCTTTGCAGTGTTTGTCACCTGCCTCCAGCTGTTCTCATGGGCTAGCATTGAGCATCTGCAGCATCTCCAGATGCATGATGCAAGCTGCCAGTGATTCTACCATTCTGGGGTCTGGAGGATGATGGCCCTCTTCTCATAGCTCCACTAGGTAGTGCCCCAGTGGGGACATTGTGTAGGGGCTCCAACCCATATTTGCCCTTTACACTGCCCTAGTAGAGCTTCCCATGAGAGCTGCATCCCAGCAGCAGACTTCTGCTTGGACATGCAGGTTTTCCATACATTCTCTGAAATCTAGAGAGAGGCTCCAAGCTTCACCTCTTGCACTCTGCTTACCCACAGGTTTAACACCACATGGAAGCCACAGAGGCTTACAGTTTGAACTCTCTAAAGCAGTATCTTGAACTGTACTTGGGCCTCTTTGAGCCAAGGCTGGATCTGGAGCAGCTGGGACGCAGGGAGCAGTGTCTCGAGGATGTACAGGAAGGCAGGGCCCTGGGCCTGGCCCTCAAAAGCATTATTCCCTCCTAGGCCTCTGGGTCTGTGATAGGAGGGGCTGCCACAAAGATCTATGAAATGCTTTTGAGGCCTTTTCCCCATTGTCTTGAATGTTAGCACTTGGCTCCTTTTTTCTTGTGCAAATTTATACAGCCTGCTTGAATTCCTCCTCTGAAAATGGGCTTTTCTTTTCTACTACATGGCCAAGCTGCAAATTTTCCAAATTTTTATGTTCTGCTTCCCTTTTTAATGTAAGTTCCAGTTTTTGGTCATTTCTTTGCTCACACATATAAACATAGGTTGTTAGAAGCAGCTAGGCCACATTTTGAATGCCTTGCTGCTGAGCAATTTCTTCTACCAGATACCTTAAATCATCACTCTCAAGTTCAAAGTTCCACAGATCTCTAGGGCATGGGCATAATGCACCCAAGCTCCTTGCTAAAGCATAACAAAAATGACTGCTCCACTTCCCAATAAGTTTCTTATTTCTATCTGATATCTCATTAGCCTAGTTTTCACTGTCCACATCACTATCAGCATTTTGGTCACAACCATTCAACAAGTCTCTAGGAAGTTTCAAGCTTTCTGTCATCTTATTGTTTTCTTCTAAGCTCTCCACACTCTTCCAACCTTTGCCCATTACCCAGTTCCAACATTGCTTCCACATTTTCAGGTTTCTTTATAGCAATGCCTAATTCCTCAATTATCTGTGTTAGGTTGTTCTAGCATTGCTATAAAGAAATATCTGAGACTGGGTAATTTATAATGCAAAGAGGTTTAATTGGCTCATGATTTCCTAAGCTGTGTAGAAAGTACAGCAGCTTCTGCTTCGGGGAAGCCTCAAGGATCTTTCACTCATGCTGAAAGGCAAAGTTGGAACAGTCATCCTACATGGCAGGAGCAGGACCAACAGAGAGACGGGGGAGATGCTGCACACTTTTAAACAATCAGATCTCATGAGAACTCTCTCATTATGCAGTACCAAGGGGGGACTGGTGCTAAACCATTCATGAGAATGCCACCCACATGATTCAATCACCTCCTATCAGGCTCCATCTCTAACACCGGGAATTACACTTCAACATGAGATATGGGTGGGAACGCAGTTCCAAATCATAACAAAAGGTTTTCATAAATGACATTTATCATGTTGAAAAACTTTCCTTCTATACCTAAACTGTTGAAGGTTTTAATTAAGAAAGAAGGTTGGATTTTGTTGAATGCTTTTTTTTGCATCAATTGAAATAATCATGTAGTTTCAAGTTTTCATTATGTTAATGTGATATATCACATTGATTAATTTGCCTATGTTAAATTAGCCTTGCATGTCAGAGATAAATATTACTTTGTCATATAATATTTTAAATACATTGTTGAATTTCATCTGCTAATATTTTGTAGATAATTTTTGCATCAATGTACATCAGATAAATTGACCTGTAGTTTTCTTTTCTTGTGACGTGTTTTTTTAACTTAGGAATCAAGGTGATGCTGGATTTATAAAATGAGTTTGAAAGCATTCCCTCTAGCTCTATTTTTCAGCAGTTTTTAGAATTGTTGGAAATTATTAAAGTTTTCTTTGAATGTTTCGTGGAATTCTGCTGTAAAGCGGTCTGGTCTTAGGCTTTTCTTTGTTGGAAAGATTTTTACAACTTCATTATCTCCTATTTGTTTTTATATGTTCAGACTTTTTATTTCTTTCTGGTTCAATCTTGGTAGGTTGTATTTTTCTATTAATTTATTAATTCCCTAGATTATCCAATTTGCCAGCACATAATTGTTCCTAATAGTCCCTTATGATTTTTTTATTTCTGAGATATGTATTATGAAATTTACACTTTCATTTTTAATTTTGTATTTGACCCTTCTCTATTCTTTTCTTAGTCTAACTAGGGGGTTGTCAATTTTGTTTTTATTTAAAAAAATCAAGTGCTGGTTTGATTGATTCTCTCTGTATTTTTTCTGTTCTCTATTTGATTTCTTTCTGATAATTTTGGTTTTAGTTTGTTCTTTTGATTCTTTAGGCATAATGTTATGCTATTTATTTAGAATGTTTCTTCTTTTTTTAATGTAGGCATTGATTGATATAAACATCACTCTTAGAATTGCTTTTGCTACATTTCATGGGTTTTGGTACGTTGTGTTTCCATTGTTGTTGGACTCCATATATTTTTAAATATTTCTTTTGATTTCTTTCTTTACTCATTGGTTGTTCAGAAGTGTGTTGTTTAATTTCCACATATTTGTGAATTTTCCACAATTCACCATGTTATTTATGTTTAGTTTTGTATCTTTGTGATATGAAATGGTACTAGATATAATTTCAAACTTTTAAAATTTGTTAAGACTCATTTTGTAGCCTAACATATGTTCTATACTGGAGAGTGTTTCATGTGCACTGAAGAAAAATGTGTGTTCTGCTGTTGTTGGAGGTAAAGTTTTGTAAGTGTGTTTTAGGTCCATTTGTTCAAAAATACAATTCAATTTAGTATTACCTTATTAATTTTCTAACTGGTTGATTTATTCATTGTTCAAGGAGGCTTATTGAAGGCCCCTACTTTATTGTATTGCTATCTCTCTTTTCCTTCACATTTATTAATATTTGCTTTATGTATCTAGGTGCTCCAATGTTGGGTGCATGTATATTTACAGTGGTTATGTCCTCACAATTAATTTACCTTTTTATCATTAAATAGAGACCTTCTTTGTCTCTTGTGATAGATTTTGACTTGAAACCTATTTAATCAGATATAAGTATAGCCACTTCTGCTCTCTTGTAGTTGCCATTTACATGGAATATCTTCTTTCATCCTCTCACTTTTAGCCTATGTGTATTCTTAAAGTTTACATGAGTCTCCTGTATGCAGCATATAGTTAGTTCTTGTTTTCCTATGCATTCAGCCACTCTATGTCCTTTGATTGGAAAATTTAATCCATTTACATTCAAGGTTATTATTGGTAGGTTAGCACTTACTACTGCCATTCTGTTAATTTTTCCTTGTTGTTTTGTATCTCCTTTTTCCCTTTTTTCCTCTCTTGTTGTCTACCTTTATAATTTTATAATATTCTGTAGTCCTATGCTTAAATTCCTTTCTCTTTATCATTTGCATATCTGCTACAGTTTTTTGTTTTGTTTTGTTACAATGAGGTTTGCATAAAATATCTCATACTTCTAATCTACTGTTTTAAGCTGATAACAACTTAACTTCTGTGACATACAAAAAATTCCAGACTTTTACCCTTCCCTTCACAATTTATGTTTTTATGTCACAATTTACATCTTTTTATAGTGTGTGTTTCTTAATAACTTATTGTAGCTTGATTTTTTACTCTTTTGACCTTTAGACTTCATACTAGATGTATGTATGATTTACACAGCATCATTGTAGTACTGGAGTATTCTGGATTTGACTACATATTTAATTCTAACAGTGAGTTTTATGCTTTTATATATATACATGATAACAATTATTGTCCTTTCATTTCTGCTTTAAGAACTCTTAAGCATTTCTTATAAGGCTGATCTAGTGGTAACAAATAACCTGAGCTTTTGCTTCTCTGAGAAAGTCTACTTTTTTTTTTTTCACTTCCGAAGCACAGCTTTGATGGGAATAGTATTCTTGATTGGCAGTTTTTTTTTCTAGCACTTTGAATATATCATCTCATTCTTTTCTGACCTGCAAGGTTTCTGCTGAGAAAACTGCTTATGATTTAATGAGGATTTCCTTATATGTGAGTTGATGCTTTTCTCTTGCTGCTTTTCAACTTCTTTCTTTGTCTTCGACTTTTGATGTTGTGATTTTAATATGTGTTGGAGAAAATCTCTTTGCATTGAATGTATTTTGGGGACTTTTGAGCTTCATAGATGTCCATGTCTTTCCCAAGACTTGAGAAGTTTTCAGAAAGTACTTCATTAAATAAGCTTTCTGTTTCTTTCTCTATCTCTTTTCCTTCTTTTAAACTCTCACAATGTGAAACTTTGTTTGCTTAATGGTATCTCATAAGTCCTGTAGGCTTTCACTATTTTTTATTCTTTTTTTCTTTCTTTTATTTCTTTTTTCTTTTCTTTTGAATAAGTCAATTCAAAAGACCTTCTTCAGGTTCACAGATTCTCTCTTCTGTTGCATCTAGTCTGCTGTTGAAGCTCTCAATTATATATATATATATATTAATATATTATATATAAATATATATTTATATATAATACATATGTATATATAATTATATATTATTTTATATAATACTATATAATATATAATTGTATATTATTTTATATAATAATATATTAATATATAATTATATATATTTTATATATTATGTATTATTAATATAATATATTATATATAACATATAATATATTATATATTATTTTTATATATAATATATTATATATAAGATATAAGATATAATATCTTATATATAAGATATTATATCTTATATATAATATATAAGATATTATATCTTATATATAAGATATTATATCTTATATATTATATATAATATATTATATCTTATATATTATAAATATATATTATATATCTTATATATTATAAATATATATTATATATCTTATATATTATAAATATATATTATATATCTTATATATTATAAATATATATTATATATCTTATATATTATAAATATATATTATATATCTTATATATTATAAATATATATTATATATCTTATATATTATAAATATATATTATATATCTTATATATTATAAATATATATTATATATCTTATATATTATATATTTATAATTTATAATATTTTATATATCATATATAATATATTATAAATATTATAAATATATAATATTTATAATATATAATATACATAATAAATATTATATATAATATATTTGTAATACATATATTATAAATATATATATTTACTATATATTATATATTATATGATGATAATGGGCGCTGTGAGGTCCTCTTGTTTACCTTCTCCTTGCAAAGCGAAGTCCCTTCTGGTTCCAAGCTGATTCTGACTTACGGGAATGAGGTGGCAGAGGCAAAGTGTCTCCTTTCCTTCCATGTGTGACCATCCTGAGTTTCTGTGCTCTACAAGATTTCTGCAGCTTCTTTACTATTATCCAGTGCTCCTTTAGTTATTTTGGATAAAGCGTAGTTTTTTTTGTAGTTTTGGAATTTCTTTTTATGGGAATGAAGACCACAAGGAGCTTCTAGTCAGCCATCTTGCTGATGTCACTGTTACTAGTTACTTCTTGTGTCTATCTTTTAATATTATGCTTTCCTAAAATGTTGCCTATTTCGTCTAAATTTCCAGACATAATTTTTCATAATAATTTATTATCTTTTTAATACCTGCTAGCTTTTAGAGACAAAGTACTTTTACTTTTTAATTTGTTACAAGTTATTTATGCCTTCTAACCCCTTTCCCCTCTTTTTAAAATCATTTTGCCAGATGTTTGCTTTTAGTCTTTTCAAAGAATTAACACTTCAATGTATTAATCATCTCTTTATATTTTTTTCAGTTTATTATTCAGCTTTCATCTACATTATCTTTCCTTTTTTAATTAAAGTTTTCTTTGCTGTTTTATTTCTAACATCTTTAGATGGACGCTTAGCTCCTTACACTTCGAGCCATCCTTATTTCCTAGTGCATTACTTTAAGGCTATAAATTTTCATCTATTACTATTTTAAAAGTGTCCCCGGTTTTTTGTGTAACACACTTTTATTATCATTCAGTTTAAGACATTTTATAATATCTGTTGTTATTTCTTTTTATTTAAGGTTTAGATAACATTCATTTCTTATTTAGCAAATAGAGTTTTTCTAGAGGCTGTTTGTTGTAGTTGCCTAGTTAAATTTCATTGTGGTCAGAGAACATATTCTATATTTTATCAATCCTTTGGAAATTGTAGAGATTTTCTTTATGGATGAAAATAGAGTCAATTTTGTGAATATTCCTTTTTTGCTTGAAAAGAATGTGGGTCTTAAGATTGTTGTATGTTATATTCCAATATAAATTTATTTGTTCAATATTAATTATTTTGTTAACATAAACATTTATAAAAGTAATATTTTTCAAAATATAGAATTATTTTATATTTTTATAAAACTCTTTAATTTTGACTGTTTGAATATAGCTAAATTCTCATATCTGTTTCTGCATTCAACCTGTTGCAATATGTTGTTTTGGTTTAAGTGCATGAAGACAATTGGGCCTCATCTAGTTAGGCAGTTGGAAAATAGAGTAAGTTGGATGACCATTAGTTGTCAGATCATATTTTAAGAATGCCTGGTCTAGTTCCATTATTTCATTAGATACCACAAAATACTAATTTTCTAATTTTACCAATACCTCAGTATTGAAAAATCTCCTTTGTATTCTCTTTTAATATCTGATTTATTTTTTATCATCTATTCAAAACAATATATTTTCTGCCATCTCTCTTTACTCTTGTGTTAATTCTAATCTTTTCCCTGATTATTAAACTTAACTTATAATTATTTCCCAAATTCTTTTAACTGTCTTTCATGTCCTTATTTCTCATTTTTTCCAATCTTTCTACCAGATATCCTATTTTTCTTTCATAATCCCTGTTTACTCCTATAGAAATACTAGTTTATAGGTTTTCCCTGCATTATGACACATTTTTCCGGTGTGTCTCCATTTCCTACAGGTGTTTGATTCTCATTATCCTCTTTTATTCTTCTAGTATTTACTATGGGTTTGAATGTAATCCTTTTTTATTCTTTATGTCTAAATCAGATGAATTTTGTTATAATTTTAGAAGTTTAAGCCAGAAAAGGATTTCTCATTTTATGGCTCCAGGGCTGCTTCTTTGGGGGTGTGATGAAAATATTATTGCTACTGCTGCCAGGGGTGCTGCCAGGAGGAAGCTCTGAGCTACCAGCCTCTTAGGGGATTAGCACAGCTACGGAAAACCACTTTGCTCACATTCACTCCCCTCCCTGGAGTGATCTAAAACCAATTAGGATGACGGGGAGGCCGAGCATGGTGGCTCATGCCTGTAATCCCAGCACTTTGGGAGGCCAAGGCGGGAGGATCACGAGGTCAGGAGATCAAAACCATCCTGGCTAACACGGTGAAACCCCTTCTCTACTAAAAATACAAAAAAAAATTAGCTGGGCGTGGTGACGGGCGCCTGTAGTCCCAGCTACTGGGGAGGCTGAGGCAGGAGAATGGCGTGAACCCAGGAGGTGGAGCTTGCAGTGAGCCGAGATTGCACCACTGCACTCCAGCCTGGGCGACAAGGCGAGACTCCGTCTCAAAAAAAAAAAAAAAAAAAAAAAAAAAAGGATGAGGGTGGGAATTAAAACCCAGCTCCGAACAATTCCTGAAGGGCTTTTCTTGCTGCAGAGCTCCCAGTGTGGGCAGCTGAGGCTATTGCGCTGACATTGCAGCTTGATAGCTCCCTGTATCCAGCCCCACTTCCTTCCCTCCCTTTCACAAGTATTGATCCCAAAGGATCCCCCTTCATAAGCATCCAGTGTGCTAAATCCCGTCTCAGAGCTTTCTTCTAGGACCCAACCTGAGATGTGACAACTAATATTGAGAAAGTAGTCTGTCACTTTACCAGAATTTCTGCCACCTGCTTTCTCTCAAGTTTTCCTCAAATGGTATCGAAAACTTGCCTTCCTTTTACCCCAAATCTGTTTTATTCCTCAAGCAATTTGTATTTTACTTCAAGTCGTCTGTCTCTGTTGTCAAGTCTCTGTCCTTTCGTTGAGTATTTCAGTAGCTGTGAAGTCCCAGGTAACCCCTCATGGTCAGTCCTTCCCAGAGAATCTTGTACTCACCTACCAGTTTGGATTGCTGTTCTCAGATCCACCAGTTAATTTCTTTACTCCCAGTGGGGGGGCTTTGTTTGGAGTGGTGAGGACTTAGCATTGCTCAGAGCCGTCTTCTCTTTCTTCCCTTTGTTCTCACACCACTGCTGACCTGGTGGTTTGCCCCAGTCTCCTTGATGCATATTCATCAGGTCTTATTCAACACATTATTTCCATCGTTTTGTTCTGCTATCCTGGTTGCTCCATCCATTTTTTTTGGAGGATTTGTGGAGATTTTAGTAGAGCTCCAAAGATATGCTTCTGCTATCTTCTTAGCATTTATCAGAAGGTGATATTTCTTGATACATTCTAAATCCGGACACCTCTTAGGGAGTTTCCTTGCTTTCTTTTCTTAATCTCCTTAGTGATCTTCCCGCTTCACTCTGACTCCTGCTCACATCATTTCCCATTCCTTGTGGAACTTCCTCTTTTGGGTTCTGCCACTGCCAGTCTACCACTTGTCTTCTCATTTTTTCCTGCTTGTCTCAGTTTTTGGTTTTTTTCTGTTTGGTGTTGCTTGGCTATATGAACATATAATTTAGATTTTCCCCCACTCATTTTGTTTTCTTGTTTAGTTTATTTGAGAAAAAGTAGAGCCATTATTTCTGATACCATAGGTTCCTAAAATGTGGAGGCAGAGTCCAACTCTTATTTGACACAGTTATTTTACCTTTTACTTTTATTATAGGTAGCTAGCAATTGTGTAATTTTTCACTTCACCTTCCATTGTTGAGAATTCCATTTTACCGCATTTAAATAAAAATTCAAATTCTCAGTTGATAAGTGGTTACTGATATGAAACATAGCTACTCACACAAACCACTAGTGGCTAGAGCCCTTGGAGGGAAAGGCAGAAGTGGGTCTAATTTGAGGTAGCCCGATTATCTCCTTTTACAGTCTATCCCTGTCAATAAGTAGGCCAGGTATTCAATTTAGTCTCTTGAAGTGAGATAAATGTCTCATCAAATGATTTATATCAACATTCAGAAGCGTTTACCTAAGCGAGTGCTACATATAAAGACTATTTATGATTTTATAACAGATGAGAGCTGTCTGAAATAAGCATGCAGCCTGTACCATAGGCATACATCATTCCATTTTTAGAACTTCTGAAATATCTTTTGTGTATGTGTATTCAACACATACACACACATAATGTATATGTGTATTGTGTAGTTTTCTAACTAAATTAAAACATTCTCCTATGTACTCACCTTATCACTCAAGAAAAACAAAATTACCAGTAGCCTTGAAACCCAGTGTGCGTGCTACACAATCACATGCTCCACTCACTTTTTACAGAGATAACTATTATTCTAAATATGTTTTTTTAAATACATTCTTCCATATTTTTCATTTGCAAATGAGCTTTCTTGTCCATGTTTCCTGATGAACATGTACAAGAGTATTCTGGATTTTAAAGTATGCGATTGTTATATTTAGATAATGCAAGATACTCTTCCAAAGTGCTTTTAAAAATCTCCTGTCACAAGGAACGTGTAGGGGTCAATTTCTACAAATCCTTGCTTGTGCTTGGTACTGCCACATTAAATTTCTTTGGGACAAATGAACATTTTACTGATTACCAATATTTAAGCATCTTTTCTTATTATTGTTGTCCTTTGTGTTGGCAAGCCAGGCAAACTTCTTTGCTTCAACAAGAAGAAAATCATAAGCTTCAAAGCACACGCTAATAGAGATGGATAGCCCTGGTGGGCTCTATGATGGGCCCTACAGTCAGTGAGGCAACCTACCCACGTATATGCTGTCTTCCCTCTGAAGCCTGAAAAATACTGCACTCACTCATAATTTTGAATATGCCACTTGCATTTTGTTAACAAATGTTACTGGCCTTTTCTTCTCTCTTTTATTCTGACATCTTTCTTTTTAGTGTGATTGATATTTCTGATGTAAGAATCATGGTGCTCTTCCATGGTAGGGGTAGTTTTGATCAGTGCCCCATAACAAGCTAGTAATTTTCCTCTAAATGAGCTATCATGAGTATTTGTATCAGGGACATTTGTATATCAACACCTGAGAGTAGCCTTTTGCGGAGTTTCTGCCCAAAACTCCAGTCTGGGTACATTTTATTAGTAGTTTCTCCAGACTAGCCTTCTTTGGTTTCTGCCCAAAACTCGAGTCTCAGTATATTTTGCTTTCTAGCATGTCTAGCATCATCTGAGCAATCAAGTACACTAATAAGAGCCAAGTTGGATTGCCTGTGCTATGATCCTTAGGAATATTTTAAGGCATATTTTCTAAACAGCCATCCTCCCATCCAAATTCAGATTTGTTTCTGCTGATTTTGTTTATGGACCAACAAGATTCCTGGATGAGAAATATAATTTCACCAAAACCCCAAATTCTTAGCTGTCTCTGAGTTTCCCAATAGTGACTTGGTCTGTGAGAAACAGTAGCTTGTTTCTCACAGTTTAAGGAATGATTCTAAATTTAAGAGCTCATGCAATCCTCTAGAACTTCACAAACTTTGCTAAGCCCTGAATTTTAGTTGGATGCATCAGCTACACAGGGTGACTGTAGTCATCAACCTCTCCTTTACGCCTTCCTCTCCGAAGCCAGCTGTCAAGATATCACAGTTGTAGTGTCTAACTTGCACTTAATTTTTGTCAGTGTAAATCCTGCCTAAGTGATGGCAAAACAAACACAACACTCAAAACTTAATAGCACATAAACCTAAAAAGGAACAAAATATTTGAATACACACTATACCAAAGAAAATATACTATTGCAAATAAGTACATTAAAATATGTTCAACTTTTTTTTTTTACAGGAATGTAAATTAAAACTGTAATGAAATACAACTACATGCCAACTGGAATGGGTAAACATAAGACTGGCCATGTCAAGTGTTGGTGAGAAAATGGAGCAAGTAGAATTCTCATACACTGCTGGTGGGAATGTATAATGATGCAACCACTTTGGAAATTAGTTTGTCATTTTCTTTTTTTTTTTTTTTGAGACAGAGTCTTGCTCTGTTGACCAGGCTGGAGTGCAGTGGCACAATCTCGGCTCACTGCAACCTCCACTTCCCAGGCTCAAGCAATTCTCCTGCCTCAGCCTCCTGAGTAGCTGGGATGATAGGCGTGTGCCACCATGCCCGGCTAATTTTTGTATTTTTAGTAGAGACAGGGTTTCACCATGTTGGCCAGGCTGGTCTCCAACTCCTGATCTCAGGTAATCCTCCAGCCTCGGCCTCCCAAAGTGCTGGGATTACAGGCGTGAGCTACCGTGCCCAGCTAGTTTGTCATTTTCTTAAACAAATGATATGTACTCTACTATACAACTCAGTCATTCCACTCCTCTATGCTTATTTGAGAGAAATGAAGTATGGGTGCATACACAGGAATGATGTGAATCATCATATTAGCTTTTTGTGTAGTAGCCAAACGCTAAAAACAAGCAAAATGTCCATTGAGAGGTGAAGGAATGAACAAATTGTGGTATATCCGCACAATAAAATACCACCCAGGAATGAAAAGAACAAACTTTTGATAAATGGAATACATGTATCAGTTTCAAAATAATTATGCTTAAACTATCCAGGCACTAAAATAATAGATGTTGTATGATTAATTTATATTAAATTCTAGAAAATATAATTTATAATGACAGAAAGCAGATCAATTGTTGCCTGTATAGGTGGAGACAAACAGCTAATACTATTGGTTGAATAAATAGGTTAATGGTTTCAATGATTACTAGTATAGGGATTAGTGGAATGGGAGAGATGAATTGCAAATGAGGAAACTTTGGGAAGTAATGGTTATTTTTACTATTTCGCTTACGGCGATCTTTTCTTCAGTTGTATGCATTATGTCAAACTTATCAAGGTGCACACTTTAAATGTGAAGTTTATTGTATTACAATTATATCTCAATAAATCAGTTTTTATAATATATCAAATCAACCCCTTCTTTAATCAGAACAATGATCTCTAATTTCTCTCCTGGTATTATAATACATTTTTTCTCTTATATAGCTTAACATATAGTGCCAAAGAAGGCTTGAGCATTTTCAAATGTTTCCATCCAGAATGGCTAATTAACACCAGCTCAAAAATGAATTTAAGCAATGTACCCTTTGAAGATAGCAAGGGCAAAATTCTTCATTCACATATAATATGTATCATTATATATCATATAATATATATTATATATATATCACATATAATTCACATATAATATATATCAAAATGTATCTTCAGGCCATTGTTAGTAATTCAACCCACATGTCAAGTCACATCTTCATGACATCTCCTTATCGCTCAGTCTCACTTTTTAGACCCTTAGAATGGCGTCCTTACTCCTTACAGGATATACACTAATGGGTATACAACAAGCACTGATCAAGCCACCCTAAAAGGTGATGCAACCACCCCTAAAACTGAAGTTCTGAAATCTATTTTGAAACTAACATTATTTCCATCTTACATTTGTAGATAATTTTAGGTTTTATGTATGTTTTAATTGTTTTTTCCTAACATGGGAATATAATCTGCTAGTCTCTTGGTTGTTTGAGGAGAGAGATTCCTTCTTCTATGTTGCTATCCATAGAGATTAATATTGTTTCCAAATCATGGTAGGAAGACTTTTCTTGATTGCTAAATAAAACAACTGTAGTAGATACTGTTGACTTTTTAACTGTTATTTTTAATTGTGGCAAAATATGCATAATTTAAAATGTATTATCTTTAACCATTTTGAAGTATACAATTTAGTAGTGTTAAATGCATTCACATTGTTGTGTAGACAGTCTTCGTAACTTTCATCTCGCAAAACTGAAACTGTATACTCATTGAATAGCAACTCCACATTCTCCTTTTCCCCCCAGCCCCTAGCAACTACCATTCTACTTTTTGTCTCTATGTATTTGAATACTCTAGGTACCTCATATAGCCTAATGTCATCAAGGTTCATCTATGTTGTAGCATGTGTCAAATTTTCTTCCCTTTTAAGGCTGACTAATATTCTACTGTTTATATACAGTGCATTTTGTGTATCTATTCATCCACTGATGGACACTGGGCTGCTTCTATCTTTGGCTACTGGAAATGATGCTGCAATAGACATAGATGTACAAATATTTCTTCCAGACTCTGCTTTCAATTCTTTTGTGTATATATCCAGGGGTGGCATGACAGGATTATATGGTAATTCTATGTTTAATTTTTTGAAAAAGCACCATTTATATTCTACAGTGGATGCATCCCCAGCAAGAGTGCCCAAGGGTTCAAATTTCTCCATATCAGCAATATTTGTATTTTCTGTTTTTTAAAATATCATGGTCATCCTGATGATGTAAGGTGGTATTCCACTGTTCTTTTGATTTGCTGATTTCCTGTTATATTGCAGAAAATGGGAGGTCAGAAAATTGCAATTTATTTAAGATTATATAACTGTTACATGACAGAGCTGAGACGTGAATCCAAATCTGACTCAGTCTAGTAGTTTTCATCTATATGGTTAATAAGCATATTATATATAAATCTGATTATGTCACTTTCCCATTTAAACCCTCCTTTTGATTCTCATTGCACAAATAAAACCACATTACTGTTATGGCTTGCAAGGTTTTGTAAGATCTAGATCCTGCCTTCCTGATTGAATTATTCTAGTCTGTAGTTCCCTTCTCTCACCATTTTTCAAAATTTGCCTTTTATTCCTGTTTCTTGAACAGACATGACTCACCTACTTCTCAGGGCCTTGTCAAGAACTATGAGGGCTCTGATATTTTACCTTAATTGCAATTGCAGAAGGTTAGTCTGCAAAAGTTTCATAGATATTGGCAGAAGATAAGAGATTTCTGGATCAGCCTTAAAGGACCTTATTACTTCCAGGGTTAACAGTAACCAGAATGTCAGCAATTACGCTGATTCTCTGAGTCACGACACCCAGGGCTTATTGAAAAGAACTTTGCACATGCAGTTGTTTGCACTCCAGAAGAGTAACCTCAAGCTTCTGGAACCCAAATCTTTATAATAGATAGTGAACATTCCTGATCTTTGACCCAGAGGATGACATTATTTATATTATACCAAATGGGGGGTGAAAAAAAAAACAATTTTCCCTTTGCTCTGGAGAGAGACACTATTCTTATCATCAGATTTTGTAAACAAAGCTACCTTTGCACTGGAGGAAGACAGTATCTCTATCTTCTAATGCTGTTTTCCACACACACATTCATGAAAAGGTGGTCTAAAACAAAGACTGTGAGTACCTCTGCTCAAATTGAGAGGTGACAGCGTGCTAGCAGTCCTCACAGCCCTCGCTCGCTCTCGGCGCCTCTTCTGCCTGGGCTCCCACTTTGGCGGCACCTGAGGGGCCCTTCAGCCCACCGCTGCACTGTGGGAGCTGGCCAAGGCCGGAGCTGGCTCCCTCAGCTTGCAGGGAGGTGTGGAGGGAGAGGCGCGAGCAGGAACCGGGGCTGCGCGGCGCTTGCGGGCCAGCTGGAGTTCCGGGTGGGCGTGGGCTTGGCGGGCCCTGCACTCGGAGCAGCCGGCCGGCCCTGCCGGCCCCGCCGCCCCGGGCAATGAGGGGCTTAGCACCCAGGCCAGTGGCTGCGGAGGGTGTACTGGGTCCCCCAGCAGTGCCAGCCCACTGGCGCTGCGCTCGATTTCTTGCCGGGCCTTAGCTGCCTTCCCGTGGGGCAGGGCTCGGGACCTGCAGCCCGCCATGCCTGAGCCTTCCCCCGGCCCCCGCAGTGGGCTCCTGTACGGCCCAAGCCTCCTGCATGAGCGCCGCCCCCTGCTCCACGGCGCCCGGTCCCATTGCCCACCCAAGGGCTGAGGAGTACGAGCGCATGGCGCGGGACTGGCAGGCAGCTCCACCTGCAGCCCCAGTGCGGGATCCACTGGGTGAAGCCAGCTGGGCTCCTGAGTCTGGTGGGGAGGTGGAGAACCTTTATGTCTAGCTCAGGGATTGTAAATACACCAATCGACACTCTGTATCTAGCTCAAAGTTTGTAAACACACCAATCAGCACCCTGTGTCTAGCTCAGGGTTTGTGAATGCACCAACGGACACTCTGTATCTAGCTACTCAGGTGGGGACTTGGAGAACCTTTGTGTGGATACTCTGTATCTAGCTAATCTGGTGGGGAGGTGGAGAACCTTTGTGTCTAGCTCAGGGATTGTAAATGCACCAATCAGCGCCCTGTCAAAACAGACCACCTGGCTCTACCAATCAGCAGGATGTGGGTGGGGCCAGATAAGAGAATAAAAGCAGGCTGCGGAGCTAGCAGTGGCAACCCGCTAGGGTCTGCTTCCACACTGTGGAAGCTTTGTTTTTTAGCTCTTTGCAATAAATCTTGCTGCTGCTCACTCTTTGGGTTCACACTGCCTTTATGAGCTGTAACACTGACCGCAAAGGTCTGCAGCTTCACTCCTGAAGCAAGCTAGATCACGAGCCCACCAGGAGGAACGAACAACTCCAGGCGCGCCACCTTAAGAGCTGTAACACTCACCGCAAAGGTCTGCAGCTTCACTCCTGAGCCAGCGAGACCACGAACCCACCAGAAGGAAGAAACTCCGAACACATCTGAACATCAGAAGGAGCAAACTCCTGACACGCCGCCTTCAAGAACTGTAACACTCACCGCGAAGGGTCCGCGGCTTCATTCTTGAAGTCAGTGAGACCAAGAACCCACCAATTCCAGACACAAAATGTCATGTAGAAATGCATACGCATACAATTTTAATTTTCTTTAATTATCCTTAAAGTACTTGTCGTATTTGAAATTTTCTTCTTTTCTTATTTTCCTGTCTCAAGCATACCTTACCAGCTCTCCAATTTCCCTGAAACTATTAAAGCTTCATGAAAACAGAAATAATCTGCAAAATTATCTGCATTATTCCTGGAGCCTATACCATTTGGCATATAGATGCTTAGTAAATATTTCTTGAAGGAATGAGTGAACCAGACACCACTGACTCAATTAGAAAAAATTTTATTATAGGATTCTGTGATGGTTTATTCTTGGCTTTCATAGACTTTTTAGATGGTTTCCTTTTGGCTTTCATTTCTAGCCTTTTGTATGAAAAATGAGAGAATTTTATTCACTCATTTATTTATTAGGATTCAAGCATTCAGTACATGTGTTGCACTTATATTAACAAAGAGGCTAATGCAGCAGATACGTTATTGTGAAAATAGGCAAATAATTGCTCATCTAGGTATGAGACCAATTTAACATTGTAATGGGCTCCTCTGCAT
This sequence comes from Homo sapiens, assembly GCF_000001405.40. Taxonomy (NCBI): domain Eukaryota; kingdom Metazoa; phylum Chordata; class Mammalia; order Primates; family Hominidae; genus Homo; species Homo sapiens. Next base: position 176,211,997 of record NC_000003.12, on the reverse strand, counting down.
GCAATGCTGATTTTGAGGCACTGGTAGATGCAATTCAATACTGAATTCTGCAACTCATCACATTTTCTGATAGCAGCAGCGTCTGAATTAGTCACGGTGATTGTGTGTCTTGGACATATAAAACTGTATGTTGGATTTTCATCTTTCAAAATAAGTAGAAAAATACCTATAAAATAAGATATAGAACAAAATATAAAGGTTAATTTTAATTGAAATCTTGTTATCTAAGTTGACTTTTTTTTTCTGGGTATGTGTAAAGACCCAATCTTACAAAGAGCTCTGCCTTCTTTTTCTATGCCCACTGTTCCTCATAACTCAGTACTGAAACACCACACATTGTTCTATTAGGTTATCTACAGAACATTTCTTTAGGAAAGATATATACTCTTCTCTTGGGAGACTATGGGCCAATGAAAATTTGTTAATCCAAGCAATAGAATACTGTGAAAAGTTCTACATCTTATCTCTTTTCAGAAAAGCAGCTAATTTTTATCGAGCATCCACAAAGTGCAAGACACTATGCCATTTTGTGTAATTTTTCAGGACCAAAATAACCTTATGAGATAAATATAACCTTCATTACTATTAGTGCTATTGTTACCACTACTGCTTCTATTGTTATTTAAATAACATTTTAAAATGTGGAAGCTAAAGCTTAGAAGGATTAATCTGACCAAGGTCACAAAATTAGATGTGGAAAAGGCAGGATTATGTTTTTAGTAAATCGTTCAAATGAGGATTAGGAAACTTCATTCTCTGAACCTTAACTGGACTGTGTCTGATCGTGTATCTGAATGCTAGCAATATTTCACATGCCATACATGACAATCTTTTGAAACAGGCCAATAATTCTAAGCATTTGGTATATAAAATCCTATGTTAATATATATTTTGCATAATTAGGTTCTGCTGTATCTACTGCATTTTAATTTACATTTTCTCCCCATATAAAAATAATCTGGAACATTTTCTCATGTTGTTAGATGCTTTTATAGCCATAGTGGCTATACTGTAGTACATTATGGGGTGCAAGACAATTACTCAGTTGATATGGTTGTTTCTGATTTTGATCTGTTAGGCCACATAATTACATATGTAAAAATATTGATTATTTAAAATTGTATAACATTTATAAAAGTTTAAGGTTCTTGAGACATAATTTCAAAGTTGGGTTCAGAAATTTTGCACCAGTGTATTTTGCTGCAAGTAATATTTACGAAGCTTGCTTCTGATTTTTTCAGAAACTAGGTACTACCAATTAAAAAGAAAAATAACCAATTTTCAAAAAGAAAATCTGGTTGTTGTGGCTATTTTTTATTACTTTAGTGGTTGAGGTAGTAGAAATGTTCTTCATCTCAATTGTGGCCACCATGACGTTTGTTAAAACTCATCAAATTATCTATCTAAAACGGGTGAGTTTTACTGTGTGTTAATTATTGCTCACTAAACTGACTTAAAGTTAATGAAGTTTTATATCTCACTCAGGTTGTATATCCATCATGGGTCAGCTGGGAGGTTTGCTTCAAGTAGTCCTCATTTCAGGACTTAGGTTGGAGGAGAAGCCACCATTTCACATATTGCAGAGAGAAATTGAGTACAGTGAAAACTCTAAAGATTAATGATCACCATTGTATTAGGCTGCTCTCGCATTGCTGTAAAGAAATGCCTGAGACTGGATAATTTATAAAGAAGAGAGATATAATTGGCTTGTGGTTCTGCAGGCTGTGCAGGAAGCATGGCACAGGCTTCTGTTCCATTCTGGGGAGGCCTCAGGGAGCTTTTACTCATGGCAAAAGGCAAAGGGGAAGCAGGCATGTCATGTGGCAGAACGAAAGCAAGAGAGAGAGAGAGTTGGGGAGGGAGGTGTCACACTCTTTTAAACAACCAGATCTTGCAAGAACTTACTATCATGAAGAAAGCACCAAGCAATGAGGAATTCAGACCTATCATCCAAACAACTCCCACCAGGTCCCACCTCCAGCATTGAGGATTACAATTCAACATGAGGTTTTGGTAGGGACAAATATCCAAACTACATTAACCACATTCTTTGACCTGCTCCAATAGGGTACGAAATATTTTTCTTCACCAATGATCATAAATTGAGTTTATCTTACCTAAAAGCTAAAAACACATATTTGGTCATGGGATTTTACCTCATAGATAAACATATGATGTTCTGTAGATTGTCTATGCAGTTTTGGAAAGTTAGGTTTACTAACAATCTTTAGTATTTTCCTGATAACTTATAACACAAGCTCTAAAATAATTTTGTATGGCTATAGCCTCAATATTGAAACAATGTCTGGCACATATTAGCCACACCAAAAAATACTTTTCAAATGTATGATGTGTGTAATTTTAGTGAGTAGAATTTTTTAAAGAGATAATTAAATACTGTTTGTTTCAGTCAAGAAAAAAATAGTACAATAGATTGTGTCATTACAATATAAATTGACCTACAAACCAGAAGAAAAGGTCAAACATAAAAATTAATAGAGACTCACACATCCAAGGCCTAAAAATTAAGAAACTGGAAAATTAAGAAAAATGTCAGGTTAATTTTAATCAGGATTTGTTTATTTTTTTAATATTGCACAATGGGTTGGGAAATGGTTAGTGGTCATTTGAAAGATGGCTTCATGTTTAGCACTTCAGAGCAAATTGAAGGTGTTAGAGATGATTATCCACAGCTACAGACTTTATTACAGCAAATATAATGTTTCAAATTGTGTATATTATAAATGTAGACAATTCTGATTCTGGATTGGAGCATAGAACTAAACAACTTTATATACCTTACACGTTTGGTATTCTTGTATTTACCAGTAGTGGGCCTCATAGCATATACACTCACTTTCAGCTGACTTCAAAACTCTATGATGAGATCCTGACTATGGAGCATGACATACTTCTGGCATGTCACATTCCGTCACTTGACAAGAAGACTAGTTTGATTGCACACTTTGTCTTCTTTTAAATGAAACTGAAATTCCTAAACCTAAATCTGAAGTGTGTGACTTAAGCCTGATATGTTCTTTATAAACAATATTTTCCTGTATGTCATTATGCCACAATTAAATGTTGGCATTTATTTTCTCTAAATAAGTTGCTGATGAGCAACAAAAGATGTGCTTAATGTACAAGATTATTCCTTTCTAAATTACAAAGTGGTTTTCTGAAGGATTTATTATTTTATTTTTCATGTATCTCAGTCATCACATTTAAATATCTCTGATATATCCATTTATTTTTGTAATATAATTGCATATATAACAAATGTGATAAGACTGTATCCTGGCAAAAAGCATTGAAATCCAAAGTCTGCAGAAAAGAATAATACAATGTTAAAAATCAAAGGCAAGATCTTATGCCTTGAACAAACCATCCAGATGAAACCTAGGCTATTTTATTCAAGATCATAAATAATCCAATGCCTTCATTAACCTTTATTCTTTTTTATTAGCAAACTAGGCACCATGGCTCTGAGCCGAGCCCAGCAGGCTGCCCATGAAGTGACATTTTAGAGACTGGCAAAGAAATGCACTTTGTGTCAGAGTACACTATCTTGAGTTTTTGTCCTTCACAGCAGGAAAAAGCCTCTCTGGATCCTTTTGTCCTTTTAAAAAGAGACTTGAGTGCACATACACATAAACACATGAGTGTAAGAATTTTTCTTGCTAATATGAAAAATAAATTACTTACCCTTCTAATTTAAAATAGAACACTAAGTATCTGAGTTGGTTGAAAAGTAACTTAAACCAAATTCAGCTGAAGAAAAAACTTAAAAAACAGAATTGAGATTTCCTTAATGATGCATTTTATTTCACAAAGATGCACTAGGTATTTAAGTAGACCCTTCTGTAGTTTTGTAATTTGCTTTAAATATATAAATATATATTTACGGATAGTAGATAGGCAAGATATGGTAGTTATAAAAAACAAAATAAAAGGAATAGCATACAGTATTTGGAAGTGGCAAAGATGTGAACATAACAACACTCCTGGTCTTAATAACATATAGCTGAATGAAAAGAAGTGAAACATTTTTATGTGGGACACATAGTTAATTTAAATGCATCCCTTCAATATATTAATGCAGATGTTTTAGGAAGGCAAAGAAAAAAGCCATATACATTAAACACTTCAGAATTATTGCCTAGGTTGAGAGTGTGAAATGAGAGTGCAGAGAGGGATAAGTAGATAGGTAGATAGATAGATAGATAGGTAGATAGATAGATAGATAGATAGAACAGGAGGACTTTGTGTGCACCGGGGATGATAATGTGGCATAATGCAAACATTATAATTAACTCAGATATCTTCCTGTGATAAAAAAATTCCAGTGTGAATTGAACCTACAAAACAATATGAGACTGTCTTCCTTTCTTCTATTCTATGAAAACAAAGGTGTATTAAACAATAAAAAACCCACTTCAGATAGATAGACTTGTATGTAGGGGTAATATTAGGTAAAATTATAAAACAGAAAATATCACTTCTAAGGTCACCTCTTTGAGACCTTTCTTCACGTCTATGCCTTTAAGTCCAAAAACAAGGATCAGCCTCTCCCGCAAAATGTCATAATTCAGTAAATTCCTTACTTTGTGATTGCTGAGAAATAACCTATAACTTCTTCAGGAATTATTGGAAAAGGAAAAGAAAAGAAAAGAAAAATCACATCTACCTAACATATATACTATCAAAATACATACGATATGCTATATAATATGTATTTTATATAAATTTATATACACTAAGTAAATATATGTAAATACATTATATATATATATATATACACACACATATAATGTTTAATTCACCCTATGTATATTTATTCTAGGTATTTTCTGTACCAGGGAGTTTTCTAAGCTCTAGGAAAATCACAGTCAACAACACAAGGTCCATGTCCTCTGGGAGTTTATTTCTGCAGAGGGAGACTGACAATCCATAAGCAAATAAATTTACAGTGTCAGGTAATAGTAAGCGCTATGGAGAAAAAAAAATTAGCAGAGAAGTGATAGGTAGTGACAGGGAAGCTATATTATATACATAAACCACAGACTCTCTGAGAAGATGGCATTTGAGTATAGCGTGAATGACACAAGAATCCTGCAATCCCCAATAACTTATGGAGTTGAGATGCAACATGGCTCTGTATTACAAAAGCCATGTAGTAGAGTTGGTTTCCTGACCATAAACACAAATATACAAGTAATTATTTTTTTCCTAATTCAGTATCTACTCTGTTTTTTGCTGGCATTTGAAATGATGGCAGCAAACAACTTAGTAAATTCTAAATAAATAGTGATTTCTAATTGGAACACAGTCAATGCAAAATTGCAATCATTCTAATATCTTTCCTTCTCCATTGGATTTATCTAAGCAATAGTGGTGGTGATGTTTGTGTATGCCTTTGGGGTGGGCAGGGGGAAGTATGTGGCATTATGGTGCAAGTTAGTTAAATAAAGGCATATGGTCCACAGTTGTTCCATGCTGGCATCCACTGGGGTGTATAAATCTGGACCCTTGCATTGTCATCCCTCTGCAATGGCATCCTCTGAGGTGTCAATCTTCCTCCCTGGTCTCTGACCATATGGTCTAGAGTGCCTTCTGCTGCCATGCCCCCTTGTCAAAGACTCAGAACTCTTTCAGAGTCTTTTTCTCTTTCAGTTGTATTTAATGACCTTCTCGAAGGCAGGAAATGTTAGATTTGGCTTCAAGGCTGCCTTTCATGGCTTGTTCAGGCCCTCAGCACCTGAACATCCATTTCTCTCCTAACGTTTCTCTACTGTGAGGTAAAGGGGATTCCCTCAAGCTTTCTCCTTCTCAAGATTTTCTGTGAGAAAGGAGACTTGTTTCTTCTAAACTTGTATCCTGATACATTTTAAGAAGTTTATTTCATTATTTCCTTCCCACTGAAGTGAACAGGGAAGGCAGGTTGTAACTCTTATTGCATAACCAACCAATGTTTACAAACTGCTTCTCACTTTAAATTCTCTTCCCAAGCCTGGAGAATATTTAGTCTCAGGGAAGTGAGAGAAATGCCCCAGTAAATAATCTTTGTGTCTTGTTTTATTTTTTTTTTCATCCTGGAAGCAGATAATCTTGTGTCTGAATTCTTTTATAATAAAGCCCCCTTGACAGCAGAACTTTTAGGGATAAGGAAAGGAACTTACGGAACAACTGAAGAAATCCCATGAAGCTTGGAAAGGAGATGAATAGTTAAATACAGGAATACCTTGCACATATTGTGAGTTTGGTTCTGACTACCACAATAGAGTAAGTATCACAATAAAGCCAGTGGCACATTTTTTGTTTTTGTTGTTTCTCAGTGCATATTAAAGTTAAGTTTACAACGTACTGTAGTCTATAGAAAATAGCACTATGTCTAAAAGTGGTTCATTACTAAAAATGCTAACT